>NC_000008.11:108214222-109464222 GCF_000001405.40 Homo sapiens | reverse complement strand
GGAATACCTGTTAAGCCCAGAAATCACAGTTATTTAGTAATAGCTCAGATGTTGAGCTCATATTTTCTTGTTTCAAAAAATATCTAATTTTATATTATTATTAATATATTTATTTCTTCCAAATTTTTCATGTTTATTATTTGAAAATGTTATTGAACCCCCAACCCACCATGTTTTATACAATGTATAGCAGACCACACTTATTACAAAATGAATGAAAGAATGTAAAAAGCCATCTTTGACTCTTCTGCTTTTTGCCTTGGTATATTAGTAAACTTTTGTGTTTTAGGAAATAAAACATCTTGAAAGACTTCTTTTCCTCTTTTACTTTACTTTGCTTCTTATGTAATAACAAGAAACATTTCTTGAATGTTTTATGTGTGCCAGGTGTTGTGCTCTTTTGCATGCATGATCCTAGTCTTTGCCATAATCCCCTAAAGTAGGCACTTACCATTGACTTTATTTTACAGATTAATAAATGGAAGTTTAGAAAGGCTGAGCATCTTGTTTATGGTTACAAAGTTCCATTTAAACCCAAGTTGGTCTAACTCTAGAGCTGGTGCTCTTAATCACCCTGCTGTGCATTCTTTCAAATGGTCTATGATTTAATAATTTAATACAGAGGATACCAGTGTGTCTGTGTGTGTGTGTATGTGCGTGTGTGCATGCATGTGAGCATATAATCTCATGGGGTAAGGAAATAAAACGTTACTTCCTCTATTTTTGTTGTCCATCTAAAGCTAAAAATTAACCATTATTAATATTCAATATCCAGATCAACCTAGCAATCTCAGTCCATATTTGAGATGTCACATGTAACATATCTCAGGAGGAGGGAAGTTTACAAAATGGAGGTGCTGACTGTGTCACCATCAATGCAGTCGAGGTGTGCCTGGTTTAATGGATTTATGGATTTTATTATCCCTTCCTCCCTCCCTTCCTTCCTTCTGCTGAATACATGATAAGAACTATGCCAAACCGTGATTATACAGCCTGAATATAAATAAGATACACAGGAGTTTCTAGTGTCATAGGGATAACATGCATATTTATGTATTTGTTTAATTTATAATCAACTGAGAATCTACTATATGCCATGCATTGTTCCAGGGAATCAGCAGAGAACCATAAAGACAACATCTGTAAAATAATAGAGCTTATGTTCTAGAGGAAGAGGTTGAAAATAAATAAAAACAGATATCCTATTAGGAGTTATGTATAAATAAAGTAAACAGGAGTTTGGGTGGCAATTTTAAATAACAGTGGTGAGAAAAGTCCTCTCTGGAGCGATAACCCTTGTCAAAAGATCTGACTGAAATTAGGGTGTCAGCCATGCAAGTATTTGGTGGAGGAGGATTCCAAGCAGAATGAAAAGCAAGTACAGGCCAGGCGCCATGGCTCATGCCTGTAATCCCAGCACTTTGGGAGACCGAGGCATGTGGATCACAAGGTCAGGAGATCAAGACCATTCTGGCCAACATGGTGAAACTCCGTCTCTACTAAAAATACAAAAATTAGCTGGGTGTGGTGGCATGCATCTGTAGTCCCAGCTACTCAGGAGGCTGAGGCAGGAGAATTGCTTGAACCCTGGAGGTGGAAGTTGCAGTGAGCTGAGATTGCGCCACTACACTCCAGCCTGGCAACAGAGTGAGACTCCATCTCAACAATAAATAAATAAATAAATAATGAAAAGCAAGTACAAAGGACCTGAGATAGGAATGTGCTTGACATGATCACATAAGGAGTCCTCTATGACTAGCATGGCACGAGCAAGGCATAGGGTCGTAGGAGATAAATCAGACGGTATCTCTGGGTCAGATCACATGATTCCTATGGGATGGACTTGGACCTGTTGTTTTACGTATACCATGAAGCCACTGAAGGATTTTGAAGAGGGGTGTAACAAGATCTGATACATGGTTTTAAAATTTTACTTTGACTGAAGTGTGGAAACTCTATTAGAGCAACGTGGGAGCAGGAAGACCAGGTAGGAGAAAATCACAGCAGTCCAGGTGGGAGGAGATAGTGGCTCAGGCACAGGATCAGGTGGAGGTATGGAAAGAGACTGGATTCTGGTTACAGCATTTTGTGGGTAGAGAAGATAGAAATGCTGATTAATTCGATTCGAGGTGTGAGAAAATTTGAGAAACAAAATTTTGGCATGATCAAATGGGTGTATTAAAATTGTTTACTTATGTATCTGTCTCCCCTACCAGATTATAAGTAGCATTGACAAACAGCAGGAGTTCAACACACATTTCTTGTATGGATAACCTTGAGCAAACCACTGTGATTTAGTAATAATGCCTCTCACCTCTACATATTCTATTCTCCCAGTTACCATGTTAGCACCAGGTACAGGAGCATGAAACATAACGCAGCCTCCAAATTGGTCACTTCCTATTTCTTCTCCAAACTTTCCTTGGAGACAGGTCTGTGTAGCAAATTCTCCTTCAAAACAGTTTTTAAAGCATCATTAAAAAAATTGTCGGAATCCTCTTATATTGAAGATTTTCTCATAACTAAGTGTATCATTTGATTCACATATGATCTCAACCTCATCCTAGAACATAGTTATTTGCATTCACATCATTTCCTCTTTTAGATAGCAAGATAGGTAAGTACCTTGTCTTGTTCAACTTTGTATTCCCTAAAGTACTTATACAGTATTTTTCAGAGAAGATACTAAACAAATATTTGAATGATCAAGGGAATATTGATAATGGGATTTAGTTTTATTATTTATGAAGCCTTCCCCAAGATTTGAGGATTAACATAATCAATGCAATTTTATATTTGTAGAACATGAGAATATGCATTATGTCACTTACTTTTTTACAACCATAGTAAATAGAACAGGAAGTATTCTTAATTTAAATGGATGAAACTAGGTTTCATGTACATTGTGATAATTGACGCAGATGAACTGATGAACTGGAATGAGAACGTAGCTCATTTGACATAAAATCCCATGGGCTTTGTCTTATACTTCCTTTTGAAGAAAAGACTATTATTTAAGCTGCATCAGTTATTGTTCAACTACTTATAGTATTGTAATGATATGAATGATTACATAAAAAATTTAAAAGAGACATGTAAGATGCATTCTGCTTCCTGCTATAGATATGAGAACTGTGATATAAACATCACTAAAATTCACCAATATCCATTTCCCTTCTATTTCTGGGTATATGGGTTTTGCACTAACTCACTCTCTTCAAGTTAGGCATAGCCATGGAATCAGTTCTGACCAATGACCCTTGAGTATAAGAGACACCTGTCACTTTGAGACCAAAGCAATGAGTTGCTAGTGCTTTACTTTCCAGTAATCTCATCTCCTGCCTCAGACATCACAGAAGCCCGTGCTGAGATAGATCCTTCATAAGCCTGGATCCCAAGGCAATTATAATGAGAAGAGCCCACCTGTTGACCCATATGGGACACATGTAGCATGAATGGGAAATAGACTTTTATATTTTAAATCACTGACATTTTGGGCTTGTTTGTAAATAGAGCATAACCTAGTCCAGTGTTTCTTAACTGAGGCCAATTTTGCCCCCAGGGAACATTTCTGCAAAGTCTGGAAACACTTTTGGTTGTCACAGTTGTTAGAGGAGGCTACTAGAATTTAGTTGGTAGATGCCAAGTGTGCTGTCAAACATCTTGTGATGCACAGGACAGTGCCCCACAGCAGAGAATTATCTGGGCCAAAATACCAACAGAGCTGACTTTGAAAAACTCGGACTTAGCCTACCCCCACTGGCTCAGATCTATATATCTATAGATTTTCCCCCCATCATTCCATCTATCCATTTGTCTGTCTATCCATCATCAGTCTAGGAATTAATTAAAATATCTTTTACAGTAAACCCACTCTCACACTGTTCTGATAAACTGCAAATTCTGGAAAATTAAAAAAGCTCTGACAGTCAAGGATTTGCTAAACAGAATCTTTGTATCACTATCAAATATAGTTTGCCATATTTTCTGAGTAAATATAAATAATGCAGTTTCTTGCTGACAATATTAAAACTAATCATCAAGGTCTAATCTAAACATAATAATGAATCATAATTATAGGAAGATAATTTATCAACAGAATCCAAGTGCACTTATTTCTCCCATTATAGTGTCAGCATTAACCACTTTTCTTCAATATATTCAAATATCTTCATGTTACTCACAAATACTATCAGCATTTCCAAATTTCCACATTTAATTATATTTATAAGATATTTAATGGTATCTTATAAGATTAATATCATTAAATTATATTTAATGATATTTACAATGAAATACATTGAAATAATGTATTTCAATATAAACCAATTAAATTGTAAAACTATATGGCATGATTATACCAACCACGAGAGCTGCTAAAATTACCTGTGTCAAATCCATCAGGACATGCAGGAATTTTGTTATTCCACTCAACATTATCAGATCCTCTTATTAAAATATTTCTTGTAAGAATTCCAACTTCTGCTCTTGCTTCAAACAGAGTTCCATCAGGGAGTGTGACCGTAATTCCTAAGTGTGTGTAATTTAGTGGGTTACTTAGTGTTATGTTTATGCCATCAGCAGACACAGATGCAATGGTCATTTTTTCATTCTCTCCTTGACTGTGTCTGTAAAAATTTTGACAAAAAAATTTTAAAATTAATATAAATTGACATAACATATTGTTTTGGTATATTTGTTTTATTCATTTTAAATACTCTGCAAAATAGGAAACTATTCTTATGTCATATAATATTCTGAACAGAAATTAGAAAAAATATTTTATTCTTGCTTGATTAACTAAGTTTTACAAATATATTCAATTCAATGAAATATTTTTCAAGGTCTACATTCGTTCCTAGAACTGGATTAGCTTATAAAAAGTATTTGGAAAACTATTCATTTATAACTTGGAGGATCATACTCAGTGGTTCTCAATTGAGGATGATTTTATTCCTCCCAGGGGACATTTAGCAATGCCTGAAGACACTTTTGGTTGTTACAATTGGGGGCTGCTACTGGCATCTGGTAGGTAGAGACCAGGGGTGTTTCTAAGCATCCCATGATACACAGGATTTCCCCAACATAACAAAGATTATCTGGTCCAAAATTTCAGTCATGCACAAGTTGAGAACCTTTACAAGGGAGAGTCACTGAAGGTTCCTGAACAAGGAAAAGAAATGATTGAGTTGAAGCTTAGGAGGTCTCGTTTTTACCATTCCTCCAAATATACCCCAAATTCCAGCCACAGCAGAAGGGATTTGCCAGTTCTATAATGTACACATTCATGCATTTAGTCATTCAACAAACATTTATTGAGGTTCTAACCTGCATTTTAGGCATAGAACTAAGCACTGGGGATACCAAGTAGAAAGTTTCCCTGATTTTAAGGAGACAAGTGTGTCAATGCTTGATTGTATAATATATTATCTACTAAAGTGTGATTGCTGCTGTTAACAAAGGTAAGCCTAAGGGAGTTACCTCTGTGTTTTCCCAACATTTTCTTTTTACCCTTCCCTCCCTTGACAAATCCTTTTACTCCTTTAAATGCCAGTGCAAATGACAGTGTCACATGTGAAATAGATTCAAAGCAGCTCTCTCAACTTTCCCAACCCTACTTCTGCATTCTCAATACACTCTGCATAAAGCTCTGTTAGTGCTCAGAGCAACAACGCTGCAGTCCTATGAGATATCTACCTTTCTGTCCCTTCCACTGACTTGTCTGCTCTTCTAGGCATGACACCCATTGAAATCATTTTATATGCTGAGCACTTAGTACAGCACCTGTCACAACTCAATAACGGTTTTGATTGATTGAACAAATTAATGCAGAATGAATTCGTGGGGGGAAGAAAGTGGAATGGAGCCCAAAGAGGAAGATGATGTAATATTCCAGGTGTGAGAGGCTGAGAATCTAAATCAAACTGAGAGCAGAGAAAGCTGAGAGACATGCCAAGGGCAGACCAAAAGAACTTGGTGATACAAAGGAAATAATGAATGATGATAATTAGAAGGTCACTGAAAAAGATTTGTGAAGAAGAAAACTAGACTATAGGTGTTTAAAGAAAGAAAACAAAGGATAGTAAGGATAAAATAGAAGAAATGAGCATATAATATTTAAGCAGTTTACAACTCTAAAATAAAGGATTAAAAAAAGAAAGATGCTACAGGAGACAGGAGAACAAAGCTGTTTATCAAGACAATGGGTGGATGGGGACAAGAATCATTCCAAAAGATAGAGGGAAGAAATTGTGGGGGAGGGGCAAGGAGAGGTGGAGATTAAGGATGCTTAGAGATAAGGGCGAACCAGTGGTACAAGATCTCACAGGCGGTATGCAAAAAGGCCTTAGATTAGCCTCTCTTGAATTTTCCTGGATTCGGATGATACAATGATTTCTTTAGAAAAGAAGTTGTGAAAAGCATTTTCATATGTTGTATGTACCTAAACACATCTTTCCTTCCTTTGTTGTAATATAACAACACTAAGTGTTAATAAGCACTTAGTTTGAGCCAAGTTCTGCTTTTACTGCTTTACACTTATTAACTAATGTAATCCTTACTAATACCATTCCAATTTTACTGAAGCACAGAGAAGTAAAATAATATAACTACAGAACTAGTAAGTGGTATTGCAGGGAGCTAGACAGAGACAAACTGACTTTTGAAGGCATTTTCTTAACCACTGGCTTTGCAAACTCTCAAATAGGATTTATCAATGACACAGTGAACAATTAGATTTGGTGGGAAACTCCTTAATTCTTGTTTCTGAAAACTAAATAGCCCTATTCTAAACCCTTTCATTTCATACAAAAAGCCATAAATGAAGATTTTCTATGCTGTTAGTAACCCCTATCATTTTCCTGCTTTTTAATTTTGCCATTATATAATTAAAATTTCTTCCAAGGGCAGAACAAAATGAGCACTAAAGCTAAGTATATATTTAATTCTTCCTAATAACTGCAAGTCTATTTTTAACATGGAATATGGCAAACTCAAAATGCCATCTTGAATTTTAAATTTAAGTTGTATCATGGCCTTAACACAATTTAGCTGTTTCTTATAAATCACTGTTCATTTCCTAATAATCACAACCATATTCAATTTTACTATTATCTATAATTTGAACAATAAAGCAAAAATAATGCTCCTCTTGCCCCTACCCAGGTGATACTTGGTGGTGTTATGTTAATTTTCTTTCTTTTATGTCTTATTTGCTAAAAAATGTAATTAAACAGAAATTAAGGGTCATAAGTAGTTTCGGTTTTAAAATAACAGGCACCTAAAAGGTTATGTGAATCATCACTTTTTGTATAATTATTTCTTCTCTTTTATTTATTCATTATTAACGATTTTGCTCAGTGGGAACCATTTGCTAAGGCTGTAAGATAAGAGAGTTCACTAGCTGCTTTCAAACATGTTCTTTGGTGACCTCCAACTAAGAAGCTCATTTACATTTTTGCATTCATTAAGGTATTTATTTAAAACTCTAAGATATTTCCAAATGACTTTTAGTAGTCAAACACTTCTTTTTTCCAAATAGATTCTTACATGGGAGCCAAACCGTGTAAAACATACATTTTACTAGGACATAGTTATTTCATAGGTTCGAATTTATGTTTTTTCTTATTGTAAATCTATCAATTATAATGCAATACAAATGTGATCAACCTAATGTTAACACTTGGCAAATCTGTATTTGGCTGTTCATATTTCTTTATTAGAGATTTCAAGTTTAAACCAAATAGTCATGCACCATCTGAATTGTCCCTCTTTATACAGTATAAAAATTTCTTTTCTAAATACACATCATTAAGCCCAGAAGATATCATACCTGTGTCCTGTGCTTGCAATTACAATGTTATCTCCTGGTTTCCATGTTACTGCTTCTTGTAAAATTAAAATTCTTTCCCCTGCCTTTGCAGTATGAGCCAAGCGAGTCCAGGTCACAGGAACAGGCACACCTAGAACCAACATACACACTGAGTATTTCCTTACATGTGTTTGATTTGTTATTGAGAACTTTATACATTTTAATCTTTTCCTAAATTGAATCAATGTTGGAGAGGCTCATTTTACCTTAGCATTTCACACATTTCTCCAAAAAGAAATATGTAGAATGCTTGCTTTATAAAAGTAACAATTGTGTTTGTAATGACATGTATATGACTATAAAACTTTTCAAAAATATTCTTCTGCAATGATATACCCTATTTATAACCATCTTTTTTTACAGGGACACAATGTAAATGGGGTGTGATAATATTGACAAAATGAGCAAAAGTCTATTGTCTTTGTCATTATTGGTAGGAATTTCTTAAACTAATAATCTAGAGTCAAATGTAGATTTTCTAAGAAATTACATAGTATATATATATTGAGCCCTATGTAGGACTTTTATGATAATAAGGTATCATGTTTATGGTATTCTAAATTTATAAAGGGGATAGATTATTGCAATGTGGAAGACGTCAATATAAAAAAGATTCACACCATGCTTTCTTTAAATAGTATGTTGCCCTGGTACCTCAAACATGATCAAAATCATTTTTACTTGCTGACAAGGTTCTAGGATATAGTTATAGAAATCCACAACTATAAATCCCTTGTTATATTTTAGAGAGGCCCCATTTTCAGATACAAATTTAAGAAATTACATTCTTCTGTTTCTAGACTTAGTCTTTTTATATATATAAATACATAAAGTAAACAGGCAATCACAGACAGGTACTACGGTTAGTGTAAAATGAAACGAGAAGAGCCTGGAGGCTCATGGAAAAGGGGAAGAGGAGGAATGTAGAAAAGACCCAGAAAGGCTTTCCCAAGTGTGACCTTGGTTCTGAGTTTTTTTGGTTTTGTTTGTTTGTTTGTTTTGTTTTGTTGACACAGAGACAGAGTCTCACTCTATTGCCCAGCCTAGAGCGCAGTGGTGTGATCTTGGCTCACTGCAGCCACCATCTCCTGGGTTCAAGTGATTCTCCTGCCTCAGCCTCCTAAGTAGCTGGGCTTACAGGTGTGCACCACCATGCCTGGCTAAATTTTGTATTTTTAGTGGAGACAGGGTTTTGCCATGTTGGCCAGGCTGGTATCAAACACCTGGCCTTAGGTGATTCACCCGCTTTGGCTTCCCCAGGTGCTGGGATTACAGGTATGAGCCACCGCACCTGGCCTGGTTCTGAGTCTTGATGTCTGGGCTAGCCTGGCTTGGATGTGGGAAAGAAGGAAGGGGTAAAGAGGGGATATCTAAAGACATGAGAAGCCTAACACACTTTCACTTTATCACAGGATAAATTATAATTATCACAGGATAATTATCCCTGGTGTCCTGGTGAGTCTTCCTCTACCAACTCCCTTAGCCACTTGGCCACAGTACCGTGCAGATCCAGGATTCCCTCCCGCACAGCCAGTGTTTTGGCACCATAGACAGGGAGCTCAGGAGATCGCAGGTGACCATGCAAGGTAATGACAGCCTTGTGTTGGAATGGGGATGTCTCTGTTCCAATCTGCAAAAGATGTCACAAATGCCATTCAGAAAATTAAAACCCCAAATCCACAATTCTAATCACACAAAAGTAGTTCTTTTCTATCCTCTCTTCTCTTTTGAGAATTAATTGCTCAGTTGTTCATATCTTTCTTTTGAAAGATAAACCTTTAATTTTCTAGTCAGCCAAATAAATACACTATGCCAGACCTTTGAAAGGTATACTGATTGACTTTAGCCACATCTCAGAGTTAATTCTTTCCTGTTCTATTTTAAATTCTGCTCTATGGGAATATAAACTACTATCTTCCCATTAAAAACACAAGATTCTGGGAAACTTTTCTCCTTGCATAAAGGATTTTATACCAATAACAGAGACCTAAACAAAGATAAACTTAGGAGAGGTTGATATAATTAACTATCCATTTTACACATAGTATTTAAAAAAATGAATGGAGACAGGTTGGAAATGAATATGTATTATGTTCTTTTGAATACCTGAAGAACACCTCCATCTGTAATTAGAATATTTTCTGCCTGGAGTTCAATGTCAGCTTCATCAAATATTAGAGTCCCACCTATGAATCATACAATTTTGAAATACATCACAAGGAAAAATCTTGTTAAAAGTTACCTATTAAATTATTCATTACAATTTAACATAATTATTAAATTATACATTAAATTAAAATTTAATTCCTCATTCATGTTCTGCTGTTGTTATGCATATAACTTCACTTCAGTTCTTTGGCAACATAAAAGCATAAAAACTCCAGACAAGACCATGGGAGTTTACAGAAAATCAAATCCCAGGGAAGATTATTTTCCCTTGAACATTGGGAAAGTAGCTTATTTTAGATGCTACTAAATAGCTCAGCTATGCAAATTCGTTGTACAAACACAGCACCTCAAAATATAAATTAAGAACAAAAGCAATTAAAGAAAAGCATGTTTATAAAAACCATTATAATGTCAACATTAGCTTTGAACTTTTACCCATTAATTTGCACTCTCAACAGCTATAGCCTGATTAGCATTATTAAAGATCATACCAAGATACATTTTTATGAGACTAGTGTAAATTTATAAATTTGTAAGTAGTAAAATTTTATTTGTCCAAAGGTCCAATATTTAATAACTTCAAAAACCTGAAACTTTTCTATTTTCCCAGAAGTTAAAAATAGTAAATAACAATGCAGGAGTCTTCCGGTGGCTAAGCCTGTTATGGCAAAGTTTGTGCACTAAATCCTCAAGCAGTCTACTCTTACCAATTAATGATTCTTTTACATGCAATTATCACAGTTGTGGTTATTTAGTTTTCCATAGTAAAAAATAAAACACAGCAGCAGAGACAAACCCAGGCAACAACATAAACAGGTTCACAGGCAAAGGTGAAAATCACAACCTATCTTCCAAAGGGAGTCAAGGGGATCATTTAGGATAGACCTGAACAAATCTCGATGACTTTTTATTTCCTGGGACCCACTACATCAGTGTTTTTCAAAGTGGAAAATACCTTTTTTGTTGTGATCTAGTGAAAGTGGGCGGGCATGCTCACACCTCCCCACATTGTTATTGAACCAAAAGTTTCATAAAACAACATTTAGCTTTAAAAGGTACTTACCCATATGCATGCAATCTATTCTGATGCTGTCTATCCTATTTAATTTTTAAAATGCTGGCTGCAACACATTAAATAATATCATAATCACAAATGGATTGTAATACTCAATTTAGAAAGCCCAGGACTACACTGTATATTAAAAAGATAGTGCAACTATGTTTGTTCATAATTGTGGATTTTGATTAAATCAGTTTCACAGAAATATTTATCAGGCAGAGTCCAATGAACAGATATTCAGAAATTTACCCTGAATAAGCAACATTTTCAAAATAGGGGTGCTTTGATCCAGCAGAATGGTCTGTCCTTTTGTAATAACAACAAGAGATCCTTCTTCTGGGGGAGATTTTCCCCCCCATGAGAAATTGGAGGACCAGGCATCAACATAAAGAAAGTCAGCATTATCCTGTAATAGAACATAAGAGACCTTAAAATTTAGGGATTTTACCAGAGTTTTTCATTCGATTTTTCAAAAAGCATTTTATTACAATATAAATATATTTATATTATATAGTAAATATATATAAACAATAAGCATTTTATTAATAATAAAATCTAACCTACTTAAAATGTGTCATAATTGCCTCTTGGTTTATTTCACAATAATGATCAAGTTTAAAAAATCTATTACCAATTACCCCACAACTCAGAAAAATCAAAAATCTAAAATAATAAAAATTTTAGGAAAAGCAACAAAAAATGTAAGCTACTTTAGATTTATTATGGTCACAGCTCAGTTATTTTTTTGGAGACATTAAAGTAAAACAACAATTACCAATTAGCCCACCTCCCATAATGCTGGTTTTCTATTGCTGTGATTACTATACCCAACAGCACTATTACCAGTTTGGCCATGCCGACACCTCTGATGTGGACACAAACTGGAGCCCACCCTGATAGAGTATGGGCATCTGTCATGCAGATGATGTGTGTCTTGTTGGAATACTCAACATCACATTTGGCTTCAGCTATGGTGATATGAACATCCTCCATATTTTCACTGTAAAAAAGAGGGAAAACATAACATGTATGTTTTTCTCAAATATCTAGATCACACTGTCAAACCCTTTTATTCCTATGTATTATTGCAAAAAAAAAATGACCTGATTCTATCAGCCACCAAAGTGTAGATTGATGCTTTTTTTCAATATTAAGACTTCAAAATATTTATTGAAAAAAAGTAAACAAAGAGGTTAAGAGTCCAGAAAATAGGACTGTAACTAGCAGATGTTCCAGTGTTGGGGAAAGAAACAGTGATTGTTGTTGTTCAGTGATTCTATGTTGATCTCCCAACAGGTACTTTTAAAAGAGATTTTCAAGGATCACTTGTCCATGTGACATTTTCATCATGTTTGTGGACTTTAGAACTTAACCTCCAGATAAAAATGCAAGTTCAAGGTAATCATAACTGCTTGAGGAGTTACAATGAGCTTCTATGGTGTATGCGATCTGGTGTTTTGACTTCAGCCTTCCGCACCTGAATAATGATGACAATGCAGTACACAAATTTGAGCCAAATAATGAGTATGTTTAAGAAAAAGAAACTTGAGCAATTACAGTGGAATAGAACTGCTGTATGGAAAGATGTTTCTTTGATCCAATGAAGCAGATCATGGCTGGAGATAAGATGATGGAGAAAGCATAACAAGAAGGTGATTTATATTTGTGATGCTACATACTAGGATTGGGGGCAAGATGTCTAACCTGTTTAATCTGTCTTCTAACCATAAAACGAGGTAAAAACATCTCAGGAAGTAAGGCAGGACTTCTCCGTGGGTAGGCAGGTAGTTGCCACAAAATAAATACTCAATAAATGTTAGCAATTAGTACTATTTTTGCCTTAAGCTTAAGTTACGAGCATATAGGTACACATTGCATGACTGTATTTCTGCACTGTCCGGGCATAGGAGAAAGCAGGAGTAATGGCTCAAGTCTGGAAATGCACAATGATGCGTGTTTGTGTGGAGACAGTACCTGAATCCTGATCCCACGACTGTCAGTCTGGTGCCCCCTGCTGTACTGCCTCTCTTAGGAGATACTGCAGTGATGAGTGGAGTCAGTGACACTGCGTACGTAAACGGAGTCATGGACTGTGACAAATCTTTCCCATTAACCACACTCACTTCACAGGCTTGCTCAGCTCCCGTGCCTATGAAAGGAAGATCAGACTGAATGCAGTTCTGCCATCGGGCCCTGATTCATTTCCAAAACCTCCAAACATTTTCAATAACATCTTCCTTTTCACACAATCATCTTCCTTTTCCAATATACCTAGGCTACATGTGAATAATAGTGGCCCTCTAGCAATAGCCAAAAACATTACAAAAGTTCATGCCCATTATCGACAGAAGAAAAAGCCCTTCGACCCTCCTGGGGAGACTCTTCCTGTAGAACATTCTACAAACCTGCCTGCTTAGTTTTCCAATTCTAGAGGATCCAACTTTGTAAATTAGAACAGGAAGGAGGGAAGAACTGCTTAAAGGCAGGCACACTGACAACAGCAAGGAGTGACAGCTGAAGGCAAGGTCAGAGACAAGGACTACAGAAACCTGATGCAAAAACATAACGAGAAGATGCAGAGCCAGTGTTAAGACAAACAACCTAAAACCTTGACAAGTCTCAAAGCATTGCTATATATATATATATTTTTTAATCAGGATTCAAACTCTGGTGTGGAAATGATACATAAGCTCAGTCATAAAAATATTGCATTTTTCAATATTCTTTGTTAAGGAAGTCAGAGAAAGAAGCAACAATATTTAGAAAAGCTTCACAAATTTTGCTAAGGTTTTAAAAAATGTGTTCACATAAAACATATCCTTTATTCTTATAGAATATTCACATTGTTTAAATATCTTCTTAAATTTTGTTAAGTAATAACTAAGTTTTGTTGTCCAAAGTACCAAATATTTAATCTTCACAACAATCCATTGAATTAGAGTTAATAATATCCCCATTTAATACATGGAGAAACTGAAGCAGAGAGAAGTTACTCGGCTAGGGTTACACAGTAAGTAACAAAATTGAGATTCAGGAACTCCTCAGAGCCCAGGCTCTTAACCATTAACTAAAAATAAATAAGTAAGAATAAGAATAATAGCAAATTACATATGGTCCTAGACATCATTCCATCCACTTTATGTACATTAACTGATAAAACCTGACAACAGTCCAGTAGACTACTGTGATTCATCTCACTTTATAGTTGAAAAAACTGAGGCATAGAGAGGTTAAATAACTTATTCAGTGACACAAGTAGGGTTTGAGTTTAGCAATGCACTATCGGCGTTGATACTCATAGCCATTAATGAAACTCCTATCTTTAATGGAATCCTAATACTCTAATGGGAACTAAAAATGTGTTCTCCATTTGGTATGCACAATAAACTAAGAACCATCAGTTTATACCAGAAACTGAAAAACTGCAATTTATTATAAACAATTCCATCTGCAATTTATGAATCTCAAAAGACATGTAAATCTAGAAAATGTCCTGAAGAAATTGCTTAGAATCAGGACAGTCATAAAGTGATTTAATTACTCCAAGGAATCCAAGAACTTGAAAAAAGAAATTAACTGATCTTTATAAAATTAACTAGTTCTCAAAGACTGCCATTACTTTTTCTGACAACTTACCATTATTAGATGGAATTTCACATAATAGTGTTGTGTAATCAGATCTAAGCCTGTCAATTGCACATTCTGAGCCACAAACTAATATAATTGAATTTTGTGGATTAAATCCGGTGCCTGTCACAGTCATGGTTTGACCCCCACCAAAGCTCCCTAGTGAAGACAAATAAAAAGGAAAAACAAAGCTAATTAAAATAAAACTTCTTCTGTGTACATATTTTTTACCTTTATTTTAAATGTTAAAAGTAAGTTACATTAAATGAAGAGTTTTTTAGAACTGAAATTATAGTGCATTATTCTATTAATGCAACTGAATCTCTTTTGATTGTAGTGTTTTAAAATCTTCACTGAGTAAATGTCATATCTGGTAATTTATTTGAACTATTTCGAGGAACTAAAATTTTATTTAAAAAAGATGTCACAAAGGATTTCAGAGTAGGCAAAACATAGACTATGCAATTACTATTTTAAGTAGATTGGTTTATTTATACTTTCTCAAGGTTTTTAACTAAAAAATTTTTTAAATAAAAAAGATACTAATTTATGTAGAAATAATTACATACCAGTGATGTCTAAACATGATTTAAGAAAAATTTTCATGTATAACTGTCATTTTAAGTAGGATTAAGTTTTAAGTAAATTAATCATACATCACTAAGAAATATAAGGTATTATATTTTAAAGTTTAGTATTTTGAAATAAATAATTATACACTTACATGCTTATTTATTTGCTACATAAAGCAAAGTATTTGTATTGTGCTATAAATTTTCATGGTGAAACCCCGTCTCTACTAAAAATACAAAAAAAAATTAGCCAGGCATGGTGGCGGGCGCCTGTAGTCCCAGCTACTCGGGAGGCTGAGGCAGGAGAATGGCGTGAACCTGGGAGGCAGAGCTTGCAATGAGCCAAGATCGCGCCACTGCACTCCAGCCTGGGCGACCGAGCGAGACTCTGTCTCAAAAAAAAAAAACCAAACAAACAAAAAAAACACTAGAAATTTTATGTGTTTGAGTAACATATTATTTTCTAAATAAGGTTTCTAAATAAGTGTTTACTGAAACAAAATATCTGCAGGTTCTTGCATACTTATGACTACCTTGGCTTGGATTAATATTTTGAATATTAAGCGGGTACTCAAATACAACTGTGGACATGGCTGAGCCTTTTGTCTTATGATGCATCATAACAGGAAATGTGCCCCCAGCATGATCTCCCACGATGCACTGCACCACACTATCATTGGCCATGGTTACATTACACTGAATGTTATTTATCATCACGGAGATTTCCAAGATCTCAAAGCCAAAGTTGGATCCAGTGATCTCAATTTCAGTTCCTGGTGGACCTTAAAAAAAAAAAAAGCACACAATATAAATATATCTAACTATTAATACACATCCATTTAAAGATATACCTCTTTACTTTTACAAATAAAAGAATAACCAGTGTTTTAAAACTAATATAAATATTAACAATACATGCTATGTCATACAATACATTTTGACTACAATATACCCTACAGTCTACTGTATATTAATTATAAGTGATTTATCTCAATGTTTATTATTTTTCCAGCCCTTCTGTCCGTTCTACTGAGTTGTAAGTTATTAATTCACGCTAATAGAGAATAGAGGAGGAGGAAAGAGCAGGTCTAGAGTTAGGAAGTATGAATGTCTGAGCAGCATGGGTTAGAGCATATTTTAAGGATGAGGCTTACTATCTTTATTTTTGGTAGCTTCCTTCCTGACATTAGCAGCTCTTTTGAGGAGAGACTACATTTTTCTTAATTCAAACATTTTTGATAGGTATGACTTGGTAAAGAAATTATGATATGTAAATGGGTGTAAGATAGGAAATACAGAAAAAAGGAATTAATTTAAAGACTTGTAGGTGAATGTTGATGTTAATGCCTTGAATGAGTGCACATAGAACAAATAATTAGATTCTGGCTGTTCTCTTGCTTCCCTCTTTTGACAAATGTACGTGAAGGGCATTAAACGTGGAACTTTTCATAGGTTGTTCAAATGAATATCCACATACCTAAATTTTAAATGAAAATTCGTCAACATAACTTTTTACAAACGCAGTGCCCTCAAGTAGTAATTTGATTTTAATTCAAGTGATAATAGTAAAGAATTACCATATAATTGACCATAGTGAGGATTGCTTAAATATAAATAATTATTTTATTTTAAACGTGACAGATACTAAAGAGATATTTCATGTTAGGAAAGTTTTTGTTTGTTTGTTTGTTTGTTTGTTTCGGAGATGGAGTCTCGCTCTGTCGCCCAGGCTGGAGTGCAGTGGTGTGATCTCAGTTCACTGCAACTTCTGCCTCGTGGATTCAAGCGATTCTCCTGCCTCAGCCTCCCAAGTAGCTGGGACTACAGGTGCATGCCGCCATGCCTGGCTAATTTTTTGTATTTTAGTAGAGACGGGGTTCACCATGTTGCCCAGGCTGATCTCGAACTCCTGAGCTCAGGCAATCCGCCAGCCTCAGCCTCCCAAAGTGCTAGGATTACAGGCGTGAGCCACCGCACCTGGACAGAATAGTTTTAAGATACAATCTAAAGAAAGTTTTACAGGTCTTAACATTTAATTTTGCTTGACATTTTGCCTTTCAAATGGAACAGCGTTGTTCTCAGTGTGCTCTGTCACCTGTCTCTTCAGCAAATAAAACAGCTCAGTTCTCACATGTCTGCAAGTCTCTTATACCTTTGAATACATTGTTTTGAAAAAAAAAATTCAAAGGCAGAGATGGGAAGAGACACAGTCCATGGAAATAAGAAACATATGCCATTATTTGCAATGATTACAACCACATGGGAAAAGAAATGTGCCATTGTTATTGTTCACATTTTTCAAAATGAGCAAATTTGACATATTAAAGAAGATTTCGACAGCAAACTCGTTGAAGGCAGAAAATACTACTTACTCAAACCTGATACATTTCCCTGTGATGTAACCTAAAAAGACTTTTCTAAAAGGTTAACATTTAATGAGTTCTTCATTAAATGTACTATTCTAAGTTACATTATATGAATAAACTTCTTTAACTTTATAATGTATGTACCTGCATAAATAAGGAAATTGATGTTTTAAAAAACTTGTCCAAAATTTCATCGCTGGAAATTAAAGGAACCAAAATTTGAACCATTTGAGAGCCAAGCTCTCAACTATTATGCTATAGCTTCCTCTCCGGAATTCAGTACATATATTCTAATAGCTCGAAGCATTCTAATAGCTCGAAGATAATCAGAAATAGCATAGCATAATGACAAAGGACTAAGAAGATATATCAACCTATTGTTAAATTAGAAAAATGAGTCATGCTAAGTAATTAAGAAAATCGTATTTTATAATATTTTCTCCATTGAATGGGCCAATTATCTCCTTAAAAAGAATTCTGGCATGCTAATAAGTTAATATTCATTTGTAGTTTCATGGAAATAAGGTACTCTGAAACACTCTCAATGTAAGTAAGATTGTAACTTTTGATTTTTAACTAGAGTTTCTAGTGCAAATCAACATCAATAACATAAATGAATTATCAGTTTTGGTCTATCTTCACTTATTTTTTCCTCATTTGAAATTTAGGTCAGGTTAATGGGAATTTTGTTCCTAAATAGAAGTTGAAATTTGGCTAAAATTGTTATCCCATAAATGTGTGAAAAATAATCATACAATAGAGACTACACAGAGCTTGAATCCCAGGTATTAAGTGTAAGTGGGAACATTTATAAACACACCTTAATAGTTATTTACAAATATCATTCCAATTCCATACTAATAAATATTATCGATACTATAATATCAAGATAATAAGGCAGATATTGGAGTACCTCTGCTTGGGATAATTCCTCTGAGAAATGGAGTATCCTCCAGGGCATATGTAAAAAGCAAAGGTGGATAAGCAATTGTATTAACAAAGATTTTAACATCGACCATTCCAGTGGTCCCAGCGGGAGTGCGGCAGTAGACTTCATTGGGGTTGATGGAAATAATTTGACAAGGTTCATCCCCAATAGTGACTGTAGTGTTGCCTGGATAGAAGCCATTTCCTGTGATCACCAGTGTAGTTCCACCACCAATGCTTCCAGAAGTTGGTGATAGAGATGCTACTGGGGGGCTGCTGACAGTCAGGTTTCCCAGAGCCAAGCCTTTACTTCCCACCACAACACTAACAGAATGATGTCCAACTGGGAGAGGAGTCACAAGAGCAGTGATGTTGTTTTCATTAACCTCTATTGCTCTGAACTGTTGATTTCCAATGAAAACAGCAATGTCCTCCAAAACAGTCCCCAAACCTTCTCCTTCAATAAGAACTTTTACAGATCCTATGACAGAGTTTGGGAAGACTCCTGTTATGTAAGGAGTGATGCTTTCTAAGTATGAAAAGGTGCAGTTTCCCTGGCACTGGGCAGGCACTCCATGTATTAGAAGATCTACATCCACAAGCTGTTGGGCAGCAGGGGATGTTTCACATTCAATGGCCGTATAATTCACTGATAGAACTTTACATGGGAAATGACCCATAAGGACTTTTACACCTGCAGAAGAAACGGCAAATCCAGAGCCTTTTATGGTCACGCTTGTCATTCCTGTAGTTGATCCTGCATTTGGCAACACCAGGTCAATGTTTGGCAAAAGTACAAATCGCCTATCAAATTCATTGGACAACGTATTGATAGCAGTGCCCAGGTTGTAGACAGTCAAAGTGACAGTTTCCCTGATACCAACATCCATTGAGTTTTGAGGGTCAATATGACATGTAATTGAATCCTCACTACTTTCTTCTACGACACAGGGGTAGCTACCAATTGTAACCTGTAAGTAAAATGAATACAAAATAAAACAAGTCAATACATACCTCCAGTATAAACAAATTTTGTATTAGCAACAACTACAAATTTTAAAAGTTAATCATGTGCAAATAAATATCTTTTATTCATAAATTTAATTTGGGAGGGGCTGATTAACGCATCTCTTGGATTAAATTATGATTTTTACATAAATGTGCATTGCTACATTATTCATAATAATCAAAAGGTGAAAACAACCCAAATGTCCATCAACTGATGAATGGATAAATAAAAGGTTGCTTAACATGCAACAGAATATTATTAGGTCACAAAAAGAAATGAAGTACTGATACATGGTACAACTTGTGTGAACCTTGAAAACATTATGTTGAGTGAAAAATAAATAAACTTGGTCACAATGGACCACATATTGTATGATTCTATTTACAAGAAATGTCCAGAACAGCCAAATCTATAGACAGAAAGTAGATTAGAGACCACCTTAGGCTGGGATCGATGGAGGGGTTAGGTGTGATATCTAAGGGCTTTAGGGTTTTTTTTGGGGGGGGGAGGTAATGAAAATGTTCTAAAATTGATTGTGTGATGAATGCCAACTCTGGGCCTATGCTAAAAGTTTATGAATTGTACACTTTAAGTGGGTGAATTGTATGGTATGTGATATAGCTCAATAAAGCTGGTAAAAATTAAATAACAAGGTTATCGTCAAAATACTTTTATTGGGAACATATAATAGAAGTACAAAGGAGGTATTTATATTCTTACCTTATTAGCCCATGGGAGATTACTAAAGCCATGTCCAATAATTGTTATTAGTTCATTTACTGTTCCAGTGGACGGAGTAATGTTGCTTATAGATGGTGAAAAACAACTTGAAACCTCAAATAGCAATCTTTTTGAATTTTTAACCCTGGTATTGTTCAGGCTGCACAGGGGTTCTGTTGCTAGGCAGCCTGCCACAGAGCTTCCCAAGTGCAAATTCTCAGGTCCTCCTTTAGACAAAAGAACTGCCCGTTAAGTCATGAATAACATTCCAAAATGATAACTGTTTTCAAACTGCGTTACTCTTTATTTTGATGATGATGGTTTAAATTCTGGTAAATCTTTTTTGAAAAACAAAATGACAAATGGGTCTTAGGCAGTACAAAAGTATTAAAGACCTGATCAAAGATGTCACAGTAAATAGAGAAAACTGAATATAAAATTGATTTATTTTTCAGTTTGTCCAAGGTCAGACCCCATGGGGAAAATAACAACGTCATCTTACATTTTAATATACGTCCAGGCACATACATAGTGTCAGAACTTTTTTACATTACTTCTCATTGGAAGCACACAAGGATTCTGGGGGAAAGACTGGTAGGAAGACATTAATGCGATCCTTACTTTAGAGGATAAATTCCAGCCTCAGAGAAGCCCAAACCTATTCAAGGTCACGTGGCTAGTAAGATAGAAGCACAGTTAGACCCAGTTATCTGCTACCGGCTCCAGAAATATCACATACACCCTGGGTCACCTGTGTAACAGAGTTTCCATCTTTAACCATCTTACCATAAGCATATGTGGCTTCAGAGCGACCCACAAACAGGTGCAAGGGAATGTGTCTGGTTTCAGCTGGTAAAACATTAATGACTCCTTGGAGAAAAATGGAGTGAGCCTCATCAACATACCCGCTGCTATAATAATGGATTCCAGGAGAAGTAAATTGGTAAGAAAATGAACCTGCCATAAAATGAGATTGTACGTAATAAATATAAGCAATTAATGCATATTTGAAAAGAGACTGAAAACAATTTGAAATGATCATTTAAATGCACATACAGATGACAGTTTCTTATTTTTCATGTGTATGAAATGTCAACAGAATGTAGTAAGAAAACTCGCTATTAAAAGCTATCTTGTGTAACGAAATTACATTCCATGAAAACAAGTTCCGGCATTGATTTTCTAGAAAACCATGGCAAGTCTGGCATAACACACCAAAATTTAAAGAAAATTCAACATGAAATGAAAGAAAATTTTTTTTTCGTGAGTGAAAGGTTCAAAATCTTACATGTACAAAACAAAACAGACAATCTAAAAGGCACATTTTACACTGAGCTGTCCTGTAGGAAACACTGATTTTAAATTGATTTCAGTCAGTCAAAGTTCATCGCTTGCTACCAGATTGGTTTGATTTAAACATATATTCCTATTTTATTGCATTTTGCTTTTTCAATATGTTTTTCAATTGGTTGATTATCACAGAATCAATATAAGATATTTCTAATATCAGAACACACTTGAATATGTATAAAATAACTTGCTTACACTCATTAGTAACATTTTTACTGCAGCAATAAAATGCCAAATACCTTACGCATTTGTGTATATTATTTATGTAAAAATACTGTATTAAATCTACACAAAATGTCATTTTATTACATTTAGGAAAAAGTGACATGATGCAAAACCCAATAAGCAGAAACATACCTGATGTAGATTTTTGTCTTCCACTTGTGAATCCTTTGCCATCATAAATTACACTTCCAGGACTGGAGACAGAAAAAATCCTATATCCTATCCCTCTAAGAAACGGATGTGTTTGCCAATGCCATGCCACTGTGTCCCCCACAGACACATTTAGGACTGGTGGTGACCAGGCATAACCTAATCCATGTACTGGGGGCAAGAATTGAGTAATATTTTAAAAGAAAAAGAGAATTTCTTAATAATTATCTTTGACAACATGGCAATTTATATACAGTCAGTAGTGAAAACATTTTAATCAACACTAAAACTTAATTACTTACATAATTTAAGCACTTAACAAAAACAAATAGAAATAATGGAAAGCAAGGTAATAAGAAGATAAGAAAAATTAAGTCACAAAACTGCAAAAGCGATGATCAACAGACAATTTGAAAAAAAAATTGGAAAGTCAATAAATAGTTTGCTTAGAAATCTTACATAGAATATTTTTAAAGCTATGATCAATTTTAATTGGAATATTCATTTGGAAATCCATGACTGATAATAAACTACAACAATCTGGGAGTTTCTGTACTAGAGCAAAACCAAATGGTAATTCCTGAAGTTGGAAATTGCAAAGTATGGCCTTCTAGACTCAAGTCTACCACTAATTTGCTCTATATGTGACCCTCTATGTCAAGCAGTTACTGCTGACAAATTATAAAAGAAATAACAATACTTAGTCTCTCAATAATTTGAAATATAAAATAAATAAAAATCAAATTAATTTCAGGTTTCAGTGCTTCCATTATTTCATAGTATATAAATGGCTGATACCTGAATCTTTCCCATTGTTGGTAATCCTGAATATATTCCCAGTTGAATGAAGAATACATTTTATGACATTTTCTGATGATGATGTAACATTGCAAGGGATGGACCCTAGAAAGAATAAATACTGCATATTTTTAAAAAGCAAACATTTTGTCAAATTTTTTTTTGTGAATTATAGAGATGAAGCATAATTCATCAACAGCCAAGACCCTAAAAAAAACTCTGCCTTATATAGCAGGATCTTCAGAACTTCTTTTCTGATAGTAATCATGTGTGAGTACTAATTATTTGCGGAAAAACTCCTCCACTCTATATGTCGCATACACATTAAATACACAGTAATTATTTATTGAAATAAAAAGTAGTTATTCAGTTTCTCTTTATCACTTTAACCAAATACACTTACCTTTTTTATGCTACTAGAAAAATAAAGCTGTGATTTAGAATATTCATATAATAACTCAGCACCTGTAGTATATCCTTTAAGCTGAGAAAAATGATAATCACTTTCCTATGAATGAAGCTCTTACCTAACAGCACGGTATTCTCAGCTGGTATTGTGCTGAATCCAAAACCCCTTATGGTGATTTCAGTTCCACCAAACAAGGAGCCTCTTTGTGGAAACATGCTGGTCACTTCTAAAACATACTGTATTGAAGAATTTAATTTGTCTCTGAGAAAAAAAATGAATAGATTTTTCAATGAGCTTCCTACTGATTTATCTTGCTAAACTCTTGCTAGGATATGACTTCTTTAGAAAGAGGAAATAACTGGATATTTAACTGTACATTACTTTTTCAAGATAGACAATCTGGCAATTATCATAATCTCGATTTGATTGGATGATATATTCAATATTTTCCCTAACTATGAAAATTACATTTCTGAAAATTCTAATGGCAGAAGAATTTGAGATGGAAGATCCTACAATATTATGGAAAAATATGCTTATGAGAACTGAGGTCACAAGAAATACATTAGATTTTTAAAAATATTTTATATTTTCATTAAACTAAAACAAAAAGGCAGCTCTGCTTTAAAACTAGCAATTAAATCTCACACATTTGAGTAATCAAAGTTTTGTATAATTAATTTGAAGTTATTATTCCACGTTTGTTGAAAACTTGTCAGGGTCTCCCTTCCCATTACTTCAATGAGAGAGTTTTTAATTTATTTTGCTTGGTTATAATGCATCTGCTAGGAGGCCATCAAAATGTAAATTCTTTTCTGATATGACATATTTGACTTCCAAATCCCAACTTCCCTCGTAACTGCAGAGAGGCAGAAAAAATCACGTGAATCATTGTGTTAACTTTTAACTTCCACAGCATAACCTTGTTATTTCTTAAATCTGAATGAGCAATTTTGTATGGTGTCAATTTCACCCATTATATGGTCAAGCTACAGCATAAGCCAATATAGAATCCATGTGAGCTCTGCCCTGTGAAACCAAGAGATGGATGTAGTGCTGAGGTTTATGTTTAATGTTGCTCATCTTCATTTACTTCTTGCAAGATTTTGCTGCAATCATCTCTCCTTCTACTCTGACATTAGCTGTATTGGCCTTTTTGCATCCATAAAATTTCAGTATCTTCCTTTTCTAAGTATTCCAAACCAATAACTTCCTCATACTAGAACTAACATTTTATCAGTTAACAAACAGTTTCAGGGAAAAAGAAATACTAAGTCCTTACAGAAAACTGAGTTGGAGAAAGACTCTCTGCATCATCTCCTTCAGATGGCCACCTCCTACCCATTTCTTGGCTTAATTGTCAGCTTTTCAGAGAACTTTTCCCTGATACTCAGGATAAGTTAGCTCTCTCTATTATAGACTCTTACTGCACCTGGTACCTCTAACTCACAGTATTTTTCACATTTACAATTAAACTCTTGAGGTAATCCTCTGTTTGAAATCTCTCTCTCCAAGAAAATTGTGAGCACCATTAATGCAGGGGAGATGCCACTCTAATCCACTGTAAATCCAGCCAGCAACACTGAGCCCCTAGAAGTTACTTGATATGCATTTCCTGAGTGAATCAAAATCATGTGACATATACATAAGGCTAGTTGTACAGAGAATTTTACAACCTGATCTGAATGGTATTGGTCTCAAAACTATGCGTCATATTGCAGTTGTATGAGATATTCTCGGCATCTTTTGCCAAAGAAGATATAGGAAGGTAAAGAGAACAATTAACACCTAAAGCTTAATGCCCACTTCTTTTCCTATCCCAATTCCACTAGCCCCATGTGTTCTACAACTCCATCAAGTTTATGTTCATTATCATACCTTGTTGATGCAAAACCCCAGTTTCTGACTTCTACATAGATATCATGTTTTCCAGGAGACAACTTGGGCAAAAGGCATCTAATATCTGTGAAGTTCCAGTGAAGAATCTGGCAGGTTTTTCCTCCAACATACACCGCCATGTTTTGTGTGAGTTCATTTCCAAAATTATAGCCCTTAATTGTTAAATTAACTTCTCCTGGTATTTTAAAATTTAAAAAATAATGCAAAAAGTTCAACTTGTTATCCAGTGTGAAATTTGCATATTAAATAAATCAATTCATCTCTCATCTTTCATTGGATTTAGGAAATCCTAACACTTTGAGAGGCAAAAGGAAAAACAATGAAAGAGTTGGTAACAGCCACAGAGGGATGAAATGTACATTCAATTGCTCAAAAGGAAAAAAGATGACAAAGTCCTTTTTTAAAAAAAAAAACTTACTATTTTTCTCCTTATTGCATATGTTCAATATAAAATAATAAATAGATTAATCTATGATAAAACATACACACACATAACACTATAACTGGTTTCACTTTAAGAAACAAAACTACAGAAGAAACTATGCTTCAAAAGCCTTTCTAGAAATGTTTTTTATACATAGGACAAATGACCAATCTTATTGAAGAATTTCTTACCTAGTATTGTTCGTACTTTTGGACTAAAATCAGTTATAATTGGTGTCTGTAAACAATTATAACTAAAAGCATCCCTTGCTGTGGCTTGAAATCCATTGGTAGTAACTGAAATATCAACTGTACCCTCAGTTTTCTAAAATAAGAGGAAAAAAATTAGAAAATATTAATTGTTGAGATACAGAAATGCAAGGGATGAAAAGAAATAGATTATTCAGAATAAACTTCTGAAGATGTTTTACTTCAAAGTCAAGATCAGAGTCAGTTTTCATATATTTAGAAAGTTGTGGTGTCAAATATAGGTTACATGCTTGAGTTCTCAAAATAAAGTTACATGACATAGTAGTTTTATGGGTTTTATGATCAATTTAAATGCATCTATATTATTGGATTTCTGATGGCTCTACAATATTGTTGAGATGCTCTGGAGAAGTGATTCTCTGATAAAGCATTAGATACTAAAGTTTGACTTTTTGCTTTTAAAATAGACAGGTATAGTTCTTATTTCTCTTCTCTGACAAATCACATCATTATATCTTTTGAAGACCTCACTCCAAAATCCAAGACTAAGCACTTGGACCCCCTAAGAAAACTATTTGATGCTTTTGCAGATATAGTATCCATGCGATTCCCAACTAGGAAAAACATTTTTTCACATCTAGTATTTATTTAATCCACACTCAGTGTTTAACCAAATGACATATTGTAAACAAAGTAAGTTTTAGCTTACCATATCCCCTCAATTCTCATCTCCATCATTTGGTCCAAAAAACAAATTTATTTTTCCTGCAGATTGCAAATACATAATACCCCCATTTACTCTGCTACACTTTTTAAAAAAAGTCAGTGACAGGATTCATTACGTTTTGGCATGTAATAAGGAAACCAGAGTCTCAGTTTAAATTTAAAAACTATGTTTTATGTTCCCCTTCCTGTGTCCCTGGGGCCTGTTGTGGGGTGGGGGGAGGGGGGAGGGATAGCATTAGGAGATATACCTAATGTTAAATGACAAGTTAATGGGTGCAGCACACCAACATGGCACATGTATACATATGTAACTAACCTGCACGTTGTGCACATGTACCCTAAAACTTAAAGCATAATAATAAAAAAACTCTGTTTTAAAAATAAAGAATAATGATTGATTCTAAGACACAATATTCCACAGAGAACTTCACTTTTTTTGTGAAACTGAAAATTTAACACATTTAAACTAAAACTTTAACACATTTAAAAATGTATTCCTGGCCAGGCGTGGTGGCTCACGTCTGTAATCCCAGCACTTTGGGAGGCTGAGGGGGGTGGATCACAAGGTCAAGAGATTGAGATCATCCTGGCCAATATGGTGAAACCCTGTCTCTACTAAAAATACAAAAATTAGCTGGGCGTGGTGGTACATGCCTGTAATCCCAGTGACTTGGGAGGCTGAGGCAGGAGAATCGCTTGAACCCGGGAGGCAGAGGTTGCAGTGAGGCGAGATCGTGCCATTGCACTACAGACTGGTGACAGAGTGAGACTCCGTCTCAGGAAAAATAAAGTATTCCTTTTTGAAAACTATTATTTTCTAGATTTACTTTCCTGAAATCTTTAGACTACTCATTTTTTTCATCCTTAAACTTACCATGGTAAACTCTCATTCATTCTCAAATTCTGATAGGACATCAACTTTTCTGTGAAACTGTTTCTGACACCCTCTCTCCACTGTGTTTTATGTTTACTTTGTTACTACTTCTATTAATTCAAATGAAATACATTGTTTAATATTAGTTTATGTGTCTCTTTTCTTCATGATTTTAAGTATCTTGAATGTGGAGACAATATTTTGTCTTTGAATCTTAGTGGAAAGATATGGAAGAAATAAGTTTTAAGGAGCATAATAGAAACCCTGCAGTTCCTAAGTAAATACACCACTTGTTTCACCCCCCGCCCCACTGAGATGTTTCCTAATTTATAAGATTTCAGACTTAGGAGGAAAAAGTGACTGAAATCAGAGGCCTTACTTTTGGTGTCCTGCAGGTTATCCTATTCAAATCCCCTTCAATCACATTGCAGGTTTCATTTCCAACTAATACCTTTGAATTTTCATTAAAGCCAAATCCAGATAAAGTCAGTAGAGTACCACCTTCATAAGAAAAGCAAACAAAAACAACAACAAAACAGTTCAACTATAACAAAAAGAAATGTTAGTAACATTTTTTGAGAATTGTCTTTTGAGAATAGTCTAATGATCCAAGAGATGTACTGGCCAATAGATCAAGGACCAGACTTGAGATGAATGCAATCCCCACCACACACCTGAGCCTGGGTGCTTTTGCTCAGAACCATAAATGAGCTGGGCTAAGTGATTTAATGAAATAACATAGATTTGCAACACACATTTGCTTTGGGGCATTGGTAGCAGCATCTGCTATTTTTCACAGTGCCTTCATCCTACGAATAATTATGCTGCTTCTATTCACTCAACCATTCTGTGGGTGGAAGAGGAGAGTTAATTAAGACTCTTGCCAAATCTCAAATTTTAATACCTCTAAGTAAAAGGAAAACTAAACTTTAAAAATAAGCGATGAAATAATGTAAAATAAAAGCATACCAAAAGGATCAAAATCAAAGCACAAAACCCTAAACTACGCCTGGTAAAAAAAACAAACAAATGTACAAAGGAAATGAAGCAGGACAGGAAAAATGTGTTATGTTCTTTCCATCCTGTGTGTTAGCCCTCCTTTCCCCAGTTTGTTCCCAGAACTTTGTCTGGGTCAAGAAGCTCCACTGAGACTGTGGTTACAAACGAAGCAGCTGGTAAGCAGAATAATAACTAATAAATCTTATCTTGACATAATTGATGTGCTTGTTATAGAAACATGTAATAATTGATGATATTAATTCAATAACCTAAGATGTAAGTATAAGCAGCACCCTGACTTGTGCTTTGTAAGAAACAAAAGAATTAGTCAGCCATTTAATCACTGTACCTTCTCGAAGGAGACTTTCCTTTGTTCTATAAGAGGAAGCTTTGGGATCCTCTCCCTTCACCCTGTACTAGAAACAGCACATTGAACTGATGGAAATGCATGCAATTTTCTCTCTGTTTAAACTATTAACCATTACCTGCTATGCTTCCAGAATCAGGCCAGATATGTGAGATCTGACTCTGATAAACAAAGTAGAACTCTTCACCCCCTACATTCTGTGCTAGTCCAACATCAGCCATGGACACAGCAACGGGGGCATGTCCAGCACTTCCATTCAGAATCTGGCACTTGAGCTCTTTTTCTTGTGAAAAAAAGAAAAAGATGAAGAAAATGGTAAATCAAATGGTTTTATGAGATAAAAGTTATGCTTGCAAATACTAACATTGGCCTTCATTTTTAGATCTCACGAAGTATATCCAAAGAAAACCAATCATATATTAATGTGTGGGGGAATCTTAGGAGGAATAATTCTTACAAACTACCTGAGGCTATGAATCAGACACTCCTAGAAAATAGGTAAACCAATAGTGAAAGCAAAGTAATCAATCTGCTTCGGATGCTACTGTACCCAAAACAGACTATTGTCATAATTTTTTTAAAAAAAAAACTAGTTTATAAGCTCATTTATTTAATAATTCTAAAATTTTTGGTCAAACATATTATGTCTGAAATTGTGCAAAATACTACGTTTTATCAGGAAAGATGATCAAAAACTAAATGAAGGGCAGGCGCGGTGGCTCACGCCTGTAATCCCGGCACTTTAGAAGGCTGAGGCGGGTGGATCACCTGAGTTCAGGAGTTCAAGACCAGCTTGGCCAACATGGTGAAACCCTGTCTCTATTAAAAATACAAAAAATAGCTGGGTGTGGTGTCAGACACCTGTAATCTCAGCTACTTGGGAGGCTGAGGCAGAAGAATCACTTGAACCTGGGAGGCAGAGGTTGCAGTGAGCTGAGATCATGCCACGGTACTCCAGCCTGGGCAACAGAATGAGACTCCATCTCAAAAAAACAAAAACACAGAAACCAAAACAAAACAAAAACAAAAAACAAAACACCAAAAACAAAACCAAAAAAGTAAATGAAAACATTTTCTTACTTTTTTTTTTTTTGAAATGTGACCATTTAATTCCTCAGCAGAGATGTATGTATGAAAACATAATTTCTATCACTGGTGATAGGAGAATTTGATATTGAGGATTTCATGAGTTGGGAAGAGTGATATTTTTCTCTCTTTTTTAAAATTATACTTTAAGTTCTGGGATACCTGTGCAGAACATGCAGGTTTATTACATAGATATACACATATCATCGTGGTTTGCTGCACCCATTAACCCGTCACCTACATTAGGTATTTCTTCTAATGCTATCCCTCCCCTAGCCCCCAACCCCTCGACAGGCCCTGGTGTGTGATGTTCCCCTCGTTCTCATTGTTCAACTCCCACTTATGAGTGAGAACATCTGGTGTTTGGTTTTCCGTTCTTGTGTTAGTTTACTGAGAATGATGGTTTCCAGCTTCATCCATGTCCCTGCAAAGGATATGAACTCATCCTTTTTTATTGCCGCATAGTATTCCATGGTGTATATGTACCACATTTTCTTTTTCTTTAGAACACCAATAATACAGGTGCAATATTGACTCTTAGAGCTTAACAATGCATAAAAGAACTAAACTAAAAACAACAGAAAGGATTTGGTAAATGAATTTACTTATGTAATTTCAATTGATTTAAGTTAAGAAAAATCTCCTAGAATTATGAAAGACAACTTTTAGGGAAATAAATAACTATGGCCTTCACTATTTCAAGATGTTAAAAAAATTTGAATGATCTTTAAATTCTACATTAATGGAGAGAGGTTCAATGGGACTGGAAGTCAGGAGATGGCCAGGTCCTCTTCCTGCATGGCATTGTCAAAACATGGGCAGACAGGACCATGGAACACAAGAGAAGCATTTCATACATTTTTGTGTCCCAGAGACACACCGATGCAAGAAAGATTTCATGTAACCTCCAAATGAAGGGGGGAAAAAGGATAAAATTAAACTGTTATGGGATAAAGACACCGTACAACAATGAAATAGTCTGTGATCATAATCAAAGATAAGGCATTATATAGACCAGGTTGCCAATTTCATGACCCCATAGGGATCATGATAATTGTAATACTGGATCATGATAATTGTACACGATCAAGATAATTGTAATACTGCCCTTTGATTCCACTTTATCTTAGAGAAGAACAATTAGACTTAATAGTTTTTAAAAGGACCTACCATCCACAGAAAGAAGAGAACAACCTACTGGTCCAACTGAGACTGTTACAGCTGAACTAGGAGAAAATCCAGAACCCACTATGGTTAGAATTGTGCCTTCTTCATAGGACCCTAAAAATGATCAATTTAAATAACAATATTAAAGTTAGAAAAATAAAACCTGTTGTTATGAAATCAGACATTTCTCAAATAAAAATAAGTCTATCTTCAAAAGATATAAACAATAAGCCTAACAGGAGAGCAGGGAGAAAAATCCACATTTATTTGTCAATGGCATTTTATTTCCATTATTTCCATTGAATTACTCTATATCTTTTCATATTTTGAATCTGTGTGTTGACAGAGACTAGTGGAAAGAACTATCTGATTGAAAATATGGCATAAGATAAAGAAACAAATTATTCTCATAACAAAGAAATTAAGTAGACATCTCTATATGGTAACTTAGTATATGATGGACTTGCCATTGCAAATTCATGAGGAAAGGATAAACCATGCAATTAGTGGTATGGACACTTCCCATTTGAAAAGAAAATAAGATTCTTCTGTTTATGGTGATACACATCTCAAAGTGCCTGGGACAGTTCTGGTTTACACCTGTGTTCCAGCGTCTTAAACTTAAGGTTCTTCCATTCCCTCTTAAAAGTGTCCAGGTTTGATCAACAAATTATAGATAGATAGATAGATGGATAGATAGATAGATAATTACATATCTAACTATAACAAATCATATATATATGATCACCCTACTTACGTAACACCATGCACAATATAGATTCTACATAGATTCAAATAGCTAAGAACAAAAAACAAAACTCAAAAATTTTATAAGAAAATATAATCAAATATCTTGATGACTTTGAGGTAGAAATGGATTTCTCAAATATGATACATGAAGTCATGGGGTTGACCATAATGGAATAAATAAATAACCTAGAATAAATCAATGACTTAAATCTTTTTGTAAACAAGATACTAAATCAAAGCACAGCTAATATACTGAGAGAAGCCATGTGCAAAGGATTGGTAAACATAAAATATAGTAAATGGTTACAAGTAAATTTTAAAAAGACAATTCAATAAAAAAGGGAAAAAGGATGCTAACACTTTGCAGAAGAAATAATCTGAATGTCCAAGAAACATATGAAGGATGATCATGTACATTACTAATAAGGGAATAGAAAAATTTCTAAAAAGTGTTAACTTTCACCCATCGGAATAGTTAAAATTAGGAAGCCGATCACTTCCAATATTGGCAAGGATGTAGGGGATATGTTGCTATTACATTTGCTGGTAGTATAGCCACTTGGGAGAGCAATTTGGTCATCTAGTAAACCGAATACTCATACAACCAATTGTTATCCAGTAATAGCACGTCTGGGTATATACTCTAAAGAAGCTCTAACACGTATGCAATAGGAGGTTTGTACAAGAAAGTTCAATATAGTCTTATTGGTAAAAGTGAAAACTTGTAAACAATCTAAATGTCCACCAATAGAGGAACTAGTAAGTTGGTGTACTCATGAAATACTTTAAGGTGATTGATTAGGTGTACATAAAACCACATAAATATATCTCAAAATGAATTCTGAATGACAAAAGTAATATGCAAAATAACATTTACATTGTAATATTTCATTTGTAAGCTTACAAAACTGGCAAAATTACCGTGTGTGTGTGTGTGTTATATACAAAAGGTATTTAAAATGTCATGGAAGAATACACACACAATAATTAATTACTGTGATTGTCCCTCGAGAGTTATGTAGGGGACTAGGTCTAGGGATGGTGCTTAAAGAGAAATTTAGCTGTTCCTATAATATTTCTTTCTTAAATTAATGATTGGAAGTAAATATGACACAATGTTAACAGCTGTTAATTTTCAGTGAAAAATATATGTATTTTTGTAGTTTTCTTTATGCTTAAATTTTCACAATTTTAAAAATGATCCAAATGTGGCAAAAGACAATTCAGATTGTTATATTGGGTAAGAAATAGTTTTTCAGGAAGTGCATGTAAAAGTGGGAATTCAACCATCCTGGCCAACATGGTAAAACTCTGTCTCTACTAAAAATACAAAAATTATCTGAGTGTGGTGGTATGCACCTGTAGTCTCAGCTACTTGGGAGGCTGAGGTGGGAGAATCGCTTGAACCTGGGAGGCGGAGGTTGCAGTGAGCTGAGATCGCACTACTGCACTCCAGCCTGGTGACAGCAAGACTCAGTCTCAAAAAAAAAAAAAAAAGTGGGAATTCATTACAAAATGCAAGAGTGGATATAAACATAAAGATACCAAAGGACTGTAACCAAATTAAAGTTCATCAAATCCTTATTCTTGTGAGTTTTAACCCCATGTAACATGAATTATCTCAAAGTTAGTATCATCACTATTTTAAAAAGTCTGAAGAATATATTCTTTCAACACAAAAATGCACTACTTTTAAAATTTTAATAATTTTTTAGGAGGTACCAATATAAAATTAGTTGGCGAATTTTCCTACTATCCACCAAGACTAAATATGTAACTATAGCATATGAGTTTATTTTTCTGATTGAAAAAAGCCATCCCTTACTATCCTGATTCCTGCTGTTTTATTTCAGTCCTTAGTTGCTCAGACACAAAGCATAATCACATTTTTGAAGCAATAATACCATTTATGAAGAAATGGCATAATGTGTTCCTTAGATTGAGTTCATGGCAATAATTTTTATATCTCTTACTCTCAAATCTAGGACACGATTATATTCTTTTATGAAACAGCAGATGTCTTGTTACTAGCCTTTTAATACTAACTCTCCTAGAGGAAGTGGTCTCATAGAATAAAAGACTCCACTTAATACCCTAGCTGGTACAGTTGAATAAAAGTTCCTCAGTGTCCAAGTGAAATTTTAGAGACTGAGTCTAACTGGTGAAACTGGAGAAGTTTAAGATTAGTAAATCCTCTACTTCAAAGGCAAGATTTCAGCTTCAAAAGAAATATTTTTTTTTCAAAAATAAATAATTAGTGCCCTTTCCATAGTTTTTTTCTCTGATAGGGTTTTTAATTTTCACAATGTAGAACTGTTTGCTTGCTTTAGCTAGTGACACTAGTAGAAACATAGTTTTAAAAGTCATTATCAGAGTTTACATTTTGCTGATTATCTTTCACACCCAGTATAGGTTAAAAATCAGGAAGTTACCTTGAGAAGGGCTTATCGCCAAGACTAGGGGAGTAATGTTGGAATCCCATGTAAATCCACAGTCACCTGAACATTTAGCTGGAATTCCATTGACATAGACTTCAACCTTCAAGTAAAGAAACAAGAAGCTACAGAACATGGGCAAAGAGGCAGCAGTAGAATATGAATAGGTTTTAACAAAAGTGATGGAATTTTGTTGGTTTGCTAATTTACTGAAATTAGTCTATATTTTTTGTACTTTGATATTTCATTCATTTTTGCCCTTGGGAAAGTCACCTAATCTCTTTTGACTTTAATTTCTTCATCTTTACAGAGCTGCTGTAAAGATTGAAGGAAAGATTCCTCTATTTTCAAATTCTGGCATAGTAGAGCTAAAAAAATCTACTATTTTATCATAAGGAAGATAATTTTCCCAAAAATCATAAAATAATATTATCAAGTTGATCAATATTAAGACAAATGTTCCCATGAAATACAGAAGTCAAACCTCCTGTTTCACCAGGTCTTTAACATATTACAAACTAGTTATACTATTAAAATTACATTAAGCATCATGAGAAAAGTTTCAAAAATACCTGTGGCTGTTGACTGGGTGTACGAAGTAGGTCTCCAAGTACATGTTGTCTGAATAAGCCACCTTCCTTTATCCTTGTAACTGTCATATTAGCCTTTTCTCCAATAATGTTGGAATCATTAATCTATTTTTACACACAATTATTTTACTAGAAAGGTTATAACAAATATGACGACACTAGTTTTTCATTTTAAATTTCAGCATAGGCAAAGGTGAATAAAAGTCAAAGAATGTAAAATAAAATTCAAAACCATTGTAGTCACTTTTTTTAAATAAAAGGAGCCTCTTCAAAAATGAACATAACCTATCCAAGAAAAAAAATTAAGACCATTGCATTATCATACATTGCATCAATTACAACTTGAATTAAAACAAAAATTAACTTGAATTTTTATAATTAAAAAATAAATCTAAAAATGAATCTACTAAACTTGATTTTCTCAAAATGTCCTATGCTTTTTCTGAATATGATAACTGATAAATTATTCTTAAATAATTGAAAAATTGAGTCATCTTTCTATCTGAGAGTCAACTTTTCCTTGTATCATTTTTTACCTTTACCCTGGTTTTTCACCCAATTTTGGAATTATATGTTCTTCCAATGGTAAAAATAAAGCCAAGTTAAATCAGTATATACAATTTGTTCTTTACAAAATTCCTCTGCAAATATGGCAACCTTCTGATGTATTCAGGGACTAGCAAAGAGATAGGAGTCTCCATGCTGGGCCATGTGTGAGCCAAATGATATGGAACAGAAACAATGAATAAGCAGAAGAGACTGATTAGAAAAGATGGAAGAGAGTAGATGCACAGACACCAGCAGAGACACCAAGGGAGGTCAGTCACTAGACCTATCTTCATTGTGGAGTTCTCTAATTTCAGTTCCCAGCCATGTATTTTTTTTAAAATAACCCCCATATCCTTATGACTATTACTATTTTGCACAACCATACAGACTTGTTTTCTATGTTTACATAGTTGTTTTTGCCCCCACTTCCTTATCTTCTCCACTTCCTCTCCTTCCCCAAATGATTTCATAAGTAGAGTTCTGCATTTTTTTCCACTTTAAGTCACGAATTTCTTTCCAGGTAAATATATGTGGGTCTACACATGGCTGCATGGTGTTCAATGTGAAAGTTACACCAATCCTTCTGCTATTGATGGGGATTTAGGTTTCTAGGTTTTACTTTTACAAATAATGCTGCAGTGACTACCTTTGTGCCTATATCATTTCACATTTATCTTATTATTTCAGTAGAATAGAGTTATATAAGTGATAGTGATGAATCATAAGGTCTCTGTATTAAGATACTACTAAGTTATCTTCCCAAAAGGTTGTCCTAATTTTCATTCTCACCAACATTGCATAGAAGAAACTATTTCCTTGCACTCTCATCATCACCAGAAAGCATTTTTTTTTTTTTTTTTTTTTTTTTTTTTGAGACGGAGTTTTGCTCTTGTTGCCCAGGCTGGAGTGCAATGGCAATGGCACAATCTCGGCTCACTGCAATCTCCGTCTCCCAGGTTCAAGCGATTCTCCTGCCTCAGCCTCCCAAGTAGCTGGGATTACAGGCATGCACTACCACGTCCAGCTAATTTTGTATTTTTAGTAGAAACAGGATTTCACCATGTTGGTCAGGCTCATCTCGAACTCCTGTGATCCACCTGCCTCAGCCTCCCAAAATGCTGGGATTACAGGCATGAGCCACTGTGCCTGGCTGAAAGCATCATCTTTTTAATGTTTGACAATCTGAGTCCCTAGACTCCTCTCCTTCACATACTCTGGGCCTGACTCCTTTCCCCCATTCTCTTCTTCCTTCTAACTAAAGAAAGGTAATTAGATGACAGCCTAAGGTGTTACTCCCTTATGAACTTGGAAAAAATCATCTTTATAACCACAAAAGTATCCAAGGCCCCAAAATACAGCTCTCGTGGTAGAATGATAGTGAGGCTGATTCTCTTTGGGACCCCCTTAGCATACATCTGGATTTAGTTCGGTTTAGTTCTGAGACCGGTCCTGACTGCGCTCCACCTGCCCCTGTCAAGGGGATTCTAACACACATATTTCTGGACTTTTTCTAAGTGGGATATGGAGTAAAGTACCAACAGCTATTCTCCATGAAAGAGAACACTGGATCAGCTTAATTTAGAAAAAAACCTTCTCCTTAACTTCCTTTTAAAGAAATTTTAGTTTATGGTTTGAATTTTTATAATAAACATAGCCTCCAGTTCTTTTTGGAATAAGGCAGGGTCCAAATAAGCAAACAGCACATAGAAGAAAAGAGAAGCCAAGCCAAATGAGGGAACCTGTAGAAGATTCTGCTTTCCGCAGGTGCTTCTCCATTTGATGTTCCACGCGTAGCCAGCACAGGTTCCCTCTCGTGTAACTGAGATTCTTCCCATTCCCTCCAGACTCTGGAGTGCAAACTGCAGATCTGCAGCTGACACAGCAGCGGGGAGGCCTGCACTCACAGAGGGGTGGCAAACAGCAGGAGTCACAATTCACAAACGGGCCGGATGTGGTGGTTCACGCCTGTAATCTTAGCACTTTGGGAGGCCAAAGCGGGCGGGTCACCTGAGGTCAGGCGTTTGAGATCAGCCTGGCCAACATGGTAAAACCCCGTCTCTACTAAAAATACAAAAATTAGCTGGGCATGGTGGTGCGTGCCTGTAATCCCAGCTACTCGGGAGGCTGAGGCAGGAGAACCACTTGAACCCGGAAGGCGGAGGTTGTAGTGTCCAAGATCGTGCCACTGCACTAAAGCCTTGGTGACAGCGAGACTCCGTCTCAAAAAAAAATTAATAATAAAATAAAATATATTCACAAACCAATTTCATCTTTAAAGCACATGAAATGTGTACTATGTATTATCACTTGCAAACTCTATGTCCCCCTCCAATGTAGTAAAAATAAAATTTGCATTCTACTTCTGCCAAGAATTTATATATTTCCTGGAAATAAAATATATGCAATTTTATCAATTTCAAAATAATAATAAATAATTATTTTTAAAAATTATATGAGTAATGTACCTCATACTGTGGCCTTGGACCAAATATTTTTAATATCAATTCACAAATATCAAATATCAGTCGATATTTTCATATCAATTCATTTTGATATTAAAAATAAAATCCTTTTAGTGTCAGAATATATTGAGTGTTAAAATGATCTTTTAATATAGAAATACTTTTATTTTTAAAATCGATTTTGATTAAATTAATAACAATGTTAATTTGTAATGTCTTTGAAAATACTGATAACCTATAAGTCATGAATATAAAAGAGAAACAAACATTTGAGAATGTCACCAGTGTAGTGGATAAAGCAGTGACAAAAACATAAAAATGTCACTTGCCCTGAATAGTTTAGCTTCATATTACTGACATACTCTCAATTATGTAAATTATAAGAGAAATACTACTAAAAAGGAGTACACCAAAATGTTTATTATAGTTGTCTAGATTAGTCCCGTACAACTGATAAATAATGTGAACCAGATACATAATTGTATATTTTCTGGTAGCTATATTTTAGAAAGAAAACAAAACCAGGTAAAATATTTTAATAGTAATAAATTGCATATAATCCCTTATATTCAAATGTTATATTTTGACATGTGGCACTAGTCACATTTTAAGTGCTCAGTAGCCACATATGACTCATGGCTACCATATTGAATAGCACAGACTTAGATAATTCAATTATAGATGACTTTTAAAATCATATTCCAATTCTCAATTTTTCTATTTTAATATTATTGTTATTGTTTATGGCTACCACAGTAGGTAATGAATGCTTATTTTTTAAAATGCATGTATTATAGAAAGTTTTGACTTATGAAAGTCATAATTTCAACTGCCTTTAAAAAATGGCTATAAAAAATTGTTATAAATTTTTGCAGACTTTTAAAAATATTATTTTTAAGGGAAAACAATCAAAATAAATAATGTTAGCTTTGGATGGGTGAAGTATTTCCTAATCTATTAAAAAGAAGGATTTGAAACACCTTTATGATTGGCTATTAATTGACCCTAATATGGTATATATTAATATATATGCATGTGTGACTTTAATATATCACATATTTACTTATATATCAAATAAATAATTAATATATTTGTATGTATCAATAAGTAGTAATTCTCAAGTTAAACAAAATTTAACACTTTATAAGGTTATACATATGTGTGTGCGTATACACCAATATTTTAAATTTTTTTCATATACCTTTAAGAATATGTCCATAAGCTTGAATGTCAAAGCTGCCACTTAGAGGTGGAGATGCAGCTTGAATTCTTTGAATATGAATTTTTGACTCGCCTGGCCAATTATTTCCTCTGTAGACAAACTCGTTCTCTGTCTCATGTGTGATTATCTAATTTCCAAAATAAATATTGATAAAATGATTAAACTTAACAATGGCTTACATGATTTCTATTTCATCATGGTACAATCCTGTGACATGACATAAATGAGCCTCATGTATTCAGGATTCTTCAGAACATTAAGGAGTGTCACATAAATCAACACAGGCCATACCTATATGGCTGCAATAATGAGGCCAAAGTCAACTCATTCATCTGTGCAGCAATCAGCTGGAACTGCAGTAATACCTCATTAATTCAGAATGCACCCTCCATCACTCAAGGAACAAATATTTATTGAGCAGGCACTCTGTTCAAGGTACAGTGCTAATCACTGCAGAGAGGCAAAGGAGCATGAGATGTGGTCTTGGCTATTAAAAAACTAAAATGATTTTTTAAAAAATAGTACATGGAGTCTTGAAAAGTTAACCAACAATTTAAGAAAATTTATGATTTATACAGTGGCTGACCCAGGCTAAAAAAAAAAATACTTGTTTAATGTTCAGTGCTAATCAATTGACAGAAGCAGCAAATGCTGTAGAAATTCATAGATTGTAACCCCAATAATGAAAATTATATTCTCCTGTTGATGATACCTTATAGTTATCTGTTACTACTGTAAAATTTAAAATGATAAGCCTTCTAGACCACAGAATGAATAAACATTAGTGCTAAAAGACATAAGCAAGAATGTTCCTAGCAGCTATATTCATAATAGCCTCAACCTGGAAATAATGCAAAAGTTGTTCAATAGAATGGATAAATTATGGTATATTTATACTATGGAAAAATGTACAGCAATCAAAGAGAATGAAACTACAGTATATGCAATGTGAATCTCACAAAATTGAATGAAAGAAGCTAGATTCAAAGGAGTACACACAGTATGATTTTATTGATATGAAGTTTAAGAACAATCGAAAATAATTCAGGGTAGTAGATGTCAAAAGAGTGGTTATTGGGGTGAGGAGTGAGTTTAAGAAAGAAGAGCGGTTCAAGGAAGGTACTTGGGGAGCTAATGATTATCTTCATTTGGGTGTGATTACATGAGTGTATCTACTTTGTAAAAATGTGTTGAATTCAGTAGGTTATAAGATACAAGATAAAGACACAAAAATCAATTACATTTCTATATACAAATAACGAGCATGTGGAAATCGAATTTAAAAACACAAGACCATTTACAACTGCTCGAAGAAAATGAAACACGTTTATAAATCTCACAAAACATGTACTAGACCTGAACTGAAAATTGCAAAATGCCGATAAATGTAATAAATGAAGATCTAAATATGCTGGTAAAGCACGAAGAGGACAAATAATTGGAGAGACATACTGTGTTCATGGATTGGAAGACTCAATATCACAATGGTGTCAATTCTCTCCAAAACAGTCTATAGATTTAATGTAATTATTGTCAAAATACCAGCAAGGTTTTTTTGTAGACATAAATAATCTTATTTTAAAATTTATATGGGAAGGCACAGGACCTAGAATAGCTAAAACAATTTTGCACAAGAAAAATAAAGTAAGAAGAATCACTCTACTCAATGTTAAGTCTAACTATTCAGATACAATAGTCAAGAATGTGTGGTATTGGTGGAAGGACTGACACATAGACCAATGGAAAGAATAGAAAACTCAGAAATATGCCCACACAAATATGATTTTTGACAAAGGTTCCAATGTAATTAAATGGAAGAAAGATAGCCTTTTCAATAATGTTGCTGAAACAATTGGAGGCATAGGCAAACAAATGAACCTCAACGAAAAATCACATCTTACATGTAAAAATTAACACAAAATGGATCATGCCCTTAAATATAAAATGTAAATCTGTAGGATTTTTAGAAAAAGAAAAATCCTCAGGACCTAGAGCTAAGTAAGTTCTTAGACTTGAAACCAAAAGCACCGTTCAAAAAAGAAAAAAAAAAGTGATAAATTTGGCCTCATAAAATTTTTAAAACTTTGTTCTGTCAAAGACCTTATGAAGAAGATGAAAAGGTGAGGTACAGTCTGGGAGAAAATATTTGCAAACCATATATCTGACAAAAGAATTATACCTAGACATTTCACAGTAGAAGATATGTAGGTGGCAAATAAGTTCATAAAAAGATGTTCAACATCATTAGCCATTAGGAAATATCAATTAAAATGAAAATGAACCATCGTTACACACCCTACCAGAACGCCTAAAATTAAAAATAGTGACATCACCAAACACTGGCAAGATTGTGCAGAAACTGGATCGTACACTGCTGGTGGGAATCTAAAATGGTACAACCACTTCAGAAAAAAAATATGGTAGTTTCTTTAAAAACTATACATGTTCTTACCATACAACCCTATAATTGCACTGTTGGGAATTTAACCGAGAAAAAATGGAAACTTATGTCTCACAAAAGCCTACAGATGAATGTTCATAGCGGTTTAATTCATAATAGCCAAAACCAAGAAACAACTCAAATGTCCTTCAACGGGTGAGTAAACAAACTGGTACATCCATAACAGTAAATATACTCAGCAATTAAAATGAATAAATCGATCAACACAATTTGAATGGATCTCAAGGGAATTATGCTGAGTTAAAAAAATGCCAGTATACAAAAGCTATGTATTTGTGTGATTATATGACATCTGATTCCATTTTTGTAGCATTCTTGAAACGACAAAATTATTGAGAGAATGAATTTGTGGTTGCCATATATAAGTGAGTGCAGGAGGAATGGAACGAGGGAGATGGCTGTGACAGCATGGCTACAAAAAGGTAGCACAAGAGACGCTCGTAATAGAACTGTTCTGGTGGTGGTCAGATGAATCTACACCTATGATAAAATTGTGTAAGAACTACACAAACACGCACACACACACACACAACCCTGGAAAAATCTGAATAAGGTCAGTGGATTTTATCATGTCAATTTCCTGGTTATGATATTATGCTATATTATACAAAAAAATTATCATTGGGGGAAAATGGGTAAAGGATATAAAAATAGTTCTGTGCTATTTCTTACAACTGCATGTGAATCTACAATTATGTCAAAGTTAAAGTTCTTAAAACAATTTATTGATCTATACATTTAACATATGTGCATATTATTTATTACATGTACCTATCACTTGAATTTTTTTAAAAGGTCACAAAAATCTAAGTCCTGTATTCTTCAGTGTAAACTTTGATGAATAATTAAAGATAGAGGTTACAGTTACCAATTAGTTTATTGAGGAATCTTGAAAAATGGGAGAATTTTGACACAGATGCTTTGAGAATACAGAGCCTTGAATTAGTTATTATATTTTCTTTTTTTTGAGACAGAGTCTCGCTCTGTCGCCGAGGCTGAAGTGCAGTGGCGCGATCTCCGCTCACTGCAAGCTCCGCCTCCCGGGTTCACGCCATTCTCCTGCCTCAGCCTCGGAAGGAGCTGGGACTACAGGCCCCCGCCACCACGCCCGGCTAATTTTTTTGTATTTTTTAGTGGAGATGGGGTTTCACCATGTTAGCCCGGATGGTCTCGATCTTCTGACCTCATGATCCGCCCGTCTCGGCCTCCCAAAGTGCTGGTATTATAGGCGTGAGCCACCGCGCCCGGCCAGTTATTATATTTTCTAATAGAGCTAAGAGTAAAGCACTGAAAAGCATTTGTAAGATGCTAATCTGGAAGATATTAAGACTAAAACATTGGGCCAGGATGGGATAAAGGCAATTTTTTTGGAGTTTTTATAATTTTTCAGTAATTTTAATCATAAAATTGTTTACTTTGCAAAAATTTTCTGTGAGGCTCTAATCCAATTACAATGGTTAATGATTATTTAATCTTTAATCTTGAGCTTATTATACTTGTTTTTGGTTTGTGGTAGGAAATTATATTAACTCATTGAATATTTTTATAGAAATTTAATTTTAAATTTTTCATTATATTTGTAATATTTAATATTAATCTTATTACAAATGTACAAAAAATTGTTCAGGTCCTTCTGGAATTATGAAAAACCACTTCTTTCTTCCCTTGTATAAATTTTCATACAAGCAAAAATAAATGGTGTTTATAACAAAACAATTAAAAAGCATAATGCAGAATCTCAATTTTTCTCTCAATAATATCTGTTTCAGGATGTTTATTGGAAGAGACCATAATTTTTTCTTTTACGTCCACAGAGAAAACTCTACTTAAATATGACTTTGTTTTTTAAGGATATTTCTCCCTGTTTTCCTTCCCATAGACATATTTCTGTAAGAATTTTTTTAATACTTAAAGTCAATTTTCATACTCCAAATCTTCATATAACCTTAGAATAGTTAGCTGTCTTTTCCTGTTAAAATATTCCATCTGTATGTTGGTTATTTAAAAAAATTAAAAATAAAATTCACTACATAAAAATTAATGCAAAATTCTAGGCTTACCTGCCCAAAGCTCACAGCCATCATGGGTATATTGTAACTGCAATTGTATGAAGTCATGGTAACAGAATATTGGTTTGTCATAGTTGGCCCATTTGTTTTGGTCTGATTCACCTGAAAGTGCTCTAAGAATATTCCTTTATTTGCTAATGCAGGAAGTCTTCTCTTGGGCATTTCTAAAGAATATAAATAAAAATATTAGGTTGGTGTAAAAGTAACTGTGGTTTTTGCCATGTAAAATTAACCTAATAGAGGAGATAAAATTGCATTGCTTCTGTTGCTAAAAATAAAATCATCAAATAATATCAACATTGTCATGAAGTATTTAAAATCAAGTATTAGAAAGAAGACCTGAAGGCAAGTAGTTTATGAAGCTTGCTAAACTTTCACTTTTATATTATGAAGCTCTATGTCTTTTGACATATGAACCCTATCAAGTAAAAACCAAATATTTAAAGGCCACCAATCCCTGGGTTTCCTGCAGCCTTCTGTGGTTAGTTAGCTTTGTTCTGTTCTACATCCCCCAAATGTGGTGCTCACTAGGATGTGTGCTTCATGAGGGCAGGACAAAGATTGTCATCTTCATTGCTCTTTTCTTAGTACTTGACACAATGCCTGACACATAGTAGGTTCTAAGTGAATATCATTTAATGAACGACAATATTTATCCCAGCACAATCCATCTGTCTTATACATGTTCTACCAATCATAATGTAAGTCTGGTGACAGCAGATTCAAAAGGAGTGACAATGAAGTAGTAGCATTTACATTAAAAAAAAAAATCAGTTAACTCACCACCTTGCACTTGAAAGCAGTTCCAAAGAAAAGGATTCTAATGTTCCTCTCAAAAATGGGAAAAGTCACTTTTAAGGTGACTGTTTGGAGTTAGGTTAATTTTTTAAAAGATCGTGGAGTTTAATTTTTATTATTATTACATCTAATAAATGTCATGTCTATTAACATGACTAGAAACACAATGCTAACACTATTGAAATGAAGGTTTCATTTGTAGTATTATTAATTATCACTCTTAAGTCTATGGAAAGTTTCAAGTCGATCTTAGTAGACAGATGTCAATGTCAGTAGTTGCATTTTGGGAATAGATCTCTCTCATGGTAGTTGGTTTCTCAAAAATAAAACAAAGCAAAAAGAAAATGTTTGACATAGTGTATTTATCCATAAACAAAATCCTGGACTATAAAGCAAATTCTTGCTATTGTGAGAAAGTTTTCATTAAGGATTCATTTATCCTTGGAATAATCACTTTGCACTATTCATTACAAAATAAAATCATAATATTATTCAGATAAAAGAGTGACTCATTAATATTTAGATATTAATGTTTCTATCCATACTGCAGAATATAAAAATAATTTCCATGGTAAGATTTTACTATATTTAGATTAAAGCAGAGATAAAATGATACAACATACCATCCAATGTTGAGATTGTAGATGTGTGTCCAATGTACACTACATCCACATAGAAGGACTGTGATTCTGATGCTTTATGTAAGCTAATCCTCTGAAGAGAAACATTTGTCCCAGTGTATTTCGTTCTTACGAGATCCAGAAGGTCTATGCAAGTGTAAGTCCAGCTGAAATACGGTTGATTAATTTGTTGTATAGATCAGTGGTAATGTTTAAGCAAATACACTTTAGAAAGCATTAAAATTTTATAGAGTAAAATATTTTTTCCCACAAGACGACCATCAGGGGAGCTTTATTAGCACAGAAAAGCAGCCGTAACAAGGCACAGCAGGCAGAAACTTACATTGGCAGTAAAAGATTTAGCATTGTATACAAATATAGGCTTTCTTTTATTTGTAGCCTTGGCAGTAGCCATAGGAATGTAAAATAACATTCTGTAACAACAAGTAAGGAAACTAAGAAGCACAGGCATTTGTGTAGAGCATATTAACAAAACAAGACACAAGAATGGAGTCAACAATTTTTGTGAACAATACCAGGCATAGAACAGTAAGTTCAGTCCGCTGCTAAGAAGCAAAACTGGAACTTTATAACTCTTCCAGGGAAGTTCCCTGGAGCAGCATTGTCCATTGTTCTAAGTGCTAGAAGGGTGTTATTTGTAGATATAAATGGTTGCACAGTACCTTTTAAATGTATAACTCAGATTCAGATTTTCCATTAAATCATAACTGCATTGGAATCCCATAAATTACAGTTAAGCATTAAAGCTATAAGAGTTTGTAACACATATATAAGTATTTCCATTCAAATAATTAAATATAGTTTAACAATAATCTTTCATCAGCTACCACTGTAGTTATTAACTGACTAGTTTGTTTGGGTACCTTACAGTCCCATTTTCTTCAGGGTTCATAAACTCATCATGGGATCCACCTCTAGCTCATCAAAGATTAGACTACACATATCAGTTTTAGCAAATTGTATGCAAACGACATTAAGTTAAGGTGCTCTTTAAATTAAAAAAAAAAGTACTTAGGGCCTCAGCGTAGAACTGTACAACTGATTATGCAATTCTAAAATTTTAAAAACCACAACTTAGAAAATTTGGCATACTGAACAGGACCTTTTATAAGGGAAAAGGAGACTGAAAATGATATCAAAACTGAACTGTACACTGTGCCTTTGTGATTAAATAATTCCATTTTTTGAAGAGAAAGGCAGCCTGTTTTTAGATTTTAAAACTTGATTTACAACTACAAACCACTTTTTGGAAGGTTGTAGAACAATTTTGGGGGATGGGAAATGGCACTTTTAACACTAACAGTGTACTGAAAATAACAAATACTAATACATCTACTTGATCCAGGTGGACTGTCTGACCTATATTAAAGCAGATCTAGAAATATTTGTTAGAGACCAGGTGCAGTGGCTCACGCCTGTAATCCCAGAGCTTTGGGAGGCCGAAGTGGGTGGATCACGAGGTCAGGAGCTCGAGACCAGCCTGACCAATATGGTGAAACCCCATCTCTAACTAAAAATACAAAAAATTAGCTGGGCGGGGTGGCACGCGCCTGTAATCCCAGCTACTCAGGAGGCCGAGGCAGAGGCAGGAGAATTGCTTGAACCTGGGAGGTGGAGGTTGCAGTGAGCTGAGATCACACCACTGCACTCCAACCTTGGCAACAGAGTGAGACTCCATCTCAAAAGAAAAAAAGAAATACCTGTTAGAAGCGGATAAATTTTGTCTTGACTGGTAATATCAAGGGAACGCTGTTATTTTTAACAATCATGATATTCTTGTTTAAAGGTCTTGCAACATTTAGGGTAAAGAAAATCCATGAACTCCATCAAATGTAATACATCTTGAAATTAGTGCACAGTAGATACATTTTTTAATTTTTAAAAAATTTTTAGTTTTTTTTTGTGGATACATATTAGGTGTATATATTTGTGGGGTACATGAGATGTTTTGATACAGCCATGCAATGCATAATAATCATATCATGTAAAATGGGGTATCCATCCCCTCAAGCCTTTATCATTTGTGTTATAAACAATCAAATTATATTTTAATTGTTTTTAAATGTACTATTAAATTATTATTGACTTTAGCCACCCTGTTGTGCTATCAAATACTAGGTCTTATTCATTCTTTCTAGCTATTTTTTGTACCCATTAACCATCCCCACATCCCTTCAGCCATCCCAAATTATAGGCTAAAAAGAGAACTATTTAATGATATGGTAAGTGATGACTTGATTGATACAGAAGAACAAGGATCAATAAAATGTTCCAAAATCCTGTGGCAGTGGAGGAGTTCATAGCATAAGGGCGATAGGCATCAAAAGTAAAATTGTTATTTCACTGTTTAATTCAATCATTCCTTCCTGTTGAAAATGTACCTCAGATGTCCCTTTGAGAAGGATTTCTGCTTCATAAAGATGGACTGTAGCAAATTGGGCATGAAGCAGTGGTATATAATCATTCTGTTTATGGACTTTTCATGCTCCTTGCCACCTAACAGAGGCAGGGCTGGCTCGACTTCTGGTATTGCATCTGCCTATGTGACTACCAACAAAGGATGTCCCCTTCTGAGTCAATAATTCCTCTGTGGAATGGTAGCATTCTCCCCACTCATTTCATTCATTCCAGGAGCTAGCTTCAGTCCCATTTTATACATAGGATTGAACTATGTAATGGCCTCAAAGGCATATATTTGTGCACTGGGGGATGCAACATGTTTTTCAATACTAATATATCTCTCTCAACACAGATAAATGGAAATATATTCAGTGTTCATGGATTGGAAGAATTGATATTGTTAATTATTAAAATCATATGGTTCTGTGCAAACACCATCCACAGCATGTATAGATTTCAGGCATTTTTCTCTCTCTCTTCTTTGAAGTCCACTTCAAGTTCTACCACACTTCAGTATCTAATGAACTTTGTGTAAACAAGAATTTCTCTTTCTTTACATTCTGTGGAAACATGTGTAGATATTATACTTGGGACAAGACATCAATCATTATCTTTTTAATGCTTATTTCAAGAACCTAAGGAATATATGAAGCATGACTTTTGTGTTTCCTGAAGAATCCTTTGAAAAGCTTAACGCCCTTATTAAAGTTTTTCCCTCTGACAAACACCTGTTGGACTGTGGACTCCTACCTCATGACTAAAGAGATACTGACACCTGTATTTAAACTTGGTCTACAGTTGCCCTCACTTTATCCATTGATTGATCAGAGTATTTGAAGAGAATTAGGTCCATATGCTCAGGATCTGATGCCAGAGATATATACTTCAAATATGATGTTGATGTTTTATATTAAAAACGGAAGACTATGATTTCCTACACACACACACACACACACACACACACACACACACACACACCCCTTTTTTTTTTTTTTAAGACAAGGTCTCATTCTGTCACCCAGGCTGGAGTGCAGTGTCACAATCTTGGCTCACTGCAGCCTGGATCTCCCGGACTCAAGCAATCCTCCACTTCAGCCTCCTGAGTACCTGGGACCACAGGTGTGCACCACCATGCCCAGCTAATTTTTGTATTTTTTGTAGAGATGGTTGCCATGTTGCCCAGCCCCCTCCTTTTTTTAAATTAAGATCATTCCAGTTCCACAGGAAGGATAACTCTGATATGCTCCCACCCACCTGCCTGGTCCCATCTTTTGTCACCTTTCTGCCACTGTCCCAGTGAACACAACTGATTTCCTCCTGGTAGAGTCCGGGGACCTAGCTTTGCTGGAGCACCTCCAGGTCTACACCCTGGCTGTTTCCCACTTCATACTTCTTGTCCTCTAAAAGATAGTTCTTAAAACTTTTAACAAACAAGGTTTCCTTTCCCGTCCAACATATGTCAACAATTTTTAGAGTATATGAATTTCTAAAGTTATGAATTGGGAACTGGCTGATGCATTTTGAAAATAGTGTTGGGGGCCAGGCATGGTGTCTCATGCCTGTAATCCCAGGACTTTGGGAGGGAGGCCTAGGCAGGAGGATTGCTTGAGCCTAGGAGTTCAAGACCAGCTGTGGCAACATGGCAAGACCCAATCTCTACAAAAACAAAAAAATTAGCTGGGCGTGGTAGTGCACACCTGCAGTCCCAGCTACTTGTGGGGGGAGGCTGGGGTGGGAGGATCACTTGAGCCCAGAAGGTGAAGGCTGCAGTGAACTGTGATGGTCCCACAGCACTCCAGCCACGGTGACAGAATCAGACCCTGTCTCAAAAATAATAATAATAATAATAATAATAATAATAATAATAATAATAATAATAATGTTGGGATGATGTAGAAAACAGGACAATTGAAATTGCAGATTTGAGCAGCAGCTTTTGCATCAAGAAACTTATTCTTCCATCAAGACTGCCATTTCTTCCCATCTAACTACTCTACTCTCCATTAACATCTTGCCTGTTTTTATTTCTTGTCTTTGTTTTGTTTATTGTCAACATTTGGTTCTATTTCCAACTTTGGATCATTTTCTCACTCTCTCTGTCTGGGTGTCAAGAGGAGAAGCTGGTTCTCCCTCGTGCTTGTTCCACACATGAAAGTTCTGAGTTACAGAGTTCTATTCTACGATGGGAAGAAAATAGTGCTCTCCATGTCTTATTATAATAGAATAATGCTCTCCATATCTTATAAAATGATGGAAACTTACATGGCATGTATTAAAGTATCATATAAACTGTATAGACCCATATAAAATAAAAATTGTGATGTAGCTATAACAGAAGAAAAAGCAAAAAAAAAAGGAATATTTTCAAGATATGGAGATCCCACCATGGTTATTTTTATGAGAAAAACTTTATATGAAAGAAAAACTTCTACAATTGTAGAGAGAAAATGTTCTATGTCTTCAGCGGAGTGATGGTTACGTGACTGTATACATGTGTTAAAACTCACTAAACTGTGCACTTAAAAAGAGTGAATTTTACTTTATGTAAATTATACTTTAATAAACAACAACAATGTATGGGGAGTACTGTATAAAATAGAAAGGTATGTGTCTCTGTGTATGTCTTCACTATTGCTTCTGTTGTAAATGAAATACCATAAATGAAATTTTTGTATGTACTGTGTATGAAAATGCAGTCACAACTGACATAAATTTCAGAAGATATAAAAATTAATAAAACCCAAAAAATAATTATATAGAACTAAATTGTGTTTAAAGGCATGACAGCTGTAGTCATTAAATAGCTTCTCTAGGTTTATTTTGTTTCTTCCTTTATGTTTCTCTATTTGCATTTCTTTGTGCCTAACTTTTGGCACAGCAAGCATTATTTCAAAATCTCTCTACTTCCTTTTTTTTCAGTGATCAAACTATAATGACTATATTGTGATAAGCCTGTCTCTTTCTACCTTCCAGCATAACTAGGAACATTATTAGATTTAGTAATACATAATTTAAATTCTAAAGTTTACCATTGTTTTGTCTTTTTATGGTTATGGGTGACTATGTCATGACCAATTGTCATTTTCATAATCTAGAGATTTCTTTAAAACATGACTATTTCTGTTGGATGTACATGTGTAAGATAGGAAAACTGCCATTTACATCCATTGTGTGCATTATTTGCCCTCATCTCCCCAAACAGACCAAAACAAAAAACCCCAAGAAATGGATTTGTCTTATCTTTGTAGTTTATATACCATGGTATAATGTAATTTTCAAATTCATAGCGTAACTTACTTGTTTCCATAAGCAAAGTTGTATGTAAACTGTGTATCAGTGCTTCTAGTAATCTTGCTATTGTCTTGGTACTGAAATTTTAGACCAATATAATTTGCCAGGAATCCTTTGTATGCTAAACATAACTACATAAAAATATGAAAAACATTGGTAACAATATATTACCATTACATTGTTTCACAACAATTCAAATAAATTCAAAGTCAATAAATATTTATTGAGCATTTTCTACATAAAACGTACCAGAACACAGAGAAATAAATGATTAATTTCAGCCAGTTATGTGCAGAAGAATTGCGAAAGATTTTACAGACAAAGTGAGGTTGAGGTGACCTTACAATTAATTATAATTCTCTATTTCTTTTTAGGTATAGTTTCCTTTAAAACTGGAAACAATTCACTCTCTGTAGAGATGAGTTATGTACTAACTCTAAGCTACTCAGTAAATTTAAAAGTCCAATGCACATAGAAAAGAAGAGAGGTAAACATTCAGGCAGATTAAATGGGACGTAAATATCATTGAACATTTAGAGAGAGAGATGAATGTCACTGTAAAATAGTAATTAAATACCAATTTTAATGGTCCCCAAGTCCTTAAGCATGCCAAATATATTAAGAACTTTGAATTTTAGGATAGGTGCCACAATTTGAGAATTTTAAAATAAGAGAAAGGGTGAATCTATGATTAACAGTGTTAAATACCCTCACTAAAACTGCCATCTCCTCTGCTCCTAATTTTGTTTCACTTCTCCCTGACTGGATATCCAAGATCATCCTATGATGGCTAGCCATTTTTCTTTCTTCTTAATTAATGAAGAAAAATGAAGAAGCTTATACATTTTTAATTATTTTAGTATTTAAACTTGTGTGCAAATATTTTTTTCTGAAATTAAAAGAGAAATATAATACATGATATATGGTGCTATATACATATATATATAGAATATATCTATTATTTTGAGAATCCTCAGAAGAGGAAACCACAAGCACCCAGAATGTACACTTCGGTGCCTGTTACAATATGACATACTATTTATATGGCAAATATTTTTTCTTGTCTTAAAATTTCATGAAATTTTATTACCAAGGTATTTTCCAGATTCAATTAGCATATCATTTTGTTGAGCTTACCTGATTATAAGGAAACAATAAAATATCTCCATATGGTCGTCTGTTTGGTTTAACATCTGCTGAGTCAAAAAGAACAGCTGGGTTTTTCAGGGAATAACGACCACAGTAAGCATCGGTTTCAGCTGTCTTCTGCCCTCTGTTAATATGTTCCTACCGAAACAATAATATTTCAAATGAAAACATGATTTATTGTTCTGGTTTTCCCCCAACGTGTGCACCCAAACCACTCAAGGTTCAACCCAGATCCCATTGTTTCCCTGATTACTTTAACTTTAGATGTTTTCTTCCTTGTCTGAAATCTAAAGCTCTCATTCGGATCCATAATTATATAATCCTTTATACCAGTATTTGACTAGTTCCCAAGTTTGATTTTTTTCCTTACTTTGTGAGCTCTTTACGGGTATTTATTCATTCTCTCCATGAGTGTTTATGCAGTGTTTACTGTGTGTCAGGTTTCTGCTTGTTTGCGTGTTTGCTGTTTAATCTTCAGGATTCAAGTGGTGAAGAACCCTATCCCCCTGTAGATAGAGGCCACCCGTCTAAGACAAAGAAGCCAATGATTATCGTACTAAGGCTCAAGGGAGGCATCTAACTCACATAAAAGCATCAAGAAAGATGACTCAGGGGAAGTGACAAATGAGTTAAGTCTTTAAAGATAAATAGCAGCTGTTGGAATGGAAAAGAGGTGTCAAAGGCACTGTGCAAATGGTAAAAAGAAAGTAGGGGCTTCAGAGAGAGTCCAAAATGTGTGCAAAAAAGCAGAGGTGTGAGAGAGCATGGTGCTGGGAATGCAAACTGTAAGGTTAGGTGCAGCATGGAAATGCATGTGAGGGTGGTGATGAGAAATGAAGTAGGAAAGGAGTAGGAGGTAAATTACATGTACCATCCTCATGGCTGCTAGTACTACGTTCAAAATAGAACATAAATACACATATGCTTATTAAATGAAGTTGAAAAGTTCATCTATTAAATGGAAAGATTTTTTCTCACTAATCTGCTCATGAAAAGTATCATGAGAGATATTTTTAAGGATTTATATTCATATCCAGGGTATTAATCTGAATTAAATAACTAGAGTATACATTTTTTATTCTTACAGTTTTTCACTTGGAAATAGCAAATAGCTGGCTTCCTGAAGTCTTGAAAATGAGAATTAGAAAGCACATATTCAATTTTCTTCCTTTACTCTATATTAAAGAAAATATCTCATTAAGAAATAAATAATGACTGGGCCGTGTACTAATTAACCAGAGTGTTATGTCGAGAAGCAATTATATAAAACTACATAATACATAAAAACATATAATGCCCCACCATAAATTATAATCTCTGAAGTCAATGAGGAGAAAGGATATACTGTGCATCCAAGCTAAGAAAACAAAAACCAAGGCCGGGTGCGGTGGCTCAAGTCTGTAATCCCAGCACTTTGGGAGGCCAAGACGTGCGGATCACGAGGTCAAGAGATCGAGACCATCCTGGCCAACATTGTGAAACCCCGTCTCTACTAAAAATACAAAAATTAGCCAGGCATGGTGGCGCAAGCCTGTAGTCCAAGCTACTCGGGAGACTGAGGCAGGAAAATTGCTTGAACTTGGGAGGTGGAGGTTGCAGTGAGCCAAGATCGTGCCACTGCACTCCAGCCTGGAGACAGAGTGAGACTCCGTCTCAAAAAAAAAAAAAAAAAAAAAGAAAAAGAAAAGAAAAGAAAAAAGAAAATACCAACAAAATTACATGATTTTGGATCTGCGTCCCCACCAAATCGCATGTTGAATTGTAATCCCCAAAGTGTGAGGTAGGGCCTGTTGGTAGGTGATTTGATCACGGGGGTGGATTTCTCATGAATGGCTTAGCACCATCCCATCGGTGCTGTTCTCATGATAGTGAGTGAGTTTTCACAAGGTCTGGTTGTTTAAAAGTGGGTGGCACCGCCCCACTCTCTTCTCTTGCTCTTCACCAAGCCAAGTGACGTGCCTGTTCCCCCTTTGCCTTCACCATGATTGAGAGTTTCCCAAGGCCTTCCAAGATGTCGAGCAGATGCCAGCATCATGCTTCCTGTACAGCCTACAGAACTGTGAGCCAATTAAACCTCTTTTCTTTCTAAATTACCCAGTCTAAGGTATTTCTTTATAGCAACGCAACAATGGCCTATACACAAAATAAACAAAAACACTGCAAATCTTACCTTTGATCAGCTTTCCTACTTTCTAGCAAGAAAATTCATGAGTAGTAAAAATTTTTTAACAAACGAATCATAGACGGCAGTACCAATAGCACCTACCAACAGCCCTTACAACAAATGTATAACAAAGTCATTTTTGCAATTTGACTGTGAATAACAAAGTTATTAATGCTACTTCAGAAGAGAAATTATAAAATTTAAAACCATTATATAAATTCTTATTAGGTCAGTTTCACAGTTCATTAAATATTTCATACCAGATTAAAATCAGTTTCATAGTCTCTGAAATATTTCACAACAAATCCTTCTTCAAAATTTGCAATTTGTGGTGGACACTTAGTGCTAACCATTTCTTCCACTGCTCCCTGAAACTAAATTAACAATATAAACATTAGTAACTTCTTTTCATGAAAAGTTAGAACACTCGTAATCCTACTACTGATTCTACTAATTAGTTTTAATAGGACATTTTCATAATTCCCATATTTTAGTCATGATTATGAGTTAATTTTCTAAATAATTTTAAGTTAGTGTGATAATTTTAGTGTCTAATGAGTTTTCAAGACTTTTATTCTAGAATAACAATAGTTACATACAATTGGCTAATAATAGCATACTTAGTTATAAGGCAGACATATTTGTTTAGTACCTTTTTAAAGAGAGCAATGAAGCAAACCTAAATTAATTAGTACCCAATTAGATAGATTCCAAATAAATACTTTTTCCAAATAACTCAAAATTAACTGGAAAAAAAAAACTATACACGCCAATGGATTCTGGCCAACATGGTGAAACCCTGTCTCTTTTAAAAATATAAAAATTAGCTGGGCATGTGGCAAGCGCCTGTAGTCCCAGCTACTCAGGAGGCTGAGGCAGGAGAATCGCTTGAACCCAGGAGGTGGAGGGTTGCAGTGAGTGGAGATCACACCACTGCATTCCAGCCTGGTGACAGAGTGAGACTCCGTCTTGAAAAAAAAAAAGGTTACATGCATATACTGTAAGCTTGTATTTATAATTATTCAAAAAATAATAAATTATTGCAGATTATGCAGAAATTAGTACATATTCACAAGTCTCCTAAAATTTCCATATCATTTTCTCCAGCAAAGCACAGAAATAATTGTCGCTTAGAATTAAGGGCTTGAGACAATATATACTCTTTAATCTGCAAACAGATTTTAACTTAAATTCATTGTCCAGATAGTTGTCAAAATGTTGTAACTCACAAGCATTCTTTCTTTATGAATGGCTGCCCCCTATGGAGATACATTAGGCCCTGTTGGCACAGACCTAAGATCTTCCCTTTCCTTCTCTTGTCTTTGGAATATTTCCTCCCTTCTCTCCTCACTACGGGTAGGCTCCAACCTATCACGCCAAATGGAAGAATGTATTACTCCTCCTTAAAGTGTTCTTTATAAAAGGTTGACATTTAAATGGTGTTCTGTTTAAACGTCTCTCCTCTTTGAAAGGATGCTCCACTAGTGGAATCTCATTGATCTTTTTGACCCTTTTTGTTGGGTAAAGTCTTAAAATTTGCTGAGTTAGGATTTGGGTACCATATTTCTTAAGGTCTCTGCTGAAGCCTTAAAATTTCTCTCTGATGTATAAAAATACATCAATAAAATAATAGGATATTTAAACTAACCAATACTTTATAGCTAAGCTTTTATTGCACTACATCTCTCAAGGAATTTCTGATTTTACAGGATAACAAATTGGATGTTGAGTGAAGAACAACTCCAGTGTGCATAGAGGGACTCAAAGCTTCTACACATAGGCAGGGCAAGGCTTTGGAACCTTTGAGATATGCCTTGTCTGGAAAAAGAGGTGGCTGCACTAGGTTGACTCTTAGTCTCCTTTCAGATAAAAGTATCACAGTATATAAATTGTGGTGAGTTGATCAGGTGATAAATAATTTGCAGTGATTTTTTTTGAAGTAACATCTCTTTCCCATCTGTCTACAAATGGCCCATGAATGATGTGAGAGGGTGCAGGGAAAATGCGTGGTAGAAACATTCCTACACCGTACTTCAGCTTCTGATGACCATAGAGTGAGTGGCTTAGAAGCGATCCCATCCCAATTCAGTGTGAATGTCTCCAAGTTGGGTTTTCCTTTGGTTTGTTCTGTAATATCCAGTGTGACATTATTCCCTTCAACTACTTCATAACCAAGCAGATCAAAGTCTCCTGAAATTAAGTGACAAACAGAATTTGTAGACATTAACTAATAAAATGCCTATATATAAAACTATATATTTTATATATATTTAATAGACACTCAAATGTAGCCAAATTGGTTTCATTTGGTGCTCCATTATCAGAAAAGAAGGAAGAATGGGGGCGATGTAGATCCTTAAAATTTGAGCAGATTTATCCATAGCATAAATAGCAAAGCAGACAAAGTGCTATATATTTAAGGTGCTGTTTCTATAGCTTAAAAGGAAGTATTGTAAGATAGACAGATGTATTAGGACCATGAATAAAGATCAATGAGTAGTAGGATATTCCAAAAATTCTTTTAGTTTTGTGCTAGTACCATTATTTTAGTGCAAATGCTCAGCTGGAATATTTCTATTTTCTTTAGACATGAATAGGGCACAAAGCTGAATTCCAGGAAACAATCTCTGATCTGTGAGGTTTGTTCATACCATGCCACTTAGTATGATAATCATTGGCTTTGCCACTTTGAGAGGAATAAGGCCTGTCCTCAAATGTCTCTCTTCTTTGAAAGGATGCTCTACCAGTGGAATCTCATTGATCTTTTTGACCCTTTTTGTTGGGTAAAGTCTTAAAATTTGCCCAGTTAGGATTTGGGCACCATATTTCTTAAGGTTTCTGCTGAAGCCTTAAAATTTCTCTCTGATGTATAAAAATACATCAAAAAGGATATCCATATGTTTATTCATAAGTATTTTGACAATCTAACTTTTGTACACTTTTTAAAACTTAAATTCATGTAAAATCAAATTCTTTATCCTCCACTCAACAATCAAATAAACAATTACATAAAGTGAGACATAAATATTGAAGTAACATTTTACTTACATATTGAAAAACAATGATTGCCCAAAGAAAAGTAAACACACACACATTCAGGGACCTACTTTCTGAGCTAAATATACCAAAAAGCCAAATTAGTTGCGAAGTCTGACTTGAAGGCAGAATGTCTATGTCAATATTTCCAAAAGTGTTTTGTGTAAAACATTAATAGGCGGTTAATAGCTATTACTTGAAAAAAGATGGAAATATAAAATACGTTTGCATTAAACACAGGTAAATTGATTTTTTTCTTTTTCCTTTTTTTTTTAATACTGCAGGACTCCTCAGGGATTTTAATATTCCAATGAGCTCTGTCAATCTTCAAGGAAGACCCATGGTATACAGTGTCTCCCATGTGAATTTGACCTCAAAATCCTTTCAGTAGGCAAGATTTGACCAGATGAGTGTCTCCTGGACAATAGTGATTTGCCTAAATTTTATTTTCAGAATGAATATTTTCACTAGTTTTTACTAATTTATAAAGTAGGCTATTATATGGAAAACGCATTTGTAGTATGTATAGTGCATTTCTCATGCATTAGAGTTGTACATTCCTTGAAATACAACTAAAATTTAAATTACCGTAGAAAAAACCATTTAATTTCTGCTTCTCCTAAGATTAACCAAGTCTTTTTCTCTGTCATCTTATGGAACTTTTAGAGTGGCACAGGATATACATTTGTTTCCTACAGAAGTACAAAATTAAGTACATGCTTACCTCTAGTTGATATGAATGTTACCATGTAGACATAGCTCTGGGGATTTTGTGTTCTTATTACTTGAACTGTGTCCGGTTTTATAGACCAGAGGTCATTCAAGGCTGATTGCAGTATGAATTCAGAAGCATCAGCAGGTAGGAAGACTTTGATTGGATTAAAACAAACAAACAAACAAACAGAAAAGTTGAAATCTTTCTGAGCTACTGCAGCCAACACTGATGTCTCGTATTTATATTTTTAAAGCACCTATACTCTGTACCATGTAAGTTATCACTTAGAGAAATTGTATTTTGAAACTGATTCAAGTTCAGTAATATTGACTATTTAATTAATTTGTGATCTCTTTGAGGACAGGGCTGATATTTTATTGTTTTAATATTCCCACAGTAATAATCATTGGATTTGGCAAAGAATAAGCAATCATCAATATTTACTGGTTAAAACAATTAACAGTAGTAGCAAAAGTTGTATTTTAGGATTTATTGTAAAATATAGAAATGCAATGTTGTTTATTGGCTGATAAATTGGTGTTCCATAGGCCTATCATTTAATTTAAAAAATTGAAAGACATGTTTACTTCTGTGCAATGATGAATTTAATTCCTTTTAAATTTTTTATTTTTATTGTAAGTTCTGGGGTACATGTGCAGGATGTGCATGTTTGTTACATAGGTAAACGTATGTCATGGTGGTTTGCTGCACCTATCAACCCATCATCACCTAGGTATTAAGCCCAGTATGCATTAGCTATTTTTCCTAACCTAATGCCCTCCCCGTGCCGACCCCACCCCCCAACAGGCCCCAGTGTGTGTTGTTCCCCTCCCTGTGTCCATGTGTTCTCATTGTTCAGCTCCCACTTATAAGTGAGAACATGCAGTGTTTGGTTTTCTGTTCCTGAGTTAGTTTGTTGAGGAAGTGGCTTTAAGCTCCATCCATGTCCCTGAAAAGGACATGATCTCATCCCTTTTTATGGCTGCATAGTATTCTATGGTGTACCACATTTTCTTTATCCAGTCTATCATTGACGGGCATTTGGGTTGACTATTCACAATTCCTATTTTCTTAACTTACACCTATGAGTAGCAAATATATAAATTCCATGTGCATTTAGATATATATTTATCATTATTATTAGAAAATGATGGTATATGCCACAAAGTTATTTGTATGGATGTCATTTTCTATCCCAGTCTGAAGGCTTTTTTCCATAATACATTTTTCTGCTTCTTTGTCTAGCATATCATCAAAACTATATTTTCCAGACAGTGTAATTTGACTACAGCAAATACTTTATGACTACATCTATACATGAACAGAAACAGTATCTCCCTTATTATTTATAACTTACCAGTTTTTTCCATATTATAGATTAATCTATATTGGTAAAGTGAACATGAATTAGCTTCCACACATGGGCTGGTTACCTTGATCTTCTGAACCTCATTAATTGCATTAGTTGTTTCCCAGTTTTCCAATGTTATAACCTATTTTCCAATTAAGAAACATTTTTAATATATGAAAAATATATATATCTTAAAAGCATCATAATTCAGCTATTCAATGCCACTTTATTGCTCTATTTTACTACAAATGACAAGTAACAGCCTTTTTGGCTTATCGTACAAATACTCAAAGTCATAATTTAATAATTGTCCATGACTGCTTTCACCTAAAACAGTATCTTACCTAGTAAAATTAATAATCAAATTGAGATCCTGCCTTCGAACATTTACTTTCTGTAAGAGGAACTGCAATCATAGCAAACCTGTACTTCCTGGAGGATTGTCGACTGGGATTTGATAACTTGTTCTTCATTCACTGCATCTCCTGTTTGTTGTTCAGTATAAACATTTCGATACTGGTACAGTCCAACATCAACAAATGCACTTAATCTGTACTCCTGCAGCAAGATTTCAATATAGTATCTGGAAAATAGAGTAACTAATGAATATAACTTTTTTCCAGAACACTTGCCATGAAATTATTTTAATGAATAAAATATCAATATTATCTTAAAAGCCTGCCTGTTAAATGACTTATATTGTAGTATCTCATATTTTAAATATTCAAATGTTAAAATTTTCACAGCATTTTGCCAAAATAAAATGAATTATGTAAGATATCTGCATTAGTAGAAAGTTGTTCTCATTCATAACCAATTCATTCAGCTTAGTCAATAAATATTTATAGAAGACAATACTATTTCTTATACTCAACATCTTGAAAAATAACCCTGTCCCTGGTATATAACACAGACAACATGCAGAGGTTAAATATTTTAATGTGTTCAAGAAAATGGCAGGCTTAGACATAGCATATATTTTATATCTGAGTAGTTATATTTGTCAGGAGTAGAAGTTCCTACTTTCACATTCCTTAAATTTGGCTCCATTTGTAACTTGGGGAATAAAACATTGCCTCAGGAAACTTTTACCGGTCAGATTTACTATGATCCTCCAATTAGCTGGATGGGATTTTCACTTTATATTTTGAATTCCTGATTCTTGATGTCTCCTGCCCCTCATCCTACTGTGTACCCAAGGTAGTGCCTTCACTGAGCAGCTGTTAACAAGAGAGTGCAAAACTACTACTTCTCCTCTAAATCTCTAGCAATGTCACCATTGCTCACATCTTTGGAGAGGACAGCTGGGAGCTTCCCTAAATTGTCTCACATCACTCAACATATATTCTTATATAGGAAGAATAAGTATCCACAGTTCATGAAAGAGTCTGAATGAGGGAAATTTATCATGTTTCATATGTGTAGAATGATAGGGTTCTGGATCATTGCCCAATGGAACTGATATTTGGGGATTATATCAGGCTCTTGACTTCCATAAGAACCTGCTCATCAGCTCTTCTGACTTGAGATGACCAACACTAATTAAAGAGCAGAATTCAAAGAAGAACCATTAAAATTTTGCATCCTTACTTGTGGCTTAAAACTATTAATTGGGCACTTTCTTTGTGCTAGACAATAAACTAAGCACTTTGCAGACATTATTACGTTTAATCTTCACAAAATTCTCATAAAATAGATATTATTCCTTTATCCATATGAATAACAAATGCTAAGGGAATTTTAAGGATTCAAAATTTTTTAAACTAGTAACTGAGGGAGAATTCCAAACAAAATAAGGTGACCAAAAAGATATGCACTAGGTGAAGCTATGTTTTTAATATTTGAGTAAAATGATTTAGCAATATGAGCTACCTTTGGAAAGACTTGAAGAGCCACTTTACAATAAACCAGCTAGAGTGGCCTCAATTTCAGATTTCATAGCCATCATTGTAAGCACAGTATGTAAATTCCAAGCTGGTTTTGCAGGAGCACAGATACCAGGCAGCAGATGTATTAGGAGTTGCTTTCATTCAAACTCTGTGCTCCTGCCTAGCTGGTAGACTGAACTCATTTTCCAAAACCAAGCCAAAGTCTGAAAATGTACTGACACTTAATTGCAGTAGGGATTAATCAAGAACTCCATTTATCTTGACCTGGCCCAGTAGTTTTCATGGTTATAGAAGAAAATGTTTAATGTCTAAAGAAGTGAAAGCAGAAGAAAGAGGATAAAAAAGGAATGAAACTCTTTCCCCATGTCAGTATTACTAAGACCTCAGCAAGAACATTGAGTGTGAGAACATTAATTTGCTCCCAGGTTCCATTGATCCCAACCCTCCTTGTCCAATTCCAAAAGATCCTCATGATGCTGCCTCTGAGCATAACTTCTTCAATATCTGAAAGGGTGATGTGGTAAACTTAAAAGAAAAAAGCACTCCTCCCATCAAGAAGGGAAGTCTATTTCTTCATCCTTGAGTCTAGGCTTGGCCACTTGCTTTGGGCAATGGGATATTAGCAAATATGACACAGACAGAGTATTGCAGAGTGTGTGTGCATTAGGACTCCCCTCTTTACTGCACCTATCAACCCATCATCACCTAGGTATTAAGCCCAGTATGCATTAGCTATCCACAATGTGACAAACCGGGGCTAGTCTCCTGGATGATGAGAGACCATGTGCAATGGGATGCCCCAAATATCTAAGACTCAACCATGCCTGCTGAGGCTCTAGACATGGAGTGAGGCATTCTAGGTTACCAGTCCCCAAATAAACCAGCCAGGACTAAAAGAACCGCTCAGCCAACTATAAAATTGTGCAAAATAATTCACACTTGTTTGATGTTGCTACAGTCTGAGGTGCTTTGTTATATAGTAAAGTCTAGCAGATGCAAATGCATCTTTTGATGTTCTTCATGTAACTCCATTCCACCACCTTCTCCATTTTCAATGTATCATGTCTTTTATCTTCCTGTTTCCTAGGAATTCTGAATGGCTTTTTGAATGGGATTATCTGGTATTTGGATGATAATCCCACTCATTGGCTCCTTGGACTTGACCTTTCAACACTAAATGAATGCTCTTTCAGTTCTGGCAGTGTATTTTAATATTCTTAAATTTCCAGTACCTGGCCCAGGGCCTGGAATAAACCAGTTAATAACAAATACATATTAAAAGTGGCAACAATCTATGTGGCTTAGTGATTTTTCCCTAGCAATACTGAAGAGCTCAGCTGCAGGAACAGAGAAATTAAATGGGTGGATTGACTGAAAGGTCCAAGTAAAGAACTAAGAACAGGATCAAGTACATTTCACAAAAGTATAATTTTGCAACAGGGTTAATCTAGACTTCAAATTTCCCTGGTTAGTTGAATGCCAGTATTCTTGAAAATCAAGAAACACATTTGAATAAAATTATAGAGAATGACCAATTATAAATTAAACCAATAAACTAATATCACTTCCACCAATAAAAATAAATTGAAAATATTTTAAAATATAAACTTAAAGCTTATAAATACCACACAGTAATTTAATGACAGGAAAAAGCCTTACTCTTTTCCTTTCTGCAGATGAATATCATCTGATCTTTGTGTTGGACTGGAAAAATAACTGTTGGCATTAGCAGAATGATATGCAATCCTCACCTAATCCGAGAGAGACAGAGACAGAGAAAAGGGAGAATTTATTAATAGACCTTTTCAACATTTATTTATTTATCATTTATTATTTCAGTTTTAGAAGTTTCATAAGTAGAAAAATGTAAAACTACTTTATATTTTTCTTTTAAGATCTGTTATCTACTATGCTATAAATTTTTTTTAAATTATCAAAGTTCACTTCATTCCTTCTACCATTCACTAACATCAACACTACTGTACTAAGTATACTACGCAGATCATAGCTTTTCCATAATTAGAACTGCAGTGGAAACTAAGAAGATACTTACCAGGAAAAAGGTAGTTATTGACAAATAAAATATTCTTTTGCTCTGTGGAGAACTTTGAGAGATTTAATCCAAATTAGATTGCCAAAGATTGCTAAATGGTTCTGCACACTAGAGTGAGAGGACTTTGGGCTTCCCATTAGGAATGATTATACCACCTTTGGAGTACACATGCTTTGGAGTACAAACTATGATAAAAATTAGAATTCATAAATTACAGATAGCAATTTAAACTTACACAACCAGTTTGGGAAGCAATCTTGCCACATAAGTTGAGTCATAAAATGTTACTTTGATTTGATCTGTTAGTTTCATATTTGTGAAACTGTCCTAACAAAGTAACCCCAAATACAGAAAAGTCTAATGATCATAGATGTTCAATAGAGTATTATTTGTGGTCATAAAACACCAGAAGTAAATAAAAACTTATCAGTAGGGAGATGGTTATCTAAGCTTGGTAAACCCAAGTAATAACACTGCTTAGTCATTAAAACTAGTGATTACATAAATTATTTAATAAAATTAGTATTTAATACTAATATGTGAAAAACTACATATGAAATTAAATGTATAATTCTATTTATAAAAAATAGAGAGATGAATTTTATCTCATAACCAAGTTAATGTAGAATAATGAAATATTTTCAGGTACGGGAAATTTTCTTGTAGGCTATAGGTTTTCTATCATCTTATATCTTGTATCATATCCAGGATAATAGCCAAGAGCCAAACCACATGACATCATTTCTCATACATTTTAAAAATGTTCATTCGTTTTGATTTAGAGTAAGATACATATAAATATCACCATAATGTTTTTACAGTATCAAATAGTATTCTGAGGCTTCCCTACCTTATCTTCTGGAAGTCCAGTCTGGCTAAAATAAATAGCATAACGGTCATCACCCTTGATGTAGAATCTATAAACATCAGAATCTGGAGCCACCAAAAATCCACTAAAGCGTGCAACAAATGTGTCTTGTTCCATGAGCCAAATATAGGAAGCTGAATCTACCCAACTGGCACCCATGTACCCAGGCGTTTTTTCATTGTATTCCAGTATCTCTTCCAAACGTATTGGACGGCTATTATTCCACACCTCAAGCTTCAGGCCTCTCCCTCCTAAGTGTAATGAAATAAAATAAGACTTTCATCAGGATCATAATGCAATGCCTCAATGGCTTTCTATTTGGATGTTGGTTATAGATTTTGTATATCAATTCATATTTTTAGTATGTGTGCAGACAAAACAATTACACATTCCCCTACACGTATCTGCAGCCAGAGGGCAGTCTGTAATTTGTTCATTATTACTTCACTTATTTGAGCCTCAGTTTCCACATATGTAAAATGGGAGTAATAATAATATTTGCATGGGTGCTATAGGGATTATGTATAATACACATGTAAAACAGCTGGCATTTAAAAAGTGCTTTATGTAAGATAATATATAGTAATTATTATGATATAACTGATGTTGCGAAACTTCAAGATTCATGCCATTTTATTACAAAACCTTTGCCTTGACTATTCTAACAAAAGTAAATTAATGGCTTACAAAGCCATTAATCAGAGAAGAGAAATTGTTGGCTTTCAGATTTCTCTCAATGTTTGTTTTACTTTTTAAAAAAAACATTACTTCTACTCTAGGATTTCTTCTCCTTCTTGGACAGAATCAAAAACAGGATACTCTCAATAAACTGTACCTATACTTGCCAGAATAAACCCTGTGATTAAATTTTTTCCTAATCAGAAAAGAGCCATCTCTCTTTTTTTTTTCCTTCAACTGCAACAACAATTAGGCTTACTTCTTCCTTTAGCAGCCTTAAGCTTTTCTGTATGTGGAAAATAATGGCTACCCTTCTTCAGCTGAATTTGGTTGAAGATAAGCTTTGAGCACTTCAAACTTTCACAGAAGCAGTGTCTAGTGATATACACAATTTTCTTTAAAGTCATCAATTATAAATTATCAAAATTATTTTCTTAAACTGTTCATTTTTTTCTAATATTCAAACCAAACAAATTTAAGAGGTTCATAAACGATTCATTTGGCTTCAAATGTGAAACAATGACACGATTATAAACAACATTCACGGTGCGAACAAGATATGAGATACACACCACACGCAGACACATGTACAGCATTTCAATGATATTAGTGTAGATAGGAAAGCAATTTCACTGAGCCACAAGGTGTAAGTCTGAAAAGAATTTAGAGTAACATTTCTCTCATCTCCTGTTTTCACTCCCACATTATTCTAGACAAGTGAATATTTAACTTCCCCTATTTATCTTTTTTTAATCAGAAAAAGGCATTTAAAAAATTTCTATGTAGACTATACCAAGTTTTAGTTATCATAATTTAATTAGAAATAAAAGCATAATTAAACTCTGTCAGTAGAGATGTGCTATTTTCAGTAGGGTGTCTTGATAATTTAGGCTGGGTTTTTCTCCATAGGTACAGCTTTGTGGCAGCTATTTTAATAGAAATATTTTCTAATCCAGAAAATGTAAATTTTAAAACTTGGAGGAAATTTCTTACAATTCTTACTACAAATTCTAAATTCTAAAAATTTAAATAATATTTTTTACTAATATATTCTTTTTATGTGAATATAGAAATGGCCATTGTCCCTTATGGTAACTTACCTGGATATACAGTTTTGAGAATATGAGGTTTGGGGGGTGTCTTGCAACATATACTATTTTCTGTGACATTCAAAATATCACAAGGTTCACCTATAGAGAAGCAAGATACAAAACCGTTACTACTGAAACTTCAGAATGCAAATCACATCAGTGTATCTTTAAGCACTTTTGCAATTAAAACAAAGTTGCATAAACAAGAGGCAAAATTAGGGCTCTTTATTTCCTTTACATATTCTCTATTAAAGCTTTTCACATAATAATTGTCATACTTCCAAAAAGCAACATTTTTTTCTGGTGGAAAATCACAAGACTGAGATAGAAAATTTCATAATTTCTGAGATAAAAAATTTGATAATACTATGTCTTTGCACAAAATGTTACTTCTGAATTCAAAGTAAAAACTTATATTTTGTTCCTTGGAGAGAAGTTGCTGAATAAACCCATGTCATTCAGAATTTGCAAAGGTAGATGACCCTAGACCTCTTCAGTAGAAAAAAGTGCTGGCTTAGTCCAAGTTCTTCAAATGAAAAAAAAAGGGGGATAATAATTGTTAAATGGCATTTTCACAGACAGACTGAAACCAAAACAGGAAAAAAGGCTAAAAGATAGCTATTGTAACTTTTACATAAGCACAATTAGACTTAGGAGAAGAGTCTATGTTTTAAACCTCCATGTGTTCCTCACAATGCCTCACATATGGTCAGCCCTCAGAAAGTATTCACTGAAATGGCAATTGCAGCCCATGAAATGTGAGGACAAGGGAAATGGAGAGAGATATTTTTGCCAAGTTTTGTTTGATAGCCTGGAAAATTTAAATTTTGACAATACTTTTCACTATTTTATTGTTTGTGTGTTTTTTGAGTCAGGGTCTTGCTCTGTCACCCAGGCTGGAGTGCAGTGGCATGATCATAGCTCACCGTAGCCTCCACCTCCTGGGTTCAAGCAATCCTCCCATCTCAGCCTCTCAAGTAGCTGGAACTACGGGCATGTGCCACTATGCCAGCTAATTTTTTTTTCTTTTTTTTCTTTCTTTTTTTGTAGAGACAGATCTCTCTGCATTACCTAGTCAGGTATCAAACTCCTGGGCTCAAGTAATCTTCCTGCCTCAGCCTCCCAAACTGCTGGGATTACAGGCATGAGCCACTGCACCCAGCCCGTTTCACTATTTTGAGTGTTTTATGGATGCAAGAAATTTGAACCAGAAAAAAGGAAATAGGAACAGTATATTAAACCAATCACCCATTTTATTGGAAGCAAAGGAAAGACACATAAACATCATGTTTTCAAGAGATTATTGAGGATTCAAAATCTTGAATCTGGTTGCCATATTAATGGTAGTGAAAGATGATAGAAAACTAATATGTTCTCTTTTCATATCAACTGTATGATAGTCGTATGCAAAATAAACATAAGATCAGATTATAAAACATAGTATATAAATTAAAAGTACATTATGGCCCTGGTTTTAATGTTTAAAACATAAAATCTGGTCAGATTAATACATTATACAAATTTTAAATATTTATGGCCCAGGTTTTAATATGTATGCCAATGACCAGCAAGGATTCATGCAGACACGAAAGAAGACTGTATAAATATTACATGAGGTTGCTTAATATCCATTTCTCTTTTTTCTGAAATCACATTTTGGCTGGCTTGTGGGCAGAATCTGTAAAAGGTAGAAAGTACTTGAGCAAGAGGACTGTGGAAATGCATATGCCTTGTTGCATGGGCAGGCATCCTGTCCCCTGCCTAGCAATAGACGTGATGTCATTATGGCTGAATGGGAAGATTCCCACAATCACATTCACCTCTTTTGAGCTGCATAGCTCCCTACCTCTGAACAGATCTGGACAGGACACATAAAAGTGAAGCATAACCACAGAGCCAAGCCCTACATGGATTTGTAAACAGATAACTCATTGAAATTACTGCTCTTTCCAAGGCCAATATCTTCAGTGATTACTGATGTCCAGATGAGGCACAGTATATGAGAAGAGTATGAGGAGAATAACCAAAATATTACTTTAAATTTCCTCACAATTAGCTAACTCGCTGAGAAATAACAACCATTCAAAAAAGGCATTTAAGAGCTTCTAAATTAAGGGTAGGTGTGTCCTTAAACTGTGGCGAGGAATTCATGGATGGCAGCTACAATGCTGCTACACAAAGCCTGTTGGTGCCATCCCTAGAGCTCAGGTCCTATTCACATGAGGTTTCAGGGAGTGACCCTTGCTGGAAAACTGCAATGGAAAGAGCATCAAATCCCAGAACCAAATGACTATGTGAAAATACTCAGCTTCCAATTGAAGGCATGAGTTGAGAAAAGACTATTATTATTATTACAAATTATTAAAGAGCAGGCAGAATTTGTGGTAATAAAGTAATATATCAAAAACCATGAGAAATACCTCCAACTAGAACTCTGACGGGGAAATCTGTCTGATCAAAGAAACGCCCACTTATTGTCAGCGTGGTGCCACCTCGAATGCTTCCTTGTGAAGGGAAAATCATGGTGACCTCTGGGGGAAAACCACATTAAATAAAATATCATAAATATTACACATAAACCCAAATACCTGATTTTTTAAAAATTCCAAATTACCTAGCCATAGTGCCTAACACAGGTAGTAGATTACCAACTGCATGAATTAGGTGTTTCATTACTTTCTCTGATGCAATCCTGAAAAAAGGACAATAGACATGGCATTGACAGAGACTTACATTCCATGAGGACCAGGCTTTAGTGGTGACTGGTATTAAAGCAACATTGGTAATGCGAGCATTAAAGAAGTAAGGAAAACCTGAGCTGAGCACGAAGGCAGGTAGAACCACCTCTTCTTCCATATGCTCTTGAAGAATGAATCTTTCCTATGTTTATGGACCAACCTCTTATAATTTTCTTTTAGAGTAACACATTTAACTATGATTGAACTTCTTGTGGCTTTGCATATATAAGTTGTAGTTATATTGTAAAATAGCCCAATAAATGACATATGGCAGATTCTTACTAAAATTTATCCTTATTAACTCTATCAAATATCTATGTATTCTTACATATGAATTTCACACTAAATAAACTTCTAGGAAGTTTCACATTTGATTGATTCACAAAAAGTTATCACATTTGATTGATTCCAAGACCCACCTTTTTTAACATCTTTGAAATCTAAACGATCTTTCCATTATTCCTGACCGGGAATGACGTACAATTTTCTCAGGATGATTTGTGTTTGTTCTGATATTCTCCAAGGGATACTATCAACCTGAAACCTCTTTAAATTAAATTATGATTGTCTTGAGGATTCTTTTGAACCACACTGAGAGCATAAATCTCAGACAGCTTAAATGGTCTCCAAGTTACCAGACTTTACATTTTTTGACTTTACAATGATTTAAAAATAATGAATTTGGTAGAAACCATATAGTACTTAGAATTTTGATCTTTTCCCAGGCTAGTGATATGCGGTAAATACTCTCTCCCGATGCTGAGCAGCACAGCCAGCTGCAGCCCCAGTCAGTCACACAATGATGAGGGTAAACAACCTGTATTCTGCAGAGCACTGTGTTGTCAGATGATTTAGCCAAATTGTAGGCCAATGTGAGTGTTCTCAGCACGTTTAAGGAAAGCTAAGCTAAGCTAATACACATTCAGTGGATTAAATGCATTTTCGATGTAATAATATTTTCAACTTATGATGGGGTCACCCCATCGTAAATTGAGAGGCATCTATACTGGTTTTGGTTAAGATTGACAGTGGAGATTTTTTCCCTCCCTCTACCAATAGCCAAAGTTGAAACATGCAAATTTCCCTGCTGTCTGTGTTAGTGTAATGAGTTTATTTTTCAATCAATCTTAAACTAAGAATATTGTCTGCTGTGGGGGAGGTCATGCTTAATGTTGTAGCTTCCTGTTAGACTCCCCATCTTAGGGATTTTTCCTTTCCTAGCAGTACATCAAATAATATAATACACCTTACACTCATTGTCTTTGGTTTGATTAAATCAATTATACACTGCCTTCCCACCACCCCCGCAACAGAGTGAAAGAAAAGTCACATACCTGCATATGTTTGAAACATTGCAATTTTATTGAGAGAAGAAACAAAATATGCCATTTTCTGTGGAAAACTCCTGTTAAAAAAAGATTAAATTTTCTGCTTTAAATGATCTTTAATTTAGGAACATTTTTTTAACTTCAGTGATAGAAATTATGTCATAATCTGCAAAAGAGCACGATGGAACTTTTGGGAGAAGATAAGAATGTTCTTTATTTTGATTTGGTTGTTGGTGACATATGTGTATACATTTGTTACTAAATTGCAAACTATATCTCAATAAAGTTGATTTCTTTTTTTTTTTTTTTTTTTTTTTTTTTGACAGAGTCTCGCTCTGTTGCCAGGCTGGAGTGCAGTGGTGCAATCCTGGCTCACTGCAACCTTTGCCTCCCGGGTTCGAGGGATTCTCCGGCCTCAGCCTGCTGAGTAGCTGGGACTACAGGCGCATGCCACCATGCCCAGCTAATTTTTTTGTATTTTTAGTAGAGACGGGGTTTCACTATGTTGGCCAGGATGGTCTCGATCCCTTAACCTCGTGATCCATCCTCGGCCTCCCAAAGTGCTGGGATTACAGGCGTGAGCCACCGCGCCCGGCCCTACAGTTGATTTTAAGAAATTATATTGACATAAAAAAGCATACAAAAGGATTACCCTTTATAAAGGCTGGGATCTTCCGCTGACCGCCCCAGTCTGTCTTCTTTTAGAACCTCCTTTTTGTTCTAAGAGGTGGGATCATGCTAAGAACTTTCAATTGATTATGCCGTTTGATCTTTACATCAACCACATGAGGTAGATAAATTTCAGAGAATTAACTTAAGATCGCACAGTGAGTAAGTGGCAGACACAGAACTGGACCCAGGCAGTTTGAGTCCAGAGCTGTGGCTCCTCACGTGTGTATTACACAGTACTACTCCTCTGCCCACTAATGTGTGTGACACTGCAAATGGATGACAGCAAATTAGCAACAATTGACTGGGTTAAAACTGTCCTTAATAAACACAGTGCCCATTATTCATACATATACACTTATACTTCTATAAACCTAAAGAATTAAGAAGGAAAATAATTCTGGAAATTAAATGCTGTTACTTTAATTACCTTCAAGACGTTCTCCACTAGAAAAGTTAAGAAATTCAAATATTAAGACTCAAATCTCATTCATCATAATCACACTGAATTAGAATCTAAAAGAATAATGTAAATCTTGTCACCGAGACCAACAATTAATGCTCCTGTAAATCTAACCCAGGCATTACCATGTTCATTTGCAAGACTAAAGAGTCTCTGGAAATATTTTATGCTAGATTAGTTACTTAAGAAATTCATACTAGATTTCATATTTTTATGTCAGAAGCCTTTTGGCTGATTTCCCAAAGATCTGAAACGATGCTAGCTCCAGCGATACTGTGTCTGGTCAGATCCTGCATCTCAAAAATTAACTCTGCTTCTTAAGTTAGTGGGGAAATTGCCTCCTGAAATAAAATTTGAATGTAATTTATTTTGGATGACACTGAGGTTATTTTCACTAATTCATTGATAATGACTAGGCATTTCTCAATTAAGGCAGCTTCGTCTGAACCTTATCAGTTGGGAACAGCTGTTGTTTGAACTTGGGGTAATAGAGGAGAGAAGGTTGGCTATTAAAAGAAATACAGAATAGATGCCACAGAAAGGCCTTTAATTGGTTTGTTTGATATTCAACAATGCTCATGAAATTTGTGAAATATGAATTTTATAAGTTAATGAATGATTTAACATTCAAAAAATAATGTATTTTTTGAATGTAAGATTCAAAATGTAAGATTTTTTATCTTTTTAGGTAATCTTAATGTAAGATTACCTAAATGTAATCTTAAAACTAGGATTTTAAATCATAAATGTCATATTTCTGTTATCTTAAATTCATAAGAATACTTTATACAGAAACACAAATTTCCTCAATTCTAAGACATTTGTACAAAGGGATAGCTGTTGGCTTTAAAAAAAAATGGGTGGGGGGTGGAATTATAAATTGAGTCCACAGAATCAACAATTTAATGCAGTATTTTTGCTTATATTATATGTGAATTTCCTGGCATTTCTAAATTGAAAGTTTCTGGGCATGTTAATGCAGCATATTGATTTATGGGTACTTATCAATCACGTTCAACCTTGATCACTCAAACCTTCTATTTTTGGATAATTATTTCTCTGAGAGACATATGATGGATTTGGCAATTAATGCCTTTCATACAGACTCAGAACTAAGAATTCATTTTTCTTTCACCTTGGGAAGGTTGCTACTAAGAGCATTTAAAAAAATCATATGTAGTTCAAAAAATAATTTAAAACTCAATAATTATTGTTCCTAACATGGTTTTCTAATACGTTCAACAAAATCCTGTTGCCGTGTCTTATCAAGTCGTATGTAAGTAGGTCATCCCTAAGGAGAATAACTGTTAAGTTATGGGACCCTAAGTCATGTGTCCCATGTAAATCACAAAGGTGTATCCTAGCATCATTTATATATCTTCCACTCTGATTTACTCTTAGTTTTGGTCTAGCCTATATTGGTCTATAATAAAGTGTCCAGCCAGGCATCAATTTGTTATAATGACACCGATTGCCTCTAGGTGTCTAGAAGTAGATGATCTCTAAATACAATGATAGTGTACTTGAGTTCACAAACCAATTGCAGTTCCATACATGAAGGGACAAAATCTCATCCTTCACTTGTAGTCTGTGAGTGCTACTAGGAATAACATCTACTTAGATTGTAATATTGCCATTTTTTTCAGACTTCTGATCATTGTTCAGAGACAAAAAAGAAATTACCGGATCTTTCCTATTATTAATCTACTATAGCTATATTAGGATTGAGTGTTAAATAATGCAATTTATATGGGTTTCTGTCAACTCGCTTTCTCAATGGGAGACACTATGACATCTTGGGCAGAACAATTAATTTGGGTTTGGCACATCATGATACTGCCCACTAAAGGCCATTAACATACCCAGTTACTATGACAGCCAGGGGATTCTTCACACATTTGCAAATGCTCCCAAGAGTGGGGAAATCCTGCTATGGTATGAAATCCTGGATCAGGATGGTAAGCAGTGATGAAATGTGGTACTGGTTGCTGAACTGCTCCATCAGTCATGGCAAAGCACTGGAATAAAATGCTCAGGTCCTAGAGTTAGATGGCATGGGTTTGCACACTAATGCTGCTTCCTACTAGCTGAAAATCCCTAGGCAAATTACCTAATGTTCCTAAGTCTCATTTTCCCAGTGGGTAACACAGGGTAGATGATAACACTCGGTTTATCCTTGGGAGCTTCTTTGGGAGGATTAAACTTGATAATGTATGTAAAGTGCTTAATACCATGCCTGCTGCTAAATGTTCACTATTATTATCTATAATATGGGGTTTCAACATGCATTGAGATTTGCATATTCTGATGTTTCTATAAATGTATGATGATCTTTCTTATTGAAATTAGAATGTAGAACATCTGGAAATGAGTTCTAGTTTTATTAGAAGTCATAAATATGAGTTATTAATATTGCTGTTAAGATGAACAATTGAAAGATATAACTACCATCTTTCACAACTCTCTATGTCTTGATAACTTAAAAGAAAATCTTTATCAGGTAATATTAACCATGAGGTTTTTTTTATTCTTCCATTAGTTTAAATCTAAATTTAATTACTTTAGTTATTTAAAAAGTTACAATTAAATCAGAAAAGCTGCAGGACATAAAATAATATTTTTCCATAACACAAGTAAAGATTTTTATGTTATTTTAGTTAATGCTAGATTTCCCTACAACAGAAAGGTTATGTATGAAGCATAAATTGTGAGTGAAAAGAAGGTACAGACTCTTTAACTGTTAATTGGGGAAAAAAAGTAGTTAATTTTTAAACCTCTGCATCTACAGCACAAACTAAATATACATTTTATCTTATTTACCCTGTTGAATCAATTATAAAAGTTATTATTTACAAAATAGCCTACCTTCCATAATCATTATCTAAGATGAAGCTGACATTGTGATGACCTGGAATTTAATGAAAATACACAATCAATTAAATTCCCAGTCACAGAAGAACAATAACTCTATATTATAAAGCTGATTTAAAAGCAGAGAAAAAGTACAAAATCAAAATTGTATTTATCCAATTTTATATTCATCATCAAAGAAATAAAAATTGAACTATCCTAAAGCAGCCACTATATAAAAATATACGTAATAAGGTGTCTTGAAGTTATAACCAGAAACACATAACAAAATATGATCATGAATGAAGAATAATAAAAGAACAGATATGTAACCATATTGCCCTGAAATTTCTTTTATTTATTTAACAGCTATTTAACTGTTCAGACACTCTGCTAGAGGCTGAGAGAGCAGATGTGGGGTGAGCACACAGCTTGTCCTTCTTCTATAACAGAACATATTGTCTAGAGGAAGGAAACATTAGCCAAGAGCAATGACACAGAGAACTAAAAATTGTGATAATGCTATTTAAAAAAAAAAAGTAGTATGAGCTTTGAGAATGTAAGACAAGTGATGACCTAGGCCTTTTTGAGAACATGGCATTTTATCTGAAATGTTCAGGATAGGAAGTTTGCAAAGGGCCTGAGACAGAAGAGAGGGAAGCCCATTCAAGAATTAAAAGAAGGCCAGGCGCGTTGGCTCACCCCTGTAATCCCAGCACTTTGGGAGGCTGAGGCGGGCGGATCACCCGAAGTCAGGAGTTTGAGACCAGCCTGACCAATATGGCAAAACCCCATCTCTACTAAAAATACAAAAATTAGCCAGGCATGGTGGTGTGCGCCTGTAATCCCGGCTACTCGGGAAGCTGAGGCACAATAATCACTTGAAGCTGGGAGGCAGAGGTTGCAGTAAGCCAAGATCACGCCACTGCACTCCAGCCTGGGCAACAGAGCAAGACTCTGTAACACACACACACACACACACACACACACACACACACACACACACACACTCTTAAAAGATCTATGTGTCTGGAGGACATAGATCAAGAAGAAAAGAACAGAGCAAAATTAAGGCAACAGGCAAAATAGCCAAATTAGACACGGAATGCTGTAGGGAGAAAGAAGAAGAAAGAGAAACCTGAGGAAGTTTACCTTATATATAAACCATAAGAAAATACTGATTCATACATGTTTGCATGAAAGTGAAAAGAAGCCAAGGAAAAGAGAAAATACAAAAAACAAACAAACAAAAACACCTGATCCAAAAGGGCAGAGGAGGGAGGTCTAGGAGAATACAAAACAGGGAAATAGAATAAGGCATCTGTGAGCATTATGAAGAAAGATGACCAACACTTGCCAATAAAAGTTCCAGTCGTCTTACAAACCATAGAACCCATATCTCCATTTGGATGATCCAGTTTTAGACCATATCTAATTAAAAAAAAGTTAATGTCAAAGCTTATATAGACACTAAAATTTTAGAATATTGTGTTTCTCTTAAAAACTACTCATTAATTTCAGAATATGAATCAGGACAGAAATTGTTGCTACAACCAAAATTTCTGTAAAATAAAACTATTTCCCAGACTTTGTTGAAGATGTTTGCATAAAATTTTATACAACAATAAAATATTTTATAATTAATTTGACTATGCCCTTTAATATTCCTTTAAAAGACTTTGAGATACTGCCAAATGAAATAATTGCTTGGTAAAGATATTGCTCAAAACATCTTTTTTCATAAAAATCTAAATAGTTCATATCATACTATCTTGGAGACCTAACTGTAAGGTAGCACCTAACTGTAAAAATGATTGCTAATGCGCTATGTGGAATATTATAATTTATACTGTATTATAAACCATTTAGCTATGCAGTATTGGTAGCAATTACTATTTAAATTTAGTATGCTTATATCTGCTATTTGTTTTTGTAAAGAAAATAATTTGAATTACTTACAAATTATCAGATTGTGGTATGAGAAGCTCACAGGGCATTCCTCCAATGTAAACTCTGTACAAATATTTTTATTAGAAAAAATCAAGTTATGTTTAACAAATTGTTTCAAAAATGCACTCCTCCCATCAACTCACTGGTTCCCTTAAATTTTTTTTCTCAATCACTTATTATTATCCCTCACTCATGCATTCAACAAAACATCTACTGAACCTCTATTATGTGGCAGTCCCTGTTCTAGGTACTGGCACACATCGGTGAACTTAACAAAGGTTCCTTTGTTGCCCTTGGGGAGCTGACATTTTAACTGGGAAAGATGAATAAAACATGATAATCATAACATATTTGGTGTGTTAGAGGTGTTAAATACTACAAGAAAAGACAACATAGAAACAGATAATAAAGTCATCCATCTGAAGTTCAATCAACTCAAAAACAATTTTGTAATAGGTTTTGTACTATAGGAATTAAGGTAAACAGCACAGACAGCACAAAGTTATCATGAGAAAGAGGATGTCTAACAGCATCAGTGACACATAAATGAAAATAAGAAGCTGAGAAGAGCCAGAGTTCAGCTGCAGGGAAAACATCTGCCTTCATATTTCCTCAGGTGATTGGGTCTGACCTATTACTTGGAAGCTGATAGTACCTGATGCTATTGGAGGCTGGCAGGTGACTGATTGGTGTTAGATTCTTTACAACACCAGAATAAACTATCAGCTTTTGGGACAGCAAATCCCAGACTCAAAATAAGGCCAGATACAAACTTGAACTATAAAAAATAAGGACTTTTGTTTGCAGAAAATTTTGAACTTTTTAATATACTTTTACACATAAGTCCCTTCATTTGATCATTACATTAGGATTGCAAAGCAAGTAAACTGAATTATTGTACCCATTATACACATTCATGGATTTAAATTCTCCTAACCTCCTGCCTTATTCTAGCTAAATAATAAATTTAGGAGCTAACACTTATAGGTTCCTATGATGTTTAATCCTTGCAACCATCTTATGAGTTAGTAACTATTATCCTTCAATTTTACAGATGAAAAAACTGAAACAGAAAGCTTAAGCAGATTGCCCAAGCCTGCAGACAATAACGGGTAGAGCAAGAATTCCAACTCAGACAATTTGGCTGCAGTCAGTATTCTTAACCACAGTTGGTAATCCACACAGTGATCTGGGTATGCGTATCTAGAGTAAAACCACCCTATTTGGTCTTTAATACATACTTTTTAGAATTCTTTTTACCTGATCTTTTAGATCAAAAGCTGCTTAGTAAGCACTAATCCCTCTATCCATTTGCATGTCCTCTATAATTTCTACCTGGTCTGAATTTGGAGATTTAGTTGAATGGACAAGATTTGTGAGAAGCAGGTCTCCTGAATTCCTGCCCAGAACACAGCCCATTGCTCTCAACTCCCTCCCTACTAACAGAATCCAGGCATAATAAATTGCCTTGGGAGCCCTGGTATCATAATTAACATGGGAGAAATGAGACAAATGCAGCTCCAAGACTTTCTTGCCCAAACATTAATAGATGTGTGAAAAAATTCTATATTTACATATAATAGCTCAGGATTTCCAAAGTACAAGGATTAGGTAGCCCGACCTCTAATGTCCCATCTCACTGCAATTCTGTGATTTCATGGAATAATTTCCATCCAAATCTTTATATTAAGCAGAAATAAATTCCAGTTTCAGTGGGGGAAAAAAGGAATCTCTTTTTGAAAGTTAAACTTTCTATTTCCTGGCTTCATTATGGGAACGGATGACTTAGAAAAACCTGTCTAAGAATTAGAATATAAACCATTCCTAATGCTCAACTATGTTGAAGCAGACAAAATTTTTACTTCTACTAATCTGTACATATAAAATGTTAAATATCTCTACTTGGAAGTTCTTTTATTACACATAAGGAATTAGTATGAATATTTTCAGAAATTATAGATGCATACAAATGTGATTTAATTAAAGGTTCTATTCTATAGAATTCCAGATAAATCTTTATTTCACTCATTAAAACCTTTTAAATTGCTTGTTTTACAAAATTATGTATTTGTATGTGTGTGTATATATACCTCACCTTTACAGCATTCAAAAAATTCTCTAATTGCTGAGTGTCTATCTGAATTGTTTAACTTATCCATTTACCTGTTTTATGCATGAGTTTGATAAACATAAAATATCTTGAAAGCCATAATCATGAGTCTACACTTTTTTCTGTAGGAAATAAACAGGACTTTCAGTCTTTAAAGGCAGGACTGAAATAACACCATCTATGCTACAGGAGGAAACTCTAGTGACAACGCTAGTTTTTAGTCCAAAATGTGGACAATTATTTTTTTGACATTAGCTAACTAGCCAAGGTTACTATCTAGTTCACAGCTGGCAAATGGACAAAACAGGATTCAAAGCTTGGCCTGTTAATGAGTTATTGACAATGTTTGGTTTCAGCACTTGCCTGTACATCATGAAGCAGTAGAAAATGTGTCAAAACTGTGTTACGAGACTGTGTTCTACTCCTGACCCTGACTAAGCTTTGTGATCTCTAGGCCTCAGGTGTTTTTATACACAAAATGAGACAGTTAGATTAAGTAATAAAGACCTCTAGTAATAAAGTTGTATGACTATAACTCAATTACTATTGGACTTGTCTGTGTGTTTCTTCTGTTAATAAATCCATCACAAAACAATAAGAAATTACACCAGACCAAAAAAGAATGACATATCGACCATTGCTTTTGTGTCAATGAATCTTCCAATAGTCTGTTTTACTTTCTATAATATGGCTGAAAAAAAAAACACTGGTTAGTTATATTACATTGTAATGGGATTTAATATCATTGGACCCATTATTTTTATAATATTACTTCTCATTTATGAGTTATAAGAATATATTTCCACATCAAAAGATTACCTCAAAATCCTAACATTTTTCCCATTTGAGCTTAGTGCAATATTACTTCCATAGACATCAGTGAAGATTCTGCCTTGGATTGTTATTAGTGTACCTGAAAACAAACAAAAACCCCAAAAAGATTCTGTGTAAGAAAATCTATCCATACACTTAATACGAAAACATAAGAGATTTTCCCAATAAAACCAGGACCCAGACACTTATACCTCATGTTTGCCACTATTGTTTAGCATTGTTCTGAAAGTTCTAGCAAACACAATAAAATATGAATGAGTATCTGTAAATATTCATTGAGTAAAGAAGTGTAGCATAGAAGACAGGATGGTATTCCACAAGTACAGCTTGGGTCAATCGGTGACTATTTGAGAAAAAAAAAAAAAAGATCTCTGTACCAAAAAGTAAGAGAAATCTTAGGTGAAATAAAAATGAAATATAAAAAATAAAACCATAACAATTATTGAAAAATAGGTGAAAATTTATATAATATTTATATAGTTAGGTTAGTAGGGCCTCCCACCCATTTTTAAATGCTATTTAAAAATGAAGAAAAAACAACAAACGTTAAGATCTATAGATGTGATAATAAAAATAAAAGGTTGTCTGATGACAGAAAAATCATTAACATGTTTTAAAAGTAAATGATAAATTCAAAATATATGTCTTACATATAACATATAAATGGTTAATATCCTTTTTTAAGGATATATAAAGAATCCTTGTAACTTAATAAGAAAAATGGTGAATAACTTTAAATTAAGCCAAAGAGATAAACAGGTAATGTATAAAAGAAGGAATACAAATGGTCAATAGGCAAAAAATAAGTTTAATTACATAAATTAAAGAGTTGGAAAAAAATTTAAAACTACTGTATCTTGTATATTAATTCTTGAAAAAATAGTACCTAGAATTGTCAAGGTTATACATTCTCTGTTATTGCCATTGGGATTATAAACTGGAATAATATAGTTATTATAATGAAACCCTGGAAACCAGTTGAATGTATAAGTGGTGGGGGTGGGAGGTGATAAATACATTATAGTAGATGAAGATATAGCCATTGAAAATCAATTTTTTAAAATATTGGTACTTTTTTCTTTTTTTTCAGATAGGATCTTGCTCTGTCATGTAAGTTCAATCATGTCTCACTGCAGCCTCACACTCCTGGGCTCAAGTGATCCTCTCGCCTCAGCCTCCGGAGTAGCTGGGACTAAAGGTGCTTGCCACCAAGCCTGGCTAATTTATTTATTTTTATTTTTTAGAGAGAGGGTCTCATGATGTTGCCCAGGCTGGTCTCAAACTCTTGGGCTCGAGGAATTCTTGCATTTTGGCCTCCCCAAATGCTGAGATTGCAGGCATGAGCCACCGCGCCTGGCTGATAGTTATTTTTATAATGAAAAAAATGCTATTTAAAAATTGCAGGAATTATACTAATTTCATATACTAAAAAATAAACACATTATTTACCATGAAACCAAAAGTTATTTCAGATGTCATATAACAGACCTGGAGTTCCAGATAAAGGTGTGATGCTTCTTATTGTTGGGGTTCTAAAACTTTTTGCCTGTAAAAAGAATAATGTCAATATGAAAACTTATCTCTGTTTTGTTTCTAGTTTTGTGAAATAGATAATTTCTTACATTACTAAATTTCAACAATATTCATAATGTAACTGTCATGTAGGAAAGAAGATATTTAAATAAGATGAACCTAAGAGTTAAATTAGAGGATAGGATCATCGTGGTTTTGCTTCTTAATAGCTGTGGGGCTGAAAGAGAAGGGAGAGAGAAACCAAGAATGGTAACAGGTTTCTAACTTGAGATGGTGAGAAATAATCAGAGAAAAAGTAGATTTAAGGAGGAATACAAAAACTGCAGTTTGATGCTCAATTTAGGTCGCTTTAAGACCATTTAGGTGTGACATACCAGAAAACCAAACAGAGTTCCACGTCTGGGGAAACAGAAGAAAGCCAGAGATATCTGGGAATCGTATTTGGCAATATATTTTGGAATCATAGAAGCTTCTTGAAGACAGATGTCATTATTGTTTTCTTCAGTATTTCATCTTATATTAGAACATTGTACTACTCAGTAATTGACAACTTAAAACTAATATATATAAACTATTTATATATAAATATTTATATAAAAATAGTTTTATATATATTTATATATTATATATACTTATAATATATTTATATATTATATATTATATATAATATATAATTATACGTAATATATAATATATAATATACATACTATATAATATATTATAATATATAATATAAAATATATATTATATATAATATTAATTATATATTATGTATAATTGTATAATTATACATAATATATAATTCTATTATATATTATATAATTATCTATTATATATGTTATATATAACTATATATAATATATAATTATATTATATAATATATAATTATATATAATTATATATATTATTGTATATATTATATATAAATATATATAATATATACAATAATATATATAACTATATATTATATATAACTATTTATATATTATATATAATAACTATTTATATATAAAATATAATTATTTATATATATAACTAATTTAATTATATATATATGGGATAATGCTTAGAAGAAAATGTATTACTGCTAATACTTCTATTTAGGGCAGCTAAATTTTGAGTGGCTCTTACACCACATGCAGGCACATTTTATCTCATTACGTTAGAAATTACGTAGAAAGGAAAGGTAGTTACTTCGATTAAAATAGGAAAAGGGAGAATCACACTAAGAGTAGAAGTAGAGATAAAGGGGAAAATATGAACAAGAAAACATGTTTGAAGTACAAAAGTTTAATTTAATAGTAAAATTAAAGGAGGGGAAACAAATCAGAAATAACAGACATTAAATTACTATGGAAGATAATTTAAATTGAGGGAAATTATCCTTTGTTACATGCTAATGTATTTTTAAATGTGGAAATAGTCTATAAAACTAAAAAGGAAAAATTCAGTTCTGCAGGAAAGAAAGCAAGATCAACTATACATAAACTGAAGAGAAGATTCCTACATACGTTGAAGGTACATTCCCAGCTGTTGATGTGACCTTTGCAGGTGTTATTTTCCGTAACAGGAACCCCGTCCACACTGACTCTAACAGTGTAGGAATCTTCCGGCATTGCTCTATAAAGAAAATGAAGAATATATGAGACATGCAATTCCTCTCTTATTTAGTGTATAGTATTAATGAAAAATACTGCCCCAGACTGCAGGCTATTTTTGACAGAAAGTGTCCAACGTCGTAACTGATGTCTAGTTAAGTTCCATTCTATATTATGGAAAAATGATCTCCATCCTGAACTCTTTATTGCAAACTCTAACCTCATGAACTTCAGGCAAATGCATATTCCGACTGTGCACATTGGTATTAAAAAGGACAACAAGTATAATAACAACAAATGCAATAATAAACATTTAAAATAGTAACATATCACCTCGGTACAATCAGTTATTCCATGCTTTGTTTCCTAAAAAGGACTAGTTAATCAAGTTTCCCCTTAGTAAGCTTTTCCTGGTGAAGAACAGCCGACAGGCCTAAGATAAATGAAATCCTCTAGAATATGTGCTATCTGTTTCTAAGTTCAATATTGAAAGTTGCAATTTAAAGTGATTTTTAAAATTTTTCCTAAGTTGCTAATAACATACATGAATTTGGGCTGATAGTAAAGAACTTGAAATGTCACTATGCAAAATGATTATATTTAATCTTAATGACTATATGAATATTTTGAACAAAATTCATCAAATTGAACAAAATAGCATAATTTTGGTATTTTAAGGCACATCATTACAATTAAATAGTCATTTATCTTCTAAAAATGCTCAACAATAAGGTAATAGCTCTAATAACATGGGAAAAGACATAGAATATGTTGTTATCATGCCAATTAAAATTGAATATAATAAATGCATAAAATAGTCTAAACATCACAAAATGAAAAATACTAACCTATAATCAGAAAAATATTATTTATAATAGCCAGGGTAATAAAACTATTATAATACTAATATTCATAACTGTAACTTCTGATATGATGAAAATGATTTTATTAAAGATACTTTAAAACAGACCTAGTATAGCATGTAATTTGAGTTGAATGACTTGCATCTTTTTCTACATCACAAGTAATTGACTGGAAAGAAGAAATTAATTGCACACTGTTTCCCAACTCAGCGTTATCAACTCCATAGTTAAACTGGTTTGCTTGAGAAAAACCTGGAAAAGTAAGAAGACTTAATTATTATTAATGGTATTCTATCTTCAGAGACCTAACATTTGTCACCTAGTATCAAATCATGCAGTAAATGATTTCATAAACATTACTGAAGCAGTGAACCTATTTCATATTTATCCTTATGATTGTAATCTTCTTTGGAAGCACAAAATTTAGCCTTTAATTCATTTACTCATAAAAGTATTGCTGGAGGGTAGATACAGTCATCTCTTAGTATTCATGGGGATTTGTTCCACCATCCCCTTGGATAACAAAATCCACAAATGTTCAAGTCCTGTAGTCAGCCCTGCAGGACAAGTATCCCGATTCCACATCTGGTGAATACTGTATTTCCCATTCGCAGTTGGTTAGATTCGTGGATGACAGGCTCGAAGTTACAGAGAGCCTACTGTGAGCCTACATAGCACCAGATTCTATATCTGGAGGTGATAAGTACCATGAAAAAGGTAGGCTAAGAGGACTAAAAAGAATAGAGGAGGAGAACACTATCTTATAAAGGATGAGGTCTTTGTTTCAAGTTTCTACAAAGCAAAATCTGAGGTAAGGATTTGCCAGCACATAATTTATTTGGGCAATGAGCTATTTTAGGTATGAGAGAGAGCAAAATGTGAGGAAAGAAAAGCTGGGTACCACTGAGGACAACTGGGGCTCAATATTGCTGGGAATTTCTAAGGAAAATATAGCATGTCTTTCCAAATCAAAAAATCAATGGCAAGAAGCATTTATTCATCAAATCTGGTCCCCATTGGTTGAGGGTTCTCCCTGGGGGAAGTAACTTTTTCTGCACTTTCACACTGCACATAGGTATATGCTATATAAGTTCCAAAGTTCGGAGTTACTGCACTAGACAAGTCCTTGAATAACTGACAAAGACATGGTGTTAGAACTCAGTCAAGAAGCTGGAAGCATAAGTTGAGTCAAAGTACACAAGGAACTATTTGCCACAGCTCTAACTAGAGTTAGAGGTAAGAAAGAGAGGATGTAAAGCTGAATATAAAAGGCATCTGATACAGTCTACCCACTATACAACACATAGCTACTCATGGCCTACATATTAAGCACAATCCATCACCAAGTTTTTGAGGTGGTAGCCAGCTGAGAGCTCTACTAAGATTTAATACAAGAGTGTTAGAGGTAGCCAGCTGAGATCTCTGCTAAGATTTAATACAAGAGGGTTAGAGGGACAAGCTACAGGCTATACTACTCTATAATTAGTCCTAAAACTATAATTAATTTTCACCATGCCCCCTTGCTATCAGCCATTGTAGATTTCCCTTACCTGCAGCCAGCACTGTAGCTAATAGGGTGACACTAATGTTCATCCTGGAGAAATCTGAGCCCCTAACTGCCTTGCTCTTGTTAGGTGGTGGTTGCTGCAATTGCCTGTTCTCAGTAATCACTGGACATGAAGCCAAGAGATATCCCTATGAATACCCTGAATTCCAGACCAGCTCCTCCTTAACTACATTAAGTTAAAGCAACCCTATTTCTTTATGATAATTAGAACTGATTATCTCTAGTCATATACTAAATATGTTTGATGAATTCAAACTGAGTAGACCATGGTGGTAGTTTCAGTTCAGTGGAATCTATATTGCGACCCATGATGGGAGCATTTTCTACCTGGAAACTAAGACCACAAATCCAGCAGAATGTAAGGTTGCAAAGGCAGAAAGCACAAATTCAATTTCTGGATAACAGGGAGTGATGGTGAAGGGAAGCAGCCCTTTATATCCAGCTCCATGCATCTGTCTATTACAAAACAACAGCATATGTCTGCCACTGGTTCAATGCATGTTATGGAGGATACCAGGGTCCCACCCCACAGGATGTTTTTCCCCAAGTTCACATCTTGGCCATAGCTTTAACAGGCAGTTCCATCATTCTACTAAGCTACATGTTTCTGAGTGACAGATTTCATGGTCATGTGCCCATTATCGGAACTTTTTCACTATAAAATACATTTCTTGTTCTGAAGCAATATTTTATGGAATTCTATGGCAGTATATCAGGCTCTCTAAGCTCTCAGAAGATGGTGCTGACAGAGAACTGTAGAAAGAGGAAGCAAAGCCCATAATTGGAGGGTCAGTTCCGGTAGCAGTCGATCTCTGTTCTTTCCATGGGAGAAGGAAAGTGCTGTAATCAACTTGTCACTGAGAAGCTGGGTGGACTTTTTGAGGAGTGGTAGCCTATTGAGAGCTCAGTGTTGGTCTCTGCTCTTGGCAGTTCCGGTATTCAGCAATAGCAGTAGGTTGTTTAGTCTGGGTGAAAGGGAGTCCATGTTGTTGGCTCATGCATGGCCTCCACCCCATGGCCATTCTTCATGGGCCCAATGCGCTAGCACTGCGGTGGCCACAGAGAGAAGCTCCTGGACGAATCATCCAATCCATCTGTTTATTCCATCTCCTCTGTGGGGGATGTTCTCTTGCGGAAGTTAAGTTGAGACACATAGATCTGCATGCTTTATGCTCACTATTATGAGTCCCTTCATATGCCTCTCTCTAAGACATTCTAATTTCTGGATTCCAATCATGTTCCCTTCAGTTCCTAACCAACTAGTGAAGTCCTCTTCGACTGCCCAGAAGCCCATGTACATTCTTACTACAAACCACTTTTCCTGCCTACAAAGTTAGCAACTGTGTATACTGATCATGGCTCTGCCTACCAGAGAGGCTGATAGTGAGAAGTGACTTAAGAGCCTTAGGGCCACTTTGCAGCATTTATGACTGAAGTCAGAGGTGATACCATGAAGATGTGAAGTGGGACACAGGATGTATGTATTATAGACAGTCATGGAAGTTTTTCAGAGGTAGCAAGCCATGAGGATATCTATGGGAAGTGCATTTTTAGTAGAAGAAATAGGATGTGCCAAGGCCCTGTGGTGGGACCATGTTTGTGGATTCAAATAATAGCAAGTGTGGTTGAAGAAGTATGGGTGAAGAGAAATGGTAGGAGAGGAGACCAGAAATGAAGGCACTTAGGTTATTTTTAAGTGTGGGGAGTAATTGCAGGCTTTCAAACGAGGAGTGACATCATGTGACTCACACTGTCTAAGATTCACTAGCTGCTGTTCTGAGAATAGAATAGGGGCAGGAGTGAAGACATTATCTCAGTGAAAAATGGGATAAATAATGGGATAAATGGCATCAGTTCAAGAGAAGATCAGAGGACAGTAAAGTGAAAAGAACAAATATTGCTAACATTTTTTGGAGTTTAATTACAAACAGGAGCAGAGAAATGTGTTGGTAGCTAGAAAGGTGTGTGGAGCAAGGGGAAGGCTGATGATTTTTCTTTTACTTTTTTTCAGATGGGCAGAATAACAGTATATTTGCATGCTGACGGGATATCTAACAGAAAGAGACAAAAGGGTAATGCAAAACAGAGACAAAAATTACTTTAATCTTTCTATAAACATATGAAAATTCAAAACTACATTTGGAAGTAATTAAATATAGATTAAGCCTTGTATGCCATATAAGAATATTTTATATTTTTGAAACAATATTCACTTTTGGAATAAACCCAAGAAATAAAACCTATGAATAAGATTAGTGTTCCATTAATTAAATCCTATAATTAAATGTTCTCCTAATAAAAATGTTAAAAAGGTACTTATACTGTTCTAGTTCACAAAGTAAATTACACACATCTATGGAATTTTATATATTTTACTGCTTTGGAATAAAGTTGAACGAGGAAATAAACAGCTTTTGCCCAGATTACTTCAATATCTAAAATTCCTAAATTCTGAATTCTAACAGTATGTGAATTTTTAAATATTATTTTTCTCTATCACAGGTTCTTAACAGTAAAACTCTACTTTAGGCAAATTAACCGGTAGTATTATATTTGAAACTATGAAAATTTTTCTTTTGCACTAGCAAATTTGTATCCATGTCATTGTAAATTTATAAGCTATTTAAATTTCAGAATTTAATTACCTACAGACCATATTATCCCATAATACAATAATAAACATAACATCAGTAAACAAAAAAAGGTAAACCCAGAGATGTAGATTTAACTCTTTAAATGTTGTATATAATACTATTTACAATGTGACAAATAGTGCTATAATATATTCCATTTATAATACTAACATTATAAAAAGATAAGTATTTGTTACTTACCTTACAATGTTAGCAGTTTTCAAAATGTTTCAACAAAGCAATCATTACTACAATATGTGCTCACCTTAAATAATACTTGAAGTGGCAGAATTGGGGTTGCCAGAAGATATCTGTGGTACAACTGCTTTTTAAATTATTACGCATTTTCGGTGTTCCACAAAGGTCTGCTAGACAACATGAATACTTGTGGTTTCTTGTAGGCCTGGAAGCAGGACTTCATTGTGCCTGATGTTCATCAGATATCAAAGCCTCTCACCTCCAGTTCTGGTAAAGCTACGTGGCAGGTGCCAGTGATGTTTAATTGAAAAGGCCCAGGCTTTGGACCTTGACATTCTGGCCTGGAATCCCAGCTCTAACACTCCCTTGCCATTATGACCTTGGGCAAGATATAACCCCTCTTACCCTAGTCTCCTCATCAGAAAAATGGCCATAATCTATCTTAATGGATAGTTAGGAATAATAAAGGATCATTGTTGTATAATGTTTAACGTGGTACCTGACTTAATCAGATATCTGCTAAGATCTCAGTAGACACCTGCTCTTATTATTTGTCACAAAAATCCTGAGATTTGGGGGGTGGAGTCAAGACGGCCTAATAGGAACGGCTCCAGTCTACAGCTCCCAGCATGAGCGATGCAGAAGACGTGTGATTTCTGCATTTCCAACTGAGGTACCGGGTTCATCTCACTGGGGAGTGCCGGACAGTGGGTGCAGGACAGTGGGTGCAGCGCACTGTGAGTGAGCCGAAGCAGGGCGAGGCATCACCTCACCCGGGAAGCACAAGAGGTCAGGGAATTCCCTTTCCTAGTCAAAGAAAGGGGTGACAGACGGCACCTGGAAAATCAGGTCACTCCCACCCTAATACTGTGCTTTGCCAACGGGCTTAACAAATGGCACACCAGGAGATTATATCCTGCACATGGCTCGGAGGGTCCTACACCACTGAGCCTTGCTCATTGCTAGCACAGCAGTCTGAGATCAAACTGCAAGGCGGCAGCGAGGCTGGGGGAGGGGCACCCACCAATGCCCAAGCTTGCTTAGGTAAACAAAGTGGCCAGGAAGCTCGAACTGGGTGGAGCCCACCACAGCTCAAGGAGGCCTGCCTGCCTCTGTAGGCTCCACCTTTGGGGGCAGGGCACAGACAAACAAAAGGCAGCAGTAACCTCTGCAGACTTAAATGTCCCTGTCTGACAGCTTTGAAGAGAGTAGTGGTTCTCCCAGCATGCAGCTTGAGATCAGAGAATGGGCAGACTGCCTCCTCAAGTGGGTCCATGACCCCTGAGTAGCCTAACTGGGAGGCATCCCCCAGTAGGGGCGGACTGACACCTCACATGGCTGGGTACTCCTCTGAGACAAAACTTCCAGAGGAACGATCAGGCAGCAGCATCTGCGGTTCACAAATATCCACTGTTCTGCAGCCACCGCTGCTGATACCTAAGCAAACAGGGTCTGGAGTGGACCTCCAGCAAATGCCAACAGACCTGTAGCTGAGGGTCCTGACTGTTAGAAGGAAAACTAACAAACAGAAAGGACATCCACACCAAAAACCCATCTGTACGTCACCATCATCAAAGACCAAAGGTAGATAAAACCACAAAGATGGGGAAAAAACAGAGCAGAAAAACTGGAAACTCTAAAAATCAGAGCACCTCTCCTCCTCCAAAGGAACACAGCTCCTCACCAGCAACGGAACAAAGCTGGACAGAGAATGACTTTGACGAGTTGAGAGAAGAAGGCTTCAGAAGATCAAACCACTCCGAGCTAAAGGAGGAAGTTCGAACCAATGGCAAAGAAGTTAAAAACCTTGAAAAAAAATTAGACGAATGGCTAACTAGAATAACCAATGCAGAGAAGTCCTTAAAGGACCTGATGGAGCTGAAAACCATGGCACAAGAACTACGTGACAAATGCACAAGCCTCAGTAGCTGATGCGATCAACTGGAAGATAGGGTATCAGCGATGGAAGATGAAATGAATGAAATGAAGCGTGAAGAGAAGTTTAGAGAAAAAAGAATAAAAAGAAATGAACAAAGCCTCCAAGAAATATGGGACTATGTGAAAAGACCAAATCTACGTCTAATTGGTGTACCTGAAAGTGACTGGGAGAATGGAACCAAGTTGGAAAACGCTCTGCAGGATATTATCCAGGAGAACTTCCCCAATCTAGCAAGGCAGGCCAACATTCAGATTCAGAAAATACAGAGAAGGCCACAAAGATACTCCTCAAGAAGAGCAACTCCAAGACACATAATTGTCAGATTCACCAAAGTTGAAATGAAGGAAAAAATGTTAAGGGCAGCTAGAGAGAAAGATCGGGTTACCCACAAAGGGAAGCCCATCAGACTAACAGCTGATCTCTCGGCAGAAACTCTACAAGCCAGAAGAGAGTGGGGGCCAATATTCAACATTCTTAAAGAAAAGAATTTTCAACCCAGAATTTCATATCCAGCCAAACTAAGCTTCATAAGTGAAGGAGAAATAAAATACTTTACAGACAAGCAAATGCTGAGAGATTTTGTCACCACCAGGCCTGCCCTAAAAGAGCTCCTGAAGGAAGCACTAAACATGGAAAGGAACAACCAATACCAGCCACTGTAAAAACATGCCAAATTGTAAAGACCATCAAGGCTAGGAAGAAACTGCATCAACTAACCAGCAAAATCACCAGCTAACGTCATAATGACAGGATCAAATTCACACATAACAATATAAACCTTAAATGTAAATTGGCTAAATGCTCCAATTAAAAGACACAGACTGGCAAATTGGATAAAGAGTCAAGACCCATCAGTGTGCTGTATTCAGGAAACCCATCTCATGTGCAGAGACACACATAGGCTCAAAATAAAGGGATGGAGGACGATCTACCAAGCAAATGGAAAACAAAAAAGGCAGAGATTGCAATCCTAGTCTCAGATAAAACAGACTTTAAACCAACAAAGATCAAAAGAGACAAAGAAGGCCATTACATAATGGTAAAGGGATCAATTCAACAAGAAGAGCTAACTATCCTAAATATATATGCGCCCAGTACAGGAGCACCCAGATTCATAAATCAAGTCCTGAGAGACCTAAAGAGAGACTTAGACTCCCACACAATAATAATGGGAGTCTAACACCCCACTGTCAACATTAGACAGATCAACGAGACAGAAAGTTAACAAGGATATCCAGGAATTGAACTCAGCTCTGCACCAAGCGGACCTAATAGACATCTACAGAACTCTCCACCACGAATCAACAGAATATACATTTTTTTCAGCACCACACCACACCTATTCCAAAATTGACCACATTGTTGGAAGTAAAGCACTCCTCAGCAAATGTAAAAGAATAGAAATTATAAAAAACTGTCTCAGACCACACTGCAATCAAACTAGGACTCAGGATTAAGAAACTCACTCAAAACCACTCAACTACATGGAAACTGAACAACCTGCTCCTGAATGACTACTGGGGACATAATAAAATGAAGGCAGAAATAAAGATGTTCTTTGAAACCAACGAGGACAAAGACACAACATACCAGAATCTCTGGGACACATTCAAAGCAGTGTGTAGAGGGAAATTTGTAACACTAAATGCCTGCAAGAGAAAGCAGGAAAGATCTAAAATTGACACCCTAACATTACAATTAAAAGAACTAGAGAAGAAAGAGCAAACACATTCAAAAGCTAGCAGAAGGCAAGAAATAACTAAGATCAGAGCAGAACTGAAGGAAATAGAGACACAAAAAACCCTTCAAAAAATCACTGAATCCAGGAGCTGGTTTTTTGAAAAGATCAACAAAATTGATAGACCGCTAGCAGGACTAATAAAGAAGAAAAGAGAGAAGAATCAAATAGACACAATAAAAAATTACAAAGGAGATATCACCACAGATCCCACAGAAATACAAACTACCATCAGAGAATACTATAAACACCTCTATGCAAATAAACTAGAAAATCTAGAAGAAATGGATAAATTCCTCGACACATACACCCTCCCAAGACTAAACCAGGAAGAAGTTGAATCTCTGAATAGACCAATAACAGGCTCTGAAATTGAGGCAATAATTAATAGCTTACCAACCAAAAAAAGTCCAGGACCAGATGGATTCACAGCCGAATTCTACCAGAGGACAAGGAGGAGCTGGTACCATTCCTTCTGAAATTATTCCAATCAATAGAAAAAGAGGGAATCATCCCTAACTTATTTTATGAGGCCAGCATCATCCTGATACCAAAGCTGGGCAGAGATGCAACAAAAAAAGAAAATTTTAGACCAATATCCTTGATGAACATTGATGCAAAAATCCTCAATAAAATACTGGCAAACCAAATCCAGCAGCACATCAAAAAGCTTATCCACCATGATCAAGTGGGCTTCATCCCTGGGATGCAAGGCTGGTTCAATATATGCAAATCAATAAACATAATCCAGCATATAAACAGAACCAAAGACAAAAACCACATGATTATCTCAATAGATGCAGAAAAGGCCTTTGACAAAATTCAACAACCCTTCATGTTAAAAACTCTCAATAAATTAGGTATTGATGGGACATATCTCAAAATAATAAGAGCTATCTGTGACAAACCCACAGCCAATATCACACTGAATGGACAAAAACTGGAAGCATTCCCTTTGAAAACTGGCACAAGACAGGGATGCCCTCTCTCACCACTCCTATTCAATATAGTGTTGGAAGTTCTGGCCAGGGCAACCAGGCAGGAGAAGGAAATAAAGGGCATTCAATTAGGAAAAGAGGAAGTCAAATTGTCCCTGTTTGCAGATGACGAGATTGTATATCTAGATAACCCAGTCGTCTCAGCCCAAAATCTCCTTAAGCTGATAAGCAACTTCAGCAAAGTCTCAGGATACAAAATCAATGTGCAAAAATCACAAGCATTGTTATACACCAATAACAGACAAACAGAGAGCCAAATCTTGAGTGAACTCCCATTCACAATTGCTTCAAAGAGAATAAAATACCCAGGAATCCAAATTTCAAGGGATGTGAAGGGCCTCTTCAAGGAGAACTACAAACCACTGCTCAATGAAATAAAAGAGGATACAAACAAATGGAAGAACATTCCATGTTCATGGGTAGGAAGAATCAATATTGTGAAAACGGCCATACTGCCCAAGGTAATTTATAGATTCAATGCCATCCCCATCAAGCTACCAATGACTTTCTTCACAGAATTCGAAAAAACTACTTTGAAGTTCATATGGAACCAAAAAAGAGCCTGCATCGCCAAGTCAATCCTAAGCCAAAAGAACAAAGCTGGAGGCATCACACTACCTGACTTCAAACTATACTACAAGGCTACAGTAACCAAAACAGCATGGTACTTGTACCAAAACAGAGATATAGACCAATGGAACAGAAGAGAGACCTCAGAAATAATGCCGCATATCTACAACTATCTGATCTTTGAAAAACCTGACAAAAACAAGCAATGGGGAAAGGATTCCCTATTTAATAAATGGTGCTGGGAAAACTGGCTAGCCATATGTAGAAAGCTGAAACTGGATCCCTTCCTTACACCTTATCAAAAATTAATTCAAGATGGATTAAAGACTTACATGTTAGACCTAAAACCATAAAAACCCTAGAAGAAAACCTAGGCAATACCATTCAGGACATAGGCATGGGCAAGGACTTCATGTCTAAAACACCAAAAGCAATGGCAACAAAAGCCAAAATTGACAAATGGGATCTAATTAAACTAAAGAGCTTCTGCACAGCAAAAGAAACTACCATCAGAGTGAACAGGCAACCTACAGAATGGGAGAAAATTTTCGCAACCTACTCATCTGACAAAGGGCTAATATCCAGAATCTACAATGAACTCAAACAAATTTACAAGAAAAATACAAACAACCCCATCAAAAAGTGGGCAAAGGATATGAACAGACACTTCTCAAAAGAAGACATTCATGCAGTCAAAAAACACATGAAAAAATGCTCACCATCTCTGGCCATTAGAGAAATGCAAATCAAAACCACAATGAGATACCGTCTCACACCAGTTAGAATGGCGATCATTAAAAAGTCAGGAAACAACAGGTGCTGGAGAGGATGTGGAGAAATAGGAACACTTTTACACTGTTGGTGGGAGTGTAAACTAGTTCAACCATTGCGGAAGTCAGTGTGGCGATTCCTCAGGGATCTAGAACTAGAAATTTGATCCAGCCATCCCATTACTGGGTATATACCCAAAGGATTATAAATCATGCTCCTATAAAGACACATGCACACGTATGTTTATTGCGGCACTATTCACAATAGCAAAGACTTGGAACCAACCCAAATGTCCAACAATGATAGACTGGATTAAGAAAATGTGGCACATATACACCATGGAATACTATGCAGCCATAAAAATTGATGAGTTCATGTCCTTTGTGGGGACATGGATGAAGCTGGAAACCATCATTCTCAGCAAGCTATCGCGAGGACAAAAAACCAAACACCACATGTTCTCACTCATAGGTGGGAATTAAACAATGAGAACACATGGACACAGGAAGGGGAACATCACACACTGGGGCCTGTTGTGGGTTGGGGGTAGGGGGTAGGGATAGCATTAGTAGATATACCTAATGCTAAATGACGAGTTAATGGGTGCAGCACACCAACATGGCACATGTATACATATGTAACAAACCTGCACGTTGTGCACATGTACCCTAAAACTTAAAGTATAATAATAATAAAATTAAAAAAATAAAAAATAAAATAAATAAAATAAAATATAAGAAAAAATCCTGAGATTTAGGTTCATCATTAATATCCCTTTTTAAAAATAACACAGAGGCCAGGTGCGGTGGCTCACGCCTGCAATCCCAGCACTTTAGGAAGCCAAGGCAGGCAGATCACCTGAGGTCAGGAATTCGAGACCAGCCTGGCCAACATGGTGAAACTGTCTCTACTAAAAATATAAAAAATAGCCAGATGCAGTGGTGCCCTGTAATTCCAGCTACTCGGGAGGTTGAAGCAGGAGAATCACTTGAACCTGGGAGACAGAGGTTGCAGTGAGCCAAGATCACGCCATTGCACTCCAGCCTGGGCGACAGAGCGAGACTCCATCTCAAAAAAATAAAAATAAATAAAAATAATACAGAATCAGTAAGTGGGTAGCCGGGATTCGAACCCAGGCTGTAGCCTTCCTCCAGCCCTTATGTTCTTAGCTGCTAGGCTATTCTTTCTTTAGTATGTAGGAAAAGTAAGCAGAAACTCAATAAAGGGTAGAGATTTTAATAAATATCATTTTATTCCTCTAAGCTTAACCAAATAACTCATCCGGCATAAACTAAAGTACAATATAAATACCAATTTCACATGTGAGAGACATTTGCATTGACTTTGCAATTTTGAATCTAGAAAGGCAGTTATTACTAAAATGGGACTGTGAAAAGACATGAAAACACTGCAAAGCAAGTTACGTGTAAACCCACTCTTCCCTTTTGTCAACTTTGCTTATCTTTGGTGTTCACATTGAGTTTGGAACACACAGAAGAGCTCCTGGCAACCAACTAAAGAATGGAAAGTTTTACTTGTGGTGTGGTTCCAGATGTGAGATATGTATATATATATATATATATTTTCCTATCAGGTACATGTCATGTCAATGATACGTAACATGGATCTGTTCTTCAGCATTCTCAAGACAACAACCATTCTGAAAAATAATGCCAACAAAAGATGATATCATTTTCAGCTTAGGAGTTACTATAATGTCAAATATATATAGCATATGTGAAAAAGTCCTAGAAGTAAAATCTATGGGAAAATAATGAACCAAATCCACAATAATTCATAAATGTTATTATTAATATTGCTGAAAAAACAAGTATATAAATATTTCTGACTTTTAAACTAATTCCAAAGAGTTAAAAAGAAATACAAAGGAGTCTTCTTTTTAAAAATTTTAACTTAAAAGTATAATTCTAGGCCAGGTGCGGTGGCTCACGCCTGTAATCCCAGTACTTTGGGAGGCCAAGACTGGTGTTATCACCTGAAGTCAGGAGTTTGAGACCAACCTGGCCAAGATGGTGAAACCCTGTCTCTACTATACAAAAAATTAGCCGGGGGTAGTGGCAGGTGCCTGTAAACCCTGCTACTTGGGAGGCTGAGGCAGGAGAATTCTTGAACCCAGGAGGCGGAGGTTGCAGTGAGTCGAGATCGTGCCATTGCCCTCCAGCCTGGGCAACAAGAGTGAAACTCCATCTCAAAAAAAAAAAAATATGTAATTCTAAACAAATGATTGAAGATAAAAACACCACCTCTGGAAGTACTCCAAGTCACAAAGATTACAGGAAAGGCTGAGTGTACCCTGGAAATGGAAAAGGATGAGGCTTCGGATGGAAATTCCTGACATGTTGATGTATTTTTTTTAATTTTGCAGAAAAACTGGAGACAGGAATTGCCAGGCACGCAAACCTGGGTCTCCTGATAGCAGCAATCCAAAAGGAACGCCTGGGCTGCTATCATGGAAAATGTCAGTGTTATTAAAGCCAGCACTTGTCATGAAGAATGCAGGCTGTTTTGTTTTCTCTAGTTAAAAAAGCACTGTTGAAAGTGTATTCACCTACTTAAAAGTTGTAGCATTCAAAACAATGGGAAAGAAAGATACAGCGTGATGGATGGAAGACAACTCCTAAAGATTTAAACCAGACCTATAACATAAATGCAAAGAATAATACAAACAAAAATAGCTCTAATGGATAGAATTTATACTATTTATAATGGGTACCTTAGGTGTATCATCCTTTTCAGTATTCACAACAGTCCCAAGAGGTAGGAATTAATAGTCCATTTTACTGATGAGTAAGCTAAGGCTCAGCGAAATAACTTGCCCCAGTCACATGATATGAAATGGCAAAGGTGAATTGAAAGCCAGTCAGACTGAACCAAAGTCCATATGCTTTCTGTGACATTATTAAAAGTATATAATTCAACACTTCAACAAAAATGTGTGTGCCAGAAATTGTAAGGGAAATAGCTAGAAAAAGGAGCCAAAAGTAAAATGTTATTTCTCCCATCTTACTGATTTTTTAAAATAAAAACCAACATGATAAATATCAAAGAAAACAATTGAGAAATACAAGGTATGACTATAAAGTAACAAAGCCAATATAATTACAAACACTCCAGAACTTATCAAAATTATAATGCTCTTAATCAAATTAGTCATCTCAGAGGGAGGTATAATAATTTCTACAATCATGCCATTGTTCAAAACACTTTGGCCTGGGTATCATAAGAGTAAAATCATGTATCTATATCTCCTGAAGCATAGTCTTGTGAGGTTTTATTTTGTTTTTAAAGCAGGGTTTCACTCCATCACCCAGGCTGGAATGCAGTGGTACAATCATAGCTCATTGCAGCCTTAAACTCCTGGCCTCAAGGAATCCTCTCACCTTAGCCTCCCAAGTAGCTAGGACTACAGGCAGGCAGGCCATCATGCTGGACTAATGTTTTAAATGTTTCATTTGTAGAGACAGGGTCTTGCTATATTGCCCAGGCTGGTTGCCCAGGCTAGTCTCAAACTCCTGGCCTCAAGTGATCCTTCTGCCTTAGCTTCCCAAAGCACTGGGATTACAGGCACGGACCAACGTGCCCAGCCCAACCACAGCCTTTTAAACAAAGTAATGCTGTGGCAAATGTTTACAAGTCAATACTATACTATGTTTGGAAATAGCCAAAAGTCATTTGGATACATGAAAATGTTAACAGTAGATCTTTCTACTGGGTAGAATTTCAGAGAACTCACTTTCTAAGTCAAGTATTTCTATAATATTTTACTGTTTTATAATGACTTTTACAAAAATAAAACATTTCAAAAAGTAATATGAAGCCAATAGGTAGTCATCTAGAATTTACAATTCCATTTAGAAGTAGTTCTTGTGTAATTGATAAATAAGTACTGCATGCAATTCTAAAAACAGAGAATCTATCAGAGACACCCTGGTGATGTACATGAATATAGTCCCTCCAAATTAAGTTCATTCATGTAGCTATAGAAGCTCTGGTGTGTTTTGCAAATTCATTATCATTTTGTAGATATCATTCTGTATATATTATGGGCACCCAAAAGCCTACATTAAAATAGCATTTATTAATTTATTTTAAACCACTTTATTGAGCTATGATTGACATATAAAAGCTATATGTATTTAATATATACAACTTTATGAGCTTGGATATAAGTATATACCCATAAAACCATAACCACGGCAGGGTGCAGTGGCTCATGCCTGTAATCCCAGCACTTTGGGAGGCTGAGGTGGGCAGATCACGAAGTCAGGAGTTCAAGACCAGCCTGGCCAACATAGTGAAACCCCATCTCTACTAAAAATACAAAAAATTAGCCAGATGTGGTGGCAGGCACCTGTAATTCCAGCTACTCAGGAGGCTGAGGCAGGACAATTGCTTGAACTTGGGAGGTGGATGTTGTGGTGAACTAAGATCATGCCACTGCACTCCAGCCTGGACGACAAGAGTGAAACTCCGTCTCAAAAAAAAAAAAAAAAAATCATAACCACAGGAATGGTCATAAACAGACCCCTTGCTTCCAAAAGTTTCCTCCTGCTCTATTTATTAAAAAATTTTTTTGATAAGAATATGTAACAAGATTTTCCCTCTTCGCAAACATTTAGGTATACAATGCAGTCTTGTTAACTATATGCTCTATGCTGTACAGTAGATCTCTAGGATTTATTCATTTTGCATAACTGAAATTTTGCACCCTTTGACCAATATCCCTCCTCCACTTCCTCTTTTCCCAGTTCTCAATGACCGCTATTCTATTCTCTGCCTCTATAAGGCAGTATTTAGACTCAGCCTCTGAGAAAGACATATGAGAACACGTTTTTAGTCATCTATAAAATGTAGTTAAGGCAAGGGACTGTAAGAGAAATCGGGAATTGTTAAGTATCTGCAATGCCAAACACATTCAGAAACTGGGACGGATGAGAAAAGTAGAAATTTACCAAATGACACTCTGGGCTTTATAATTAAGAGTCCTCAGGCTAATTGCCTCAGAACGTCCACACAAAAGAAAAGACTACATTTTAGCTAGATTTAAAAGGATACCTTTCCAAAGAATAGAATGTTTTGGTTTTTTTATTTCAAACTAGGGATGATCTGGGTCTATGTGCTTAAACTGAAGCCATAGTTCCTAGATCAGAAAATGTTCAGGTCTGGAAACAGAAGAAAATGGCTGGGTGTTTTCTTTTTTTCTTCTTCTTCTTTGAGATGGAGACTCGCTCTGTCGCCAGGCTGGAGTACAGTGGCGCGATCTCGGCTCACTGCAACCTCTGCCTCCTGGGTTCAAGCGATTCTTCTGCCTCAGGCTCCTGGGTAGCTGAGACTACAGGCGCGCGCCACCATGCCCAGCTAATTTTTGCATTTTTAGTAGAGACGGGGTTTCACCATGTTGGCCACAATTGTCTCCATCTCCTGACCTCGTGATCCACCGGTCTTGGGCTCCCAAAGTGCTGGAATTACGGGCTTGAGCCACCGCGCCTAGCCCTTCTTCTTTCTTAATCTGAGCATTTCTCTCGCGGCATTTAAATTTCTGTTTAAAACCCAGTAACTTTCAAGCATACCATCTTATCAGCAATTTACAATATAAGAAACATATGGTTAAAGATATATGAATAATATAAAATAATCTTTAACAATTATATTGTTCATGGGTCTTAACTCTAAAAAATAACACTTTAATCCAAAATATATTGTTTATAATGTAGAAGTATAAACCATTTTAAGCATATCATTGAGAGATTGAATTCTGCAGAAATATTAGAAACATTAAAAGACATTACATTATATAACAAAATAATTAAATATCTTTGTTAGCTATGAAAACTTTTCATTTCTTAAAGACCAAATAATAGATTTTGCTAATATTTTTAAATGTTTCTTATTGTTCAAAAATTCCTAAGTATCTGAATACTGGTATCACTTATATTGCAAAGGTCTTATGGCTGAAAGAAACACATATTTCTATTTAAACCTAGGAAAAGCTGTGCATTAAATATATTTACTGATTGCCTTCTACATTTCATCCTAAGACCAGGCAAGGAGAAGGGGAACCATGTACGGTACTCATGCCTTTATGAAGCCTGAGGTTGGGTGGCAGGAGAAGGAATCTAAAGTTTTGTTTTCTATTGCCTTTCCTCTTTCATTAACATATTATTTCTCTATTATACTTTCTTATCAACATTCTACCCAACACCCACAAAATGTTTTATTTGATCTTAAAATAAATTAAATGTTATTAGACTCATGAAGAATAAAGCAAATAATTGCTGAGTTGGGTTAATTGCATTCCTTTTAGTTCAGTCATTAATCCAGATCTTGATGTTAAGCAAGTCAGTATAATAAGAATTCAGATGATCAGGTTGATAAAGACTCTTGGGGATTTCACTAGCTATCAAAGAGGACAGAGTTTTACTATTCTGGCCAAGTGAAGAAATAACTCCAGTGGTGCTTGTTTGTTTGTTTGTCCATAAAGCTCTAAATATGAAATAGGCTTGAAAATACCTCAACCTTGGCAAAAAAAAAAAAAAAAAAGCAACGATACCTTCCCCTCTTATAGTCAGCCTTGTTGCTCCATTTATACTGCCATATTTAGGTATTATTTCTGTGACTTTGGGGATTATTTGAGAGCCATCTGAAAAATATTAAAATACAGTAGAGGTAAAAATCACCAAGTTCTTCATTTCAGTCATCAAAATTTGTAACACATACCACAAGGTTGCAAGGAAAACATTATGAAGTTTACAGGATTGAAAGTAAAATTCACCCAGGTTTTATTTTTGGCTCTGCCAATGACTTGACAGAGTCATTAACTTAGTTAATACCCACTGGCTTTGTGCAAAGCACTATCTTAGGTGCTACCAAGAGCAAAAATAACACGTGATCATTTTCATCACTTACCTATCATATTATAAAACACGTATTAAATCCTTAATTTCATGTAGTGCTCTGCTAACTGCAGATCTATAACTATGCTTAACAGCTCACCTAACAGCAGACACCAAGAAGAAATAGGTCATTATAAGAGCACAGAAGAAATGCAATGCTAGGTAGTTTGAAAGACTAGACCAGGTACAAAGAGAAATGTTGGTTTTGAGAAGAAATTATTTTCTGTGAGGGAGTGTGGCTTCAGGAAAGATAATTTCTGAGATTCTTCTAGCCTCCTGATGATAGTGAGTTCTTAATATAAAGGTCACTAATTCATTCAACAAACTGTGTTAGCTTCCTGGAGATACATAAATGTGTAACAGTCCTAACTTTCCAAAGGCTTAGGTTAGACAGTACCAAGAGACAGAGGAGAGCATAGAGGCCACGGGTGCCTCAAGGAGCATTTCACCCACGCTGCTTGTGTCACACTGGCTTCTATAAAGAAGACATGCCCCTTCCACATTTTTAAGGACAAATATGAATTAGACTGGACCAGTTGTCAGAAAGATAAAGATAGTTCTAGATAGAGGGAACTGCCCGGGCAAACAGGATTGTGTGAGCTGCTTCTTTGGAGTATTGCAAATAATTCTTTAAAACAACTCAAAGCTACACAGTGGATAGAGGTGTTTATTTTCTGCTTACACTGTACAGATCTAGTAATTGCTGGAATCCTAAAAGAAATTTTCACAGTAGGTAGAAAAATTTAAGGGATGATACAAAGAAAGGCCACAGAAATTATTAATTTCTCAAAATGGATGTATATAAAAAGGCTAAGGGAATTATGATTGGCTTGTTCAGTTCTGTCTTAAAAAGGTTTAGAGTGGACTTCACCTATAGTAGCAAAAGCTCTCCAACATAAAGGAGACCAGTTCCGAGGCCCCAGACCCAGTGCCTCTGTACCTCGGGTCTGTCTTTGCCAAGAGCTCCAAGGTGTTCTTATTCCCGCACATTCATATCTCAGGGCAGCCCAAGAGTAGGAAACTCCAGCGGGGAAGCTGGATCCTATCTCCAGACAGTGCTGCTCCTCGCCTATCTCAGGTTCATCCTCCTGTTATCTCCACAGACAACTCCAATTTCTTATCTTATCAGTCTCTTCCCAGCCCTCTTCTGGGTATTACTTTGAAAACACAGGGCAGCTGCCCCTGGAAATGACTGACACCTGCCACGAAGTCCCATCCCCGTCCTACTGGGGGTTGTTGCCCTTTCTGTTGTGAGGAAAGCGACCCAAGAAGAATGGAGGAAAAGGGACTCAGGTTGCCTCTTCCCAGTCCCCACTCCCCCGCCAAATTTCAGTCTACTTGTGTCACTTTGTGGGTGCCGGTGGGAGATTTCATCATTCAAGTAGCAGCATTGATGAGTTAAAAGGCAATCTCTCGCAATCTCTTTCTCTGTGTCCTTGTCTCTGTTTCTCTCTCTCTGCGTCTGTCTCTGTTTGCTAGGCCTGCTATCCAGCTCCCCTGGTCCCCAGGATCGTCATGCAACCGCACCCACAGCCTCAGCCAGGTGCCAGGTGGTCCTGCCTCTCCCAGGACCCCGGGAGCAGGGGTAGTGTCTACGCGGGCCTCTCCTGCTTGCCTGCCTAGCGTGCCCAAAGGGTTACCTGTGCTGGGATCCGCGGCACACAGGAGCAGCCCACAGAGGCCCCAAATACCCAGGAGCCACAGGTGTCCCATTGAAAAGCCAGTTCTGCGGAGTTGGTGCCCTCCGCTCGCAGCTGGCTCTAGTGCTGGAGCTCGGCTCCTGGGACTGCGACTCGCTGGCGGGCCCGCTTCGTCCCGGGAGAGCTGGGGAACTGGGCCGCCCTCCCGTGGCCTGCCCCGCCCCTGCTGTCGGGCTGCTCCTCTGGGATTTGCATGCGCGCGCGGACACACACACACACACACACCCTGGAACCTTCGCGGGAGAACCAAGCCGGCCCCGAGCCAGTCCGTGATAATCAAACCTCCACACTCAAACCTGGGTGCTGCCTTCCCAAGGCTGTCCCCATAGGTGGAAGGGCCTTACTCCTTTTGGCGAAAGGAATCAATGGTCATTGAGGTCTCCCTAGGTCTCCTTCTCTATTTTCTTTTTGTTTTTTTTCTTTTCTTTTCTTTTCTCTCTTTCCCCGCGTACTTTCATCTGCCTGTCTGCCTTGGTCATTAATCCTCCCCAGGTGGGCCTATAAGACCACCTAATACACAAACCCCACGCGTGTTTACCCCTTCACATTCATATGAGATTGTGCTCTCTCTTTAATTGACAATCAGTAGACTTAGGGCGAAGGCTTACTGTTGGCATGGAGGGAGGTCCAGCACTGCTGACCTGTTTCTGGGATGCCAGATAGCAGACGAATGAAACGCAAGTTTCTCTGACCTCCCTGGAGAAGGCAGTTTATTATTCACCACTGAATGCTCCCCAGGGGCTAATTCCAAATCCTCTCACTGTTCTTAATATCTTAACCTCAGGATCTCTTGATTGCCCACCTCTCCCTACTCTTTAAAAGGTGAGAAGGGGCTGGGCACAGCGGCTCACGCCTGTAATTCCACCACTTTGGGAGGCCGAGGTGGGCGGATCGCTTGAGGTCAAGAGTTCGAGACCAGACTGGCTGACATGGTGAAACACCATCTCTACTAAAAATACAAAAATTAGCCTGGTGGGGTGGCGCATGCCTTGTAATCCTAGCTACTTGGGATGCTGAGGCAGGAGAATTGCTTGAAGCCGGGAGGCGGAGGTTGCAGTGAGCTGAGATCACACCCCTGCACTCCAACCTGGGCGACATAGTGAGACTCCGTCTCAAAAACAAACAACAAAAAAAGATGAGAAGATCCACCTACCTAGTTTGCAGTTTCTACATTTTAAAATGTTATGTGTTTTTAAAAGATATTAAAAGATTATTACCCAAATAGCAATGCATAAGCTTCTATTGGATCCTGGTTTGTAAAAAATAATAATAATAATATAAAGCTATGAAGGACGTTTGCAGAACAAATTAGGGAAAGTGAATATGGATTAAGTAACAAGTATTGAAAGATATTATAGAAGCGTTCATTTTATTAGGTATAATAGTGGTATCATACTTTAGTCAAAGAGTGTTTTCAAGTGATGGAATTGCATGATGAGGTATTTGGGGTCATAGTGTCTTTATGTCTGGAATTTACTTCAAAATGGTTTTGCTGAAAAAAAATCTGGCAAATTTTAAACAATGTTTGAATTTAAGTGTAGGTATGATCCTTTGCACTTTTTTATTAGTTTAAAAATTTTTATAAGTAGAAAATTTTAAATTCTCTTTCTTTCATTCCCTCCCTTCCTTCCTTCCTTCCCTCCTTCCTTTCCTTTTGTTCCTCTCTTTCGGGAAGAAGTATTTTTCTTCCATGACATGGTCAATCCCCTCTTTGAACTCTTTGTGAAAACTCTTCTCTTCCCATCTTACTGATTATTATTCTAACAATATCCCCCTTATCTCACTTCTAATTACTTCACTTTCCCCTTTCTCCTCTTTTCCTAGAAAGATATACAGTATTCATTACTAAAAAACTAAACACAAACCAAAAATCCTTTCTTTTCTTCTTAATTGAGGCAAACTCTCTAGTTTACTTGTTATTAAACTTCTTGAAAGAGTTGCCTGTTTTAGTAAACTCCTTGTTCAAGGTCACTGTCCACCTACTCATTCATCTATCATACAAGGCCATCTGTGTTCCAGGGTCTGTTCTAAGTACTTGCTGGGGGATGGAGGAAAGGTAGAGGTTGGGAGTAAGGTTGACAGATAAAATACAGGCCACCCAGGTAAATTTGAAATTAAAATAAGCAACAAATTATTTTTTCCAGTTTTAAGTATTTCCAAGCAAGATTTAGAACATACATATGCTAAAAATTGTTCAGAGTTTATCTGAAATCCAAATTTAACTCAGCTTTCCATAATTTTATTTACTAAATCTGACAACTCTAGTTGGGAAAGAAGAGAGAAGAAATAGAAGAAAGAATCCTAAAATAAGTGAAGTTAGGCCCTTATTCTTGAGGAGTTTATATCTGTCTAGTGGGGTTAAGAAAATAATTTTCAGTCTGGGCAACAAGGCGAGACCCCCATCTCTATAAAAAATTTAAAAAGTAAATAATTTTTAAAAATTAGTCATGCATGGTGGTGCATTCCTGTAGTCCCAGAAACTCAAGAGGCTGAGGTGAGCAGATCACTTGAGTCCCAGAGGTCGAAGCTGCACTGAGCCATGATGGCGCCACTGCACTTCAGCTTGGGAGACAGAGACTGACTTTGTGTCCAAAAAAGAAAGAAAGAAAAAAAGAACTGAAAAAGAAAAGTAAATAATTTTGCTATCTAGTTATATTCATCTCATAAATTTTTGGAATCCCTCTCCATGTCATCAGCTACTGAAAATTGTGCCTATAAAGGTAAAGTATGTAACAGTATATACTTCGCCACGGTAACAGTCCACGGCCTGGGGGTTGGGAATCCTTACCATATTATAAACTGAAGTTGTAATTTTTAATGAGAAACCATTAAATTAGGCAGACTTCCCTGCAGATACAATTCATATAATTTATAACAAAGAGGAAAACTTTCTTAAGTATTGAGTGTATCAATAAAGTGCTTCAAATTTTTTATGTTGACTTCTGTTTTGCCAAACTTTTAAAAGATTTTTTTCACCAAATTTTTAGATAGTATATCAACCAGCAAATGGCATGCAACATCCAAAATATAATTTGGTTACTTCTATTGTGTCCTATTTTATTTTTCTACTTAACACATACTAATTGCATGGTTTATTATACTAGTTTCTTTCAGATAGCTTCACTTTCTTTCACACTTAGTCTTCTTAGAATAAGTAAAATATATATAAAGTATGTATTAGGTATACATATTATATACGTACATATGTATTCAATATTATACATATATATAATGTTTTTCTGTATGTATCACCATTAGTCACTCACATTAAACAATCATATTAAAGCTAGTAAATACTATTAAACTACAGTCATCTAAGTTGGCAAATTTAGCACATTAGTCATTCAGCAAAATGATCATTGGACCAATTAGCTTCAGGAAAGTTGATTTCTGGTAAATTAGCCTTCTTTCTTGTCTTATAATGCCTAAAAAAAAAGCCCCATAATTTGCATATATAAATTTTTAATAAATTTTTGTGGAATGAATGAGCATCTTTAACTGATTTTTCCCTTTAAGTAGTGCTTATTTATATGATAAATAAATGTCCTAAAAAAGATCACACCAGTGAGAATTTTGGTCTTCAATTATTAAAATAATTGGATGGGATAATGTCCCAATAAATAATTGTAACTAGATGGAGATTCATATAACCAAAATGTCAACTTGGATCCAGAAAAAGCAGTTATGTAGTTGATGTAATTTATGATTTAATTTGTGTTCATTTTTACAATCTTCAAACCTTTGCAACATAGATTCATCATGGACATGAGAAAACATGAAAGTAGAATCCTGATCATTAAAGCCCGCGTTTCTTTTGCAGGTTTTCAAAAATCTAGCTCTAACAAAACCCTGCCTAAAGGGCCAGGATAGTGAGTGTGACCTGTGCAATCTCATAGGGCCCATACTCGGTTTAATACTCTGCTGTCATCTTGGGATCCTTAATATTTTTTGAGCAAGGGACTTCCCCTTTTCATTTTGCATGAGACCTCACAAATTATGTAGTCTGTTCTACTGGCCCATATGGTGAAAAAAGAGACTGTTTTTAAACTTATTGGTCCCTTGACCTAAAAGCAATAAGAAAATGATAAGGGATTGATAGAAATTCTTGCAGAACTAGAGGGAATAAGGAATTTAATTGTGAATGTATCACTCAACTCGGGCCTAATTTCAAAACCAGACCTATTAGTGAAAGATGGTGAACAAAATTAGGTACTTGGAAAACAATAGTTTGCCTTTAACATATATTCAGTATTGTAGGCATTAAGAAAATGGCAGTGATTAAGAAAAATCTCTGTCCTCGTGGAGCTTACATTCTTGGTGGAGATAGACAATAAATACAAAAATTAGTGAAATACATAGCATGTTCAAAACTAATAAATGCTAGACGGAAAATACTAAAGCAAGGAAGACAACAAACAATGTAACCTTGTTGCTTAATGCCTGGAAGGAGATGAAAGGTTTCTAATTGCTTAAGGGTGCAAATATGGGATGGTTCAAATAAAAATCATTAACTCTCCACTGGCAAATTTTCATGGAGTTACATAGCCCAGGTAATGTCAAACATATTTGACTGTTGAGACAATTGCTCAAGTGTGTTAAAGTCATTCATTATTGCTAACATGTTGTGCCATAACAAAGGTTTTACAAAGTTTGGTACCTTCTGTGAGTGTCAATGTTTCTTTCATTTACTTATTTATTTCCTTTAAATTCCTTTTTTGTACCTGGTGTGTTGTAAAATGGGTATTTGTGATTACTCCTTCATGAATATAGTGTGTATTTTAAAAATAACTGTGTGAAAACTGTGAATATCAGAAATGAGAATGATTATTTGTAGTAAGGCATAGACACAAAACGCCATGAAATTCCACGCTCAAAACTATTCACACTCCTAGAAGGGCATGGCTTCTGAACTCCTGCTGAAACCTTGTGTCTACCTGAGGTTTAAAGTAATAAAAAGTGCTAAAAAATGAACAAATTGAAAAAAAACTTGTCTTATTTCACTTGTCTTACAAATTTCTTGAATATCGTATAATTTACTTAATTGACAGCCAAATTACTTGTTTCTATGACATTTATCAAATTGTTAAAAGCCTTAAGCCGTGTAATATAGAGTTTCAAAATATCACTTGAATCAAATGTTTTATTTTATCATTATTTCTTATATTTTTTACAGAACCTATTTCAGTTTATATTGAAGAGAAGGATGATGATGAAGACTGGATTATAGCTTCGCTTGCATAAATGTGGTGGGACACCAAGGCCACCGTGTCTTTATTTATAAAATGTCTTGCCAATAGTAGATTTTTGTTATGCAAGAAAAATCTCAAGGTGTAAAAGCTAGGACACTTTGAAAACATGAATTCTCCATTTAGCAAAATTCTTTTTTTTTTTTTTTTGAGACGGAGTCTTGCTCTTTCGCCCAGGCTGGAGTGCAGTGGCGTGATCTCGGCTCACTGCAAGCTCCGCCTCCCGGGTTCACGCCATTCTCCTGCCTCAGCCTCCCGAGTAGCTGGGACTACAGGCGCCTGCCACCAAGCCCGGCTAATTTTTTCTTTTTTTCTTTTCTTTTCTTTTTTGTATTTTTAGTAGAGACGGGGTTTCACCATGTTAGCCAGGATGGTCTCCATCTCCTGACCTCGTGATCCGCCCGCCTTGGCCTCCCAAAGTGCTGGGATTACAAGCTTGAGCCACCGCGCCCGGCCAGCAAAATTCTTTTACTTAAGATCCTATAAAGTTGGAGAGACTTCAGTTCAGCCATGTGCACTGGAGATGCTCAAGCTGGTTTTTGCACTGGAATAGAGGAGAAATCTAGAAGAGGTGCTTTTGTCCAGTATGTTCATACATTGTAGAATTATTGAAATATCTTAACATTAAAATGAGCCATCAAAGGATTGATGTTCTCACCATTGCCCTTCAGTATTGCACCTGGCAAAATTCTGATTTTGTGAGTCTCTTTTGGAAACTAACCAGGCTGGTGACATTTTGGGAAAGGTAAAAAATTGTTTTATTGTTCTGGTTTGTTTTATATTCTTTTTCCAAGTAAAACATTGATTGGAAAAATTAAAGCATTATACACTCTTTACTTAATTGGTTCCAACAATGCTTTTCAATGTATCTGGTATTGTTACCTTAGTGACAATGAAATCACCTCATGCTGTCATTACTTGTTGTTTTTTACACAGACATACAATAGGAATAAAGGCTGTTTTTACAATCCTGAGAGAAGCTTTGTCACCAATCATAGAAGTCATCGACATTATTTAAAGTACCCCCTGAATTGTCGCATGTTTTAAAAATGATCAAGAAATAGGGCAACCAAAATATAAAGTACATTTTATCAAATAAAAGTTCACTGATTTCCAAGGGAGCAGGAGTTATTTATTTATAACTTGTTTGTGTGTGTGTGTGTGTGATGAGAACACTTGAAATCTTCTTTCTTATCAATTTCCAAGCACACAATATGTTGTTTTGAACTGTAGTCACCATGTTGTACAATAGATCCCTTGAAACTATTCCTCTGGTCTAACTGAAATGTTGTATCGATTGACCAACATCTCCCAAAGCCCCTCACCTCCAACTTTTGGTAACCAACATTCAACTCTCTGTTTCTATGAGTTCGACCTTTTTGCATTCCACATATAAGTGAGATTATGCAGTATTTGTCTTTCTGTGCCTGGCTTATTTCACTTAACATAATGTCCTCCAGGTTCATCCCTGTTGTTGCAAATCACAGTTTTTTTACTATTTTTAATGGCTGAATAGTATTCCCTTGTGTATACATACCATATTTTCTTCATTCATTTGCTGATATATACTTACATTAATTCCATATCTTGGCTATTGTGAATAATTCTGAAATGCACATGGGAGTTCAGATGTATCTTACAAATCCTTATTTCAATTCCTTTGAATGCATACCCAGAAGTAGGATAGCTAGATCATATGATAGTTCCATTTTTAATTTTTTGAGGAACTTCCATACCATTTTCCTTAATGGCTGTACTGAATTACATTGCTACCAACAGTGCACCAGGATTCCTTTTACTCCAGATTCTTGTTAACAGTTGTTATCTTTTGTCTTTTTTATTATAGCTATTCTCACAAGTGTGAGGTAATATGTCATTGTGGTTTTATTTGCATTTCCCTGATGATTAGTGATGTTTTTACTGAAGCTCAGACTATGAATTCTTGACTCTCAAGTAAATAGAAATGAACACCAGACCAAACAGAATTTTTTCTTAGGCAAGGGTTTTTTTTTTTTTTTTTTTTTTTTTTTTTTGAGACGGAGTCTTGCTCTGTCTAGGCAAGGTTTTAATAGGCTTCCAGGTCACACAAAGCAAGCAGAAATGTACAGAAAATGGATCTCAGTGCCGGCTCCCCAAAGGGCTTGGCTCTTGTCATTTTAAGGGAGCTAAGGCGAGAAAAGGAGCTATGTGTAGGCATATAGAGGAAGGAAACTTTTAGCACCTGCGCAGTTTGATAACATATTTCTTCATGTGTCGTATGTGTCATTAGCATGCTAAATCCCCACCCCTGGATGTGATTTGCAGTATTACAATGAGGGAAACTTCATGCAAGATCAGTGCTGGAATTCATTCATCTTGTCTTCGGCTGGCTGGATCTGGTCTGTTTATTGTTGGGAATGCCAGAGTCTCACTTCAGTAACCTTGGAAGACATCACTCAAAGATATAAATGGTCAGTTTCTTCTTTTTATGGTTAGGGATTCAGCCAGGTCAGCTAAGTTAGGAAGAGGCAGCTTTCTACTCCCTGACTTTGGTCAGCTTGTTAAGGGAGGCAAGAAGGTATGGCAGGGAAATGCCCAGACATTTGAGGCCTATGGAGTGGGGGTGAGGAGATCTGGGTTACTATGTCACTTATCTGCCAGGACCGAGTTTCTTTCCTATACTGGCTTAATGTTGAACACCTTGCTGTATACCTGTTGGCCATTTGTATGTCTTCTTTGGGGAAATGTCCATTTAAGTCCTTGGTTATTTTTAATCTGGTTGTTTGTTTTCTTACTGTTGAGTTATAAGAGTTTCATATATATTTTGGATATTAACCCCTTATCAGATGTACAGTTTGCAAATATATTCTTCAATTTAATAGATAGTCTCTTCACTCTGTCGATGTTTCCTTTGCTGTGAAGAAGCTTTTTAGTTTGATGTTAGCCCATTTGTCTTTTTTTTTCCTGTTGCCTGTGCTTTTAGAATTATATCCAAAACGAAGTATTGCCCACACCAATGTCATCAAGCTTTTCCCCAATATTTTTTTTCTAGTGGTTTTATGGTGTCAAGTCTTACATTTAAATCTTTATTTTAGTCGATTTTTGTTTATGGTATGAGATGAGGGCCTAATTGCATTCTCCTGCATGTAGATATTCAGTTTTCCCAGCCCTATTTTTGGAAGGCACTGTCCTTTCTCATCATTTGTTCTTGGCATTTTTCTTGAAAATCATTTGACCATAAATATATGAATTTATTTTGGGAGTGAGGGGTATGATTTAAGAGCTTGTTTAAGTTAAGGGCAACTACTTAATGTTTCTTAAAGAAAAGAAATTCTGCATTCAGAATACTTCGAAAAAAACTATTGATGCATGGGTTGGCTTACCTGGCAATTATTTTTAGCCACATGGATGGGCTAAAATTTTCAAGTTCATTAGGCTTTCTACTTTAAATAATATTATAATCTTTCCAGAATATGTAGCTGATTTGGAATATCAAAATAGAAACTGACATCTTTGCCAAACTTTGAAATGTTTTACCCTTAGCTAACTATCAATTTCTTTGAAAGAGATATCTATAAATATCTGGAAACTGTTTAGTACCCTTTTGGAAGTTACTTCTATCTTAATTGTATTAAAGTTGAACTATGAATCCAGAATCCTTTCCTTTCTGATATAAACTGTAATTGAAAGCATTGTCCTAGTCTATAATCTTTGATCTTAGGCTCAAAAACATTATAGGTAGGATATAACTCAAAAAACCTTTGAGGATTCTGATATCTTTTGAGGCAAGCTTATCTTGGCCTTGTAAAATAAGCTTAAAAAACTTTAATTTAATGCTATGATCTAAATGTTTGTATCCTCCCAAAATTTGTGTATTGAAAGTGATGGTATACCAAAGTTATGCTGTTAGGAGGTGGGGGCTCTTGAAAGGTGATTGGGTCATGGAAAGCCCACATGAATGGGATTAGTGTCCTTATGAAATAGGCCCAAAGGACCTCATTCACGCCTTCCACCATGTGAGGATGCAGTGAAAAGATTCTTTCTATGAACCAGAAGATGGCATTCATCAGACGCTAAATCGCTGGCACCTTGATCACCAATTTCCCAACCTTCAGAACTATAAGAAACAACTTCCTGTTTGTAAGTAATACATTTCTGTTGTTTATAAACCACCCAGTCTATGCTATTTTGTTATAGCAGTCCAAATGAAGTAAGATATCCTTTTTGCTACAAACATACACACACACACACACACACACACACACAATCTTAACTAATCAAGAGTTTCAATACTTACAAACATTAAAACAAAAATTTGAAATTGACGACATATCCTGCATAACAGTAACAAGCATGTTGTCCTGTCAATCACAACCCTACAGTGTAATGTTCTTATCCAAGTTAAGAAACAACTTTACCCTGATTTTTTTAAAATAAGGTACAATTTTAAAGTTACTCGTATTTAAAATATATTGTCTTATTTTTGTGTTAATAAAGATGAATATCATGCATTTATTTTGAAATATTTGATAACTATAATTTTAATATAATTTGTTTCCTGTATAATTCTACAAATTTTATTATGTGTATTTAAACATAATATTCTGAGAAAGAGTTCATAGTCTTCACTTGACTTCCAAAGGGACTCAGAAAAGGTTAGGAACAACTGATTTAGGCAGAGGGTAAAGATACAAAAGAAAGTGGGTCATAATATTAGGATTTGGAAAACTCCAACAGTTAGAGGTCTAGCAGAAGACAGGTTAGCAAATAAGACTGACAGACAGCAGCCGTGGGTGAGAGGGGAAGCAGAACACTATTGCAGTACAGAAATTAAGAGAAGAACGCATCTGAAGATGTAGAATCATCACTTGTTATCAATGCTTTTGGGAGGTTGAAGAGGGTGATAATCTCTCTTGACCTAGACATAGATTCCATGGAATGGTGATTTCCATGAGGCCAAATTGAGGGAGTTGAGTGGGAGGTGAAGGAGTAGAGACAATCCAATTAAAAACTTTTGCTTATAATGGGAGCAGAGGAATGGGGCTGTTCCTAGAGGGAGATACGTGATCAAGACATGGTTTTTATAAAAGAATGTAGTTACCAGGCCAAGTGACTATGCTGCTATGGCTGATGTAGCAGAGGGTTAAAATTCTAATGGAAGAGAGGGAGGGACAACTGTAAGAGAGAGATCGTTGAGAAGAAGAGAGGTGCTGGAATCCAGGGGACAAGTGGAGGCAAGGTTAAATGTATGGGTCCAGATTCAGGAAGACTGGTAAATTTGGTGATGGGATCATGCCAGGTTCTTGTCAGATTGCTGCTGTTGCCTTGATAAGCATGAGGCAGTGTTATTAGTGCTGGAGAGAAGTGGGAAACAGGCATTTTGGTGAGTAGGAAAGTGTATACCCTAGGAAAATGTACTGGAGTTCTTGGGCAGGAAAAAAGTGTTCATTTGAGGTTGTGACCATTATTTCTTTTCAAACCATGTTCATGGCTTAGACTACCTAATTCTGTTAAACTGTCCATACTACTCAAAGGAATATACATATTCCATGCAATCCCATTAAAATTTCAATAATATTTTTCACAGAAACAGAAAAAGCAAGCCTTAAATTCAAAAGATACCACAGAAGACCTGAAAAGCCAAAGCAATCTTGAACAAAAAGAACAAAGCAGAAGTCATCACATTTCCTGGTTTCAAATAATTTTATAAAGCTATAACAAATACAGTAATCAAAAAAGCATCATACTTTGGGAGGCTGAGGTGGAAGGATCACTTGAGCCCAGGAGTTTGAGATCAGCCTGAGCAACATATGGAGACCTGAGACCACAACTCCACAAAAAAAGTTTTTTTTGTAAATTAGCCAGGTGTAGTGCCACATGCTACTTGCAGTCCCAGCTACTTGTGAGGCTGAGGTGGGAGGATCACTTGAGCCTGAGATGTTGAGACTACAGTAAACCATGATCATGCCACTGCACTCCAGCCTGGGTGGCAGAAGGAGATCCTGTCTCAAAAAAAAAAAAAAAAAAAAAGAAAGAAAGAAAGAAAAAAAGTGTCATGCTGGCATAAAAAGACGTGAGCCAATTGAACAGAATAGAGAGCCCAAAATAAACCCATGCATGTACAGTCAACTAATTTTTGAAAAAAATGCCAAGAATATAAAATGGGAAATAACAGTCTTTTCAATAAATTATGCTAGGCAAACTAGATGTGCACATGAAAAAAGAAAAAACTGTTTAATCCATATATCTTAAGTACCAGGAAATCAACTCAAAAGTTGATTAAACACTCAAAGACAAGAAACCGTAAAACTAGAAGAAAACAGGGAAAAGGCTCCTTGGTCTTGGCACTGATGTTTTGGATATGATGCCAAAATACAGGCAAAAATAAACAAGCGAGATTACATCAAATTTAAAAGCTTTCTTGCAGCAAAGAAAGCAATCCCGAGTGTAATGGCAATCTATAAAATGAAAGAATGTGTTTTCAAACCATATATTTGATAAGAGGTTAATATCCACAATATCAGGAACTCCTACAACTCAATAGCAAAAAACAAACAACAATAAACCAACCCAATTAAAAAAACAGACAAAGGACCAATAAATATTTCTCTAAAGAAGAAGACATAGCAGTGGCTAAAAGCTGTATGATGAGGTGCTAAACATCACCATCAGGGATATGCAAATCAAAATCACCATTTCACCCCACAACTTTTAGAATGACTATTATCAAACAGTCAAAAGATAAGTGTTGGCGAGAATGTGGAGAAAAGGGAACCCTGATACATTGTTGGTTTGTATGTAAATTAGTACAGCCATGATGAAAAACTGTATGAAGATTTTTTTCAAAATGTTAAAAAATAGAACTATGATATAATCCAGCAATTCCACTTCTGGGTATATATCCAAAGGAATTGAAATCAGAATTTTTTTTTTGAGACAAGATCTCATCTGTCCCCATGCTTGAGTGTAGTGGTGCAATCATGGCTCACTGCAGCCTTGACCTCATGAGCTCAAGCAATCCTCCCACCTCAGCCTCCCAAGTAGTTGGGACTATACGCGTGTGCCACCATGCCCAGCTAGTTTTTGAATATCTTGTAGAGATGGGATTTTGTCATATTGCCTAGGCTGGTCTGGAACTCCTGGGCTCATGCGTTCTGCCCACCTTGGCCTCCCAAAGTGCTAGGATTACAGGCATGAGCCACTGCACCCAACCAGGATCTTCAATATGTGTCTGCACCTCCTGTCGATTAAAGCATCATTCACTGTAACCAAGATATGGAATTACCCTAAGTGTCCTTCGATGGATAATGAATAAAGAAAATTTAATACACACATCCACATTAATCTACCCACTCTCCTCCACACTAGAATTATTCAGCCTGAGAAACGAGGGAAATCATGCCATTTGTGAAAACATGAATGGACCTAGAAGATATAATGTTTAAGTGAAAAAGCCAAACACAGAAAGATAAATACTATATGATCTCACCTATATGTGGAATCTAAAATAGTCAAACTGATAGAAGCAGAGAGTAGAATGATTGTCAGGGGCTGGGGTGATGGGGAAACGAGAAGATGATGGTTAAAGTGTACAAAGTTTCAGTTATGTAAATTCTAGTGATCTATTATGCAGCACAGTGCCTATAGCTAACAATGCTGTATTGTATACTTAAAATTTTCTAAGCAGATAGATCTTATCTTAAGTATTCTTACTACATACATGCACGCACACACATACACACACACAAACAATAACGAAGGGTGGGGGAGGAAAGTCTGGGAGGTGCTGAAAATGTCTATGACCTTGATGGTAGTGATGGTTTCACAGGTATACACTTATCCCCAAACTCATTGAGATGTATGCATTAAATAAGTATAGCTTTTTGCATGTCAATCATATCTCAATAAAGTGGTTTTTGAAAACATAGAAAATAAAGGCAAGTTTTATATATATATATATATATATATATAACATGTATCCAAAGACATAAAAGGAATGCTGACATATTATACATATTATTGTTCCATACATATTAAATGTACCCAAACCAGGAAATATTTTTATGCCATCTGTAATATTTTATTCATTTTAAAAATGAAGCAAAAAATCACACTTGTATTTTGAAAAATTTTAAACTTATTTGCAATAAGTTGGTGTATACACTTCTATTAGATTCACATTTTAAATCTTTATCTCCATATATAGTATCATTTTTTCTATTCATTTTTCTATTCATAATCTATTCATATAGTACCAGTTTTTGCTATTAAAACATTTGAGAGTTAGTTACAATGTGGCACTTCATCCTTAAATACTTCAAGATGGAACAGGATCATTCTTCCCAAATATAAGTGTAAGACTCAAGAAATTTAACACTGAAACTACAATCTATGCTTAAATTTTTCCAAATGTCCAAATAATGTTTTGGATAGTTGTGTTTTGTTTATTTATCAAGGATGACACATTGTTTTAAACTTTAGTATATCTTTCTTTTAATCTAGCACAGGCCCTGTCTTTGCTTTTGCTTTTCTTTCTCTTTTTTTTTTAGTGTTTCATTCCTTCAAGACATTGACTTCGTTTTGAGAAATCCATGTAAATACATTTTTCACAATGTAGTGGTTTTTATTTTAAAATGAGCATTATCAGAAGGGTTGTGTAATTTTCTTCAACAAAGTTCAGATAAACACGTGCATGCATGGACTAAGATTTCAGAGTAGCCAGGTTTAGACAGGACTGTGTGTGGTTAGAAAAAAAAAGAGAGAGAAATTAAGGTTAATAGTAAGGAGGCTCTAACGATAAACCGATCAATTTTAACCTTAATAGTGACCAAATTTAGGCTGGTAAGGAGGGAAGTGACAGCATGTGGGGAGCAATGATAATGATAAAGGGGGAGTTCATTGAAGGTCTCTAAAAAGTCTTTATAAAGTGAAATAATTAGATCAGAAACACAGGAAATGCAACTAATCAGTGAATATGTCTGCTCTATTTTACTAAATTCGTCTACCTGAAAGCCCAATTTTTTTTTGTAGGAGGTGAAATATGGGTGATAGACCCCACATACAAAATTATTTTATGAGTACCATTGCTAGAATAGTACAACATATACACAAATCCATGTGTGTACATATGTGTGTATATACACATGGATTTGTAAAGTTCTTTACTATAACTGACTTTAGGTCACACCTTCGAAAGAAGCACCCATAATTCTTTTACTTGATTATATTGCCAGTATCCCTAGCAAATCTGAGATATATTGTTGAAATGCAATTGTCACATGAACCCCCAAATAAGTAATGAAATTAATGGTAGAACTGAGAAGAGAACCAGAGCACTCACTCACATACTGTCAGTATCTCAGCCCAACTGAATGCTCCTCAAATCAGAAAATATATATCATTACTTAAATCACCTGCATATCAGACAGGCTATGGTTTAATAAACATTTCTATTTCCATTATTCTACTCTGTGGCTGTTAGCCCAGAAAAAGCCCAACTTTGATAAACGTAGCTGTCTAGGAGGGATAAATTATCAAGGGTGTGCTCTCAACAAAATATTTTAAGGTAAAAATTTATATGGCAACTGAAAGCCATTTTTTATCATTTAATTCTAGTGATCCCAGGCACAAAGTCGAGGTATTAATGGATGTGATAAGCACTGGCACCAACTCCTGTACCCAAAATTACTTTATGAACAACGTAGCACGAGGACTGCAGGTTCTACATGCCTTTGTTTATTGACGTGTTTTACCATTGTAATCAAAAGTCAACATTCATTCAGTGGCCACAGGGTTTTGGCATAATATAAGGCTCTATTCATAGTGTGTGTGTGTGTGTGTGTGTGTGTTTTGATAAAGTGATACAGATTTAAAAAGGAAAATATGAATATTATTACCTTTAAAAAAGGCTATGAGAAAGGTACAGCAAGGAAAATAAACACTGAAAATTATTTTTCTTTCATTTTTATTAAGAATTTACTGTGCTTATTATTATTATTATTGTTGATAAAGTAAGTGAAATAGACTATTTCAGTAGCAGTGTATGCTATTTAAATCATCTTCTTGCTTGAATTGCTGAATTGACTTCAGAAAACGATCCCAGCTAAACAACATCTACATCTCACAGTAGCTTCATCTTAATTTATACAAGAAGCACTTTCTGAAGTCCTCACATTAAGATTTAATTCAGTAACACTTTCATCTTGAAAAAGTAAATGGCTGGGTGGCCTTAATCAGAAGCGGACCTGTTTGAATGAACACACAATTCAGTTAGAGCCCCAAGGAGGACCAAAATACTGGCTTCAAGTGCCCTCTTGTGGCTGATAACAGAATAATCAAATATAATTTGAAGCCTGGAATAAACTGGCACAAGCCAAATTTTTCTCTTTTGCCACTTACTTACTTACCAATAATTTATTAGGCACTGAAAATTCAAAGATAAATAAGATACAGTCCATGTCATAGAGAAGTTCATAACAGAATAAAGGCGAGATGACTACAGATAATTTCAACCCTCCCTGCTAAGTGCTACTATAGTTATATTTATTCTATTTCAATCAAGTTACATTGGTCATCTTCATTTTTGTAGATATTCTTATGGTAATTAATATTAGAAATTCCTAAAAAATAAAAGCAGCTATTTTCCACACAAGTTTAATTCATGTACTGTATCTCTGTACAACTAGAAAACACATTGTAAATAATTTTATATTTTTCAATTATTTCTAAGATAACATGAATCCATATTACTTTTTGTTTATTCTATTAATATTTGTTTTATTATTTGCATCCCTTCCAGGTCAGCACTATCAGACCTATTATGCAGACAAGGAAACTGAGGCAGAAGGGTCAGTCTTACCTGGTAATTCAGTATTAGAGATGAGACTGGAACCTGCATTAATTGCACTCATTAGTTTTCTTGGCAGATTCATCCAATGACTTTCGTGTGGTTTCTAATGGTAAATATGAGGGGTTTTATGAAGTCATTGAGTAACACGAGTTATTTACAAGATGGGTTTTAAACACACACGCACACGCACCCACACACTGGATCATTTCCAACATCAGCTACTGAACAGCTGTCACAGCTCTCTTCAGTTGGATGGAGCTTTTGATCAAGTTATGAAAAGTCCCATATCCAATTACCAATCCCCAGCATCACCCATTTCCTCGCTTGGCACTGCTCAACCAAATGATACACTTATAATGCCAAAGCAAAGTGATTACATAAATAATTTAGTTGGGTCTTCTTTAATCCTATACGAGCAGCTTACAGTAATCCTAATTAGTATTTTACTCACCTGGTGCAGTCATGTAACAGTAATCCTATTGAATTTCCAACATTAAGCATGAAAGCGTGCAAGAATTTAAAGAATATATTCCTAGCTTACAGAAATCAATCATGTGAGTCAAGATGTTCACAAAGTTGGTTTATTTGAAAGATATAAGTGATTCTAGATACAAACTAGAGAACATTTGTAAGTTGTCAAAGAAGCCTACAGGTGGTGGGGTAGAGGTGGGGAGTTCTCAGCACTATCATTTTAAAGCTATGCTCTTTAGTATTCTAAATTGCTGTGATGTTCTCAATTATTTTTAAATCCCATTTTAAAATATTTTCATAACGTTTTCATTTTTATATATTTTTGAGGTAATAAAATAGTATCTCTATGAGCAAATTTGGTTTATTTCCATATACAGTACTATGAAATAAGAACTATCCGCTATTTCTCACCTTTCCTGTGTACTATTTATGATTGTTTTCATTGTGATAATAGGTAGCAGAATGATGAGCATCCCTATCACTTACTTTAGAACATTGTTTTATAAGAGATGAAGTGAAACAAAAAACTTGTTTGGGTAGGTTTTGTGATTGTGTGCTTATCTCAGGCTCAAAACTTTACATAATTAAGCCCAGCTGGTTCAAAGACTACACTTTAAATTCATCAGAAAGATGAAATTGTCTCTCGAACCAAAGATCAATTTGAATCCTTTTCTCAACTATACCCAATTTATACCTTTTCTCATACTCCCATACTGTTCATTCACTTGTTCCTTCATTTTTTCCCTTGCCCATTCATCCACAAATAAGCATCATACAAAGTCAGAGAAGTCATTTCCTCCTTTCCAGGAGAGGCCTGCAAAATTTCAAGAACTACTGTGTTGAAGAGGAATTATGCATAGCTGCTTCTCACAGAAAAACAGTAGTGGGGGATCTAAGTCAGAGGGATGTCTGAATGTTTTAGCAACTAAAGCTGAACTCTGAAGGGCAAACAGGAATGAGAAACATATGAGAAAGGGGGCTTCTGGGTTCAAAGGTACTTACGGATGAAACAACTTCATAGTGGGGATTCTTTAGTCTAACTAGAGAAACACGATGTCAGATCAAGAAGGGCCTATGTGTTAATGCTGAATGAGTTTCATTCTACATTGAGAAATTCCAAGCAGGGGAATAAAATAACCAGACTTGAATTTTACTAAGGCCACTTAGGCAACAGTGTGGAATAGATATTGGAGGGGTCACAGATCAACTAAGGCAAAGAAATACTAAGTCTACTACAATAATCTGGGCTTGAACTAAGACAATTACGAGGGCACGTAGTGGATAATTTACAGCCTTGCTATATTCAGAAGTGGTTCTCAATCAGCAGCATGAGCACCAGTTGGGTACTCGCCAGAAATACAGAATCTTAAAGCCATGCCCCTTATCTTCAGAATCAGCATTTCAGTAAGCTCCTCAGATAATCTATATAGCTAGGAGGTACCATTCAGAAATAAGGAATATAGCAGGGGCAATTATTGGGGGAAAAAGTCATTATTTTAGGTAAGGTCAGTTTGAAGTGAGGATATTCTAAAAAGTTGATCCATAGCAGTTGGGTGTCTGGGTGTGGAGGCTAGGATGAAGTCTGGTTTGGAGACAGTTTAGCATTTATCAACCTGTATTTGAAGTCACGGTCTGACGCAAGTTTCCTGGGATTTGCTCAGGAAAAGTATATCCAGTTAGTGAGGCAGAGGGCCCTGGAGGGAGCCCTAGGAAACACCATTATCTACAAGTCCCAGACAGCAAAAGGTACTCCACAAGAAACAGAAGGAACTTCCAGTGGTAGCAAAAGCAATGTGAGGAGTGGGAAGAGAGTTCCAAGTGGCAGGATGGTCAACATTCGCATTTTCCAGCAGAAGTCACGTAAGAATAGACAAGAGTCCATTGGATTTGGCAATCCTGATGTCAGGGTAAAGCTAATGGGTGGAGATTAATTCCCATTAAGTTCTTTCTTGACCTTAGTATGTGGGGTTGCAATTTAAAGATTCTGCATTCAAAGTTCAGATGAGTAGAGTATGTGGAAGGAGCTTGGTATGGAGCCAACTTGCAAATGTTCTCTTCCATTAGATGGTAAATTCTTTGAAGCATAAGGAAGGCACATAAAGATGAGTAAGACCCAGTCCTAACCCTCAAAGTTTATAAACAATACGAATAAGACAACTGTAGTACAAGATGGGGCATTACAATTTATAAAATATTATGGGGACTCAAAAGAGGAATACACCATATGCAGTCAGAAAAGGTTGCTTACTTCTCAGCTGTTAACACAGAGAACTGTACATACTAAATACTTAAACTACATTAATTGCTTTTGCGCTCAACAAATTTGGTGAATTAGTAATAAAGACAAAGTCCCATTCATTTCAAAATCCAAGCAAACTTCAAACTCATTCATGAGATATTTATTAAAATAACACATTTAGGGAAAAAAATCAATACAATGTATACATCATTACTGAAAACTGTATACCATCATACAAAAAAGGATTTTATTTTGGGAAATTGTTTTCTAATTTATGGCAAGTTTTACTTTCAGAAATAAAACCACAACAACACAATCTAATTCAATCTTAAAGGCTGGCATGCTGAGCAAGGAATGTTCTTATTCTTTGTAGGAGCTCCTTCTTTACACTGTCAGGTACCAGGGCTGAAAAACAAAAATAAAAAAATAAGAGTAAGAAGGTACCAATTAATACATGAGAATTTAAGATCTGACATTTTGCTCAGGGTAAACAACATAAGAATTTCATAAATAACCCTCATGTTCAATTAAAAAAAAGGTAAAGTTATCTGACAAAGAAAAGTGTCTTCTTGCAATTCATCATTTTAAATGAACTATCCAATGCCTAAATGCACTGCATGTTGATGAGAAGAAAACGTGAGAAAATTCTTTAGGAGTAAAGAAGACCATTTTTAAATACAGAGGCTATAACAGATGGATAAATTTGATTAAAACATAGTAACAATTTATGCTGAATGAAAAATCACCATAAGCAAGGCCAAAAGATAAAAACTGAGGAAATGTTCTTCCAGAAAAGGGCTGATCTTTCTACTATACAGTTGTTTCACACTGATAAGGAAAAGATCAAAAGGCTAATAGAAACATGAACAAAAGAGATGAAGAAAAGGAGAGTTTTTGAACATAAAAGGGTCCCCATCTCAGAAGACAAATGAAATTAAAACCACATTTACATAGCATATTTTACCAATCATAGGCAAAAATACAAAGGTCAATAATATACTGTGTTGGCTGGGTACGATGGCTCACGCCTGTCATCCCAGCAGTCTGGAAGGTTGAGGCAGGAGGATTGCCTGAGTCCGGGAGCTCAAGACCAGCCTGGGCAACATGGCGAAACCTGTCTCTACAAAAAATAAAATTAGTGGAGCATGGTGGTGTGTGTCTGTGGTCTCAGCTACTCGGGAAGCTGAGGGAGAAGGATCACTTAAGCCTGGGAGATCCGGGCTAGTGAGCCATGATCATGCCACCGCACTCCATCCTCGGTGACAGAGCAAGATCCTATCTCAAAAAAAAAAAAAGGGTATATATATTTATACATATATAAAAATATACATTTATATACATACATAAACTATATAAACATACATAATATATATTTTAAGTATACACATATGTAAAAATATATATGTATACATACACACTGTTGGCAACATTGTGTTGGCAAGACTAAGGGAGCACTCTCATATTACGTGGAGTATAAACTGGTATATGTTTTAGAAGGTAATCTGTATTTTACTGAAATAATTCACATATATACACTCCGAGCTAGTAAAAATCCAAAAAATTACAACTGTTATATGTTATACTTTTGACCCATTTGACTATTATCTATTCAGAATATTAAACCATAAATGCAAAAAAAAAAAAAGGGGGGGGTTAACTAAAACTTCTAACGTATTTACTTGTGTTCTGGGGAAATGGAAAACTTCAGATACAGTTCAGTATTTCCATAAAAAAGTTATACAAATCAAATAAGCCAGATATTCTTCTTTACAAACTGTTTAGTTTAAGCCAACCTACAAATCAAGACTATATAATTAATTCAAGTCCACTGGAAATGTAATCAATATGTATACTAAAAATAATTTTAATCAAAATTATGGTGATTGAGAACAGGATTAGTGAGTTGCCTTGAAATAAGATGGGACTATAAAGGAATACCATGAGGGAGGTTTTGGTGGTGAGGGAACTGTTTGTTCTGTATCCTGACGGTGGTAGCTACACGAACCTATACATATGTATAAAGTTCACAGAACTGCACACTAAAAAACGACAATTTTACTGTGTTAAAAAGTATGTCTTCTCTTAACAACAGTAAGAAGACTAAGAACATAAATTAAAATATCTATTTTTACTTCTCTTTTATTTGCTCATTCTCTAGCAGGGGAGCTACAAGACATTGAAATGTCCAAGGTTTTAAGTATCGAAGGAGAAGCAAAGGATAGTTTCTAACTTGTATAGCTGGTTCCTAAATAATGTTAACAGAATAAGTGTAAGTCACAGAAGAAAACAAAAACAAAATCAATTTAGAGAAATTTAAAAATATAAATTCATAAGGGGAATAATAATTTTTTTTCCTTTCCCCGAGACATACTTGAAGAAAAAGTCATGTTTTTCAATTGTAAACAGGCCTAAAGAGATGGCTGACAAGGACCATGGGATTCTATAGCTTATTCCCAGCAGGGAGGAGTTCAAAAATTCATGTTCTGTAGTAATAATTTTCAAACTTATTTACTTTTTACACTTAAATTCTTTTCACAATTTCTGTGTGAGAAAACAACTTGGGCCATCTAATTTACCTTCCAGTTACAACCCCAACTTTACCAAAGTAAATGAAAATAATGTAGTTATATCTAAGATAACAATGATGTAGCTCCTGACAACATTTACTACACATCATCAGTTTTAACATAATATTTCCCATCTTAACTTTGCCTTCTGTAAACAAGGCATTAAAGGTTGAAATTAAGAAGGTGGTTGCATTGTGAGTCTTAAATATGAATTACTCTGAACATGAAGTCATGGAGCTACCAAATTCTTAAGTAGACATTTAAGACAGACCTTCATTAATTTTTAATGAGATAAAGGGGCAATGACTCAGGGGTTGGAATAAGACTTTGAATTATTAAATATTTAAGTGGAGTCATGCCATATCTGATAAAGTTTATAAATCCTAGCTTCATGTAGTATTTGACACTGCAGAATCCCGTATTTTAAAAATTATTTGCTTGAACAACTGTATCAACTTGCATTGGTGCACTGTTCTAGAGTACAAGAACACTGAAACCTAGTATCTCATTTGTTACTCCCAGACTATGCTAGGAGGCAGGTAGGCAATTTTAACTCTTTACAAGAGGCAACACAGGTAGTGCTTTTCCTTAAAAACAGAAAGAAAATCTGAACCAGCAAGAGATTTTAAAAAAATCATGTCTGCAGCATGTTTCCTTTAACAAACTCTGTATTCCTTACCTCTGCCTTTTGGAGTGATTTCAGCCACCAAGTCATCAACAGTAACGTGTTCTAGTCCTTTTTCTTTAATTACCTCTTATGCAAAAGCAAAAAACAAATCATATCATTTAAAATCATTATCTGTAAGAAAGATTTTCATAGAGGAAGGGTTAAGATCATGTTTTTAGAGTGTAGACTGGTTTTTTTAAAAAAAGGACACTGAAAATTTAGTTCAACCTTACAAACACATCAAGTATTCTTTAGATCTAAAAGATAAAAGTTGTTCGTAAGTCTCAGCTAAATAACCAGCAACTAAATAATTGTGACACTTACAATAAATTTAGACTGTAATATTCAAATCTAACATCTGTAAAATGCCAAAAACTTATAACTAACTGTTTTAATTAACATTTACTAGATCTCTATTAGGTGCTTTACAACATTTAATATTCACGATGATCTAATGGGCTAGGCATTTTCCCACTTCACAGGTGAAGCAACTGAGGCTTAAATAAGTCATCCAGCCCTGAGTTGAAATCCAGCTCTATTCTTTCAGTGATGAAAATCTATATGACCTTAAAGTCTATGCTTTTACTAATTTGTCACATTGCCTTCTTACAGTTAACATATAGTTTATTTTTATTTGTAGAAACCATTACAATGGGGATTCATTAAAAATATCCAGAGTTCCATTATATCAAAAGCTGAGACAGAAAGGAGGCTCCCCTTAGTGACATGTATAATCCATCAAATGGTATCATCAACAATACCCAGCAATTTAATAAGCTTCCCTTCTACTTTTTTTTTAAGTGCATTCTAAGAGCTTTCATAGATGAATTTTTCAAATATTCACTGTTAAAGACAGGAAAGAGATAATTTCTATAAGTCTGCCAACCCTAAAGTGTTCCATTTAAGTTAAAACATAAGAAACAATAAAGTTGCTGAAAGACATGAGATTCCATATTCTGATGCCAGAGAAAATCTTAAGTGCTCACGCTTAACAGAAACAGAAAATTTCTAAAAATTTGGGAATTAGGTCTACATATGCCACCAAGAGGAAACCATTACAAGATTAAATTCCATATTTGTTTAAAATCATGCTTGAATACTCAATATACCTTAAAATAAGCAACCCCCAAACCAATCCTGATCAGAAAAATGGGATTAGTTTATCTTCCAAATGAAACTGATTACCTTTACAGTGTGCCTTCAACTGATCCTTCCAGCCACATTCAATTAATTTAGCTCTCAGCAACTCTTTGAGGCTGTTGAAACAGAAGTGTTTTCAAATTGAACAATGTATAACATCTTAGACAGGAATGTATGAAGCAAAGTTTCAGTGTTCAACTAAAAATTCCCTGCCTTCCAGTTACAAAACTTTAACTGTGGCCTAATCTTGGTTCAAATGCTAAATAGTTCTTTGATCTCATGCAAGTACTTAAATTCTAGGCCTTTCATTTCATCTGGGTCTCATTTAATGAGTGAAATTAAATGAAGTGGAGGGGCTAAAATACTTTTCAAGAAGCTCTATTATTTGGCCACGTTATATACTCTCCACCGTCCTCTACCAACAGGAATATCATGGGTCTTGTACAACATCTAGAAAGTATTAACTGAACCTGGAGCAGCTGCACCTCGAAATCTTCAAATTCCAAAATCCATTCTTTAACCTCAACTTCTTACCCTTTAGCTCTACTATTTCCCCCATTACCTCTAACTTCACAGGCTACCCACCTCTTTGATCCCAGCCTATCAGGCCCTTCTAAACTACAAAATGACAATGGTATTTCATTGACTGTAAGACCGTTGTTCTCCCCACATTTTAACGATTCAGTAATTGGCATGCCCCCAGTGTTTTCTTTCTCTCGATGGCAAAAAAGTGGCAGTGTATATGCAACTAATGGCATCACAGGTGCAATAAAATATTTTCTTATCCTTTTGCCATATCCACTTTTACAAATCTTCAATCCTCAACCTAAATCATTTAACTTCTCAGGTTAAAAATGTCACATCCCAAACAAATTCTCTTTCCCTGCAAACCACTTTCACTATCCCTAGACATCCACTATGTGACATTCTCATCTTAATATTTAATTAGGTCTTTCAATCTTAATAGGGCCAAAATCCAACTTTTGATTTTCTACCAATTCATCCTGTTTGTTCTTCTTCTGAGAATGGCAATTCCATTCTTCTGGTTCCTCAGACTAGGAATCTCTGTAGTATCCTTCCACTCAGCTGCCTTGTTAACACTACACATCCAATTTATGAGCAAATCCTATTGGGTTCAATTTAAAACATATACCTAGAATTCACCTTTCTCACTATCTCCGCCATTACTACTCTAGTTCAAGCCATCATCTCTTCTCTAGAATATTACCATAGCATTCTAGGTTGTCTCCCTGCTTCTTCCCTTGTACACTTAGTTCTTCTCCTGCTGCTCAAAAACCTCCAGTGCCTTCCCAATTTACTCAGAATAAAACTCCAAGACTTTATTACAGCCTACATGATCCTTCATGATCTGCCTTCTCCCCAGCTATGCCACTGACTTAATCTCCACTCTCCCTCACCCAATTTACTCAGTCTCCCTAGCATCCCTGTGCTCCTCAAAAATGAAAGGCAAGCTCCTATCTCAGGAACTTAAAGAGTCCCTGCTCACCCTCATATCCTTCTGATTTTTTTTTTTTTGAGACGGAGTTTCACTCTTATCACCCAGGCTGGAGTGAAGTGGCGCGATCTCAGCTCACCGCAACCTCCGCCTCCCGAGTTCAAGCGATTCACCTGCCTCAGCCTCCTGAGTAGCTGGGACTACAGCCCATCACCATGCATGGCTAATTTTTGTATTTTCAGTAGAGATGGGGTTTCACCATGTTAGCCAGGATAGTCTCAATCTCCTGACCTTGTGATCTGCCAGCCTCAGCCTCCCAAAGTGCTGGGATTACAGGCGTGAGCCACTATGCACGGCCTCCTTCTGATTTCTTCTTTGTTTTTTCTATCTAAAATATTACACCTCTTTATTTTCTGCTTTATTGTTCCTCTAGTGCTCATCACCATCTGACATTATTACACAGTTTTATCTGTCTCCTCCCATTAGAATGCAAGCTCTGTGAAAACAAAGTCTCCATTTTTGTCTACTACTGTTACCTCCAACACCTTAACAGGGCATGGCATATGATAGAAACTCAGTAACTTGAAGCTGCATGAATCAAAAACAAACAACAAAAAAAAAAAACAACATACAATCCGTACTCCTTACCAGCAGTACTATCCTCTAAAGCTACCCAAGGCAGTTATCGATGCCTCCTTCCTCATTTTGAGGGTTGCTGTTTCTACATTTTATTAAAATTCTAAGGTCTCCTTCCAATTTTTGGAGTTTTCCATTTTCAACCCTATATAATCTTCTACCTCATTTTTCTGCCATCTATCTTGTCCCCTTCAAGTCCAAGCTCCACACCAACAGAGTAAGATTCCTAAAGTGTAAATGTGATCTAGTCATTTCCTTTCTTAAAACTTTAAATGACTCCCATCATCCAAAAATAAAGTCAGCAACAGATGCACCTCTTTTTCTTATTGTGTGAGATCTTACATGATCACCTGAATGCCCGGGTTGAGTTGAAAGATTCCCCCTCTTCCTTATACATATTTGCCTCTTCCTTATACATATTTGTCTTACTCACTTTATAACCCTGCCTCTGGGAGCCTTTCTTGATTCCTCAGCCCCTTCTTTGTACTTCTAAACCTGTTGATTCTGCAAATATTTACGTGGCCAATTATGAACCAAACAAAGCATTAGATGCTGGGTATACAATGTTGTTTTTGGTGTTAAAGAACTTAGATTATACTGGAGGATACAAACTAGCCAAGTAGATTGTTAGAACACAATGTTGATTAAATGCTATGATGGAACAAGGTATTTGGGACTTAAAAACATTCCTTGAAGAGACAATATATAAATTAGACCTGATAGTTGAGCTAGAATTAGCTAAAAAGGAAGAGAAGGAAGAATGTTTTAGAGAGTGGAAACAGCACTTGCTGCTCCAAGGTTGAGAGCTTGGTAAATGAAGCTGGTTCCACAACATTGTCTCCCTGTTAAAACCCAGGTAACATTATGTCTCCAGTTGTAATTCAGGTATGTACTTTTTCTTCTCCATCAAATTACTCTTTAAGAGCCATATCTTGCTCATCTTTCTACATCACCACTTCCCTCCAAGTCCTGCAATACTTAACAAACCTAAATTATTTTTTCCAGATGTTCGGAATAGAAACTTTTATAATCTCAATTGTAATTCTTTCCAGTGACATGTTTCATTTCTTGTTTAGATTCTTACAAGCTAACTATTAAAGGCGGTGAAATGTAATTTATTAACACAATCTATTACTTACCGTTCTCTTTCTCCAGTTTCTATCAACTTTTGGTTAATCGCTGCTCTCATCTGCGCATCTTTGTTCATCTTGCTAACCTGGACATCAACATGTACTTTCAGATATAGAACATTTACAAAGCATTTTCTGCTAAATCCTCTAGGCAGGCATCCTAACATGTTTACCATTCTATTAACTGAAGGGGTGATACATTTCAAGTGTGTTAATAATATCATTACTCTTTATTAAACACTTATGTGCTTGGCACTGGGCTAATGCAGTGTGGGTTTGCTTTTTTTTAAACATCACATTTAATTCCCAGAACGTATTGTTACATATTTATATTAATAAAATAATCTGTATTTTACTGATGAGGAAACTGAGGCACAGAGATAGAAAGTGGAAAGGCAAAATTTGAACTCAAGTACTTTGACCCTAGGAGCTCCAAAACTGAACATAACTGCCGATCACTTCTGCAGAGACTGCATCCAAAAATTGGGAGAAGTCATACATACTAAACATCAAAAAAAGATTAAATACTATTAGTAAAAAAATAAAATTACCAGGCCGGGCACAGTGGGTCACACCTGTAATCCCAGCACTTTGGGAGGCCCAGGCAGGTGGATCACGAGGTCAGGAGTTCAAGACCAGCCTGACCAAGATGGTGAAACCCCGTCTCTACTAAAAATAGAAAAATAAGCTGGGCTTGGTGGCAGGTGTCTGTAATCCCAGCTACTCAGGAGGCTGAGGCAGGAGAATCGCTTGAACCCAGGAGACAGAGGTTGCAGTGAGCCGACATTGCGCTGCTGCACTCCAGCCTGGGTGACAGGGCAAGACTCTGTCTCAAAAAAAAAAAAAAAAATTAATTAATCAAAAAAAATAAAATTACTAGATAAGGCTCTAAGTGTTTTGCTTTACTCTTCACTAGGATGAACCCACAATTACAACTGCTAAACCTAAGTGTGTGGATGTGTGTGTTTACACACACACTGCTGGTGGGATAAGAAGAAAACAAATCTCAAACTAATTCCTAACTTACAAAGTCCTCAATTGTCAGTAAAAACAGACAACCCAAACCAAAATGATGTTGAAAGAAGAGGAAAGTTAGGTTTTGAAAGCGTTAAAGCCACTTAAAAGTTTAAATTAAATAAAACTTGGCGTAAACTAACGTTTTCCCACCTAATCTGTCACTAACTTGAGATTACTTTTGTTGTCTTCCATCTGGCCTATTGAAAATTCAGACTGGCAATGAGTTACCAGAGTTGATTTTTTTTTTCTTTTTTGAGAGGAACAGGGAAAAGGAGAAGTTGAGTGAGAACTAGGAAATGCTTGCTTTTGTAATTGGAGGCTAACATTTTCAAAATAACTACAAGGTCTAGTCAGTACCACTCCTGGAATATTGAACTTGATCTCGTCTTGGCTCCTAAAATACGGATAGTGACCTTGGACAAGTCACTTAATTCTTAAAGGCCTCAGTTTTCTCACTGGTAAAACAAGGGCGCTAGGGTATCCCTCCCAGTTCAGACATTCTTAGGGAAAATAGAACAGGGCGGAGACAGCGGGAGAGGCGGGAGAGGAGGAGCCAGAAAACAAAGCGAGGACTGGTTTCAGGCCAACTCCGGTAGCACGCCCTGTCGGAGAGCCCTACAGGCCCGCGAGCGCGGGTCGGGGACGCTAACGAAAGACAGTACATCGAAAGGAGCCTGGGCTGGGCCCGGGTCCCGGCCCTGAGGACCACGGGCATAGCTCACCACCATCACCGCGGGCGAGGGCCGTCCCTTCCCAGCGACGAAATGACCCTTGCGCTGAGGACCGTTACCTACCACACTCTTCGGCTGCCCGGACTTAGACCCTCAGTAGCTCGGGCACCTAAGCACACAGAAAGCTAGAACACGCATTTCCGGGGCGGGGTCTCGCCACCCTGCCTATAATGTGAGAATTTAACCAGCGCGGGCCGCCTCCTGGTTGCTAGGGCCTCTGGGTAACAGAGTTCAGACCTTGCCGTCGCGCGCGCGTTAAGTACCAGGAGAACTACATAGCCCAGCATGCAACAGTCTCAACTTTTTCACGGACACTACATTTCCCAGAAGGCAGTTCGCACCGCAGTGTTTTCTGGGATGGGAACCACGCCGCTTCCCAGTCTCTGTGCGAGGCGTGAAGCGCGGACCTTTCAACAAGGGCTTTATTAATTCTCACGCTGCGGCCCTGGAAAGCGATGGAGGTGGCGGCTAATTGCTCCCTACGGGTGAAGAGACCTCTGTTGGATCCCCGCTTCGAGGGTTACAAGCTCTCTCTTGAGCCGCTGCCTTGTTACCAGCTGGAGCTTGACGCAGGTGGGAAGCGGCGGCGCCCTTCGTACTCCGTTCCTTTCCCCTTTCGGCTGCCTCCGGCCTGACCCTTCCCGCAATTTCTTTCTTTCTGACTGGCAAGCGAAGCCACCGTGGCGGCTTGCGTGGACTCACGGAGGCCGCTGCTTCTGGGGAATGATGCCCATCCCAGAACCCGGTGGGAGCCGCCTTCGCGCGCTCTTCGGTAACGGGACCCTGGGCCCCCTCCGTCAGCAGCCCAGCCTCTGAGGTCTGAGGTCTGAGGGCTGGCGTGCGGGTAGTGCCTGGGGCTCTGGCTGCTGTGTGTCCACAGCCTGGCTTCTGTTTCGGGGGACGCTGAGAACATTCCTTCCTCCTGGAGCATCGCTTGTGAACGTGTGCGTTGAGAAACCACACCTCCTTGGAGGACCCCCAGTTCCTGTTTCCTCTGACCGAGAGCCGTTTCTTAGAAGAGAAACTACATTCCAGTCATAGCATTTTTAATTACTCAGTTCCTGGCACATTAAGAACTCTGGTAGAGAACATCTCTAGAAGATAGTGAGGAAAAGTGGATTTACTCCCACACTGCTACTCCTTGCTTTATCTGTAGCTGGTAGAATATCCTTACTCTTGTTTTTACAACTTAACGGCATTTTCGTTATGATAGAGCCCAGAGATCTGCATTTTAAAATTCACACCCCTGCTGATTCTGATGCATGTTTTCAGAGATCACACTTTGAGAAATAGTGATCTACAGTTAATTATAATAACAGACATTAAAGTATAAAATAAGTTTATGCTAATTGATTTATTAAATTCAGAAATATTTACCGAGTACCTGTTTTGTGTTACGTCCTGATAATATCAAAATGAACAAGACACCTTCCGTAACAAAAGAGGACTATTAGCTAGTTAGGAAGAAAATTGTAAACAGATAATTGTAAAACAATATGGGAAGGCAGTGATAGGGATATGTACAAAATACAATGGTAGTACTTGAATATCTTTCCTAAACTAGTCTGGGGATCTGGGAAGGCGTCTTGGAGGAGTTAATATCTAAGTTGAGCTTTGAAGGGTAGGTTAAGAGTTGACTAGGATGAGAGAGGATAAGCTTGATTTTTCTTTTTATTTTTTTCCTTTTCCTCTTTGCCACCGTGTTTCTTCCAGTCACCCCATGTCAGTAGATGGTATCACCATGTTTAGTTAGTGCATTAGAAAGTGAAGCCAAAATTCAGTGTCTCAAAACAAGAAGCAGTTATTATTGCTCACAAGTCTACGGGTCAGCTGAGTGGTTCTTCTAGTCCTAGTTGGGCTCATTGATGCATCCTTGTTCAGTAATGGATCTGCTGGGAAGCTCTGCTCATTTGGCTGGACTTCCTCATATGTTTGGAGGGTGGGGGTAGGGTCTCAGACTATAAGCTTGTTTAAGATTCTTTCACATGGTCTCCTCTTGACTTTTCTCCGTGTGGTCTCTTATCCTTTAGCCGACTAGACTAGCCCAGGTTGGTACCAAGAGACACTTGTGCCAGAGTCATTTGGGGTTTATTTCTTTTAGCCACTGTCTGCTTGGTAGCAAGTCCGGTCAGCTCCACATTTTGATATCTCTAGGCCTCCACCCTAATCCAAATCAGAGTTATCTCTTACCTGAACTCTAGTAGCCTCCTGACTAGCCTTCCTGCCTTCACTTTTGGGCTTCGTCATTGCATTCTCCATAAGACGTACTTATCGGCCTTTTAAATTCTATCTTGATTTGTTGTCTGTTTCCTCCACTAGACTATGAGTTCCTTGAAAACAGTGATGTTTTTCTTTTGTTCACTACCCTATATCTAGTGCTTGGCACATAGGATGTATTCAATAAAATGAGTATATGAAGAAGAGAAGAAATTGTTGAGGTCATTCCATTCATGGGAAAGCATGAGGAAAGGGAAATAATTAGTAGGTTGTATGCTGGACATCCTTGCACTCTTATATTGCTGGAGCAAAACGTCTGGGAAAGTGAGAGGAAATAAATCAGTGAGGGCCTTGTTTGCCTTTTGGATTTCTTGGATTTCCGGTCATTCAGTGTTTCCCTGACATTTTTGTATTGAGCCATTACAATATAAAATAAAACTCAGCTGCTGTAGTTCTGCCAACTTTTCTGTTTACTAGGTGGAGATGTTTCTTAAAAACTATCATTTACTCATCTATCTTTTCATAAACAAAAGGATATTTTAACACCAAAAAAGCAGGAAGCAAAATCTCACAATAAACAATCCATTGAATACTTTAACTTTAGAAAAAATTCACAAAGTTGTCCTTGTTCCGTACTCATTTCATCAGCGTTAATCTTAGATTCTGTGTTTGGGATGTACAGCTGCAGGATATCAGGTGCCATTTGAAGATTTTTTTTTTTTTTTTTTTTTTTGAGTCTGAGTCTTGCTCTATTGCGGAGGCTGGACTGTAGTAGTGTGATCTCGTCTCATTGCAACCTCTGCCTTCCGGGTTCAGGCGATTCTCCTGCCTCAGCCTCCCGAGTAGTTGGGATTACAGGCGCCCGCCACCATGCCCAGCTAATTTTTGTTTGTTTCTTTTTGTTTTTGTTTTGTTTTTTGAGACGGAGTCTCTGTCGTTGAGGCTGGAGTGCAGTGGCGCGATCTCAGCTCACTGCAACTTCCGCCTCCCGGGTTCAAGCAGTTCTCTGCCCCAGCCTCTGGAGTAGCTGGGATTACAAGTGCCCGCCACCAAGCCCAGCTAATTTTTGTATTAGAGACGGAGTTTTACTATCTTGGCCAAGCTGGTCTTGAACTCCTGACCTCGCGATCCACCTGCCTCGGCCTCCCAAAGTGCTGGGATTAACAGGCCTGAGCCACTGCTCCGACCGATTTTTTTTTTTCTTTGAAGTTCCGGGGTACATGTGCAGGATGTGCAGGTTTGGTACATAGGTAAACGTGTGCCATGGTGGTTTGCTGCACCCGTCAACCCATCACCTAGGTATTAAGCCCAGCATGCATTAGCAATTTTTCCTAATGCTCTCCCTCCCCCTACCCCATTCTCTGACAGACCACAGTGTGTGTTGTTCCCCTCCCTGTGTCCATGTGATCTCATTATTCAGCTCCCACTTACAAGTGAGAACATGTGGTGTTTTGTGTTCTGTTCCTTCGTTGGTTTGTTGAGGACAGTGGCTTCCAGCTCCTTCCATGTCCCTTTGAAGGATATGATTGTGTTCCTTTTTATGGCTGCATAGTATTCCATGGCGTATGTGTACCACATTTTAAGTACAAGGGACGTGAACAGATACGGGAGTTGAAAAGCTTACCTCAGACTCTGTGGAGGTTGAGTTTGGAAGATGAGATGACTGCACACAGCAGATAGGAGGCTTTTGCAATAGTTCACATGATGAGTTTTTCATTAGGAATTACTTGAGGATGATGAAAAAGATTATTTTGTTTAAAAACTATCATTTCTAGAGATAGTGAAGCATAATTGAGGCGCTTCTGGTAATTTGATTTCTTTTATTCTAACTGAAGGAGTTCACTTTAGTTCCACAAACCTTTGATGGGCACCTTGGCTACCTGAAACACTGCATTTAAGATGTAAAGATGATGTGGTCTCTGGTGTCAAGAACTTGATGCAATGAGGCTTATTCTCTTGTCTTAAATAATGTTATTAAGTTGTACCAAAATTTCCTTTGCTACATAAGCAGTAAATGTCACTTTGTCTTTTTCTATTCCAAAGAACGAAACAAAAAACTTATTTTTAATCAAATTGTAATTGTCTTTTGATCCGGCAATTTCCTTCCTAGGCATTTATAAATATCCTTTTCCTAGAATCTTCATTTAGTACAAGTCTTTTTATATGTTTTTATATGTTTCCCAGCTATATTTCACCTAGCTAATTCATACTTCATTCTTTCATGTTGGCTTACATGTTACTTCCTCAGGGATTCCTTTCTTGACTAGTCAGAATCTACACTATAGAATCTGTATTATGCGTTGCCATAGTAACCAGTACTTCATAGACTTTATCATACTTCGTAGCATCCAGTATGTTTTCTTTGCTAAGATTATTGATTTTGTATTGAAGGGTCCCATGTCCATCGTTTTCAATGCTTTATCTCCAGGGTTGGAGCATGCCTGGTAAGTAGGACATAAATTTGTCTCACAAATTAAACAGCTTTATGAAGACATAATTGACAATAAACTACAAATTTAAAATGTACAACTTAAGAAGTTGTGATATATGTATACACCCGTGAAATCATCACCACAATCAAGATACTAAACTTAGCTATCATTCCCAAAGTTTCCTTGTACCCTTCTGTAACCATCTCTCTGCTCCTTCTGCATTCTAGGTTGACAGTTTTTTCTTTCAATGCTTTAAAGTTATAGCCTCAGTCTTGCTTATATTGTTTCTGATGAGAAATCTCACATTATCCTATCTTTGTTGCTCTATACATAACATGCCTTTTTTCTTCTGTTTTAAGATTTTTCTCTTTTACATTGGTTTTGAGCAGTTTGATAATATTGTGGCCAGCTGTGGTTTTCTTTATGATTCTTATGTTTGGGGTTTGTTGGGCTATAAACTGCGGACATATAGTTTTTATCAAGATCAATGGCAATATTTTGGCTATTATTTCTTCCAACTTTTTCCCCTCCTTTTCTCCTTTGAAGACTCCAGTTACACATTTTTAGATCACAGAAGTTGGTCTCAGCTCATGAATGCCCGTTTCATTTTTTCTTCATACTTTTTTCTGTTTTATTGCCAATAGTTTCCATTTTCATGCCTTTAGTTCCGTTTACTTTTTTTTTTTGTAATATTAGTCTCTTGTTAATCCCATCTGGTGTATTTTTCATCTTGGACATTGTAATATTCACATCTAGAAGTTTGATTTAAATCTTTTGCATCTTTCTTGCTTCTACTTACTTATGTTGAACATACATGGAGTACATGTAGCAATAATTGTTTTTACATCTTGTTCTGTGAATTGTAGCTTCCATGTCAGTTTTATATTGGCTTCTATTGATTGGTAATTCTCTTCATTATGGATTTTGTTTTCTTTCCTCTTTGCATATGTGGTAATCTTTGATTGGATGCCAGACATTGTGAATTTTACCTTGTTAGGTGCAGGTTATTTTTGTATTTTTATAATGTTCTTGAGTTTTTTTTCCGGGATATAGTTGAGTTACTTGGAAACAGATTAATTCCATTGGTTCTTGCTTTTATGATTTGTTAGTCCGATCAGGAGCAGTGCTCAGTCTAGGGTTATTTCCCACTACCGAGGCAAGACTTTCCTGTGTACACTACCCAGTATCCCACAAATTAAGGGTTTTCTCCATTCTGCTTATTGGGAGCAGTTATGGTTCCTAGCCTTATGTGAGTGCCCAGGATTTCTCTTCAACCCTTTCAGATGGTTCTTTCTGTAGCCTGGGGTAATCTCCTCAAACACATGCCATTAGTACTCTTGAGTACTTGAGGCAGACTCTCAGATCTCTGGGCTTCTCTCTGCATCTCTCTTTTCTCTGCTACTCTGTCTAATGACAGAGTAGTAGCCTAGTTTCTTCAACTCAAGGAGGTTGAAGTCAACTCTGCATACAAGTACTCTGGCCTTTTTCTTTCTTCAGAGAAGGGGGAAGAAAAGCTGGTGAAGATTTACACTACAGTTAAAGGGAGGGAAAAGCCATGTAACCGTTGTATTTATGTAGAGTTGACTATACCTCACTTTCCCTTCTTTGTGCTGTGGTCTGGAAACTCCTCAAGGCAGTAAACTAGATTGGTGGTGGGGCTAATCTCATAAGTGTCCTTTGTTGTTTTATGTCTGATGTCTTGAAAACTGTTGTTTCATTTAACTTTCTCTGGTTTGTTTCATCTTATTGGATGTTTCTGGTGGAAAGATAAATCTGGTTCCTATTCTTCCATGTTGGCTGCAAACAAAAGTTATTCAATGTATATTTTTAAGTGAAAAAATATTTTCTGTAGAATAATAGAGCTAGAAACAATTGAAAAGGGCTAATGAGTATAGTGAGAAAATGGATGTATAAACAGCTTTTTAAAGAAGTTTGAGAAGAACAAGGTAGGGGAGAGCTCTGCTTTAGCGGCCAGGCAGAGAAAAGGAAGCCTTTTTTATTTGTTTATTTTGCGAGTGGGGAAGTTTCAGCATATGTAAGTGGAGGAGAAACACCAGTGGACAGGAGATAACTTCTGGCAGGAGAAAATTGAATCATAAACACCTGTGTGGGAATTAGCCTTGAATGGGAGAAAAGGAACAGGGAAATCAATGCTTAATCTTATGTGCCATGCATTGATAGTAAATACATTGCATATTTCGACTGAAGCTTGTCAATGTTTTGGTACAATTAGTATTACTAACCTTTATTATAGATGAGGAAATGGGCAATAAGATGAGCTAACTTAACCAAGTTATTCATCAGTGGCAAAGCTGACCCTAAAGCTCATGCTTTTCCTAATGATCTTTGTGGTCACTCTGGCCTTTTTCTTTCTTCAGAGCAGAGGGAAGAAAAGCTGGTGAAGATTTACACTACAGTTAGAGTAAAGGGAGGGAAAAGCCACGTAACCATTGTATTTATGTAGAGTTGACTATAAAACTCATCTCTACCCTTATGGAGGAAAAGATGGGGAAAATACCCACATGAATGTGTTGAGGTCAGAGAAGTATTGCATAAAATAATTTTATGGGAGCAGTGCTCTTAACTCTGGTCCTCCCGTGTTCTTTAAGTCTCGCTTTAGAATTTGTGGACTTGTACTTTTACTTTTTTACACCTTCATAGATAAATAGCAAGCTCAGTAACTAGGTGAAAAGAAGGCTTATTGGGTTGATTCTAGAAGCTAAGTGGTCCATGAAGTGACCTTTGTAAGTTAACGTTCTTGGCCTCTCTCTTCCCCCTCTTTAAAGATTATTATACTTTGCTTATGTAAATATTAGACTGCATCATATTTAATTGGTGTCAAAGAGTTAAATATTGGCAATATCATGTGGTTCAAGTAATAGTGTATTTTGAGAAGCCAAGAAACAGTAATGAATATCATCGTTAGCACTATTAGTGCAGGAGACAGGTCTGTTTTATTCACTGTTTGTGCCCAATGCCAACCACAATGTCTGGTACATATAGTAGATATTCAATAAATAATTTATGAATGAAAAACTATAGCCCTTTGAGGTCCCATGAGGCTTTTGTGGTTTTCATGTGTGAAAAACTAGGTTTTGAGGTTCGGTAAGTATTTGGGCAAATGTTAAGGGAGACTCTTCTTTTGAGGCCCTAAGTTCTTTTTAGAAGACTAATCCTTATCAGATTTTTCAGCAAAGCTCTTTTATTTTCAATGCAAGGTATCATTAAATAATAAAATATTTACTACACTGGCTTCTCTGTAAAAAGTTCTTCTTCTTCAACCCTTACAAAGATCTATGCAGAGATTGAAGCCTCGCTGCCCCCTACTTCTTTTTTTGGGAGAACTCTGCAAAAGAGCTCTGCCAGTAGCTAAGAACTGTCACATTCTGGACACTGCTTTTCTACTTTCAGTTGCTCTGCCTCCCACTTTTATAATCAAGATAATTGACATGGTCATCATCATGTGATAACTTTTCCTTTCTCATTTGAGGCCAGAGAGGTGTCCTTTTTCTATGCGTTAATAGAGATTTTACAAAATAGCATGTAATATGGCCTAGACTCACATCTGTGTCTTAATAACTTATATAAATTATTTTGTTGGAATGAAACAATCATGAAGTGTTGTAATAAGACTGATGTCTAAGAAGCCTCCAGTTTGTTCAGGATTGCCCAGAGGTCTTTGCACAGATATGAAGAAAATGTATTTGTTATATCGTTGTCTAATATTACTGCTTCAGGCCCTTATGTTACCATGCAGTTTTCCTGCAGTATCGAGTTTCATCCACACAGTGGTGCTAGAAAACCAAGAATACATATTTCTAACTGTTGCTTATAAAATAAGTGGTGTTATATGTTTCCTCAACCTCTATCAAATCTATCATAATTGGATTTTTACCTGTGAGATGTTTCCATTATCTCTCAACCAGATGATTGCAATAGCTTTCTAATGGATCTTCCTGGATTTACCCTGCTTTATTCCAATTTGTTTTCCATATTGTAGTTATAAGTACTCTTTTATAAACTCAAATCTGAACTTTACTCTCCTGCTTAAAAACTGTTAATGAATTCTTTTAAATTGAATTTGTCAACAAAAATAAATACAGTCCATTCATAATCCAGTTCTTGCTGAGTTTTCATTTATTGCAACCTTTCCTGTACAAGTCCCCTTGTTGCTCTGCATTTCGGCCAGTGTGGCCTTCTTTGAACAGTGTGGCCTTCTTTGTGTTCTTTGAACACAAGTTTTTCTTCCTACTTTTTACAGATTTTCCTTCTGTCTGGAAAAGTAGAGGAGTGGGTATGCATGTATATAGGTGTATTTTTTATTTTAAAAATATGTTAAATTGATAAACTGGGATTTTATGTTATATTTTGATGCATGCATACGGTGTGTAATGATCAAATCAGTATTTAGGGTGTTCATCAACTTCAGTATTTACCATTTCTTTGTGTTGGGAACATTTGAAATCTTCTAGCTATTTTGGTACTCGCTGTTTTGAAATACACAATATATTGTTGTTAACTGTAGTCACCCAACTGTGCTATCAAACATGAGAACTTAATCCTTTTAATTGTATGTTTGTACCCATTAAGCAACCTCCCTTCATCCCCCACCCCCATCTTTCCCAGCCTCTGATAACTATCTTTCTACTCTCTCCCTCCATGAAATCCACTTTTTTAGCTGCGTGTATGATGTCTTTCTGTACCTGGTTTATTTTATTTATTTATTTTTGAGATGAAGTCTCACTCTGTCCCAGGCTGGAGTGCAGTGGAGCGATCTCGGCTCACTGCAACCTCTGCCTCCTGGGTTCAAGCGATTCTCGTGCCTCAGCCTCCCCAGTAGTTGGAATTACAGGCACGCACTGTCACACCCAGCTAATTTGTTTTTTGAATTTTTAGTAGAGACGGGGTTTCATCATGTTGGCCAGGATGGTCTCAATCTCCTGACCTCGTGATCCGCCCGCCTTGGCCTCCCAAAGTGCTGGGATTACAGGCCTGAGCCTCGGCGCCCGGCCTTGTGCCTGGTTTATTTCACTTAATGACCTCCAGTTCCATCTATGTTGCTGCAAATGATAGAATTTCGTTCTTTTTTATGGCTGAATAGTATTTCAGTGTGTGTATATACTACATTTTCTTTATCTGTTCATCCTTTGGCCACTTAGGTTTCCCCCATGTCTTGGCTTTTGTAAATAGTGCTGAAATAATCATGGAAGTGACGGTATTCCTTTTGATATACTGACTTTCTTTTGTTTTGATAAATATTCATTTGTGGGAGTGCCTATTGTGGTATAGTAGTTATAGTTTTAGTTTTTTGAGAAACCTCTTTACTATTTTCCATAATGGCTATACTAATTTACATTCCCACTGACAGATTATATGTTCCCTTTTCTCCACATCCTTGCCAGCATTTGTTATTTTTTTTTTTTGTATTTTTTTGAAAATAGCCATTCTAACTACAGGAAGATGATATCTCATTGTGATTTCAATTTGCATTTCCTCAATAATTAGTGATGTTGAGCATTTTTTCATGTAACTGTTGGCTATTTATTTATATATTCTTTTGAGAAATGTCTATTAAGATCTTTGCCCTCTTTATAATGGGACTTTTTTTTTTTTGCTTCAACAGCAAAAAAAATTTTCATTCCTTACGATTGAATAGTTTGCAAATATTTTCTCCCATTCTATAGGTTGTCTCTTCACTAGGTTGTTTGTTTCTTTTGCTCTGCAGAAGGTATTTTTGTTGTTGTTGTTGTTTAGTTAAATATAATCCCATTTGTCTTTTTGTTTTTCTTGCCTATGCTTTTGAGGTCTTAACCATAAAATCTTTGCATAGACCTATATCCTGAAGCATTTCTTCTCTGTTTCCTTTTTGGTATTTTTATAGTTTTTGAGTTGATTTTTGCATATGATGAGAGATAGGAGTCTAATTTTATTTTTCTGCTATGGATATCCAATTTTCACACCATTTATTGAGGAAGGTATCCTTTTCCCAGTGTATGTTCTTTGCACCTTTGTCAAAAATCAGTTGGCTACATGTACATGGATTTATTTCTGATCCATGAGCATGAGATGTCTATTTGTGTCCTCTTCAATTTCTTTCATTAATGTTTTGTAGTTTTCTTGTAGAAGTCTTTCACCTTCTTGTTAAAATACTTTTTCTTAAGTTAATTCTTTCTTATCTTTTATGTCGTGGCTCAAACCTTGGAAAGCTTTTGTTAATCTCCCCAAATAGAACTCTTACATTATGTGTTCTCATGGTACCCAGTGATTATTCTTTATCACAATTTAATTATATAAAATTTATTTCATAAAAATTATTTAAGATTTATATGATTATTTGACTAATGCCCATTTCCTCACTGTATCATAAGTGCTAATTGGCAAGATTCCATTCTTGGCTCATCACTGTGTCATCGATGCCTATTGAAATTTTATTTATTTATTTTTAAATTTATATTAGTTTCTGTATAAATGAATATAAGTCAGACAGGACTCAAAGCAGGTATTGGAAGTGGGAACAGGTGAGCATTTGGGGGAGGAAGAAAACAGTTGCCATCAGAATACAGTAAAGTGAGTTTTATATTAGGGTAGGATATTGGCCCAGCATAATCCATTTATATGTTTCCTGCTGGGGCAGAAATTAATTCCAGATCATGAGCAGTTCTGAGCCATGAAAGTTTCCATCTTCATGAAAGGGCAGGAGGAGTGGGAGGAAGAGATCACATTTGCTAGATTTAAACCTAGGGAAGCAGCTAATGCTTAAGTGAAGAAATCTCTGTTCTGTAAGTAGGAGATCTTGTTTCTAGTCCAGCTGTGATACTGTTTTGCTCTGTACCCTTGGAAAAGATGTAGTATAACATTGGAGAAGTCATTATTTGTGTATACATTTATTTATATAACTGTATAATGAGATTTTAAAAGTTAATTTCTTAATGTGTATTAAAATGAATGAGATAATAGTATATTAAAACATTTTTAAAGTATATAAACACTTCATAAATTGGGCTTAACATTTTCCTGGAAATGGTAGATTCTTCAATTTTAGAATTTCTGTTATTTTTATTCATAATTATTAGAGGTGCCTAAAAGAGGGTCATGACATAAAAAGCCCTATCTCCTGTGGCCGCTGTATTCTAAGTCTTGTAAGGACGTGGGACCATATCAGTTTTACTTACTGTTTATCCTCTGTACACAGTACCCAGAAATTATCTTTGAAAGAATGATATACTGAATTGTCCTGAAGGCCTTTGTGATTGGCATTCTGTGATTTTTTTTTTTGCCTTGTAGGCATTCTACAGATAGAAACTATCTGAGGCAAAACTCTTGATGTTTATGTTTGCTTTTCTTGTATTTCAGCTGTGGCAGAGGTAAAACTTCGAGATGATCAATATACACTGGAACACATGCATGCTTTTGGAATGTATAATTACCTGCACTGTGATTCATGGTATCAAGACAGTGTCTACTATATTGATACCCTTGGAAGAATTATGAATTTAACAGTAATGCTGGTAAGAGAAACATGTATGTAATAATTAATATATGTATGTAATATCAAGCAAATTTGATAATTAAGTTTCCCTTTTGAATCTAATATCCAGAGAAGTGAGGTGCACATACCTGTAGTATATGGAATCCTATCTACGTAATACTCCATTTCTTATTTCAATTTTAATTTTTCTCTTTGATCCTGTTATTTACACTTACTCACCTCCACTCTCACCATTGGGCAGCAACTCTCATGGATTTTATATATTATTAATACTGATGTAACTGTTCATGTCTGCTTTTCCTATGTGAGGTGTTGTCCCCAACTATAATGATGAATTTGCTTTTGTTTTAGTTTTTACTTTATGTATTTTTAACTATGTTAATTGGTACAAACATTTAGGATTGTTTTATTTATACTGAATTGATTCTTTTAGCATTTTAAAATGTCTCTTTATCTCTAGGTTCTGTGAATATTTTTTGTCTTGAAATCTTCTTTGGTATTAATACAGTTATTTCTGGATTTTTGTAAATTAGTATTTTTCTTCTTATATGCTTTTTCTATTTATCAGTGTTCTTGTTTTTAAAGTATGTGTCATAAAGAGCATATAGTTGGCTCTTGTTTTTTCCATATGACAGTCTTTCTCTTAATTGGAGGGCTTACATTTATACTTAATTTAATCTAGTTCCCAATATTCTTGGGCTAATATTACCATCTTGCTCTTCTCATTATGCCCTGTTTGTTCTTTGTTCCTTGGTGTCTTTGTTCCTACTTTTTTGCAGGAGGAATTAATCACAGTTTTTCTTTTTAAAAAAAATGTCCTTAGAACTCGATTTAATTTCCTCTTTTGGCTTTTTATTTAAACCTGTTTGTATTATTATTTTTTAAATGGTTGATACAGAGGTTATAGTGTTTTCCTTGACTTACCACAGTCTGCCTCTAATTAATATTATTTTACTTTAAAAACAATGTGAAAACTTTACAACAATATAATTCCTTTCACTTACCCTCTCATTGTTTGAGCTAATTTTATCATATGTTTTTCACCTTCATATGCTGGAAACTCCACAATACATTGTTAATATATTTGCTTCAAACAGCCAATAATCTGTTAATAGCTTCCTAAGTACTCTATTCCTTCTAGCCCTCCTGCGCATTGCATCTACAGAGTAGTCTGTCTGATTTGCGTGTTTAATATTATCACTTGCTAAAATTCTTTTAATATTTCCTTCATGGCAAAATCCATGTTTTTAATATGTAATTTAAAAATAGGCAATGTGTTCATGTAATTTAAAAACCAAAAAAGTTATAAAAGGTATTTAGTGAAGCCTCCTTGATCCCATCTTTTATCTATCCTATCTCCAGTATCCATTATTTCCCCTGCAATGTCTTTATTGGTTTTGTGTGTCTTTCCAGATGTGGTAGGTTATTTGTTGTTGTTTTTTGCAAGTATAAACACAAAATGATGTTGCGGGAAGTCAGGGACCCCAAATGGAGGGACCAGCTGAAGCCATGGCAGAAGAACGTAGATTGTGAAGATTTCATGGACATATATTAGCTCCCCAAATTAATACTTTTGTAATTTCTTATGCCTGTCTTTACTGCAATCTCTTAAACATAAATTGTAAAGATTTCATGGACACTTATCACTTCCCCAATCAGTACCCTTGTGATTTCCTATGCTTGTCTTTTCTTTAATCTCTTAATCCTGTCAGCTGAGGAGGATGTCTATCGCCTCAGGACCCTGTAATAATTGCATTAACTGCACAAATTGTACAGCATGTGTGTTTGAGCAATATGAAATGTGGGCACCTTGAAAAAAGAACAGGATAACAGCAATTGTTCAGGGAGTAAGAGAGATAACCTTAAACTCTGACCGCAGGTGAGCTGGGCGGAACAGAGCCATATTTCTCTTCTTTCAAAAGCAAATGGGAGAAATATCGCTGAATTCTTTTTCTCAGCATGGAACATCCCTGAGAAAGAGAATGTGCACCTGGGGGTGGGTCTCTGAACTGGCCCCCCTGGGCATGGTCGTCTCTTATGGTCGAGACTGCAGAGGTGAAATAGATTCCAGTCTCCCATAGTGCTCCCAGGCTTATTAGGAAGAGGAAATTCCTGCCTAATAAATTTTGGTCAGACCGGTTGATCTCAAAACCCTGTCTCCTGATAAGATGTTATCAATGACAATGGTGCCTGAAACTTCATTAGCAATTTTAATTTCGCCCCAGTCCTGTGGTTTTGTGATCTCGCCCTGCCTCTACTTGCCTTGTGATATTCTATTACCTTGTAAACTACTTGATGTCTGTGACCCACACCTATTCGCACACTCCCTCCCCTTTTGAAAATCCCTAATAAAAACTTGCTGGTTTTTGCGGCTAGTGGGGCATCATGGAACCTACTGACATGTGATGTCTCCCCCGGATGCCCGGCTTTAAAATTTCTCTCTTTTGTACTCTGTCCCTTAATTTCTCAAGCTGGCCGATGCTTAGGGAAAATAGAAAAGAACCTAGGTGAATATTGGGGCAGGCTCCCTGATGAAATGATATATATTCTTAAAATAAACTTTTCATCTTTGCATATACGTTTATATGCCGAGTTTTCTCCAACCTTGTCTTACAGCACTTTGTATACTACATTCTAGCCATACTAAACTCTTGCAGTTCCTGAGACATGTGCTGTATCCTATTTCTTCTGGTCCTTTTCTCATTGATTAACTACCTGGAGCATACTTTTAATTCAGTGTCAGTCTGCTTTGCAATCTTTACTTAAGTCCTAGGTAACCATTTTGTCATCTAGCAAGCTTGCCTTGACATCTTACCTCTGTTCCCCTAGGAATATTCACACCATTGGCTCTCAAATCTACATGTGCTGTGAATTTCTTCTATTCTAGAGGTTGATACGCTTTTCTGCACAAGGCCAGCTAATTTAGGCTTTGTGGGCCAGATAGTCTCTTGTTGCTCGCTTTTGCTGTTGTAGTGTGAAATCAGCCATAGACAGTTTATAAGCAAGTGAGTGTGGCCGTGTTCCAATTAACCTTTATTTACAAAAACATAAAATGGGCCGAGCGCGGTGGCTCACGCCTGTAATCCCAGCACTTTGGGAGGCAGAGGCGGGCGGATCATGAGGTTAGGAGATCGAGACCATCCTGGCTGACACGATGAAACCCTGTCTCTACTAAAAATACAAAAAATTAGCCAGGCGTGGTGGCAGGTCCCTGTAGTCCCAGCTACTCAGGAGGCTGAGGCAGGAGAATGGCGTGAACCTGGGAGGCAGAGCTTGCAGTGAGCAGAGCTTGCAGTGAGCCAAGATCGCACCACTGCACTCCAGCCTGGGCCACAGAGCAAGAGTCCGTCTCAAAAAAAAAAAAAAAAACATAAAATGGGCAGGAATTGGCCTGTGGACTATAGTTTGCCACCCACTGGACGAGGCCATGGGTTCTAGCACCCAGCAGAAGGCTTGATCAGTATATTTGTTGAATGGATAATAGCTGTGTAAAGTTCATTATTACTGTTGGGAGTTGGCTTTGGAATAGGGTCTTCCTCCTGTTATTTCTAATCCAAGTGTAGGTATGAGTTCTGTATTGGCAATGCAGTGTTTATCTCAAAATGTTCAGAAAGGAGTTAGACATTTCCTGGTAATAAATATTTTCCTTCAGGTGACTCCTAAAACAGATAGTGTAAAATTCTGATTGTTTCTTGTTGGATCAGAGGAATGCAATCTGGCCTCTTACTCTTAGATATTAGTTGCTTTTTCTTGCTAGCCCCATGTTCTACTAAGGATTACTATCTAGGCCCAATGTGTATAAGCCAACTAAAGTGATAGGACATGCATTTTTATGAGTGGCTATGCTCTGATCTCTCTGATCAAATAAATTTTAATGATCAAATAGATTTTGATGTAGAGTTCTGTGTGTATGTGCATGAAAGTTTTTCCTTAATCCTTTTTGTGTTAACAAATAGGGCATTTGTTGATAGCATTTGCTGTACCATAAAGTTTGCCAATAACATTTATTCTACCAATTTTCTGACTCGAAGTCAGATGACATTATGGTAGATCTGAAAGTGTTAATTTTTGTAGTACCATCCATATTCATAATCTATTTTACTTTTCCATAGATATCTTGTGGCACATGTAATGTAGCTCTAATACGTGTTGTTAGGGAGGTAGGGTAGTTGGTCAAAAGGAAACTAGACATTTAAGACAGACTTACCAAATGAGTTCATTTTAACGTGTTTATTGAAAACCTGCTCTGTGTAGGACACTAATGTATAGGTTGGTGCAAAAATAAAAACTGTTTTACCATTATTTTTAACATGTTCAAGTACTTATACTTCTACATATAAGTTCAGGTAACTTATATGTTATACTTTTTAGGTGCTAATATGAGTGTACAGGTAACTATTACATGGTAATATGTAGCTGACAAAAAGGGTACAGCAGTCTCCATATATCCTTGGCTTCAGTTTCATAGAAAATAAGAATAATGATAAGGTTTTTTAGACGTTAAAGCAAGGTGTGTGAAAATGCTTTGAAAAGTGGAAGGCATTATGCAAATATAAAGAGATATTACTGGCATATGCCTTGGGGTATCACTTTATGGGAGACAAACACTGGCTAGTTTTTTTTGCACATATTCCTTCTTTGAGAGCAGTAGAACTGTATGATAAGAATAAATCATAATGTCAGGTAACTTTTATTGCATAGAGATTATTACATATCAGGAACAATTCTAAACACTTTACACGTACTAACTGTTTAATCCACAGAACAATGGATCCTGTGGATCCTTTCTCATAGGATAATATCCTGATATTATCCTGATATACCAGATACTATTATTATCCACATCTTACAGTTGAGGAAACTGAGGCATAGGATGTTTGTAAGAGTCTGGATTTAAACTCATTTATTCCAGAATGCCACAGTGCTCTACCAGTTCTCCTTATTTCTTGTTAATAGAGACGGATATTATGTGTTAATAGAGACAGAGTTTCACCATGTTGCCCAGGCTGGTTTTGAACCCCTAGGCTCCAGAGATCCGCCTGCCTCAGTCTCCCAAAGTGCTGGAGGATTACAGGCATGAGCAACTGCTCCTGGTCTCTATTATCATTTTCAGTGCCAGTTCTCTAATCACCTGTTCAGTTTTTTGTGCAGTAATGGGTTTATTCAAAGTGTGTTTCTAGGGTAATTTTGTAATATGTATTTTTATTAGAGGAAACCATCAGTTTCCTCTTAGGTTTCCAAATATGCTGCTATAAAGTTGCATGCGTTATGCTCTTAAGATTATTGTTGTCTTTTCTCTTTCCTTTCTATATTTTTCCTCTTTTTACCTAATCAAGCTTTAGGAAAGGTATTAGTTTATTTTTAAAGAACCATGTTTTAGGTTCTTAAAGCTTGTTTTCTGCTTAATTTTCTTTGGTTCTCAGACCATATTGTACCTTGGAATAATTGTGGAGTAATTGATCAAAACAAAAACTAATTTCAAGGTACCATTTCCCAAAATTCTGATTCATTATTGTCAGGGTTGGTCATGGACTGGGAACCTGCATTTTATCAAGCACCTCAGGTGGTTTTGCTTGTGGTCCAGGGATGACCAGGTATTAAGAAATTTTGTACCTGGGATACAGAAGAATACTACACTTATTTTTTATTATTTTTCTCATCAGCAACAAATGAAATCAACCTACTCTGAGTTTCTGTCAGGTGCAGGCAGGTAGAGAATGTTGACCACTAACTAGACTATTGGCTTATAGCAGAAAACAGCTCTTCCAATATCCATTTTATTGTTTAATAATTTTTTTTGTTTTCTTTTGTTTTCATCAAAGGCACACGTGCACAAATCCTAGACAGGCTCCTTTTCTGTGACTGATGTACAAATGACCACCTTTGTTAAACCTGAACTGTTGTAGTAAAAGTGAATGCTATGGGACCCAACACTTGAAAGCCATAGGTTGCTAGGTCTTCAGACTGTCTGGAGCCAACAGGTGGCAGCAGGTCTACATACTGGTTTATAAAGACAGAATACTCTCCTTACAAAAAAGTTTAACTTGTAGGTTTACAGTCCTTAATTTTAGGGAAATGTCCCTCGGAAAGAAGTGTGCTAAGGAAGTAGAAAATGCCTTGGGAAAGCAAAAATGTGTTTAAACTTTGGTTTTTTAATACATCCTTATTTTATATATTATGGCTTATTTTAAAGTAATGTGTTCCGTTTCTTAATATTTAGGAAATTATTTCTGTAATAATTTGTTTTGTATTTACCTGAAAAGCTAATTTGTTTCTGTTACTAAAAGAGTGTCATCTTATAGTGCCTCTTTAATTTGTACTTAAAGGTCTAAGGGGCAGTTACTGGATTTCATTTGTAAGAATATATGTGTGAGGTTGCATCTTGGAGTGACATGTTACAACTATTTGTTAGAGGAGCTCAGTTTTATGTCAGTATGTTCATCTCTAGGCCTGAATGTCAGCTTGTTTTCACAGTTGAGTTAATTATTAGGGGACCACTTACTTACCTGTGTAGAGACGAAGGCAAAGTGTCCCCTTTATTCTTAGAAGGTTTGCTGAAAATCTGTTGACAAACGGCAGATTAACATGAGAAAAAGGCATATAAATATATTTTAACATGTGTACATGGCAGAATCCAGGAAAATGACTACCCAGTAACCCAGTGGGGTACAGATGCTTATATACCCTTATTCATACCCTTCTTATGCTTGATCAGTAGGGGACATGGGGGACATGCGGGATAGCAAATGATCTTTAGGGGGAAATGAATGAATGGGCCTGATGCTCAGACAATGATTAGTTAATACTTTTCTTTGGAAATTGAATGGGATGGAGAGCAGACAATGGTTTGTGACTAAGTTCATCTGGGCTGTAGGTGGGGTGTTTAATTTTCAGCCTCTTCCTCTGTGATAGAAGTTTTAATCTTCTCTGGTTAATGAAATTTCAGGGAAAGCAATTGTGTTTCTCTTTGGCAGGTCCAGTTTATAGGTAGATGAAGGAACTTCAGAGAATAGCTTCATCCTGTGCTTGGGAGAAACAGGAAGGGAGGGGAGGCCAGAAAGACCTTGAGGCTGCTTCATGTTGAAGTGGCATTATTTCGGAGTAACATTTTTTGAGCTGCAATGCCTGATGAAAGAAAAAAATAAAGAGTGGGGTAAATACGTAGAACTGTGCGTTTAATACAAAAAAAAGGGAAAAGGAAAAAGGAACTTTTTATGTTCTTTCTTCCAAATAAAGTTAATGGTTATTAATGATGAAAATACTTTGTCCAGAAAAAGATCACTGCCTTTTAAAACGGCAAAGTTTTAAATATCATTGTCTCATAATACTAGTAAATAGTATCTAATAATACTAGTAAATGGTATCCCCACTTGCTTATTTTTTTAAACTTGAGTAGCCCTTTCTATAAATCTATATTTATTAGAAAACTACTTCGTTAGTTCAAAGATTCTCTACTTATAGCTGCAACTAAGAGGGTCCCAAAATGTGTTTAAAGATGTTTTTTATAAATATATATAGTTTATGTATTACTTGTTTACTGTTTATTTACAGTGTCATTTATATATAATATATGGGCATTATAATTTTTATATTACATCTATATTGACCCAGGCATCTGCATTAAAAATACTGTGTAGAGGCCTGAAGAAAAACTGAATATAGTAGTTACATTCAAGGTTGATTTGGGGGGTTGGGGATGGGTATACTAGAAATTGTATTGAGATCTGAAGTATTAATTTATTTAGAAAATCTTCAGAAGTGGTTTCTTCTCAAGCAAATGTGGAGTAGGGGAAAGAAAACCAACTTTTGGAGTAGGGTTTTATCAGGATTTGAGTCTTGGCCCTGTCATTTTCTAGCAGTGGAGCTCCAGGCAAATTATTTAATCTTTTTGAACCTCTCTTCTAAGTGTAGTTAATAATTTTAACTTCATAGAGTTTGGTGATAAATACATGACATGGCAAAAAGTCAAAGCACTTATTTAATAAAATTCTTATACATTATACTGATTCAGTAAGTATTCCGTTCATCAATGAAATTTTAATCCTTCTGCAGTCAGCTGTGTAATGTTGCCTTAGAATGATTTTCAGTGTTAGCCCTTGAACGTAGTTACATTAACTCTTTTTGTGAGGAAAAAGAAAATGATTATGTGAGAGCTGGACATTATAGATGTCAGTTAGCATATAAAGTGTTGTTATGAGGGCATGTAGTGAAATTGTCAATAGAGGTTATTCAGATATAAGTAAATGCTATATTTTGGGATTTAGAGAAAAAGATATTTTATTGCTTATAGTCCATTTAAAATTAAACTGTACTTTGAAAATTAGATCTAAACAATCAGAAACATTTAGTTTGCTTTCACTTTAACTGTCATTAATGCAAGTAAGAGAGCCACTATGTGTTTCCTTTTGTGTTTTAATTTAATTTTGTTTTCACATTTAGATACTCAAGTATCTTAATCATTCTATTGGATATTGTACCCATTTATCTGATTGATAATTAGACTTCTAGCAACCTCCGTCATGTATAACCAGGTATTTTAAAGAAAATGGCTTAAAATGCTCATAATTGTGTATAAAATGAAGAATAGTAATTTAACAAGTTTATCTCTACGTTCTTCCCAGTAATGGTTTATTAGATTAAATGCAGTGTGGGGCCATGTAGTAGACACAACTAGAAACCTTTACTTTGAAATAACTGTTTTGAGGAAAGCCTCCCATTGTATCTTACTAATACCTTTAAAATTACGTATATCACACACAAGTTGCTCAGTCTTAAAATAGTAATGTATTTGAAGCAAAAGGGGAAAATTTTCTCATACTCCTGATCTCCCCGACCACTACACTTCAGTCTTATTTTCCTAATAGTAAACATTCTTAACAGGTCAGCATGTGTCTATCTATACTTTGTGCTGTCGTATCATGATATTTGTTTTGGCATATATGGATTCATATTGTATGTATTCTGCATCTTTTTTTAAAAAATCAGTATTTTATGTCAGTATTATTAATCCGCCTTAGTATATTTAACAATTATTTGGTATTCTATAGGGTGGATGCTCCATAGTTAACCATTTGCCTGCCAATGCTCTCCAGACAAAGATACCAGGCACGCATCTGTGGTTGAATGAGTTGGATTTGTTACTTTTGCAGTAAGGGAGAACACATACCATGGGAACCACAGAGTGTTCAGTAAAAGGAACAGGATGCTGTTAGAAGGTTTGGCTTCTGTTGGGTGATTTTGGAGGAAGGGTTAAAGAAAGTGAGGCTTTATTCTAGATTGAATACTGTCAGGAAATTGGTTGTTTATGTAATGGGTATCTTAATAAGTCTTACCTAGAAGGAGGGAAGACTAGACTGAGGCTCACACTATAATTAGTAAGGAGCTGCAGCTGCTTATATTGGCCTGGTCATATTTGTAGCCTTGACAGTGTTGATGTTTTATCTGTGTTCAGATATTACTGTGAAGTGCTGCTTTTTTGTCCTGCTCCATCACGGTCATGCAGAGGCCTTATCTGATGTGTATGTTTTGTGAAACTATTCCTGTTCAACAGAACACCTGTTAGTGCCAGGCTAGCTAGTAACAAAACAAAGGCCTGGCTGATACTGCTAGGCCTTCTCCGTAATGTCAGGGTCTGCTTTCATCTTTACCTACTTTATTGATAAACAACTAGGTTGTTTTTCCTAGTTTTTATTGGCACAGTTTTTCCTTTTCGTTATTAAAATAAACATACTTGTTACGTGGATCTTCGTGTACATATGCAGGTATTCTTATTGAATAAATTCCTGTAAGTGGAATCATGTCAAACAGTATATAAAACATAAAACTTAATAAAACCATAGCAGCACCTCATAGCTTTAAATTATCTCCAAAAAGCCTATAGTTATTTTTATTCCCACCAACATGGCACTTTAGCCAAGAATTGTCATTACTAGTGTAAGATTGTTTTCTCTGGCCAATGAGATAATCATATTCTATTAATCCATTATTTTATACCAGTGATTTGGGGCTTTTTTTTTTTTTTTTTTTTTTGACAGTGTCTCGCTCTGTTGCCCGGGCTGGAGTGCAGTGGTGCGATTTCAGCTCACTGCAAACTCTGCCTCCGTGTTCAAGCAATTCTCCTGCCTCAGCCTCCTGAGTAGCTGGGATTACAGGTGCCTGCCACCACACCTGTCTAATTTTTGTATTTTTAGTAGAGATAGGGTTTCACCATGTTGGCCAGGCTGGTCTTGAACTCCTGCCTCAGGTGATTCGCCTGCCTTGGCCCCACAAAGTGCTGAGATTATAGGCATGAGCCACCGCGCCCAGCCGACTTTTTTTAAACTATAGTTGTCCCGTTCAAATATTTTCCCCATTTAACATTTTTTAATTTTTTATTTTTAATTTTTTTATTTCCCTAGGTTATTGGGGAACAACAGATGGTGTTTGGTTACAGGAGTAAGTTCTTTAACGGTGATTTGTGAGATTTTGGTAAAGCCATCACCCGAGCAGTATACACTATACCCTATTTGTAGTCCTATTTGTAGTTGAATTTTATCCCTCACCGCTTCCCACTCTTTCCCCCGAGTCCTCAAAGTCCATTGTGTCATTCTTATGCTTTTGCATCCTCATAGCTTAGCTCCCACTTACAAGTGAGAACATACAATGTTTGGTTTCCATTCCTGAGTTACTTCACTTAGAATAATAGTCTCCAATCTCATCCAGGTCACTGTGAATGCCTTTAATTCATTCCTTTTTATGGCTGAGCAGTATCCCATCATATATATATATACACCACAGTTTCTTTATCCACTCATTGATTGATGGGCATTTGGGTTGGTTCCACTTTTTGCAGTTGTGAATTGTGCTGCTATAAACGTGTGTGGAAGTATCTTTTTTGTATAATGACTTCTTTTCCTCTGGGTAGATACCCAGTAGTGGGATTGCTGGATCAAATGGAGGTTCTACTTTTAGTTCTTTAAGGAATCTTCATACTGTTTTCCGTAGTGGTTGTACTAGTTTACATTCCTGCTAGCAGCACAGAAGTGTTCCCTGTTCACAGCATCCACGCCAACATCTACTATTTTTTGATGTTTAGATTATGGCCATTCTGGCAGGACTAAGTTGGGGGTATCGCATTGTAGTTTTGATTTGCATTTCCCTGATCATTAGTGATGTTGAGTTTTTCATATGCTTTTTGGCCATTTGTACATCTTCTTTTAAGAATTGTCTATTCATGGCCAGGTGTGGTGGCTTATGCCTGTAATCCCAGCACTTTGGGAGGCTGAGGCAGGCGGATCACAAGGTCAGGAGATTGAGACCGTCCTGGCCAACATGGTGAAACCCCATCTCTACTAAAACACAAAAAATTAGCCGGGCGTGGTGGCGTGCGCCTGTAGTCCCAGCTACTCGGGAGGCTGAGGCAGGGGAATCACTTGAACCTGGGAGACGGAGGTTTCAGTGAGCCGAGATCGCACCACTGCACTCCAGCCTGGCAGCAGAACAAGACTCCTTCTCAAAAAAAAAAAAAAAAAAAAAAAAGAATTGTCTATTCACGTCCTTAGCCCACTTTTTGATGGGATTGTTTTTTTTCCTTGCTGTTGTAGATTCTGGATATTAGTCCTTTGTCAGATGTATAGATTGTGAAGATTTTCTCCCACTCTATAGGTTGTCTCTTTATTCTGCTGACTGTTCCTTTTGCTGTGCAAAAACTCTTTAGTTTAATTAAGTCCCAGCTGTTTATCTTTGTTTTTAATCTCATTTGTTTTTGGGTTCTTGGTCATGAAATCCTGGCCTTAGCCAATGTCTAGAAGGGTTTTTCCAATGTTATCTTCTAGAATTTTTAGTTTCAGGTCTTAGATTTAAGTCCTTAATCCATCTTGAGTTGAATTTTGTATAAGGTGAGAAATGAAGATCCTGTTTCATTCTCCTACATGTGGCTGGCCAATTATCCCAGCACCATTTGTTGAAAAGGGTATCCTTTCCCCACTTTATGTTTTTGTTTGCTTTGTCGAAGATTAGTTGGCTGTAAGTATTTGGGTTTGTTTATGGATTCTCTTTTTTTTTCCATTGGTCTGTGTGCCTATTTTTATACCAGTAACCATGCTGTTTTGGTGACTATGGTCTTATAGTATAGTTTGAAATCAGGAAATGTGATGCCTCCATATTTGTTCTTTTAACTTAGTCTTGCTTTGGTTATGCGGGCTGTTTTTTGGTTACATGTGAATTTTTTTTTCTAATTCTGTGAAGAATGGTGGTGGTATTTTGATGGGTATTGCATTGAATTTGTAGATTGTTTTTGGCAGTATGGTCATTTTCACAATATTGATTCTACCCATCCATGAGTGTGGGATGTGTTTACATTTGTGTAATCTGTGATTTCTGTCAGCAATGTTGTGTAGTTTTCCTTGTATAGGTCTTTCACCTCCTTGGTTTAGGTATATTCCTAAGTGGTTTTTTTTGTTTGTTTGTTTTGTTTTTTTTTTGGCAGCTATTGTAAAAGGGGTTGAGTTCTTGATCTGGTTCTCAGTTTGGTGGCTGTTGGTATGTAGAAGAGCTACTGATTTATGTATATTAAGTTTGTATCTGGAAACTTCTGCTGAATTCTTTTATCAGTTCTAGGAGCTTTCTGGAGGAGTCTTTAGGGTTTTCTAGGTAAATAGTTATATCATCAGTAAACAGCAACGGTTTGACTTTCTCTTTACTGATTTGGATGCCCTTTATTTCTTTCTCTTTGATTGCTCTGGCCGGGACTTCCAGTACTATTTGAAGAGGAGTAGTAAGAGTGGGCATGCTTGTCTTGTTCCAGTTTTCAGAGGGAATGCTTTCAACTTTGCCCCATTCAGTATTATGTTGGCTGTGGGTTTGTCATAGATAGCTTTTATTACATTGAGGTATGTCCGTTGTATGCCAATTTTGCTGAGAGTTTTAATCATAGAGGGATGCTGGATTTTGTTGAATGCTTTATCTGCATCTATTGAGATGATCATGTGATTTTTGTTTTTAATTCTGTTTATGTGGTGTATCACATTTATTGACTTGTGTATATTAAACCATCCCTGCATCTGTGGTATGAAACCCACTTGATCATGGTGGATTATCTTTTTGATATGTTGTTGGATTCAGTTAGCTAGTATTTTGTTAAGGATTATAGCATCTAGGTTCATCAAGGATATCTCTCTGTAGTTTTCTTTTTTGGTTATGTCCTTTCCTGGTTGTGGTAATAGGGTGATACTGGCTTCATAGAATGATTTAGGGAGGCTTCCCTCTTTCTCTGTCTTGTGGAATAGTGTCAATAGGATTGGTACCAATTCTTCTTTGAACATCTGGTAGAATTCTGCTGTGAATCTGTCTGGTCCCGGACTTTTTTTTTTTTTTTTTGAGATGGACTCTTGCTCTGTCACCCAGGCTGGAGTGCAGTGGCACGATCTCGGCTCACTGCAAGCTCTGCCTCCTGGGTTCATGCCATTCTCCTGCCTCAGTCTCCCGAGTAGCTAGGACTACATTTGCCTGCCACCATGCCTGGCTAATTTTTTTATATTTTTAGTAGAGACTGGGTTTCATTGTGTTAGCCAGGATGGTCTCGATCTCCTGACCTCGTGATTCACCCACCTTGGCATCCCAAAGTGCTGGGATTACAGGCGTGAGCCACCGCACCCAGTCTGGTCCTGGACTTTTTTTTTATTGGTAATTTTTAAATTGTAATGTCTCCCATTTTGTTTCTTACTGAGCTTATTTGGATTTTCTCTCTTCATTTCTTGATTAATCTTGCTAATGGTCTATGCATTTTATTTGTCTTTTCAAGGAACCAACTTTTTGTTTCCTTTATCTTTTGTATTTTTTTGTTTGTTTCAATTTCATTTAGTTCTGTTCTGATCTTGGTTATTTTCTTTCTTCTGCTGGTTTTGGGTTTGGTTTGTTCTTGTTTTTCTAGTTCCTTGAGGTGTGACCTTAGATTGTCTGTTTGTGCTCTTTCAGACTTTCCGATGTAGGTGTTTAGGGCTATGAACTTTCCACTTAGTACTGCCTTTGCTGTGTCCCAGAGGTTTTGATAGGTTGTGTCACTATTGTCTGCAGTTCGAAGAATTTTTTAATTTCCATCTTGATTTCATTTTTTGACCCAATGATCATTCAGGAGCAGTTAATTAATTTCCATGTATTTACGTGGTTTTGAATAGAATGTATATTCTGTGGTTGTTGGATTAAATGTTCTGTATATATCTGTTAAGTCCATTTGTTCCAGGGTATAGTTTAAATCCATTGTTTCTTTGTAGACCTTCTGTCTTGATGACCTGTGTAGGGCTGTTAGTGGAGCATTGAAGTCCCCCACTATTATTGTGTTGCTGTCTATCTCATTTCATAGATCTATTAGTAATTGTTTTATAAATTTTGGAGCTCCAGTGTTAGGTGCATATATGTTTAGGATTGTGGTATTTTCCTATTGGACAAGGCCTTTTATCATTGTATAATGTCCCTCTTTGCCTTTTTTAACTGCTGTTGCTTTAAAGTTTGTTTTATCTGATATAAGAATAGCTACTTCTGCTCGTTTTTGGTGCCATTTGCATGAAATGTCTCTTTCTACCCTTTTACCTTAAGTTTATGTGAATCGTGAGTCTCTTGAAGGCAGCAAATGGGTTGATGAATTCTTATCCATTCTGCAATTCTGTATCTTTTAAGTGGAGCATTTAGACCATTTACATTCAATGTTAGTATTGAGATGTAAGGTACCATTCTAGTCATCATGCTCTTTGTTGCCCGTATATATGTTTTTTTAATTGTATTTTTGTTTCATAGGTCCTGTGTGATTTATGCTTTAAACAGGTTCTGTTTTGATGTGTTTCTAGAATTTGTTTCAAGATGTAGAGCTCCTTTTAGCAGTTCTGTAGTGGTGGCTGTCACACACGTCCGTGTAAAGAGACCACCAAACAGGCTTTGTGTGAGCCACAAGGCTGTTTATTTCACCTGGGTGCAGGCGGACTGAGTCCAAAAAAGGAGTCAGCAAAGGGTGGTGGGATTATCATTAGTTCTTACAGGTTTGGGATAGGCATACAAAGTACATTCTTAAGGGCATAGAGAATATTACAAAGTACCTTCTTAAGGGCGGGGATGGGAAGAATATTACAAAGTGCCATCTTAAGGGCAGGGGAGAATATATCCTATCAGTTAGGGTAGGGCAGGAACAAATCACATTGGTGGAATGTCATCAGTTAAGGCTATTTTCACTTCTTTTGTGGATCTTCAGTTGTTTCAGGCCATCTGGATGTATACATGCAGGTCACAGGGGATATGATGGCTTAACTTGGGCTCAGAGCCCTGACATTCCTGTCTTCTTATATTAATAAGAAAAACAAAACAAAATAGTGGTGAAGCGTTGGGGTGGTGAAAATTTTTGGGGGGTGGTATGGAGAGATAATGGGCGATGTTTCTCAGGGCTGCTTCGAGAGGGATTAGGGGCAGCATGGGAACATAGAGTGGGAGAGATTAAACTGAGGAAAGATTTTGTTGGGGTAAGGGGTGATATTGTGGGGTTGTTAGAAGGAGCATTTGTCGTATAGAATGATTGGTGATGGCCTGAATGTGGTTTTGTAGGAATTGAGAAACTAAATGAAAGACACAAGCTCTGAATAAAAGAAAGAGGAAAACACGTATTAAAGGACTAAGAATTGGGAGGACCCAGGACATCCAATTAGAGTGTCCAGTGGGGTCCGGGGGTGGGGGGGGTTCAACATAATTATTTGCTTGGTTGGCGAGTTTTTGGACTCTATCCTTGAGTTTTTTTTTTATGTTGTCATATACCACGCAAGATTGATTTAGGTAAAAACAACACTCTTCTTTTAAAAATATACAGATTCCCACTTTTTTTTTAGCAGTGAGTAAATAGAGGCCTTGGCGATTTTGGAGGAAAGAGAAATGCAAAGTGAACAATTGTTTCTTAAAGAAGGATTAGAAACGGCTAGGAGAGAGTGAGTGAGATTGATAGTGTGGCAGAGATAGCTGGGGAGAGGTAGAGGGTGGCATAAGAACAGGAACAAGAATAAGAGTGAGTATAAAAGTAAAGAATAGGACTTCATCAGGGTGAAAGTATTGGAGTGTAACCTGTCAGCAAAGAGCATCTATCCACTCCAAGAGGGAGTCAAGAGTGGTGGATTGGGGCTAGTACCAGAGGATATCCACTACGATAGTTTGGAAGAAAAGTGTAAACTGGCAATGTAAACAAGGGCAGGGCATTTATGAGTAGTTGAGAGTGGTGAGTAGGAGTAAGACTAGACAGGAAATAGTAGGGATGACAAGTTTTCGGGGTGCAGTCCAAGTAGTGAGAGTGACTGCATAAAGCCCTGTTGCAAAAAGCAGGGTAAGGACAAATAGACCTAATAGAATGAAGGGATGTATTGGGCTTATAAGGGTTATTACTGTTCTTCAGAAATGCGAGTGAGTTTAAGGGAAGTAGGGGGGAGTACTTGCGACTTCCAGGAGGAAGAGGAGAAATCAGGCTGGCTGGCTGACGGGCACAGCTTTACTCTGGATCTATGAACCTAATGCGGGGGTCCTGCAGACGAACAGCCGTTGGGGTACTATAGATGACTAAGTGGGGTCCAGTCCACCAAGGTTGTAGAATTTGAGGGGTCAGATTCTTAATAAGATTAGCAGCCTGGTGAATTTCCTGTCTGTCCTGCTGGAGGACAGGAAGATAGTTGCTTAGAGGGCTAGTGCTTGGGATGAGGTTGGGGCCGAGCAAGAAACTGCATCCATATAAAAGTTCAAATGGATTGTACCCTGTAGTATCTCGAGGACAGGCTCTAATTTTGAGAAGGGCAAGAGGTAAAAGTACTGTCCAGTCCTTTTTAACTTGGAGGCTGAGCTTGGTGAGGTGTGTCTTTAAAAGACCATTAGTCCGTTCTACTTTTCCTGAAGATTGAGGACAGTAAGGGGTATGAAGTTTCCACTGAATACCAAGAGACTGAGAAACTGCTTGGGTGGTTTGAATAATAAAGGCTAGTATAGAGGTGGGAAGGCCAAACTGAGGAATTATGTCTTACAGAAGGGAAGAAATGACCACAGTGGCCTTCTCAGACCCTGTGGGAAAGGCTTCTACCCATCCAGTGAAAGTGTCTACCCAGACCAAGAGGTATTTTAGTTTCCTGACTCGGGGCATGTGGGTAAAGTCAATTTGCCAGTCCGGGGCAGAGACAAATTCCCAAGCTTGATGTGTAGGGAAGGGAGGGGGCCTGAACAATCCCTGAGGAGTACTAGAATAGCAGATGGAACACTGAGAAGGGATTTCCTTGAGGATAGATTTCCACGATGGAAAGGAAATGAGAGATTCTAAGAGATGGGCTAGTGGCTTGTAACCTACATGGAAGAGGTTATGAAATGACGACAGAATAGAATGGGCCTGTGAGGCTGGAAGGAGATATTTTCCTTGGTCCAAGAACCATTTGTCTTGTGTGGGAAGGGATTGATAGGTGGAAGTTTCAGTGGGGGAGTTGGTGGGAGTGACCAACGAGGAGGAGAAAAACTGGCCCTGAGGGACAGAAGTTGGAAGCTGGCTGCTTCTTTAGCTACATTATCAGCATAAGCGTTACCCTGAGCGATGGGATCTGATGCCTTTTGATGGCCCTTGCAGTGAATGACTCCAGCTTCCTTTGGAAGTAAAGCGGCCTTGAGAAGAGTTTTTATTAAAGAGGAATTAATGATGGAGGACCCTTACGTAGAGAGGAACCCTCTTTCAGCCCATATAACAGCATGGTGGTGCAGGATATGGAAGGCATATTTCGAGTCTTTAAATATTGACGCGTAGTGCCTTTGCAAGAGTGAGGGCCCGAGTTAAGGCAATGAGTTCAGCTTGCTGAGAGGTAGTGGAGGGTGGCAGAGCAGTAGCCTCAAGGATAGACGTGGAAGATACTATAGCATAGCCTGCTTTTGCTGGTAAGTGGTGATTAGGCCTAGTGGAACTGCCATCAATAAACCAAGTGTGATCAGAGTGAGGGACAGGAAAGAAGGAAATATGGGGAAATAGAGTGAATGCCAGGTGGATCAGAGAGATACAGTCATGGAGGTCAGGTGTGGTATCAGGAATAATGTGGGGGCTAGCCTAAAACAGTAAGGTCAAGTTGTTTGGACAGAAAGGCTACACAGCACGGTCCCGGCTCTTGTGTAAGAGTTCCAGTCACACACCCCTGCACTTCAGCTGTGTGTAATGAAAAAGGTTGGGATGAGTTAGGGAGAGCTAGTGTGGGAGCAGCTTTTAGGGCTGTTTTTTAAGGATTGGAAAGGGGAGTGGGGAAAGGATTTAGGATTTATGGGGTCAGCTAGGTTTATCTAGAACAGAATAATGGGTTGTGGAGGGGAGGTATTGAGGATAGGAGAGTATATGGTTTTGGCACCATGGGGTGGTTGATAAGGCGCAGATCCTGAACTAACCTGTAAGACTTGTCCAGTTTTTGGACAGGTGAAATGGGGGAATCGTAAGGAGAGTTTATAGACTTTAAAAGGCCATGCTGTAGCAGGCGAGTGATAACAGGCTTTAATCATTTTAAAGTGTGCTGTAGGATGGGATATTGGCATTGAGCGAGGTAAGGGTGATTAGGTTTTAATGGGATGGTAAGGGTTGCGTGATCGGTTGCCAAGGAGGGAGTAGAGGTGTCCTATACTTGTGGATTAAGGTGGGGAGATACAAGGGGAGGATGTGAAGGAGGCTTTTAACTGGGGAAAAAGGTGGCAATGAGGGGTGGCTGTAGCCTAGGAATAGTCAGGGAAGCAGATAATTTAGTTAAAATGTCTCAACCTAATAAGGGAGCGGGGCAGGTGAGGATAACTAACAAGGAGTGCATAAAATAATGTTGTCCAAATTGGCATGAGAGTTGGGGAGTTTTAAGAGGTTTAGAAGCCTGGCCGTCAATACTCACAACAGTTATGGAGGCAAGGGAAACAGGACCTTGAAAAGAAGGTAATGTGGAGTGGGTGGCCTCCATATTGATGAAGAAGGGGACAGACTTACCCTCCAGTGTAAGAGTTACCCAAAGTGTCTGTGATGGTCCTGTAGGCTTCCAAGGCGATCGGGCAGTGTTAGTCTTCAGCCACTAAGCTGAGAAGATCTGGGAAGGAGTCAGTCAGAGAGCCTTGGGCCAGAGTTCCAGGGGCTCTGGGAGTGGCTGCTGGGCGAGTAGGACAGTCCGATTTCCAGTGGGGTCCCACACAGATGGGAGACAGCTTAGGAGGAATCCCAGGCTGCGGGCTTTCCTTGGCCCAGTGGCTAGATTTCCAGCACTTGAAGCAAGATCCTTGGGGAGGCGGTCCTGGAGGAACACCTGGCCCCTGCAGTTTAGGCTTTTTGAAGTTTTGGTGTGCTGGAAATGTGGCTGGGGTTTCTCTCACAGTGGAGGCGAGTAATTGCAACTCTTCTTTATTATTGTACATCTTGAAAGCGAGGTCATTTAAGTCCTGTTGTGGGGTTGAGGGCCAGAATCTAATTTTTGGAACTTTTTAATGTAGGGAGTGGGTTGGGTAATAAAATGCATATTGAGAATAAGACAGCCTTCTGGCCCCTCTGGGTCTAGGGCGGTAAAGCGTCTGAGGGTTGTTGCCAAACGGGCCATGGACTGGGCTGGGTTTCATATTTGATGAAAAAGAGCCTAAATGCTAACTGATTTGGGAGATGTCTTATAAAGAAAGAGGAGCATTAACCTTGGCTATGCCTTCATCTCCAGCCACCTCTAAGAGGAAATCGTTGGGCAGGTGGGGGAGGGCTAGTCACAGAACGAAACTAAGCCAGACCTGGTGTAAGGAGGGGAGGTAATAGGAGGGTTATAGGGTGGGGGAGTGGAGGCTGAAGAAGAGTTGGGACCTGGCTTGGCCTGGCGAGGCACAGCCTGGGGAGGAGGGGAGAGGTCAGATGGGTCTGTAGAAAAGGAGGATTCCCAGGACTCAGAGCTTGGGGTGGAGACTGAAGGAACAGACAGCAGAGAAAGAAGAAAGATTTGGGATGAGTCTCATTGGGAGCAGAGATTAGGAAGGGACCGATGTGTAAAAGAATGCCTGGACATCAGGCACCACAGACCATTTGCCCATTTTATGAGAAGAATTATCTAGATCTTGTATGATGGAGGAATCAAAAGTGCTGTTTTCTGGCTATTTAGAATCATTGTTTAGTTTGTATTGGGGCCAGGCGATGTTGCAGAAGAAAATAAGATGCTTAGGTTTCAGGTCAGGTGTGAGTTGAAGAGATTTTAAGTTTTTAAGAACACAGGCTAAGGGAGAAAAAGGAGGAATGGAGGGTGGAAGGTTGCCCATAGTGAAGGAGGCAAGCCCAGAGAAAAGAGAGGGTAGAGACAGGGAGAAGGGAGGTAGTGAGCAGCCCTGGGCTGCAATGTGGGCAAGCAGCCAAAGCAGGCATCCCCGCACTTGACTTGCCACCAAAGGAATGTTGGTGAATGACCAAGGCAGGCATCCCCGCAGTGATCAGACACCAATGGAGTGTGGGTGAATAATCAGGCAGGTGTCCCTGCAGTGATTAAACACCAAGGGAAGACTGTCTTCCCGAGTCCATGACTGGTGCTGGAGTTTTGGGTCCATGGATAAAATGTGTCTCTTTTGTCTCTATTAGAGAGGACAAAGAGCTGGAATTGGAAGGACAGGGAGATTGAAGGGTAGTAAGAGAGGGAGATTGAAGGGTAGCAAGAGAGGCTGGAGAAGAGAGTAGAAAGGCCGCTTACCCCATTTGAAATTGGTGAGATGTTCCTTGGGCTGGTTGGTCTGAGGACCCGAGGTCGTAGGTGGATCTCCTCACGGAGTGAGGGAGAGGACAGAGGACTGGTCTCCCAAAGGAGTCCTCCTGTCCCGGGTCTTCGGCACCAAATGTCTGGCGCATCTGTGTAAAGAGACCACCAAACAGGCTTTGTGTGAACAACAAGGCTGTTTATTTCACCTGGGTGCAGGCGAGCTGAGTCCGAAAAAGGAGTCAGCAAGGGGTGGTGGGATTATCATTAGTTCTTAAGGTTTGGGATAGGTGTACAAAGTACATTCTTAAGGGCGGAGAGAATATTACAAAGTACCTTCTTAAGGGCGGGGGGAGAATATTACAAAGTACCTTCTTAAGGATCGGGGAGAATATATCCTATCAGTTAGGGTGGGGCAGGAACAAATCACAGTGGTGGAATGTCATCAGTTAAGACTATTCTCACTTCTTTTGTGGATCTTCAGTTGTTTCAGGCCATCTGGATGCATACGTGCAGGTCACAGGGGATATGATGGCTTAGCTTGGGCTCAGAGACCTGACAGTGGCTTGGTAGTGGTGAATTCTCTTGGCATTTGTTTGTCTGAAGAAGACTGTGTCTTTCCTTCATATATGAAGCTTTGTTTCACTGGATACAAAATTCTTGCTTGATAATTGTTTTGTTTGAGAAGACTGAAGATAGGGCCCCAATCCCTTCTAGCTTGTAGGGCTTCAGCTGACAAATCTGCTGTTAATCTGACAGGTTTTTCTTTATAGGTTACTTGGTTCTTTTGTCTCACAGCTCTTAAGATTCTTTCCTTCACCTTAACTTTAGATAGCTTGATGACAATGTGCCTAGGCGATGATTTTTTTGCAGTGAATTTCCCAGATGTTCTTTGTGCTTCTTGTATTTGGATGTCTAGGTATCTAGCAAGGCTGGGGAAGTTTACCTCGATTATTCCCCCAAATATGTTTTCCAAACTTTCAGATTTCTCTTCTTCCACAGGAATGCCGATTGTTCTTAGGTTTGGTCATTTAACATAATCCCAGACTTCTTGGAGGAGTGTTCATATTTTCTTATTATTTTTCCATTGTCTTTGTTGGATGGGGTTAATTCAAAGACCTTGTCTTCGAGCTCTGAATTTCTTTCTTCTACTTGTTTGATTCTATTGCTGAGACTTTCCAGAGCATTTTGGATTTCTGTAAGTGTGTCCATTGTTTCCTAAAGTTTTGATTGTTTTTTATTTATGCTATTTCATTGAATATTTCCCCTTTCACTTCTTGTATCATTTTTTTTTGTTTCCTTACGTTGGGCTTTGCCTTTCTCTGATGCCTCCCTGATTAGCTTAATAACTGACCTCCTGAATTCTTTTTCAGGTAAATCAGGAATTTCTTCTGGGTTTGGATTCAATGCTGGTGAACTATTGTGATTTTCGGAGGGTGTTAAAGAACCTTGTTTTGTCATATTACCAGACTTGATTTTCTGATTCCTTCTTATTTGGGTAGGCTCTATCAGAGGGAAAGTCTAGGGCTCAAGGCTGTTGTTCAGATTCTTTTGTCCCATGGTGTTCCCTTGACGTAGTAGTCTCCCCCTTTTCCTATGGATGTGTCCTCCTGAGAGCCGAGCTGTAGTGATTGTTATCTCTGTTTTGGATCTAGCCACCCAGCAAGTCTACCAGGCTCCAGGCTGGTACTGGGGTTGTCTGCACAGAGTCCTGTGTTGTGTACCATTTGTGGGTCTCTCAGCCATGGATACCAGCACCTGTCCTTGTGGAGGTGTCAGCGGGGTGAAATGGACTCTGTGAGGATTCTTAGCTTTGGTGATTTAATGCGCTATTTTTGTGCTGGTTTGCTCTCTATTAGGAGGTGGTGCTTTCCAGAGAGCATCAGCTGTGGTAGTATGGGGAGGAACACACAGTGGATGGGGCTGTAGAACTCCCAAGAGTATATGCCTTTTGTCTAGAGTTCCCAAGGTGGGTAGGGAAGGACCATTGGGTGGGGGCAGGGCTAGGCGTGTCTGAGCTCAGGCTCTCCTTGGGCATTTCTTGCCACAGCTGCTGTGGGGGATGGGGGTGAGGTTTCCAGGTCAATGGAGTTATGTTCCTAGGAGGATTATGGCTGCCTCTGCTGAGTCTTGCAGATTGTTCAGGGAAGTGGGGGAGAACCAGCAGTTACAGGCCTCACCCAATTCCCATGCAATCCGAGGGGCCTGTCTCACTCCCAACATGCCTTTGCCAACAGCACCAAGTCTGTTTCCAGGTAGTGGGCAAGCAGGGCTGAGAACTTGCCCCAGGCTACCTGTCTCCCAGCTGCAAAAGCAAATATGGCTTTCCTTCTTTGCCTGCCTGTGGAGTCTGCCCACCAGATTCACACCCTTCCCTGAGTTCTGGGAAGGAGACTTCTCCATCAGTTCAAAGTGTTACAAAGTTCAGCTGGCGATTTCCTTTTCCCTGTGGCCTTTGCCCGGTGCCTCTGGCTGCCCTCCCGAAGGACCCCTGTGAGGACAGGCAGAAATGGTTTGTTAGGGAACCCAGCGAGCTGACAGGGCTTTCCCTGCTGCTTCCTCTACCCCTGTGTTTTGCTCAGCTCTCTCAAGTGACTCAGTTCCAGGTAAGGTCAGAATCTTCTCCCATAACCTAGACCTTCAGGTTCCAAGTGGGGGTGTGTGTTTGAGGGGTCTCTCTTTCCTACTTCCACAGTTTGGGTACTCACAGTATTTGGGGTGTCTCCCGGGTCCTGTAGGAGCAATCCACTTCCTTCAGAGGGTCTGCGGGTTCTCTCGGCTTTCCTGATTTATTCCTGCAGTCATTCTGGAGCAAAAAATCATGATGCGAGGCTCCACAGGCTGCTCTGTCCATCAGAGTTGGAGCTGCAATTTAGTCCTGCCTCCCGTCTGTCATGATCTGCCCATCCCCCTAAACATTTTAAATAATCATGTTTCTTGTTAAGTTTTAAGGGCTTTTTTTATGTTATACATATTAGCCCTGGGTTATATTTATGACAAATACTTGTCTCCCTTTCTCTTACATGCCTTTTATTTACATGTAGAAAGACTTTTTCTATCCTGAGATTATAAGAACAGTATTATTTTCCTTTTCCTTTAACACACTTAGACACTTGATCTACTGGAATATGGAATATTTTTGTTTACGATATGAGGGAGAGAATAAGTTTAATTTTTTCCCAGAAGTTCTCTGGTGTCCCAGTAGCATTTGTGGACTAGTCTGTTTTCTTTTTATTTCACTAACTGGAAATACCACATCATGCTCTAAATGATGTGACCTACAGTAAAATTTATCTTAATTGACCTCCACTTAACAGACCAAATGGGTTAATTGATAGTCTCTGTTCTCTCTGTAAAACATACTGATGGAAGACCACAGTAAGCTTGATGTTTACTACTAATAGGCTACTTAATACTATGCTGGTATGATTCTGTTTCTTGCTTGTGGTTTTAGATCACTGATACTCAGATTTGATCATTCTACAAACTTAATGTGAGCTCTGCTTGCCATTGAGTATTTATTATTTAATTTAATATTATATAAAGCAGTAAAATATGAAAGGAAGGAAAGGTGCTGTTTCGGAGAAAGCTAAATTAGGTGCTTTAGAAAGAAAAAATGGGTCACCAAAAATTTTGTGGCCAGTAAGGACATTGTATACAGTTTACTTAAATATTATAGCATATATAGATCTAAGTTCTAGGAGAAAGTAATGAAATATGGATATAAAGGATTACTTTTCTCCTATAGAAAAACTTGTAAAGTTTAGCAAGAAAAACAAATGGTTGAATTTGAATGCAGTTTGGTATATGAGAGGAAGTTTATCTTCTAAATTATAGACCTTTAAAAATATATTCTCTTGTAAAACATTTTAATGATGTAACTGTTGTAGTCCATTTGTGCTGCTGTAACAAAATACCTGAGAATTGGTAATTTATAAAGAACAGAAATTTATTTCTCTGAGTTCTGGAGCTGAGAATTCCAAGATCCAGGTACTGGCAGGTTTGGTGTCTGGTAAGGGTTCAGTCTCTGCTTCTAAGATGATGCCTTGAACATTGCATCCTCCAGAAAGGAGGCATAATACGTCCTCACATGACAGAAGGCGGAGGGGGAAAAAGAGACAAACTCCCTCTTTCAGTCCCTTCTCCAAGGTTACTTAATCCCAATCACCAGTGTGGAGCCCTAATGATCAGAAGCCCTAACTTCTAGTAACATCACTTTGGTGATTAGGTTTTAACTCAGCTTTTGGGGAGGATACCACATTCAAACCCTAGCAGCAACTCATAACTTTACATTATAAGTACATAGACCAATTAAAATTTGTTAACAAAAACCTAGATTCATAGTAGGCTAAATGTAGTGTTTTCATACCGCAGACTGGTGTCTCTGTAGGCATTTTGAACATGATGTGGTATTTCTAACTAGTGAGTTAAAAATACTGATCTTTAACTCTAAAATTAAGAGAATGAAAACTAGATTACTGCATTGTATTAGTTTTCTGTCATACGACAACTTCAAAACTTAGTGACTTGAAACAATAACCACTTACCATATCACACAGTTTCTGTGGTCAGAAATCAGGGAGTAGTTCAGGTGGGTGGTCTGGCTCATGATTTTTTCATGAGTTTATAGCCAAAACGATAGCCAGGGCTGCAGTCATCTGAAGCCTTGACTAGGACTAAAGGATACATTTTCGAAATGATTAACTCATGGAATGCTGATTGTTGGCAAGAGCCATCATTTCCTCCCCATGTGGGTCTGTCCATGGGGCTACCTTAAGCATATTCATAGCATGGTAGCTAGCCACCCTCAGAATGTGTGATCCAAGAGAGAGAGTGAAGTAGAAGATGTAAAGTCTTTTATGACCTAGTTCTAGAAGTCATATGCCATCTGTCACATCTACTGTATATTTTTGTTAAAACTGAATCAGTAGGACAGCTCACATCAAAGGAAGAGGAATTAGACTCCAACTCTTAAAAAGGAGAGAAACCACCACACCGCAGATATTTATTTTGTGTGTGTGGATCAGTGAAGAGGAAGAGATTAATGTATAATGTTTGGTCTTTTTAGGACACTGCCTTAGGAAAACCACGAGAGGTGTTTCGACTTCCTACAGATTTGACAGCATGTGACAACCGTCTTTGTGCATCTATCCATTTCTCATCTTCTACCTGGGTTACCTTGTCAGATGGAACTGGAAGATTGTATGTCATTGGAACAGGTGAACGTGGAAATAGCGCTTCTGAAAAATGGGAGGTGAGGGTTTGTTTAAGACTTATGCGAAGTCCAGAAAGTATATGTAAATTACACCCTACTTATTTTAAAATGACACTTTTCAAGGATGGTTTACATGTGATCTGTTGTTTGTTTGATATATAATGTTTTGGATCTCTTTTTAACTAAATTATAACATATATATTTTTCACAAACTGTTACATTAACCACTCCTGTTTTGATCTGGAGTCAGTGCAGTTGTCAAGAATTGCATTCATTTTTCAGCAGACATCTTATATGCGTAGAGTACTTCATTAAGCATTGGCGTTGCCTCCTCCTTCTTGAAGAAGAGTTGACCAAAAGCTTATGTTAGGATGATTTTCTCCTCTGCCATTATGTTAGATTTGCTGGGATGTTTACATTGGTCAAATAGTAGTCAGATTACCAGAATATTCTCTACTTAGAAAAATACATGATATAAATATATAGTTATATGCCAATTTCCAAGACAACATTTTTACTTTAATTTTAAAAATTAGATATAAATCTAAAGGGTAGTTTAGGGTTTTAATAGTAATAAATAAGGAATTAATTTCTCTAGAACTACAGTTTTTGAAAACAGAAGAAAATGATGCCAAGTAGATAATCAAAAGATTTAGTTTACTGCTTCAGCTCCTTTGAGTTATGCTAATAAGTGTATTGTAATATTGCTACTGTCTGAATCTCTGTAGGTAGCCTTTAGTTCTGGGTAAATAAAGAGATGCGAGCTTAATATATTTATGTCTTATAAAATAATTTCATCTGACCAACAGATGCCTACAGAGACCAGGCTTTAATTACTTGAGAAAAACCAGTTAGGTCTTAGAACCAAATGGTTTACCTACCTTACTAAGTTATACTAAATGTTATACTACCAAATTATAGTATGTTCAAAATACACAGTAAATAACCAGAACAGCAGTAGCCTATTTACAAGAGCCTGTTGCATTCACAGTTTCAGATATTCATTGGATACTGTGGCAATTTCTGTTTTGGCCTTTAGTAACAACTTTCATTTTTCTGAAAAACAGAAGTAATGTGGTATGTAGCACAGCTACCTGAAACAGTTGGAAGGTATTTTGAGAATAATGCGCAGGAGAGATATGAGTGGGAATTTATCTGGTATTGAGCTGTATGGATTCTGTAGATTTTGAACAGGACAAACCTACTTGGCTCACTTTCATCTTAAAAATAATACCACACATTATTTCATATGGGCTTATACTTCTTTTGGTTTTGTTTTGTGTATCCCCTTGGCGTGTATTAAGACTTCAATAGTATCTTTTAAATAAATTTAAAAACTTAATTCTACCTTGTGCCTTCTTTAGCATATACTGCCCTAATGAAATAAGCTCCCTTCAGAGATGTTTTCAGCTAATAATAGTTTTGACTAGATACTGGTGGGAGAGGGAGGAGACTTGGGGATTAATTGAGGTGGGAGGGATACTGTGGAATATTGGTCACTTTAAGAAACAATTCAGGAGGGTTTTAGGACTTTAGGGTAATTAATATAACAGAGAAGCTAAAAGTAGAAGTGATTACGGAGCATGGTGGGGGGTAAGGGGGCCAAGGGTGGTGGTGGTGATTACTGAAGTTTAAAAAGAGAAATTAAAGGAGACAGCTTGCTTTCCAAATGTGTTGCCTCTAATACCATGGAAGTGCCATGTATCAACGGTATCACAGTTTAGATGCTGGGCTTGTTCAGAAAACTAGAAACTTCAGCCTAACAATTTTTAAAAGTACGCCATCTACTCTTCTGGTTTCATTACAGTTCCTTTCACTCATACTAGAAAGAAAAAAAGAAACAATAAACTAGCTACTTGTTCCTGCCAAAACTTGTCATTTTCTGTTCTTCCGTTTTGTTTCCCCTATTCCTCAAACAAAAGCAAAACCCAATCAACCAATAAAAACCTGCCTTCATCTGTCATCTCTGTTTTGAATATTTAAGGATTTTTTTTAAGCTTTTGTTTTTTCTGTTTATGGAAATCTTAAGAATGGATTCTGAAGGCCCATTACTTGAATGATTTTGGCAGATGTTCAAATACATAGGGAACTTGATGACATTAAAGCACATTTTTCTTTGTAAGGTTTTCAAGTAGAAGTAGATATGTGGGGATACCAGGTACAGGTTTTGTTTTTTGTTTTTTGTTTTTGTTTTTTAAAGCTACCTTTTTTTCAGTTAGGCTTTTTCTCAACTGTCCATATCTTATTTGGAAATCTTGTTTAGGAAGCAGCCTTAAAACCTTCTCTATTTTGTATTTAGTCTTAAAAATGTAATAGTTGTTGAGATCTTGTGTTTGTGGTATAAGAAAGAATTTGATAAGATTTTGTGTGTTTCTGTATGATGCTTAGACAAGATTTTGTGTGTTTTTATATGATGCTTTTTTGCTTTTCAAAAAACACTTTAGGATTATTTTAAATAGAGTTTGTTAACTTATTCTTAAATGCTAATAGGCTCTTTTGTTTTTGAGAAAAAACATGTTTTGGTGATTTATTCTTCAATGTTTTTGACTCTTGCCTTTGTAAACTTCCAGAGAATAAATAACAAACAAAAAACAGGAAAAAGGCATACACACATGCACACTCATATACAATATCTAGAAACTGAGAGGAAGCAAGGTAGCCAAGACTAATGATCAGTTTTTTTCTTATACAAATAAATATTTTCTTAAAAGTTCTGTCCTCAGGGAACATTATCTAAACTTGCAGTCTTTATGTAAAGGCCTTTTTATTTTCAAATTTCTTGTAATAAATAGTATCCAAAATAACTGTTGAATCACCAGAATCCTATATATTCCCTCTATGCTATCTGTGTTCATGTAATTATGTACACTTTTTTGTGTGTGTAATTTTGTTTTGTAGATTATGTTTAATGAAGAACTTGGGGATCCTTTTATTATAATTCACAGTATCTCACTGCTAAATGCTGAAGAACATTCTATAGCTACCCTACTTCTTCGAATAGAGAAAGAGGAATTGGATATGAAAGGAAGTGGTTTCTATGTTTCTCTGGAGTGGGTCACTATCAGTAAGAAAAATCAAGGTAAAACAAAAGTCTGAATCTGTCTCTACTGGTTGGCATTATTTAGTAGATTTTGAAACACAAAGCTGTCCCTGTAAATACTGTTTGCTCTTTCTTGGGCATTGTGTTACAATTCTGGCACCTGCCACCACTGGTGGAATGAATATGTATAGATAGTTTTTCCTCAGGTATATTTTATAGAAAAAAATTGCAGTGTGCATCCACAGCCAATTATGCCTTTTATATAAAAGAAGACATTGTTATATAAGTTTTGAATAATTTAACGGGTATATTTTTAATATATACAAAAATATATGCATATATATGTGTGATACACAGAAACATATACCTAAAACTAAATGTAAATTAATACATTATAGTATAATTTAAATGTAAATAAATATAAATACTTACTTGGAAATGAATGTCTTTATTTCATTAAAGTACAGGTATGATTTCTTTTAAATCTAATTGAACTTCATTATTTGTTTCTACATTTAGGAAAACTGTTACTTTTTCTTACCTGATGTGCTCCCATGTTTAGAATAGTCCTGAACTTTGGTCTGTTTGAAGCTGTCTGTCAAGCTTCTAACTTGACATTAAAAATTACAATCTCATGAATTAATTAGGATTTCTTTAAGGTATTAAGAAATCTCTTTGCCTTTGCTTAGTTCCTGCTGACTCATTGAGTGTTTTCTTTTTAACTGTAGTTGAGTACTGAGAGTGCTTGTTTCCATAATGACTCTATGCTCTTTTTCTCAGTAGTTTTTATTAGCTGACTCATTTATGAGTAAGTTAATATAAATTAAATTATCATTCATCTCTGTAGAAAAATATTTCTTTACCATAGCTGCTAGTTTGCAATTCAGTAAAGACTGTTAGTATTTGTTTCCTAAGAGGGTTTTGCCTTTTATTCTAAAACAGCTATCTGTCTATCTAATAGATATCTCAAAATTGTTTATAAATAAACTGAATAAGTCTCCTAGATTTGTTCTTTGAAGTATTCAATATAATTTATTAGTTCTTTTTGGTGTTGTAGTTTTATCTCTGGAGGAACACAGTAACTTTAAACTTTAATTAGATATTAGAAAACTTTTTTGAAATCCCAGTTGGTAACCATAAGATCTATGTCACAGCTATCCGAGTATGCCAACACAGTACAAAAGCATCCATAGACAATATATAAATGAATGAGTATAGTTGTGTTCCAATCATACTTTATGGACATAGGAATTTGAATTTTATGTTTTTTTGACATATATTTAAATATTATTCTTTAAATATTACTATTTTAACAATTTAAAAATATAAAATTCATGCTTAGCTCACAGGCCATACAAAAATAGGCCTAGATTCAGCTTTGGCTCAAGGGTCCTAGTTTGCAGAACCCCTGCTTTAGATAATGGAAGCCTTAATTTTTTTAAGGTACGTAATTCAAAATCTTACAGGAGACATTGTCATGCATATTCCTCCTCCTTTCTCCAAGACACTTGGTTCTGTAACATCTTTTTCTCAATCTGTGGTAACTCATCAAATTGCCTCAGAACATAGCAGTACTCTGCTCCAGCTCTACTTCTCCATCCCGTTTGTCTTCGTTTCTTTGCCTCAGCTGGACAAATACATTGAGACTAACCTTTTTTCTCCCAAGATTGTAGTTATAGAATCATTAATTCTCTTTATTGTTCCCTTTATCTTTCTTTTATATCTTGTTCCTTCTCTCCCAGACTACTACTAATATGATTGGTTTTTTTCTTCTTTTTCTTTTTAGTTAACAGAACAGTATTTTCGTAAACTATTTTGAATGAAACATTTCATAAAGTATATTTATGGTCAGATAAGTTTGAAAATGTGGACATAAAATAGCTCCATTACACATTAAGCATATTAAAGTTTCTAAAAATTGTGAGTAAAAAAAGTTTAGGTTAGATGCAAAGGCTCATGCCTGTAATCTCAGCACTTTGGGAGGTCAAAGCAGGAGGATCACTTGAGCCCAGGAGTTTGAGACCAGTCTGGGCAACATAGTGAGCCACCGTCTCTACAAAAATTACAGAAACATTAGCTCGGCATGGTGTTGTGCACCTATAGTTCCAGCTATTCAGGAGGATTGCTTGAGCCTGGGAGTTTGAGGCTACAGTGAGCAGTGATCGTGCCACTGCATTTAGCTTGGGCAACAGGGTAAGACCCTGTCTCAAACAAACAAAAAACAATTTACATTTAATTTTAACCTAGCATTTCTCCACATATTTAACCACGGAATCCGGTTTTTGAGGCTTCCTATTCTTTTCTGTCCCATGCATGCTGGGAAAGGCCACGCTATAAATATGTGATGTCGGTGTTTGGATCTTTAAAGTCAAGTAGGACTTTTGGCCCTGCATGTATCTATAGGGGAAGTGTAGGAGTTTTGTTCATTCATTAAATTACAAGCCTGTTCTTAAATATGTGTGAACTGAATGTGTGAATGTAGGTGAGGATTTTGAGTAAAAACAATGAGATATTTTAGAACAGATGGTATTATTATGTAAAAACTCATAATAATATGACATTAAGTTGTGATTTTCGACTACTCAGTATGAAGCCTACAAGTATAACCCACTTAAAGAGTAACAGTATAGGTAAAAGTATGGAGTCAGCTAAAATGTTTGAGTACTTTTTAAAGCAAAAAATTACTGTCTTTATAGGAAAATAAGTTTAATTTGTCAGAAACTTTTGGAATACAGTTAATTGTTTATATCTTAAAAGTAGCACTAATTTATGTTTAATTATAAGCATATAGATAAATGTCTTGTGTAAAAAAAATCATTTCTGCTATAAATTTATTTCATTGTTAAAATGCCCCTTATCGGGAGTTAGAGCAGGCAGAAAAATAGACCACACTGCATGTTTCCCCTTGTCCTCAATTTGTCACTTTTCAGAAGAAACTTATCACATACCTGCTGAGAAGGCAGACAGGCTTTAGTCAAGGAGAGGTAGGTCATACAGAAGCTGTTATTCCAAGTAAGCCGGTCATGTTGGAGTTCTGGGGTACTGCTGTCTAATAAGAGATTTCTCCAAGATGGACATGTTTTATATGTGTACCATTCACTGCAGTAGCTACTAGCCATGTGTGGCTATTGAGCAATTAAAATGTGGCTAGTATGACTGAGGAATTTAAATTTTACTTAATTTTAAGTAGATACTTCTGGCCAGTGACTACCACATTGGACAGGACAATCGGGAACAAATTTCACCAGACCCAATATTTTAAAATAGGGACTTATTTACGGAAAATTAGATTGTAAATTGTTTATCCTTATGAAAAGACTCTTAATAGTGTACCTTTTAATAATACATTCAAATTATTTAATTATAATTAAAATCAATTTTTAAATATCAGAATATTTTGATAATAGTTTTTATTTGTAATGTTTTGTTCTGAAATACTTTTCTTACAGATAATAAAAAATATGAAATTATTAAGCGTGATATTCTCCGTGGAAAGTCAGTGCCACATTATGCTGCTATTGAGCCTGATGGAAATGGTCTAATGATTGTATCCTACAAGTCTTTAACATTTGTTCAGGCTGGTCAAGATCTTGAAGAAAATATGGATGAAGACATATCAGAGAAAATCAAAGGTAATTTTTATTCTTAATAGAGCTTATTGGTATTTTCATAAACATATATTTATGTCTTTTATTTTCCCAGTTAGGTTAATAGTTCTACAAGGGCAAGATAGATGCATAATTTTTTCTTTATTTTCTCATGTATTTTCCAGAAGTCTTTTATAAGGTATACCACCTTAATAGTGTGAATGAACTGGTTTAATTTGATCATTTTGTTATTACCAAAAATGTTTTTTTAAAAAATCGTTTATTAGCTTCCTTGATTAGGTGCTTAATAAATAGTTATCAAATAAATGTCTATTTGCTATTAGTATTGATGGTATTAATAGTGTAATATTGAAGATACTAATTTTTAAAAATAAGTTAAGCTAATGTACCTGTTCTTACCTTTTATACTAAACTGAAAGTAAGTTCCTTGAGGGCAGAATCACATAATTTTATTAATGTTGAATGAATGAATGAAGGTTATGTTTTAGCATGAAAAGACTGGCCAGGCACGGCAGCTCACGCCTGTAATCCCAGCACTTTGGGAGGCCTAGGTGGGCGGATCAAAAGGTCAGGAGATCGAGACCATCCTGGCTGACACGATGAAACCCCGTCTCTACTAAAAATACAAAAAAAAATCCGGATGTGGTGGTGGGTGCCTGTAGTGCCAGCTACTTGGGAGGCTGAGGCAGGAGAATCACTTGAACCCAGGAGGCAGAGGTTGTTGTGAGCCAGGATTGTGCCACTGCACTCCAGCTTGGGCAACAGCGAGACTGTCTCAAAAAAAAAAAAAGAAAAGACTAACAAGAAATTTCAGAAGAAATTTATATTTGTATATAAAGAACAGACATTCTTTTAAAGCTGTTCAAGAGAACATTCCTCTGTAATAATTACTGTTCATATTTCTGATGTTCATAGCCAGAGAATAGTATATTTTATTTAACAGAGATTTTTATAATATTTAACAATTCTACATATTATTCTTTGAATCTCCCTTTTTTGTTAAACAAGTTATTTTAAAAAATTAGTTTTACCTTTTTGTTTTTAAGTGAAAACACGTTGATTAAGAAAGTAAAGAAATAAAAGAATGGCTACTCCATAAGCAGAGCAACCTAGGTTTACTATTTTTGGATGCTTTAAGAAATGAATATTAATGTAATATATAATTGAAAAATATTTTCCACAGGTTTATAAATATATGCACCTCTGAATACAAAAAGTTGTGCTTAGTAGGCCTTTTCTTTAGACTTTTAATACCTTGGTTTTCTCATGTGGGATTCGTTTTTTGTTAGATTATCTCTAAGATCCTTTCCTGAATAAATGTTACTATTCTGTCTAATTATAATGCTAACCTCATCCAAAGCTTAGCCAGAATAGCTGTTTATTTCTCTAGATCATGTGTCTTTAGAATTCCTTTGGTAAGCAATCTCGAGGGAATAGAAAGCTTGCCTTAATCTTTGGAACCGTTCTGCCCAGATAACTTGGAACCATGCAGTTCCAAGACAGATTGAAGCCTAAGTGGGACACATCATGTGTTTAAATCACTACCACAGGTATTGTTTTCCTTGATGACATCTCATGCTGTATCTTGAGTTCCCTCCAAATTCATTGTTTATTTTGTCATAGGATTTTCACAGTAATAAAGGAAAAGTGTTGTAATTTTTAAAAATTATGGGTAGTTTGGTCATTGATTGGCATTTGTAATACTTTCTGAATATTAATATATATACTGGTTTCCTTTTCTGTTAACTTCAAGAAGACTGGTATTATCTATTGGCTATTTGGCATTTTAATAACATGTTTTTAAAGACCTAAAACACAATCTCTAAAGGCATAGAAAGGTACTCAAAGCAACCAGTAATTGAGAGAATTATTTAGGTGTTTGTATACATTCAACAATGTATACAATGGGGAGGTGATTAAAAAACTGTGACTTTACCTTTAGTCTACATCCATGGCCTTTCATTAATTAATACATTTTTAAAATTTCAACTTCTATTTTATATTCACGGGGTACATGTCAATGTTCTTTTACCTGGTTGTATTGCATGGTGCTTAGATTTGGAGTACGAATGATCCTGTCACCCAGGTACTGAGCATAGCACCCAACAGTTACTTTTTCAACCCTTTCTACCCCCTCTAGTAGTCCCTATTGTATGTTGTTGCCATCTTTATGTCCATGAGTACCCAGTGTTTAGCTCACACTTATAAGTGAGGTCATGTGGTATTTGGTTTTCTGTTCCTGCACTAATCTGCATAGGATAATGGCCACTTGCTACATTCATGTTGCTGCAAAGGACATGATTTTGTTCTTTTACCTGGCTGTGTAGTATTCCATGGTGTGTATATGTGCCACATTGTTTTTATTCAGTCCACTGTTGATGGGCACCTATGTTGATTCCATGTCTTTACTGTGGTGAATAGTGCTGTGATGAACATACTAGCACACGTGTCTTTATGGCAAAAAAATTATTTATTTTTTATATATATACCCACTATTGAGATTACTGGGTTGAATTGTAGTTCTGTTTTAAGTTCTTTGAGAAATCTCCAAACTGCTTTCCACAGGGGCTGAATTAATTGACATTCCCACCAATAGTGTATCATCATTCCCTTTTCTCCACAGCCTTATCAGCATGTGTTGTTTTTTGACTTTTTATTAATAGCCATTCTGACTGGTGTGAGATGATATTCTCCTTGTAGTTTTGATTTGCAAGTGCAAATCTCTGATAATTAGTGCTAATGATTAGTGATGTGGAGTATTTTTTCATGTGTGTTGGCCATTTGTATGTCTTGTTTTGCGAAGTGCTGTTCATGTCTTTTGCCCATTGTTTAATGGAGTTATTTGTTTTGTGCTTGTTCATTTGTTTAAGTTCCTTATAGAGCCTTGATATTAGACTTCTGTTGGGTGCGTAGTTGCAAATATTTTCTCTGATTCTATAGTTTGTTTACTCATAGTTTCTTTTGCTGTGGAGGAACTCTTTCATTTAATTAGGTACCATTTGTCAATTTTTTTGTTGTTGAAATTCCTTTTGAGTACTTAGTCATAATTCATTCTCAAGGCCAGTGTCCACAATGGTGTTTCCTAGGTTTTCTTCTAAGATTCTTACAGTTTGAGGTCTTACATTTAAATCTTCAGTTCATCTTGAGTTAATTTTTGTATATGGTGAGAGGTAGGGGACCAGTTTCATTTTTCTGCATATGGCTAGCCAGCTATCCCAGCACCCTTATTGAATAGGGACTCCTTTCCCTATTGCTTGTTTTTGCTGCCTTTATCAAAGATTGTCAGATGGGTATAGGTGTATGGCTTTATTTCTTGGTCCACTGGTCTGTGTATCTGTTTTTGTACTTTTTTTGGTTACTGTAGCCCTGTAGTATACTCTGAAGTCAGTGTGATGCCTCTGGCTTTGTTCTTTTTGCTTAGGATGGCTTTGGCTATTTGGGCTCTTTTTTGGATCCGTACGAATTTTAGAATAGTGTTTTCTAGTTCTGTGAAAAATGACATTGGTAGTTTGATAGGAGTAGCATTTACTCTGTAGTTTGTTTTGAGCAGTATGGACATTTTAATGATATTGATTATTCCAACCTATTAGCTTGGAATGTCTTTCCAGTTGTCTGTCATCTGTTATTTCTTTCAGCAGTGCTGTGTAATTCTCCTTGTAGAGATCTTTCACCTCCTTGTTAGATGAATTCCTAGGTATTTTATTATTATTATTATTATTGGCAGCTACAGTAAATGGGATTGTGTTCTTGATTTGGCTCTCAGCTTGAACATTATTGGTTTGTAGAAATGCTACTGATTTTCATACATTGATTTTGTATTCTGAAACTTTACTGAAGCCATTTGTCAGTTCCAGGAGCCTTTTGGTGGAATCTTTAGGGTTTTCTAGGTATAGAATTATGTCATCTGCAAAGTTTGACTTTTCCTAATTGGATACCTTTTATTTATTTCTTTTGCCTGATTGCTCTGGTTAGTACTTCCAGGACTATGTTGAATAGGAGCAGTAAGAGTAAGCATGCTTTTCTTGTTTCAGTTCTCAAGAGGAATGCTTCGTTTTTGCCTGTTCAGTATGATGTTGGCAGTGAGTTTGTCATAGATGGCTCTTGTTATTTTGAAGTGTGTTCCTTTGATGCCTAGTTTCTTAAGGATTTGTATAGTGAAGGGATGTTGGATTTTACTGAATACTTGTTCTTCATCTATTGAGGTGATCATATGATTTTTGTTTTTAATTCTGTTTATGTAGTGAATCACATTTATTGATTTGCATATGTTAAACTAACCTTGCTTCCCCAGGAATGAAGCTTACTTGATCATGGTCAATTAAATTTTTGATGTGCTGTTGGATTCAGCTTGCCAGTATTTTGATGAAGATTTTTACATGTATGTTCATCGGGGATATTGGCCTGTAGTTTTTTTGTGTGTGTCTTTGCCAGGTTTTGGTATCAAGGTTATGCTGCCTTCATAGAGTGAGTTAGGGAGGGAGTTCCTCCTTCTCGATTTTTTTGGAATAGTTTCAGTAGAATTGGTACCGGCTTTTCCTTGTATGTCTAGTAGAGTTTGGATGTGAATCCATCTGTCCAGGGCTTTCTTTGGTTGATAGATTTTTTTATTACTGATTGAATTTTGGAACTTGATATTGGTCTGTTCAAGGTTTCAGTTGCTTTCTGATTCAGTCTTGGGAGATTGTGTTTCTAGGAATTTATCCATTTTCTCTGGATTTTCTAGTTTGTGTGATACAGGGCTTCATAATAGTCTCTGGGTTTTTTTTTTGTATTTCTGTGGAATTGGTTGTAATGTTACCTTTTCATTTCTGATTGTGTTTATTTGCATCTTCTCTTTTTTTGTTAATCTAGCTAACAGCCTATTGATCTTGTTTATCCTTTCAAAAAAAAACCAACTTTTGGTTTCATGGATTCATTGTTTGCATATTTGGGTCTCAATTTCATTCAGTTTTGCTCTGATTTTAGTTATTTCTTTTCTTTTGCTAGCTTTGGTGTTAATTTGTTTTTTTTTCTTGTTCTTCTGGGTGTGATATTAGATCATTAATTTGAGACTTTTCTTACTTTTTGAGGTAGATACATAGCACTTTCCTCTTAACACTGCTTTTGCTGCATCCCAGATAATTTCCATGATACTGTGTGGTTTTTGAGAGATCTTCTTGGTATTGATTTCTATTTTTATTCCACTGTGATCTTAGAGTATGATTGGTATGATTTCATTTTTTATAATTTATTGAGACTTGCTTTATGGCTGAGTGTGTGAGTGATCTTGGAGTATGTTCTGTGTGCAGATGAGTAGGATTTATATTCTGTGGTTGATGGGTGGGGTATTCTGTAGATGTCTGTTAGATTAAGTGTCAAATTTAAGTCCATACTTTTTTTCTTTAGTTTTCTACCTTGATGATCTGTGTGATGCTGTGAGTGGTATGTTGAAGTTCCCCACTATTGTCTTGTGGCTAAGTCTTTCCATAGGTCTAGAAGTACTTGTTTTTATGTATCAGGGTGCTCCAATGTTGAGCACATATATATTTGGGATAGTTCAGTCTTCTCATTGAATTGAACCCTTTATTATTATGTAATGCCCTTTGTCCTTTTTTACCTTTGTTGGTTTAAAGTCTGTTTTATCTGAGGTAAGAATTGTGACTCCTGCGCTTTCTGTTTTCCATTTGCATAGCAAGTTTTTTTCCAGCCCTTTACTTTGAGCCTGTGGGTGTCATTATGTGTTAGATGGGTCTCTTGTAGAATGCCGATGGGCCTTGTTTTTGTTTTGTTTTTTTTTTTTTTTTTTAATCCAGCTTTCTACTCTGTGCCTTTCAAGTGGGATGTTTTGATCATTTACATTTAAGGTTAATATTGTTATGTGAAGTTTTGATTCTATCATGAAGTTGTTACTGATTGCTTTGTAGTTTCTATTGTATAGTTGCTTTACAGGGACTATGGCTCTGTCCTTGTGTTTTTGTGGTAGCAGATACTGTTCTTTTGTTTCCCTGTTTAGAACTTCCTTAAAGATCTCTTGTTAAGGCTGGTATAGTGGTAACTGATTGTCTTAGTGCTTGCTTGTCTGGAAAAGATTTTGTTTCTCTTTCACTTATGAAGCTTATAGTTTAGTGGGATATGAAATTCTTGGGTGGAATTTCTTGAAAAATTCTGCAAATAGCTCTCAATCTCTCCTGGCTTGTGAGGTTTCTGCTGAGAAGTCTGCTGTTAGCCTAATGGGGTTCCCCTATGTAATCTCTTTTCTTTAGGTGCCTTTAAGGTTTTTTCTTTAGTGTTGACCTTGGACAGTCTAGTGCTATATGCCTTGGTGATCTTCATTTTGTATAGTATTTCTCAGGGGTTCTGGATTTCTTATACCTGAATGTCTACCTCTCTAGCAGGATTAGGGAAATTTTCTGAATTATTCCCTCAAACATGTTTTTCAGTTTGTTTAGTGTTTCTTCTCTGGAATGCCAGTAGTTAATAGGGTTGGTTACTTTACATGATTTCATATTTCTCAGAGACTTTGTTCATTTTTTTAAAATTCTTTTTTCTTTATTTTTGTCTAGCTGGACTAGTTTGAAAGACTGGCCTTCAAGTTCTGGAATTCTTTCTTCTGCTCAGTTCAGTCTGTTGATAAAGCTTTCAATTGTATTTGGAAATTCCATAAGTGAGTTTTTCAATTCCAGAAGTTTGTACTGATTTCTTTTAAAGATGTTTATCTCTTCCTTCATTTCTTGGATTGCTTTAGAAGTTTCTTTGTATTGATTTTCAATTTTGTCTTAGATCTTGTTGAGCTTCCTTGCAATCCATGCTTTGAATTCTTTGTGTCTTTTTTCTGAGTGTCTATTTTGGTTAAGGACCATTTCTAGAAAGCTAGTGATATTTTTTGTCATGTCACTACATTCAGATTTTTTTTATGGTGCCAGAATTCTTGCACTGGTTTCTTTTTTTTTTTGGAATTTTTTTATTGTACTTTTAAGTTCTGGGATACATGTGCAGAACGTGCAGGTTTGTTACATAGGTATACACGTGCCATAGTGATTTGCTGCACTCATCAACCCGCCATCTACATTAGGTATTTCTCCTAATGCTATCCCTCCCCTAGCCCCCCACCCCCCGACAACCCCGGTGTGTGATGTTCCCCTCCCTGTATCCATGAGTTCTCATTGTTCAACTCCCACTTATGAGTGAGAACATGTGGTGTTTGATTTTCTGGTTTCTTATCTAGAGATTCTGGCACTTCAAATTTTTATAATATTTTTGTGCAGATAGGATTTTTTAGTTTTCTTTCTTTCCTTATAATATTATTTTTGTTTGTTTGTTTGTTTGTTTTCTTTCTCTTTCCCTCTCTAGGGGGTGTGACTATAGAGAATGCAGAGTAGGGTCTTTGGGCTTTGCTTCCATAGCCCTATGCACTTCTGTTGGCAGGTTGTATATTGGGCTATGCAGTTTAACCTACAAGCCAGTAGATGGTGCTTGTTAGTAACAGCCAATTGCAGCCAGTGCAGCAGGGTATATACTTAATCCTTGTTTACTGGGAGAACTCTCTATTGCCTCAGGCAATGGGCTGATTCTTGGATTGCACAGTTGTCTGAGCTCCCTGCTCAGCCCCGGGGAGTAGGGGCCAAGATGGGCAGGACGAGACTGGGCAGATCTGCCTACAGATCCCCCAGTGGCAGGTGTGGACACCAGCGCTGAGGGAGAATCTACCTGGCAGCCACTAAATGCCCAGAGGCATACCTAAGTGTGGAGCTAAGAAACCCTCCCAGCCCCAAGTTCTCTGGACAGGGTTCGGGGGATGGCATGAGCTCCTAATCTAGGAGAGCTCCAGGTGCCTGGAGCTCTGCCTAGGCATGGAGCAGGGAGGGCCCCTCTGTATGAAAATCTCTGCACAGGAGATGTAGGTTAACTCAGGCTGTTGAAACAGGCAAACAGGTGCTTTGAATGCCTGAAAGTCCACCTGGGTGTGAAGCAGAGAGGGCCCCCCAACACCAGATCTATGAATAGGAAAGGTGGGACAGTTCAGGCTGCAATCTGGGCAAGGTGCTTTGAATGCCTGGAGGTCTGCTTAGAAATGGAGTGGATAGGGCCTGGCTGCACTGTGATGTATGCACAGGAAGGGTTGGGGTAGTATGGCCTTTAATTTATACTAAAAGTGCATGTGATTTTGCACATCCTCCCATTCCCATTATCTGGCAGAAGCTATCCATTGAGATATTATTATGTAACTGCTTTGCTAGCTTTTCTGGGTAACATATTTTATGTTCTTTTGAACTAGGGATTCACTCTGTGTGTGTGTGTGTTTGTTTAAAGGAAAGAAGGAGTGAAAGAGGGAGGAAGGGAGGGAGAGAGGGAAGAAATGAGGATAAAGGATTGCTATCATTAGTATTTTATGAGTGCTTTATCTCCTCAAGCATCAGGTAAGTCTGGAAGAGGAAAATTTCATGTTAATTGCTGCAAATCTTTGAGTGAAAATTCCTCAAAGAGATCTGTGCATGTTTGTTTATAATTACGTTTTGTGAGATGATCACTAGTAAATATACTAAAATTCTTTTAGATAGGTTTTGTGTGTGTGTATGCTTTCTCTAATTTTTTATTACATGATGCATTTTTCTTTTCCCAATAGAACCTCTGTATTACTGGCAACAGACTGAAGATGATTTGACAGTAACCATACGGCTTCCAGAAGACAGTACTAAGGAGGACATTCAAATACAGTTTTTGCCTGATCACATCAACATTGTACTGAAGGATCACCAGTTTTTAGAAGGAAAACTCTATTCATCTATTGATCATGAAAGCAGTACATGGATAATTAAAGAGAGTAATAGGTATTTTTTTTTAATTTTACTTTAATATTCTATTATCTTTTTTTCTTTTCTTTTTACTCTTTCCACAGTGGTTACATCAGAGATTAATACAATAGTTCTGTCTGTATTGCTGGTTACTTTTCTTAAGATATATTAAAAATAGAATTACTGTGTCAAAGAGCATATTTCTAGTTGAAATTAAAGATAGTAGCATAGCTATCACTTGGAGAATATGGTAGTGCTTTGTTTTACCAGCTCTGGATACAATAATAATCATAGGTGAAAATGGCTATTTTAAATTGCACTTTTTCAAACTTTTTAATAGAAATAATTTTTTTAACTTTAGTTTGCTGGCTTGATAATATATTTCCATTCTTTAAAATTTTAAATATACAAAAGGATGTAGAGTGAGAAGTCTGCCTCCAACACAAGCCTATGGGTCACCCATCCTCCCACTCCTCACAATCAGTGTTGTTACATTTTACATACATTCAAGCATGACACATACTTTTTCCTTTTCTTTAAGGAAAACTACTTTTGGCGGCTAGCTGCAGTGGCTCACGCCTGTAATCCCAACATTTGGGATGCTGAGGTAGGAGGATTGCTTGAGGCCAGGAGTTTGTGACCAGCCTAGGCAAGAAGAGAAAACCCTGTCTCTAACAACAATAAAAAAGTTTTTTGACACATACTTTACACAATTATACATCTTGCTTTTGTTCACTTGCAATGATAAATCTTAGGGATCTTTCCATAATGAATATATAAAAATTATTAAATTCTCTTTTATGACATCACGGTATTTTATTCTATCAACTGCACCATCATTTTAGACAATTAATCCTCTATTGTGTTAATTTAGGTTGTTTTCAATAACTTCTGTTTATATACATATTATTTCACATGTGTAGAAATATATATGAAGGATAAATTTCTAAAAGTGGAATAATTAATATTTCTTTGTAAATTGTAGTAATTTTTTCTTATGTAAATTCTCCATTTACATTTGTTTTTTGAACTGTGTGTTCAGGACACAAAGCCATAAAAGAAATACATAAGTGGCCAGGCACAGTGGCTCATGCCTGTAATCCCAGCACTTTGGGAGGCTGAGGCGGGTGGATTGCCTGAGGTCAGGAGTTCGAGACCAGCCTGACCAACATGGTGAAACCCCGTCTCAACTAAAAACACAAAAATTAGCTGGGCGTGGTGGCGGGTGCCTGTAATCCCAGCTACTTGGGAGGCTGAGACAGGAGAACTACTTGAACCCGGGAGGCGGAGGTTTCCGAGACCAGGCCATTGCTTTCCGGCCCTGGGCAATAAGAGTGAAACTACGTCTCAAAAAAAAAAGAAAGAAATACATAAGTTAGACTTCATCAAAACAGACATTTTCTGCATATCAAAATTAAAAATTTTTGTTCTTCTAAAGATACCATTAAGAGAACAAAAAGGTAAGCCATGAACTGGGAAAAAATATTCACAGTATTCATCTTAAACCAAAGGACTTTCATTCTTAGTGTATAAGGAAGCCTTACAAATTCATAATAAGCCAATTTTTTAAATGGTCAAATTATTTGAATAGACATGTCACAATAGAAGATAGATGAACAGCTAGTAAGCACATCAAAAGGTAATTATCATTAGACATTAGGAAAATTAAAACTAGAGTGAGACACCAATACATGACTAAAACTTTGAAGACTGACAGTATCAAACGTTGGCAAGGATGTGGGGCACCAGCAACTCATTCATATCTGGTACGAGTGTAAAATAATAATACAATCACTTTGGCAGACTGTTTAGCAGTTTCATATCAAGTTAAACATATACCTATTTTTAATCTTAACAATTCTACTCCTTGATGTTTAACCAAAATAAATGAATGTATATAATTTTTTGTTTTTCTGAGACAGGGTCTCACTCTGTTGCCCAGGATGGAGTGCAGTGGCACAGTCACTCAGCTAATTTTTGTATTTTTTGTAGAGATGGGGTTTTGCCATGTTGCTCAGACTGGTCTCGAACTCCTGACCTCAAGCGATCTGCCTGCTTCGACCTCCCAAAGTGCTAGGATTACAGGTGTGAGCCACCATGCCCAACTGAAAATATATGTTAAAAAACAAAACAAAGCCAAAACAAATTTGCAAACATATATTCATAGCAGGCATACTTATAAAAGCCAGAAATATCTCTAGTGTTACTGAAAAGGTGAATGGATAAGTACGTGTGGTATATTCATACAATGGAATGTTACTCTGTAATAAAGTGCTAGCAATAAATAAAAAGCAATATGAATGAATTAAAAACATGTGGAGTGAAAGAAGCCAAAGACAAAAAATCATACTGTATGATTCCACATATGGAGTTCTAGAACTGGCAAAACTAATCTATGGTGATACAAATCAGAACACTTGTTATCTCTAGGGTGTAGGGAGATTGACTGAAGAAAGGCCAAGGGAACTGCCTGTATGGTGGAAATAATTCAGTATCCTCATTGGGTTACAAAGGTGTATGCATTTGTCAAAATCAGTAAATTCTACACTTAAAACCTGTGAATTTTATTTATAAATTACACCTCAATTAAAGGAGCAAAACTGTGTCTTTTTAAAAAAAGATAAAGTTAAGTGTCTTTTAAAATTATAATCCTTTGCCCCCCACAACTGTGCCATTTTGCAAATCTATTATTCCAGGCAGTTTTTTCCCCAATTATTTGGATTACTAAAATTACTTTCTTTTATTTTAAATCAAGTCTTAGTAATTATTAAATTCAGTGATGGATTAATGAATAGAGTTAGGCAGTTAATTTTTTAAATAGTCAAATTTGGTCAGAAATGAGAAATGGTTGATTTAAAATACAACCTAAATCTTGTGCTTTAAGTTGATGTTACATAGAGGATAACTTAGATGTTTTTACACAAAGTATAGTTCTTAATTAGTAGTATATGATCCATGTGAGTCTGATACAAGTCTAAATCATGAGCATCCAAGAAAAATATATCTAGCTCATAGAAAGTTTGAAGTTGTAAAAGGTATCTTACATTTTATTAATGAAGACATTTGGTGATTTTGTTACACTTTTTAATATATCAAAAATAATTGCTTGAAAGTTTCTTTTAAAAGTATTTTGTATCTCCACATACTCCATTTAATTATGTTTATGTGTATGTGAGTCACATTTACAAATTGGCAAGCCAACTAGAACATATTGTTAAATGTAAGTCATCAAGCAGTAACCCAGCAAAGGTCTGGGGGAATAGCTTGACTTCATGTAAGTAGTTTCAGCATTCAATGCATCAACATAGATCAGTATTATTTTTCCATTAAATTTGAGGTGTTTGATTATTATTTTGTGTTAAAAAAGATAACTACAATGTAGCGTAGGTGGTATTGTTGTTTTAAAAACACGATTTTCTGTACTTGAGTAAATTATTCGTACCTCTCGTTTTCAAAAGTTACTGTTGTCTCACTTTGGAAAGATTTTTTTAACTAATCTGTAGTTTATTATATTTGGCATTGTTTGGGGTTTTTTTTTTGCTTGGATGGTAGCATACAATACTAGTTTTAAAACGTACAAATGCAGTCTTAGAAGAAGGGTGCACTGATTAACTGTGCAAATTAATGATGGTTTGGAAATTATAACAGATTGTATCAACTCTTTCAGACCTCTTTAGGTAGCAACTAAGAACAGTTCACTGGGTAAGTGTTCTTTAATAGTTATTTACATATATTTTTTCAGAGAGGCAGAATAGTGCAGTAGTGAAGAACATGGACTTAGAGCCAGACTGTTTAAATAGCTTGTGACCTTGGCAAGTTGCTTAACCTCAGTACTTTTTTTTCTTACTTGTAAAATGGTGATGATAATAATATTTACAGTACTTTATTTGGTTGTTGTAACCAATGAGTTAAAACATGTAAAGTGCTTAAGACAGCACCTGACATATAGGTAAGTATAAGCTATGGTCATTATTACTATTATTATCATCATCATTATTATCAAGATTACCTTTATCCTTAGAAAATGTAACTCAGTCTGGGGGCTGGGCACGGTGGCTCACACCTATAATCCTAGCACTTTGGGAGACCAAGGCAGGCAGATCACTTGAGGCCAGGAGTTTAAGATCAGCCTGGCCAACATGACAAAACCCTGTCTCTACTAAAAATACAAATATTAGCCAGGTGGGCATGATGGCGTGGCCTGTAATCCCAGCTACTTACTTGGGAGGCTGAGGCACGAGAGTCACTTGAACCCGGGAGTTGGAGGTTGCAGTAAGAGAGATTGTGCCATTGCACTGCAGCCTGGGCAAGAGAGTGAGACTCTGTCTCAAAAAAAGAAAAGATGTAACTAAATCTGGGCTTTTATTGTGGGAGTAATTTTCAGTGCTAATTATAAGTACTCATATTATTATTTTGTATAGTCTCTTAAAATAGGTAGTTTCAGAAAAATGTTAAATGCTGTAATTCATAAGGTAGTGATTGTAACAGTCTTGAAAAAGAACAGCTGGTAAGTTTGCGTGTCCTATTTGATAACTATAATAGTTATTATTGTATTCTTGCAGTTGTGTTCCAGGGCATGAGCTAATATGGTACATGTGTACGAAAGATGGCACATGGAAAAGGTTGCTTTGTTGTGGAATAGCTATTACCACTCCCCTTTTCTGTTATAGCAGTGGGTGCTCCCAAAGCATCTTACTTGGGTTTTCCTTCCTATTCCAGAGGAACATGGGACAAGTTACTTCTTCTCCTATGTCCGTAGTCTGCCTTGACTCTGCTCTCTTTCCCTTTCCTGCTGCATCAGTCCTTGATCTCAGGGTTCCCTGACAGACCATTTTAAGTGCATCTGGAATTGTTTAGTTGTTTACATGTACAGAATTAGATTTTAAATAAGTTAATAGAGAACACATTAACATCTTTTTTCCCTGTATTACCAAAGTTAATTTTTTTCCTTATTTCTACTTTTCAGTTATTTAACATCTGTATTTTAAAATTAAGATTTGCGTTGATTTAACCTGCTTGATCTTCAGGTTAATAATCATATATTATGGCTCTTAGTTTGTGAAAATAAAGTTAATTGTTGATTCCAGACACAAAGAATTATCCTTTAATTACAGCCCTTTTACTCTTTGCTTACATGCCCACACCCCCGACCATTCCCCAGATGTCTTATAGATCCATGCTTCTTGTATTTCTATTAAGTTCAGGAACATACTGCATACCAGTACTTTCTGGATGACTTGACTCTTTCCAGGCAATCCTCTCTTCAGGCCATTTGATGTACCATTTCCAGTGGTACTTTCTTTCTTTATTAAATCTGGACTATTTGCCATTGGATTATAGGTTTTCCATCACATGCAAAACTTAAATGAGCAAGATTTTTGGTAAACCATCCTCTGGACACCGGAGGGTTCTTTCTATAGAAGATAGAAACAAACAATGTTTGCTACTGATTGTATAATTTGTATAATTGCTTAATGTAACATTACTTTTCCCATTTAAACTTCTAGCTTGGAGATTTCCTTGATTAAGAAGAATGAAGGACTGACCTGGCCAGAGCTAGTAATTGGAGATAAACAAGGGGAACTTATAAGAGATTCAGCCCAGTGTGCTGCAATAGCTGAACGTTTGATGCATTTGACCTCTGAAGAACTGGTAAGTAGTTGGAATAGTAGTGTGACTTTCCAAGGGTCCAAAAATATGTTATGTGAAGATTATGCCATGCTTTTCAAACAATATTTTGCTTTTCCTAATATAAAAGATACATATCAGATACTACTGATCTGAGTGATGTTTGAATATGGCCTAAGTTCTAATATTTATTTCTTACACTATGTAAATACATACATATATGTGTGGTCATACTGTATAGAGGGTTTGCCTGTATCTGTTTATGTGTGCGTATGTATTGTGCGCTCTCTCTCTCTACATGTATTCTTTAGGAGAATCAACTGACCAATGCTGGTAGGACAAAAATTATGTTACAATTTATTTGCTAAGAATCTACTTATCCCTAAAATTTTTGAGGTGAGTTTACAATTTTGCAAGGATATATGTATCATATATAGTATAGTTATTTTTTCTTTATAATGTAATTCATTGTGATAATTACAGTGACAACACAATACTTAATCATGAGGTTGAATACATTCCCACTCTCATGACGTGTAAGATCATGTTAAGAATGTGAACAAATACAGCAGTACATCAGAACTTGAAATTATGTGTTCGTTTTCTAACAATGATATCAGCATATGAAAGATGTCTGGTTTATTGCCATCTTGAATTATAGAGATGAGGAAGACTGTGCAAAAATTATTTATACTGTAATGTTACTTGCATCCTAAGATAGAAAAGAAGGACTGGAATATTGAAAGTGAATGTCACTATCAAAAGGAAACATGGCTAAATAGAGAAACTAAGTTTCATGTTTGCCAGTAGTAATTGAAAATTTCAGAAATCACTGGAATTCTTATGTAGGACTGCAAAACTTTGATTTCATAGCCCTGTTTACAACAAGCCATGCAGGCTGCATTGCCTTATATTCGCTCATTCAGCAAGTATTATTGTATTAGGCTCTGGGGATATAATAGTGACAGTAGTGGAGATGTGTTTTGAGATTGTAGATAATTGCAGTTAACTACTTGTTAAACTCAATGGTTTCAATTGAATGTTAGTGTTTATGAGAAAGTTATTTATGCCTGAACACCAGTGTGTTTGTTAGATTATGAGAAGACAAATATACAATCTCATCTGCAGCTGAAGGCAGTTTTATGTTTTTCAATTATTCATACTTGCCTTACTGCAGTGGTTAGAATGTCTACTCCACAGCTATATAGAACTCTCGAATGGTAAAAGCAGACATTCTTGCCTTATTTGTGATCTTGGGGAAAATAATCGACTTTTATCATTAAGAAGGATAGGTTCTTTTTATTACATTGAAGAAATTTTCTTCTATTTGTAGTGTGCTGAGAGTTTTTATCATGAATGATTATAGAATTTTCTGCATTGGTGGGATAAGCCCGTCTTGGTCATGATGTATTATCCTTTTACATATTGCTGAATTTGATTTGCTCATATTTTCTTGGGGATTTTTATGTCTATTTGTGAGGAATATTGGATAGGTTTTTTGTTTTGTGTTGTTTTGTTTTTTGCCATCTTTTTCCAGTTTGGGTATCTGGGATAATAACCTTGTAAAATGATTAGGGAAGTGTTCTCTCTTCTATTTCTAGAAGAGAATGTATAGAATTAGTGTTATGTCTTAAAATGTTTGGTAGAATTTGTCAGTAAAACAATCTGGACCTTGAGTTTGCTTTTTTGGAAGGCACTTAACTATGGTGCCTTAGTTTTTAATGTTTTTCATTTCTTTTAACAGATATAGGTCTAATGTGAGCATCTGTTTCCATTGCCTTTGTTTTTCAGTTTTCCATTTCTTATTTTCTGTGTTAAATTTATTATGTTCTTCCTTTTGTTTACCGGGGATATATTTTGCTCTTTTTTTCTATTTTTGAAGGTGATACTTAGTTGATTTTTGACCTTTCTGTTCCAATGAAAGCACTTAATGTTGTACATATCCTTCTAAGCACTACTGTAGCTGCATTCTCTAAATTTTTGCCTACCTTCTTAATTCCATAGGGATTGATTTGATTTGATGCTGGGCTTCAGTCTTTTACATGGCTGATTTATTCCATGTTTATTCTTACACCTAAGGCAAAACTTTTCATTTATCTCAACTGAAAGCCTAGGATGGTTACCAGGTCTTCTCCTACTGTGTGGACTCTGAAGTCTAATTTTTGACTCCCAAGCACTTTAATACCCCAAACTCAGCTTTTTAGCTCCTTATTTGCTGCTTTCCGCTTGTCTTTTTCGACTCAGTTTAGAAATCAGCAAATGGTCCTTGGAAAGCAGTATAGCATGTTTGACCCTTTTCTCTGCAATTTCCTTGTCTCTCTAATCTTGTCCTGTGAAGCACTGGTGGCCTTGATAGTCCCGAACTTTTAATTTTTTCTGCTTCTAAAGTATGAATAATTGGAAGGGGAAGGGAAGGAGAAATCTATAGGGTACTTTCTCTATTCTGCTGGACATAGATATCTCCTTGAGTCACTGTGCACAATGGCATCAACTAACCAGGAGATTGTTGGCGGTGCCTTTACAGCCAGCCACAGCAACCATAATTGTTCCCATTGATATTTAGAGTAGAGGCAACAGCCACAACTAGGTGGTTCCATATCCCAGCTGGGACATGGACACATGTTGAGTATGTAGATCTTCTAGAACTCCCATCCATTTAGTTTCAGATTCTCTCAGTTCATTTCATTAAGTTCTTAATAACATGAGAATTAACATATCTCTGTATCTTAGCAAACTAGATGTTTACACATTTGGTCAGTTGTAGAATTGTATTTCTGCTATATGCAAATATTGTATAATTTATTCCTTAATTATTGTGATCCTGTTACTCTGTGAGGTATATAAGACCAGACAGTGACCCTTGCATTGAAGCAAGGGAACATTTAAAAATTGCTTTTATGAATTTATGAATTTTATGAATTTATTTATGTCTACTTTAAGCATATTGTTAACTATATTTCAATGTTTCTGTTTGGGTAGATATTTGCGTGTGTGTGTGTGTGTGTGTGTGTTTTAGTGGTTCTAGAGGTTACATATTTGACTTATCACCAACTATCTTTAAAAACTGTATCATCTATAATTTAAGAAATTTATATTTTCCACTCTATTCTTTGTATTATTGTTGTCTTACATTTTATATTTTATATTCTATTAAAATTAATAATACCTTGTTATTTTAGCTATAGTCAGTAATTCTCTTTTAAAAGAGATTAAAAATGTGAAAAACAGGTCTTTCATTTACTCTTATATTTGCCTTTTCCTCTATTCTGCATTCCTTTGTGTTGATTGACATTTTCATCTGATGTTATTTTTTTCTGGCTTGAGAGCTTCTTTTAGCATTTTTTCTAGTGTAGATTTGCTGGTGATAAATTCTCTCAGCTTTTTTCTGCAAAAATATTTCTCTTTTCTTCCCTTTTCCAAAGTTATTTTTGTTATGTATATAATTTGGTGTTGACAGGTTTTTGTTTTTGTTTTTTTCTCTTACACCTTCAAATATCCACCATTGTATTCCGGCCTACATAGTTTCTGATGAGAAGTCAGCTGTCTTTTACATCTTTGTTCCTCTGTAAATAATGTATCTTTTCCTCCTCTGTCTGCTTTTAGGAATTTCTTTATTTCTGCTTTTCAGAAATTTAATTATAATGTGACTTACTGTGGTTTTTGATTTTTTAAAGAAAATGTTTGTTGTGCTTGGAGTTCTTTGACATTCTAAAGTGTTGGCCATTACTTATTTGCAATTTTTTTCCCCATTCTTCTTGCCCTCCTCCAGTTACCCATATGCTAGACCATTTGATATTGTTCCACAGGTCACTGAGTTTCCCTGCTTTTATGTTTTGTCTTTGTGCTTCATTTTGTAGTCACTATTGCTATTTTTCAAGCTCGCTGGTCTTTTCTCCTGCAGTGTCTAATCAGCTGTCTGTCACATCTGTTTTGTTTTTCATTTCAGATTTGTGTTTTTATATCCAGAAGTTCAGTGTGGTTCTTTCATCTCTCTCTTTCTCAACATGGTTATGTTTTCCTTTACATCTTTGAGTATATGGAACTGTTTATAATACCTGTTTTCATATCCTTTTCTGTTGACTTCATCATTCTGTTATTTCTGTTTTTGTGATTATGATTTTATTGGTCATAGGTTTGCAATTCATTTTTAATTACTGCTGTAACCTTAAAATTTTTAAAGATGAAGAAACCCATTCCCTTGTTTATTTGTTTTACTTATTTACTTATTTTATTTTCTGGACTAAGAATCCAAATCCAGATAAAGAAAAACCACCTTGCAATGCTCAAGAGTTAGAAGAATGTGATATTTTCTTTGAAGAGAGCTCCAGTTTATGCAGATTTGATGGCAATACATTAAAAACTACTCATGTGGTAAGTTACTGATATTAATATTTCTAAAATTTTGTCAGTAGTTACTCAGATAATGATTGGTCTAAATATGTTTTTCAAAGATACTTGATTAGCAGTTACTGGCTTTGATAAGTCTCATCACTCCATAAAGTAGCATCTTTTCATACTACCACACTCAGCAAAACAGTGTTGTATAGTTTTGGTACCACTGTATATTGATATCTTTCAAGTGGTGCTTTTCTGGACAGCTTTTTAATATACAATTGTGACCCTGTAATGTATAATAACTTCACTTTTTTTTTTTCATTCAACAGTATGGACTTAAGTGTTTCCTCATGTTATTGAAATGTCTGGTTTAATGGTTGGATTATGCTATGATGTTGGTCATGTCTGCATGTAGTGGTTCTACACATTACAATAAGTAATAACTTTTTTAAAGTACATTATTTATGATGATGCTATTTTTAAAAATCTCTGTCATATGAAGCCTTTTCTATTTCCAGGGATATTTATCTAATAACGAGTTACAGAATTCAAATTAATGAATCATAAGCCTCTGACAAATTGATTACCACTTATATTTTTATTAGTAATGATTGCAGTTATTGCCTGATTCACTGCATCTTCACCTTCACTTTTGTTTGATCATTATTAATTGGTGTGTAGAATAAACTTGTGCCAATCTTTTTTTTTTTTACTGTCAAGTTATTTTATGTAATAACTATTTCTTTTGTGAAGTTTTTATTTGTCTTAGTGTTTCTTACCAATTTGTATGATGTGTTTTAAATTTGAATAATGCTTCTATATCAAGTGAGTTAATTTTTTTCTTCTTTTTATATTTTGGAATGTTTTTTATTCAGCTCATTAATTCATCTGGAATTTGTTTTTCCTTTTCTCTCTGGTGTGCCATATATGCATATATTTCACACCCCACCTTAAGGCACCCCCCCCCCCCCCCGCCCCCGCCACCTCAAAATTACACTCTTTTTACAAGCTTTGACAGATTTGTATTAAGATACTGAAGAAGACTGCCTGGAGTGGCTTGGTGCAGTAGATGTAGATTTTTTTTTTTTTTTTTTTAATTTAGAACCTTATTAGATATTCCTTCTTAGGGGAATCCTTAACCATTAGTTAATACTACTAAATGTGTTTCATAGAGTTGTTTATGTGAGCAGGGTGTCTCAGCAAATCAGTGGCTAATTTAGAGCTGTGCATATAGAAATTAATCTAGTGTTATTACTGAAACCAGAAGGAAATTTAGGAGACTCATTCCAAGCAAAAGCAACAGAGGAGATTGAGAACAACTTGGTCTTTTGTTTCTGTTTTTAGACTTGTGAGTCTTTGATACAGGTTTCAAAGGTTCTGTTTTCAAGAAAAACCTGAAAAATGTCTGCCAAGTGTGCCCTGATGTTTCTTTGTCACGTAGAGATTTGGGGGAAAGTGTATTCTAGCAGAATTCATGTAACCGAAGTTAAAAGTGTCATGGGAAGCTGGCTTACCAGGTCTGAGTTCTGGCCCAACATTTTACTGACTAAAAGGAAATATAACTGTTCTTCTCACTCGCTATCCCTTCCTAGTCTTTTTGGATACTTACCAGCTTTATTTAATGGCTGAACATTAATTAGTACTCAAAGAAGTAAAATGAGCATTTCTAGATTACACCAGTGTAGATAAATGAGGTGGAATGGCATAGGACCAATGGCTAGGCAGAAGTACCATTTGAAACTGTATCAAAATTAAATATTTGCTTTTACAATTAATTTCTATCTCTTCAATGCTCTCTTGTTCACCACACTTTAACACCAGTAAGTTCTAAAAAGCACATGTATGACATTTTACCAGTGTCCTCAACACCTACCAAATGTTCTGATTCATAATAGATGCTTAATATATTTCTTTAGAATTATCTTTTAGTGACAGTCATTAAATTAAAAAAATGGTTTTAGGTCCATCTTGGATCTCAAGAAATGAATATCTTTCATTTTCCCGCTTCCTCTTCAATTACTCTTCTAATTGAAGAGTAAGCAGTATTCTTAATCAGATTATTATATCCAGGCTGGGTACTGGTCAAAACCCAAGATTATTGGAGCTGTTTTGATTTTTTAGGAGTTTTACTTCCTAGATGTTGTTTAGTTTTGACATAATCCCATACATGATTCCCTGAATTGTGATAAATAAGAGCTATCACATAGCTGCTCTTCTTTTTATTACCTTGGGTTAAATTTTAGAGAACCAGTTGCAGGCGTGACTGATAGAAGGCTGTTGAATCTGACTTAACTGGAGATTATTTGTTCTAATAATGAAGAATCTGGTTGTTCTTCTTAACGTTATAGTTTTAGGTGCTATAACTCTTAGATACTGTTTTCTGCCAAACTTTTGAAGGCAGCTATATCTTAGGTGTCATAAAATGCTGTGGTTTAAACGTAGCTTCCCTGAGAATTTCAGTTCATCTTAGTACTCCTAAGTATTGTTGATCAGTAGTTTAATGTTGGTCACTAAGATACCCCCAGTTTATGATACCTTTCTTCATTTCCTATGTTTGAGCATGTTAATTAAAACCAAGCAATGGCAAAATAAAACCATTATTACTGATACATTACAGTACCAAAGCTTAGTGGATCTGCTTACTAAGTCCTAGAATTTAGCAGATTTAACTATAGTCACAGGCAATGTTACATCAGCTCTGGCTGCCCCTAGAGGGGCAGCTGAAACCTCTTCTTTCCTGAGGCCTCTAGCTCCTTATAGGAAAAAGTGATAGAACTGAGCAAAATACACCGATTTTTCTTACATTTACCAATCAAATGTGACTTCACTCCTCAGGAATTTATAAAAGCTAGAATGTTATAGCAGTGGATCTTCTCAGTGTCGTAGATGGAAACATCAAGAGTGGGGAAGAAGTCCAATATATAATAAAAAGGGACAATCTTTCCAGCTTCAAAGAAATTCCATATTTCATCTTCTTCATTTTACAGATTTATTAAGACAAGCTGAGATAGATGGAGTTTATATGGGATCAAAGCGAGAGTCAGTAGTAGAAACTAGATCTCTCGGGCTGCCAGTATGCTTTCCATAATTTTCCCTAAACAACAGGATCATAAATTTCTATTTGGAGTTACTAAGCTACTGCAGTTAGTACTTACTTCTGAATAAATACAGTTAGTCTTCTGTGTTCCTAAGAGTGTGAACAATAGATTTCTGTGGTAAGCAGGTTCTATCCTCAGTAACTTAAGAAATAAACAAATAATCCTTCACTGTACCATAGCTTTTATAGACAATATTTGATGAGACATTTCCAGTATTTTGTACATACTGTTTTAACTATTTAATCACATTTCAGAGTTTAATTGCTGGTTTAACTTCAATTAGTGTATAATTAAAACTAAAGATTCTTATCTTTGTTTCAGTTGGATTTTAAACCAAACTTTCTTTTTATGATTATAAGCCCTTTATGGTAGAACAATTTTTATTTCTTTGGATATATATACAGTCATGGGATTGCTGGGTCAGACGATAATTCTGCTTTGAGTTCTTTGAGAAATCTCCAAACTACTTTCCACAATAGCTAACTAATTTACATTCCTATTAGCAGTGTATAAGCATTCTCTTTTCTCCCCAATGTCACCAGCATCTGTTATTTTTTTACTTTTTAATAATGGCCATTCTGACTCGTGTGAGATCCTAAATACTGAGTACATATGGACACACAAATAAAAACAACAGACACCAGAGCCTACTTGAGGGTGGAGGGAGGGAGGAGGGTGAGGATTGAAAAACTACCTGTCGGGAACTATGCTTATTACCTGGTTGGCGAAATAATCTGTGCACCAAACCCCCATGACATGCAATTTACCTATGTAGCAAACTTGCACAAGTACCCCTGAACATAAAATTTAAAAATTATAAGCGTTTTGATTTTTCTATTACTAATTTTTATAAATATAGACAAAAATGCAGTGAAGTAAAAATGCATAAACGTATATGTAGAATGGATACTCATACAATGTTTGAAATTTGAAATTACCTTACATGGGAAGGTTAGTATATGTCCTTAGAGTTTTAGAAAATAATACTGTAATGAAAAGGTCAGAACTCTATGTTTTAAATGACAAATATCCCAAAATATGTTTCCTTTAAAGACATGGACATTAGGGTTAGAATTGCCATTTTGAAAATAAAATGTTAAATAAATAAATGAAGCAGCACAATAAAAGAAATATTAAATATCAGAACTGAATATTTAATATTTCTCTGAAATATTAAATTGGTCACTGAAGTGTAAAGCACAAATCAGAATTCAGATAGAATTGAAGATGAATTATTTTTACTTCTAAGAGCTATGCTGTCAAAATGTTAGCCTCTGGCCATATGGTGACTATTGAGCAATTGAAATGTGGCTAGTCTGCATTGAAATGTGGTATAAATATAAAATACACAACCAGATTTTGAAAACATGAAATACATAAAACATAAAATATTACAAATAGCCGGGCGAGGTGGCTCACACCTGTAATCCCAGCACTTTGGGAGGCCGAGGTGGGCGGATCACGAGGTCAGGAAATCGAGACCATCCTGGCTAACACAGTGAAACCCCATCTCTACTGAAAATACGAAAAAAAAAAAAAAAAAAAAAAAATTAGCCGGGCATGGTGGCAGGCACCTGTAGTCCCAGCTACTTGGGAGGCTGAGGCAGGAAAATGGTGTGAACCTGGGAGGCGGAGCTTGCAGTGAGCCGAGATCGCGCCACTGCACTCCGGCCTGGGTGACACAGCGAGACTCCGTCTCAAAAAAAAAAATTATTACTAATAAATTTTTATATCAATTTTCATGTTGAAATGATAATCATTTGGATATGTTTCATTTAATAAAATGTTATTAAAGTTAATTTATCCAGTTTCTTTTAATGCTTAAATATGGCTACTAGATAATTTAAAATTATGTATGTGGCTCCCATTTTATTTCTGTTGGACAACACTGATCTGTATTAATCAAATTATATAGACTTGAATGACCAGAAGGTGAAAGGATATTTTTAAGTATTAGATTATGGTGAATTTCTTAGATCAGATGATATTCATCTGTTGCTTAAGACAGGGGTCCCCAATCCCCTGGGCCACAGACCTTACAGGTCCCTGGCCTGTTAAGAACCTGGTCGCACAGCAGGAGGTGAGCAGTGGGTGAGCTCCGCATCCTGTCAGATGAGCAGCAGTCTTAGAGTCTCAAAATGGCGTTATTGTGAACTGTGCATGCAAGGGATCTAGATTATGCACTCCTTATGAGACTAATGCCTGATAATCTGAGGTTTCATCCTGGAACCCCCACACACCCCTGCCTTTGTCCGTGAAAAGATTGTCTTCCATGAAATGTGTCCTTGGTGCCAAAAAAGTTGGGGACCACTGGCTTAAGATATAAAATTGAAACACCTGAAATAATATTTGTAACTTTTAAATAAACTCATCAAGACAGGAGGAAGAGTTACAAACAGAAAATAATTCTTTTAAGTTAATGTCATTATGAAAGGAAGTAGGAAAGGCAAGTGCTGTACATTGTTAATCCTTTCAAGAGGATATTAAGGATAGGATCAGAAGTTATTAGAGCATTTATAATAGTGTAAATAGTTATAATAGTTTAAAAAACATTTAAAAGGTATCTAAACCAGTGGTTTTTGGTCTCAGGACCCCTTTACATTCTTTTTTTTTCCCTCCATATTTTATTAAACTATTTGGAAATGAAAAATTTAAATTATTATAAAAAACAGAATTATCCATTACAAAAAGTCATTCAAAGTAATGAATAATCAAGTAATTTCATGTAAACGGCATTTTTACGAAACAAAATTGTTTAATTACTAACAATTCATTTGTAATTAAAATTAATGTTAGAAGATTTGAGATTTATTTTTTAATTAGGTTAAACATTATCCTTGCAATTATGTTTCACTGAATAATTAGTATTCTTAGCAAGCCTTTTAACCACCCAATGGGTTTACTTTGCCTGTCTTTACCTCCTTAAGCTTTTTGGTGTACTTAATTTTTATATTTGGATTATATTTATCAAAACGTATCATATTAGAAATTAAGAATTTTTTTAAATATTCATTTTAAAATAATAACCTATTAACATAAATAATATTTTCTAATGAAAATTGGGATCTTTTCCAGAGTAAAAAAAAAAAAAGTAGGAGGAATGTCATTGTTTTACATTTTTGCAGATCTCTCTAATGTCTGCATTAATATAGTTGAATCCTTATATCTGCTTCTGCATTCAATCTCTTGCAATATGATACTGTAGTTGAAATATATTCAGATTCCTATAGATATATAACTGGAAAGAAAGGGATACTTAATTATCATTTGCAGTTAATGGTGAGTTTTTTCCTTTGATATTACACCAAAATTTGACATGCCCATTTCTTAAATATTAGTTGCAATGTAAACTTTTCATGCTCTGTTACTTTAAAATCAGTTGGTTTTTGAGACACTTTGAATGGATGTTTTTACCCATGACGATAACTTGGAAATATTGCTTCTCAGAGTTATGCAGACTTTCCAAATGCTAATCTATTTCATTATTCAATATAAACCGATACACACATAAGCATTTGTTAATATACCACTAATCTCACCAGAAAAGTGTTTAAGGATTGGCAGGCTATTATCCTCATGGTGATAAATATGAGTTCTTCAAAATTCTAAGTTTTGTTCAAAAGCTGAAATTTTATCTTTGGCAACAAATACTTTTGGGTGTTCTCCTTGAAGTGACAGACTTTGGTCATTTACTTTGGAAAAATGTTTGCCAAATCTCAATTCAGAATAACCATAGTTTGTCGACTGTTGTTTCAGGTAAAAATGATGTTCCATGAAAAAACAGCCATTTCAGTGTTTGCAACTCAAACGATTCCCAAGTGCTTCCCAAGTACAACCATGGTACTTTAGTATGCAGCAGAAGTGCTTTATGTGTACTTCCTATTTAGTCATGCAGAATACTAAAAAGACATATACTCAAGAGTCAAGATTTAATAAAATTAATCATTTTGACTTCTTTCTCAAGGACATTTTAAAGTGAAACTGGCCTTTTCTTTACAGTGAGTACGTGGCAGTGAAGAATGTAGCAACTTCAAGTAATTACTAGTATGTGGTGCTATTATTTGCAGTAATTTATGCTATCACTCCAGTTTTACCTACTTTTCCTTTTGTACCATCCATACAAATTTAAAAATAGGGAGAAAGCAATTTACATCCTAGTATTACTATGAAAATAGTTTTAAGCCTATGGACCCCCTGAAGATGTCTCCCAGCACCCCCCTCCCCAACCCAATAGGGTTCTGCATATCATACTTTGAGAGTGGCTAAAGCAGAGATTGTGTGTATATGCCACTCACACAGTAACAGCACTAATTCTTAGAAAGTTACAGAATAATAGTTACGTCAAGAACTGTGAAGGTTCTGAGATTTTACCCCATTTACAGGCTAACAAGTTAACCTGCCAGTTTAATGGATTCTGGTAGGAGACAGGAAATTACTGGATTGGAGTCTTTATTTGCACAGTAAACAGCATAAGCATTAGCATATTTGTGCCAATTTCTCAAGTCTAAAATTCCCACTGGGCAAAACAGATGGGTCCAGATGGATTCCCACCTACATCAATAGGCTGTATTACAGGAGAGAAAACTTGAGCTTAGGGAACTTGAATCTGCTATAATGATCAGTTAGCATGTCTAACTGCTTGTTGTCATAAACATTTTGCCCATAGTACTGGAGGGAGGCACTCTATCTTCTAAGGTTGTTCATTATGCAAACATCCCTGTGTGAACAAAGTTCTTTGAGAAGGAATTTGGAGGAAAGAGACTTTATTCCAGTGAACAGTTTACAGACTGAGGAGATGTAGCCTTAGGCAGCCTTCAGTGTAAAATGAAGGTGCGTTCTAGAGAACAAAGAGAGGGTTCAGGGTTTTTTTTTTTTTTTTTTTTTTTTTGAGACAGAGTCTCACTCTGTCCCCCGAGCTGGACTGCATTGGCACGATCTCGGCTCACTGCAACCTTTGCCTCCCAGGTTCAAGCGATTCTCCTGCCTCAGCCTCCTGAGTAGCTGGGATTACAGGTGCCCGCCATTAGACCCAGCTAATTTTTTATATTTTTAGTAGGGACAAGGTTTCACCATGTTGGCCAGGCTGGTCCCAAACTCATGACCTCGTTATTCACCCACCTTGGTCTCCCAAAGTGCTAGGATTACGGGCGTGAGCTACCACACCCGGCCACATTCAGGTTTTATAGCAACAGTTCCTGCCCAGGTTCCCAAGCAGATCCGTTTATGCAAATGAATGAATTACAGCTTAGTTCTGATCGATCAGCACAGCTGAGCCCCTTGGTCAATATAGTTGAGCCATGATTGATTGATTTACTTTGGAAGAATGTTTGCCAAATACCCAATTCTGAATAACCATAGTTTGAGCTGAATAACCACAGCTGAGCCCTGATTGACCAGGGCAGGTGAGCTCTGACTGGTTGGTTTTCAAGCATAAAACCAGAAGTCTCTGTCAAGTGTTTCTTTCAAATGGTGAGTGATGGGTGAGGGGATTCTGGCTGCTGTTTATTTTGGCACCAACAATAGGAACTGGTTTGACTTGGCTGTAGAAAAGGAAGTCCTGTCATACTTTTACAACAGCTTTCTGAGAACACAATAGGTGACCACTTCCTCACCCAGCCTTGGCTGCCTGCTTCTGTTTTAACTTTGAGCACTTCAGCCATGGGAGTCCATTTTGTCTGTCCACTGGGGGCATTAACATTTGGAAAGGTATTAGAGAGTAAAGAGCAGTCAGTATCTCCGCTTTCAAAACATACAGAAGTTAAAGAGAAATGTAGAATTAACTTAAAACAATACGAAGTAAAACCACATATACAAGTATTTAAATTTTCTTTTTCTTGGTAGATTCCTTTAGCCCATAGAGAGTGGCTGAAGTGAGTAGTCTTTTCTTGCCCTTGTAGTTTGATAACTGAAAGACGTTTTTTTTTGTTGCAACAGTAATTGCTGTTCATAACACCATGTAATGCAGTGCTCCATACCTGTGTGTGTATGTGTACTAGTACAGATGTGTATGTATAGGTATATATTATACTTCTTTATGGTGTGTACTAGCCCTTACTAGTACATAGTGAGGCCCTGTGAGTCCTGAGGGCCTATGAGTCCTACTTGAAGAAAATTTACATTTAGAAAAATAATTAAACCGGGCAAATTATGATGGTATGAAGTCATCATTTTAATAAAGTTTAAGTAGAAGTCTTTTATTAAAAATATATATTGTTTAAATAGCATTAATGTAAATGAAAATAAACAATGAATCAATGTTTTTGTGTTTTATGTTTTCTAGATCTCATCTCTTAACTACTTATATCTCCTTACGCCTTTTTCCTCTTGCCCAAGAAAGCAGTCCTAAATGTCTAATATTTCATTGTTAGTATTTATTACTTATATGTTTAACAGCCCTTATCACATTTACCTCTTAATAATAGGTTAATTTCATGTTCTTGAACTCTATGAATGGAATCATAATCTGGAGTATTCTTTTGTGACTTTTTTTCTTTAAGTTTGTGAGAGTCAACCACATTGTCATGTATAGTTGAGTTTCATTCGTTTTGACTCTTACATAGTTTTCATCATGTATATATATGTAATTTATTCATTCTAGTGTGGATTTTTCATTTTCTTGACCTAGCAGTGCTAATGTTAACCTTTTTGAAACTTTCACCTTGTAGTCCTTGTGTAATTTTTATGTCTATAACAATACTGTAGGTTCAATTTGTAGCCTACTGTTTTAAAAATTAATATTGCCATGAGCATTTTATACTAATATATTGCATGCTGTCATATAGGCTTATACTATAATTTAATCAGTTATCTAATGAATATGTTTCCCCTAGATTTTTAAAAATTACAAATATAATCATTTAAAATACCCCCCTACATGTATTTCTTAAATTATCTTAGAGTCTTGGCCTTGGATTAAAGTGTTCTACAAATATTGCAGAAGTTACCTGTCACCACTTTTAATGTAACCATGCCAACATTGAGCAAATAAATGTATATGGTGCTTACATTCAATTTCGAAGACTTGTTGGTAATCAAGACAGTCTCTACTTTTAAAACATACAGTCATGTGGGGAACAAGCATGTAAATAAATATTTATAACAATAATTATAGTGTAGGAAAGTGAGGAAAGAGAGTTGTATCAAGCAAATATTGCAATTTATGTGATATCCCAGAGATGATGGTTCTTTTGAGATTCAGAATCAGCACAAATCTGGCAAGGCCAGAGTATAGAGTCTCAAAGAGACGTGTGCATGTGTGTATGCGTAGCAATACTACTTAATACTATTTCCATCTTAATGGTTATGAATTGATATCTGAGATATGTGAATTATACATTGAGTTTCTTTGGCTCATATTGCATTTGATTTCTGTATGCTTGTTTTAAATTCTGTTTGCTCCTGTTGTACCTATTATCTATTTTTTAGCTTTTTGACTAGCATATGGGCCAGGCGCAGTGGCTCATGCCGATAATCCCAGACTTTAGGGAGCCAAGGCTGGAGGATCACTTGAGGCCAGGAGGTCAGGACCAGCCTAGGCAACATAGCGAGACTCCACCCCCACCTCTTGTGTATACAAAAAAATTTGCCAGGTGTGGTGGTGCACACATCTAGTCCTAGCTACTCAGGGGCCTGAGGCCCGAAGATCTCTTGAGCCCAAGAGTTGGAAGTTCCAGTGAGCTATAATGGTGCCTACACTCCAGCCTAGGCAACCTACAACAGAGTGAGACCTTCTCTCGAATAAAAGGAAAAAATAGCATATGATTTGATTTTGGGTCATAATTGTTGCAGACATTTCCCTTTGGCTGTTTTTGGTTAATATTGCTTATTTTTTCTCACTTTAATGACAGCTTTAAGTGTTTATGTATTTGAGTAATGTTTATATATTTGCCTTCTTGCACTTAGAAGATTATTGCCCTCATAAAAATCTGGTAAATATTCATACTGTTTTTTGATATTTTTATTGTGTCCTAATCTTCTGTGTGACTCTTTGAGGTTTACTTTTAGTATATGAAAAAATCTTTTGAATAGTAAGCTGTTAAAAGTATGAATTAGCAAGTACTTGATTTGCCCAGAAGAAACTTATTAAATAAGGTAAATTTGTGTTGCTCCTGTTTTTGAGAAAGTGAAACTTATCATGAAAATCTTTAAAAAACAGATGGTGATATTTAGTTTCTAGCAAAACAGAAATTAAAGCACATTATGCTTTAATTAAAGTACTACCACCAAATCAGTGAGAAGATACTTTCTTCTGGAAGAGAGTTAGCAACAGCCAGGGCATTATTCAGGCAGCTGTCAACCATCTTCCCAGTACTCAACCTGCCTTTTCAGCTCCTCATTAATAGGCAGTGAAGTGGAGGGCATTTATTGCCTGATTAACCAGATAATCCCATAGACACACCTCTAACCTTGTTAATCAACCTGTAAGGCTCTCATTTTTCTCCTCCAGGGAGCCCTTTCTCTGTCAGCATTCCATCTTCTTATCCATAATGACAGTGGGTCTGAGATTTTTAGCCTACTTGCAAGCTAACAAGTTAGCCTATCACAGTTTCATAGATGCTGGTAAAAAGACATGAAACTCCTGTGTCAGACACAAAGGATAGTTTATTACTGACAGCAATAGCATTAACCCAGAGTATCAGCATTTGGACCAGTTCCCTGATCCTCAGTTTCCACGGGGAAATGTGGAGATGGCCAGTAAGCCTTCCTGTACTTTGTTTAGAAGAAACATTATTCTACTGGACTTTAAACAAATCTGCCTTTTGCTTTGGAAAGAGATGCTATATCTTCCTAGGTTATTTGCGTTATTTGCTTTACAAACATCCTTGAAATAGTAGTTGAGAATTAAGGACTTATATTTAGTGCCTCTGCTTCAAAGATATGCAGAAAATGTGAGTATTTAGGAAAATTGTCTCCCAGCAGCTTAAAGTTCAGGTATCACAGTAATGCTGACCTCAATATGAGTGTGGTTTTATTGGAGACATTTTAGTTTCTTTCGGGATTGTGAGAGTATATTGAATAATGTTGTTAATTATTGGTTGCCAATTATTATTACCTATGATGGACTTATGTGCAGAAGTCTTTAATTCCTTTTTTGCCTTTCATTCTCCTCTGAAAAGATATACTTTTAGTTGCAAATCTTATATTTTTTGATTCTTAAAATTCTGTACAGTGTCAAGCCTTCAGTGCAGTAGAATTCAGTCCTTTCCTTGGGATAGTAATGAAATGCTTAACTGATACTTTTTTTTTCTTAGAATCTGTGTTCATATATACTGAGCCTTTCTCCAGGAATATACTCTTCCTAGAAGCTGTTGTTTTAGCTAGGATATTTAATTATTTTCCTTCTAGAATCTTAAAGGGCAAAGCCATTTTTAGCAGCTATCATAAATTACTATCCCAGTTGGAAGAATTTTTATCAAATATAGCTTTTCTTTCTTCGCCAACCTTTTCCTAGGGAGACTGCCCCTCACACACTAGATGAGATGAAGTCTATGTTCCTGGCTGGAGGGATTGATAGATAGTTGATAATAAATGCAGTTTGTTTATTATTATTATCATTTGCTATGCATTTTGTGGGTTTGACAGTAATATAAATAATAAACCTGACACATGAATACAATGACCTTATTTGTGACAAGGGTGACATAGCAGTGCAGTGGGAAAAGGATGGTCTTTTCAACAAATGGCACTGGGTCTGTTAGATATCTGTAAGAAAAAAAATTATTTTGACTTTTACATCATACCATATGCAAAAATCAGTTACAGATGGGCTGCATATGAAATAATAAACTATGATGATAAACATGAAGTAAACTAATAAAACTTTTAGAGGGAAACACAAAGTCATCTTTGTGGCCTTGGATTAGGCAAAGATTACTTGACTAGGACATGTAAAAACACTAACTCCAAAAAAAGAAAGTGATCAATTGGATCAAAATTAACATCTATTTTTCAAAAATATGTCATTATGAGAGTAAAACAAAAACCTACAGAGAGGGGAATGAATTTGTAATACATGTGTTTGACAAATGATTCATTATCTGCAAGACTCAGTGGGCCAGGTACCTGTTTTTATAAATAAAGTTTTATTAGAACTCAGTCATAGACATGTATTTATATGCTATCTATGGCTACTTACAAACTACAACAACAGAGTTTAATAATTTTAACAAAGACTGTATGACCTTTAGGCCTGAAATATTTACTGTCTGACCCCTTAAGTTTGCTGATTCCTTCTTTAGACAGTACTATACTGGCTTGATTACTGTCGCGTTACAGGGAGTTTCCGTTCAGATGGTGTTAGTCTTGATTTTTTTTTCCTAAATAGGTTTGGTTCTTGTAAAAACTTTACAATCAGCTTTTTAATTTGCACAAAAATGGCTATGGGGCTTTTAATTGGAATTGTGTTGGATCTGCAGGTCAACTTGAGGAGAATTGATACTTTAATGATATTGAATCTTCTGATCCATAAACATTGTCTCTTCATTTATTTAGGTTTTCCTTAATGTGTCCTAGCAGCCTTTTGAAGTTGTCAGTGTTATATTTAATCCCGATATTTTGTATTTTGGAATTCTAATATAATTAGTATTTTTTAATTCCCAATTTATTTTGTGTATTATGTAGCAACAGTGTTACTTGACTTTATATTGTAACTTCGATAAATTATCTCTTTCCAGTTACTTTATTGTAGATACTCCAAGATTTCAGTGTACAGGGTAGTATCTGTGAATAAAGACAGTTTAACTTCTTCTTTTCCAATCTGCATACGTTTTATTTCTTTTTCTTACCTTATTGTACTAGCTAGGATATTAGATGCAATGCAGATATCAGTGATGAGAATAGGAATTCTTGTCCTGTTCCTAATCTTAGGAAGAAAGATTGAGTGGTTTACCATTAAATATGACATTAGTTCTAGAGTTTTTATTTAAGTAGAAGTCATGTTTACCTAGTTTGCTGAGTTTTTTTTTTCTTTATCATGAAGAGGTGTTGAATTTTTAAGTGCTTAGTTATGGTGTCTCTTTAATCTCCTGTAATTTGGAATAGCAAGTTAACCAACATTTTTAACTTTATTTTGTACTTTTTTTATAGATTATCTTTTAATTAGATTGTATATCCTCATCGGGTTCAGATGTTGCATTTTTTTTTTGCCAGGAATACTACATAAAAGATGTTTCCCTTGCAGTGCATCACATTAAGAGGAACTTGGTGTCATTTTTTCCTTTTCTTGTGGTGCGATATTTCATTATGTGATGTCTAGCAGGTTTCTGTAATCTAAAGTTATCTTTCATTTTGAATTAATAAGTACTTTGTGTGAAGATCAAAGTAATCTTTTTAAAGGATTTAGTAGATTATGTCATTTCTCTATTCCTGTTCTCCCTATAGTAGGCTTCCTATGTGTTACATTTAGAATAATTTTCAGTGTCCTTACCATGGTCTACAAAGAACCTTCCAAGTTTCTGCAACTCACTGTAGGTGATACGTGTTTGAGACTCAACACATGCACACACACATCTGATGCAAAAGTTTCACAAAACAGTACTATCCTTATTGTATGAGATGTACTCTAATATTCTTCTGTGGTATTTTAATGAAATAAAATAGAAAATCCTGTTCTTGATCTTCTAACTTGATTTTGCTACCAATGTGGAGACATAGTTTAAAAGAACACTGCCATCCAGTCCTGATTATCTTATTTTTCACCATTTTTTCCTAGTTCAGTTTTCTGGGTTGTGTTTTGCTTTGTGTTTTGAGACGGGTATCGCTCTGTCACCAAGGCTGAAGTGCATGCTCACTGCAGCCTAGACCTCCCAGGATCAAGCAGTCTTCCCACTTCCAGCCTCTTGAGTAGCTGGGACCACAGGTGCATCCCAACACGCCTAGCTAATTTTTGGATTTTTTGTAGTTGTGGGATCTCACTGTGTTGCCCAAGCAGGTATCAGACTCCTGAACTTTCAAGTAATCTTTCCACTTCAGCCTCCCAATTGCTGGGATAACAGGTGTGAGTCACAGCACCCGGCAACTAGTTCACTTTTCTTTAGCTGCACTGGCCATTATGCTGTTCTTCAAACCTGCTGAAACATGCTGTTCCCTTAGAGTCTTTGCATTTGTTATTATCTCTGCCTGAAATGTTCTACCTTTTCTCACTGTTTCCTTACTTTATTCCTCTTATTCTCTTTATTTACCTCTGTTCATGTTGTCTTTTGTCCCCTATTAAAACATAACCACATTATCCATCTTCTCACGTGCTTTTTTCTTTTTTTTTTTTTTCTGTGTGGAACTTTCTATTTTCTGATATGTATCTGTGTATTTATTTTATCTGGTAACATTTATATGTATCCTCCACTGGAATAGTCAGTAAAATGTTATGATACATCATAGTTAAGACCTAATTTGATAATTTTCAAAAAATGAAAAAAAAGTATCAGTTTTAAAAAATATTTCTAAGTAATAGTTATGTGGCTTTTTAAAGTAGAAATTTAAGTGCATTTCCACCAGTTGTATTTTATACCACTTAGCTAAGATCTGACATCTTCCTATGCTTCAGTCTCTAGTCAAGGTAAAGAGATATTTAAGTATATAGGTAATTTAATGGGTGTTCAAACCAAAAAATGCAACCCAGGATTTACTTCTTTTCCATATTTTTTAGACATCAATTTTATATACAAAATAGATGAACAACTTATCTATACAACTTAACTGACAAAACTAGATTATAAGCATATTTATAGTATGTGAATTACTGTATCTGAACTAGTGTCTAGCCAGGGACACATTCTGGTGGTTAATAGTCGCTATAAAATGGACTTTGGGAGAACATGCAGGTGGTGGTAAAGAACATGAGTTTGGAAATATATCTGAATTTAAATTCTAGCTACCAGTTGTTAGCTTCTTGACTTAAATCTCTGAACTTACCAAGTTTGAGTTTCCTCTTTTAAATGGGATCATATTCTTAATTCTCAGTTAGCAAAGGTTAAATAAGGTAGTAAATACAGATCAGCTAAATACTTGATGCATAGTAAGAACACAGTAAATAATTTTTACAATTTATTCTGTGTACAGAATATGAATTTGGAATTAAAGTTTCAATCTGGCATCCCAATACATACCTTCTGAGTAGATAAAACCTTTTTATTAATATTATTTTTAAATTTAATTTGGTATTAGAAGTGATTAAAAGTTGTCTAAATGTCTTCACTTTGACATTTAATCTTCAGTAGTCTTTAATTGCTAAGTGTTCTACAGAGAATAAGACAATTAATTGACTATTTGAAATGCATGCCAAATTTTCCCTAGAGAATATTTTACTCTAATTGTAGTCTTCATTCAAAGACTACAAAGGTAATTCAAAGGTAAATATAACCTTTTCTAGAGTAAACATAAGATAAGAAATGTGGAAGTATATTTTATTGCCCAAAGGATTTATGGAGTTTAGAGTTGGTTTTTATGCAGTAAGATATTTAGTTGGTATTAACAAGGAATGAATTTTCCAAATGAGTAAATTGCCTAAATAAGTTAATTTTTTCCATTCAAATACCAAAAATATTTAAAGCCTTCTTTTCCCCCTTGGAATCTTACTAAAATGTATTATTTGCCCAACATCTTACATAAAGCATTCTGAAGAGAAAGTAACATTTTGTTGATGGTTACATATCATCAGAATGAACATTAATTACCATACTTTGTATTTCTAGGTAATTACCATTAAAGGTATTTGAATTAAATGGGAGTCTTTGCCTACTTCATTTAAAAAAATGTCTTTTGTGTTTGTTTCCACTGCTCATAAGCTATTGGCTGCTTCATCTCACCTCTGGCAGTGCATGTACCCAAAGCCACAGTCCTTCTCTTTCTTATTTCCTGTTTTGCTCTTGGCTACCAAGTTGTAAACTCGATGGAATTTTGTTCACAGTCAGAATAAATAGTTCTCTAGTGAAAAATGGGTTTTGTGGCACCTGTTCTTGACTCAGGAACCTTCTGAACATCTTGTACTTTTTTCTTCCAGGTAATGGCCCATGCTAGATAATGGATAATGTTTTACTTCCCCTGTTTTCCACTTCAAATTATGATGCAATATCCTTTTGTTATTCATATATTTTTTCTTTTTCTCATATTGATATTTTCTGTGTCTATAGGATTATACAGTAAGTATACTTTAATCGTGCTTTTTATCACACTTCATTTTAATTCACTTAGCAAAACTAGTTATTTTAGTCACTTTACTTTTTAATTTTAATTGTACTTTGCTTTTGGAAGAAAGAGCAAAGTACAATGGTACTGGAAGTACAATCGTTTTGGAAGAAATCCTGTTACCTAAACTTTTAGAGGTTGCAGGCAACAGAGAAAACCTTTGGTTATCTCAAGTCATGATGTGAGCATATATGGAGCCTGTGAGGAACAGTGGAAACAATCTCTTTAGATCTCATGGATAACTAAGGTCATTTTGGAAACAAATTCACTGGCAAGTCAGGCCTAAAGGAAACGTGGAACATTGTTTAGAAAATAGCACAAGTTCTGATGACCAGGCGATCTATTTGCCTCTTGATAATCAACTTGTTCTCTAAGTCAGTTCTGTGCTATTATGATCACATTGCCATCTTCTGTATTTGCTTCTGCTGAGCATACTTCTACTTATTGATCACTCCTTTCCTTTCTACATCTTATGGTTTCTGCTTACTGTACTCTCTAGCTATGTCTTCTGCCTCTCTTCTTAGCTTGAATTGTTTATTTTTTGGTATTTAAACTTCCTGAACAAGAGGACTTTATTGTTTTGGCTAACCACCATTCAGTATGGGAAGCATCTGTTCGAGAAAACACTTCATCATAACCATTTTATAAATCAATAGATTAAAGACGGTTAACTTTGGATTAGATGCCAACCCTTGATTCTGTTAGCAGAAGCCAGGGAAGTGGGTTCCTATAGTACATGGGTTGGCTACTTGTATATTTGGAACCTCTTGTAGATATTGAATTGTCACTGGTCTGTTGATTATAAGTTGAAATCCTAAGCTTTTTAGGCAAGTTAATAAATAGTGATCAAGGAAATTCCTGCTTTTGCCTAAAATGTAGAAAGTTGGAAAGATTGTCACGCCCATTGTAATAAAATAATGCTGGATTATTTATGGAATCATAACTTTTTAAAGACTCATCAGAAAGCTGAGCTTACAGGGCAGCCAACAGCTTAAAATCTAAGGAAAAGTATGTCAAGAAGAGATGAGATAGGGACACTGGTTCACCTGAACATTGGAGGGAGACAGGAGGACTGCCATGTAAGTGGGTAAGAAGGATTCAACTAACAGATTGCTAAAGACGTGGTGTGACCCGTAACTGTCACCTAGCATTCACAGACACAAGGGAAGTTGCTCACACTTAAAGGATCTTCTTTATGGACCTTGGCGAGGGCAGGACATTAGAAGATGTCCTGGTTCAGAATTGGATTAAAGGGGTGTGTTCTCTGCTGTGGGAAAAGTATGAAGTCTTGCCTGCACTGTTTTTTTTTAAGTATCAGCAGCCTAAGCTGCTGAGGGAAGAGTGTCAAATCTTAGCTTGCCAAGGGTTCAGAAGAAGACCCATTGCAGCTAGAGGAAAAGATAAAGAAAAACCTCAAAACACCATCTCTATGCCTTGAGGGGCAGAAAATCATCCAGGTTATTAGAAGTCTCCTACCACTGGAGGAGGGCAGTATCTCTGAAAAACCTCAAAACCTGAAACTGAGGTCACAGAGTACTGAGGCTGAACCAGACAGTAGAGAATGCTTTTCCTTGACTCCCCAACCCACATCCCCCTCACCATCAGGCTAGGAAGCACATCAAGCAACAAGTAACCACAGCCTACCACTAGAGAGGAAGCAAGAGCATAGACTCTGAGGTGAACATGCACAGTGAAGGCCTAAAGCTTGGGATGGAACAATACCATTGAGGAAAGTACTCGAGCAAAACTGAGTAACCTATGAATTATAGTGGAACTCAAAAGGAAAGTTAAAACATATTTTGTATTGAACGAAGATGAAACATGGCACACGTGGAATACAGCTAAAGCTTAGGGGGATATTTACAGCATTACATGTTATACTAGAAAAGAAAAAAGTGCCCCAATTTAGTACTTTAAGCTTTCACATTAAGAAACTAGGAAAAGAAGAGCAAACTAAATCTAAAGCAAGCAGAAGGAAGAACACTGTAAGGATAAAAGTGGGAACCAGTTAAATTGAAAGAAGGAAATAATAGAGAAAACTAATAAACTAAAAGCTAGTCCTCTGAAAAGATCAAGATTGGTAAGTCTCTAGCCAGACTGAGGAAAAAGAAAACACAAAGTATCAACATCAGGAATAGCACTTAGGATGTCAATGGAGATCCTAAAGACACTAAAGTGTAACCAATGAAGTCTTATGCACAACTATATTTCCATGTATTTGACAATTTATATGGAACAAATTTTTTAAGCTGCAAAATTACTAAAGTTCACTTAAGAAATAGATGAGACCTGGCCAGACACGGTGGCTCATGCCTGTAATCCCAGCACTTTAGGAGGCTGAGGCGGGTGGATCACGAAGTCAGGAGTTCAAGACCAGCCTGGCCAAGATGGTGAAACCCCGTCTCTACTAAAAATACAAAAATTAACCAGGCGTGGTGGTGGGTACCTGTAATCCCCGCTACTCGAGAGACTGAGGCAGAGAATTGCTTGATCCTGGGAGGCAGAGGTTGCAGTGAGCCGAGACTGTGTCACTGCACTCCAGCCTGGGCGACAGAGCGAGACTCTCTCCAAAAAAAAAAGAAAAAAAAAAAAAGAAATAGATGAGACCTTATTAGTTATATCTGTTGAAGAAGATTAAATTCATTTTTAAAAACTTTCCAACAAAGAAATCTCCAGCCGCAGATGGCTTCACTGGTTTATTTTACCAAATGAAGAAACAATACCAATTCTCTACAAACTTCTAGAAAGTTGAAGAGAAAGGAACACTTTCCAACTTACTTTATGAGGCTAGCATTACCCTGATACCAAAGACATTAAAAGATGAGAAAACAGGAAGGAAAAAACTAGTATCCTCCATGAATACAGACACAAAAATTCTTAACAAAATATTAGTAAATGAAATCCATCAATAAGTAAAAAGGAAAATTACATTATGACCAAGTAGGGTTTATTCTGGGAACTCAGAGCTGATTTTGTTATTCAAATATCATCAATCAGTATAATTCACCATATCAACAGACTAAAGAAAAATATTTGATCATCCTAGTAGTTGCAGAAAAAGAATATGAAAAAAAAATACCATTCGTTGATGATAAAAATGCTGAGCAAACTAGGAATTGAAAGAAACTGCCTCATCAGAAACCCTAGAGTTAACACCATACTTCATGGTAAAAGACTGAAGGCTTCTGCTACAACTGGGAACAGGCCAAGATGTCTGCTCGCATTACTCCTGTTAAGCATAATGCTGGGAGTCCCAGGTAGGCAGTGAGGCAGGAAATAATAGTGAAAGGCATAAACAGCTATCAAGAGATTCTAATACCACCATGAAAAAAATGAAGCCAAACACCTTTTAGGCATTATCTTAAAATAATGCTCATGTTCAGTTTCTTTATCCACTCTTAGTTTGGAATCTTTGAATTGTTTTCCTTTTGTGGCATCTGGCCAACCTAAGAAGTAGCAAACATCTGGCAGTGGCAAAATCTTTATTTTATTTAGCTGTATGAAATACTTAGTTTTGAAGTAAAAAATAGGGAAGCTAGAATTTATTTAATAAGTAAAATGAGTATCACATAGTCTCTTACTACATACAGAAAGAAGTAAAGAATTCAACAATTCTTGCCAGGCACCAGTGGCTCACACCTGTAATCCTAGCACTTTGGGAGGCTGAGGCAGGAGGATTGCTTGAGTTGAGTTCAAGACCAGCCTGGGCAACATAGTGAGACCCCTCATCTCTACAAAAAATAAAAAAATTCCCCAGGCATGGCAGTGTGTGCTTGTCGTCCCAGCTACTCAGGAGGCTGGGGTTGGAGGATTGCTTGAGCCCAGGAGGTCAAGGCTGCTGTGAGCCATGAATGTGCCACTGGACACCAGCCTGGGTGACAGAGTGAGACCCCATCTCAAAAAAAAAAAAAAAAGAATTCAACAATTCTTTATATATCTCATTTTTTAATGGGATTCTTATGTCTCTCCGTAAATTATATGTAGTTACTGCCATCAAAAAATTGACTAGTTTGTTTACTTTGGATTTTAAACTTTAAGGTACTTGGTTTTGAGTATATGTTAAAAATCCAAATCTTATTTGAAACATGACTTTGTCCCTTTTCAGGGGCAGATCCATTTACTGAGGAATATATGCATTACAGGAATATATAAAATTGAAAGCAATAAGCATACATTTGTAACCACTGATAAAAATAGAATTTATATGACAAAATGACAAGTAGAACAATGAATTCTGTATTTCTCATTTTTGAAATGGTACAAGAGTATAGAAATTTGTCTCAAATATGCTGGGATTAAGACAGAATAAGTGTATGTTATTTTTATAGCTATTTACACATTTCTGAGACATAAAATTGTATAAGAGCTGTAGCTGTGAGCTACGGGAAGATTACTTGAAAGCTGCTATGCTTTTCTGTCAGTGTTACTCATCTCATTCTTAAAATTTGAAATGCCATTAATATACAAAACAAAATGTTTTAAGAATGCTGGAAGGGTAATAATTAACATTAATACTTATTAAGGGCTTTCCTAGACAGGTAATAATCAACATGAACACTTATTAAGTTCTTTCTAAGCTTTGAAATATATTGTTTACTCATCATAACAATTGTGAAGTGAGTAGTAGTTACCATATTTATAAGGGGAATAAAATGGTTTAAATATCCTACCCAAAGTCATAGCTATCACCCTCAAAGAGCATATAAGTGAAATGAAGAGACAAACTCTATAGGAAAAGTATAAATAATTAGTTGCAATACACAATTTCTTTTTATTAGAATTAGGGAAAACTTCCTTGGAGGAGAAGATGCCATTTGCATATGGCATAGAGTGTATAATGGACAGGATATGCAACAGGTTAAAAAAAAGCATGAATAAAGGAATGGGGAAATAGGGGAGACAGTTTTGCAAATTGTGATCCAGTTTTGCTAAATGTTATATTTTAAGGAAAGTAATAGTGAATATTGAAAAGTATGCTGGGGTCAGGTTTCGAAAAGCTTTCAAAATGCCATTTAAGGCAATGTGGACCTTTTTTTTTTTTTTTTTTCCAAACAGTGGAAAGCTATAGAGGGAAATTACTGAGAAACTAACATTTCTGGAAGTGAGAACTAAAAGGCACAGAGAACTATGTACTAAGTCTAGAAGCTCTTGACCCTAGTCACCCTCTTGTTAGGTTAAGAACCTAATTATGAGATTTTTGCCTTACAGAATCTTCAGCCAATTATTCTAACTGTAAAATAGATAATTCCCAAATCTAAAGATAGATTAGCCTTGGTGAAGATATTACAGAAATAATCACTTTTTACATAACATTCATTTAAAAAAATTTCTTTACAATTTGGAGAAAAAAGGGCAGACTTCTAGTTCCTAAGAAGAATTAGTGTTGTGAGATGGGTGGTATGTTAGGTTGCTGTTATTACTGCAACGAATTGCTGCAGGTGTAGTGGTTGAAAACAACACAGACTTATTCTCTTACAATTTGGGAGGTCAGAAGTCCTAAAGTGGTTTGTAGGGACTACATTCATTCTGGAGGCTCTAGGGGAGAATCCATTTCCTTGCCATTTCTAACTTCTAGAGGCTGCCTCCATTACTTGGCTTGTGGCCGGGCCCATCCTGTGTCTTCAAAGCCAGCAGTATATCATCTTCTAAACTCTGTCTATCCCCTTGATTTTGTTGTTATCTCACCTTCTGTGTCTGTGGCCCTCCTCCCTCCCTAAGAATACTTCTTAATACATTGAGTCTACCCACATATTCCAGGATAATCTCTCCATCCCAGGACCTTAAACTTAACCACATCTACAAAGTCCCTTTTGCTATATAAGGTAACTTATTCACAGGTTCCAAGGGATTTAGATGTGGACATCTTTGGGGGACGTTATTCATCCTGCCACAGGTGGTATGTAAAAATATTAATAATCTAATATAATATGATAAATAATTTGATAGGAATAACATACATGATGCTGGAGTTCTCAGAATTCAAGCAGCTCATATAACCACGAGAGTGGGGGAATTCTGAGAGCAACTGATGGTTGAATTGAGTCTTAGAGGATAAGTGGGAATCTATCAGGTAAAAAAAATACAAGGAGTCCAAACAGAATGCTATGTCAAAGGTATGGCAAAGACAAGCTGTATGAAATTGCTAGTTTCACAATTAACAACACTTGACACAGTCGCCATAATGGAAATATGCGTAAGGTAAGTGGCTGCTGAAGTGAAGAAACATCTAAGTCAGAGTGAGGGGCTCATAATAAGGCACCTACCTTCATTCTTATCCTCTTATTTTCATGATTGATCTCCCTTGGTGGTCACCTTTCACTTCGTGGTTCAAGGTCCTCTATTCTTTTCTCACTGCTGTCTCTTCAAGTATGGATGGACCAGAGATCATTCAATTATATTAATCCTCATAATATTCAATACATTCTTTAGGCACTTGGCTCATGAAAGTAGATGTATTGTTGTGAAAATATTGTTTCAACTTGTATTTTATTTTAGCTGTTGTTTATTTTTCTTCTGTGAAAGCCCTTGGTTAAAAAAAATAGAGTATCAGAGTTGGAGTACAGGGAAGAGAGCTGAAGCAGTGTTAGGTCTGTCAAACATAATAATAAAAGGCCAGTTAGGTAGTGGTGACTTTGAAAATAAACCTCATCTAGCCACTGATCATCGGGAGTAAGGAGAGAAAAGAAATAGTCTGTGGTCTCTGTGTGCTGGCCTTCTCCCCTTATTTTGTAGAGAGCAAGCACTGGCTCTACGAAAAAGCCCTATTTCCCTGGCATTGCTGGGGAGCAGAAGATGGGTTGCTCTGACACTGTATTCTCCTGTGACCAATAGCCTGTGTTGTCACAGCTTTACCAATAATAGGTCCCCTTGCTGGAGAGCCACTTCACAGCTTTCCCTGTTGAATTCAGGTCAGGTCTCCACTTCTTACTTTAACCCAATCTTTTACGGTTCTCCAGTCTGCTTGCAAACTCCTAGAATCAATTACATATTTATAAGTACTGTGCATATTTTATATTTTCTACATTTGATGTGATTTTTGTTGGTATTCTGTTTCGTATTTTCAACTCTGATAATAACATTTCTCATAAAGAAGACTATCCTTACAACATGTCTTCATTTAGAAAAAGTATTGCTGTAGATGAAATTCAGTGAGTTTCAATTTGATGATTTTGTATTAAAATGCATTTCTTTAGGCATCAATATTGCAGTAACAATTATTGATGTGTTACAATAACAAATGTTGACATTATTGACATATTGACATTGATACTTTAATTAAGCAGTACGTTTAAGTAAATAGTTTTAAACATCTGAGTGTGAATTCCAGCATTGTGATATTTCTCTTTAGCCTAGAACAAGTTACTCAAACTCTCCAAGCCTGTTCTTTCATCCCTTAAATGAAGATAATAATAGCCTTGCGAGTTGTTAAGATTAGTATTTATAACATGCCTGGTTATAAATGTTATGAGAGTGTGCTCATAAATTCTGGTAGTGTCATTGTTCTTGGTAATTATTACAAGTTAGCATTAGTAAACTTCATGTGTGTATTCTATGGCCTAAAAATAGTCTGCTTATAAAATTGGTGCTTTATATCAGCAGTCCCCAACCTTTTTGGCACCAGGGACCAGTTTTGTGGAAGACAGTTTTTCCATGGGCCTGTGGGGGCTTGGTGGATGGTTTCAGGATGAAACTGTTCCACCTCAGATCATCAGGTATTAGTTAGATTCTCATAAGGCAGACAGCCTAGATCCCTTGCATGTGCATTTCACAATAGTGTTCACCCTCCTGTGAGAATCTAATTCCACTGCTGATCTGACAGGAGGTGGAGCTCAGGCAGTAATGCTCCCTTGCCTGCTGCTCATCTCTTGCTGTGCGGCCCAGTTCCTAAAAGGCCACTGACTGGTACCAGTCTGCGGCTCAGTGACTGGGGACCCCTGCTTTATATCGTGTTTTAAACTATTTACTAACAATTAAGAGGTGGTATATCACGTGGTGATTAAGAACATAGACTCTGGGTCCAAATTTCAGCTCCATGACTTATGGCCAGGCTGACCATCGACAAGTTACCTAAATGCCTTGTGCATCACTTTCCTCAGCTTTGAAATGAACATAACAGTAGCACATTTATCTCAGGGATATTATGAGGAGTCAATCAGATTAAGTATATAAAAAGTATAAAACAGTTGCTGACACTTAATGCTGGCTGTCAGCTTCTGCCATTGTTATTGTTGCTATTATTAATTTGTTGTTGAGTAAATTTTTTTTTAAATCACTTTTTAGGTGAATCTTGGAAGCAACCAGTACCTTTTCTCTGTCATAGTGGATCCTAAAGAAATGCCCTGCTTCTGTTTGCGCCATGATGTTGATGCCCTACTCTGGCAACCACACTCCAGCAAACAAGATGATATGTGGGAGCACATCGCAACTTTCAATGCTTTAGGTATAAAGCAAACTCTTTGACATTTTCCATGAAATCAGAAATACAGTCATCATTCATTTAAAGTTCATTTCTTTTTTTTCTTTTTAATTTGAGCTGTCCTGATTACATTTAGATTGATTTGCGCTATGATTTGTTTGCTTGTACTAGTTGTGAGTGTTAGCACTGTTGGAACATTTAGACTAATCTGTTTTTATGCTTGTACAGAAGATCAACACAGAATAGAAATGAAAGTGGTTATCTAACCACTTGAATTATTCTAATAAGTCATTTGCTTTTTCTAATTCTGTAAGCCATATAATACTGGAGTCTGAGCAAGGAGCTTGATAATACCCTACATGGAACTGGTGTTCAAGTTTCTTCAGAGTAATCTTCAGAAACATCATAGAATTCCCCTAAGGTGTAATGCACATTAGGAGACATCTTTTGTCAAAATTAAGTACAAAAGAGAGCCATTATAATGAAAATACTTATGGAAAGCGGTGATAAGCAGAAATTAAATTTATTTGGTAGGATAAAAGGAAAAAAATCAGTTTTAAAATTAGGGCTTGACAATGTTTAAACTACTTAATTATAGACGTATGCAATCATTGATTTTCTGTCAAAATGCATTAGTATTGTGTGACAGAAATTTTTTATGTGAATTAGCCACAGTTGTTGCTTTATTGAAAGGTTATTTTAAACAGGCAGCAAGAAGTGAAGTTACGTATTTTGATGGCTATATGTGCACAACCCTAATTGTAGAAGAAATTTATTAATTATCCCTTATAGTTAATAATGTAGGCTGCTAAACTGGTTCAGACTCCAAATGGATTTTTATGACCTGAAGTACAAAGTTTGGTTAACTAATTTAACCATATAATTTTTAGCCTCCCTACTATAATGCTATTTTTTAATTATCTATACTTTGGTCAGAAGAAAGCTCTATCATATCATCTTTAGATGCTCAGATGTTCTATTTGTATCCCCAAATCCCCTATTATAGGGGAATTCTATGCTTAATTCTAAGTTAAATCAACATATATTAGATATGTACTCTTGAAATATTATATACATTATTCTGTCAAGGTTAGCCTGGATAGCTACTTTAAACTATTTAAATAGGTATCTAAATCTTCACTTTTCCTGCTTCAAACCTGCTTAATATTTTTAAAAACAGTATTGATCTGCATGTGCTCAGTAGTTCCTTTGCTTATTCATTGTTTGATGAGATCTCAATTTTAATTAATGTTATATTCTTATTTTACATGATCATAAATACCTAACATTTGCTAACCATGTCACTATCTAAAAATCATAATTTATATTTTGGAATATAAATGTTGTTTTAATCCAAAAAGATACTTTTTAAACATGTACATGAATTAAGATAAGGATTTTTTTCAGTTTAGAGACTTGAAATTATTTTTGAAGTTATAGTGATCAACATTCTACTTGTGGGGGCTAAAAGTACAAAAAAATCCAGTTACAGTGTTGGTATTGATGTATAAAAATATCACTAACATTTTAGGGATAATAAGAGAATGCATCACGAATACTAGTACATTCAGGGATACATTATGAACAGAAAACTAAAATAACTTTATGATGGTATCCTATACACATTTTCCAATTTATTTAAGAGGAAAAAAATGGTTCTGTGATGCCCTATCCGTAACTCACGAAGCTAAATATTAAATTGGCACTTAAAGATATTTTGTCATGTATTGAGTGTTTTAGATTTTAGAATTTTAGTGTTCGAATTATTCGTGGAAATTAAATGAAGCTATATTACGCTTTTTTTGAAGCGAGAAAGCCATATCTGTTTTGTTCCTTAGGAATTAAAGTCGTATTTTTGTACCAGATGGGAGAGACTGATTGTGGCTAATCGTTAATGATTCAGAATTATATACCTTATGGTATATATTTTACTTGGGCATTTTAATTTGTAATAAACATTGCAAAATATTAAATGTTAAATCATCATTTTTCCCCTTCTGTTTAATATATAGTTTTTCTTTTGTTTGTCTCATATTCTTGGCAGGCTATGTCCAAGCATCAAAGAGAGACAAAAAATTTTTTGCCTGTGCTCCAAATTACTCGTATGCAGCCCTTTGTGAGTGCCTTCGTCGAGTATTCATCTATCGTCAGCCTGCTCCCATGTCCACTGTACTTTACAACAGAAAGGAAGGCAGGCAAGTAGGACAGGTTGCTAAGCAGCAAGTAGCAAGCCTAGAAACCAATGATCCTATTTTAGGATTTCAGGCAACAAATGAGAGATTATTTGTTCTTACTACCAAAAACCTCTTTTTAATAAAAGTAAATACAGAGAATTAATTATTCTAACATATTGGCCTCTTTGTACTGGAAAAGTATTCAGTGGTACCTGGAGGTCTGGACAGTTATACTGTAACCTCTTAAGTTTTAATGTGCTAAATATATCTTGTATGATTTTTTATTTTTTAATAACATTGGAAATATATTCAAGAGATTATGATTCTGTAAAGCTGTGGAATGAAGCTGCAGATTTAGAGAACATTGGCTTCTGAAAAAAAAAAAGAGTGAAGATAGTACTAGCAAGTATACTTATTTTTTAAAACAGGCTAGAATCTCATGTTTTATATGAAAGATGTACAATTCAGTGTTTAAAAATAAAAATATTTATTGTGTACTCTGTTCGTTGATTAGTTGCTACAGGCTGTACCTATAAGATGTACAGGATAATAGTTAAATGTTGAGTATTGTACATATGTATTTAAGTGGATTGAATAACTGAGTCTACATGGAGGAGGAAATGCTAGAGAACAGCAGGTCTAATATTTTTTAAGTTTACTGAGAGACCTTTATTATTATTTTCAAATTAAGTATAGCTTTATGTAACTTTTAGCCAGTTGCTCTGCCACAGACATAGACAAAGAGAGATAAGATTTCACATTATCCATCACTGCATAACAAACCACACCAAAACTCAGTGGTTTAAAACAAGGACTTTTATTATTTTTCACGATTCAGTGAGTTGGCTGTCTCTGCTGTACAGGGCCTCTCAGCCTCCAGTAGACTAGACGAATCTTCTTTCCATAGTAGAGAAAACATCTTAAGAGAGCAAGCTCCAATATGCAAGAGCTTATCGATCCTGTACATCTATCATATTTACTAATGTTCCATTGGACAAAGCAAATCACATGGCCAAGTCTAGAGTCAGAATGAGGGGACTACACAAGCTGACAGCGGATGGTATGACTCATTGGGGGCCATTGATGGAACAATCTTACCACACAAGGACAAATTATAATTTATCCTTGTGGCTCTCTTTATTTTTCTAACAACTTCAACAAAATAATCCTGTTTATATGTTATAGTTTCTTGCCACAAATTTTGTTTTTTCAAACTTACCTTTCCAGGTTTGTTTTAGTATGTATGTACCTGGAAATTTTTATTACTTTTTATACCATTTCAAGATATGTATCTTATATAAACCTCAAGTTGGATTTTATATTTTAATAAGGAAGTTAAGACCTTCATTTAAGAGGCAGAAGATTAAGATAAGAAATATAAGATAGAAAAGCTTTGTTCCTAACATATCTTTTGCCTGTCTGGGCAAGTATTTGACTCAACTAAATTTTAATGAACGAATGAATGACAGAGAGGAGGAAAAAAGATGAGGATTGCATACATGTTCTAAACCCTTTGTCAGATTGCAGTTTCCTAGAGAGTATTGAGGTGCTAGGTAGAAAGTTAGGAAAGGTCCTGAGGACTGGTATTGACAATTGGAGTCCTAATAGTACTCTATTCGTATTAGGAAAGAGAGACTAGATACCAAACATCACGAGATCATAGAGATGGAAAACTGTATAGTAACCAAAAACCAAAACAGTGATATTTCCAGAACTTTTTAGTATTGTTGTAAAACTTCATGAAACAAAAGACCATTTAAATAGTGAATTATTAAAAATCTTTATGATGGGAAAGTAGATCTAAATTTTCTCTAAAATTTTCCCCAAAGATAATATCCTCTTAGGGAACATAAGAAAAATGTATAATAAAAATGTGGTGCTTAATTAACCATGACTATGTATATATTGCCAATTTTAGTAATCAATATTCTTTGTGCATGTGATTTTTTTGCATGATTAATGTTGAATTGAAAGCTCTCAGGATAATTAATCCTAAATATTGTCGCATGTTGACCTACGTTAAAAGATGAATAGGTCTAGAGCCGTGATTTCAAGCTATTTTCCTGAAATGCTTCAGGGATTCCATAAACATTTAAACAATGTTCTAAGGTACATATACTTAGAACATTGAGATATATACTACAAGTGCTAAGAATATAGTACCTTGTATTTTTGTTGATTTTTATCATGTTTTAAATAGGAATTTATAAAATATTTATGATAGTAATAAAGTAGTATTTTATGTGTTTTGCATATTAAGAGTCATTAACAATATTCACTCTTTTAACACATTTAAGCATCAACTATGTACCTTAGCATGATTTTTTCAGTATTAAGGATAATATATTACTAAGGATAAAGAGACAATCTACATTTTAATGATTTTCAGATAAAATTTCTTTTTAGGGAAAAAAAGAGGAGAGGGTGGCATAGAGTGGTTGCTTTCCTGCTAAGGAAGTCTGACCAGGGCTAGAACCTTGGGGACTACCCACAAGAGTCAGGTAGAGGAGTTGCCAATGGGAAGAGTTAGAAAAAAGAATCAGAGTGTCAAGAAATTAGGAATGGTTAACAATGTTAAAAAAAATACTCTTAAATAAAGTATACTCATCAAATTTCTACATAAAAGGGAAATGACTGTACAGAACAAGTTAAACCATCATTACACAGGAATTTCTAATATTTTGTGTTATTAACTATAGAAAAGAACAGATGGTAAGTTTATGTGTGGCAAGTCATATAAGAAGGCAAAACTGATACTTATCACTGATTATTACTGGAAGAATATTCTAATTACTTCTTAGTAGTAAGTGTGTCTTACTGAACAAGTAATAATAGTTGAGTGGTAAAAAACAAAAGCCCAATGATGGAAGTATAGAAGTAATAAAGCAAAGAGAAGTAAGGCCTTCTAGAATTGGTAAGAAAGAATAAATGCACAAAAAGAGCCAAGGTAAAAGGTACCCAACTAGATATCAAGATACATCATGAAGCAGTAAAAAGAGTAGCATCATTGCATTAGTAAACAAAATAGACACACATTTAATCGTCCTATACTTACAAGAAGAAAATATCTATATTCTCAAGGTTGAGAAGGCTTCTTAAGATCCAGAAGGCAAAAATATAAGCGAAAGGATTGATGAATTTGATCATTACAAAATGTAAAATTTCTTTATGACCTACTTTTGGTATAAGATAAAGCAACAGACTGAGGAAAGATATGTGACTTATGCGTAATGTATGAATGTTAAAATCTAGAACATAAGAACTATCATTTAATAAAAAAGCAAACAAGTTATACAAAAGGAAAGCAGACAAAAGATATGAACAGTTAATTCACAGAAAAGAAAATAAAGATGGTCAGTAAAGCTACAGTAATCAAGAAAATGTGGTATTGGCACCAATTTCAACAAATAGATCCATAGATCAGAATAAAGAGTCCAGATGGAGACTCAGACACATATGGTCAGTTGATTTTAGTCAGAGATATTTCAATGAAGAGGCAATTCAAAATGCAGAGATAATTTGATGGAGAAAAGATATATTTTTAACAAGTGGCGCAAAAACAATTGGGTATTCATTTTTGCCTTTGTAGTAGCCTAAATAGTGGCCACCTGAAGATATCAGGTTCCAATCCCTGGAACATGAAAATATAACCTTATGAAGATAAAGAGTCTTTGCAGAAGTGATTACAATGAGGATCTTTACATGGAAAAATTATCCTGGATTATCTGGGGTGGACCCTAAATCTAATTGCAGTGTCCCTTACAAGAGAGAGGCAGAGTGCAATTACAAACACAAAGAGGAGAAGCTTATGTGAAGATGGTGTTTAAAAGGCCACAAGCCGAGGAGTGCTAGAGCATGCTGGCAGCCACCAGAAGCTGGAAGAAGCAAGGAATAGATTCTCCCTCAGAGCCTCTGGAGGGGGAATGGCCCTGCTGACACCTTGATTTTGGTCTTCTGGCCTCAGATCTGTGACAGAATGCATTACCACCGAATTTGTGGTAAATTCATTACAGCGGCCATAGGAAACTAACACAGCCTTATATCAGAATTTACTTAAAATGGATCATGGACCTAAATGTAAAACCTGAAACTGTGCAACTTCTAGCAGATAACATAAAGGAAAAATTTTGTAAGGCTGGGTTAGGCAAAGATTTCTTGCATATGACACCAAACAAGAAAAGTGACAAATCATACTTCATCAAAATTAAGAAATTACGTTCTTAGGCAGTGTTGTGACAATGAAAAGCCACAGATTTGGAGAAAACATTTACAAATCACTATTTAATAAAGCACTAGTGTCCAGAATGTATAAAGAACCCTCAGAACTCAATAATAAAATAATCAAATATGTAAATTTTTTATTGGGCCAAAATTTTGAACAGATACATCATACAAGATGAATGGCAAGTAAGCATGTGAAAAGGCACTCAACGTTATTGGTCACTAGGAATGAGCAGATTGAAAGCACAATGCGGTATCACTACATAGCTATTGAAATCCTTTAATTGAAGACTGACCATTCCAGATGCTGGCAAAGGTATGAAACAAATGGAGCTCTCAAACACTGCTGTTTGGAATGTAAAATGGTAGAATCGCCTTTGAAAAGAGTTTAGTGGTTTTCTAAAATGTTAAACATGGATCTTCCATGTGACCCAGCTATTCCACTTACCCATTCTTTTACCTAAGAAAAATGAAAGTATATGTCTATTCAAAGATTTGAACAGAGCAACAGCATTCATAATAATCAAACCTCAGAACAAGTCAAATATCCATCTACAGATGAAGGGCTAAATACATTGTGCTATGTCCATGCAATGGATTATTACTCAGCAATAAAAAGTATCAATATACCCAACATAGATGAATTGCAAAGTAATTATGCTGAGTGAAAGAAGCCAGAGTACATACTGTATGCTTCAACTCAAAGTTCTAGAAAGTGCAAACACATAGAAAACAGATCAGTGATTACCTGAGCGGGAGGGATTTGAAAGATTATAAATGGGCAGAGAAACATTTTAGGTAAAGAGATATCTTCATTATCTTAATTGTGGTAGTTCGTGAGTGTATATATACACAAGTTAAATTTTATTAAAAAGTATACCTTAAGCATTCCATTTTGCACATCAACGCCTCAATAATGCTTTTTAAATTTGTTTAAAGATTAAGTATTGAATCTTATCAAAATTTTCTTATTGATTTAATTTCTGCTTTTTAATTTTTTTTTTCTTGTGTTGCAATGGCATTTTAGTGCATGTTTCCTATATCATGGGGATCAGCATCCCTTCCCTTTTATCTTGGAAGTATACCCATTCCCCTTATTTTGGAAGTATACCATAATTTCTTTCTAAGCCAATATATTTGTGTGTTACTGACTCTGTCCTTGGTACCATGTATAGAGAACATTATTAAGGCTAAACCAGTCAGTACTTTGCGAAAGCAGAATCCCTGGTCACAGTGACTGGTTCATAAATGGGCACTTGACCCATTTAGAAACAGTGATTCACAGTGAGAATTTGCAGTGATTTCTGGGACAAAGGCTTACCACTGGATGTAAGAATAAAGGGATATAAACAAAACCCCATTTGTCACTACAGTAAGGTGAGAACTTCTCAAAATAGGGAGCCAACAAAGGATGGCACTAAGAGACTGAGAAAATGAACCTTGATAATATAATCTAGTCCTACCAAGCAATTCTTAAAACCAGCTGTTCTTAGAATTTTGGATAATGGGAGTCATTAAGTTTTCTTTTTCCCTAAGTCAGTTTAGGTCAGATTTTCTGTTACTTGTACTCAGAAGAGGCCTGATTCTGTGGTGGAAAATTCTTTTAATGTATGATTATACTGTGCACATTGAGACTTTATTCTAGATTTTTACATCAGAATCTATGGATGAGAATTACTGATATTTTAATCCACATAGGGGTTTAATAGATAAGTTACAAGTGCTTTTTAAATGGGGGAATTTTTTTTCACTTTAAAATAGTTTAGCAACTCCTCAAAAATGTATATTAATGAAAATAAATTTGGAAGAAGTTTCTGTGGTACCAGGGAGGGAAGATAAAAGTAAATGTACTTTCAATCCTGAAGCTCTATTTTCTGACTTCAGTATTTTCCATGCACCCAGTCTACAATTTTTTTACTCCAAACAGGAGAAAAAAAAAATCTGTAACATATTACATTTTTAAGCCATTTAAATTTTTTCCACTTCTGCAACTGACTTTTTTTTAAGTGTTTGAGATTCACTTTTAATGCTTGCCAAAATATCCAATATGAATCTATCTCATAGTGCAGGAAAAAATGATATCAGGTGAATATTGAAGAAGATTAAACATATTCTTGACATTAGGATAAATATTGTTCTCATATCTGCCATCTATGTTTTTCACAAAGAACATGTAGTTTGGCCTACAAAATTAATACAGTCACTGAAATTTATGAAATGAAGAACTCTCAAAAAACTATTCTTCTGAAGTCTTTTACTAAGTAGTAAATAAGCATTCAGTGTTTTTCCTTTATCTACAAATATACACCTACTTAGAGGAAAAAGAGAAGGATGAAGATATCTTAGTGGAGGCACAAGGCAATATAAGCATAAAGCATACCCCTACGTAGGTTGATATAATAGGAAGTTCATTAGTGGTGCCTCAGGAACCCAGCTGGAATCAGGTGTGAGGAGAAATAACTGAGATTGCAGCCAGCACGGAAAGCTGCTTTGTAAGAGTCTGGCAGTTTTTCAAAAGGTTAACAGTTACCATATAACCCAGTAATTCCTCACCTAGGTATATATCCAAGAGTAATAAAAACCTGTACACACATGTTTATAGTAACCAAAAAGTATAAACAAACCAAACAGCCATCAACTGACCAATGAATAAATAAAATGTGGCTTATCCATACAGTGGAATATTGTATAGCAATAAATGATGCTACAACATGGATAAACCTTGAAAACATTATGCTAAGTGAAAGAAGCCAGTCATAATAGGCTACAGATGGTAGGATTCCATTTATATGAAAAGGCAGATCTCGCTGGGCATGGTGGCTCATGCCTATAATCCTAGCACTTGGGGAGGCTGAGGAGGGCAGATCATTAGAGACCAGCCTGGGCAGCATGGCAAAACCCCACTTCTACCACAAAAATAACAAATATTAGCCAGGTATGGTGGCACATGACTGAGGTCGGAGGATCACCTGAGCCCAGGAGGTCGAGGCTGAAGTGAGCCATGATTGCACCACTGCACTCCAGCCTGGGCATCAAAGTGAGACCCTGTCTTTAAGAAAAAAAAAAAAAAAAAGCACATCTATAGAGACAAAGTAGATTAGTGCTTGCCAAAGGCTTATGGGCTACAGTGGGGAAGGAATGGAAAGTAACTGCTAATGGGTATAGGGCTTATTTTGGGGGTGACAAAAATTGATTGTGGTGATGGCTGCACAACTCTGATTATACTAAAAACCCTTGAATTATACACTTTAAATAGGTGAGTTGTGTAGCTTGTGGATTCTGTTTCAATGAAGCCATATGGAAACAACAACAGCATGAGAAAAGAGCTAAGAAAAAGATTCTGAGATCATCTTCCATGCTAAATATGAATGGATTTCTAAAAATGTATTAGTATTTTTGCCTTCAACTTTGTTGAAACAACATATTTTTAAAGAAATTTGAATTTTATGGTAGGGAAATTATTCCTACAATTTTATTAGGGAAACCAGATAAAGTGGTGATACCCTCTCTTGCCAAAAACTCTCAGAGGAAATACTTTTCCTATAATATTATGAGGAGTTATTTGGACAAAACATTTTCTTGATTTTTATTTTTGTTATTTTCTTCTGATATTTACGTTTCATCTAAGACTATGTGAGTCTATAGGAAATGATTTTAAGCTGTCAGCATTTTTGTTCTTGTTAACATGCAGTCTATGAAAACCACAGAAAACACTCTACATATCTTGTTTAGGAGTGCATTCACCAAAATTGCAGTGATCCTAGAAAAATGTATCTACTGACTTCAGGACCCCTATGAGACATGTGCCATCTAAGGGGTTTTAGCGTTGGAGTACATTTTGATATTTAAAGTTTTTCTGAACATGTTATAGTTTAAATTAGCACCTCTGAGTTTATCATTCATAAATGATAAATGTTCCATAATGAATAACTTAATCCAATAATAAGAATTACGAGTGCTTAAATGTCCACAGTCTAGTTGAAAATCCTTGCAGTGGGCCCAGGAGAAATATCACAAATTATATTTAAGGATGTGAGGCCTGTTAGGGCCTTGGAACAGGGGAAAAGCATTAGCAGGAATGTTCATGTACTCGAGTTTCTCATGATCTAGAACTTCTAATTTTCTTTGTCTTTCTCTTCTTTGCTCCCTCTCTCTTCCTCCCCTTCATCCTTTGTACTCTCATCTGTCCCCCTCCTTTTCCTCTCTCCTCTCCACTTCTCGCTGGCAGCTACTGCCTTGACAGAGTTTTCCCCCTCCCTTAACCCGGACACTCATCTGCCATACACCTACCAGGAAAGATCTAAGATATCATCACTAACAGAAAATACTGTAATGAGAATGCATGTGACTGCTGATATTTTCAGATCACCTCCTTAATACATAAAGAGCAAAATATATCTGTTTATACTTGTGTTAGCAGAGAGAATTGTTAGCATGGAAAATTCTTTGTTATCAGTGTCACATGGCAAAATGACTGTGAAAAACTAATACTCCTGTTACTGTGGGTGAAGGTCTTAGATAATGAGAGATGCTTGACATGTGAGCAGAGAGCAGAGTATGGGGAAGCAGTTTGAAAGAGGAGATTGGGCATCAAAAGGGCCAGATCTCATAGTTACCTAGTCGGCTTTATTACCAATATTACACTATGTGTGAGAGGAAACTGTATTCAGATTATTCTTGTGCATAATTATGGATGTATATATGTATATATACACATGCACATATATATGTATATACATTCATAATTATGCACAACAAAAATAATCTGCAGTTCAGACCTCCTGGGCTCCTTGTGTGTGTGTGTGTGTTCCTTCCTTGATTACACATTTCTTTTTAGCTGAAGAATCGCTTTGTTAGATTTCAGTATGCACATTTTATACATCTTGAAGAGAAAAAAAGACTTCAGATTTTGTAAACAGGAAAAGCAAAATGTTACATGGTCAAAGGAGAGCTCAAAGTGTTTTAAGCTCCTTATATAAAACACATCAGAAAGTAAAATAATAAAATACAGGCAGTTCCTCCTTGTATTGCATTTCACAGATTTTGCATTTTTTACAAATTGAAGGTTTATGGCAACCTTGCATAAAGCAAGTCCTTTGGCACCATTTTTTCAATAGCATATACTGACTTTGTGTCTCTCATATTTTGGTAATTCTCATGATATTTCAAACTTTAGTATTATATGTTATAGTGACTAGTGATTGGTGATCTTTGATGTTTCTTTTTTTTTTTTTTTTTGAGACGGAGTTTCACTCTTGTTGCCCAGGCTGGAGTGCAATGGTGCAATCTCGGCTCATCGCAACCTCTGCCTCCTGGGTTCAAGCAATTCTCCTGCCTCAGCCTCCCGAGTAGCAAGGATTACAGGCGTGTGACACCACGCCTGGCTAATTTTGTATTTTTAGTAGAGACAGTTTCTCCATGTTGGTCAGCCTGGTCTTGAACTCCAGACCTCAGATGATCCACCCGCCTCGGCCTCCCAAAGTGCTGGGATTACAGGCATGTGCCACCACGCCCAGCCCAATCTTTGATGTTTCTATTCTAATTGTTTTGGGGCACCATAAACTGCACCAATATGAGACAGTGAATTTAATCTGTAAAGGCTGTGTATGTTCCAACTGCTCCACCAAGTGGCCCTTCTCCGTGATCACTCTTTCTTTCTTTTTCTCTTTTCTTTCATTCTTTTTTTTTGGGGGGGGGGGGCAGTGGCACGGAGCGGGAGACAGGATCTTGCTGTCACCCAGGCTGGAGTGCAGTGGTGTAGTGGTGCAATCACAGCTTCATGGCTCACTGTAGTCTCAACCTGCAGGGCTCAATCTATCCTCCCACCTCAGCCTCCTGAGTAGCTAGGACTACAGGCACATGCCACCACTCCTGGCTAATTTTTTTTTTTATTTTTTATAGAGACAGATTGCATGATGTTGCCCAGGCTGGTCTTGAACTCCTGGGCTCAAGCAATCTGCCTGCCTCAGCCTCCCAAAGTGCTGGGATTACAGGCGTGAGCCACCATGCCCAGCTCATGATCATTACTTCTTAACAGCTGTATGCTCCCGTGTAACTTTGCTAGTGCAGAGGAGGATCAAAATGTAAACACAAATCTTCAAGGAATTTTGTTTTCTAAAATTAACATGATTTAGGGAGTCAGACTTCCCCCAATACCGACTCTGTAAAATGGAGACAATGCTACATTCCTCATAGTTATTATGAATGAGAGTTATATGTTACATAGTGTGCCCAATTTTTAGTACATGGTGGTTTCCTCAGAAGAGTTTATAATGTCTTAAAGAATATACAAGTGTTAGATAAGAAATAAATTGTAACAGCATGATACTGGGTGTTAAATGAGTTTTTTTCCCTGTGATTGACCATTAAAGCTCACAGAAAGAAGAAGTTTGCTAAGGACCCTACCCTGTAGACTTGGGTAACCACCCGATATTGAAGGCACCAGGGCTTGCTGAGAGGCCATTGTTTAGTGGAACCTACAGTGATGGTAACATCACTCATACCCCTACTCCCTCCAGATGATTTTAGAGGACTGAGATGAATTTGACATTTGGTGAGGGTGAGAGGAAGTGCCTGAATATTTTTCTTCTGCAAAGAGATGCTGAGAGATTCTTATAAAGTTTGGGGATGTTAAGAAGAGTGGACTGCATTTATTTCCTAGTTGGATGTCTGCTTAGCCGTCAGGCTTTCCCACCTACCCAGTGGAGCAGGGTAAAGGGCAGTGTGGACAGATGGTTTGGTAGTAGGGCAACAATGAGGAAGTGAGGTAAGGAGCCTGGAATGAATTCCTGTTGCCTGAGAGGTATGGGGATGGTTCTCTTCATGCCTGCAGGTACCAGTGTTGGGGCTAAAGACAGTTGGTGATACTGGAGCCAGAGGCTCTCCAAGGGCCACCACAGTGTGTAACAATAAAGCACTACATCTGAGGGGAGCTGCAGGTTGCTGCCCTATTGGAGTAAGCTGCTCTTAGTGGCTGAGTCTCCCAAAGGCAACTGTCAAAGGCAGAAAGCACAATTCTGAAAGTTTCAGGGATGAGGCGGGCCAGGATGAAGCAGCTAGGTAATCGAGGGTTAGTGATGACAGCAGTAAACTGTGACAATGGTTGAGCACCTAGCTACTGCATAGGTTCAAGTCCCAGCTTTGCCATTTACTAACCATAAGATTGGGTGACTTTGTAGTTTCTCTTTGTTTCCTCATCTGTAAAAGGGAGGTAATAATTGTACCTGCTCTATAGAATTAATGTAAGAATTAAATGAGTTCATACGTGGAACAATGTTTAGCACAGAGTTAGCACTCAAATGATAACTTATTATTCAAATCGTAATTATAAATCTTGAAAAAATGGTACTACTTGGACATGCGTGTACAAGAAGAGTCATATAGGCTCTATGAGAGTCTGAGCTTCTTTAGGATAGGGAATGGCTTGTTCACCTTTATAAGGACTGTCATATGATAGATGCTCAATAAATGAACAGATGATAAAGTAATGTTGAAGAATATATCAATTCCAGGCAGAAGGAGTATCATTGGAAAAATAAAGCACAGAAGCAGGAAATTTAAGCAGGTATGTGAAATAGCTATTACATTTGGCTCGAGCAGGGTTTCTCACACTCAACACTTATTGACATTTTTGGCTGGATAATTCTTGGTTGTCAGAGGTTGTCCTAGACATTGTATGACCTTTAGTGGCATCCCAGCCTCTACCTACAAGATACCAACCAGTAGCATGCTTCCTCAGTTGTAACAAGGAAATGTCTTCAGACATTGCCAAATGTTCCCTGGGAGGCAAAATCATCCACAGTTGAGAACCCATTGTGATAGAGTATTGGCTTTATGAGAAAGGAGTAGGAAGAAATAAGGTCGGAACATTAGATTGAGGCTATATTGAGTACAGCCTTAAACAAGCTAAAGATCTCAGAGTTTATCTTGAAGACAGTAGGGAACTGTGGAAAGTTTTGGGCTAGAGAGTAGTGAAATTAAAGTGGTGCTTAAAAGGGTTCATCTGTAAAAGTATGCAGACAAGAAACATGGTAATAGTCTTTACTGTCAAAAAGAGGACAAATAGACAATAGTAGCAAATAAGCAAAAAGAAGGAAGAAAATGTAGTACAGATTTATCTTTTATCATACATTCAGGATTAGGAACAAGTTATAGAAGGGATACATTGTCTTTAATTTGGGACATTTTGTGTTGAAAGTTCCAGCCTTTTAAATTTCTTTGAAAATTTTCTGCAAGGTAAGGACAGAGAATTCTCCTTTCAGAAACAGAAAACCCTTGAGATCTTGAAACATAAAATAGACAATAGCATCTTAAATTTACACATTTATCTAAATGACAGGTTGAAATCTTTGCCTTAATGTGCAAAGAGCTACAGACATTTCAAAATTCTATTTCTTAATTACAATTACAGCTAATACATAGATAGTAGCTACTATATACCAGCCACTGTTCTAGCACTTATTAACTATTTTTTCATACCAACCCTATTTTACGGAAGAAGAAACTGGGACACAGAGAAGTTAAGTGATCTGTCTGAATTACATAGTAAATGGCAGAACCTGGATTTGAACCAAGGCAGTCTAGACTTTGCTGAACTCTCAGCCACTTAAAACCTGCTTTGTTGGGAGGCCGAGGCGGGTGGATCACGAGGTCAGGAGATCAAGACCATCCTGGCTAACACGGTGAAACCCCGTCTCTACTAAAAATACAAAAATTATGCTGGATGGTGGCGGGTGCCTGTAGTCCCAGCTACTCGGGAGGCTGAGGCAGCAGAATGGCATGAACCTGGGAAGCGGAGCTTACAGTGAGCTGAGAAGATCGCACCGCTGCACTCCAGCCTGGGTGATGGAGCGAGACTCCCATCTCAAAAAACAAAACAAAACAAAACAAAACCTGCTTTGCACACACAGCTAGTAAATTGTTTATGTACTTTTTGGTAATTGTGGTGATGACTTAAGTCATATGTGTCCCAAGTCTCTAGAATTTTAGGCAAATGGAGTTTGGGGCACAAATGTACTTCTCAGTCATTGCTTTTCTTTTGCTGCTTGGTTACCTGTTTCTGCAATTGTCAGTATTCAGTATCTTCAGAGACAGAGGTTTTAGGAAAATAAGTAAAAATATTCAAATCAATGGGAAAACTTTTGTATGATTTTAGAAGCTGGTGATTTTCGCCTGTGCTTTGTGAGGTGGGTCAGGATAATCTGTACTGTGATTTTCATAGCACACAGTTTTTGAATTCCTTCCAAATGAATGCTTTTGAATGGTTTCCCCTGACCGACAGAGTGACTCATCCCAGCTGTGTGATAATTCCTAATTAGGCCTAAAAGGGTTATTATAACTTGGTACAAAGAGAAGAAAAACTGCCATTCACCTGTTCATGAGCAATCTTCCTTTAGGCTATGTTTCTTTCATTTTTTTTACTTTCCTTTCTCCAAATCTTGTTTTGTTTTGTTTTAACCTCCCTTGATGTGTTTTTCTTAAGGTATCATTCTGACTTTTGTTGAATCCCGGGCTACAAGTACTTGTTTACTTACCCAAAGATCTTGTTTTACAAAGATAGCAGTAGGCTAAGCTCTCTGATCTACCTGGTGTCCATGATGAGTCATTAACGAAGCAGGAAAGTTTGTTGACCTATTTTTGAGTCTGCCTACTGTGGAGACAGTTGTGAAGACATTTTTTTTTACGTGAGTGAACTTCTCCAGTAGTGCTTTAACCAGTGTTTTCCATTGCATTTCTGGCAGGACTTTGGAATCATGATTCATAAGAATTGACTCAGTGTAGAGTTAGAGAAAGGAGTAGTGCAAGCCATCTGTCCCCTACCAAATGTGGTTAACAATTATTGATCCTAGGTCTGACAGCAGTCTAAAGGCAAGTGATGCAAGCTTTTCAAACTTATGTGGAATTAGAAACTCCAGTAGTCCATGACAAACACCAAATATCATGGATTGGGTTAGAAATGTTACTTTTAACAAATGAGATAATTCAACACTGTCATACACACTTAAGGTTGCTTAAAGAGAAGCTTCTGGCAATTGTTTTCTCAATTTTCTCCAAGAATAGTATTTGAAAAACTACATTAAAAAATAAAAACTATTATATGTCGATGCCATTATTCTGTTTTCACCCAGATGAAGTAATGGGCCAAAAGATAGCATTGTCTAAATTGTACTCCCTATCTGGTCTTGTACATTCTAGACTCCAGAATGATAATCTCAGTAGTAATCCTAGAGAGATTCTTTAACTTGGTATATTTATTGATATCTTAGTTTCCAAATGTAACAAATTACTAAAATAACAATATACCACAAACTTGATGACTTTAAACAACACAAATTTAATATCTTAGATTCTGGAGATCAGAAGTCCAAAATCGGCCTCATTGGGCTAAAATCAAGGTGTTGGCATGATAGCATTCCTTTGGGAGGCTCTAGAAGAGGATCTGTTTCCTTGCCTTTTGCAGCTTCTAGAAGTTGCTTATATGGGTCATGGCACTCTTCCATCTTCAAAGTTAGCAATTGCTGGTCAGATTTTTTTCATGCTGCATCATTGTTCTGACACTAATTCTTCTGCTTCCCTCATCTACTTTTCAGGGCCATTTTGATTACACTGGCATTGGGCCCACACAGGTAATCCAGGGTAATCTCTCCATCTTAAAGTTATCAGATTAGTAACCTTAATTCCCTCTCCAACCTTAATGTTTCTTTGTCATGTAATATAACATATTCACAGGTTCTGGAGATAAGGATGTGAACATCTTTGTTGGAGGCATTATTCTGTCTATTACTGCTGTCTGATTGCCTGGTATCTAGAATATATGGCTTCCTAAATTAGTGTTATAGATTGAAGCTTTTAAATACATCTTAATTTCATTGTTTATTTTTGTTATCTAAGTATATGTATCTTAAAAGCAATCTCTACCTTAAATTCTGTTTGAAATAAGACAATGTATAAGAAAGGTATATTTGCTACAATTATGACAAAAAGTCAAATATGAAATGATCATACAAATGGATAGTAAAAACCTGAAGATCAGCCTCAAAATAAATAGAAAGATAGCAAATTAAGAATCTTTCAAAATAATTTCTGAAAGACAAGTTGGAAGTCGGTTGATGATGAAACAAGAAAAAAATAGCTGTAATACACTAGGAGAGGACCACTGAAGAGATAGGAGCCAATTTACCAAAATGGAACCCCAGGGAAACTCTGGGCTCAGATTCAGTTAGGTGGGAAAGCTAATGAGGCTGAAATCAGAGGGATTAATTAAATAACTTGATATGGGCCAACTGTACCTGTATATGGGCGCCCATTTTTTCCTCTACCCTATTCATGGATCACAAGAAGATGGCACTTCTCCAAGGCGTGACTTGTGTTGCCTTTATTATTATTACTAAAAAGAAAAAAAAGATTATCTGGAGACAACTAAGGCTTCCAAAGATTGTGATGCTTCCAAGAAAAATATTTCTCATCCCAGATTTTGGGCAGATGTGTAGCTTCACAATAGGTTCTCTATTGGCTTACAATGAAGGAGATTATACCAATGGCTATACCCTGAATTTCCTCACTGGAGTTCCTGGTCAAATTTTTTATGCTGAAGAGAGACCTGGTCAGAAGAAAGACCAAGATACCCTATACAACAGAAAATTAACAGTGGCAGCTTGCCCATTTATTTTAAACAATAATGAATAACTTGTGGTAGTGAAGGTAGTAGTGGTGAGGATTAGCCAACCAATTATAGAAAAGAATTTCCCAGAATTGAAGAGTCTTCAGGCTAAAAAGACCCACCTATAGTCCAGCATAAATAAGTACAGAAAGATTTTATTAGTCCATTTTGTGTTACTGTAAAGGAATACTGGAAACTGGGTAATGTATAAAGAAAAGAGGTTTATTTGGCTCACAGTTCTGCAGGGTGTACAAGTGTGGCATCAGCATTTGCTCTTCTGATGAAGAAGCTTTTACTCATGGCAGAAGATGAAGGGGGAACAGGCTTGTCACATGGCAAGAGAGGGAACAAGAGAAAGGAGGAGGTGCTGGCCTCCTTTAAACAAACAGCTTTGGTGTGAATTACCAGAGTAAGGACTCACTCATTATCACGGGGATGGCACGAAGCCATTCATAAGAGATCCACCCCCATGGCCCAAACACTTCCCACTAGGCCAACCTCCAACACTGGAGGTCACCTTTGAAGGGGACACACATCCAAACTATGTCAAAGGCCACACCTAGATAGTGTCATAAACTTTCACAATATCAAGATTAAATACTGATTCTGAAAAGTTCAAAGACAAAAAGTCATTTACAAGGAATTAAGAGTCATATTGACAACAAGTTTTTTCACATGTATTGGAGAGTGGAAAATAATGGCATAGTAAATTCAAAATTCTGTCTTAAAGTTATTTCCAATCTAGAAATTTCTGTCCAACAAATTATTAATTTAATGTAAGGGCAGAATAAATAAATTTTCCTACATGTAAATTTTCAGAAAGTTGAATATCTTCATTATAAGCATATAGTCCAACAAAATGAGAAAATGAACCAAGAGAGGGACACGCGTGAAATACTGAAAACAGTAAGCCCAAATAAAAAGTAAAAAGGGTCTCATGTGGATTGTGGTGTAGTGGATTAAAGAGCAACCAGTCCAATTAGGAACAGAAGTACAGAGGGCTCTAAGAGGGAGAGCTTTAGGATAGAGGAAGACTTTATAGAATAAAATAAATGTTTGAGCTTAGAAAAAACTCAAGAGTATGCTAAATAAAATTAATGCAAAAGAACAAATTTCAGAATTCCTGAGAAAAATAAATTTTTTCAGAAGAAAGGCATGGTTCAGTACTACACTAGTGGCACCTAGCATGAAGTTGAGCATGTTAACCTTAATTTTCCCTTTGAGTGGCATTAGGGCAAGCTATTGTACTCACAGAGGAAGAAATGCAATCCCAACAAACTACTTGGGTTTTTAATGAAAAAAATACTGCTGTAAATATGAGAGAGAAAAAGGTATGGGGGAATGGGAGAAAATGAAAAGGCAATGTGGTATGTGGCATGGCTGTATTGTAGGACTCCATCAAATCTTCAGTGTGGGGCCTGCTAAACCCTGTGTGCTTGGATGAGTGAATTTTATGGAGGCTGTCCACAGACAAGGTTGTCCAGTTGTGTGGTCTGTTCATCGTGTAATACAGGTAATATGTAAAGAGGCTGGGTCCCAGTCACTAGAGTGGCAAAGATAACACAAACTTCCCAAGAGTTAGCTAATGTCTTTGGTGGAAGAGGTGGAAAGTGAGGAGAAGGAGTGCAGCTTTGATTTCTACAGGCAATGGATTTGGAAAAGGAGAGTTTAAAGACGTTTCCCCTATGTTTGAATCACCAGCATTACACCTGCATGACAAACTAAGGACTTGGGTTATAAGTGACAGAAGCACTTGTTAAAAGGATCAAAGCTGCATGAACTGTGGACCATCTGGGACCTCGACGTTTCAGCCACAACTTAAACACCATTGTCATTCAGTCCTGTCTCCCTTATATCACCTTTATTCTCTCCTGCTGCTCACTGGATGTCTCCATCTGCTGGTAATGTGACTAGCAACAGTTTACAGTGCTACATTGTAACAGTTTCATAATCTGCTTAAATCTGAAAAATCCCAGTGACAGCCCTCAGATGGATTTGCTTTGTTTTGTGTGCCCATCTCTGCAGTCATTGTGCCTAAGGAGCAAGGCTCTCCAATGTCTCAGCTGTGGAGTGGGGGTTAGGCCTGTTACCAGATTACAGGAGACCAAACAAAGCCCATCGGAGAATTCTGAGCCTAGCTTGTCTCTACAACACAAATGAGCAAGCAGTACAAACTCCAAAGCTAACACAAATACAAAAAGTACCAAAAAAATCATAAATCAGAAATTTAAAAAACTCTCACTTGGCTCCAGGGACAATAACCAAAACCATGGACTGAGGTTTTATTAACCTATCAGGCTATGGAGATTAGAATATGTGGATACCTATTCTACAAGCACCAAAGAATAAGAATTTTGTTACTTTACCTTTTAAACCCACACATATTAGTCATAGATTAACAGCTTTCTAACTGCAAATCCAATACACTTCCTTAGTCAATCCAGCATTCTTGGGGCAGACTTTATCTCTTTGCAAGGCAACTCACCTTCCTTCCTTTCCCCTTACCGACCACCTCTTATTATCCTTCATAAAAATCATTTCTCCTGTGCCCTTCTACTTGTCTTCAGGCTCTGCTTTTCATTGGCAGTAGCTTATCACATAAACTCATCTCTGCTAATGTGTTACATCTCCCAGGTAACAGAGCTCATTGTTGACTACCAAGGATAAATCTCCTTTATATCCAAACTCTGTCCCCCTGAGCCCAATTACTTTCCTCTGAAATACCAGTGTATTTTTCATTAAAATGCTTGCAAATCCTTCGGGTTATTAGGTTTATGGCAGCCCCATTAAGCAGAACAATGATGATTTATGTAAGAAGTTAGACCAGAATCTTTGTTTTGTTTAATAAAAAGGTTCACAGCCTGCAGCTAGATGCTGAGCTCTTGCAACCTTGCATGTTTCTGTCACATAGACCGTCTTTCTATTTTGTTTCCCAGAAGAATGCTAGTCCTGCTTGGAGCTGCTTTTCTAAACTTACAAACCAGGAAGCCCAGCTATGATGTTCAAGCTCCTTTTGCTGAGGAAGCAGCACGGGCTTTGGATCAGGATAGACCTTGGTAAAATGTCTACATCTGCCCCTTATGGGCTTTGTAACTTTGCACAAGTCACTTAACCTCCATGAGCTTAAGTTTCCTCAGGTATATAATGGGTGATAAGACTTTACTGAGTGTTGCACAAATTCAATAAGATACTGAGTAAACCACTCTGCTAGGCTATAGTATCTCCAGTCTCAGATCCATGCATTACCTTTCCCTCTTGTCTTTTGTGTGTTGCAAGTAATGAGACCCCTGCAGGCTGCATTTCCCAGGTTTCCAGTCCCACCTGGGTTCAATCAATAAATGATACTGGTGGGGGATTAGGGGTGTAGGGGAAGGATAAGCCAAGGAATCCCCACAATGCCCAGTCTTCTCCAACTTAGGTGGCATATATTGCAGCAGTCTCTCTCCTTTGTGGCCCCAGTTACTGCTGGCCAGGTGTACCATGATGTCAACTTCTGCAGGTAACCCTGGCCTCTTGGTTAGCTAAAGATGGGGTTCTTTGTCCCACAGCCATGAAAATTCAGGCTCACAGACAATTTGAATAGTGAGTAAACAGGGTTTTATTGGGTGAAAAGGAAAAAAAGGGGAAAACAGGGACTCTCACAAGGCCAGAGTCCCAGCTAGAGCACTTCCCGCCAGGCCGTTTTGAATCCCAGATTCCACACAGGAAGAAGAGGGTCCAGGTTCCTCTTTGCTGCGGACTTCCTGAGGCTCTACTCCAGTACACAGGCTGGTCAGAGTTTCTCTGGGGACCCCCTCCCACCTGGCTGTCTCATTCCCCCATCTAAAGAAGAACATCTAACTGCCATTAAAGACGAAGGCCAATCGTAACTGCTTCCTGCCAACAGGGGGCGCTGCTTTGGGGGAAACAGCAGTCAGATCTATCTCCCTCAGAAGCCTATTTAAGTGTTCCCAGCAGAAGGGACCATCGTCCCAGGCTCTGGTTGTATGACTGGAGTTTGATGGCCTGAAGGAAAGAACAGACAAACCAGGTTATTAGAAAACATGTATCAAAATGAAACAAGGGGAAGGGTAAGGACAGCTCAAAAATTCCGAGGCCATTTACCAGTTTGCACAGGGAGAAGGAAGCCAAAAGCCCGAATGGCAATAAAAACCTTACCCTTTTGCTGGCATGTTGGGCTTCTGGGTTCCCTTCCCCTGAGCCCAATCCTAAGCCAACCAGTTTAAGGTTTGGGAAATTAATTATTTCCAGTTTGGAGGATGCATCTGAGGGGAGTGTCCCATAGTATGGAGACACAATTACCTATCAGTGAAGAGAGGATGAGGAGGAGAAAGGAAAAAAAGGCGTTTTTTTGTTTGTTTTTTTGTTTTTTTAAAGGAGTCCAAGGGGTTCAGGATGCTTTTGAAAGGAGTACAGACAGAAGATGAATGGCATCCTATCTAGAAAGAAGGGAGCAGGCATCCCTGATTCCCTTCTCTTCCTAGCAGATACTCAGGGTATGTTAGGGAGAAAGGGAAGAGCATCCTGTTTTCTTTTTCCATCCTTGCATCCCCAAGTCCTGGTGACCTTGGCAGGTCCTGCCATGAGTGCCAAAGCGGCTTGCACCCCTGAAGTAGTGAGGGCCTAGAGAATAGGCATTATCATTCTCACCTATGCCTACAGATGACCCCTGTGCCTCCCTGCTTCTGTCAGTAGCCTTGGAGTTCCCTAGACTTCATTTATGCTATGGATATTAACATGGCCTTTATCCATGAAACAGGAAGCTTAGGGTTGGCTTAATCTGCAAGAATCAGCCACACTCGCCTGCATTGTGCCTCTTAACCTCTGTTGTCATGTATCTCTGGATCCTTCAGATCCAGTTTTCCTTCCTAGGGCTTTGACCCGAAGCTTAGAATTGAGTCTGGGACAAAAATGTATCTCAGGGGGCATTGGAGGGACTCCTTATCATAAGCCAAATGCTAAGGTGAAACTGTGGAACTGAGTCCTCTTTCAACGAGAGAGGAAAGGGTATCTTGTGACACACCCAGAAAACTGGTGGCTGTAGTTATGTTTGTGAAGATTTAGTTATGCATGGGGCTTGGCTTTGGTTAGCTCCCTTGGTCTTACTTTCCTGAAAAGGAAACCTCTGAGTGATGAGAATTCTGTTTATTCCCATCACCTGGCAGGATTTGCAGGATAATTGCTCAGAACTAGGATATTGATCAGGATTTCTACATTACCCATCCCCTCTTGTTCTTTTTTTGAGACAGAGTCTTGCTCTGTCACCCAGGCTGGAGTGCAGTGGCACGATCTAGGCTCACTGCAAGCTCCGCCTCCAGGGTTCATGCCATTCTCCTGCCTCAGCCTCCTGAGTAGCTGGGACTACAGGAGCGTGCCACCACACCCAGCTAATTTTTTCTATTTTTAGTAGAGACCAGGTTTCACCATGTTAGCCAGGATGGTCTCAATCTCCTGACCTCATGATCTGCCCACCTCAGCCTCCCAAAGTGCTGGGATTACAGGCATGAGCCACCGCACCTGGCCCTGTCTTGTTCTTTTTGAGCTGCTGCTGGAAATTGCTGGTTGGAGCACAGGAACAAGCAGGGTTAGTCTAAAATGTGTGCAAAAACTTAAAAACAACTGGTGAGTTTAGAATTTAATGACAAATGTGTACATTTTGGAACATAATTTCTTTCTCTCTAGTTCTCATTTTTGTTAAAAAAATTAAAAAAAAAATCACCATAGGACTGAGTGGTTTGCAAAATAGGCCTTAGTCTTACATTTGGCCTGATTATTTGCATAAAGTGCAGCAAGAATAATTGTTTATACATAGGCCTTTTGGATTGGCTTTGATGGAACTCTGTTCCACAAAGGATGTCAGATAAGACCTTTAAAGCCGAGCCCAGCCATGGGTTTGCATCATAAAATACCTGTGAGTTGGGTGATCCTCTCCTCTTAAGGTCCCAAGATAAACTTGGAGCTCCTGGACCTGTTAGAAAGTGACATTTTACTGATCACAGACCAGGAACCCTGTTCAGGGAATCTGTAGACAAGGGTAGGAGGCCAGTTTCCCCCACTGGGCTTTATTGGCTTTGCAAGTCAAGATTGACTCCCTAAAGGGAAGCATACGCTTCCAATCAGATCCTTGGTAAAATACTCAGTTTTTCCTTTTGCATTCTGTTGCAAGAGAAAAATGGATTTTTATTGCACCAGTGCAAACAATTATATTGCCATAAGTTAAGAATACTCACAGATAAGTTCTAAATTCTGGAGGAACTAGGCAGAGAGAAACAAACATGCTCCAAATTTTGATCATAGGACTATACCTTGCTTAATTATTAAAAACCATAAATAGTTCAAAATAAGTTTCCTTGATTCTGAAAGACAAAACAAGGATCAGCAATATTCCAAGCAAAAGTCAAAAAGTTTGCTCCAGCTTTCTGAGTTCAGTCCATTTAGTTAACTCTTGTTTTGCTTGGTATTCATAAGCATTTCACCTCTTCATGAGTCCTGTACATTTTCCTTTATTCCAATGTCACAATCTCCAAAGTTATCGGAAACCTGATTGTCTCAAATACAATCAGAAATTGTATTTGAGAGCACCTGTTACAGTTCTATAGCTTATTATAAACCATCTTTTAAAAAGGATTAAAACAAGACAGCAATTGTCTGTGAATACCAAAATGGGCAGGGTAGTTACAGTTAGAAACATGATTGACAAAGAGGTTTGGTTATCTCCATGGTTTACAATAACTTAACCTTAATTGTGACTGATAGCATATACTTTAGACATTAGAATTTTTAAAATTCCATACAATTTTGGAACATGTATTAGCATTATTCACAAAAATATAACCTAAATTGAAGATTTTGGCAATCCCGTGTACCTAAACATGTCAAATAATCCTGTCTACATCTCTTTTCTGGACACTTCAGGGGCCCTCTGAAGTATTCAAAAAGCCAGGTGCTAGGGAAGACAATTTTGAAACTGAAGTTTGATTTGGGGAAGGCTGTTAAATATGTTTAAAGCATTGATATTATGAAATAGAATGCCAGATTACCATAAGTTATTTATTTTGCCAAAAAGATGGCTCAGAAATTTTAAAGAAGCAAAATCCTTTTAGAACTCCTCAGAATTTAGTTAATATGTTCACATTAGTTAACATGTTTAGTTAATATGTTCACAGAGAACCTCTTCTGCAGGATTAATTTCCATAATGCTTCTACCACTTGTTTGAACTTTCAGCTTTTTCTTAATTTAAAACAATCCTTTAACCCCAGGCAAAAATTTACATTTCCATGTCTTCTTATAACTTATTACTAAAAAAACACACACACACACATTGTACTGTTCTTACACACCTTGCATGTAAATCTTGTTCTAGTAGTTTCAATTAACTCCTAGCAATTTTTAACTTTAAGGTAAAATTTGGTAAGTTGCTTTAATTGTGTGCTAAGTGCAGCCAAGGTTTGCCTTCTTAGTTAAGGGCGTGGTTAGTTCATATGTCCCAAGGCCTTACCAGTTGTGAAGCCAACAAGTCAAATAGTTCTCAAAACCCAAAAGTCAGTTTGTAACCTCAAAACACTTAGCAAATCTTGCATCTGACCTACATTTTACTAACAGTCTGGAGAGCTGTTTTTATTTCTTAAAGATTAAAGTCACGTGAAGTGGAAGGTACCACAGATTTTATCTTCCCTTTAAAAAATATTAAATCCAACTGCGTGTCTTTCTTTAGGCCAAATTAATTAGAGCTCTTTCAACAGACATTACACACAGTACACACAACAGACAGGTGGAAGAAAACCCAGTCGCTGGGTGGGGCCCTTTAAGAGACAGAGCTAGGAGGCTGGCAAGATGGCCAAATAGGAACAGCTCTGCTCTGCAGTTCCCAGCGAGATCAACAGAGAAGGCAGGTGATTTCTGCATTTCCAACTGAGGTACCCGGCTCATCTCATTGGGACTGGTTAGACAGGGGTACAGCCACAGAGGGCCAGCCAAAGCAGGTTGGGGCATTGCCTCACCTGGGAAGCGCAAGGGGTCAGGGATTCCCTCCCCTAGTCAAGGGAAGCCCTGAGGGATTGTGTCTTTAGGAACGGTGTACTCCGGCCCAGATACTACACTTTTCCCACAGTCTTCACAACCCGCAGACCAGGAGATTCCCTCCGGTGCCTATACCACCAGGGCCCTGGGTTTCCAGCACAAAATTGGGCGGCCATTTGGGCTGACACCCAGCTAGCTGCAGGAGTTTTTTTTCATACCCCAGTGGCACCTGGAATGCCAGTGAGACAGAACCATTCACTCCCCTGGGAAGGGGGCTGAAGCCAGGGAGCCAAGTGGTCTAGCTTGGTGGATCCCACCCCCACAGAGCCCAGCAAGCTAACATCCACTGGCTTGAAATTCTTGCAACCAGCCCAGCAATCTGAAGTCACCCTGGGATGCTCGAGCTTGGTGGGGGGAAGGGCGTCCACCATTACTGAGGCTTGAGTAGGCCGTTTTCCCCTCATAGTGTAAACAAAGCCGCCAGGAAGTTCTAACTGGGTGGAGCCCACTGCAGCTTGGCAAAGCCACTGTAGCCAGACTGCCTCTCTAGATTCCTCCTCTCTGGAAAAGCCATCTCTGAAAGAAAGGCAACAGCCCCAGTCAGGGGCCTATAGATAAAATTCCTGTCTCCCTGGGACAGAGCACCTGGGGATGGGGCAGCTGTGGGCACAGCTTCAGCAGACTTAAACGTTTCTGCCTGCCAGCTCTGAAGAGAGCAGCAGATCTCCCAGCACAGCACTCGAGCTCTGCTAAGGGACAGACTGCCTCCTCAAGTGGACTGACCCCTGTGCCTCCTGACTGGGAGAAAACTCCCAGCAGGGGTCGACAGACACCTCATACAGGAGAGTTCCAGCTGGCATCTGGTGGGTGTCCCTCTGGGACAAGGCTTCCAGAGGAAGGAAAAGGCAGCAATCTTTGCTGTTCTGCAGCCTCCACTGGTGATACCCAGGCAAACAGGGTCTGGAGTTAACCTCCAGCAAACTCCAGCAGACCTGCAGCAGAGGGGCCTATTAGAAGGAAAATTAACAAACAGAAAGAAATCGCATCAACATCAATAAAAAGGACATCCACACCAGTACCCCATTCAAAGGTCACCAGCATCACAGATCAAAGGTATATAAATTCACGAAGATGAGGAAAAACCAATGCAAAAAGGCTGAAAATTCTAAAACTAGAATGCCTCTCCTCCTCCAAAGGATCACAACTCCTCACCAGCAAGGGAACAAAACTAGACAGAGAATGAGTTTGATGAATTGACAGAAGTAGGCTTCAGAATGTGGGTAATAACAAACTCCTTCAAGCTAAAGCAGCATGCTCTAACCCAATGCAGGAAAGCTAAGAACCTTGAAAAAAGTTAGAGGAATTGCTAACTAGAATAACCAGTTTCGAGAAGAACATAAATGACCTGATGGAGCTGAAAAACACGGCATGAGAACTCCTGAAGCATACACAAGTATCAATAGCCGAATTGAAAAAGCAGAAGAAAGGATATCAGAGACTGAAGATCAACTTAATGAAATGAAGCATAAAGACAAGATTAGAGAAAACAGAATGAAAAGGAATGAACAAAGCCTCCAGAAATATGGGACTATGTGAAAAGACCAAACCTACGTTTGATTGGTGTACCTGAAAGTGACGGGGAGAATGGAACCAAGCTGGAAAACATACTTCAGGATATTATCCAGGAGAACTTCCCCAACCCAGCAAGACAGGCCAACATTTAAATTCAGGAAATACAGAGAACCCCACAAAGATACTCCTCAAAAAGAGCAACCCCAAGACATAATCGTCAGATTCACCAAGGTTAAAATGAAGAAAAAAATGTTAAGGGCAGCCAGAGAGAAAGGTCAGGTTACCCACAAAGGGAAGCCCATCAGACTAACAGCAGATCTCTCTGCAGAAACCCTACAAGCCAGAAGAGAGTGGAGGCCAATATTCAACATTCTTAAATAAAAGATTTTTCAACCCAGAATTTCATATCCAGCCAAACTAAGCTTCATAAGCGAAGGAGAAATAAAATCCTTTACAGACAAACAAATGCTAGAGATTTTGTCACCACCAGGCTTGCCTTACAAGAGCTCCTGAAGGGAGCATTAAACATGGAAAAGAACAACTGGTACCACCCACTGCAAAACATATCAAATTGTAAAGACCATTGACACTATGGAGAAACTGCATCAAGTAATGGGCAAAATAACCAGCTAGCATCATAATAACAGGATCAAATTCACACATAACAATGGAACCTTAAATGTAAATAGACTAAATGCCCTAATTAAAAGACACAGACTGGCAAACTGGCTAAAAATAAAGACCCATCGGTGTGTTATATTCAGGAGTCCCATCTCACAAGAAAAGACACACATCGGCTCAAAATAAAGGGATGGAGGAGTATTTACCAAGCAAATGGAAGGCAAAAAAAGAGCAGGGATTGCAATCCTAGTCTCTGATAAAACAGACTTAAACCAACAAAGATCAAAAAAGACAAAGAAGGGCATTACATAATGGTAAAGGGATCAATGCAACAAGAAGAGCTAACTATCCTCAATATATATGCACCCAATACAGGAACATGCAGAATCATAAAGCAAGTTCTTAACAGACCTACAAAGAGACTTAGACTCCCACACAATAATAGTGGGAGACTTTAACACCCCACTGTCAATATTAGATCAATGAAACAGAAAATTAACAAAAAATTAACAAGGATATTCTGGAGTTGAACTCAGCTCTGGACCAAGTGGACCTAATAGACATCTACAGAATTCTCCACCCCAAATCAACAGAATATACATTCTTCTCAGCACCACATCACACTTACTCTAAAATTGATCACATAATTGGAAGTAAAACACTCCCCTGCAAATGCAAAAGAACAGAAATCATAACAAACAGTCTCTTAGACCACAGTGCAATCAACTTAGAACCCTAGATTAAGAAACTCACTCAAAACTGCACAACTACATGGAAACTGAATAACCTGCTCCTGAATGACTACTGGGTAAATAACAAAATTAAGGCAGAAATAAATAAATTCTTTGAAACCTATGAGAACAAAGACACAAGGTACCAGAATCTCTGGGACACAGCTAAAGCAGTGTTTAGAGGGAAAATTATAGCACTAAATGCTCAAGGAGAAAACAGGAAAGATCTAAAATCGACACCCTAACATCACAAGAGAACTAGAGAAACAAGAGCAAAGAAATTCAAAAGCTAGCAGAAGACAAGAAATAACTAAGATCAGAGCAGAACTGAAAGAGAGACACAAAAAACCCTTCAAAAAAATCAATGAATCCAGGAGCCAGTTTTTTGAAGAGATCAAAAAGATAGACTGCTAGCCAGACTAATAAAGAAGAAAAAAGAATCAAATAGACATAATAAAAAATGATAAAGAGGATGTCACCACTGATCCCACAGAAATAAAAACTACCATCAGAGAATATTATAAACACCTCTGTGCAAATAAACTAGAAAATCTGGAAGAAATGGATACATTCCTGGACACATACACCCTCCCAAGACTAAACCAGGAAGAAGTTGAATCCCTGAATAAACCAATAACGAATTCTGAAATTGAGGCAGTAATAATTAGCCTACCAACCAAAAAAAAGCCCAGGATCAGACGGATTCACAGCCGAATTCTACCAGAGGTACAAAAAGGAGCTGATACCATTCCTTCTGAAACTATTCCAAAGAATAGAAAAAGAGGGATTTCTCCCTAACTCATTTTATAAGGTCAGCATCATCTTGATACCAAAAGCTAGCAGAGATACAACAGAAAAAGAATATTTCAGGACAATATCCCTGATGAACATCGATGCAAAAATCTTCAATAAAATACTGGCAAACCAAATCCAGCAGCACATCAAAAAGCTTTTCCACCATGGTCAAGTCGGCTTCATCCATGGGATGCAAGGCTGGTTCAACATACAGAAATCAATAAACGTAATCCATCACATAAACAGAACCAATGACAAAAACCACATGATTGTCTCAATAGATGCAGAAAAGGCCTTTGACAAAATTCAACACCTCTTCATGCTGAAAACTCTCAGTAAACTAGGTATTGATGGAATGTATCTCAAAATAATAAGAGCTATTTATGACAAACTCACAGCCAATACCATACTGAATGGGCAAAAGCTCGAAGCATTCCCTTTGAAAACCAGCACAAGGCAAGGATGTCCTCTCTCACCACTCTCATTCAACATAGTATTGGAAGTTCTGACCAGGGCAATAAGGCAAGAGAAAGAAATAAAGTGTATTCAAATAGGAAGAGAGGAAGTCAAGTTGTCTCTGTTTGCAGATGACATGATTGTGTATTTAGAAAACCCCATTGTCTCAGTCCAAAATCTCCTTAAGCTAATAAGCAACTTCAGCAAAGTCTCAGAATACAAAATCAATGTGCAAAAATCACAAGCATTCCTATACACCAGTAATAGCCAAATCATTAGTGAACACCCGTTCACAATTGCTACAAACAGAATAAAATATCTAGGAATACAATTTACAAAGGATGTGAAGGACCTCTTCAAGGAGAACTACAAACAACTGCTCAAGGAAATAAGAAAGGACACAAACAAATGGAAAAACATTCCATGCTCATAGATAGGAAGAATCAACATCGTGAAAATGGCCATATTGCCCAAAGTAATTTATAGATTCAATGCTATACCTATCAAGCTACCATTGACTTTCTTCACAGAATTAGAAAAAAACTACTTTAAATTTCATATGGAACCAAAAAAGAGCCCGTATAGCTAAGACAATCCTAAGCAAAACGAACAAAGCTGGAGGCATCACGCTACCTGACTTCAAACTATACTACAAGGCTACAGTAACCAAAACAGCATGGTACTGACACCTGTAGGGACCAGCCCCACAGGGTCAGTGGGCTTTTCGCAGTGTGCGGCGACGAGAGAGTGTAGAAATAAAGACACAAGACAAAGAGATAAAAGAAAAGACAGCTGGGTCTGGGGGACCACTACCACCAATGCATGGAGACCAGTAGTGGCCCCGAATGTCTGGCTGCGCTGTTATTTATTGGATACAAAGCAAAAGGGGCAGGGTAAAGAGTGTGAGTCATCTCCAATGATAGGTAAGGTCACGTGGGTCACGTGTCTACTGGACAGGGGGCCCTTCCCTGCCTGGCAGCCAAGGCAGAGAGGGAGAGGAGACGGAGAGAAAGACAGCTTACACCATTATTTCTGCATATCACAGACTTTTAGTACTTCCACTAATTTACTACTGCTATCTAGAAGGCAGAGCCAGGTGTACAGGATGGAACATGAAGGCGGACTAGGAGCGTGACCACTGAAGCACAGCATCACAGGGAGATGGTTAGGCCTCCAGATAACTGCAGGCAAGCCTGACTGATGTCAGGCCCTCCACAAGAGGTGGAGGAGCAGAGTCTTCTCTAAACTCCCCTGGGGAAAAGGAGACTCCCTTTCCCAGTCTGCTAAGTAGCAGGTGTTGTTCCTTGACACTTTTCGCTACCGCTAGACTATGGTCTGCCTGGCAACGGGCATCTTCCCAGACGCTAGCGTCACCACTAGACCAAGGAGCCCTCTGGTGGCCCTGTCCGGGCATAACAGAAGGCTCGCACTCTTGTCTTCTGGTCACACCTCACTATGTCCTCTCAGCTCCTATCTCTGTATGGCCTGGTTTTTCCTAGGTTATGATTGTAGAGCGAGGATTATTATAATATTGGAATAAAGAGTAATTACTACCAACTAATGATTAATGATATTCATATATAATCATATCCAAGATCTATATCTGGTATAACTATGCTTGTTTTATATTTTATTATACTGGAACAGATCGTGTCCTCGGTCTCTTGCCTCGGCGCCTGGGTGGCTTGCTGCCCACAGACACCAAAACAGATATATAGACCAATGGAACAGAATAAAGCCCTCAGAAATAATACCACACATCTACACCCATGTGATCTTTGACAAACCTGACAAAAACAATCAATGGGGAAAAGGATTCCCCATTTAATAAGTGGTGTTGGGAAAACTAGATAGTCATATGCCGAAAACTGAAACTGGAACCCTTCCTTACACCTTATACAAAAATTAACTCCAGATGGATTAAAGACTTAAATGTAAGACCTAAAGCCATAAAACCTTAGAAGAAAACCTAGGCAATACCACTGAGGACATAGGCATGGGCAAAGACTTCATGACTAAAACACCAAAAGCAATGGCAACAAAAACCAAAATTGACAAATGGGATCTAATTAAGCTAAAGAGCTTCTGCACAGCAACAGATACTCTCATCAGAGTGAACAGCCAACCTACAGAATGGGAGAAAATTTTTGCAATCTATCCATCTTACAAAGAGCTAATATCCAGAATCTACAAAGAACTTACACAAATTTACAAGAAAAAAACAACCCCATCAAAAAGTGTGTAAAGTATATGAACAGACACTTCTCAAAAGAAGACACTTATTTGGCCAACAAACATGAAAAAAAGCTCATCATCACTGGTCATTACAGAAATGAAAATCAAAACCACAATGAGATACCATCTCATGCCAGTTAGAATGGCGATCATTAAAAAGTCAGGAAACAACAGATGCTGGAGAGGATGTGGAGGAATAGGAATGCTTTTACATTGTTGGTGGGAGTGTAAATTAGTTCAACCATTGTGGAAGACAGTGTGGTGATTCCTCAATGATCTAGAACCAGAAATACCATTTGACCCAGCAATCCCGTTACTGGGTATATACCGAAAGGATTATAAATCATGCTGCTATAAAGACACATGCACACGTATGTTTACTGCAGCACTGTTGATCAATAGCAAAGACTTGGAACCAGCCCAAATGTCTATCAGTGATAGACTGGATAAAGAAAATATGGCGCATATACACCATGGAATACTATGCAGCCATGAAAAATGATGTGGGACATGGATGAAGCTGGAAACCATCATGCTCAGCAAACTAATACAAGAACAGGAAACCAAACACTGCAAAGTAGGAATTAAACAATGAGAACATATGGACACAGGGAGGGGAACATCACACACCAGGGCCTTTCAGGGGGTGGGGAGTTAGGGGAGGGATAGCATTAGGAGAAATACCTAATGTAGACGACGAGTTGATAGGTGCAGCAAACCACCATGGCACGTGTATACCTATGTAACAAACCTGCACGTTCCGCACGTGTCCCAGAACTTATAGTATATATATATAAAAAAAAGTATGGTGTTATGAAGCTAAAGCAGCACTTAGAAGAGAATCTGTAGTGTTCAGTGCTTCTATTTAGAAAGAAGAAAGGTGTAAAATAAAAGAATGAAGCTTCCATCTTAAGAAGCTAGGAAGAGTTGAGGAAATAGAACCCAAAGGAAACAGAAAGAAGAAAACAAGAAAATCATAAAAGTCAAAATTGGTCATTGGAAAAATTGATAAAATTAATAAACCCTTGCTGCTTCTCAAAAAACAATTTAAAAAAGAGGGAGAGACAGGGCTAGGAAAAACATGCAAATATCCAACCTGAGAGGGCTTATCCCCTAAGGCAAGATTGCTGAACAAATCCTTGCCAGCAGTTACCAGTGATGCCCTAAGAATGTAAAACAAGATAGAGGCTTGATTTTACAACCAAAGCTTTGCAGAAAATATAAACAGTGATAGTTGAGGGGCCCTACCTAGTAAAAACATCTTCTAAAAGAAAAAAAAAAAAGATAAAAGAAAAAAAACTTTAAAAGTTAACTTGCTGATGGTGTAGAGAAGGGGAAAGAAAGAAAAGAAACAGTTTTAAAATGCCTGGGGAAGAACCCCTTATTCTTATGCAAGTGGTTCCTCCACCAGGGACAAGTTTAATTGCGGTGGGTCAGAGCTGGCCTCCCTGGAAAAGAGAGGAGGAAACCCCATGGGACTGTGGCAGAAAACACGAGCCAGCAGCCTGCAGCGCCTTGGGCTGCGTGTCCCAGTCCTGGCGGGGAGGGGAGAGCCGTGGGGAGCAGCTGCTCTCTGATCTGTCCCAAAAAAGGAAGGAAAAGGCCATAAAAAGGCCAGGAATGATGGAGATTGGAGGCATGGTTCCCCTCACCCTAGAAGTCCGAGGATGAAAAGGCTTAAGAGCAACAGCGAGAGGTTTTGAGTCCCCATTTTACTCACCGCTTCTCGAGTCCCAACATTGCACACCAAAAATGTTGCAGGACTTTTCCTTAGCTCAGCTAAAGACGGGATTCTTTGTCCCATGGCCAGGAAAATTCAAGCTTGCAGACAATTTGAATGGTGAGTAAGACAGGGTTTTATTGGGTGAAAAGCAAGAAAAGGGAGAAACAGGGACTCTGCTAGGCCAGATTCCCTGCTAGAGCGCTTCCCGCGCGGCCCCGAACCCCAGGTTCCCCATGGGAAGAGGAGTAGCCAGGCTCCTCTCCGCTGCAAATGGCTCAAACTTCCCAAGGCTCCACCCCAATGAGCAGGCTGCTTGGAGGTTTTCTGGGGACTTCGTCCCACCTGGCTATCTCAGAGCTTTGGTAATTCCAACTCTTCTCTCAGTCCCTCTGGCCTATGGATAGTCATCCTAAATTCCTACTTTAATCATCTCTGTCTTGTCTCACTTCTTCTCTGATTGGCTTCTCATTTCTTTCATCATCCATTTATTAATTTATTTATTAGATTAATTCTGTTTTAAATGCTCAAGTGGTTCTGTTTCCTGGTTAGTCTCTGACTGATATAACCGCTTACCATAGTAAGGTCTATTCCTTGTTTCACCAGGCATATTCAAGAAGAAAAGAAAATTTGGAATTTTTGAAGTCTCTTATGAAACCAACAGGCTTAAAAAAAAAAAGCAGAGTTTTTAAATTTTCCATTACTCATAATTTAACATCTCTGTGTTTTTAAATCAATCTTGAAGGATTTTGTGAAATTTTAAACATTTACCATCACTGGTTCCCAGCTTCTATCTTTCCCTCATGCTCCATCCATTTCTCTAAATAAACCTGGCTTATTTCCTCCAAGTTGTAACAAAGTTGTTTGAAAGAGATTTGTATTTTCTAAGCTCTTTCTACCTTTACTAATAATTTGGCAACTGTAAAATAATGAAGTTACTTGCATCTTTGGTAGTGATAAAAATGAGTGAGTCAGAATGTGTGTGTTTTCTATTTAAAAGCTAAACTAAAGAAGTAGGACATGCCAAAAACAATTAAAACTACTAGAGATAAGATAATACAGTGCACCTCTTGACACCGATCTGTGGGTAGTCAAATGAAGCACTGGATTGGAAAACAATTTTGCAGGTACTTAATCCATCTACAGTTGGCTCTTGATAATTCTGTTCTTTATTACCCAGATATCAGGGAGTACATTTTGTTTACCTTCTATTCCCGAGGCCTAGTACAGTGCCAGTCTATTTGTAGATGTTCAGTAAATGTCTGTTGAATAAAGTAGGGCAGAGTTGGGGTCCCCTTGCAGCTTAGAGCAGAGGCCCTGAGGAGCTGATGATCAGAACTTTGAAGATGGCACTTCCCAGTTGTGCTGTCATTGATGTCTCTGAGGGGTCATAATGAGGTCAATTCTGGTATTGCCAAAAGATGCTGGAAATGAGAGCAACTGCTACCACTGAAGCAATGCTGACAGGAATGGGAACAAAGTGCAAAAGTCCTTCTCCATTGGTCCAGTTTCCCTCTAGCACAATGTTTCTCAGCTAAGGTGATTTTGCTCTCCAGGGAACATTGGCAATGTCTGGAGACTTTTTGGTTTTCACAACGTGGGTGGAAAATGTTGTTGCCATCTGATGTTAGAGGCCAGGGATCCTGCTTAGCATGCTACCAATGCACAGGATAGTTCTCGTTGACACACAATTATACAGCCCAAAATGTCAGGAGTGCTGCGGTTGAGAAACCTTGCTTTCACAGAAACTAAAAGACAGATGACAATGCAGTCCTGGAAGGGCAGTTTGCTAGCCCCGCAGTATCAGAGTGGAGCACAAAAGAACAGATTTGGAGCTCAGATACAATATATAAATGACTGGCACAAGCATCTATCAGGGAAAAGCTCATTTCTGAATACAGAGAGGGTGTGAATGTCCGTGGACCTCTTGATCCAATCTCTATCTTTTATAGACAAGAGAACAGGTTCGGGGAAATGAAATGACCATGGTAAGAAAAATCCTTTCTTAGAGAACATACAGTTAAAGATAGTGAAGGATCATTTGTATTTGTCTCAGCTGCTAGTTTTTTTTTTTTTAATTTACTATCAGTGAAACAAATGAATACCTGAAGAGCGTGAACATAATCCTCCCTCTGAATGAGTTAAATGTATAGAAATATATATTAAATGTTTTTGCCTTGGTCTTTTTAGAACTATTTGAGGTATAGAAAAGAGATCTGTTAAAAATATAGAGTCAAGTTATTTGGTGAGAGTTGCTATTCCTAAGTTTTTTAAGTGTTCATAAAACATGTAAAAGTGTCTATAAAAAAAGCACAGAACAAATTTAATGAAACTTTCTTACTGAAAAGTGTAATAAGCCAAACTTAAGGTGCTTACATTGGCAGTGACTTAAATCGCATTAACCCTTTCTTTTGAAATTACTTGATTACTTTTCACTACAAACCAAATGCAATGTATATGCATTTTAAAAGGACAGAAAATAGAAAAGGAAATATGTACCTTTAGGTGATGCATTACTTAATCTTTACATTGGAAAAAGAATTTTCATAGCCTTGGCATATTAGCAAAATACTAAGGTAGTATGAAGCAATAGAACATTAGTAGGAAATCAAACATAAAATAGGAATTATTCTAAAGCCTGTTAATTATAGGAAAACCACTATGCATTTTATATTGATATTAAATAATGATATGGGGTTAAATGATGCCAGGAAAAACTATTCTTTTTCAAAAAACAATCTAAATTATCTCAATTATAGTTTTTTTTATAGTTTCATTGGTTATATGTAAAATAATTTAAAGCTGAGAAAATTAGTTTTTATATAAAAACATATACCTCCTTTTTTTTATTATACTTTAAGTTTTAGGGTACATGTGCACAACGTGCAGGTTAGTTACATATGTATACATGTGCCATGTTGGTGTGCTGCACCCATTAACTCGTCATTTAACATTAGGTTTATCTCCTAATGCTATCCCTCTCCCCTCCCCCCACCCCACAACAGGCCCCAGTGTGTGATGTTCCCCTCCCTGTGTCCATGTGTTCTCATTGTTCAATTCTCACATATGAGTGAGAACATGCGGCGTTTGGTTTCTTGTCCTTGCGATAGTTTGCTGAGAATGATGGTTTCCAGCTTCATCCATGTCCCTTCAAAGGACATGAACTCATCATTTTTATGGCTGCATAGTATTCCATGGTGTCTATGTGCCACATTTTCTTAATCCAGTCTATCATTGTTGGACATTTGGGTTGGTTCCAAGTCTTTGCTATTGTGAATGGTGCCGCAATAAACATAGGTGTGCATGTGTCTTTATAGCAGCATGATTTATAATCTTTTGGGTATATACTCAGTAATGGGATGGCTGGGTCAAATGGTATTTCTAGTTCAAGATCCCTGAGGAATCGCCACACTGACTTCCACAATGGTTGAACTAGTTTACAGTCCCATCAACAGTGTAAAAGTTTTCCTATTTCTCCACATCCTCTCCAGCACCTGTTTTTTCCTACCAAGTAAAGCTTCCAGAAGAAATAACAAATAATTGCTATTTCTATTTCTTGTTTTCCATTTTCCTCTTCATACACTGTTCCTTGGTTTCTCTCTCCAACCCACTGAAGGGCCTCTCACTAAGATGACAGATTTTATCCCAGTTCCCAGACCAATAGTTATTTTTCAGTCCTCTACCCACCATATTTGACACTGTTGAAAATTCACTCCTTGAAGCTGTTTTCTCTCTTCTGATTACCTCCTAGTTCTTTCTCTACCTCTCTATTTCTTGGTCTCTTTTGTTGGAATCTTTTCCTCCCTCCCCCTTTTCTAAAATAGAAATAATTTACATACCATAAAATTCATGGTTTTCAAAGTGTATAGTTAGTGGATTTTAGTATGTTCACAAGGTTGTGAAACCATCATCACTATCTAATCCAGAACATTGTCATCACCCTAAAAAGAACCCTATAACCATTAGCAGTCCTATACCTCTTCCCTCCTCCCTCCATCCCCTACTGCTCCACTTTCTGTCTCTATAAACTTGCCTATTAAGGACGTTTCATTTAAATAAATTAATACACTATGTGGCCTTTTATGCCTGGGTTCTTTCACTCCCCAGTTTTCAGGGTCTGTCTATGTTGTAACATGTGTCAATACTTTATTTTGTTTTATGGAGAAATAGATCTTCAAAGACCATTGAAGCACTACCAAGCAATTCAATATATATGTAACCGGGGTCCCAGAAGAAGAGAGAAAGAAAGGAGCTTAAATATATTTGAGGAAATCATAGGTGAAACCTTTCCAAATTTGGTAGAAAACATCAGCTTACAGATCCAAGAAGTTCCATGAAACTCTAGCAGAATAAATACAAAGAAAATATTTAGGTATATTAGAGTCAAACTGATGAAAGCCAAAGATTAAAAGAGTCTTGGAAGTAACCACAAAAAGGTGACATTTTACAGACAAGGAAACAATAATATCATTAATGCCTGGGAATCAATAATTTTTTGTCTTGTGAAACTAACCTTCAATAATCAATATAAAATACAGAAATTTTCAAGTAAACAACTCAGTTAGGAACCAGCAGATCTGTACTACAAGAAATACTGAAGAAAGTTTATCAGGTAGAAAGAAAATAACTCCATATAATGATTCAAATATACAAGAAGAAATGAAAAATACTGGAAATGATAAGCTGGTGGTTAAATGTAATTATATATATATTTAGTTTTTCTTCTTAATTTTTTCAAGGACGTATAACATTAAAAATTTTTTTTTTGCTTTTTTTCTTTTTGTTTTGACATAATTTAAAACAAACATTATAAAGCAAACATAACACTGTACTGTTGGTTTTGTAACACACATGCACACAAATCTGTATCTATATCCACTGATACATATGTATAACAACAGTACTAAAGATGGGGGTACATGAAATTATATTGTTGTAAGTTTCCTGTGTTTCACCTGAAATAATTAAATATTAACTCTAAGTAGATTGGGATAAGTTAAAGATGCACATAATCCGTAGAGCAACTAAAAATGAATGCAAAAGATATAGCTAGTTGTGATGGTTAATATTGAGTGTCAACTTCATTGGGTTGAAGGATGCAAAGTATTGTTCCTGGCTGTGTCTTTGAGGCTGTTATCAAAGGAGATAATATTTGAGTCAGTGAGTGGACTGGGAAATGCAGACCCACCTTCAACCTAGGTGGGCACAATCTAATCAGCTGCCAACGTGGCCAGAATAAAAGCAGGCAGAAGAACATGGAAAGATTAGACTGGCTAAGTCTTCTGGCCTTCATCTTTCTCTCATGCTGGATGCTTCCCGCCCTCGAACATCAGACTCGAGGTTCTTCAGCTTTTGAACTCTTGGACTTACACCAGTGATTTGCCATGGGCTCTCAGGCCTTTGGCCACAGACTGAAGGCTGCACTACTGGCTTCCCTACTTTTGAGGTTTTGAGACTGACTGGCATCCTGGCTCCTCAGCTTGCAGTTGGCCTATTGTGGGACTTCACCTTGTGATCATGTGAGTCAATTCTCCTAATAAACTCCCCTTAATATATACATCTATTAGTTCCATCCCTCTAGAGAACCTTGACTAATACACCAGTAAACTAATAGAAAAATTAAAATGGAATACATCTATAAAATTTTTATAGGGAAAATAGATCAATGGCTGCCTATGGTGAAAGTGGAGGGAAAGAATGGTTGCAAGGAGGCATGAGAAAACGTTTGCAGTTGTTAGAGACATTCTGCATCTTGATTCTGCTGCTGGTTTCACAGGCACATATATTTATCAGAATTCATAGTTTTTTTAGTAATGAACATTTTATTTTTGAAGAAATTTGGATTTACAGAAAGTTGCATCATACAGAGAGCTCCTGTAAACAATTCACCCAGTTTACACTGGTGTTAACATCTTACATAATGATTTGGCATATTTTCTAAAAGTAAGACGGTAACATTGGTATATTATTAAAACCACGGACTTTTTTGGGTTTCATCAGTTTTCCATGGTATTTAGTTTTCTATTGCTGCTGCAACAAATTATGTCAAATTTCGGGGCTTAATATGATATAAATGTATTATCTTGTAATTCTGTAGGTCAAAAATCTGGCAGGCTTAGCTGGTTTCCCTGTCACAGGGCTAAAATCCAGATAGCAACACGGTGAGCACACCATGTTTCTGGAGGTTCTGGGGATATATCCACTTTGAAGCTCATTCAAGTTGCTGTCAGAATTCAGTTGTAAATAATGTAGTTATAGGACTGAGGTCCCTTTTTTCCTGCTGGCTGTTTACCGGGCACTGGGCATCGTTCTCAGTTTCTAGAGGCCATCCTGCATTCCTTGGTGAAAGCTGCCTTTCTCCATAGTCAAAGATAGCACTGGCTGTTTGAATCCTTCTCACAATTCAAATCTCTCTGATTTTCCCTTCTTTCTCACCTCCTCTGCCTCTTCTTCAAAGAATTTTATACTTTAAATTTTAGTTTAGTTTTTACAAATTAGACCCTGATAAGGTTAATTTAAAATACATCTCAGTAAAGACTATAAAATTTGTAAACCAAATATGATATTTGAAGAACAAAGTATTAAAATGACCAATTAAAAAAATCAACAACTTGAACCATATTTTATGGAGTTAAAATCTTTAATTATCTTATTTATGGTTAGTCTTTTTTCTTTTTAAAATTTTTTATGTTAAAAATGCTTATTTATAAGGGAATTTTTTGGGTGATAGAAATATTTTGTATCATGACTGTGATGGTGAACTTAAAAGTTTATGCATTTGTCAAACCCTATAAAAACTACACCACAAAAAGTGAATTTTATTATATGTATACTTAAAATCAACAAAAAATCTCTATGTAGGAGGAACTTAAAAGGAAACACAGACTAAAAAATAAACCTATTTTTTTCATTATAAAAGATTTTTTGGGGTAAAAAAGAGCAAAGAAACCTAGCTGAGTTATAAATGAATGTAACCATCCTGAGAGAGATGGAATAGTAAAGAACTAACCTACTTTGCAAAACAGATTTTCAGCAGGATTAAAACAGAAAAAATTGTCCACAAATGCATGGGTTGGCAATTCACAAACTATGTATATAGTAAGGTTTAATTAATAAGTAAATATAGCTTAGATTCAAGAGCCAGATTTGTCACTGTCAGAGAAAGAAGTTACAAATAAGGAAAGGGAGAAGGATAGAATTCTTTGAAATCTGAGGTATTGGTACAAACTCATTGTTTTTAAAATGTATGTATTGAGATAGATACCCAAAGAAAGAAATTTGCTATGTATGCGCCTGTGTGTGTGTGTGTGTGTGTATGTGTGTGTGTGTGTGTGTATTCTCTGTTCACTAAGTGAGCCTAGAACAAATGACAGCCCAGTAAGAATGAGTACACCCAGATAATGGTTCTATTGGAGCATGATATACCATTCTCCAATAAGAACCAGGGCTTCTTAAAGAAGTGCTTGATTCCAGGTCTGGGACATGAAAAATACAAGATAAGCCTGGAGCATCTTACAGTACCTGAAAGTTTTTAAAAATTCAAAAAGGATCAGGATGGGTCATATTGGGAAAGCTCTGGAGCCAGTCAGAAAGAGCTCCCAATGGCCAAGGCTGAAACAGTTTGAGCAACAACAACAACAACAAAATAGTTATTAGATTATAATGTAAAGAATAAAAGAAAAATACATGAGTATATACTGATATAAATACCTTGTATGAACAAATTAAAAAGGAAGAAGGCACAGCTCTTCCTTACAGAAGAATTCCAATTAATAAATGTAGGCAGAATGAGGAAAATAGAAAGTCACCATGAAAATACCACAATAATAATTGTTGCAGGCAAGAACCATCAATCAATGCCAAAATTTGTGATCTAATGTTTGAGGAGAAATAGAATATTTGCACAGTCTCAAAATATCACCCCCCAAGATATTAATTACAGAGGAAAAAATAAAGGTACATCTATTCTGTGGTAGTCTTACCAAAAATGTACAAACTCAATCTAATCAGGAGAAAACATGAGAAAACCCCAATTTAAGAGATATTGTACACAATAACTGATTAGTACTTTTCAAAAGTATCAAGTTCATAATAAGCAAGGAAAGACTGAGGAACTGGCATAGATTTTATGGTTATAGAGTTCTGAGACAGCCAGGTGGGAGGCGGGTCCCTGGAGAAACTTCAAATAGCCTGCCCACTGCAGTGGAGCCTCAGGAAGTTCGAGCCCTTTGCAGTGGGAAGGAGCCTGGCCTCTCTTCTTCCTGTGTGGAACCTCAGATTCCAAAGGCCTGGCGGGAAGTGCTCTAGCAGGGACTCTGGCCTAGCGAGAGTCTCTGTTTCCTCCTTTTCTTCCTTTTCACCCAATAAAACCCTGCTTTACTCACCCTTCGAACCACCTGCAAGCCTAAATTTTCATGGCCATGGGACGGACAAGGACCTTATCTTTAGCTGAACTAAGGAAAAGTCCTGCAACAGTTCTTTATATTGAAGTCTTTTACCCACTTAGAATTTATTGAAGCATTGACAAAACCACAATCATAGCAGGAGATTTTAACCTACCTCTTTCAATAATTGATAAAGCCAATAAAATTTTTGTAAGAGTTGCTTGCTGGAGCATTTTTATAATCACTGCTTTAAAGTTTTTTTTTCAGATAATTCCAACATCTGTGGCTTAGAATTGGCATCGGCATCTATTGACTGTATTTTTCCCAAGTGAGGTAGTAGAGAGTAGAACTATTTTGCAGCTGGAACCAACATGTCTTGATGATTATGTTTGCATTTCATCAGAGGTGTGGATGAAATGAAGGTAGAGATGATGAGGAGTGAGGTCTTAGGAAGCATCAACAAATTTCTATGGCCTCTGGCCTGGGTATCTGGGTGAATTTTGGTAGCATCTAGTGAAATTGGAGCAAAAGGGAAGGAGAGAATATGAAGGATGTGTTTGTTTGTATGCCCATAGGACAACCACACTGATGTATCCAGCAGGCATTTGGATATTCAAGTCTGAACTCACAGAAGGGGCAGATCTAGAAATACAACTTGTAAATTAGTATTAGTATTGCATAAGTGGTGTTTAAAGCAATAAAATATGGTTTAGAACAGTTGGTTATAGAAAATGGAATGAGAGCAAAAGTATTTTAAAGAGCAGACAGAAATAGGAGACTCAGAAGGAATAATTAAAGAGAATATACAACAGAAGTCTAGGAAGTAAAGAGTGTCAAAGAACAAGATTTCAACAAATTGAGTTGAAAGATCTAATTAGCTTTTATTAGCCATTCTGGCCCTTTTTGAAGTTAAGTTTGATTACATAGCATCTAGTATGAATGACTCCATTCTGGTTTGGTCTGATCTGTTGGGGTCTAGTACAAGAGCTCAGTCCAAAACAATGACCTCTCATAAGTTCTATATTAAAAGCATTTCAAGAAACATAAATCCACATGATCAGAAGCAGGAGAATAATGTAGTAAGATAAAGACTAAAAAGGGTATTGGTCGCTGGTCACATTTGCCAGTTTCTGTGTCTTGGTAAAGGTGGAAAAAGATCAATGCAGGAATGAGGGAATAGCAAGGAAGTGGATTAAAAGATGGGGACCACTGTTTTTTAAATTATGGCTTAAGAAAGGAAGGAATGAGTGAGGCACATGGTGAAGAAACATGTGGAAGAAAACCGTATGATTCCAAGACTTTGTAAAAATCCCTTTTTTAATCACTTGTATTTGGTTCATCTCATATGACTGAAACTTCATCTTGGAAAAAGAATTAACTGAGACTATTTTAGCAACTAAAGTCCAAGTGGTACAAAGCCACAAATAGATCTTGAAGAAGTCCAAATTCCCAGAGCTGCTGCTTGAACGTACAATTGCTCCATTAATTTCGACCTGCTGTTGCCATGCAAAAGGAGCCAGAGGTAGCTAAGGCTTTGTAAATTAAAAGTTACCTCTTGAATGTCTTCTACACACTGCGGGATATGGGTACAAACTGCTTCCTTGTCTGAGCTCATTACTGAAACTAGGCTGCTTCCCTCACTTTCTGCCATGTCTCTGGTGGCCGTCATAATCTTAGAACACTCAATAGACCTTCTGCTAAGCAGAGGCTTCCTTTCTCCCACCACCTGTTAAATAATAGCAATTATATATTATGCTTGCTTTCCTCATTTCTTTCTACTTCTGTTCTCAGTGTTGTTTATAATGTGGGTTTGATTAGTTTCCTTGACCTTACTAGAGGGAAGCTGATTGGCTAAGGATACTTTGATCATCAAAAAATAGAATTACTGCAGCACAACTCCAGATCTGTAAGAAACTGTTTTCCAACTCAGAGACTTTTGTGCAATAATTTTTCTGGTTTTAGAAAAGCTATAGTATCATCAGACAATTTTTTTTTTTTGCTTTGCAGAGTGATAAATTCAACCTATGAAAGTAAAAAAGAAAATTTATATTTTCTGTGTCCCATTCTTTTGTTGTTTCAGCAAAAAGTTTACTTTCCTCTTGACTCAGCCAGGTAGTAGGTGAGAGTGTTCCCAATACTGATTATGGCCCCAAAGCCAACAATTCTCTTTGAGGGAACCAAGAGTGAAACACGCTGAACCTGGATTCTGAGTTTTATCTGATAACACCATTAGAGATGTCATAATTAGTTAGGAAGGTAAGTATGATGGCTCCAGTATTGTCTCCCTCTGTACCCCCCAATAGCTAAAAGGGAACTAGGGTAACAATTCAAAAGTTAAAAAACAAAAGGGATGAGAAAATAAAACGATTTAGGTTATTTAATCTGTACAACAGGAATATAATGGGAAAAAATGACTTTGAGAATTATAACCAACTCTCCCCAAAGTAAAGTAAAAATCATATTAACTGTAAGTTGACTAGTGGAAACCCCAAAGAAAGGCTGTGTAATCACTGAACTTTCATGTGTTTAACATTATGTTGGATAAATTCTTGTCTCATGAAAAATTATGCTTTTTGGAGAAGCAAATGAGCTAGACCACTAAAGGATCCTACTTACTTCCAGTCTTTGATGTAGATTTTATGTGAACTTTGAATTCATAGATGTAGCACTTTAAATATTGACTTCATTTCCAATAAACCATAAAGAATTTGGGTGAATAAATTTGGGAGAAAAAAATGAAGACTTGGGGTAAACTATCTTGGACAATTTTGAAGAGGTCTGTTGCAAGATGATACATTTTAAAAATTGTTCAGACTCAATTTTTTCGGTTACTCTTAATGAATGGGTGCTGATTTTGTGGGATAGGCAATATATTCATGTCTTCACAAAGTGGTTCAAAAAAAATTTCTGGAAAAAGATATAAACTTTGGCAATACTGAGTCCACATTCCTGCCTGGCAGCATTCAGCTGGAGCAGGCTGAGGAGCAGGCTCTCGTGGCTGCTTCATGTATGTATGTGATCTTGGCAGATACTTGAGTTTGAGCTTCTGGTTCACTTCCTTCCCTTCTATGCCTACCCCGTCTTTATTCTCAGCAGTTTCAATAACCTCTGAGTGACGCATCCAGCATCTTGGCCCACTTTTCTTGACCTTCTCCCAAAATGATTTTTGCTTCCATTTTAGCTTCACAATTCTGTGTTGCCCCTTAATACCTTATCCCCAGTAAATGCACCACCTTCAAAGTCTTCAAGTAGTACTCTCATCGTCCAGCTGCCTCACTCTATTACTCCTACTGAAACTCTTAATTTACACCATCTAGACTTTTAATTTTTTAATCCTATCATTTTTCTCCCGTCTAACTCTCTTACCATCACTGCTGCCTACCCAGCTTAAATTTTATGACCAATAGTTAGAATTTCTCATTTGAAAGTCATCTGCCCAAAATCCAGCCAACCACTGCTTGAACTCAGCTATCGACCTTCTCTGTGCTTGTACTGGAATAGCTGAATGCTGTTTGAGAAATTATACAACTGGACCAAATTAGCCATACTTTAAATTCATTTAAAACTCAAATATATTTTCAATATAGCATCAAAACTTCATATTTCCCTAATTTTTTTTTCCAATTTTTTTACTCTCCCTTCAAGCCTTCCCTAGTTTCTTCCTCACCCATTTGCCTCACCTCAGACTCTCTAGAATGAGACTCCAGGATAGCAGGGATTGTGTATGGCTCAGCAATATTGTTTAGGCTAGGGGCACCTAGTATGATGCCTGACACATAGTAAGAACTTAATAAATATTTGCTGAATGATTATTTCAAGGTGAATATTTTTCCACTAGCAAGTCTACCAGCCTGCCTATACACGTCCCCATTTTGCCCTGCCTTCTTTATTGTTCAATGGTTGTATCCCTATTCACATTTATTTATGTGTTCACAATTCAGGCTTTCCACATTATTTTGAAATAAGATGTTGAATTCGAAAATCCATCCATGTTATCACAACATAGTTCAACATTACATTTGTCCAATAATACTAATAGACAAGCCTTATATAAAATATTTCATTATGATGATTATAATCATGACTAGCAATTATTGAGCACCACATTATTGCTAAGTACTGTTCCAAGGGCTGTCATGTATTAACACATGAGTTAGGCACTATTTTTTTATCTCCATTTAACTGAAGTGCAGAGAGGCCAAGTAACTTGCCACATTCTCGCATTCTAAAAACAAGAGCGTCACTCTCATCCATTATGCTCCACTGCCTCCTTTAAAAAATATAATAAAAAGGGGAAACATTAGTCCAAACTCTCATTGTAAAGAATATTGCTGAGATGGAAAATGAATGCAAGGGTAAAGGAAGGAAGAGAAACTTTATGGTATCTGCTTCGTTCATTACAATATCTCCAAGAACTAGTTTCTAGTAACTAGAAAAATGTGTCACACATAGTAAATATTCAAGAAGTACTGTTGAACTTCTGCCTTCCATCAATTAGCACACTTAAAAAGTCAAATGTTAATCTCCTTTAATTTAGGGTAAAAATAAGTCTCAATCATTTTTCCATTTTATATCCATCAAAAATCCACACAAGACCATTTTTTAGATAACTCAGAGAAATCAAAGCGTTCCTCTTTAAGCATTTTTAAAACTTTTTAGATGCTTATTCTGAAAGTTCTAAGACAAAATCAACTTTAATTTGTCACTAATTGACTCTATTGGATTAGAAAACTCATTTATTTCCTCATTCAACTGTATTTCTTGAACAAAGCGATAGCTTATAATTTCCTGAGGATGGGCATGGGGAATGAGAAGGTAGATAAACATATAAATAAATAATTATTTTCAGGTGATGGACGGTAAGTATTATGAAAAAATAAAGCAAATTAAGGGGTCGAGAGTGATGGAGGGGAGCAAGGGGAGAGCCAATTTTGATAAGATGATGAGGGAATTAATTTCTAAAGGGGATGACATTTAAGTAAAGACCTGAATGGCATGAATGAGTATAAAGGTCTTGAAATACAAATGAGTCTAGCATTTTGAGGAGTAGGAAGGTCAGTGTGGCTGGATAGTGTTAAGTGATTAGGTCAGAGAGGTAGGTAGGAGACAAGACATGGAATACTTTTGTGTGCCGTGTTAAGGACCTAGACTTTATTATGGGTGTCATGGCAAGATATTGGAAGGATTTAAGGAGGGGAATGATATAATCTGATTTACATTTTAAGAGATCAATTTGGCCATGTTTGGAAATTGCTGATAGAGTTTCTATCTGTTTCCCCTCTAAATCTCATGTTGAATTGTAATCCCCAATGTGGGAGGTGGGGCCTGGTGGGAGGTGATTGGATCGAGGGGGTGGACTTCTTATGAATGGTTTAGCACCATCCCCTTGGTACTGTCCTTGGGAAAGTGAGTGAGTTCTCACGAGATCTGTTCCTCTAAAAGTGTATGTCCACTTCCCTCCCAACTATCTCTCTTTTGCTCCTGCTCTGGCCATGTAGCCTGCCAGCTCCTCCTTTGCCTTCCACCATGATTGGAAACTTCCTGAGGCCTCACCAGAAGCTGAGAAGATGTTGGTGCCGTGATTCCTTTACAGCCCGCAGAGCCATGAGCCAATTAAACCTCTTTTCTTTATAAATTACTCAGTCTCTGGTATTTCTTTAGAGCAGTGCAAGAACAGCCTAACACAATTGGAGAAGCAAGAGGGGAAGCCAAGTGATCAATTAGGAGGTGATTGAAATATTCCAAGTTAGAGTGGATAGTGGCTTATCCTAAGTGGGAGGAGCAATGGAGGTGGTAAGAAATGGTTAGATGGTTAGAATTCAGAAATATTTGAAGGGAGGGTTAACATGACTTGCTGATGCATTAGGGGTGGGGTATGAAATGAAAAGAGGAATTAAGGCCAATGCCTAGGTTTTGACCTGAGTAATAGTGAACAGTGGCATTATTAATTGAAATGAGAAAAAACTCATGGCAAGAACCCAGTTCAAGAATTCTCTTGGGCTTTGTTACCTTCATAGGATGTCACAAGACTACATCTAAATTTGGAATAAAAAAGGGAAGAAATATTTGTCTTCATTAGTATATAGAGTATGAAGCCACTCTCTATTAGTACTTCAAGTAACTCTAAGGAAAGTTACCTCACTCAGAAAGACTTATGCTTACTCATCAAAAGGCAGCCCAAGTCTACCTATTTAGTTCCACCAATAAATCCCTTCTAGGTTTTTAAGGACTAGGGACTGTTATAGCAAATCCTATTTAACAATATCTGAGCCCTTTTCCCATTCACTGTTACCTCCCTATTATTCCTGGTTAATATGAATTATCTAGGTTTGGGTATCCCACAGACTTGGTAAGCATTAGTCCTTTCCTGGTCCTTGTATCCCTGTTTCCTGGAGACCTCTTCCTCTAGGGTCCTGCCTTAGAGTTGTGTACCATGATGGTAATACTATGAAGCAATGTTCTAAAGAAATGAGGAGCTCCTAGTAGATCTGTGGATTTAGAAATAGGAGCTCTATGTAAGAGAAACTGAAGCGGAACAGATGAGATTAAAGCTCAGTGGATATAAATCTGAAGAAAGGCTACTCACAGAGCTTAGAAGCTAGACTCTAGGAAACAGGGCTAAGTAGTGGGTCATTTGACTATAAGGACAACATTTATCTAAATTATAGTACTACCATGAGAATGAGAAGACAGACAACAAACTGGGAGGTAATATTTGCAAAAGACATAGCTGATAAAGGATTGTTACCCAAAAAATACAGAGAACTTTTAAAACTCAACCATAAGAGAACAACCCAATTGAAAAAAAGAGCCAAAGACCGTAACAGATACCCCACCAAAAAAAGATACACAGATGATATTGTTTTGGCCATTTCCCCACCCAAATCTCACCTTGAATTGTAATAATACCCACATGTGAAGGGCGGGGTCAGATGGAGATAATTGAATCATGGGGGCAGTTTCCCCCATACTGTTCTTGTGGTAGTGAATAAGTCTCATAAGATCTCATGATTTTATAAATGGGAGTTCCCCTGAACAAGCTCTCTTGCCAGTTGCCATGTAAGACATGATTTAGCACCTCATTTGCCTTCTGCCGTGATGGTGAGTCATATGAAACTGTGAGTCAATTAAACCTCCTTCCTTTTTAAATTAGCCAGTTTTGGGTATGTTTTTATTAGTAGCATGGGAACAGACTAATACAGTAAATTGGTACTGGTAGAGTGGGATGCTGCTGTAAAAATACCCCAAAATGTGGAAGTGACTCTGGAACTGGGTAACAGGCAGAGGTTGGAACAGTTTGGAGGGCTCAGAAGAAGACAGGAAAATGTGGGAAAGTTTGGAACTTCCTAGAGACTTTTTGAATGGCTTTGCCCAAAATACTGATAGTGACATGGACAATGAAGTCCAGGCTGAGGTGGTCTCAGATGGAGACGAGGAACTTGTTGAGAACTGGAGTAAAGGTGACTCTTGCTATGTTTTAGCCAAGAGACTGGCTACATTTTGCCCCTGAACTAGAGATCTGTGGAAATTTCAACTTGGGAGAGATAATTTAGGTCATCTGGAGGACGAAATTTCTAAGCAGCAAAGTGTTCAAGAGGTGATTTTGGTGCTGTTAAAAACATTCAGTTTAATATATTCACAAAGATGTGATTTGGAATTGGAACTCATGTTTAAAAGGAAAGCAGAGCATAAAAAGTTTGGAAAATTCACAGCCTGACTATGTGATAGAAAAGAAAAACCCATTTCCTGAGGAGAAATTCAAGCTTGCTGCAGAAATTTGCATAAGTAATAAGGAGCCAAATGTTAATTGCCAAGATAATGGAGAAAATGTCTCCAGGGCATGTCGGAGACCTTCGTGCAGCCCTTCCCACCACAGGACTGGAGGCCTACGAGGAAAAAATGGCTTTATGGGCCAGGCCCAGGGCCTTGCTGCTTTGTGCAATCTCGTGACTTGATGCTCTGTGCCCCAGCTGTGGCTTAAAGGGGCAAATGTAAGTCTCATGAGATCTGACGGTTTTATAAATGAGAATTCCCCTGAACAAGTTATCTTGCCTGCTACCATGTAAGACGTGACTTTGCTCCTTATTCACCTTCTGCCATGATTGTGAGGCCTCCCCAGCCATGTGAAACTGAGTCAATTAAACCTCTTTCCTTTATAAATTACCCAGTTTTGCATATGTCTTTATTAGCAGCATGAGAACAAACTAATACAGATAACAAATAAGCATATGAAAAGATGTTCCATGTCATATGTCTTTAGAGAAATGCAAATTAAAACAATAAGATACCATTGCACACTTATTAGAATGGCCAAAATCCAGAACACTGACAACAGCAAATGCTGCTTAGGATGTGGAGCAACAGGAATTCTCATTCATTTCTGGTGGAATACAAAATGATACAGCCACTTTGGAAGGCAATTTGAAGTTTCTCACAAAACTAAACATACTCTTACCATTTGGTCCAGCAATCATGCTTCTTGGCATTTACCCAAAGGGCTTGAAAATGTATGTCCACACAAAAATTCACACAGGTGTTTATAGCAGCTTTATTAATAATTGCCAAAACTTGGAAGCAACCAAGGTGTCCTTCAGTAGATGAATGGATAGATAAACTGGTTCATTCAAACAATAGAATATTATTCAGCACTAAAAGGAAATGAGCTATCAAGCCATGAACAGACAAGAAGTAACCTTAATTGCAATTACAACTGAAAGAAGCCAATCTGAAAAGGGAACATATGGTGTGATTCCAACTATATGACACTCTGGAAAAGAAAAATTAGGAGAGAGTAAAAAGATCAGGGATTGTCAGGGTTTGGACACTGGAGGAGGGATAAATAGGTAGAGCACAGAGGTTGTTAGGGCACTGAAAATATTCTGGATGATAATATAATGATGGATACATGTTATACTTTTGTCCAAACCCACAGAATATACAACAAAGAGTAAATCCAAATGTAAACTATGAACTTCAAGTTATAATGATGTGTCAGTGTAGGCTCACCCTTACTAACAAAGGAAGCACTCTAGTGGGGGATTTTGATGTTGATAGTGGGAGGCTATGTATGTGTGAAGGCAGGGCATATATAGGAAATCTCTGTATCTTACTCTCAATTTTGCTGTGAACCCAAAGCTGCTCTAGAAACCTGTCTTTAAAAAATAAAGAATTTAAAATTTTTTAATAAAAAAGAAATTAAAGTATTAGATTTGGAGCTTAGAAAGGAAGAGCTTTTCTGCAGACCTAGCTTGCTGAGAAAGCTCAATTTGGACTTGAAGGTGGAAAGGACCAATAAGAAAGTGTGATTACACCAAGAGTGAAGCCCAAACATAGGGCTTCCTTAATGGAGGGGAATAAAACAAAGTATTTAAAGAAGTTTATGTTCAAGCTCATTGAGTTATGGAAGGCCTATAGCAAACCTAACTTCAGTGTTATCCAAGTCTTAGAGAATACCATTCTTTCCTTTAAGGTCTTGGAAGGTTAGCTCAAATACTCATCACAAGACACATGGAAAGTTTCACTGCTCCCTGTATGTTTCTGCATTTTCTCAGGACACTTAACATTCTCATGGTCCTTTTTTATTTTAAGCTCTGCAGCTGCTAGAGAAGTAATTAAATAAAGCAGTTGTAAAAGAATGTGGACTCCAGGGCCAGATTGCATAGATTCAAATCTTCCTCCACCACTGATTGGCTGTGTGTCCCCAGGCAAATTACTTAACCTCTCTGTGCCTCAGTCTGCTCATTTGAAAACTGAGGTCTTCAAAGAGTTGTAATGAAGACTCTGTAAATCAATATATACAGAGCTCTTAAAGCTGTGCCTTGTGTGTGTTTTTACTCAGTTTGTGATGGTCTCCCCATCTCACATGTGCTTTCTTGATTTAATGCCTTTTTGGTTTCTCACCAAAACCTGCTCATACAAGGTGTGTAGCAGGCTTTACTGGAGCAATACTATCCAATAGAAATATAATATGAACTACATATGTAATTTGAAATATTACAGTAGCCACATTTTTAAAAGGTAAAATTAATTTTAACAGTATATTTTATTTAATCCAACATATCCAAAATATCATAATTAGTTGTGATCAATATAAAATATAATTATTAATGAGATTTGTTTTACAGTCTTCTTATTCATATTAAGTCTTTAAAATCCAGTGTGTATTTTACATTTTGAGTACTTCTTAATTCTTTCTAGTCATATATCAACTACTTTGTAGCCACCTGTAGCTAGTGGCTACCACGTTGGACAATGCAAGTCTAGAGTGACAGACAACTTTAAATTTACTCATTAGATATTTTCATTTGCAAAAATCTTTTCTCTGAGCAATTTTTAAAGGCTCTGACATTCTATGGGACATCCTGGCATCTTGATGTCTGGCTAGTTTTTCTCTCTTCTTTTCCCTCCCTGCACTCTCAGGAGCAAAGGAGAAAGAAATTCAATGGAAACACATTTATTTCATTTGAATATGTAAAGTAAGTTGGCATTCTTTATCCTTCAGCTCACATCTCAGCCTCTGCTTGAAATATAGGCAGTTCTTGATTTGCATGGGCACTGTGTGAACTCAAATTTGTGCATCTCTGAACTGTGTACTCACTTTGTACATATTTTCAGATAACTAAGGAAGGACTGCCTATAGTACTTTAAAATTTTGATTTTTTAGGCAAAGACTAACCTTATTGCCAGTCCTTCACTCTATGTGGTGAGTGGGTGGTAACCTCTGGGTTTTTTGTTGTGGTGGTGGTGGTGGTGGTGATTTACGTTATCTATTTGTTATTTCTAACCTGAGATTTCTGTGCATGGATTTAAATGTTATTGTTCCCATGTGTTGATTTAGTGTGTTTTGTACTGCTGGAGAAGCACTAGAAAAAGGATTTCATTCTGAAGGAAAATAGTTAAATTCTTCAAGTTTCAGAGAAATGTCTCCTTTTCTCCTAGAATGAAGGTTGCAGAAAGTTGCCCAACCAGTAGTGATGAATCCCATTTAGGCTTCCTTTGGTTTGCCAATTTTATCACTTTTTCTTTTCAAAGGGAACTTAAAACTGTAGAACTTATTTAAAAATCTCTATTTTTATACCTGAGATATGTTTTTAAATGTCATATATTTTAATCAAGAATACTTAAGAGATGCTTAAAAAGACAATGCATGATCAATCAATTAAATTAACAGTAGTCCCGTACTAAGAGCTTTTGCATTTAATGGGGGTACCAAAAGATGCAATCTTAAAGTGAGTGACAGCATTCTAATTATCATACTAAATAGATATTTGATAAGGCAAAAGCTAACTCCATTACAAATGTGTTTCTTTCCTACAGGATTCATAATTGTAGCTACCCTGAACATTTTTGTACCTACCCTGAACATTTTTGTGGCCAGGCTAATTTGTCTCCTTGGCTCAGGTAGGGACTAAACGATGAGCTAGAATTTTTTATATCAGAAAATCCAATGAATCTCATGCTTTGACACATTCCTAGCCCAGTGAAAATTTGTGGCCTCAGTGATTAACCTGAGGAATTCATAATCCTACTTTGCCTTTTGAATTATCAAAGAAAGATTAAATAGTATTTCTTATGTTTTCTTATAAGTAATACTTATAGAGATTTTTATAGTTATTTAAAAATTATTAATCAATGCATATTTACATATTATATTTCTCTGGAATGGATGATTGGATAACTAGATCAGTCCACTCTGTTATCATAATATATAATCAAGTTTGTTGTCAAAATAAGAAGATTAAAATTGAGAGAGCTTATTTTAAAACAACAGTATTATTATTATAACAGAAAGTGGGAATGTGATTTTAAGATTTATAATTGAGGATATGGGGGGGAAAATATTTTTGGAGGGATTACTTTGTTGTTGCTGTTGTTATACTCATTATCTCTCAATTTCCTCATTTTCTCCCCCTCGCACACATTTGTCTGAGCCTCAAATGCGAAAGAATCCATTTGAGATAAAGAGGATAACAGGGCCTACTGTGCTCTGACATTTTAGCGGAAATCCATAGGGAAGCTACATGGTTAAACATTTTTCCCTTGAGGAGCCTTTTCAGGTTCCTTGCTTCTCTGATCCTCACTATGTAAACAATTCCTATTCAATAGCTCCAGCTCTGATGGCTCTCCTGGGCTCAAGTTCTTCATTCTCAGCTGCCCAGTGAAGATTTGCATTTGGATGTTCAGTGGCCACATTAAACCTCAACATATCTACAGCTGAATTCTCATCCTTCCAACCTAACATCTCAATGGTACCATTATCCAGCTTACCTGGACTTGAAATTGCAATTTAATCTCCGAACTCTTCATTTTCTTTCTCACCTCTATCCTCTAGTCAGTTGATCCTGTTGTGTCTTTGCGAAGTCTTTAGCAACTTCCTGTTCACGCTGCCATCATTCTAGTTGCAGCTCCTGTCTCACATGTGAGCAATGACAGTAATTTCTCATCTGGTCTTCTTGTATCATGTGTCTTCCTCTTCCAGCCTGTTCTATAACTGCCACCAGAGTTAATATCCTAAAATAATCAAGGTAGAATGAAGGCAATTTGAGACTAGCGAGGATAATCCAGGACCAGAAAGCATCTGGCTGATCAAGGTTTTAGGGCAGCAAGGTGAGCGGTCAAGTTTGAAGAAGCACAGACTGGATGTAAAGATTAGTGGCTTTTATTGGCTAAGCAGGGAAGAAGTTGAAACTGAAAAGATTCTGCTGAGTCTGAAAGGATCATGGTCAGGCTCACTTAAGTTCTGGAAAAGGAGGCTATTGGGTCTTGATGTTAGAAGTATTACAAGTGACCAAGAAGAATAGCTGTTGTATCACAGACGGCTAGCTCCCTCAAGGCAGGAGCTATCCGGGAAAGATCTTGGCATTCTTCTCTCTTATCTAAGGCAGTGCCTCCCACATACAGAGAGCTGTCATCCCATAGCAGAGAGTGTTTGTCTTAGCCCTGTTTAATTCTCCCAGCTGGCACCGGATCACCCCAGATCTACTGTTCATTACCATTACCAGAAAGCAGTGAGAGGATTTGGCATGAATTTTGCCCATAGACAGACTAACTCTACTGATTTTACCTAGAAGCCATTCTATAGGTGGGAATTTCCAGTTAACACCTTTCAGTAGCTTCCTGTTAACAACCAGATGAAATTTAAACTCCTTATCTCAGCATTCCAGGCTCTTTGGAAACTGATCCAACCTAACTCTATAGCTGTTAATTTGGCTCTACATTAGCTACTACTTTTGCCAAAATGCTCTCCTACTCTACTTTGTCTGTCAAAGCTTATCATGTTGATAGAAAGTCAGACTGCATGGATTGAAATCTTTATTTTCTTTACTGTTAACTAGCTGTATCATGTGGGAAAATTACTTAACCTGTTTAAATGGTAATTGCCTCATCTGTAAGAAAGAAATGGTAATAGTATCTACTTTGTAGATTTTTTGTACTGAGACAACAAATAAAAATATTAATTATATTATAATATTACATATACCATATGAATGTTAAATATAATATTTATATTATAAATATTAAATTTCTAGGACTTGGTAATAATGTTAAGCCTTTAACTATTGCCCAAGTCTCACTTATCTTTCAGGGTCCAAGTAAACACTACTAGATAATGTAATGTGCTGATTAACAGTACAGGCCATGGGTTTGCCTCCTAGCTCTGCCACTTAAGCTAGCTATGTAACCTTGTGCAAGTTATTTTACCACTGTAAATGGCGATAACAGTATGGATTACACAGGATGGATTATGAAAACTAAATAAAGTACTTGTGAGACATTGAGCATAGTGCTTGACACATGGTAAACATGTGATCTTATTATTTTATCTTATAAATGAGATCAAGCTTTCTTAGGATACTGTGGCTTATAGGATTTGCAACCCGTGAACTCTGGGTTTACCATTCTAAAACTAGGTTGTCTTTCCAACTTTCTGTATTGTTGATTTCATGGTGTTTTTAAAAACTCTGTGACATTATTTACTTTTCATATGTTAAAATATTGTCTCCCTAACTTGTCATCCCCCTAGGGGCAGGACTAATTTTTACATTTTATTTATCTCTTCCAAAACGCTCAATGTGGTACCTTTCACATAGTAGACCTACGTAAGTACACAATGCAGGTTTGGTTAATGAACATGGTAAATTTGGAGGGCAGGTTAGGTTGCTAGTGTTAAATAAAATCTATGGAGGTCATTGATTTGGACTGAACTTCTACTCTAGACCCCAACAGACGAACCCAAATGGAGTCACTCATGCTAAGTTCCATGTCATCAAACTGAAATATAAGCTGTTTGCTTGTAGGACCTGACCTTCCAAAAAGTTTGGAGAGAGATAATTGCCAAATCCCATAAGCCAACAAGATTTTGTTTACATTCCTGCAAGGGAAATAACCCAATGATAACCAATCCACTCTTTGCGCTATACTGTTTACTTGTTCCTGCTAAAGCTGCCTTATAAAAGCCCATTTTTCTGCCGCACTCAGTGGAGCACCTTTCTGTTTTGTAAACTGAATTCTGCCTGGTTCATGAATCACAAAATCCAATTAGGTATTTCAAACTTAACTTGTGGAAATTTTGTTCTTTGACACCAGGAATTCTATCAAGATATACACAGATTTTAAAAAGAAGATATTTTCCTTAAACAAAATTCTGGTTGTAAAAATTAATTATAAAATGACATTTATTTAAAAAGCCATTTATCTCTAAAATGTAACTCATGTTATTTCTATCTATTGCAGTGTATATTTTAAAGTAGACTATCAAAATGATAGATGTTAAGTATCATCCCTTTAAAACATGATCAGGTTTGAGGCACTGCAGAGAATATGTGTGTTGCCAAAAACTATGTTTAAGACATATCTAGTTATTAAACTATAATAGGAGCAGGTCCCCTAAGTGGTGGAAGCATGGCTAAGACTGAAGTAAAAATCACTACTTTTATCTTCTATTTTATTAAAGTTACTTAGAAGTTGTTAAATGTTAAAGTATTTAGGAATTCCAGTTTGCTATGTAATTATTCTTGTGTCTTTTACCTGTTTATTCATATCAATATTTATTTTCAATGAGGTGAATACCAACAATGTAAATAGTATATGGAAGGAGAGACTTCACATTTATTAGACTTATCTCTACTAAGGACTTTATATACATTAAATTATTTTATTAAAATACTTAAATGTAATGCATAGAATAAGTGCTGGAGAAATTCTGGCTGTTACATTCATAATAATTCTTCAGTTTACTATGGAAAATGGCGGGAAAATCTGTGTCTTTAGAAAGGATTGCTGTGTACATGTTAGAGTCTTGAAGAAAAGACCTTTGGTGAATATTGTGAATTATTAGCTTATGTACTTTTCTCTACACACTTACTTATATGCAATGGTTCTGCCCCCACCATAGACAGCTATAAGAATCTATATTCACTGCTGGAAGAAGAGGTAGCCATAGGATAGGAGAACAATAGAAGTGACTTTTTGTCATTTGACATCAAAAGTGGAGATTTTACCATGAAACGTAAATTTGGAAGAATTTTTTCCAAGCCAAACTTATTCCCCCTTCCCAGAGGCTATAAAATATCCCTGACACAGAATATTTAACAAAGTTAGAAATAGAGATATAAAATTAGGTACAGGTGAATGTCCCAGATAAGAGGCTTGAATGCTGCACTTTCACACTCCCCACTCTTCACCTCTCATCCCCCAGAGGTAGGAAGCAGAATGGTAGAACTCCAGATAGAGTCACAGGATCCCTTCCATGGGGTCCCATGCAAGAGATACCCATCCATCACTTTCTGTGTATAACCTGAAAAAGACATTCACTCTCAAGGAGTACTCCCTCACTCAGTTTCTATATTCAGTATGGCTCAGGAGAGGCAGAATGGAGAGGGCAATGTAGTATACCTTTGTCAAAAGGTCCCAAGGTAGCCCTATCCAATTTACTTCCATCTAGAGCAGTGGAACTAGAGAACTGCAAAATGTTTCCATGTCTCTCATATGTGAGTGGAAGTATCTGAGTAAGAGCCAGAGGACCTAAAGGAGCCTCAATGTCAGGACAAAAGTGTTGCAACAGCAAAGATGAGAAGCAATCTGAATGCCTCATAAATTATGAGTATGTTGGGATGTTGACTACTGAGAACCAGAGAGAATATTCGTCTCAGCTGATAACAGTTTATGCAATGGAGAATGTCTTCATATTACTTATACTAAGCAAGGACAGATGACAGTGCAGTACTAGGAAATACTTTGCTCTAAGCTTTGTGGATACATATTTTAGATAACTTTTTTTTTTACCTCTCTGAATCTATTTTTCACAACCTTCTGTACCCTACTGTCTGCCTGAGAAGGCTGAATTGTATAGAGTACATCATCAGGTTTCTTGACTTCTGGTGTCTAGGGAAGTCTGTTCAGTTGAAATACTGGTAGGAGATTGAAAGGAAGAGAATGAGATTGAGGGACTTTTTTGCTATTTCCCTGCCTGTGAGATTACTTCAGTCCCTTGACTGAAGATCACTGCTTCTGTAAGGCAACCCTCTCCAGCATTCTCTTCGTCTCCAGGTTTCAGTAATCACTCCTTCACCTTGCTCCTCAGACCTAGAGCTGGTAATAATCTACTAGTAGAGTTGTACAAGGCAATCGTGTGCCTATAGTCTTTTGAACCCTTCTCGGCCACATAAGAATGGGTGTTGAGCCTTTTCTTAGTCTGTTTTGTCCTGCCATAAGAGAATACCTGAGAATGGGTAAGTTATAGTGAACAGAAATTTATTTTTCAGAGTTCTGGAGGCTTGGAAGTCCAAGATCAGGGCACAAGCAAGTTTTGTGTCTGATAAAAGCCCAGTCTCCATTTCCAAAATACCAACTTGAATGCTGCATCCTCCAGAGGCGAGGAATCTTGTTCCTCACATGGCAGAAGACCAGAAGGGAAAGAGAGAGTGAAAGCCAGCTTCCAAGCCCTTTTTATAGTGCCATTAATCCATGACCTAAACACTTCCCATCAGCCTTTACCTAAGGGTTAAGTTTGCACTGAGGATTAAGTTTCAACATGAATTTTGAAGGGGACAAAACACTCAAACCATAGCAAGCCTGAAACACTTCTTTACCAGGAATTAAGAGTCTTCACAGCCTGTGCTAAGCTTATTGCCTTTTGTGGGAATATTTTTCCCTGTTTCAGACTCAACGTGTACTCCTTTGTCCTGCTTAATACATATATCAATGGGCCTCAGGCACAGTCCAGATTTCTGTGTTTTAGATCCAATAGAAGACGGGGAGGGGTCCTTCTACTGCAGCACGGAGTGGGATGTGTGCAGGTCCATTGCCTGTGAAGGCTGCAGAGTAGATCTGCTGGTCACGGGGGACCAACACATAGCAAGGGGCTGGATTTTGTATATCTTTTGTCTCCTCGGCTTTAAGTAAATGCTGTATTACTTGAGCCTATTGTGCTTGTTGTTCAACTGTTCTCTTTCCTGGATGACACTTATCTGTCTTTAACCGTGGCTGCACCAACTGGTCACTCAGTGAATGGTGAAACAATGTTCTGCTCCTTGCCTTAAAGTGGGATTCTAAAATTCAGTTGTTCACATATTTTAGGAATGGAAAGATAATTTTCTTGCTTAAGGGAATGACACATGGGTAAATTATGGCATACAGTGGCATCAGCATTACTCAATTATCACCAGTGATGGCAAATGCAGGCAGATAAGGTGCAAGTAGAAGACAAGACATTGGGAGATCAGGAGGTGGAGTCATAACAACTTAGTTGTTATGTTGAAAATATTGATGATAAATCTTGTGGATTCATCTGGCTTCTTGTGATTGTCCTAGAAAACATACATTTGAAACAAGAGAAACTGGAAGCTGTGATATAAAATTTAAAGCATGTGAAGAACCAGAGTGCCTCCATGATTGCCTTGAAATAGTCCTTCATATGCTGCGGACATTGTTAGAGTGACTGCAATGAGGGAGACAGAAATACTCAGATTTTCCAGAAGATATTATCTAGTGACTGAACTACTGCTGGTCTCTGGAAGGATGAAATGCCTTGTTGATTTGACCTTATATTTCAGTCAATGATTGCTTTGATATATGCATATGTGTATATATAAATACATATATGTATACATGTGTATATAAAAAAATACATATATATACAAGTGCATATCCTATACATTTCCTTGATTTATACTCCTACATGATGTGACTTAATTGTTTCATGACTGAGGTGAAGGAAAGATAGCATGTTTACAGGAGAAAAAAGCCATTGGCTTAGGAAGAGGAAAGACTGTCAATTTTCTGATTTGTGTGGGATATTAATGGTTTGACTTTTGGCATGTAAAAGCTAACTCAAGATTTCTCTAGAAGCTTGCAAGAGTTCCAGAATCAGTTATCATTTCTGTCTCAACAGCCAGAATAGTTTGGAAAAATTCAAGTCCCAGCACCCAGTTTCTTTTCTTACCTAATGTTTTCCCACCACAACATCATATATTGTTATTTATCTTGAGTTGAGAAGTGATTTGCATTTATACCCATAAATTTATGTATCCTTTTAACTAATGTAAAGTTGTGCACATAATTCAGAACTCTTTAAAAGAACCATTTTGTTTTTCTATTGCTGTTAAGAACATTAGGCCCAAGGAACACATCATTGTGTGAGAAAAAATATAAGTGCTACCTACAATAAACAGCAAAAAGCAAAACAACAGCAAAGGGGGAAAAAAACAAAAACAACACAGTTCCTGGCTTGTTACTGGGCTCTGGTAAAGACTGCAGCCTGACTATGGAACATGATGTTACTATTTTCCCCAAACTATACATTAACTAGTGTTATCAGATCTGCTGAATCATAAAATTGGACTAATATCAGCAACATTTTACTATAAAATAGAAATGGCTAATAGGTATTGGATCTAAGTTGACCCAGAGGCACAATAAACTGCATAAGCGGGTGTTCAGACTCATGTCATCTTCTTCTGCTTTGCTGCTTCTCTCCCAACTCATATCTTTTTGCCTCACAGAGAGTTCCTGTGGCTTATTTGTTGAGGAGGAAAGAAAGGTGGGCCTGGCCTACTGATGTATCTGCATGGTATACTGGCACCAGGCAGGAGTGGATGGCTGTTTCACTATAGTTGACTTAAGAAAGACTCCAAAAGACAGTGGTGAAAGTGCATATCATGCCAGTAGGCAGAACTTTAGGTAAGACATGTGGTTGCTCACTTTTTGTGTTAAGACAAAGAGCCTGAGTTATAGATCTGCACTGATTTGTAGACAAGGCCTAATGGGCTGGCCAGGTGGTCAGGCACTTAAGGACACAAATGGAAGATTGAAGATAAGGAAGGATATGTAAATGTCCCTCCTGGAATGCCTTCTTCCCCTTTCTGGAGTGTTCTTGCCCATGATCTTCACATAACTAGGACTATGTTTAGGACCTCAGAGGTTCTCTTTGATGCCTGTTAACATTCCCTTGTCTAATAGTTCTGTCAAATGGAAAATAGCAAAAATCTCAAGATGACAAGACAACCAACCACTTTGATCCTACAAATAACCCTTCCAAGTAAAAATCCCTTTGCAGCCAAGGTGCTTGCTAAGGGTAAAAGAAACATGAACTGGGTAGTGGAAGAAGGCAGCTTAGATCTCCTAACCAGCTACCAGAGTGGGGACTGAGCACCTGTATTTTATGTAAATTAATAACTTCATGATCTGTCTTTTCCCCCTACTATCGAATATGAAAAATATTGGTGACATTTAATGTTTTAAATTTCAGGTGGTAGTGTAACCAAATTAATGCCAGCTTCTCATGGGAGTTTAGTCACCTGGATTGAAGATAAGAAGTTTCAAACAGGATGAAGGAAAAGAATGAGTGCTGAAGGGCAAAAGCAGTGAGCTTTAAGGGATATCTTCTAGTTTTTCTTCCAAAACCATATCCTTTTGCTCCCTGCTTTATATCTGAAGAAGATGACCTGTACAGATTACATCCACAGCCAGAGCTGTAACTAATAGAGTTCAAATTCATTTTATCCACCATATCTTCAGTTGCCTTCTTTGAACAAAGATGCCTTTGTTCCCTCAGCTCAAGGATAGGAGACCCAACTTTGTAATGGTGGAGCAACTGCAGTGTCTAGCAGCAATGAGAGCATCTAGTGGCAGTGCTGGTAAGGTACTGTGTTGGTTTCAGGCAGGTGTGCTGGGCACACCTGTCTGGTGATGATGGCCTGAATTATTCTTCCTGACATTTAGCCCTCAGAGCCTCCTTGGTTCCAGCCCAATTTCCCAACCTGCTCTCCAGCTTTCTATAAATTATCTGAGCTGCTATCTTTCAAATTGGATCCAATTATCCATTTTTTGTTTCAGACTACCAGATACAATTTCTATCTAGTGGAGGAAGAAGCAGTGTCAATAAACAAATAAGCCAAACAAACATCAGAAAATGACAATTGTGTATAGAAGATTGAAACAGGGTTATTGAGAGGTTATTTTATGTTTTTGGTTCTGGGAAGACCTCAGTGTGGAGATGACATTTTAGATGAGATCTGAAAGACAGGAAGGAACCAATTGCATGAAGATTATGGGGAAGAATGTTTCACAAGGAGGAAGCACCTACTGCCAAAGCCCCAAGGTGGGAAACGAACCCAACATGTTTATGGAACTACAGATAGAGTAATAGGGTCAGAGAAATTAGAAACAGTAGGGAGGGCAGGACTACAGAGCTTTGTAGGCCATGGTGAAGAGTTATTCTAAGTGTGATGGGGAATGAGTGGAACGTTTTAAGTGGGAGAGTGATGTGATTGCATTTACATGTTCTCCTCTCTATTCTTCCTGGGCATCACAGCTCTGCTAAGAGGTGTCTCTCCTTAACTACAGTTCTTGTGGAGCAATCCCTCCTCACAGTTCCTCATGGTTCTAACTCTCATGGAGCTCTGGATGCATAACTTTTCCTCTTCCTCTTTCAGGCCTAGTAGAGATAACAGCTTTCTGCTGTTGCCAGTCTTTGGGAGTCTTAATATCATTTGTGGATTCCCTTGAACCTGCCTGCTCCTCTATGAATAATTCCTTCATTAAAGTTTATTAAAGCCTTCTGAGTAGTATCCATTAGACACTACAAGAAAATTGATAGAAAACTGGAGAACAGGTTAGAACATTGGGTTGGAACCAACAAGCCTCTGAGGGCTAAAAATCAGGAAGAATAAACCAGGTCATCTTTACCAGACATGGTGCAATCACATCCTGTAAATGCAACATGATGTGATTGCATTTGCCTGGCTTGGGCTACTGTGTAGAGAATGGATTGGAAGCAGGCAGGAGTGGAAACAAGGAGACTATATGAATTAGGGTCATGATCTAATGAACATTACTCAGAAGGCTTTAATAAACTTTAATGAAGAATTATTACAGAGGAGTAGGTAGGTTCAAGGGAAGCCACAAATGATATTGAGGCTCCCAAAGACTGACAACAGCAGAAAGCTGTTATCTCTCCTAGGCCTGAAGGAGGAAGGGGGCAAAGTTATGCATCCAGAGCTCCATGAGAGTTAGAACTGTGAGGAGGGGTTGCCCTACAAGAAATGTAGTTAGGGAGAGACATACCTCTTGCCAGAGCTGTGATGCCTAGGAAGAACAGAGAGGGGAAGAAATATCTTGACATTTGTTCCCCACTTCTTGACTGTATTAGTCTATTCTTACACTGCTACGAAGAAATACCCGAGACTGGGTAATTTATAAAGGAAAGAGGTTTAATCAACTCGCAGTTCGGCATTGCTGGGGAAGCCTCAGGAAACTTACAATCATGGTGGAAGGCAAAGGAGAAGTAGGCACCTTCACAGGGCAGCAGGACAGAGTGAGTGCAAGCAGGGGAAATGCCAGATGTTTATAAAATCATCAGATCTCATGAGACTCACTCACTATCTTGAGAACAGCATGGGCGAAACTGCTCCCATGATCCAATTCCCTCCACCTGCTCCTGCCCTTGACGCATGAGAATTATGGGGATTACAATTCAAGATGAGATTTTGGGTGGGGACACAACCAAACCATATCACTGACTTCTTGCTGGTGCCTCCCTTCAGCCACACTGACCCAGAATCTGGCCAGCAAGGAAGGGAGTCTGGATGAGGCAGCCTGTAAAATCAGACTTCTGGGACACAGAGCAGGATACACAGAAGATTGAGACTGGATCTGAAGGAGGTGGTGGGGATAATAAACAGAAAATAACTAGCATGGGGACCAGTTAGAGTTTGTTGCAGCAGTCTAAAACAGAATAACAGTAGCTTTTTTCTTTTAGGGCCTTTTAATTGGTGACGATAAGGAGAAGTAGACAAATTAAAAATATTATCTGGAGATAGAAACAATGGGACTTACTCACTGATTAGATATGAGGCTGCTGAGGGAAAGAAAGGAATAAAAAATGATTACCAATACTGTGTTACTATGAAATATGAGCTCACTAGGGAACACTTTGTGGGCTAGCTAAGACCAAAAAGTTTCCCTAAACATTCCAGGGCATTCCAGGGGTTTTCAGAGTGCAATTGCTTAAGTTAGAGGCACTGAATATCCAATAAGAATTTATTAGAAAGAGCATTAGCCCATGTGGCAAAGCAGGATAGTACAGCTCCTTCCTCAGAGGATTTAAAGATGATGCTTTTTTAGCTCAAACTGGAGTATTAGATTTAACATATTTCATCATAATTGTATGAATATGTTTCTCTTACTAGCTGATTGAAGGCAGACACTAAGTCTCATTTATTATTTTCTGTCTAGTTCTTAACCCACCGTCAGGGGACATAAAGTAGGAATGGAATAAATGCTAAATAAATGATCCCATGTTTAATTCAAATAACAACAACAACAATAATAAAAACAACTATTCCTATCTAGCAATAAATGCACGTAGTAGAAACCATCTAAATACCACTTTCTCTTTTTCTTATTTATGTTTTCTCCTTTTTCATTACTTCTATCTGTGTAAATTTTTTTAGATGTTAACATGATTGAATGTGGTAGAAGAGAAGAAAATTAGATATTAGATGTAGGAGTAGGAGCTTGTTTTTCCTTTTACAGAACTTTTTTGTTTTGCTATTATGCTTTCTTCTTTTGACAGAATAAGATAAAAGGCAATAAAGATGGGGAGGAGGGAGGAAAGAGCAGTGAAGTGGAAGTTTAATCTGAGGGCATAGAGAGGAGAAAAATGAAGATGGGAAAAACCTGGGACAAAGAGCTGAGATGAGAATAAAAGCAACCCAAGAGGATGAGAGGGCCTGCCAAGGTTAGATTATGCAAACCTTCTCTCTTACTGTCTTTCACTTCCCGTGAGCCTGTTCCTTTTGCTGCTGGCATACATACATATACACCCTCAAAACACAATTTGAACATGAATTCCTTAATGGAAAAAGAGACTCTTGGGCTCATACAGGTAGCATAATCTGGATGAAATGACTAAGTCAGAACTAGCAGCCTTTCAATTTTGGTTTCATAGCTTCAATTTAAATGCTCCAGCAGAGAATAACTCTTGAAAAAAAAAAATAGCCACCTGAAACAGAAACTTAGCAGAAAAAAACAAAAGAAATAAACTACTGAATAACCTTTCAAAGGCATCTTTGAAAAGTGAGCACGCGATGCCTTCCTAATTCATTAATTTGGGCAAAAGCTCTGGATAAACTTATACCAATTATTGCAAGGCATTCTCTATTCTTACTGCATTTTTAAAACAAAGTCCTCCCCTAAAAGTTATCAATTATACAAAAGCTTTAGGAGGAATTTTAGTACTCCTTTACCCAAAGTAAATGGTGGTAAATTTCCTTTTATTCTTAGCTCTGAGTTTGTATTTATTTATAAGTCATTGTGATCACATATACTCATATTTATAATACGACAATTGTTTTTAAATGGGATTTTTGTTCTGATTTTAAAACAAAACATCCTCATTGAAGAATATTTGGAAATGTAGCATACAAAGTAAATCATATTACCATTGTTCCATTTTGATATATATAAACTTTAGGTATTATATATATATAATAAATTTTAAGATATTATTTTATATATAATAAAATTAACCAATTTAAGTATATAATTCAGTGAATTTTGTCAAATGTATAGTCATGTAATTACCACCACCACAATCTTGATATATAACATTTCTATCACCTAAAAATTTCCATTTTCCCCTTTGTAGTCAATCCCTTGCCCCCACTTCTACCCCCTGGCAACCATTGATCTGCTTTTTGTCACTTTTGTTTTGTCTTTTCTAGAATTTCAAATAATCAGAATCAGATATAGTCTTTTGCGTCCAGCTTCTTTCACTTAACGTAATACTTTTGCGGTACTGATATTGTTACATGTATTAGTCGTTAGTTCCTGTTTTACTTTTCAGTATTTGCATTGTATGGTCATGCCACAGTTTGTTAATTCACTTATTGGTTGATGGACATTTGAGTTATTTTCAGTTTTCTTTTGCGGTTATGAATAAAGGTGCTATGAACATATGTATATAAGTAAATAAACAAATGCTCCTGCTATGCTTTGTGAGGTCTAAATATAGTCAGGATGTATGTTGCATAGCTTCTCAGTTATTAAGTTTAGATTTGTTCCCATGAAGCTATGTTACCAGCTTCCTCACTGGGCACAGTGTAGAGAGGTATATTTAGTGTATGGGGGAGCAAAGAGAGACACACAAGATATGGAGGTATGACGGTCATATACAACTTGAATTCCTATGAACCACAACCAGAGAGAAATCCTTTTTCTCCTTCAAGTCTTTATTTCTTCCGCTGTAAAAAATAAAAGCCAAAAGGATATTTACAATTCATGTAATAATGCTAGTGGCCATACTGTTTGGCATTCAGTTGTTGTGGAAAAAATAAATTACTCTAGCTACGTAGCAAACCCACTCTAGCTAATTTATATAAGAAGGTATTTATTCTAGGGTATTAAATGGCTTACGAAATTGTTGAGTGGGATGAAGCAACAAATTCTACGTTGAGCTTTCAGGAACGAATCCCAGAGCCACGTGCAAAATTGGACCTTTAAAAATGTTGCTGCTGAACAAAAAACCAAACACTGCATGTTCTCACTTATAAGTGGGAGCTGAACGATGAGAACACATGGAGAGAAACAATACACACTGAGGCCTGTCAGTGGAATGGTGGGGGAATGGAGGGCATCAGGAAGAATAGTTAATGGATGCTGGGCTTCCAACTTAGGCGATGGGATGATCTGGGCAGCAAACACCATGGCATGCATTTACTTACGTAACAAATCTGCATATCCTGCACATGTACCCCTGAACTTAAAATAAAAGTTGAGGGGAAAAAAAGCAAATTGAAGAAAAAACTCCATATAATTCATTAACTATAAAAGAGGACTGAAAATAATTGCACAAATAGTGTCTATCTTGATGTGTATAAGTGCTCAGGTAAAATGATGGTTGAAGATGTAATGAAGTCACCCAATGAGCAATCTACTTATAGAATCCCCACGAATGGGACAGCTAAAAGGCCCAACTATGAAGATGTGTTGTTTCATAATTCACATATCAAGAGTGGCCTTGCCATCCATGTCACAGTGTCCCCAAATGGTGGACAAATTGGTAAAATTCCCAGCAAAACAAAGTACAATCTTTGCCCAGTTTATAAGATAATTGCATCCCTGGAAAAATCAACATGTCTTAAAACCACCCCAAAATAACTCATGTTTATGTATGAAATGGAGTTATGTTATACTGATGATTAGAAGCGGATTTTTTTGTCTGTGTGAATGTCCAGAGGACAATAAACAGGGTGAGAAACGGGGACATGACTTCATTATTCAAGACCATCTTGTGCATTGCAGGAGACTTGTCACCTTCTCCTGGGCCCAGTAAATGCCAGTAGTCCCCCCACACCCCATCACTGTGACAACTAAAAACCCTCATGCCAATATCCAGATTGCCTCACCTCCGTGAGTCCAGACTGTGGGAGTTACCTCCAGAAGAACCAAAACAAGAAATAGTTAAAAGAGGTTGCCTCTGGGAAGGAGGCCACTGTCTAGGAGGGAGGGCTGGGGGACTCTTGTTTTTTATCATGTTTTTTATTCCCGTGTTCTATTTAATTTTTACCATATGTATGCATTACATATACATATAATTTTTTAAAAAATGAAAAAAATGTTGCTGCCTTTCCTATGGTCAGAAAGTTATTGGCTTCAGCATAAATTACCATTGCCACAATCAGGCATGAGAATTACTCTCTGCCATGTCAGAGAGTAATTAGTTTCTGGTTTGACAGTGTCCAAGTAGCAGCACTCAGCTATCAAAGGCAAGGTGGATGTGGTTACTGCATTGAACAGCAGAGTCAAAGCAGTAATTGGAATAGTTTGACTTGCAGACCTATGGCATTGGCTAGTTGATCATGGTGTTCCTAGAAGTGAAATAGATAAGAAACCTCTAACATTCTTATTTGATCTGTATAAACAGAAAAGTTCTAGTCCAAGTGAAAAAAAGTCTACACTGAGATAAGAACAAAGCCATAGTCACTCAATTAATTTCCAGATTTGAGCCAGTTTACAGACCCTAAACTCCTTCAATGAAAGGGAGGTCCCTTTGAAGAAGGACCCCAGTACACCAACAAAAATGTATACTGTTAATCTCTCTTCCAACTTTCTACAAAAGCACCTTTGGTCTTTTAACTGTGCAATGGGGAAAAGGAAATAATCAGAACTCTTGGGGACTACTGAACACTGGGTCTGAGCTGACACTAATTTCAAGGTATTCAAAACATTACTGTGCTCCATCAGAGTCAGGGCTTAGATCTGTCTCACAGTGGGCCAGTGGGTCTCTGAACCCATCCTATGTTTTATTTTTTCAGTTCTGGAATGCATAATTAAAATTGATATACTCAACAGCTGGTAGAATTCCCATCTCAGTTCCCTGACCTGTGGGGTGAGGACTATTATAGTGGGAAAGGCCAAGTGGAAGCCACTAGAACTGCCACTATGTAGCAAAAATGTAAACCTAAAGCAATGCCACATTCCTGGAGGGATTGCAGAGATTAGTCCCACCATCAAGGACTTGAGGGATAAATGGGTGGTGATTCTCATAACACCCCCATTCAACTCAACTCTTGGTCTGTGTAGAATACAGACATACCTTGGAGAATGACAATGAATTATTGCAGGCTTAACAAGATGGTGACTCCAACTGCAGCTACCACACCAGATGTGGTTTCATTGCTTAAGAAAATTAACACATCCACACCAGGTACTAGGGGATACATTTTTGCATCTGCATTCCCCTAACCCCCACTATAACCAAAAAGGAGACACAACACCTACTAAACTTCTTTGGGTTTTGCAGGCAACATGTTTCTTGTTTGGGTGTGTTACATAGCCCATTTACTAAGTGACCCAAAAAGCTGCTAGTTTTGAGTGGGTTCCAGAACAAGACAACACCCTGCAACAGGTTCAGGCTGCTGTGCAAGCTGCTCTGCCACTGGGTCTATCTAATCCTGCAGATCCAATGGTGCTGGAAGTGTCAGTGGCAGATAGGAATGACCTTTGGAGTCTTTGGAAGGCTCTAGGATTTTGGAGCAAAGCCCTGCCATCTTCTGCAGATAACCACTTTTGAGAAAGAGCTGTTGGTTTAATATTGGACCTTAGTAGAGACTGAACACTTAAACATGGGCCATGAAGTTACCATGCAAACTAAGCTACTCATCATCATGAACTGGGTGTTATCTGACCCACCAAACCATGAAGTTGAGCATGCACAGGAGTACTCCATTGTCAGCTGGAAGTAGCATATCCATGATCAGGCCCAAGCAGGCCCCGAGGGCACGAATAAGTTACATGAAGAAGTGGCCCCCACTTCTGCTACATTGCCTTCTCTCTGTACCTCTGGGCCCATGGAGACTTCCCTATCATCTGTTGACAGAAGAAGAGAAGATTTGGGCCTGATTTACAGATGATTCTGGAAAATACGCAGGCATCCCTGAAGCATATTGGTGGAGGAAACCAGCGGACAGAACTTTGAGCAACACATTTGGTTGTTTACTTCGCTTGGAAGAGGAAGTGGCCAAATGCGTATGTGCAATTATATATCAATTCATGGCCTGTGCCCAATGGTTTTGTTGGATGGTCAGGGACTTGTAAAGCACATGATTGGAAAATTGATGACAAGGAAATTTGGGGAAGAGGTATGTGTATAGATCTTTCTAAATGAGCAAAAAATGTGAAGATATTTGTGTTTTGTGTTAATGCTTACCAAAGGGTGACCTCAGCAGGGGAGGATTCTAATAATCAACTGGATAGGATGACCTGTTTTATGGATACCAGTCAGCTTCTTTCTCCAGCCACCTCTGTCATCGCCAGTGGGCTCATGAACAAAGTGGCCATGGTGACAGGGATGGAAGTTATGCATGGGCTCAGTAACATAGACTTCCATTAACCTAGGATGATGTGGCTACAACCACTGCTGAATGTCCAATACGCCAGCAGTGGAGATCAATAGTAAGTCACTGATAAGGTATCATTTCCCAGAATGATCACTAGGACTGCTTTCATTATGGAAGGGGTAGCATTTCGTTACTGAAATAGACACTTTGGGTATAGATTTGCCTTCCTTATAAGCATTGATTCTGTCAAAACTATCATCAGTGGGCTTATAGAATGCCTTATTCATCAGTCTTTCTTTCTTCTGTCTCTCTTTTGTGCTTTGCTCCCCTTTTAAACATGAGTTCCAATTTCAAATCATCTCTTTGTGAATGCATATGACTGTATGCCTTCAGAAAAATCCAGGTGACTTCTTGAATGCTTTACTGCTTAGAAATTTCTGCTGCCAGATACTCTAAATCATCTCCCTCAAGTTCAAAGTTCTACAGATCACTAAGGCAGGGACAAAATGTGCCAGTCCCTCTGCTAAAGCATAGCATAAGTGACCTTTACTCTAGTTCCCAGTAAGTTCCTCATCTCCATCTGAGACCACATCAGCCTGGACCTCATTGTCTGCAACACTATCAGCATTCAACAAGTCTCCAAGAAGTTCCAAACCTTCTCAAATCCTCCTCTCTTTTTCTGAGCCCTCCAAACAGTTCCAAAGTTATCTGTTACCTAGTTCCAAAGTCATGTCCATATTTTCATGTTGTCTTTATAGCAGTACCCCACTCTACCGGTACCAATTTCCTGTATTATTCCATTTTCACACTGCTATAAAGACATAACTGAGACTTACTAATATATAAATATAAAAGGTTTAATTGACTCACAGCTCCGCATGGCTCAGATAACTTACAATCATGGGGGAAGGCAAAGGAGAAGCAAGCACCTTCTTCACAAGGTGGCGAGAGAGAGAGTGAAGGGGAAGTGCCACACTTTGAAACCATCAACTCTCATGAGAGCTCCCTCACTATCACGAGAACCATGTATTTGATGTCTTTTGAAGTGGCAGATGTTTAAATGTTTGTATTTTTCTACATAAAATTGAAAAAATCCTCTACATTTTCTACAAAGTATCTGCACCTATAAAAATAAGATATCAGATGCAATTGTAAATTGAAAGCTTTAACTGCCAATGTAAGAGCATGCTACATTGTTATCACTATCAGTTCATATAATAAAGAAAATAAAAATGTGATTTTATTATCTTTGTAAACTGAATTGAGATAAATACTGTGTTTGGGGGCAACTATTTATTAAGTGTCAACCAGGCATTGTGCTTATCGTTGAAGAGGAAGAGCTTAAAAGCCACCGTTTCTACCTTTGAAAAGTTTTCGTTCTGGAGAGGGAGACAGACATGAAACCATCCAGATGAAATTCCTCTATTTTAAATATTTCTGCAAGGCTATGTGGCTACTTTGAATGCTTTTTGCACACTTACCTTGCCCTCATTGTGGCTTTTTCTCAATATCTTGATTGCAAGTGATTTAATCTCATTGATCTAATTTTCAGTCATAGGTTGATGGTTCAAAGAAGGAAAGGTTGCTAGAGGTTGACTTCACAGTTCTTAGTGCTGTGAGATGGTTTCTTGACTTGTGTCTGGGTACTCCCCAGGGTTGTCACTAAGGGTAGATTCCAAACTTTCCTTTGGCTGCACTCAGGCTGTGTTTGGTGTCAGGGCCTAGACACAGGGAGTACTGGAGAATAACAGAAGCATATTGTAAGTGTGGGGCTCAGATCTTGAGAAAGTTTGTGTGCATGTGCACATGAATATTTCTTGAACATTTCACCTTGGTTGCTTGGTCTCATCTACTCGTAACTGTCTCTCAGCTACAAAATCAAATTTACTTATAAACTACTACTTGAAACTACTGTATTTGACTCATCTGTTTATGAAAATAATAGCAATAACAACTGCTCTTATGTGTTTCCTGTATGCTAGGCATTTTAAAGGCATTGTTTTAGTCCTATCAATAACCCTATTAAGACATTCTTTTTTACATGGGGAAACTGAGGCAGAGACGGGTTCGGCCATTTGTTTCTGTTAATATAGTTAGAAATTTGCAGAGGCAAGAATTTGTGTACATGAAACATGCTTGTTGGCTGGGCGCAGTGGCTCAAGCCTGTAATCCCAGCACTTTTGGAGGCCGAGGCGGGTGGATCATGAGGTCAGGAGATTGAGACCATCCTGGCTAACAGGGTGAAACCCCGTCTCTACTAAAAGTACAAAAAATTAGCCGAGCATGGTAGCAGGCGCCTGTAGTCCCAGCTACTCGGGAAGCTGAGCAGGAGAATGGCATGAACCTGGGAAGCGGAGCTGGCAGTGTGGCCAGGATCGCGCCACTGCACTCCAGCCTGGGCGACAGAGCGAGACTCCATCTCAAAAAAAAAAAAAAAAAAAATGCTTGCTCATGGATACCCACTAAATATATATAGTTTTAAATGACGCCCCTTCTTGAATATTTTTAGTTTTATACCTATTTTTAATTTAGTAATTAATTTTTAATAAATTTTATTTTTAAGAACAGTTTTATATTTACAGAAAACATTCAGAGTACAGAGAATACCTATAATCCTGTACCCAGTTTTTTATTATTATCATCTTACCATTAAGATGGTACATTTATTGCAATTAACCAATATTGATGCATTATTATGAATTAAAGCCAATACTTTATTTAGATCTCCTTAGTTTTTACGTAATGTCCTCTTTTGTTTGGGGATCCCATTTTAAATACCAAATCACACTTAGTCATCACACTTCTTAGTTTTCTATTGGCTGTGACAATTTCTCAAACTTTCCCTCTTTTTCTTTCTTTTTTTTTTTACAATTAGATATATTTTACTTACTATGTAACATATATAAAAATAAAATTAGCATGTAATTTCTATTTACTTATTTAAGCATTCTTGGGGTACAATTTATATACAAAAATGCACACCATATTTAATGTAAACATTTTGATGATTTTCGACAAATATATACACCCATAATACCATCAGCACAATCAAGATATGTGCTGACATTGATTACCTATGGTACATGCACATAAACCTGTCATCTCCAAAATTTCCTTGTGTTCTTTTGTGTGTTTGTGCTTGTGGTAAGAACATTTAATGAGCTTTATCCTCTTAACATAGTTTAAAGTGCAGAATACCAAATTGTTAACTATTAGTATTATGGTGTGTAGCAGATTTCCAGAAATTATTCATTGTGCATAACTGAAACTTTGTACTCACTGATCAACAATTGACTTTCTTTATTTTTAATGACCTTGACAGTTTTGAGGACTATTGGTTGTTTTGTAGGATGCCCTTCCACTGAGATTTGTCTGATGTCTTTATTAGACTAGGTAGTTAATTTTTAGTAGTTATTTTTAATTTTTAAACATTAATTTAAGGAAATGCAGAGATGCAATTTCTGAAATATTTCAATATTAATATTTTAAATGAAACTGTTAAAATGCTCTTTTAATTGTATCTAATCCAATCTAAATACCCTAGCGATTTGATAGTCATCACCATTCATTTTAAAAACACAAGAAACTTTTTTAATTGTAAGAAATTGAACATCATGTATTCCTTGAGTTCTACATTTTATTCTACTTTCCCCATAGAGTTTTATGTTAAGAAAACATATTTTTATCCTTAAAATTATTTTATTGATCCCACATCACACTTGTTTTTAACAAAGCTATGTTTATAAATTTCAATTAAAGTGTTTTATTATATTGGAACATATGTGCGGGATCATATTATCATTGCATTATTAGTATGCAATTTGATTAAAATAATATGATAATTATTAAACAAAGACAATTTAATTAAGCACTTACTGAGATGAATGGCACCTTTTTTCAATTAGTTAATGCAACTCTAGATGAATATTACTCATTGCTTGAGTGAGACAGGGAAGGTTCAGCATCAATTCACATAGATAAGTAGATGGCAATAGAATGGAGTTTGTTATACTGATTTTCCTTAATTCTTTGAACACTTTCCGAGTTATATGACAACCATCTCAAAGTGGTCTAGCATCAAAAAGCACATCTGATGATTTATTAACTGAATATTCTATTAGGTCCACCTTCAATTTTGTTGAGAGCAAAGAACTGAAAATCAATTCACTTGCAAAGATTTGCTACACAGTTGTTGGAATCATTCATTTTCTTGATTTCTGGGAACTGTACCAGAAGTGCTTTACCCATACTTTTCAGATGGGTATTAATTATATTTGTTATTTTTGCACTTAGAGGCATATAGTTTAACTCAATACACTCAAGAAAGAATTAGGACATGAGGTAGTAATAACTTCTACATACCTTTGCCATACATTTGACAAAATGCTGTGTCTCCCATATTCTACATGCTTTAAACATATTTTTATCAAAAACTTGGAAATTCAAATTCAGTTCGTTCAATTAATAGAAAATTTCCACTCTATAACCAAATTAGCAAAGTCAGTACTCATTAGTAAACCAGTCAACCAAATCAAGCATACTCATTGTTAGAAAAAGTCTAGCTTTATTCTTTAATTCAAGTAAATGGATTAACATGTGTTTCATTTTCACTATTATGAAAGGCACTGAAAACCAAATAATGGATTCCATCTTGTAAGATAGATCCTTCCAAACAGCTGAGTCTCATTTAAGATGATGTAGGATCTAAAATAATGTTTTACTTTTTATGAATCATAAAACAAAACGTGTTTTAAAATTTCATATGTTTAATAATGTAATATTATACAATATCCAAAATCTTATGTGATGGATAGCAAAAATAAGTAGTTGCGAAGTAAGGAGTGTAATAAATCAACCATGATATTCCTTACCTCAATGAGTTTGTAGATATTTATTGAACTCTAGTATCAGATTTTGGGAACTATTAAACAAGTATATTATATAAATATTCATAATATCATCAGTTTTTTGACAAAATATATTTTCTATGTATTTTATGAAAGAAAAATGTTTTATGGCTAAATTGATATGGCAGCTATCATATAATTGCATACTATATAATAGAAAATAGAAGATATTAACTACTTTATAAAATGAACTAGTATATAATTATAATAAATATTTTAAGATCTGATTTGATATATTACACTTTAATGACTTTGTTTAATAATGCATACTGAATCTAAAAGAAATCACATAAAATCTTCATCTGTAGATGTAATTTCCACAAAAGTAGAAAAAAATTGAATAGTCCTGGAAAATATGCTCTGTTTTTTTCTTTAAGAGTAAGTATTGTTTTCTAAACTTTGGTTTTATTTAAGTATACATCTGCATACTATGTCAGTGACAAACATTTCCCAACAGAAAATATACTCTTAAGAAGAGTTAGTGTCATTAAGCTGTAGTGTTTTGCAACAACATGTCTTTCATTATGAATATTATAAATATCTGAAAAATTGCTCATTTTAGAAAAGGAGTTTTTAGCTTTTAATGTTTCTTGACAATGCTTTCTTCAATATTCTCTCCTCAAATTCTCCCTCGGGGGCAAGACATTCTTTGAAAAGGGTCTAAGGAAAGGAAAAGGTGAAGGCTGCCACTGTATATCTAATTTTAAAACATTTTCACAAGCGTCAGTATACCCCATTTCTAATGTTACATGCTTCAGTTTTGTTAGAAATACGGATAAGACAGAGAAAAAGGGAAGACAGGGTCTTGATATATCAACAAAGGAGGCTTTCCTGCATACATTACATTAATTACCTTTTGCTGATGCCCTAGATATTTTTATACCCTGGGATAATGGCATAATTAGATTCCAGATGAGTCATGGGGATGTCTTTCTTCTGTAAAATGGGAGAAGAGTCATTTTGAAAGGGAAAGTGGGGATGATAATCTACCTGATGATGGGAAAAAGGGCATATGAAAGTCAAGAATCTGAAAATGAATGCTCTTAAAATTATAGCCAGTGTGACTACTACATCTATACCTGACCCATCCCAAATCTAGCTTTTTTTTCTGCCACAGAAATATTGTTATTTTGCCATTGCTTTCTCAGTATGATATTCAAACTCTGCTCTATTGCCTTCTTTGTATAACTTCATCTTTGAAAGAGAAAGAACAAAAGAACCACTTTTAGTTATATCTGTCCTTGAAAGATAATGTTCATGACTTCACAATCAAGGTCTCTAGCAATATTGTGTACCAATACCAAGATACCAATGCCAACTGGAAATGGCAACAAACCAAATTATGGTACTAAGATAATGACTATATTTGAGTACATCTTCTTTAAAAAAATACAAAATACATGTACATAATAGAAAACAAGAAAATATAGTAAGAAAGAAGGAGATAAATACATTCATTTAGAAATAACTTGTGAACACTTTTGGAGTACCTATTTATCAATCAATCATCTTTTTATCTGTCCTTTATTGTGTCAATAAATCCATCTATATTTGAAATTATACAGTGTAAACTGTTTTGTAATTTAATTTTAACTCTACCACACATTAAGAACATCTTTCTATGTTGATAAATGTACATCTACAACATAATTTTTAATGGCTGTAGAATGTTCCATTGTATGATTGAATCACAATTTAATCAATCTAGTACAGTTGAATAAGTTGTTTTCAATTTTTTCATAACTATAAACAAATATGTGATTAATACCTACATAGCTAGATCTTTTAATACCCTGTTAGTTATTTCCTTGGAAGTTTTTTTCTAGAAAAGGTATTTCTGTGTTAAAATTGAAATCTTTGGATACATAATCTCCAGAATGGTTATATCAATATATACTCCTAGAAGAAACATATGAGTCTCTTTAGAGGGTTATATAGTTTACTTGAGAAAAGTTAATACACCCAGCTTTGGTAGGGAGTGTGTATTAAAGTTAAGAGAGTGTTTGAGTAACATACTTCTTTATGTATGTGTAAATAATCTATTTAGAAGAAAAGAAAAATTATAGAGATCTTTGGTTTCCCTGCCTTGCTCAGTAATCTCTTCATAGCTCTTGTATTTATAGGCTTTACAAATAGAGTTTTAAATATCAACTGATTGGTGGCAAACAAATCAAGATAATTATTCTACCACACATGAAGACATGTTTTGCTCTCAGCATCTGTATAGTTTAAAGCTTTGATTAGTTGCTCAAACTGCAGAGTCCTGAAGGTTGGCTTATTTCCTCATTCAAAGAAAGCTTGTTATGTCAGGAAGTTTGGACATCAGGAAATAGCAGAGGCATATTGAGAGAGGCAAACTATACAGCGTAGAGGAAAACTTAGTTTTATATTATTTATTTAAAATCATTATGAGGTTAAAGCACCAGTGTTCCCAGTAAGTCCAGTAGATAGTTATTGCCTGAAAAAAATTCTTGGCGATGATGATGATAAAAATAGGATCTAGAAAGAGGTTGTGACATTTTCTTCACTAACAAGGCATGGAATGAAGACTTAGATTGTCACTAATAGAGAAGTTATAAGTATGACTGAAAGGGACACTATGAAGTAACCAACATGAATTAATAAAAAAGACTGTCTAATGGCATAGGACCAGGGAAGCACATGTGACATAGATGAAAGTTTACTGGACTTGTATTTGGACTTGAGTTATTCATTTTTCCATTCATTTAACCAATATTTATTGAGTATTTACTATATGCCTGAACCCAAACTAGGTAATTGAATACAATGGTGAGCAAAACTGACATAATCTTATTCTCACAGAACATAGAATTTAAGGAGAAAGATGGACATTAAAAAGTGAATACAGTGTTTTTAGTTTCAACATGTACAGATCTTGGAAATCTTCATTTCTGTCTTTAAAACAAGAAAAAATTTGAACAAACTGAACATTAATGACTTTTCTTGGACCCATCAGAGAACTGAGTTCACAGGGTACCATATTTCAATCTGGAAAGAAAGGTAAATTTAGGGAGTTATAGCAGAGATATGCTTAGCTGGAGCAGAAATCAAACTGGTAAGAACATATAAATGATGATGTTGATAATTCTTGACATATGCAAATTTTAAAGAAATTATTTAAAACGTCAGCAGATCCCAGGATGGAATTCAGAATCTAACTGTATTACAAATGTGTGAAACAACCACTGCATTGAAGGTACTGGGGAAAAGAGCACCAACCTAACTGGAAATGAGTGGAATCTATAAGACTAAAGGCAAAAAGAACTGCACATAAGCACTGTACTCTAACTGATAAAGTTGTTTCCCACAGGAGTATGAGGTAACAATTTGATATCACTATATGTGTATATCAGAATTGAAAAACAAAGCAAATGGATGTAAATGGTGGGTTTCTCACTACTGGAATGGGGGGATATAGATAAACAAGAGGAGAATGATTCATGTGGTAATGGATTAGAGTTGGAGATATCAGTATAAGCTCATGTTTAGTCTAATATAAATACTAGCCTGATGAGACTGAGAGTATGGAAGAAGGCCAGTACAGTTTGAGAGGAGAAAGAGTGAGGGTCCATGGTAGGCCAGGCTGCTGAGGCCTGCTTGAGGCAGACCATGCAGGACCTTGTCTGCATGTCAAAGCATTTTCATGTGTATCCTTAGGGCACTGAAAAATCATAGAACGGTTTTAACCAAGGCATTGATGGCATCTTTTTGAAAAGATCTCTAGCTGAAGTATAGAGAATGGATTAAAGGAAGGCATAAATGTATGTAGGTTAGAGCAGTTATGAGGATACCACAGTGGACAATGTCAGAGGCAATGGTGGCTTAGTCCAGGGATGGGGAGTGGGTGAGAGTAAATGGCATTAGAATCTCAGCTCTACCTAACTAGCAGTTTGCATGTGAGTAAGTTACTTGTCCTTATGAAGGAAAATTAAAAACACTTAGGGCAAATTGTTGTCTTACTTAATTTTATAGATTTCAGTCATGGACATCCTACAATCCATGCTAGCATTTATCACATGTGTAGTTAACAATATTTCCCAATTTCATCCCAGCAGTTTAAGCCATTTCTTCTCATTAAAACTCATGTTAAAAGAGAGAGTAATTTGCTAAATATTTTTATATACTTTTTCTTTTACTGGAAAATAGTTATCAAAATATATAAATCTGTATATTTTTGCCTTCCTTTAATTCATATTCTATAAATTTAAAATTGATTAACATTACCTGTCTCAATTTTCTCTCTTGTTAAAAAATATGACATTCAGGACAGATCCAATCATAGTTATCTCTTAAAAATATCAACTTTCTTACAATTAGCAATGTTTGAATGTTGTTTCAAAAACTAATGCTAAAATTGAGTAGTAATTTCCCTAGTCAATAAAGCATCTTACTCTGTTTTGATCATCACATTTCAAAAGAAGTTTTTAGTGCTAAGTCTCAAAAACAATGACATCCTAAAAAACATGACAGTGAGGAAAGGTTAAATGAGTTAAAATTATTTACCTTACATGAAAAGAAAATGAAATCATGATTTTATGACTATTTTCCAGGAAAATAAAAATTATATAAAAAGATTTAGTGAATTATTCTCTTTTCGCATAGGTTTTAATGAGAAGAAATGGCTTACATTGCTGGGAATGAATTGGAAATACTGTTAACTATGCATGTGATAAATACTAGCATGGATCGTAGGATGTTCATGCCTGAAATCTGTAAAACTAGGTAAGACAACAATTTGCCTTAGATGTTTTTAATTTTCCTTCATAAGGACAAGGTGGTTGCAGCAGAAGGCCCCTGGAGGTCTCTTTCAACCCTTTCATTCCATGAGAGAAGGGATTAGTATCTACTGATTCTGACTTGGTGACAGCTGCTTTTATCATGTTCCTTAATCCTTACAGTTATCCTGTGAGGTTGGGTAATTAATACTGCTTTATCCATCTCAAACACTTTTTTCCTTCAATTCTTTCTCCATGCCCTGGAAAGAGCATCTTTTCGGATGTGATGGAAATAACAATTGAGCCTCCAAACTGCTTGTAAATCTTTTTTATGTGTAGCAGTTAAACTGTTTATAGTCACAGACTCAGGTGCAAACACGAAACTTTATTCCTCATTTCTGCTTGGTGGTGAAAAACATCATTTTGCTAAGCTAAGGAAACTCAGTCACTGCCAGTTTAGAGCTCAGGCTCTGTAGCCTCCCTCCTCCCCTTTCTTCCCCTTATCTCCTTGAGAGGTGTCTGGAATTAGGGGAGATTCTGCCCTATGTAACATCATGAAGTGGGTGACATGAAGATCCAAGATCATCTTCTGACCTTGCTTGTCTGTACTGATGGGTGCCTTGTGCTAGCAGGTCCTGAGGCTTCGCATCTCGTACTGCTGCATCTGCTGACAGTGTCATTTCTACCACAGCCTTTAGTTAGCTGGATACCATGGTATGTATTAGCCTTACCTCAGGCATGAGCTTTCTTTTGGCCTACTGTTAATTTCTCTGCCTCTCTTGGAGACCTGAGCGAGGTCTCCCATGTAGCTTTAGATCTGAAGGAGACTTGGAGGGAACGTATCAGGTCCACACCCATTGCTCATCCACTCTCTGGTGTTGTTTGAATGCAAGGCTTCTCTTAGAGATATGCATTCTCTTTGGGCTAAACTTTGGAAAGAAAGGCTATATCCTCTCCACCCTAGGATCCCTCTAAACTGATCTGCCACCTGGGATTAAAATAGAGTAGGAAAGTGTGGCAGAAGTTTTCTCAGGTGCTCCACATTCATATCTCTCTTTTGCTTTTCTTTTTAAGTTCTTGTCCTCTTTCTCCATAGCCCATAATGGGTTTTAACCACCTATCTGGGTGTTAAGAAAGATATTCTTGTGCCATCACTCATTCTTCTCTGCTGTATGTTTTGAGTTTTCCAATCTTTGCCTTTAATCAATAAAGCCAAGCTTTTTGAATTCCCCCTAAGTCCACCAGAAACTTCCCACAGAAAAACCAAGTAGCATAAAACTATTATGTCTTTCAAATGCCTGGTTCTTGCACTGGAAAGTCACTACTTTCAAGACATTTTGGAACAAAAATCCCAAAATTTGACACTCTTTTCTTACTGGATTCTTTATATTCTCTCTTCTAGAACAATAAATCTTAGCTTAATGGTCTATGTTTTTGTTTTGCTTTTGTTTTAACTAACTTTGATATTGAAATATACACAGAGGTGTGCAAAAAAAAAATAATAAGCATACAGCTTATTGGCTTACTGCAAAGTGAATACTAGTGATACCATCACCCACATCAAGAAACAGAATTTTACCAGTGCCCTAGGAATCCCTTAGCCCCACTCCTTCCTCAGATACCACTCAACCTTCAAAAGGACCACTGGTCCAATTTCTTTTTTTTTTTTTTTCTTATTTTTTATTTTTGAGAGAGAGTCTCTCTCTTTCGCCCAGGCTGGAGTGCAGTGGTGCAATCTCGGCTCACTGCAAGCTCCACCTCCCCGGTTCATGCCATTCTCCTACCTCAGCCTCCTGAGTAGCTGGAACTACAGGTGCCCGCCACCACGCCTGGCTAATTTTTTGTATTTTTAGTAGAGGTGGGGTTTCACCCTGTTAGCCAGGATGGTCTCGATCTCCTGACCACATGATCTGCCCGTCTTGGCCTCCCAAAGTGCTGGGATTACAGGTGTGAGCCACTGCGCCCAGCCCCAGTTTCTAATACTATGGATTAATTTTACCTGCTTTTGAATTGTATGTAAATAAAATCATAGAGGATGCATTGTGTTTGACCTGTTTAGCTCAATATTACATTTGTGAGAAGCATTCCTATTGTTGTTGTGTAGCAGCAGTTTGTTCATTTTCATTGCTGTATATTGCATTGTATGATTTTCCACAATGTATTTATCCATTTTATTGTTGATGAATATTTAGGTTGTTTCCAGTTTTTGGCTATTGTAAATAATACTTCTAAAATAACTCTTGTCCATTTCCTTTGGCATACATTGTATGCATTTATGTTAGATAAACTCTTTGGAATGAAAATATTCATCTTTCAATTGCAGTACTTAGTCTAGATACAATATTATTCTTTTAATAGCTTCCTATCTTGACTTCTTGCCTTTCTCTAATGCATTCTCTAAACTATAGATGGAGTACTCTTCCTAAAATCAAGCCATATCCTATAATTTATGTTTTTAAACCACTTCAATTGGGTCGCATTGCTTGGGAATGAATTACAAACCCCTTCCATGGCCCACAGGCCTTCTGCTAGTTGGCTTCTGCTTGCTGCAGCTTTCACTCTTTGCTCTAGCTAAACCTTGTTCACCTTTCCTAAATGTGCTCCTTCACAGATGTTTACTCTGCTATAAACTCAGTTTTCTTTCACTCTTTGCCCATCTCCGTCCCCACTCCTTTCTATGATTTTATCTGGCTAACTTCTACTTACTTCTCAAGTCATAGCTGGTCATTTCTGAGATAACATGGAAGGTTGAATTGTCAAATTCTGGGCATATGGGAAATCACAACACTCAAGTGAAACATGGAGAAGTCTGAGCATGTCAACAAAGTCACCCAGTTCTGTTCTTCCCATACTAGGATGTGTATTAGAACACATGAGGACCTAAATGAAGCTTCAGTGATATTACTTACATAAAGGGAGTCATTTCAGTAATGGAATATCTCTTTTATTTGACAGTTTACATGACATTTCCTAGTGAGCTATGTTTCATAAACTCATAAATTCCAGCTTTAGTTATAATAAGCAACCTAGATAGACCACAGTTAGGACATCTCATAGAAAGGACTCTCCCCCTAGAAAATACTATCAGCTCTATCATTAGTGTGATTACAAAGGGTTTGACTGTGGCATCTCTTCCTAGAGGTTGATTCTTGGCAATCTCTTCCTTCTCCTGGAGGAAGAAACAGATTATAAACCTGCTGTTAATCCTTTTCTTCCCAGTTTCCTAATGTAAGCACTTCTGACCCTCTAAATCTGGACTGGTATCCCTACCAATATTTCTGTAGTTTTGAGTTTCTTCCACCCAAGTGATTGCCAGTGTATTATAACTTCTTGGTCCATTGTTGCCTGTAGCCTCTTCAATGCTGTGAACTCCGTGAAAATGATGATTATATGTAATTGTTTACCATTGTATGCCTGATGCCTGGCAGTGTGCCTGAGACATACAAAAGACTCAAAAACATATATGAATTGGTATATCTGTTCCTTTAAACTAAAGTCATTTGTTTATTCAGTATGGAAACTTGTTTGAACAAAGTTTATATTGACTTTAGTAATTTTAGCATAGCAGAAAGAAAAAGATTCATGAGTTTCTTGTACAAACCTTGTCATAATAATTAGATTTTTATATTCTCATCAAATATGAGGCATAATATATGTATTTGACCTTTTTGGAGATATATTATTTATTCCCAAGCACATTTCCACTGACTTACATTTTTCTGTTTCATGATCCTTCTGTCTTTTTTTTTTTTGTCATTTTCTCACTCTTCCGTTTCTCTTATTTTCCATTTTTACCTATTTGTGATTTACATTTTCCTTTTGTCTTTTAAAAAATCCACTCCCTTTCCTTAGTTTTTGTCACCAGATAGATAGAATTTTAAAAATTAAATTTCCCGTCTGTTTGAATTCAATATTAAATAGTAAGATTCTTGTTATTAAAATAATTAGGAGTTTAGAGCTAGCTTTTTTCCATGAAGGCTCGCCTCCAGTTTATCCAGGAGGCTAACTGATAAGATTATGATAAGCCTGCTAACACTAAGTGACAGTTCCTAAATTATGCTAAAATATTTCAATGAAAAGTGATATATTCAATCATTTATTTGCATTCAAACAATACTCCAATACATTTAATAATAATATTGAGTTTACTTGATACCTAACATTTTTCTGAAAATAAAGCATCATTCACTTAGGGAATCTAGCACTGACTGCTACCACATGGGTTCTTTTGAATTGGACATGCCATTGCTTTCTTGTGCACTGGCTCAGTTGTGCCAATCCTTTTTCTCTAATATGTTTCTCTATTCAAATTACTACCAAATCTTTATTCAGATAGCATTCATAATTACAGTGAGTTTTCACTGAGTATGAATACATCATTTATGTAATTAGTCTACCTCTGTTCTTATCTCATTAGCTAGTTTATTATCAACAATTAAAGTAGTACTACTTGGCATCAATGAAATTATAATCATAAATGCAAACATGGGCACTGAAATTATATTACAATAGTCAGCAATATGATGCTTATCTAGATGTTTTAAAATAAGTTTGTATTAATTTTGTTCAGATTATTATGAAAATAGATACACAAAAGTTAAAAATTTTATAAACAACTCTCAGGCCCTTGAGACTATGTTTTGGATCCCCAGAGGGTAACATATATTAGTTTGAGAAATAATAGCCTCTTCCTTTAATTCTTAGACCAGTGAGTCCCAAAGTTTGGTTCCCTGAACAACAGCATCTGAGTCACGTGAGAACTTGTTAGAAATGCAATTCTTGGGATCCATCCCAAATCTACTCAATCAGCAGCTTTGGAGATAGGGCCTAGCAATTTATGTCTTTCTGGTAATTCTGACGCACAGTAAAGTTTGAGGACCACTGTCCTAGGCTATAAACAGATGCTATTTGCCCTGGATAGAAAAGGCAAGTAAGGCAATATAGCTAGCTGTATGTATTCTAGGATATGCATGTGATCTGATGTACATAGCGTAAATCATTAAAAGGCTAGTATTCATGTAACAGTGACTATAGTAAGAAATAATTTTAAGTAAAAAGAATAGAACTGGATTTTTTGAAACACAAAGGATAAATGCTTGAGGTGACGGATAGTCTATTTACCTGATGTGATTATTACACATTGCATGCCTGTATCAAAATATCTTATGTAAACTATAAATATACACACCTACTATGTACCCACGAAAATAAAAAATATAAAAGGCTAGTATTCAATCTCAATCACATAATGGGGCAGGTTCTCACAAGTTTAAAGCATCAAGAGGGCAGTAGTAAAACAAAAATGTTATTCTAAGATTGGAAGACGGGGTACTGTGATCTGGACTCTAATTCTTATGAAGATAAAGCTGAGCCAGGAGAGATTGGGGGTCTGGGAGCAACGATGTGAAATCTGAGGATTAGGGGTTAATAACCAGTGTCTATGGACAAACCGAACATAAGTTCTAAATCAGTGGTAGACAATATTTTCCTGACTTTCTGTTGGACCAGCTAAAATATGTTATTATTGTGATGGGGTATACTTCTACTGTTCTTAAAGCTTTGGTGTCCTGACAGTTACGGTTTCTAGAGGTATGTTGAGGGCTATTCTATGAAGCTGAATTTAAAAATGTATCAGAATGTTAAGGTCAGCTGCATCCATCTGGATGGCATCTTATTCAGGGTTCAGTATGAGCTTCACTTCTCCAGAAAAATTAACCTCACCCTATAAAGGATAGGTGAAGGGTTCCTCCCATGTGCTCCATAGTGCCGTGAAATTCTCTTATCATAGAAATCTTGGACTGTAGTAGAAGGGCCTTGTCATCTACCTATCTTCTACAGAATAATTTTTCTACGGTCATTTGGAAATTTAACATCAAAAGTTGTTATACTGTGATATGTATATGTGTGTGGGGAGGGGTGTGTGGGTGTGGGGGTGTGTAAAATAGAGGACTAAGCAGAATTACTTGATTCTATTAACTGTTTTTGGGCCCATCTGTGGTATTCTAAGCACTGGAGTGGGGTTATATAAAGAGCTGCCCTGTTCTTTGAACAACAGCCACAGTGAAGATCTGTCCACTGTATGCCTAGTATAGTTTACCGAGTCAGCAGTAGAAGGGGCAATCTGTTTTGTTGCAATGTACATTAAGAAAGCAACAAGACTGGCTGGGTGCAGTGGCTTACACCTGTAATCCCACCACTTTGGGAGGCTGAGGCAGGCGGATCACCTGAGGTCAGGAGTTCGAGACCAGCCTGACCAACATGGTGAAACATCGTCTGTACTAAAAATACAAAATTAGCTGGGCATGGTGGCACATGCCTGTAATCTCAGCTACTCGGGAGGCTGAGGCAGGAGAATCGCTTGAACCTGGGTGGTGGAGGTTGCAGTGAGCTAAGATCGCACCATTGCACTACAGCCTGGGTGACAGAGTGAGACTCTGTCTCAAAAAAAAAAAAAAAAAAAAAGGAAACAACAAGACTTAAAATCTTTCTAAGATAAATTTTATTCTTTATTGCAGGGGTCTCCAACTCCTGGGCCATGGACCGATATCAGTCCGTGGCCTGTTAGGAACCAGGCCTCACAGCAGGAAGTGAGCGGAGGGTGAACAAGCATTACCACCTGAGCTCTGCCTCTTGTCAGATCAGTGGCAGCATTAGATCCTCATAGGAGCACGAACCCTATTGTGAACTGCACGTGCAAGGGACCTAGATTATGCGCTCCTTATGAGAATCTAACTAATGCCTTGATGATCTGAGGTGGAACAGTTTCTCCTGAAACCATCCCCTCACCATCTGTAGAAAAATTGTCTTCTACGAAACCGATCCCTGGTGCCAAAAAGATTGGTACTGCTGGTTGTCTGCTAGGTACCGTACTAGGAACTTGTGATAAAACGATGGGTAAGATTTAGCTTCTGCCTTCAAGGAACTTATACTTTAGTGATTAAAACAGGCATGTGAACAGACTACAATATGACATGCTAAGTGAAAAAAGGGAATTTTGTGCAATTACAGAAACAGCATACACAGGAAGAAGTTATTCTCTATATAGAAAGCCTTCAATATGAGGTGGTCTCTTTTCTTTCTTTCTTTCTTTCTTTCTTTCTTTCTTTCTTTCTTTCTTTCTTTCTTTCTTTTTTTCTTTTTTGAGAGAGTCATGCTCTGTTGCTCAGGCTGGAGTGCAGTGGCACGATCTCAGCTCACTGCAACCTCTGCCTTCCGGGTTCAAGCAACTCTCCTGCCTCAGCCCCTGGAGTAGCTAGGACTACGGGTGCATGCCACCAGGCCTGGCTAATTTTTGTATTTTTAGATGAGATGGGGTTTTGCTATGCTGGCCAGGCTGGTCTTGAACTCCTGACCTCAAGTGATCCACTCACCTCGGCCTCCCAAACTGCTGGGATTATAGGCATGAGCCACTGTGTAAAGCCATGGATCCTGTACTCTTAATCACTACCTGACACTGCAGCATCTTGAATAAGTGGTTCTTTCTTGTGAACCACTGTGTTCTTCTTTGACCACCACCACCCCCAGTTCCCAAATTAAAAAAAAAAAAAAAAAGAAGAAGGATACTACTAATGGAAACAGATTCATGTCTAACCCAGCTGAGGGTTTCTAAACTGGGTTTTGAAGGATAAATAGGAATCTTCCAAAGAAACAAAGAGAAGGCATGGGGGTGGGGGTAGGAAAGAATTAAAACCAGCATCCTGGTCATAATTAAAACCACAAAGTGGGGGCTTCCACTTTGAGCAGTATTGTGGGCTAAGGTACCATTTAGCTGTCTCTGCCACAGCAAGACATTTTGAAAATGTGTGTTAAGTTCACAACAAAGTATAGAAAATCTTGAAGGACCAGAAAATGAGAAGGAAATGTTAAAATCACAGAAGCAAATAAACATAGACATGGAACCTAGTGTTGCTCTGGGGGTAAGAAGCTTTATCCATAACCCAGGGCTTTATGTATCAATGACCACTGGAGTAAAGACTAAGTTTGGACACTTGACTCTCTGTTAGGCAATACTCACAGACTGAAAAATGCTGAGAAAACTAGATAACAAATACTAGATATTATCTTAAATCTGCAAATCTTTTAGCAAAATGTGGGCTTGGCTAAGCTAATGAATAACCAGCCTACAATGAAAATGCCATGTGATTGCTGCCATAGAGACACATGCACACGTATGTTTATTGCGGCACCATTCACAATAGCAAAGACTTGGAAGCAACCCAAACGTCCAACAATGATAGACTGGATTAAGAAAATGTGGCACATATACACCATGGAATACTATGCAGCCATAAAAAATGATGAGTTCATGTCCTTTGTAGGGACATGGATGAAGCTGGAAACCATCATTCTCAGCAAACTATCGCAAGGACAAAAAACCAAACACCGCATGTTCACACTCATAGGTGGGAATTGAACAATGAGAACACATGGACACAGGAAGGGGAACATCACACACTGGGGACTGTTGTGGGGTGGGGGGAGGGGGGAGGGATAGCATTAGGAGATAAACCTAATGCTAAATGACCAGTTAATGGGTGTAGCACACCAACATGGCACATGTATACATATGTAAGAAACCTGCACGTTGTGCACATGTACCCTAAAACTTAAAGTATAATTAAAAAAAAAAGTAGAAGGCAAAGAATTGAAAAAAAAGAAAATGCCATGTGATTGATTATGAGGGTGTATTCAAATTTCTGCTTCATGTGATAGTCTATGCTTTAGGAATTATAATGGAAAGTATAAGAGATAGAAAATATGAGATAATTTAACTAGGGAAGGAGAAAAATTGGAAAGGTGAGATAAAGCTAACCTAATAATTCTAGTCCCCAGTCAAGAGCCTGGATAATAATGAATTTGTACTTTCCAGTGACACAGCCTTGTGCTAAGAATCAAAATCCTTCTGAAAGCCAGGATAAATAGTAGTTCCCAAGACAACTCTGAAGCTGTACAAGCAGATCCTTTGAGGAATTTCCATAAAATACAAATGACAACTGCAAAAATAAGGAGTTCGTTTGAATCTGCAGAGGGACATAAATAAAAATGAGTGAAATGATGTCAAAAATGATAGAAAGTAGTTGCAGAAGTAAGTCACTAAAAGGGAGGAAAGAATAAAATGCTTTGAAGCATTTTCATATTGCAGTGGAATGGATGAATTTCATAATGAACTCTGAAAGATAGTCATTTATGTGTGCTTGCATTCATTCACTTAGTAAACACTGAAAGCCAAGTATGTGTCAGATACTGTGTAAAAAGCCAAAGATACACAAAATGAATAGAACTCAGTTCTTGCATTCTGGAGTTCATGGTCTAAGGCAAGTCTTCATATAACAAATGATTGCAGGACGGTGAGATAATGGCTATAATAAGATACAGCAGTGACACAACACAGTGTAGGGTGGAAAGTGGGGAGGGAGGTATATGATTTTTTTATTTGAGAGGGAGCTTGAAGAACTGAGCTCCTCTTAACAAATATGTTTAAGTGTGACAAAATAGAGCCACACTAAAAACTCTCCCTGAGGACTAAATTAAATGTATTGATCCCTGGGGTGAGCACCTGCTTATTCTCAGAATCTTCTTTTTATTTTTAGAGTGCAGTATACCAAATCAGTGAGCAAAGCTATTTATGACTCCTCAAAGTAAAAAATCTGTCTTCTCCCTCAGTCACAGAGTGACCCTGCACACCTCCTACCTGCCATTCACCTCAGAGAGGATTTTGAAGTTAGGAAAGCTGGAGAAGATTTAGATTTGGGGACTTGTAAATCCCTTTCTGAGTTTACAAGTCAGATTTCATACAAATTATATTTTTGCCTATGTATATGCATGTCTATGTATATTCCAGCCAGTGTATATGCAATATAATGGCAAAATTAAAACATAAAAAAACAGCAAACAATGGCACATTCAGGTGTAAAGGAAATCAATTACATGTTATAAACTTTTAGACATGAATCTGTTTCCATTCGAGTATCTTTTTTTTTTTTTCAAAATTTGGGATCTGGGGGGTCACACAGATAATTATTACACAAAGAACCACTTATTCAAGATGCTGCAGTGTCAGGTAATGATTAAGAGTACAGGATCCACGGTTTTACACAGTGGCTCACGCCTGTAATACTAACGCTTTGGGAGGCTGAGGCAGGCAGATCACTTAAGATCAGGAGTTCCAGACCAGCCTGGCCAACATGGTGAAACTGCTTCTCTACCAAAAAATACAAAAATTAGCTGGGCATGGTTGTGGGCACTTGTAATTCCAGCTACTCAGGAGGTTGAGGCAGGAGAATTGCTTGAACCCGGGAGGTGGAGGTTGTAGTGAGCAGAGATCGTGCCACTGCACTCCAGCCTGGGTGACAGAGTGAGACCCTGTCTCGAGAAAGAAAAAAAAAGGAGTATGGGATCCAGAATCTGTGTGGCCTGGGCTCCATGTAAGCAGGGGCACTGACTCCTCAGGGACTCCAGGCACAATACTAAATTTAGCAGAGCCTTCGTTTCCTCATCTGAAAAACTGGGATGTACCTGCCATTCTTTCTTCACAATGTCATTGTGAGGATTATGTGGTGCTTGCAAACAGCTTAATACATGTGATGACAGTGATGATGATGAAGAGCCAACCAAGCTACAGGAGTGGGGCTTGGCCAAGGGAACCCTTTGGTCCAATGGTTTTCAAAGTTTCAGCATATTGGCATCACGTGGGGTAAGGCCAACTTCATGGGTATGTGGTCTGTGCAATCCTACAGGGCCTCATTCAAAGAAGGGCCCTGCACTCAGTTTAATGGTCTGCTGTTACCATCTTAACACTCTTAAAATTTTAAAATAAGAACTGCATGTTTTGTCAATGGACCCTACAAATCTTGTAGCTGTCCTGCCTGGAGAACGTTTAAAAATCTTCATACCTGAGCCCCAGTTTACATCAGTTAAATCAGAATCTCTGAGGTTGAGACGACAGACTCTTATTTTTTAAAGCTTCACAGGTAAGCCTTACATATAGGAAAGTTGAGAACCAGTGCGTTAGTTTTCTGGTTGATTGACAGGAGTCCAGGAAATTTCTTGCCTCAGTGACCTATATAACCTTGGCGGGAGAAACATTCTTTTGATATGAGTTTCTAAATGCAAGATAATTAACATAAGTTCTCCAACTTTGAAACCCATCTAGCACTAGGCTACCTATCTAGTAGGGATGCCTACCAGTGTCACCACATGGTGACAGATCTTAGAAAACTTACTCTGTTTAATCTTGAAATGGGGCTTAAAGTAACACCTACATCCTAGGTTGTTGTGAGAATTAAATGAGATAATGCATATTAAATGTTCACCGAAAAGCCTGACACATAGTGTGTTCAATAAATGTGAGCTATTATGAATGTTATGATTCCTACAGGTTTCTTTTGGTTTGATTAATACACAGATCCTTGGATGACCTAAAGACTCCTATCACAGGAACATCAAGATTCTTTGTTTCAAAGGACATTCTTAATTATTCCTCAGAGTATAGAAGTATAGAAGGCATTTAGTCAGAGGAAGATGTATAATGGTCTGAGGCAAGCCACATCACAGCATGGGGGCAAGTTGTGAATAATTTACTCATGCTGCCAAGCTGTCAAATGACGGTAGAGTTTTCCAAAGCAGCATCGGACCTGGTTTCTCAGACCTTCCTCCTTTAAGGAAGACATGGCTAATTGGAAGGAAAAAAAAATGTCCTCAGTCCTCATGCTCTGTGCACATCAACACATGCCATCTGTCACTCTTCTTCTCTCAGGCACTACCCCAGCCAACAGCATCTATCCATCATCAATTGATGTACATACATTTGTTCCTTGATCATTATTTTCCTGTTTATTCTGATGTTCTTCATTTTTAATGATAAAACAACAAAATAGATCCTACAAGTCACTTTGTTTAGAGCCTCAAATACTGCTACGATGCAGATAGTTAGGTTTTAAGCCTTAGAAGTGAATGAGGACAAAAGGAAATAGAAATATTATTGTCTCAAGGCATAAACAAGCCATAAACTTATGGGCTTAATTTTGCAGTTTGAAATTTTAATATCCTATTTTCTTCCATTTGAGAAATAACCAGCATTTTTCGAGTACCCTAGGGAGAAAAAAGTTATGAATGACTTTACTGGAAAATTACAAAGAACTGTGTAAACACTAATTTAATTAGAATTCAATAAGAAAGCCAAAATCCAGAAATTATCTGCCTGACACCTGGTTGACATGTTTATTTGGTATGTTAATTCTTAAGCTGGCAGAACTTCAGAATGACTTGGCAAGCCTTAAAAAAATCATCTAAAGCTGTGGGTCCACCCATGATCAATTAAATTAGAACCTTTAGAGATGAAGTTGGGGCATCAATATTTTAAAAATATTTCCACAGTTGATTCTAACATGTAGCAGGGTTGACAACATGAAATCCCCACTAGAAATGACAGGGATCCTTGTAGAAACCTCAGGGGCTGCATGCTTTAAGAACCTAGGAAAGTACAAAAGCAGTAAAAACAAACAAATGAACAAACAAACCAACCCAATCAACCAACCAAACCAAAGAACCTAACAACAAAAAATAGCCCTATTTGATATTATGGTTGAATTGTATCTGTAAGCAAACAATAATGGTTGTATTTGGTTTAAAAATATATATACATGAATGTACTTCCAAGCTTGTAGGCACAAGTAAAAATCCTTTCTTGGTAGACCTTTCCCATGCTCAAAGTAACTTCAGGGTTCCCAGCTCCCTGACCCTAAGGGTATCATGACCTTAGAGAAAATTCAGGGCAAAACACATTGTGGCTTTGATTATTCATAACTTTGTCTCACACTACTAGACTTCCTCCACTTAGCTAGATGTTTAGAAATCCCCCTGCATACCTCAGCTAGACCTGAGCTCCCCTGAAAAGCAGCTTTACTAATCCTCCTTTATTTCCCAGCCAAGAGTGGGATGCTTTTTTTCACTGTTTGTGTGACACAACCCCCCCCCCCACCCCAACTCACTGATGCATTCATATTCCTGAGTGACACCATACTCCTCCCAGGGACATAAGTGTGTAGCACGTTCTTCTGAAGGAAACTCTTGTCCTGAGTCCCTACCTTTAGAAAACTGCCTGTACATTGTAGAGGGGATTGCAGAGGACACCTTTACCCTAATTCCTGAGAGTGTGATCAGTCTAGAACCTGCCAGCTTCATCTGCAGTGCCTTTTCTGGTCCCTGTCAGATTCTGGAACAAAGCTGCAAAGGCAGCCGTTCTAGGCTGACTCTATATAGAGAGACATTATAAAGGAGGAGAGAGAAGGGAGGAAGGACAGAGGTGAAAAAGCATTTAATCACTTAGTAATCCCTGACAGTGGGCTACCCAATATAAACAATCGGATTAACACTGTTTGAAGTCTCTTCATTCAGGAGCGAATGATCCTTAGTTACTTAAGTCTGATCATGTCACTCCTCCTCTCAGAAATCTCCAATCATCTCCCAACCCACTCAGAAGACAGTCCAAAGTCCTTACTATGGCCCTAAGACTCCAGGGGGTCTGTACCCCCTGTTTCTTTTTCTTTTTTTTTTTTTTTTTTTTGAGATGGAGTCTCGCTCTGTCGCCCGGGCTGGAGCGCAATGGCGCATCTCCGCTCACTGCAAGCTCCGTCTCCCGGGTTCCCGCCATTCTCCTGCCTCAGCCTGCCGCGTAGCTGGGACTACAGGCGCCCGCCACCACGCCTGGCTAATTTTTATATTTTTTTTAGTAGAGACGGGGTTTCACCGTGTTAGCCAGGATGGTCTCGATTTCCTGCCCTCGTGATCCGCCCGCCTCGGCCTCCCAAAGTGCTGGGATTACAGGCGTAAGCCACCGCGCCAGGCGTGTACGCCCTGTTTCCTGGTTCTCATCCCTTCATGGTCCCTGGCTGTTCAGTGAAATTCAACCTCATTGGCTTCTGCTGTTCCTGGGAAGCGCCAAGTGCTTCGGGGCCTTTGTGAGTGCTATTCTCTAGGTCTGCAAGGCTCATCCCGCAGAATTCGGCAGGGCTACTCTTTCCCTTCCTTTAGGGATAGACAAGCTGAGCCTCCTTTATTTTTAAAATTTTTCTTTTTGGCTTTTTATTTGCAATAATTATAGATTCACAGAAAGTCACAGATAGTGATTAATTAAATTAGTCTCTAATAAAGCTAAATATGATGTGTCGGAAGATCTCTAAAATGACACTCCTTAGCAGATATTTTTTTCTCTAGAACACCGAGAACAGCTGTCCAACATTTCCGCTTGAATATCTCAGCATGGTAATTGATTGTAAGACACAGCAGGGCAAGGATTCTATCTGCTGTTTTCCACGCCAATTTCTCCCAGCACCCATTTCTCCCCAGCACCAAAAGCAGTGCTCAATATATATTTGTTGAATATATGCAAAATTGAACCCTTCCCCGTTCTTTAGCCCAACCACAAATCTGCAAGTTAATCCTGAATTTTCCCTTTTCTTTATGACATACATGGAATTATATAGCTATCGTTTTGGATTGTATACCATTTATATCTATGAAATCTGTCTCTATCTAATCCTATGGTCATCACTCTAGGTTAGACTTTGAACATCTCTCACTTGAATTATTACAAATATCTCCTACTGATCTTCCTACCCTGAGTTTAGCTCCCCTCTAATTCATTCTTTAGTCTGCTGCTAGAATACTTTTTTTTTAAGTAGATCTGATTGTGTCATTTATTTATTTTTTTGGCTTAAAACCTGTTACAGACGTCCTATTGTTCTCAGGATAAAGTCCAAACTCTCTAATATGGCTAATATGAATTGAATGATTGGATGAAATAATATCAATTGAATACTTTTCCTTTCTCGCATCAAATTCTGTACTGCAGACATACTGGCACTGAGCTCTGTCTTAGCTCAGAAACTTTGCAGAGTGAAATTTTTCCTGCTGCGTGAAGAGGCTTATTCCCTTCTCCACATCCATATGGGTAACTACTACTACTTGCTCTCATCCCCTCTTCAAGACTGGGCTATGTACCTTGTTGAAGCGCCTCCCCCAAACACACACATTAGTTTGTAACCCCCGTGAAGGTAAGGGTAGTGTCTAACTTGTTCTGCATTGTATTACTAGCACCTAATACTGTCCCTGGTACATAGCAGGAATTTAGCAAATGTTTTCTGATCAAGTGACTCTTGTTCAGGTATGATGATTAGGGTATGTGATGCCTAGGAGGGCACGCTGTGTTGTTTAAGTTTAAATACTGATATGGTTTGGCTGTGTGTCCTAACCCAAATCTCTTCTGGAATTGTAATCACCACCTGTTGAGGGAGAAAAGTGATTGGATTATGGAAGTGGTTTCCCCTGCGCTGTTCTCATGATAGTGAATGAGTCTCACGAGATCTGATGGTTTTAAAAGTTGCAATTTTTCCTGTGCTCACTCTCACTTCTCTCCTGCTGCCTTGTGAAGAAGGTGCCTTGCTTCCCCTTTGCCTTCTGCCTTGATTGTAAGTTTCCTGAGGCCTCAACAGCCATGCGGAACTGTGAGTCAGTTAAACCTCTTTTCTTTATAAATTACCCAGTCTCAGGCATTTCCTGATAGCAGTGTGAGAATGGACTAATATAAATACCTAGCACTTAGAACAAGCCCTAAATATACATAACAGTTTGTTTCCTTAGGAGGACTGTGTAGGCTGCATGCATGTATCCCCAGGACCTAATACTGGACCTAGCACATTGTAAATGCTTAGAAAATGTTTGTGAAATGAATGTTGTATATATTATGGCAGCACTATTTTTAAATGCATTCTAGCTTGGTTCTGATAGAAAGACAAAATAGTGGCAAGAATGAGAGCTTATATAAAGGAAAAATTCAAATTATTTTGCTTTCTTTAATGTGTACAACTATGTAACTAACCTGCACAGTGTGCACATGTACCCTAAAACCTAAAGTATAATAAAAAAAGAAAAGAAAAATAAAAAAAAATAAATAAATAAAATCGAACAATCATAACAACAACAACAAAAAAAAAAAAAAAAGGATATCCTAATTGTTTTTTAAGGGACACGCAATGTAAATATGGTATTCACAGGGTAGCAAACACACACACACTAAAGTTTTAGAAAGGTAGTGTGGTTAAGTGGTTAAGAGCCTGAGCCTAGGAGTCAGACAGACTTAGAATTACATGTTGCTTTTATCACTTATTAGATGTGGAAACTTAAATTACTGAATTTCCCAAGTCTCATTTTATTCAATTGTAAGATGGGAATAATAATATTACCAAAATTTTAAAAGGATCAAGTGAGATAAATGCTATCCTCTTGGTATATTAAACACATAGTATTTCAGTAATTGCACCTCATATTATTATTTTCATTATTATTTAAAGATATTTCAGTTACCCTTCATGTAATTGAATTCCTGTTAAGCAATAGCGCATCCTTTGTGTTTCTGGTTTTGTTTTGTTTTGTTTTTTTCGAGATGTAGTCTCGCTCTTTTGCCCAGGCTGGAGTGCAGTGGTGTGATCTCAGCTCACTGCAACCTCCGCCTCTCCAGGTTCAAGCGAGTCTTGTGCCTCAGCCTCCCGAGTAGCTGGGACTACAGCCACGCCTGGCTAATTTTTCTATTTTTAGTAGAGGTGGGGTTTCACTATATTGGCTAGGCTGGTCTCAAACTCCTGACCTCATGATCTGCCTGCTTCAGCCTCCCAAAATGCTGGGATTACAGTCATCCTTTGTTTGTTTTAATGCCTCCCTGAAGCTATCTAGGCATCCATTCATTCACTTTGAATTGCCTTAATACCAACTTGCAACATGTCTAAGATTTTAAGGAAGAAAATGTGAAGAACTGGCCTACGATAGTCCTAGTCAACAGAACTTCTGATGCAAAAACACAAAGATTATGCATTCTGGAAACAACTAGAGAAACCCTGTGGAGATATCTGTAATGGAAACTTTAAAGTTATCAATATTGGAAACTTTATGATTCAGGTTTTAGCTGTTTTAACATGAAAAACAGACTAAGACTTCTTTTGCTGTGGGGTAATTGTGTAGATATTTTATGAACACTACCTCAGAAGATGAATGCTTAGGAATGACCAGTGGATGTATTGTGCATGAATGATGACAGAGTGCTGCACAACATTCTGACCTTTCACTCTCTTGAGAAAAGTGGAAAAAAAGCCAAAACTCGCCACATAAAATGTATTAGATATATGCATATATTCACACTAATGAAATTGTATACATTATGTACAATTTTTATATATCAATTGTACATCAATAGGGCTGTTAAAAAAAATTTCCACCAAATTAAATTTAAAAAATGTGTCAACTGATGCTCAGCAAGAGAGAGTAAAGAAACTGACTTCCTGAAAGGCATTCTCTAAGTTTCAAGTAATGAATCATTTAGAAGGAACATCTGTTGCATCTTGAAATGGACTGGGAGAAAAACATTCTCTGGAAAACAGAGAATTTGAACCTATGTCACAGAGAGTTTTACAAACAGTTTCCAAGACTACAATAAAAAAGACAATTAGATTTAGCACTCATGGCTACCAAACCAACATTCTATGGCATCATGGCAGCGTTATTGTTTTTGATCTATTATGAGTTCTGATCTTTAAAATTCTCCTGAAATAATCAGAAATAAAGTTTTAATGTTATCTCATTTGATTTCATGGTGCCTAAAAGTCTGTTCTCTAAACTTGGCATGCACTGAACTGTTGTCACATTGAGAACTAGAAGACTTCCTGTTTGAGATTGACTCTCATTGGCATTATTATGTGACAGAAAGGTAGTAGGCTTGCAGTCAGCCTAATTTGAATCCTGTCTTTACCACTGACAAGCTGACAGAATTTAGGTAATTTGGATGAGTTACTTCCATTCAATAGAATAGAGTTGCCGCATACATAACACAGGGACTATAATATCTACCTCTTAGAATTGTTGTACAGAATAAATGAGCATTTGATGTGCTCATTACAGAGTAGTTCTAAATGTTTTCTCTTTTATCTTCATAAAACTCCAGCCAACTCTAATGAAATCTCCTGACAAATGCCCTCGAGTCAGGACAGAGACAGAAAGTGTTTTGGGTAGAAATGCATCTTGCAGCGGTCCTTTAAACTCGTGGGTGGCTAGTGTCAAATTCTGTTTTCTGACGATTGGTATTTCAGAAGGGATCTAGTGTACTTGAATGATCAGCTTAGGGAAAAAAGTTCATTAATCTTTTGTTTGACATTTGATTTGTCTGTAAATAACCAAATATTTAAACATAATTAAGCCTGTTATTTATTGACACTTCCATGATCCAGGCACTTTTTATACACACTATTTCATTTTATCACCCCTAACTTATAGATGGAAGCTCTGAGATGAAGAGTTGGATTTTAAATCTAGTGGCAGAATCAGGGTTTAAATCCAGCCTGTTTGATTATAAAACCAGGCACCTTTTACTTCATCACTTTGCTTCCTCAAATCATTCCTTTTTCACATATGTGAATGTTCAAGGCTACAGCATTATTTAGCAATTGCTAATCAGTATATTCATATTATAATTCCATAGATTTGCTTTCCTTTGCTTTGCCCTATTTCATTTTTAACACCTGCATAGTGTCTTTAAAAGTATACATTAAATATCTACAACTGTATATATCAATCATATGTCAATAAAATGGTTTACAAATTAAATAATTAGAAAATGTGATCCAACTTTATGTCTAAGTAACCTAAACTCATGTTTGTAAGTTATATTCCTCTCTCCTTCCCTTCTTTCTTTCCTCCTTGCTTTTCTTCCCTCTTTCTCTTCCTCCCTTCTCTCCTTCCTTTGGTCATTCTGATCCATTAAATGTTACATATGCATGTACAGACATGTATGTATAGAAATGTAGCAAAGCACTCCAGCTGTGCATGCTTACAAGTGTTAAAATGTATCATGCCATGGAAGGACACTTTCCAAAAAATAGCAGGTTTGTAGAACAAGAATAAATGATACATGGTTGGCTGGGTGCAGTGGCTCATGCCTGTAATCCCAACACTTTGGGAGGCTGAGGCAGGAGGATTGCTTGAGCCCAGGAGCTTTGAGACCAGCCTGAGCAAAATGGTGAGACCCTGTCTCTGAAAAAGAAAATAGCTGGGCATTGTGGTGCCTGCTTGTAGTCTCAGCTGCTCAGGAGACTGAGGTGGGAGGATTGCTTGAGCCTGGTAGTTCAAGGCTATAGTGAGCCTTGATCACACCACTGTACTCCAGCCTGGGCAACAGTGAAATGCAGTCTCAAAAAAATAAAAATAAAAAATAAAAGAAGGATGGTTGAGTTCAGAGCTTGGCTTGAAAGGAAAAGCAGATTGTCTATAATACGGTATAGGACATTGGAGAGCCCGTCTACTTGCCTTCACATTTGAAATGTTTATATTAAAGTTTTTCTCCTTTCGACTAAGCTGTTGTTGAATTCTAAAGCACTGTTGTGAAATAAATCATTCTGAGAATAGACTTTGTGGTGCAAGGAGAAAAGCCCCATTCATTTAAAAAGGCCTGAAATCTGAAACATTAATTTTACAAATATTTATGGAGCCCCTGCTATACAGTAAACATTGAGTATTCAATGACAGAGCTGATCCCTGTTTTTATGGAGCTTACAGTCCAATTGAAACAAGTATTTTTAAAATTTAGTCAGAGAGAGGAACCAGGGTGAAACTGGAGAGCTATTGTATTAGTTCATTTCCATGCTGCTGATAAAGACATACCCAGGACTGTGCAATTTATAAAAGAAAGAGGTTTAATTGGACTTACAGTTCCACATGGCTGGGGAAGCCTCACAGTCATGGTAGAAGGCAAGGAGGAGCAAGTCCCATCTTACATGAATGGCAGCAGGCAAAGAGAGAATGAGGAAGTCGCAAAAGCAGAAACTCCTGATAAAACCATCAGATCTTGTGACGCTTATTCACTACCATGAGAACAGTATGGGGGAAACTGCCTCCATGATTCAATTATCTCCCATCGGGTCCCTCCCACAAAATGTGAGAATTATGGGAGTACAATTCAAGATGAGATTTGGGTGGGGACACAGAGCCAAACCATAACAGTTATCCTGGTTGGATATCCATGCTTGGGGTCCCTTTATTTGCCTGGACAAAGGGAAGGAGCAGGGGGTGGGACTCTTGGGGGAAGATAGCAAAATGATACTAAGACAAACATGGCCTCCTTCCTAATTTTACCTGTCACTAGCTCTGACCATGTGACACACATAGTGTAAAATACAAACATGCATCTCTGAACCATGGTAGACTGGATCAATACTTCTTCCATGTTCACTCTGTGGTTGTGGCACTCCTGGGCCAGGCCAAGAGTAAAAAACCCTTCTAATTTTAGATGTGTACCATCTAAAGGAAATAAGTTATGTCTAATAAGTTGACTGGAAGCTCTTTATTCCTTTCCTTCTGCAGAAGCAGATATTTATTTATTATATATATATATAATTTACCATCTTTATCATTTTTAAGTGTACAATTCATTGGTAATAAATACATATATATACTCCCCCCTTCATCCTCCCTTCTTCCTTTTCCCAGCCTCTTGTAACTGCCAATATGCACTCTATCTTCATGAGATCCACTTTTTATAGCTCCAACATATGAGTAAGAACATGCAAGATTTTATCCAGTTAGAAAACTGGATAAATAGAATTTGGGAACATTTCACTAGCCATTGAACTAGAACCTTTAGGGCTTATTCATGACATACCACATGAACAGTTGAAAAATACTCTTAGATTTCTAGAAAAGGTACAAAGAGGGAGAGAATTGCAATGGAAAATGGAAAAGAAGGAAGGGTCAACATATGTACAAACTAACTGCAGAAAAGTGAAATCAAATGGATTCCAATGAAAATCGATTATCATGGAGATCTGTGCTCTGGTTCTGGGCTAAGATTTTTAGAAAAAGAAAAATAACTGTTTTTTCTGATAATTAAGAGAACATATGTTGAAACTTGAAGAAATTAAGATATTATTTAAAGGGATTTTTATCTTGCCTTTTTCCACTAGAATGTCTGTGTAAAATGATTTACTAGGATCACTGGTCCTAAGGGTTCTGATTCTTTGGTTAGAAATTTCTCACATTCAGATAAATATCACCTGAAAACTAAAGAATTAAACTTTTGTGCAATAAAAGATATCATAAAGACCGGGTGTGGTGGCACATGCCTGTAATCCCAGCACTTTGGGAGGCTGAGGCAGGCAGATCACCTGAAGTCGGGAGTTTGAGACCAGCCTGACCAACATGGAGAAACCCAGTCTCTACTAAAAATACAAAATTAGCCAGGTGTGGTGGCACATGCCTGTAATCCCAGCTACTAGGGAGGCTGAGGCAGGAGAATCGCTTGAACCTAGGAGGCGGAGGTTGTGGTGAGCCGAGATCACGCCATTGCACTCCAGCCTGGGCAATAAAAGCGAACTCCATCTCAAAAAAAAAAAAAAGATATAAAAGCACATTAAAAAACAAACTACCAAATAAAAGAAAATATGCTACAAATATACAAGGGATATTTAAAATATATAAAAAACTTCCATAAAGTTTTAAGAAAACTCAAGCAATTAAAAAAATGGACAAAGGTCATGAAAAAAAAACTTACAGAAAAACGTACAAGTAGAGGAGAGGGAGAAATAAAGAAGCTGCAATTTAAAATAATGTGACTTTTGGCTGGGTGCAGTGGCTCATGCCTGTAATCCTGGCATCTTGGAAGGCTGAGGAGGGCAGATCACTTGAGGTGAGGAGTTCGAAAGCAGCCTGGCCAACGTGGTGAAACCCAGTCTCTACTAAACGTATTTTTAAAAGTTAGCCAGGTGTGATGGCAGGCACCTGTAATCCCAGCTACTCAGGAGGCTGAGGCACGAGAATTGCTTGAACCCGGGAGGCAGAGGTTGCGGTGAGCTGAGATAGCACCATTGCACTCCAGCCTGGGTGAAAAGAGGGAAGCTCCATCTCAAAAAATAAGTAAATAAATAAATAAAATAATGTGACTTTTGACCTTCCATTTAGAAAAATCTTAAAAGACTGATAATATCTAGCATGGGTGAAAGTATAGAGGAATAATTACTCTCATGTATGCTTGGTTAGGAGTATGAATAGATGCAGTGTTTTTGGAAGTCACTATAGCAATAAAATTAAAAATGCATATGCCATTTGACTCAGCAATTTCTTTTTTAAGGCTGATATCCTATAGGATTGCTGGAAGAAATGCAAGAAAAAAACCACAACAAACTTCATGATAATGCTTACTGAAGCATTGTTTGTGATAGTAAAATGCTGGGATAACCCATGTGTCATTGATAGATGGATGTAAGTAAATCATGGTACATCCACACAATAGAATAATATGCAGTTGACCAATGTTCTTCAACCTGAATGATGTATGGACCTTCTCTAAGAGATTTTTAAAAATTATTTCCAAAGGAAGCATGAGGACTATCTTTAAGTATAGACATTAGATACTATAAAATTAACTTAAATAAGAAAAATCAAGTTACAGATTTGCATGTTTAGTACAACATTCTTTAAGAAAACAAACTCAAGCTATATATCTATTCTATTTCTCTCTCTCTGAATGTAGAGAAAAGGCTAAAAAGTACATATATCACACTGTTAATAGTAATTACCTTTTTTTTTTTTTTACTGTACATGAGTCTGATTTTTAAAAATTTATTTCAATAATATTATGTTCCTTACCTACTTCTTTAATTAACCAATTTTTAAAATTAGAGATGGGGTCTCACTACGTTGCCAGGGCTGGTCTTGAACTCTTGGTCTCAAGCGATCCTCCTGCCTCAGCCTTTCAAAGTGCTGGGATTATAGGCGTAAACTACCATGCCAGGCTGTTATTTAATTTTTAAAAATGAAAATATTTTAGAAAAACAAAAACCCTTTTATCATAGGATTTATTTTAATCTTTAAAAATTTACCTTGGGATGAAATTTATGGGATTTAAGAAGTAGAGCAAGCCATACTTGATCCAAACACATAAATGTAAAATGAATTTTTCATTAGTGATCTCCGAAACCAAGTACAACTCAAATCAATGTGCATAAGAAAGTCAAACATTCTTTGTTAGTTTTTTGGGATGGTGTCATTCTAGCTTGCTCTAAAATATTTATTCATTCAGTAATTTATCTGCATTACATTTCATGTAGTACTGTGGACAGAAAATGTTCAGCATTTGTTATATTTGTATAGGAAAAATGCTCCATGAGATAGTTTAATAGTAGGAATCAAAGTACCTCAAAATTCAAACAGTTCAGGCCCCAGGAATAATCCAGAGTAGAGGATAGGAAGGGTTAAACTTCATGTGAGCCTTTGATTCTGACATCACAATTAAATTATACAAATTCCTAACTTGTGTCAGATTTTAGAGTTTGCAAAAACCTACATACCTGTTATTCCTGTTTGTGCTCCTCGCAATCCTTTAAGATAAGGGGGGCAGGAATTAATATCTCCATTTTACAACTGAAACTGAAAATTAGAGGACTTCAATGAATGAAAAATCTGAGTAGCTTATCCTACCAAGTGGCAGATTAGTTCATGATTCCTTATTAAGTGATAAGACTTGCCAAACACCAGGAATCTGGGGAAGAAGTGTACTCAAAGAAGTATGCTTGGACCAATCTGAAAAAAGAAAAAAAATTCAGTTCAAACTGAGTGAGTAACAATTCACAGTAAGAATTAGGTTATATCAAAAATTCAGTCAATTTTTCAAGGCAGACAGAGTTAACACTAGTAGTAGTAGTGATGTTGTGGGCAGCTATCAACTTGTGAAGGGATCAAAGATTTGCCTGCCCAAGGAGGTGTCTTCTTTCATAGTTTCTGAAAATTCCCTTGGAGTCACTTCCATTGTCATTGTCCCCAGGTGGATGTGACAAATGAATTAATGGCTTATTGGATGGTATGAAACCTTAATCACCTTTTCTCCTTTTTAAAATGGCATTTAAAACTTACAGAAACATTGCAAGAAGAGAACAAGAAATTACTGTACCCATTTGAGGTATTTTGAAGACGTCATGCTCCTTTACCCCTAAATACTTCATCATGCATTTCCTAAGAATGTAAATTGTCTTAAATAACCACAGTACATTTGTCAAAATGAAAAAGTTTAACATTGATACAGTACTATTGACTCCATATTCAAATTTTCTGAAGTGGCCTCAAACTGTATACAGATTTTTTTTTAACCATGTCTAGGATTCAGTCAAGTATTACCTTTACCTATTTTTGTCTTAATAATAAATCAACTATTCCAAAAATGTTGCAGCCTTTGTATCTGTTGAGTATTGGTGCAAAGTATCATAACACATAAATACAGGCTAGTGTCCAAATCCCTCCTCACAGTAGATGAAAGGATGGCTGGGATTGGTCCCACCAAGGTACCCTCTTAGGTGCCAGTGTCACAGTTTGGAGAATCAGTATTTGCTAAATCTTAAGGCAAGGGTTCTACCTGCTGCAGCATGGTCAGCAATTATTTTGTTAAACAGTTAAGGTAGATTAACATCCATAATCTACAGTTGAAGAGAGACCTAGATATTAAGTGACAGAATAAAATTTCCAACCCATGTCTGTTGCAGGAAGTCAGGGACCCCAAACGGAGGGACCGGCTGAAGCCATGACAGAAGAACATGGATTGTGAAGATTTTATGGACATTTATTAGTTCCCCAAATTAATACTTTTGTAATTTCTTATGCCTGTCTTTACTGCAATCTCTAAACATATGTTGTGAAGATTTCATGGACACTTATCACTTCTCCAATCAATACCCTTGTGATTTCCTATGCCTGTCTTTACTTTAATCTCTTAATCCTGTCAGCCGAGAAGGATGTATGTCACCTCAGGACCCTGTAATAATTGCATTAACTGCACAAATTGTACAGCATGTGTGTTTGAGCAATATGAAATCTGAGCACCTTGAAAAAAGAACAGGATAACAGCAATTGTTCAGGGAATAAGAGAGATAACCTTAAACTCTGACCGCCAGTGAGCCGGGCAGGACAGAGCCATATTTCTCTTCTTTCAAAAGCAAATGGGAGAAATATCGCTGAATTCTTTTTCTCAGCATGGAACGTCCCTGAGAAAGAGAATACGCGCCTGGAGGTATCGGCTTATAAACAGCCCCCCTGGGCATGGCCTGTCTCTTATGGTTGAGGCTGCAGGGGTGAAATAGACCCCAGTCTCCCATAGCGCTCCCAGGCTTATTAGGAAGAGGAAATTCCAGCTGAATAAATTTTGGTCAGACCGGTTGATCTCAAAACTCTGTCTCCTGATAAGATGTTATCAATGACAATGGTGCCCGAAACTTCATTAGCAATTTTAATTTCACCTCGGTCTTGTGGTCCTGTGATCTCACCTTGTCTCCACTTGCCTTGTGATATTCTATTACCCTGTTAAGTACTTGATGTCTGTCAACCACACCTATTCACACACTCCCTCCCCTTTTGAAAATCCCTAATAAAAACTTGCTGGTTTTTGTGGCTTGGGGGGCATCACGGATCCTACCAATGTGTGATGCCTCCCCCGGACGTCCGGCTTTAAAATTTTTCTCTTTTGTACTCTGTCCCTTTATTTCTCAAGCCAGCTGACGCTTAGGAAAAATAGAAAAGAACCTACATGATTATCGGGGCAGGTCCCCGATACATGTCTTTAGTATCTCAATCCAGTTGCTTACTGATTTCCACATCACCTATCTATTCCTTTCCTAAAATCATCTTAACAAATTTTCTGCCCATTAACATTCTGTGAAATTATTATACTTGTTTATATTTTATGCTTTTGTCCATGAAATTCCCTTTTCCTGAAAATACTTTCTTTTGGTTCTTTTCTCTTTTTTTCAAGATTTTACTCATGTTAAAAACCTTTCTTGAATGTTGCTTTCTCTGTAAAGGCTGTCCTGACATCTTCAGAAAGAATGTACCACTTAGTCTGCATGGCTCCAAAGCACTTTGCGGATCTCTATGTTAAAAAAAAAATTATTTCAGTATTAACTAAATATATGTCAATTCACAACTGAGAATGGAATGGCCTTGTCCTAGTACAGTGCCTGGCATATCATAGGTGTTTAATAAATTATTACTTAATAAATGAGCTTTCATTATTTATACATTCACTGACTCCAGTTGGCATGGGTCTATGAACTGGAGAATGTGTAATCTAAACTAACCCTCAGAAGCTAATACTCTCAGGCAACTGACATCTGAAAGATTTATAAACTCAATTCATTGCCTTAAATCACAAAGTCTTATAAAAAACTGGCCTTTAAAGTCCAACATGGCATGCTTTAATCAGATGACATCAATCTGACCATTTGGGAAATGGATTTTAGCTTGAACAATCCTTTACCATCATTTAGACTTGGTTATATGCAGTCTATTGAATCATTCAGATTCATTTCTATTTTTTATGTTGGAGGCTGCTAACCTAGTGGGGATCCCAGATGGAAACCAAATCTGTGTACACATGGGGAGTTAAGTTCTGGGGCATGCAGCTGTGACAGGATAGAGTCACCAGCAATTGATTTTCGTGAGGGAGGGGCCTAAACACCTCATTGTAGGCAGCTCACACACAATGAAGGAAAAGTTAAAAGATGAAATCTTTGTGTGAGTGCACTGGGAGTATTTTGAATTTAGCAGGAGTGTAACTTTTGGCTCAACACTACTGACACTGATTCAGTTATCTGAAAACTCGATACAGCCATTTTTTTTTTGGTCATACTACTTGCATACTGATGACAGAAATATTTTTATACTTTTAGAAAGTTGCTCTCCCAAGTTGCACGAAATATAACAGTGACTCTGCAATTTTCTACATATGTAAGCTACTCCCAGGTAATTCTTAGGCCACTACTGTTACTGATGTTGGAATGGGCTTCTGACTTTAGTTGGCTCAATCAGACTAATGTGAAAGACATATTCCATCCTTGAACAGTGATTCCTCTCTCTCTCCTCCTCTGGATATTAACAAAAGACCCTGTTATTCCAGTGGCTGCTGGTTGCCATCTTATGAGCCAACCACTTCAAACAGCAAACAAGAGAGCAATCAGACAAGAGAAAGGAATAAAGAGCATCCAAATCAGTAAAGAGGAAGTCAGACTGTCACTGTTCGCCGATGATATGATCACATACCTTAAAAACGCTAAAGACTCATCCAAAAACTCCTAGATCTGACAAATGAATTCAGTAAAGTTTCAGGATACAAAATCAATATACACAAATCAGTAGCACTGCTATACACCAACAACAACCAAGATGAGAATCAAATCAAGAACTCAACCCTTTTTACATTAGCTGCAAAAATAAAATATTTAGAAATATACCTAGCCAAGGAGGTGGAAGACCTCTATAAGGAAAACTACGAAACACTGCTGAAAGAAATCATAGATGATACAAATAAATGGAAGCACATTGCATGCTCAGGGATGGGTAGAATTGATAGTGTAAAAATCATCATACTGCCAAAAGCAATCTACAAATTCAATGCAATTCCCATCAAAATACCATTAACATTCTTCACAGAACTGTAAAAACAGGCCTAAAATTCAAATGAAACCAAAGAAGAGCCCCCCAGAGCCAAAGCAAGACTAAGCAAAAAGAACAAATCTGGAGGCATCACATTACCCAACTTCAAACTATGCTATAAGGCTATAGTCACCAAAACAGCATGGTACTGACATGAAAATAGGCACATAGATCAATGGAACAGAATAGAGGACCCAGAACTAAATCCAAATAGTTACAGCCAATTGACCTTTGACAAAGCAAACAAAATCATGAAATGAGGAAAGGATACCCTATTCAAAAATGGTGCTGGGATAATTGGCAAGCCACATGTAGAAGAATGAAACTGGATTCCCTTCTCTCACCTTATACAAAAGTCAACTCAGGATGGGTCAAAGACTTAAATCTAAGACCTGAAACCATGAAAATTCTAGAAGATAACATTGGAAAAACACTTCTAGACATTGGCTTAGGCAAAAACTTCATGAGAAAGAACCCCAAAAGCAAATGTAACAGAAACAAAGATAAATAGATGGGACTTAATTAAACTAAAAAGATTCTGCACAGCAAAAGAAATAATCAGCAGATTAAACAGACAATCCACAGAGTGGAAGAAAATCTTCACAAACTATGCATTTGGCAAAGGACTAATATCCAGAATCTACAAGAAACTCAAACAAATCAGCAAGAAAAAAAAAGTAATCCCATCAAAAGGGGGGTAAGGACATGAGTAGACAATTCTCAAAAGGAGATATACAAATGGCCAACAAACATATGAAAAAATGCTCAACATCACTAATTATCAGGCAAATGCAAATCAAAATCACAATGTGATACCACCTTACTCCTGCAAGAATGACCATAATTAAAAAATGAAAAAATAACAGATGTTAACATGGATGTGGTAAGAAGGGAACACTTTTACACTGCTGATAGGAATGTAAGCTAGTAAACCACTATGGAAAACGGTGTGGAAATTCCTTAGAAACTAAAAGTAGATCTACCATTTGATCTAGCAATCCCACTACTAGGTATCTACCCAGAGGAAAATAAGTCATTATATGAAAAAGACATTTGCACATGCATGTTTATAGCAGCACAATTCACAATTGCAAAAATACTGAACCAGCCCAAATGCCCGTCAATCAATGAGTGGATAAAGAAAATGTGGGGTGTGTGTGTGTGTATGTATGTATGTGTATATGTATATGTATATACCACAGAATTCTACTCAGCCATGAAAAATGAATGAAATAATGGCATTCACTGTAACCTGGATGGGGTTGGAGACCATTAAGTAACTCAGGAATGGAAAACCAAACATTGTATGTTCTCACTTATAAGTGGGAGCTAAACTCTGAGGACACAAAGGCATAAGCATGATACAATGGACTTTGGAGACTTGAGGGGAGTGTGGTAGGGGGATGAGGGATAAAAGACTACACATTGGGTACAGTGTACAGTGTACACAGCTTGGGTGATGCATGCACCAAAATCTCAGAAATCATTACTAAAGAACTTATCCATGTAACCAAACACTACCTGTTCCCCAAAAACTATTGAATTTTTTTTAAAGCAGTAGCTATGGAGTCATTCAGAACTGGTTCAATTGGTGCATATGCTGGAGCTGGCCAGTCCTAAATTGAAAGGGCAGATGGCATGCATGTCTTTCATATTCTGCTTCATCTAAATTCTACACTTGGATTCCCAAGGACTATTGTCTTAGTTAAGTCAATGTTTCCGAGTGCACAACCACTGTATCCCAAAGGGGTGGTTCCAGAGAATTTCCAAAATCAGCTGCATGCATTGTTAGAACCAGCCTTTCCACATACGCTCTTAGGCTGTGTTCTTAAGACTGGGTCAAAAGCCTAGACAGCTACCTTTTTGTCAAGGTAAATTTATTTCAGGTGCCCTGTTCCTATTTTTTGCCAATGAAACCTGACCGGAGCAATTCCAGAAAGCCCCATCAGACTTTCTTCCTAAGTTCTTCTTTCAGGCAACAGTGTTGAGGCTGTGTTCCTTTGACTTTCAGAAGTTCTCTGGGTTCCCAAGTAACTCTTCTGAGATCATGACCTGCTCAAGTTACAAAAGATTTTGGTTTCCTACACCTCAACAACCAAAAGGGCTACTCAAGTGAGTCTTGGCTTGATAAAAATAAAGGGGTTTAAAAATTTCTATACAAATAATGCAAGTTGAAATTACATGTGCATGTATATAAAATCAGAATATTACACAAATGCTGCTTTATATCTTAAGTACTACTACTATATAATTTTAATGATCCCATAATATTCCATCTATAGAATTATAATTAATCTTCTAATGTTGAATTTTTAGATTATTTCTAATTGCTATCTATTATAAATATTTCCTCACAATGAACACCAGAGCCATAAGTTTAAATGCTCCTAATTGTATCTTTAAAGACGTCTTTAATCTGAAAGACTGAACTCAAGGAAATCTAGAACATTGCAAAATAAATTTGAAGATTGGTTTGGAATATGTCACCAAGTCTAACAGGGAAATTGTGAGCTAGAACCATGCAACTATTCCTCTTTGTTGCAAACAATACCCAAGTAAGGGGCCCTAATTCCTCTTCCTTGGCTGTTCATTTGCCCCTGGTATGTTGGGTTCCATTTGCCTCTCAAATCCCCCTTTTCAGCCTTTAGTTCCTCCTCCATGCTTTCCCAAAGGTGACTCTTGACCAAGACCTTCCCCATTTCTGCCAGGTAGGCATGGGGCATTTCTGAGAGCCCAGTTCAGTGTCTCTCTGCTTCTTTCTCAGCCTTTTAGAACTTCCAGTTTACACCAGCCCTGATTTCTGGAGAAGCACAAAGAGGTGAACACAGAGAAATTTGTAAATGTTCCTAGTAGGGTAGGAGTTAAGAGCCAGGATCAAGAGCAGCGTTAAGGTCAGGGAGCTGACAGTCCACTTTCACAGTATAGATCCCACACCTTTCCTAGGTACCTTCCAGCTGTGACAGTTTATTTCCTATCTCTGACTCAGGCTATGTTTCAGCACCTGCACCTGGGCTGCACATTTCATTTATTTTTATCTTCGGTTTGCAAGTGTACAGGCTCCTATGTTTTACTGAGATCAATTGGCTTCTGACCCTATTCCTCCTTCTAACCCTCCTCAGATCTCCTGAAGACCCAGGAGCCTCTTCTGGTCTCTGACTGTCTTAGTAATGAAGAGGCTGTGGTGTTGCTCAGTCATTTATTCAGTCATTCATATTCATAGAAAAGCATAAAAACAATTTTCTTAATTACAGTACTTGATGCTGCGATGTGTCTCCCAATTTTCTGTGTGCGGTTTTCTCTGTGTAACAGGCACTCTGCATGAATTTGACACCTTTAATTGCTGGAGAAATTTCTCCAGGAGAGGTAATACACAAAGAGGGAAATAAGCTTCCAGGATTCCATTTAAAGAATGTTACTTGACTCTGGTCTTACTGGGTTCAGGAAGCCTGGCTGAGCTGCTGCTTTTTGATTTGCATGTACAAACCAAGATTAAACTTCTGGTTTGCATTCTTCATTTGCTTATGAAAGTTCTGTTTATTTACCTGCAGGTGGAGATTTAGACGTTACTCTCTCTTGAGATCACTGTGAAAGGAGAGAATGAATAATTTGATGGTCTCTAAAACATGGAGAGAGGCTGCAGCCTTTCACCACAAAATTGAATTTTGTGAATCCATCAGTTAACGGCTATGGAAAGTGGAGTGTGGACTCTGTGGCTTCCCTCCAAATGCACTAAAAAAAAAAAAAAAAAAAAGAAAAAAAGAAAAAAGTCAGTAGGTCTAGGTTTGTTGGGTAGAATGCTTTGTAATCTCAGTCCAGTCTACAGGATTTCAAAATAACAGCTGGAAGGCAGAATAAAGACCAGTGAATATGTTTGCTTTTAGGATCTTAACAGTTAAATCTCCCTGTTTGATTTCAAAATTCCACCTCAGCTTTATCAGATATTAGTTGGCCACACTAAGTAGATTATTTTTCTTTTTAGTCATTTATAGTCTAATGACAGCCAAATATGTTTTGTTTCATTCTGGCTCTGCCCCTCACTCATGTCATCTGAATGCTTGAGGCTGTTGCTGATTGAAAGACATTCTGAAGCCATAAGTGATATCTGATGTTAGTTGGTGTTAGTACTTCTTGTTTGGGTAGGGTTGAACTCAGATTTGAAGTAAGCTAGGGATCCCTTGAGTTTTTCTTTTCTTTGACATTTACTCTTCTTCTATGTTCCAAAAAGAAGAAGGAAATTAGCATATCTACTTTGTTTCTCAAACAGCCTGTTTTCAATACAATTGTAATTTTCACTGAATCGACACTGCAATTCAGTCTGCTGTTCTGGAGAGCCAGTGCCTGCTATTTACCTTTGCGAGTTGACTTATATTGGGGGGAAGATATGCTAGAGATGGAAGTTTTTTGTGATTGAGTGCCTGAGAGCAGAGGTGGAGGAGGCAGAAGACAGGGTGGACCCGGGCTGGATTTGATCTTCTAGCAAGAGAGCATTTGCAGTGGAAACTGACAGCCTATTTTCATGAGTCATTCTTATACACAGTGAAAAAGCAGTGACATTGGAACCAAGGTTATGGCAAAAGATGATATGATGTAGGAGATAGGGGATATTTACATGGAGCAGGGAAATAAGTGCAGTTCTTTATGACAATGGAAATTTTTGCAACTTTTGAAGTCAGAAGAGATGATTCCTTGGGTAAAGCTGCATTATCATGAGGGGAACCAGAAGCCATGGCAGCAAGAAGTGCTATCCTTTTGTGGCTTTGAGTCAAAAAGGAGGCTGAGGTTGAAGAACAAGATAAGCCCTGAGCAGTGTGATACCCACCCTGCAGGAAATATCTGAAGGGGAGGCTGAGGTTCTCTGTTTTAGGTAGGGAGGTTAGCCACCCAGTGAAATTGCATGTTAACCTTAATGTGACTTAGTTTATGCCCATAGGCTGGTGAAGTCCAGGGGAATACAAACTACATTTCCTCCTGTTTCACACCGTAAAAATATGTATTTGGGACTTCAGATTTCAATTCACTTGAAAACAGAGGCATTACATTTTGCCTTAGGGCACTTTGCATTAATGCCAAATTATTGGCAGAGATCACTCTTTTTGCTGCATTTCCATTATTTCAGCACATTTGCATCTGATGACTTTTTCTAAAATCTGATGAGATAAACTTTTCTATTTGTTTTGTGTTGTTTCAGAAATGGAAGCTTGCAGAATGTGAAATCCTACTGTGGTAATAAAAAACAAATGCAGAAATTGCTTCTGGCAGATGATAGTGTGTGGAATGAGTTAGTTGCCTTTTTTTAGCAAGAGGGGTGAGAGTGGAAGATGAGGGATGTCTGAAAGGCAACTTATGAACTTGTGGAAGTTTCGATGAGACTTCTAGAAAGTGAACTTGTAGTGAGAATAGTAGGAGGAAAAAGTGTGCCAAGAGTAACCCTAAAAACATTTTTAAAGAGCATTTAAGTCATTGTTTAGCAACTTAAATATTCAAATAATATCTGCTTATCTGTCTGGCTGGGTTGATCTATTTCTCTATCTCTCTATCTATCTGTTCATCAATGTATCCATTAATCCTCCTTAAATATATAAAGTCAATCTTTAATTGAATAAAGATCTTTACTTCAATCTGCAATAACAGATATAGAGAAAGTGTAGCTTTATGTTTATGTGTTTTTAATGTTAAAAATTATAGATTTAAGTTCTGACATATATTGCTTTTTTTGATCAAAACAGTGGCAAATTGAATAAGCTTTTAGAATCTTTTCTGGGAAATATTCCCTGTTTAGGAAAATATTGCTTGATTAAAGCATGAAGAATCTCTATTAATAAGCCCACTTTGTCCCTCCCTGATGTTTTAGTACCATGTTTTAAATAACGCTCTGTGAAGGATCAGAAAGAGAATGAATAGGAAGAAAATAATGGTAGAGAAGGAGGTAGAGAAGAAGAAAGAGAAAGATGATGAGAAAGATCAGAAGACATTTTAAAGCTGCCTTGAGGCCATCATGGTAAATAAGCTTGTAGCTCCTGTGACATTTTGATGCAGCAGCTTGTCCCAGAGGTTTTGGAGCAGGCACTTTTGACTCAGTCTAAGAAAAGAAAATTACTAAATGATTGGTATATTTTATTATCAAGAAATGTTTGAAACAAATATTCTCACCCTCGTCTTTAAGTTTTACTTCTTTGAGTTGTGTGTTGGGTATGAGGTGTAGGGGTTGAGATGGTTTGGAAGAGGAGAATAAAACTCAAGGCTGAGAAGAGGAAGAGAGGGCCATTACATATCACCTCTATACAAAGCACATAAAACCAAGACAGAAATGCTTACTAATTTTACATTCTCAGAAGGCACAGTCAATTGTTTTAAGCACAGACACTGTTTAGTCTTGGAGAATTCCCTGGAATTATAAATGGTCTCCATCTGACTACTTATTTATTGCCTTCAGTTGATTATGTGTTTGACATTTTCCCTATTGGACTGAATTCTTTCTCTGCTTCCACAGATAGATGACCATCACCTCAATACTTTCTTCTTAGTGTCTGCTTCATGTAGGCAGCAGTTTTGATGCTAGGTCCCAAACCCTCTAGCTCTTCTATTTGACTATATCATGTCAATCATAATCCATGGCAATATTAAATTTTGATAAAAATCCCAAATATATGCAACTGACATAAGAAATTAAAGAACGGTATTTTATACTGTTATAATTATAGAATGATTATTTTATAATCATCTTCATTGCCATTTCTGATCAGCAAGCAGAAGGGCATCATGAGATATAGCCTAGATGATCAATAAGTAATGGCAAACTCAGCAACAACCCAATTTGCCCAAGTTGTAGTTTGCCACCTGGCCATGGAAATCAGTGTTTTCACATCCTTCATATGTTGGCATTAAAACAATGTGTTCAATATGCCAAGCAAAGGGACAGATTCTTTCAATTGTCTCAGATCCTTCTGGTGGCCAATTGCATTCCTCCCTAAGAAAATGACTGATTGTGAATGAAGTAATGGTACTCACATGAAATATTTAATATTAAACTCTTAAAAACCATTCCCCCAATAAATCTAACCCAGAATGTGCTATTTGGAAGACTTCTCATTGATCTTTTTTAAATTCTATTTTTCTTCTCTTTATCTGTCTGTTGCGGTAATGTCTCAAAATAGTTTTGTACACATCTATCCAACCATGACAAATAGGACTTAGAAGCTAACCAAACAACTATTCTAATTGTTGGTATTATTGCCTATTTTTCAGAGTTTTTTCAGCTCAAGAGTTAGTCTTCCGTAAAAGTTAGAAGTTGTCACAATCATGTCACCTGTCATAATAGCCGAGGGCATGAGACATTTAACATTCAAGGTATGGAGTGTGGGGTAAAAGTTGAAATCCATTTAATCATCAGTGATGGAGTTTCTCTGAGGACAACTTGGCAAAGCCAGAGTCATTAGGAACTGCTAATGAAATGAAATTAGAAACTGCTAATGAAATGGAGTCAATTGGTATCCATTTCATATTGGAAAAGCATAACCAAAGTCATGAGTGGTAGGTAGGTTATATATTTTAGTTGATGAATAAATGTGTGTATGAAGTGAAGAAAGATGTTTGTGTTGACCCTGTGCTTCCTATGATTTATACTTCTGAAAATTCTGTAATTTGGCAATGTGTGTGTGTGTGTGCGTGTGTGTGTGTAGTTTGGAATTGAGATGGACTTTTCTGGCTTATATTGCTACATAAGAAAACATGAAACTGACTGACTCAAGGGATAGTCATTCAAAAAGATCCTTGCAATAAAAGCCCTGCTGCACTCAAATTATGATTTAAGAATTATGAGCATTGTTGGTCATTTTGAAAAGAGAATTTAAATAATTTTGCCATTTGGTTAATTTAAAAAAACTTTAGTGCCAAAATAATCTGGGGCCTTATAGGAGAAATATTCTAGATCAAACTACTTTTCTTTTGGACTTCTATTACCAACATTTACTTATTTAGTAAACATATTCTTTTGGAATAATTTTAGATTTACAGAAAAGTTGCCAAGATACTACTACCATTATTCTAAACCAGAAAAAAAGTTAAGCAAAAAACTGTTATTATTATTATCATGCTTTATATTTTCAGAAAAAATACCTTAGTTTGAAAGTAAGACATAGCCCAGCTAAATTTCTTTCTTTCTTTCTTAATTTCTTCCCTTCCCCTTCCCCTTCCCTTCCCTTCCCGAAAAGTTCTCACTTGGTTGCCCAGACTGGAGTGCAGTGGTGCAATCATGGCTCACTGCAGCCTCAACTTCCTGGGATCAAGCTATTCTCCCACCTCAGCCTCCTGAGTAGCTGGGTGTACAGGCACATGTCACCATACCTGGCAACTTTTTAAATTTTCTGTAGAGATGGGATCTCACTGTGTTGCCCAGGTTGGTCTCAATTTTCTGAGCTAAAGTGATCTTCCAGCCTTTGGTTCCCAAAGTGCTGGGATTACAAGAGTAAGCCACTGCATCTGGCCCTAAATTTCCTTTTTTGAATGAGCATTACCTGACTTTAGATCTATTCTACTCTTGATATTCTATGGTAAACAAGTTTCCAGTTTCTATCTCACTTGTCTGTCTCCACACCATCTTATTCCTTCTCATTACTTTAGCTCAGGCATTTTTTGAATGTCTCCTTTTCTGTCTACTCCACCCCATACCTTCTCTGCCCTTTCATATTTTACTACCATTTAACATTCAGCACATATCTCACTGCCTCCTCAAAGTCTTTTCTTGCTAGCTGCTATGATCTGAAGATTTGTGGCTCCTTACCACCACCAAATTCATATGTTGAAATCTAATTACCAGTGTGCTAGTATTAGGTGGTGTCTTTGGGAGATGATTAAATCTTGAGGATGGGGCCCTCATGAACAGGATTAGTGTCCTTATAAAATAGGCCCAAGGGAGCCCGTTTGGCTCTTCTGCGATGTGAGGACATAACAGGAAAGCACCAGCTATGAACCTAGGAAGCAGCCCTCACCAGACTCCAAATGTACTAGTGCCTTGGACTTGAACTTTCTGGACTCTAGAACTGTGAGACATACATTGCTGTTGTTTATAAGCTACCCTGATCTGATATTTTGTTGTAGCAGGTAACAAAATAAGATACTAGTTTAGACTGGAGTAATTTATCTCTCTCTTCTGAAATTTCATGACCATTATTGTTTATGTTAATGATTGGGGAATTTATCAGGTACTTCCTTTTTTCTTCTCCTGGTGTCTTAGACTGCTAGTTAAACCTTGTACTGTTACCTAAATTTAAAATGTATGTATTTGGTCTCTTCAGCTAGATTGTAAGATTCTTGAGGACAATTCTTATTTCCTCTTTTGTCTTATTGTAGCACTAAGGAAGGTGCCTTGTACCCAGCATTTCTCAATGAGTATTTATGGCTTCAGATATTTGGAATTCCTTTTATTGAGTCTGATTAGTAATTGTTAGGAAATGTTGAGTGCAAACTATGGGCCTTGTATCTTATAACTACTTTTAAATGTAACTTAATTTAATTCTCATAATTCATTCATGAATTAGACGTGTTTCTATCTCTATTTTACAGATGCAATTATTATATTATAAGAGTAAAATACTTATAAATTACACAGGGGAGAATTTGAACAAAGTTAAGTTGAAATAACAAGATCGTTTATGGTTCAGGAGTATAGAGAAACAATTATTTTTTTCTGCAATTCATGAAATTTGTGCTATATTAAAAGTATTTTAACTGACATACATATGCAATGTTACCTCTTCTATAGTTTAGAAAGCAACTTCTGATTGGAAATGCAAATGTTCCCTGACTTTCCATAGTTTGATTCATAATACTTATGATTTTTTGACTTTACTGTGGTATGAAGCAATACAGATTCAGTAGAAACTGTACTTTGGTACAGTATTCAATAAATTACATGATATATTCAGCACTCTTTCATAAACAGGCTTTGTGTTAGATGATTTTGCTTAACTATAAGCTACTGTAAGTGTTCTGAGCATGGTTAATGCAGGCTAGGCTAAGCTACAATGTTCACTAGTTTAGGTGTATTAAATACATCTTCAACCTACAATATTTTCAACTTTGTAAAAGTGAGGAAGTTCAAGTAGTGGGACAAGGAAGGCGGAAAAGTTGGTGAAGGGTATGTGAGTTGGTTTCCAGTATGAAGAATAGGGGCTCAGTAATGCTGAGGACCTTTTGAAGAATCATTTTGAAGATGCCTCAGAAATATTCCATTAGAAGATAAGAGCCTGGAACATTTTTCTATTGGTTTTTATTCCCCACTTTTTGATTGGTGTCCCTAGGGGCATTAACTCCCTTGAAATCCTTGGCTACCTGTGCTTATACTGAGTGATGTAACACAGCTTGGGAGCACTCTGCTACTTTAGTTTGCTGAAGATGGGAGAATGGCAATGTATATGGAATGGTCTACCATAGCTGTCCTGAAATCATGGGACCAAAGAGGAGATGCGGCATGAGGAACCGCAAGTGGCTACTACCCCAGTGGTTTATTTGTATAGCTTTGTCTACGTTATCTCACCTTTTAGAATAAATGTATCAGTAGAATGGGAAGTTAAGTGGAGTGGATGGGATGGACACATTCAATTTATTATTAAAATTAAAATGTCTATTTGTGTATTACTTACCATTATTTCGAAAAACCACCAGTGGTACATGTGAGTGGCACTGAATTAAAATGAATTCTTTGGGGCAAGTGGTTTAAGGTCCAGTCACACCAAAAATGAAATAATTTGGAAGAAAAAGAAAGCTAAAGAGCCAGCTCTTTCAGTTTGATTCTTTATTGCTCACCATACAATATTGGAACAGACACACAGTTTCTCACAGTAAAGCACATAATACTGCACTTTCTTAAAAAAGAGTGTTTGCCCCACAAGGACACAATGTTTAATTCCCAAATGATGAAGTGAGTCAGCATACAACTTTCTAAAGCTGATAGAAGGAAGCCAAAACATTCCAAGACACATCATAAGCAACATGCAAGTCAACAATGTTATCACAGTAGCCTGAAGCTAATCACTACATGTTTCTCAGTTTCATGTTTAATGTTGAAGCTTAGGTTCATGAAGGGCATAGGTCCCTGAGCTAGCTCTGATCTCTATATGTAGCATAATTGGATAAGTCCAGAGTCATTTAGGACCCCTGAATAATATACACATATATAAATATTTTAAATATATGATAATATAATATAGAAAAAAGATAAATATATATACATATATTTTTCACTTGGAAAATTAGGACTATAAGAATACTTTTAGAATTACAACATAAGACAAATAGTATACTGTATTTTCTATAGATGATGAAATTCACAAAGTTTACAAAATAGACATAGCAGATTTATATACACTTCTACTTTATATTCTTGTGAATGAGTGAACATTTCCTCACCAAATATAAGTACAGGTTGGTCCCTTACTTCCTTTGTCAGGTTTTTTGTTTTTGTTTTTTTTTTTTTTTTTTGGACTAGCTGCCTTCCTTAATCAATCCCTGATGAATTGGATTTGCTCTGGATATACATTCTTAATATCAAGAGCCTTGCTTTAAGATTGATTTATGTCTCCTTTCCTTACTCATCTTATTTTTCTCACACGGTTTATCTTTTCTTTAACTATCTAAATGAAATCTATCCTTGAAGGACGTCCTACCTTCTCTACAAAGCCCTCCTTAACGACTCCAAGCCCCATGGAAGCCCCCTTCCCTCTGAAGAACTCAGCTGTTTATAGTCTGAAATCATACAATTTGGCTTCCAATTATGTGTTCTTTTTTTTCTGGCATGTTTCTGTGTTAATATGTTATCACTAAATTGTAATCTCCTTGAAAACAGAAACAATGTTTTAGTCTTCCTTTTTCTCATTATTAAATTGGATGATGGACATGAGAGTACCATTGAAATTGTCATGCATGTTACATACATAAGGGATTGTTCTGACTATCATCTGGCATACTTCATGCAGTGCCTTTCAATGAGCCAGGAAAACTATTTAAAAAATAAAACAAGCACAATGAGTTATCTGATTGTGAAGATAGATCTATAGGCAAATTGGGTATTATCAAAAGTTTAGAATGTATTTCTGAGCTGGGATTGATTTCATTCATTTTACAGATATTTAGGGATATCATCCAATAGATAATAAATAATTAACTAAATAATAGTTTAGATAATTTGTGGAATACAAAGATGAAAAAGACTTACCCTCAAGGATCTTTCCGTTTAGTTGCTTATTAAGAATTATGTGATAAGTAAGAGCCTTGAAGGCTCTATATGAGGGCCTGAGTTCAGTGATTTTCAAGGTGTGCTCAGAAGACTATTGGCATCAAAATCATCTAATAAATGAGAATTTCTTAGGGCAAGACCAAAAGAAAGTGCATTTTAAGATAAGCTCCCAGGTAACTCTTATGTATATGAAAGCAGGAATGTTTTATTATTCTTAGCTAGGAATTAAATATTTGGCCTCCTTACTAGGGCATCTTATGCCATTTCAGGAATATAATGTTCTTACTGACTTCTGAATTCAGATCTCTGGTGAGATGGAGTCTTACTCTGCTGCCTTGTATTTATTTCTGTTTTTATCCAAAGCCTCCATCTTTATCAATATCAGTCCACGGCATTCTTGAGGAAGTTCATACTCTCTCTTTTCTGGAAGTCAGAAAACAGCCACATGCACAATAATTAAGTTCATTATTCTGTGAGGAATGAAATAACCACTTATGGGTGCTGCTTCAGGGCTCAAATACACTGAAAGAGCTCCAGCTGACTCCACTCTTTATCCCACTCTTTCAACTTTTATAATTTACAAAGTACTTTCATTTCCATTATTCCAGTTGAGAGCCTGTAGTATGGACTTAACCCAGATGCTTCTTCATGAGGCCAGGCAGGCAATCAGTGTGAATTCACTGTTTATTGGCCATTAAAACTATCCTTTGTTTCCTTGCTGGATCCATGTTTGAAAATTCTGGACAGTGTACTGTCTTAGCTGTACTACTTCATTTAGCTCTTTTATTTTTCCAGATTTCATTTCCAAAATATGAATTAATAACTTTATATTGGCTTTATCATGAATGTGCTTGGTGTAGAAGAATGTAAATAGACGCGATAACATTGTACACACACATTCATGATCCCTCTTGTCAAAAGAGGTTACAATAGTTGCCCCTTATACACAGTTTGGTTTGGTTTTCTGTGGTGTCAGTTACCTGCAGTCAACCTCTACACAAAAATATTACATGGAAAGTTCCAGAAATAAACAATGTATAAGTTTTAAATTCAGAGGCATTCAGAGTGGCATGATAAAATCTTGTGCCATCCGACCCAAAACGTGAATCCTCTCTTTGTCCACTGTATTCATGCTGTGCACTCTGCCTGCCTGCTGCAAGTCATTTAGTAGCCATCTTGGTTATCAGATCGAGAAAACATAGTATATACAGAGTTTGGTACTACCCACGGTTTCAGGCATCCACTAGGGGTCTTGAAATGGATCACCGGAGGATATGGAGGAGCACTGTATTGGAATATTAGAAGCAGAACCCTGTAGACTTAGTTTATGTCAACATTGTCATCATTTGGTGTTAACCATGTCAGTAACAAAATTGTTCTCTGATGTGAAACTCCTATAAATGAGGTTTGCTGTTGAGTGATGAGATTGTACTTATAGACTGAACATATCGGAAAAATAGTACAGGGTCTTATCTGACCTTATTTTCCTGTGTAATCAGTGAAGAATTAAGTTAACAGATACTTCTCATTAGAGTCCATAAAGTACAATGAGAATATGCAAAATTGATTCTTGTATTAAAAGTCATCTTATGATATTTCAAATGGACCATTAACAATTGCTTCTTTAAATTATATTTCTGATATCTCAGATTTGTATTCTAAATATTGCCAAACAGTTATATCTTCAGGTGATGACATGTTGGTCTTCTTTTTCTTGTAGGATTGTGAGCTTCATAAGAAAGGGGAGAGTTTGTCTGCTGAAACAAATTTCTGCAGCAATTTTGCACATATTGAGTGTTCTTTGATTAGTTTCTGATCGAAACCTCTAAAATGCCAACTTCTCAACTCTGTACATGATTCCTACCATGTCAATGAGGACATAAAGAGAACTCTAATTTAAAGCATCAGTTTTTCTATGTTTAAAAGTGATTTTATGAAAATGAAAGTTTGCAAAACAATGACATATTTTTATAGATAAATATGTTTGAAAGAACATTCGTATTTTTACTTAAGATATTTCATGTCCAGGTTTAGTCTTGAATGAAGTTAGATGAATCTTCCTGCTATGAGGATAGTGATGATTGTGGAGTGATGAGAGTTTGGTGGGGAGAGGGAAGAGAGAGAAAAATACTTATGACCACAGAACTCTGTAAGATTTCTTCATGTGTATTATTCTGAAAGCTTATGTTGACTCAGTCAAATCTTGGTTTTGATGGCTATTTATTGTAGACAGCTAAGGATACATAAGAAATAAATTGCTGGAGATATTCATGTTTGCTTCCCCCTAGGGGAATGAGTGACTTAAAACATTTGAAAACATTTTTTCTTGACTCTGGATCTGACTAGTTCTTCTTAGGTGTACTCTCATTCACATTGAATTTCCCTACTTCATATATAAATATTCCAATCCCTGTTTTAATTGCAATTGAGAAGTAAAGATGATATTAAATATAATATTTATAGAATTTATACATTGACAGGTTAACCACATAAAATCTTTTCCTTCTGAAAGTTAATATTTTCTCTTTATCATGTTTACAGGTTTAACATAGTTTAGAATGATATAAATTCTTTTATTCTTGAAGAGCCAACCAAAACTATGTTGACCCAACTTTTACTAAGACATGTTGTTCTTATTATTCCAACATAGTCTTCTGAAAATAAAACACTTCAAATATCCATCAAGACTTAGTTGTACTAAACTAAGTTTTATGGCTGTAGCTTTTCCTTTGACATTGCTAATTGTTTAGCCAAATCAGCCATTAATTTTGGTATATTATCAGGGTGTATTGTTCTGTACATTCAATTTGTTTAAGAATGACTGTAAAGTTTGGACTTGTCTTATTTTTCTTCAGCATTTAGAATATTTGCCTTGTATGTTAAGGTCTAGAAATATACTCACAGCCCTTAGGTCCTAAGAGGGAATTTATGTTTGTTCATTTTATTCATGATCTGTGCCCTTTACTCAATTACCTCAGGTATGATATCTAACCAAAGACCCTCAGCAATTAATGAAATTGGAAGTAACAAAAGAACACAGGGAATTTTTATTAAGGAGGGCTCTTAATAACATTACTTGATTTCACCAGCAAATTTTAAACTAGCTCTTTATTTCTCATTTGGTGGTATATTAAGTTTTGATTATTTGTGGAAATATTTTATGATTGAGTATAGTGTGATAAAGAATATTTTAAAAAGTTATATCTCTTCTGTGTAAATTCAAATATCTATTGGACATTATATAGGAACATTTAATTTTAAAATGGCATTTGCTTTAGAGTTAAAACACTATGAACTGAGTTCTTATGAATTTCCCATGTGGTCTAAAACTAACAGATTTTTGAGAAATAACTTTTTAAAAATTAAAGTGAAAGAATTCAGCCCATACATTAAATTTCCAAAGATAAGAAGAGCATCTTTGTATTCTGTGTATATCATGTTAAACTAATTGTATTTTTTAACACCTGATATAATCATTCTGCAAAATCCATAACTTTTTATTAATTAGGAATTAGGTCACAGGAATACTGGTCTAATCATCAGAGAAATTACAGCTGTAGTGAAATTGTGATGAAGATAATGTTGATTGACTACCTACCAGCATACCTGAGACATAGTCGATGCTCAATGATATTAGGTCCTTTCTGTAATGAAAAAATCTCGTATATTCCAATCCCCTTTTTCACCAATTTATGAACATGTGGGTATGTGTTTATAAACACACATGTGCTTGTGTGATTTGGGGTTGGGTCACTCTGGTGCTCTATTTATATGATGCCAAGATTAATATTTATACCAGAATGAAAAGTCAGTTAACATAGATTGCTTACTGTCATGCAGGTAGGGTTTTAGGGTATTTCCTGCAAATATTTGCTTGCATTCATTTACTGTTATAGTAACAGGATAAAAATGTCTTGCTGGAGTAGATAAGGCCAATTTTCAAAAAAAAAAAAGCGCACTCTAGAATGAGGTTCTGGATAGCATAGTCTCCATGAAACAGCACGTAAAAACAAGTTTCAGAAGAATGGTATATTCTTCATTAAGAAGATGGGGAGGCATAATTATCATTAGCGATTAGGTTCTAGAAAAGTCCATAAAATAGGGATATAGGCTGGAGAGGGAAAATGACAGCCTACGGGCATGTAAAGGTATGGGTACTTTTTTGATCTACTCATTAAAAATCAATGACTACTGAACCATCACCAAGGGCAATTTTTGCCCTCGGAGATTCTGGTTGGCCAAATCTCAATAGGTAAGAGATTCAGGTAGGAACTGACAAGTGTCCTGGACAGATTCATTCACAAGTCTCCAATAAACACTGGAATAGCAGATGTCAGTCATAAATATAAAGATGACATACTGATAATATGATGAAATCAGTTTTAACTCTGCTGAAAATAAAGCCAACAGAATTTTGCATTGCTTTTAGAATCTGTAAACAAAATATCACTAGCATTTGAGAAAAACAAAAAAAGAACCTACAAACAACAAGCAGATAGGAAGGAAAGACAATTGCAGTCAAGGTAAAATCCATAGACTACAATTCTCAGTGGGAGCTCTTTATCTGGAAGAGGGATACCAGGATTTTGGCTGACTTAGAATAACAACAAAGCTTTTAAGAATGTTTCAGACTTTTCAGCTAGATTTTGCTTGAATGATTTGCTTGACATGGCTGAGTAGTTTATAAACAAGAATGTTCAAAAAGATTTTATTGCTTAAAAGCGTCAGAGAAGAAGCAAAATCTAATTATAAATACTTGCTTTGTCTTGACTATACTTTTCAAATTTAATTGTATGTTAGTTTGTATCTTCACAGTTACTTAATCTGGGCTTTTGCCTTTTTCCACCCATCATGTGGGAGGCTGGAAGAGTTGATAAGAGTTGGATTTATCTTAAAATCTACATTTCTCCTTAATTAATAATTTCAGATATTTTGAGGTTTATTTTACATTAAAGTTGAGTGATGATTATCTACCTTCTAAGATATAAAAATCATCTCAGAATTTTATAAACATTATGGCAACTTTTAAAATACAGTTAACATGTATGTCTAAAATCTTATTTTTACTCAATAAATAAAATGTTTCTGTAATATTTTTCCCTTTAATTTCAGATATTCATGAACTAGCCCTGTACTATGTTAAAATGAATACTAAATGCAAACATTTAAAAATCTGCATGTTGTCAAATTATCGAATGTATAAATAAATTAGGGAAGTTGAAAAGTGACATTTGATAAGGTTACTATGAATAATGTAAATTGATGTCTAGATTTTATTGAAACTCTATAAGTCCAGAAAATATAGTGAATTTCTTAAGTTAAATGAAAAGGGCTAAACTTTAAGTTTCCATCATTTAGCTATTTCACAGATCTGCTCCATTTTTAGTGATATTAGTTTGTAAGAAGGAAAGTCTGAATCATCCTCATGGGTTAAAGTATCTAGGGCCAGAATTTGTTAGAGCATTGACAAAGACTGATCTGCTCTGTCTTCACATATGACTATTGGCCATGTTCTCCCTTTTGTTGATGACTGCACAGATTCTCATTTTCTTTGTCATCCATTTTCTTCTAATTCATGAATCAACTTTGGCTAAAGGATACCTCAGAAGCCAAGCAGGTGTCATCAAAAGACACTTTTGTGGCAGACAGGTAAGTGTCAGTGACAGTGATATCATCAAGCTCTGTGCTGAAATGGTCTGACTCCTTGATGACGCTGTAATTTAGGGCCACACTGTAGTTAGCAGGTTTCTCTGTTGGCTTCTGCTTGCAGTTGCAGAGCTTTCTGAAGGCTGCACGGAATTTCTGGGACATGAGATTGTAAATCACCGGGTTGATGGCACTGTTGAGATAAATGCAAATTCTGCAAAAGAGCAAAAACCAATTTTCTTGGAAAGGACTGGAGAGAAATGAGTTGACAACCACTAGAGTCCTGTAGGGCATCCATAAAAGGGCAAACAGAATTACAACCACTGCCAGCATCTTGGTGACCTAGGGAGAAATAGAGAGAAATGCTGTACAAACACAAATGAAAACAAAACAAAACCCCCTTTCTTCTCTCACCCAAACCTTTAGTTCCCAAAATGTAGTCTGAGACAAGGAGTTAGGTGCAGGTCATTTATTGGGGAGGTGATCCCAGGAAGCAGGATTAAGGGTTATCAATTAGAATGCTATAGACAAGGAAAAGCCAAAGTAGGAAAAGCCAAAGCAGTGTGTTATTGAGATAGCTCCCCCTATAGCCAACTCTGGCTCAAGTAATGCAATTGAGAATTATCTGTCAGAAGTAAGAGAATGAATGCCAGCGTCCATTCATTAAAGGATATTGTTAAGGACTTTAACTCCTGTGTACTTCCAGGATTCTCTTGCCTGAAAACTCCTAGGGCCTTTAGAGAGACACTTGAGGCCAAGAAGAGGAGAGACAAATGGTACAGTGGATGCCTGAAGTGGGATATTTCCCACTGCAGGAACCATCTACTGCAGCTATGGCTGAAATCAGAGTCTTGTAAGAGAATGTTAGCACAGGGCACCAAAAGTGTCTGTGACAAGCATTAGGAGACTTAGGGTCAAATCCTTTCCTTACTTACCCTATGTGTGGCCTAAGAAATTATCTTAACCTATCTTATAGCTCATCTGTAAAATGGAGCCAACATTGCCCTCCTAAATCAAATGAGGTAACAGTGCATGAAAAGAATAATGCAAAAAAGTCAGTGTTTATTGAATGTTTAGTGACTGCTATGTGCCAGACACTATCCAAGGTGTTTATTTGTTACCATGTTTAAAAAGTTTTAAACCTCCTAAAATAGGTATTGTACCCACTACTTTTTCAAATTAGAAAACAGGTACAGAGGCTGTTAAGTACTTTGGTGGAAGCTGTAGAGTCTCAGGGCTGGGATTACTGTCCAAGTGAGCTTGAATTCAAAGCTTTTGCACTCTTTCAGGTTAAAGGGAAGTGAAAGAGAGAGAAAGCAAATGCTGGAATTTTACCTAATGCTGAAGCCACTCCTAAGTATAAGCAATGCACAGGAAGTAAGACAATAGGTAGGATGAGGTCAATATCCCAGATTGCTCACTGTTCACTGAGCTTCATTCTGACTCAATGTATGTAGGATATTAAGGCTACGTATCTTACCACTAGGAGTAGAAAAATTGTTCAGTGAGAATATGTGATTTCACACTGGTTCATATAATACCAACTAAGACATTCCAGAGATTCTGACTTCTTTTAGAGCCAAAGAGGGTCTACTTAGCAAAGGGGTTAACTGAAACATGATTTTTCCTAAGTAGACTTTAAAAAATATATATAAGTAAATAATTAGTCATAGGAAATCAAAGTGATAAATGTTCTAAGCTTTGGAAGGAGATGTAGTGATTATCATCTTCATTGTCATCATCACCATGATCTTCGTCATTATGAACCACACCCTTGCCTTTATTCTCTGCTTGGTACTCCAGGCACTCTGAAATCAGATCACTGCTTCACACTTGTCAACATTCTCCCACTCCCTGTCAGGGGTAAAGCATCCTACATTGAAATACCTAGTTTAATTTACAATTAGATCTATACCATCACATTTTAGTCCTTTAAGATGGCCCAAGTAATCTGAAAAATGCCATATAAACATTATCTTATTTAATACTTATAGTAATTCCATGAGTAAGCTAGTATTCTTTTCATTTTGCATGTGAAGAAATTGAGGTTTAGGTAATTTATATGATTTGTCTACAGACACATGAGTAGTAAGTGACAGAGCTGTGATTCAAATCTGTCTACTTAAGACAAAGGTCATGCTCCTTCCTATATACTTTGCCCTTTCCATGAATGTTTCTTGCATTTTCGATAACATTTCTACTGTGTTATTTCCATTATGATCACCCAAACACTTAAATTCTTCAATTATAAACCCAACAACACTTACTGCTGCTAAATTTCAGAAGAAAGGTTGAATTTCAACTACCTTTATCTTTCCCTACAACTGTCAGGTAAAATGTTGAATCCACAAGTAATACCTACCTGCCTCTTTTCACGGAATGTCAGTGAAGGGAGCAACTTTCACTGTGTTGGAGAAGAGCAACCTGTTTCAAGGTTAGTATCTCTCCTGTGCATTTCCACAGCGCCTCCAGGCATACTTTGACATCATTCCCAAACATTTCATTGCAGTGACCTATACTTGTTGATCTCTCAAATAAATAGTAAACTCCTTCAGGGTATGGGAAAATTTCTTCATTTCCCTACTCTCAGGGATTTAGTGCACTATGTGACATAAAGTGGCCCTAAGAAAAAACTTGAATACATTCAGGCATGGAAGGAATTATTTTAAAATATGTAACCATAGGTCTAAGAAGAAAAGAGAGAAGAATGAAATAGACACAATAAAAAATGATAAAGGGGATATCACCACTGATCCCACAGAAATACAAACTACCATCAGAATGTACTATAAACACCTCTACACAAATAAACTAGAAAATCTAGAAGAAATGGATAAATTCCTGGAGACATACACCCTCCCAAGACTAAACCAGGAAGAAGTTGAATCCTTGAATAGGCCAATAACAGGCTCTGAAATTGAGGCAATAATTAATAGACTACCAACCAAAAAAAGTCCAGGAGCAGAAGGATTCACAGCCGAACTCTACCAAAGGTACAAGGAGGAGCTGGTACCATTCCTTCTGAAACTATTCCAATCAATAGAAAAAGAGGGAATCCTCCCTAATCCATTTTATGAGGCCAACATCATCCTGATACCAAAGCCTGGCAGAGACACAACAAAAAAAGAGAATTTTAGACCAATATCCCTGATGAACATCGATGCAAAAGTCCTCAATAAAATACTGGCAAACCGAATCCAGCAGCACATCAAAAAGCTTATCCATCATGATCAAGTGGGCTTCATCCCTGGGATGCAAGGCTGGTTCAACATACGCAAATCAATAAATGTAATCCAGCTTATAAACAGAACCAACGACAAAAACCACATGATTATCTCAATAGATGCAGAAAAGGCCTTTGACAAAATTCAACAGCCCTTCATGCTAAAAACTCTCAATAAATTAGGTATTGATGGGACATATCTCAATAAGAGCTATTTATGACAAACCCACAGCCAATATCATACTGAATGGGCAAAAACTGGAAGCATTCCCTCTGAAAACTGGCACAAGACAGGGATGCCCTCTCTCACCACTCCTATTCAACATAGTGTTGGAAGTTCTGGCCAGGGCAATCAGGCAGGAGAAAGAAATAAAGGGTATTCAATTAGGAAAAGAGGAAGTCAAATTGTCCCTGTTTGCAGATGACATGATTGTATATTTAGAAAACCCCATCGTCTCAGCCCAAAATCTCCTGAAGCTGATAAGCAACTTCAGCAAAGTCTCAGGATACAAAATCAATGTGCAAAAATCACAAGCATTCTTATACACCAATAACAGACAAACAGCCAAATCATGAGTGAATTCCCATTCACAATTTCTTCAAAGAGAATAAAATACCTAGGAATCCAACTTACAAGGGATGTGAAGGACCTCTTCAAGGAGAACTACAAACCACTGCTCAATGAAATAAAAGAGGATACAAACAAATGGAAGAACATTGCATGCTCATGGATAGGAAGAATCAATATCGTGAAAATGGCCATACTGCCCAAGTTAATTTATAGCTTCAATGCCATCCCCATCAAGCTACCAATGACTTTCTTCACAGAACTGGAAAAAACTAAAGTTCACATGGAACCAAAAAAGAGCCCACATTGCCAAGTCAATCCTAAGCCAAAAGAACAAAGCTGGAGGCATCATGCTACCTGACTTCAAACTATACTACAAAGCTACAGTAACCAAAACAGCATGGTACTGGTACCAAAACAGAGATATAGATCAATGGAACAGAACAGAGCCCTCAGAAATAACGCCGCATATCTACAACTATCTGATCAGAGTAGCGTATAGGGTGTATGGTGATATGAAAGACAGCTTCTTTACGTCAGCCTCTGCCCTAAGATTTAAAGGTCCTTGAGAAATAGCATGACACAATCTTTGAGTAAAAATGATCTTATACTATACTTTTGATTGGGAAGGAATCTATCCATCCATTCTAAGTTACGCATTTGCATCCCTACTGTGTATCAGTCAATGTTCTGGTTCTTGATGATTTGACGGTGATCCAGAGAGACATGGCAATGCAATCATGTACCTTAAATCTGATGAACAATTATAATACAATATGACAACTGCTAATACAGAGGAATGTTTTGGTTCTAAGAGAACCCTTGATATAAACTTGGGGTTGAGAAGTCATTAGCAGGGGCTTTCTGATCCAGTTAAAATCTTAAGATAAAGAGAGACGAGAAGACTGTTCTTGCAGAGATTAAGTATGTGTGACAATCTGGAAGTGTAACAGTGGGTATATCATGGGACTAGAAGTAATTTAATGTGCAAATTCCAATTGCAGACCATGTAATGAAGTAACACTATCTCTTTTTCTAGTAATCTTGTGGAAACCACTACAAAGTCATTACTTTTATATGATAAGATGATGTCACACTCCGTGGAGTGCTTGCCTTCCATTCCTTCTGTCTTCCCTACAGAAAGAGAGATACAGCTGCAAAAAGGGGTACAGGCATATTGAGTTCTGAAAATGTTGGCTCTGTGGAGCCATTTTAGTCAACACAGAAGCAGGCAGCCATTTTTGTAGAGTGTATTGAAGGCAATCAAAAGAGATTGCAAAAATTAATGGATTAAAATTTAGTATTTAGAGAGCGAGCTTGCAGGCAGAGATAGTTGAGGAAAAGGGTAGGTGAGAACATGAGGGTCTAGGCTTGATGGCTTGTCCTTGGCCACCCTACTAAGTGTTATCTTCTTTGTGAATATCAGCTGGAAATTTTGATACCAAACTCTGCTATATGTTTTTCAGTCTCCACTGTATTTAAATATGTAGAATAAGTGGCATAAACCTCTCACAAAAGTTTGGATTCAGTCCTTCTCAACACGCCCTTTTGTCATCTTTATAAAGCCTCCAGATAAGGATCCTATTCAGGCAGTTATCTTTTATAAATGTGAATTGGACAGATTTCTTATTGCTAAAATTAAGATTATACTTCCTCAAGAGGGCTATATATGCAGTTCAACCCTGCGTATATGTGCTGCATGGAAGAAACAGGCTAATTGGGTTATCTCTTCTAGCATGCTTTTGAATCTTCTATTACTAACTACTATTATTGTAACTACTGCTATGACTCTTACTACAAGTTCCAAAACTATTAGCTAACATCTGTATATTGCCTATTTGTTTTTAGAATAGTATTAGATTTATAGAAGAGTTGTAAACACAATGCAGACAGTTTCTATATACCCCACACCAAAGTCCTTCTATTATTCACCCCTTGCATTAGTATGGTAGATTAGTCACAATTAATAAATCCATGTCAATAATTTTTATATGGAGTTAGTTAGCTCCATGCTTTATTCAGATTTCCTTACATTTTACCCAAAGTCCCGTTTCTGTTGCAGGATACCATCTAGAATACCACATTATCTTAGGTGTCACAGCTCCTTAGGTTCCTCTGGGCTGGGACAGTTTCTCTAACTTTCCTTGTTTTGATGGTCTTGATAGTTTTGAGGAATACATCAGGTATTGTATAGAATGCACTTTAAGTTGAGGTTAGCTGATGTTTTTCTCATGGTTAGACTGGAGTTATGAATTTTTGAGAGGGAGGCCACAGGAGTGACATGCCATTCTCAACATAACATATCAACCATTCTCTCTTGAACCTGCTCCAAACAGGCTTGCCAAAATGGGAGAAGATGTGAAGTTAGCGATAGTAAACATATCTTTTGAGAATTTTACTGGAAGAGGACAGTTAGGGAAACTGTTCTAGAATAATGAATAGTCCAGTGCACAGTGTGGGGGTGGCCTCATCTTAAGCATATCCAGAAAATCATTTTTAAAACATCTGCCTCTTTTATTTCTTAGTCACACATTTAAGAGATCAAGAAAATGCATGAGAAAATGACACCTTTCTCATCAATGCTCCAAATCCTGAGTGGAGTTCTGAAAGCAGTTAATTGTTGAATTCTCTGAAATTAACAAAGTTCTTTTATTGTAATTGAACCATTTGAGCCATATTACTCTGAAATTTGTAGGACAAGTGTTATCATTACCATTTCATTGATGAGGAAGTAAAAACTGAGCTTAGAGAAGCAGAGAAATAAAGCAATACAGCTTATACATATAAGTATCAAAGTTAGCTACCCAACCAAGGTTTTCTGAGTCTAGCTCTCATTTTCTTTCCAGATAATCACACAAAATCAACATAAATAGTGAGTTGAAGAATTTTAATCACTGTAAATATTGCTTATGAACTATTTGAAAGACATAATATTGTTGCCAGAAATCATTGGTAACTATGGAATCATGGGGGTTTTACCCCAAACAGGAGTGCTACATTCAGAAAGCACTGATTAGGAAGAAGATTTCGTAACAAGGGAGACAGAACTCCTTCATACTCATCTATTTCCTGGGAGGGAAAAAAGGAAAATTAAAAATGCAAAAATAATCAAATTTTAAAAATGAAAACTTTTATTTCTTGGGCCACAGCCCAGTTAATAGTATGCCATTTATTAGGTTCTGGTTACATAGTATCTGGGGACATTTTGATTATTTGTCAGAGATTAGCTTATTAGTTTGCCTAGGGAGTCATAAGGATTTGATTCATACCTCAATTCCCTAGAAGTTTTAGTCGAAATTTTTGTACTGATTCAGAAAAAATTCTGAATTTTGATTCTATATATGATTCAGAAAAGGTTCTGTGCATGCTCATGGGTCTTGCTAGTATCTGGATACTCTTGCTTTGGAAATAAAGGCTGTGGCTTTGTCCTTCTATGTGTTATTGAATGACAATATGTAGTAGGTATAGAAGAAAGAGTTGGAATTTGCATTCAGCATCTTGGATTCACAGTCCTTTTCTGCCTCTGAAGACACTGGGCAGGTCATATGACTTTTGTCTGAATCTTATCTAAATTCCAGGGCAATCTTAAGTTGTGAAAAAGCTCTGTTAGTACTAAAAAGCAAAGTCATATACCAGATGGTGACAACCTTATCATTAAACTTGTATTTGAAGACTACCTCTTTTATAATGAGTGATTTTCAAGAGCATTATAAGCAGATAACTTTAATTTGTGAATAGACTCTTTATCAATTTTGGATCCCACTTTGTATAATGCCAAAACCCTTTTTTGGCTTCATTCACAAAGTAAATCAACAAAAAACCTTCACTTCATCTGTACTGCACAAAAGGTTGGGAGAAGTCTTTAGTACATATGCCTGACACATAAGTACTGAAAGCACAGTTAAATTATTATTGAGTAAATACTTATTTTTCACAAATGTTAAAATATAATTATGGAGTTATGCATCGATTTAGAATTCTTTCAATTAGCAAAAGTATGCTAGTTCTTGTATTTCTTCTGGCTGGAATATTCTCATTTTCAGAAATATACTTCTTTCTGGAAATATTTTCTTGTTAATGAATACAAAACATTTAGTCTTTAATATTCTAATGCCATTCTTCAGAGGGTAACTATACATTCTGTGCTTGGACTCTGCCCATGTTCTCCAGTATTTCTGAATATTAACAAAGTGTCCTGTAACTGGGAATATTATACTCTCAGATGGCCCTCAGCAAAGTGATCAATGACTATTTAAATTTTGTTACAATAATTGGGCCAGCTGAATGAACTTAACATGATAATTAAACAAATCTGAATTTAGCCAAGCTTCCACACTAATTGGAAGCTCTGGGAATTTCTTCTTGCAGATTATTCTGCTTTGTTTTGACTTATCTCTGGACATTCAGTTTTTTGTTTTTGTTTTGTTTTGTTTTGTTTTGTTTTTTTGAGATGGAGTTTTACTCTGTCGCCCAGGCTGGAGTGCAGTGGTGTGATCTCGGCTCACTGCAAACTCTGCCTCCTGGGTTCAAGCGATTCTCTTGCCTCAACTCCCAAGTAGCTGGGATTCTATGCGTGCACCACCATGTCTGCTAATTTTTGTATTTTGTAGAGACGGGGTTTTACCATGTTGGCCAGGCTGGTCTGGAACTCCTGATCTCAAGTGATTCACCCGCCTTGGCCTCCCAAAGTGCTGGGATTACAGGCGTGAGCCACCGCACCCAACTGACATTCAGTTTTTAAAAGACAGTTATAATCAATGTGGGGTGCTTCATATCATGGAGTGAGATCATTCATGGGGCTTAAAAGTTGAATGATGGGGCTACAAAAGGGCTTGACATCAACTTGTCAGTTACTGTGTAATAAAAGTGAATAAAGGCTGAGTGATGATTCATGGTGGGAAGACCGTGGACTGACATACTCTGTGTTGTGCATTACTTATGGATTTCTTGCCAAGAAGCCACCCAGGGATGCTAATGCATAGGTTCTTGACTTCGCTTGTCAAGTACTGAACCTAAATGTTTCATTCAGAATAGCCTTTCTGGCAAGCATTATGGAGTGTTTTCTGGGCTCTATTCTGATTAAAAATGCTCAAGAAAATATTAGCAGGGATTCACAATAGAGAAACTTTGGTTGTATCTGATAAGGCTTAAGGAAATAGAAGAAGGGCTAAAGAAAAAAAAAAAGTGACATAGGATTTTTATTTTTGTTTTTCTCACAGACAAGTTATCGATGTCACCCAGGCTGGAGTACAGTGGTGTAATCATAGCTCACTGTAAACTTGAACTCCTAGGCTCAAGCAATCTTCCCATTTTGGTCTTCCAAAGTGCTGGGATTATAGGTTACAGTCACTGTACCCAGACAGGATTTTTAAAATATAAGTTTATAAGTGTGGCACATCCAGTGAAATGGGGAAAAAAAGTTTTTTATTCACAATTCTAGAGTGTGCTGAGAAAGATAGGTGGGGTTCTTTTATGAGCAAGACATTTGAGGGGACAGGAAACTATATATCTCAGGGGGGCTGCATGCACCAGTAGGGGCATGAGCTGACGCTGTCATTAGGCGGATATCATAGCACAGATGACAGTAGGAGTTACAGGATGACATAAAGCTATGTAGAACATGACATGACCCTTCCTCTGTGACACCTTCAGTTCTCTAGGAAAATAACTTAGCATCACCAAATGTACGTGTGAAGGTACTTCCAGTGGAAAATCAACAGAGCTCTGCTTCTCACTCTGGTGTGGGATGAACCCTCAAAGCCTTGTACTTTCTTTCAAGAAGAAAGTTAGAGAGAGGCACACATACATGAAGAGTGGGAAAAGTGATGGGACTTTGAGCTGTCCTGGTTAGTGGAACTGGGGTTCAATGCTAAGTTGCACCAACATTTCTCAGTGTAAGAGAGGCTCCAAGTGATAGTGAGCCTTGCTTTCTGAGAATCAATGACAGTCTATGTGAGACAGGAACTATGCAGTGCTTTCTGAACACATTTTAATCTAGAATGGAAAAAACTAGATGAAAATTGAAGGTATTCTAATCTAAGTAATAGGAATTCACAGATTAAAGGAAGAAAGATAATTAAAATATATGAAATACTTAGTATGCACCAGGCATGGTGCTTAGTATATTCTTCATAACGGCCCTACTTTTTTTTTTTTATTATACTTAACCTTAACGGCCCTACTTTTTATCTGCATTTTAGAGAGGATAAGACTGATGTCAGAAAGTTTATATGCTGGTGATCAAAAGCCACACTTTTGAGGCATTGGTATATCAAAGTGATATATTGGACTCCAACATCATCTTTTTCTCTTTACTATTATGCATTGAATTTTGGGAAGGAATATTTTTCCTGAAATTTGAAAAACCTAAAAACAAAACTTGGGCTTAAAGGTCGGAATTGGTGGAGGTCGTATGTGGGAGGGGAGCAGGGAGAATGAAAAACTAACTCTTATTTCTACACAAGAGTTTATGCCTATCGCACCTAACAAAGGTATTCTTATTCACGCTGTGATACTAAGTCCTTATGGAACATATTTTTAAAATGTTTCTGATTTCAGTGTTCTGCTTCGAAGAATGGAAAACAGCTGTGTGCTAGGTAAGATTTGCATCTAGACTTGAGGATTAGATGTAACACTTTCTGCAATACTAGCAACTATTGTAGTGCTGAGGTTTCAGTATTGATTGTGGAGTCTGGCAATCATGAATGATGAGAGGTTGGCCTTTCTCCTATTGCTTGAATGTTTTCTTGTTCACAGGAGGTGAATATTTGGAAACACACTGAGAAAGAAAAACTCAACTGGCAGAATTTGGATTCAAATTACAGTAACATCTAAATTTAGAAAATAAAATGTCATTTTGAATTATTTTATGAGCCATGCTGGAAAAATGCTACCGTTGATCTGCCATGGGCTGAGTTTGCTATTTAGCCTTTTCTAAGTATTCTTTCTTCTAGGTATGTTACTGGTAAATAGCTAAGCCTGTGGAAAAGTCTGCCCTAATATAGCTTGCTTTAATTTTCTTAACTTTGCTCTCTAGGGTATGGTTACCTCTCCTGGTTATATTTTCATTTGGAACTAGTTTTTAGGAATTCTAATTGGGCATCTAGGCTGGCTCTGAGCTGCTAGCTGTAACACTTCTCTGAAGACATTGATCTTTCCCAGGGGAGATATTTCACAGCCTCTTTTCTCCCTTGTGCTTCTCTGGCTATATAGCCTGGTAAGGGTAACATTGTAAACAGAGACACAGATAAGTGATTCCTCAGCTGCTTACCCAGTAGGGGCTGGGAAATCAAAGGGGATATTTTAAAATGTAGAATGCAAATGATGGAGAAGGAGAGAGGTGATGGTGATCCTTAAATAGAAGTAAAATTCTCAGAGCTGCCCGATTTTTAAGAGGGCACTTAGTTGTCTTGCTTCTAAAAATCTTGGACAAAGTCCCTCATCGTAGAGCTGGGAGCACCTGGGAGGCATCGGACTCCTTCTCCACCTGTGTGTCTCCCGAGGGAGACAGCCTGTACTATGCTCAGGCCTGGAGTTACGGAGCTAATTTTCTAGCTGTCCTAAAAGAACTCACAGAGTCAGCCAAGGGATAGGCACATTTTCTTTCCTTCAGCAAACCATGAATTCAACCTTTTCCACTGATTTTAGCTTTCTGATCAACTAAACATGATACTCAAAATCAGAAACCTTGGTTTTAAGTTTCAGCTTTACAAACCATTGCTACTCAAAGATTTTTGAGCCTTAATGTCTGCATTTAATGTGTGAAAATATATGCATGAGGATTCATTACAAGGAGAACATAAAAACACATTGTAATATGTACTATACCTTTCTAATATAAGGGGCTGTTATATTCTTTATCTTGTCTTGAAATCTGCATCCTTGATAAGAGGTGCCAGCTTTATCACTCTGTGTTAACCTAGCAGACTGAATGGAGTTTCTTTGCACTTATCTGCTTCTTCACTACTTGATTAAGAACATAATTTGAGCCTACAAACCATGCTGGCCCTGGCTATGAGTTCCAACATTCAACACAGATTATTACTGCATCAGAGTCTCTTTTGGATGATATGGTCAGGGTTGGTTTGCAGTATTAGTATAGTGGTGAAGGGGACAGGCTATGGAGGCAGACCTCGCTGGAATCTAAATCTAGTTCTGCCACTTACTATCTGTATGGCATTGGATAAGACATTTCAGCCTTGTAAACCTCAGTATATACGTCTGTGAAATACAAAGAGGTACGAAGAATAAATGAGGTAGTTTAGGTAATGCACCAGCATAGGGTATGGTTCTCAATAAAAGACAGCTAATTTTCCATAATTTAAGGGGATGAGATTTCCCATCACTGGGGAAAGGTGTAGTATTTAACCAAATGACAGATGAAGCCTTTGATGATAAATAATAATAATATCCTATTGAACACTTTATATTTTAAACACAGAACCGGGGACTTTATTGAATTATTTAACTTTTATCGTATTTCTGAGGCAGGTATTCCATTCTCTTTATTATACAACTGAAGAAAAACAGATTCTGAGACATTAATAATTCTGGAGAGTGGTAGATATTAATTCTTCTTCAAGTTACTTTCCCTCATGTCTCCCTGTCTATTCATTTGTGCTAATAGTCACAACCTGAAAGGATCCTGTTCCTTCATTGGCTTACTTATGTATTGTCTCTCATTATTCCATAGAATGATGCCTCCTTGAGGGTTTCCACTCCTTTACCTGCAAGGGGCAACATGAGGCTCTGGCACTTAGTAGGTGCAATAAACGTTCAGGAAATGAATGAATAAACAAATGAGAAAAATAGTTCATGAATGCTAGTCTAAGTCCTGCCTCTGTGGAGTTCCATGTTGCCATTTTACATTTCCATTCCTAATCACAAGTGTCATTATTATATTGTGTCTGGTTTCTTTCCTGGTATATAAAAGGGCAGGATATGTATTACATATTTTTATCTCTAACTTCTAAAACAAGTTTGGCATCAATGTGTAAAGATTCCTTCTCAGAAAAGGACATGATTGATAGAGCAGCATGCAATTACAGTGAAGAAAATTTTTTCGGGGAACAGTCTGTTATTCTGTAGAAATAAAGAATTATTGGCTATATTGTTATGAAGAACTTAGGAAAAATAAAGAGCTAAGGGAATGCTAACTCAATATGATTTATGCTAAGTTTATTTCCTATTACTGAATATTGATCGGCACTATGTTAATATATACCAACCTAAAATGGGATTTGCCTCCAAAAGATACAAAGCTCAGTTTGACAGGTATTCTTGCTCTGTCCTATCTGTCAGCTGTCATATTCAATCTTTTGTTGCTCCTCCTTCACTCATGAAGTTGTAGAAGGCTATTTCTCATGATGCCACTCTGTATCTTTAGATTATAAATTGGTATTTTTAGGGCCTGTTGAAATAAGCAGGCTCCAATATAACACAGAAAGCATTTTCTTTAGGAGATAAGGAGTTAAAATGAAGGCAGGGGATGCACTAGCTGCTAGTTTAGGCTGCCTGTGATAAGCTTGCTCTTTCCTGCATTTGGCAATTTTGTGGAATGCAAACATATTTATTTAATGTGTATTTATAATTTATCTTTTCAGCAATTATCATACACCAGTACATGTACCAAGTATATAATTATTTTCACAAATAAATTCTTTAGGAATGGCTCAGGAGTCAGCAAGCTTTTACTGTAAAGGACTAGATAGTAAATATTTTAGCCTTTGTGGGCCATACAATCTCTGTCACAACTACTTAGCTCTGCCAGTGTAGTGAGAAAGCAGCCATGGTCAATAAATAAGGGAACAGGCATGGCTTTTTAAGTTCTACTAAAAATTTAATTAGGAAAACATATGGATTCAATACAACAACATGCTCTGAAAATGGGCTGTTTATTTAATATCTCTGACTGCCCTATTTAAATTAGACCCCTCTCATTTCAGCATTTCATTATTTCCCTTATTTGCTTGATTTTTCTCCACTGTCTGACAGGTCACAACTTGATATAATATGGGCATTTGTTTTTTATTCCATGTTTTCCCATTTCTCCTTAGAAAGATAGCTCCATGCAACAGGAATGTTTGTCATATTTGTTCATTGCTGTGTTCCCAAGGTCTAAAAGAGTACTCGGGATTCAGAGATGTGCAAGTATTCAACATATTTTTGTGGAACGAATGAATGAATGAATTTAATTGTCACACATGTAAGACAATGTTCCCTTTTTCTTGGGCAGATATAGCCTCTATCTCTGCACCTCATTTCTGAGAGTTCGTACCATTGGCAAGTGTGGGAAAAAGCAGAGAATAGTGTTGCCATCAAAGACTTTGGATTAGATTCTAGGAATTAGTGTTTTTGCTCTTCCATTTTTTGAATGGGTGACCATGAACTTAATATCACTAAATCTTATAGCACTCATCTTTAAAAATCACAGGATAAATTACACTTATGTCATAGATACAAATGAGATGATGTGTGAAAATCCCTTAGCACCACCATGCCTGGCACATATAACAGCTCAGTAATATTACTTATTATAAAGGTTAATTAACACATGGACACATATGCAAATGGGACAGATTATTTTCTGGATTATATTGTTAGATAATCAGACATGTAGTCTGTTGCATTAAATATATTTATTCAAGAGATGGGGTGTTTCTATGTTGCTCAGGCTGCTCTTGAACTCCTGGGCTCAAGCGATCCTCCCACCTCAGCTTTCCAAGTAGCTGAGATTACAGGTATGAGCCCCGGTGCCCAGTTACCAAATGTGATATTAACTGAAGAATTTAGGCTAGAATATTTAAATAGTGATGCTTGAAGTGGGATGGGGAAGTTTTGTGAGGGTTGTAGAAATCACCTGGGGGGATTTTCAAAACTATGCTCTCTGAAGAGTCTGCAATGTTGCCTCATCTTTAGAATTTGTCTTGGGATGTACCTCTGCTACTGATGGGAAAATGTCCTGTTCTTCAGGGGTTTTGGGTGAAATAAATGTTGACAACAACAAATTTGCAATATATAAATTTACAAGGTATTATATTAAAATATAATACATTCAAATCTTCATAATGACTATAAATGGCAATAAATATAAAATATTGGCCAGGTAGTATACAAGGAAATCACTACTCGTTCCAAAGGCTTTTGTGCATAGCATTTCCCCTAGCAGTACTACATAACACTTTACCAAGATGTTTTACTTCTGAACGTAGACATTTCTATTTCTCTTTCAGAAAAATGGTTTTGTGAATTTTGTCCTTGCTAATCATCATTTTTCAAGTTGTCTTTATGATAAATTTTTGGTGCTTTTGAAAGAATATTTTATATTGCTCAGTGTTACTAAGCAACTTGACTCTCTAGCATTAATTTTTGGAATTGTGTTTGGTCACTTTAGCTGAAGAAGAAAGATGATATTACTGAATATGTAGAATTCTGACTGTAATAATTTTCCACTGTAACTCTTTAAAGATAGCAGGCTACCTGGCAGTGGGCTTATATTTAGGAATCAGTTTGCAAAAATCTAGTCTACTTTCCTTAAAGTCTACCAAGATCTTTCTAATGAGAACTAAAAATTATTTGAGATGATAATTCATTTCATCACAGCCCAGAAGTTTCTGTTTTTTGACTAACAATGCATATAAGAACATGAATTTTCTTTCTTCTGGTGCCTCAGTGTTCATGTTTTTTAAAAAATCAAGATTGCTTTCTCTACTTTTGGTATATGCATTGGCATTGGTCTGATTTAAAACATGTTAATGATGGGAACAGTGAGCCCGGTGTGATTTAATAACCTTTCCCGATTGATTATCCTGAGGAAGTGGATGCAGTTGAGGAGGAGTCAGCAACAGAAACTGTTATTCATTAGCTTAAAAGCCATGATCAGGCAGTTTTCCACCTGCCTCAATTTTGGGTCTGCATTGGATTTTGAGTGGCTGACACAGACTTCTTGAGTTGGGAGAGCTCCCCTAAGGAACAACCAAACATTCTGCATGATGCTCAAGTGTGAAGAGTGGTAGATTGATAGAGAAAGGCTTTCTGGCTTTTGCCTTTAGTACTCTTGATGGTTTTGTTGAGGCACAAAAAAGCCACTATACTTGCACATGAACAACAAGAGTCAAGCACCCTTGATCGATCCTGTTTATTAAGAGCATTCGTACCTCACACTATCACATTCCTTTGAGGTCAAGGCAGTAGCAAAATAAAGTCAAGTACTGTGTGCAAAATGGAGTGCGTTGCTTTTGTCACAAGGCTAATTGAATTGCTTCTAAATGTGTTTCTAGAATTCTTTAAAGATAAAGTGGAAACAGCCAAGATATTTGAGGGAAAGAAAAAAAATGGACTGTGAACATAAGACATGTCATCAGGGAATGCTGATAAAGGAAAGACCTGGTTTAAGATGTGAGAACAGAGTTATTACTCATAAGTTTGCCTTGTTCACATGTTTTTGAGTAAGGGATGTATTGAGGCACTTGGCTTCTATTGATTTGGAATTAGGGCTTCAGACGGAATTTTTTGGCAAATGAAGAAATCCCTGCCCTGTGGATGTGCATCCAATATGATTCAGTCTGGCCTCTAATTATAAGATCCTTGCCTCAGTGAAGGGGAATAGAGTGCTAAATATGAAATCGTACCTGTTTTGGGTGTGTCCCTGGCTGCAACAGCAAAGGAAACAACCTTGAGGACCATGCCAGCTAGCTACTGGCTAATAAAGTGGCTCTTCTAAATATGGTTTATTGGGAATGAGTCCCAGAACAGACTTACTGGGAAGTGTTTAGATGTCACAAAGAAATTCAGATCAGCTGTAATTTACTACCACACCAGTTCATTTATTTTTAAAAAAATGAATGGAACTTATCAGTAGTCTACCCATCCCTACTTCTTACATTTCCCACAATGAACAGCCATGCCTTTTCTCCTTGCCATTACCCTCATTCTCAATCAATGACTTTCCATTCTACTTCACTGAAAAAATAGAGACCAACTTGCTAAACTCACAACTTTCTTCCTCATTACTTAAAATTAATCTGCAACCATGATCATCCTTATTTCTTTTCTTTGCATCTCATTCATTTCTTCTTTAATTCACTCATTTATCTATTTGTTTGACAAACATGTATTGGATACGTCCATGTACCAGATACTGTGCTAGGTGCTGCAGACAGATCAGTGAATTAGGCACAATCCTTTCTGACAAGAAAAAGAAGGATGAGCCCTATCCTATTCCTTCTTGCCTCCTCAGGAACCATGCGCCATCAATATCAAGTCTTGCTTGTGCATCTACAAATAATTCCTTCCACTCTACTAGCTCTTTCCCATCAAAATTTAAACAGACATAGATTTCTTCTATCTTAAGAAGTAAAGCAAAATAAAGCAGACAAAAATACCTTGCCTCGTTTCTCCATGTTATTACTGTTCTCTCTCATAATCAAGCTTGTAAAGACAGCAGTATATTCTTACCCTCTTTTTAGTTTTTCCTCCATTCATCATTCAGCAACATTATGCAATCTTATTTATTTCCCCAACACCTTATGGAAATTGCATTCAGAAACTGGGTACTTCTCAGTCCTTATCTTTACATTTATCATTGACCACTACTGAAATAGTCTCCTTCTTTGATTTCTGTGATTCTTTCTCCTGGTTTTCCTCTTCCCTCTCTGAATATTCCTTCGCTGTTTATTTCAAAGGCCCTACATCTCATTCTCCCAGAATTCTAGCTATTCCAGAGTTTCTTTTCTACTTTACAAAATTTCCTGTAGTGATCACATCTACTCTGGTGTCTTCAACAAACCATCTCTATACTAATTAATCCCAAAGCTATATCTCCAGTCTATATGTTTCTTCTGAGCCTTAAATCTGTATTTCTATTTGTATCCTGGTATTTTATAGACGCTTCAAGTACAACATGGACAAAACTAAACCTGACATGCTTAACCTACTGAAATATGTTTCTTCTCTACTGTTGTCAACACTTACATAAGTTACACTATTCAATTAATAATAACAGTAGCTAACATTTATTATTTCCATGTTCCAGGCACTGTGAGAAGTACTGTATATGAAATTTTGCACTCAACCCTAATAACTACCTTGTGAGATAGGTACTGTTATCATTCTTTTTATAGATATACAAATGAGGCTCAAGGTTGTAAGTTAACTTGTTCACGTCACATAGTCTGCAGCCAAACCTGGCTCTCGCTCCAAGGGGTGAAATTGGAATTCAGGCTCTCAACAGTCACACCACTTTCTCTCTCCATGGTTCAAGTAAAGTCACTTTGACTCCTTTCTATTCCGCTTTCTACACATCTTCTCACACCAACTCTATTGATTCTATTCCAAATGTATCATTTTCTTCCCTATCCTCAATGCTATTTACCTTATTCTGTTAGGCCCTTGCAGATTGATTCGTATCTTGCCCATATTGTTCCAGTCCTCTCCTAATGGCTTTGACTTTGGTCCAATTATTTGGCCACATTGGAGACAGAGTGGTCTTCCCCAAACTTAACTCTGATTACAACACTCTTTGCCTTGTAATCTCCCAATATCTTTCCATAGCCATTAGAAGCTTGTCCAAATCTTTCATATATATACTAAATAAAGGCCTTATTTCCTGATCTCTGCTTACCTCACTAGGCTCATCTTTTGTTGCCCAGACTTAAGGAACTACTTGCCATTTTCTGGACTGATTGTGTTATTTCTAGATTTCTGGTCTTCACCTGTGTAGGTCCTAGTACATAAACCATCTTCCTTCCCTTCACCTACAAAATGCCTGTGAATCCACAATGCTCAGCTTAAGAGTGCTCCTTTCCAGAAAGCCTTTCTGGTGCCCGCCTCTCCACAAGCCATGTAGATCAGGTGCCACTAATTTGTGTTTTTACTATGATAACATTTGTTTCTTTATGACTTTATCAGCTTACTATTCTGTCTTCTGTATTAGATTGTGAATGTTTTTGTGAGCATAAGCTTTGTTTTAATCATTTTTGCATCCTAATGGCTAATAAAGTCCCTGACATTTAGTATGTTTTTAATTAAATCATAGGTGAGGAGATGCAAATCTGTCCGAATCTATCTGATCCTTACTTTCACCATTTTCCTGTCCCATATAATATAACATGCTGGAAGGGATTGTAATAATAGAATTACTATTTTAGAATTCAAAAAAAAAACCATGCTTAATTCCAGGATAGCACCTCTACTGTGCACTGCAGTTGTTTTATGCCAACGTATTGATTTGATTGCTTTTAACTTATTCAGAGAGATTTCCAATTGATTCCTAAAGAAATCCCTGGAGGTCCATCCTAGCCCCTTATAATCTCTAGTTAAATATTTCTCCCGTAAATATACTCTGAATCTGAGCCTATTCCTATTTTTCCTGGTAAAACAGAAAATCTACCAGTGAATTACTTTCTCCTGCCCTCCCCTACTGAATTTTATGTGTGCATAATCTTTCAAATGTTTGTCAAGTAAAATTAGTCACAAAGCCGAACTCCTATCAGAGGAAACATGGCAGGGTGTCAATTCTGCACATTGCCAGGGGCTTGAGTCACTTGACTACACAAAAATGATCTTTAAAAATTCATGGGGTGCTCTGCATTCACCCTGCCTCTGTCCTCTCTCACTCTCACAATTGTGCCACCTCTCTCACTGAGCCACTTCCTTATTTTCTAAGCTAAGAGCTGCTGCCCACAGAAAATATGCTGAGTTTCCCCATAGTCATAAATCCTCATAAAACTCAAACAACAAAGGCCCAGAATGGAGAGGCATAGGATGATTTACTTTCTTGCAGCTACTATATAATTATATTCAGAGCAATCTATCCAAGGATTATAGCCAAAAGTCACCAGTGTTGTTTATGAAAGGTTGCAGTGTTTTCTTTTTTGAAATGTTATCTATTTTTATTTCAACTGAATATGGCTGTCAAGTGTTTCACATTATGCATCCTAATCCATGTGCATATGTATGTGGCCTTGTTTAATTCTCAGAGCTAAATTAGCTTTAAATTTATTCAAGTTCTTCTCATGTACTTCCATGCAGCTCTCAAGTGTCGTGTTTGACTCCAGTGGCAAGACCATGACTTCTGTTTTAGATAAATCCACTTACTCTTTTAATTTATTCTTTTAACTGCGTCTCCCCTTGCTCCTTGGCTCATTTTTCTTTAATTTTACTCCCAACTGAGAGAATCCACTAAAACGTGTCTTTGGCCCTCTAGCCATGTCCAAGAGGAGAAAATAGGTCCTTTTATTTCTAGCTAAGTCTCCCATCCCATTTTAGCCTCCTATTTGTAAATATTCTAGACCTCAGTGTTTGTCAGTCTGCTCTTCATGCTTTAAATTCAACCGCCACCACACCTTTCCATTATTATGATTCACAAATCCACTTTGCCTGATCCTGACCACTCACTTCCAATCCCATATTTCTAACTCCTCCATAAAACTCCTCCTCTTGATGTCTCTCTGTAATCTCTCCCTTACAATTTCTTTCAATAATTCTACCATTTTCTGTTTCCTGAAAAACATCTTTAGAGTCATATTTGATTCTTCCATGTTCTTATCCTGTATATCCAGGCTTTACTAGTTTAGTAATTTATCAGTATGTCCCTAGGCACCATGGAGGCACCGTGGACACAACAATAAATAGGATCACGTTTCTGCCATTGTGGGATGCACAATCCGCTGAGAGAAAGGGGCATTTGAAAAAATTATTAACGGCAAAATGGTGAACCATACAGATGAATGCACAAAGTGATATAAAGGGAAGGGAGAAACACCAAACCCTGCCAGTGGTGGTCAGGAAAGCCTGCTCTGAGAGGTGACCTACCACAGGGAGGATAGAAAGAAACAGGTCAAATAACGGGCTACCGAGTGCTCAAGACTGGAGGAGTCTGCATGCTGGCTTGCAGGCATGAAAGAGTGTAACAGAGACAGAAATTGCCTGTATGAGGGTGTGTTGGGGGACAGAGGGCAGATGAGTTTGGGAAAGTAAGCAGGGAGCAGATCATAAATGTCCTAGTATGGCAAGATAGTGACTTGGGATTTCAGCATATAGAAAATGCGAAGATTGAAGGATTTCAGGCAGCACAGTGATGGTAGCAAGTTTGCATTTTAGATGATTCTAGCAGCAAGCACCCTGGAAGAAGAACTGGAGGAGGGCAATCAAGAGGCAGGGTGTGGGTTGGGGGATGCAATGGCTGATGGCTGTAATCCTAGCATTTTGGGAGGGCAAGGTAGGAGGATCCCTTGAGCCCAGGAGTTTGAGAGCAGCCTGGGCAACATAGTGAGACCTCGTCTTTATACAAAAATGAACAAAATTAGCCAGGCATGGTAGCACACGCCTGTAGTCTCAGCTATTCAGGAGACTGACATGGGAGGATTGCTTGAGCCCAGGAAGTTGAGGCTGCGGTGAGCCGAGATCAAGCCACTGCACCCCAACCTGAGTGACAAAGCAATACTGTCTCAAAAAAAAAAAGAAAAAAGAAAAGAGGCAGGGGGATTGGAAGGAGGCTTCTTCACATGTGGCAAGGCAGGAGATCAGCCTTCTTGCCTACAGTGCAGAGAGGACACAGTGGAACTGGAACTGCGGTCATAAAATAGAAGGGAGATACTGGATGTGGGAGGAATTTCAGAGGAAAGAATTCCATGTATAATGACATGAGGACAGTAGGGAATTTTGAAATAGGAATTTAAGGAATAAAAAGAGGAAACTGATTATGGTTCTGCAAATGTATAGACAGAAATCCCTGAGGGCCCATTTGGAATGGAAACTCCAAGGGTGAAGAAACCATTGTCTGTAGAATGTGATATTCTCTGGCATTGCTCAATAGCTTGAAGAGAAAACTGAGAAGGCAGGTGTTGGTGGTGGTCTTGGGCTTTGTTTTTCTGGCCTCATTGACTACTTCTGCAGACTGGAGGGTCTTCTTGTATTTTATGTTGGCCTAGTGAATGCCTACTCATTTTTCAAGCCTGAGAGTGACTTGTATCCCACTGGGGGCTTGCTCTTCAACCTTATGCACAGTAAGTACCACTTTCTTGTCTCTTCTGTACACTGCACAGCTTAACCTTATGTTTTAACGTAGATCTTTCATATTCTACTGAATGTTCCAGAGGAGAGTATTATTGGTTCTTTTTAGACAATACCTGGTATAAAATTGGTGCTCAATACATGTTTATTGAATTGAAGAGATAACGGATGAACAAAGACAGAAAAGGGATGAAAGGGTCATATTTTAAAGGGTGTTGAAAGCCCTCAGAGAAGCTTGGAGATATATATATATATTTTTAAGAAGATGATGTGTGAAAACTGTTTGAGGAAAATTAGTCACCTAGGGGCACTCAAATGAATTTGTTCTCATCTTTATACCTCTGTTCATTTTGTTTCCCTTCCCTGGGTGGTCATTTCTCTGCCTCTCTATGCCTTCTGTCCAAGGTAGCTCTTTTATTGTGGAGGGAATTTAAAGGTTCATGGGAAAGCCAACAGGTTCTTGTACAATGAAGTCAATTATCTGAGTTTGCCATGTTTCCAAATCAGCCTGTCCTATTTGGAGGGGGAAATCTTCCTAAAACATCTTCTCCACTAACACAATCACCATCGTACTGGCAAGTTGCACTTTTGTTATTTTGGGAATTCAAAAAAGATTTAATAAAAGACAAGGAGATTTTAAGTAAAATCAGAGAAGAATATGTCACATGTAAGGATAATTTTTCAGGAAGCAAAATAGAGTGTTGGACTTGACCGAGACCCTAAGTCCGTACGAATGAACTCTTTCACACTTTCATTTACTATATTTGTAAAATTACATGTTTTTTTATATATATATACACATATATTTGTATATATACATACACACAAACACAAAAGTGTGCTGATAAGTATTTAACAACCATCTCTCCACAAAAAAAGAGGGGGCCCTGGCTTGTCATATTTGCTGATTTTGTAAAGTAAGTAATTCAACCATGACCAATTTTAAGCCACCAGTGTGATGGCACTGAATGCGGAGTTGGGGAGTGAGACTAATCACCTGCTCTTGCAAAGCCTGTACTCCTTGGCAGCTACACACCACTGAGTGTGTACACTTTGGGGAACCTACTGTAGCCAAATGCAGGGCTGAGGGTACCACAATGCAAGGCCCTACTCTTTGGGATGTTAGTGAGAGTGGGAAGACATGCTACCAATTATGAGGACCAAGAATTACTAAAGCACATGTGTATGCAAAGTACTGTGGAAATATAGGAAGAACACCTAACATATATGTAGTTAGGAATGCAGCTATATAAATCTACCTGAGAAATTCAGTGAAGGCTTGATGAGGTGGCTGGGCATCATTTGATTTATGACTTGAAAAATAATTGGGAGTTTGCAAGATGAACAGTGTTCCAGCTTAGGGAACGCAGCATGTTCAGAGAACTACAAATAATTCAGAATTGCTGGAGCGTAATATGTAAGTTGGGAGAGCCACGTGAGAGGAAGCCGAAAATGTAGGAAAGGGACAAGCTCTTACTTGTGACGCTAAGGAGTTAAAATTCCAGTGCTCAGGGGAGTGTAAAAATTATGCAAATAGTATCTCTGTGTTAGAGAGATCCTTTAGTGAGCAATGTGCAGAATGATTTGGAGGAGAGTGCCATGGGAGCCAGAGAGGCTGGTAAGGTGTGCAGTGAAATAGGGCAGTGAGAGGCAGTGAACCAGGGCAGCAGCGGTGCGAGTGGAGAAGTAGGTCAGCAGGAGAATAATGAGCTGGAATCACTAGGATGTGGCTATTGCTTAGCTATGGGGGGCGGGGGGATAACAGGAGAAAAAGGCACTTAGAAGGACCCCCAGGTTTCTGGTTTGGGAATCTAACACAGGAAAGAAAGAAAGAGGTAGAAGTTTATAAGGCAAAATAATGTGTTTTGCTTTAGACCTATTGGATTTGGTGTAATTATGTGATGTCCAAAAAGCAATTGTATGTATGGGTCAGGAGATGTCTTTTCTGAAGCTACACACTGAAGACTCAGGTGAAAGTTGTAAGCATGGGCGTAGAAGAAAGTATGTAGAATGACAAGGGACAGGATGGGGAGGAGAGGCGGGAATTAGGTGTAGCAGGACCACAATCTGGCTCAGACTTCCTTCTCTAGACGCTTCCCTTCCATAGCTTGCTTCAACAATACCAGATTATTCCCTCCCTGAACGTGCCCAGTCTTCTCCCATCTACTTCCCCCTTTCTGTTGAACTTTCCTTCTTTTTTCTCTGACTTTATAGCTGCTTGTAGACATTCATCACACCTTTATAGGTCCAGTTCAAATACCATGTACTCCAAAAGCCTCCCCCCATTTTCTTTCTCCTCTCATTGATGCCACGTTCTCTCTCATAGAATGTAGTGGTATGCTCAGAATTGTTTGTGTACATGGCCCATATTAAGCTCCTTGAAGACAAAGAGTTTGTCTTTATATATCCCTGTAGCCTCTATACCTAGGATAGTGCTAGGGGCTTTTTGGATGTGAATGAATGTTTAATTAAATTAGGGGACATATTGAATAAGAATGACCTACTGCAAAATTTTGCTTAACACTGACCCAGCTCGAGCATTATAACTTTTGCTTTTTACCCCAACTCATTAAAAAAAAAAACCTAAAGGAGACTAAGAACATACTTACCAATCAGACTTCATCTGTCTGGAACTTGGAGTATCTGTGTGCATGTTGAAGAATTAATGAGAGACTATGTAAAGAAGTATAAAGTAGTTTGTCATCTTCAAGTTTAGCTGATTTTATGATGTTTCTTGTGTGATCAGATTGAATTCTATAGGAGCATAGGTCTTTCTTTTTTGTAGGCATATGGAATAATTTATTTTTATCTGCTAGTGAAATTATTGCTCAATTATTCATAAAGACACATTGTTTATTCCTAATTTTATATTTGCAACATGCAAATATAAAATTAGGAATAAACAATGTGTACTTATCTAAAAGCACACAAAACACACAACTTTAGGAGATTATTAGTCAACTTATAGGATATGTACAAAATCTTTTCTTATACAGGATGTGAATCAGAAAATAGAAAACTATTCTTTAATAAAAATAAAATGGCACACTTAGCTGTGAGCTGTCACAAAAATTACACATTTTTCTCCTGAACTTAGAGATATTTACACTATTAAGTATATAGTTGAACCCAGACATTGGAATAAATAATACAATTAAAAATGAAAGATAAGCTGGGCGCAGCAGTGTGCACCTGTAGTCCCAGCTACTTGGGAGACTGAAGCAGGATGATTTCTTGAACTCAAGAGGTAGAAGTTGCAGTAAGCTATGATTGCACCACTGCACACCAGCCTGCATGACAGAGCAAGGCCTCCATCTCTAAAAAAATTTTGAAAAATGAAAAAAAAAAAATGAAAGATGAGCCTGTAGCCTCAGTACTCTCAGGAAACCTCTAATTTAGGCCTAATGCTGAAGAGTTTAATACCATTAATTTGCCTTGTGAGCTTAACCATTGATTAAGCTACCTGGGGAGAAGAATGAGTCTGTTGAGTAAAGGTTCTCTTAGATGTAGGTGGAGCTGGCAGCTGCTTACGTTTACAATTTATGAGATTTTATGGTCCCAAATGCCAGGCCTACTGCCTGACATTCCAACATTGTGCCTCCTTTCCTATGTGTCTTACAGGTTTTACGTAGCCTCTCATGAATTCTTCAAAATGCAAACTAATACCCCAAGTTCCAGACAGGTGAAGGCTGGTCGGTAACTATCTTCTTAGTCTTTTTTTTTTTTTTTTAAATGAGTTGGAGGGAAAGCAAAAGTTCTAAAGGTAGAGCTGGGTCAACACTAAGTAAAATTTTGCAGTAGGTCATTATTGTTCAATATCTTCCCCAAATTTAATTAAACATTCATTCATACCCCAAAACATGTATTCTTTAAAAAGTAAATAGGCCGGGCATGGTGGCTCATGCCTGTAATCCCAGCACTTTGGGAGGCCAAGGCTGGCGGATCGTGAGGTCAGGAGATCGAGACTATCCTGGCCAACGTGGTGAAACCCCGTCTCTCCTAAAAAAACAAAAATTAGCTGGCCATGGTGGTGCATGCCTGTAATCCCAGCTACTCGGGAGGCTGAGGCAGGAGAATTGCTTGAACACGGGAGTCGGAGGTTGCAGTGAGCCGAGATCGCACCACTGCACTCCAGCCTGGTGACAGGGTGAGACTCTGTCTCAAAAAAAAAAAAAAAAAAAAAAAAGTAAATAGCACTAGAGGTAGGAGTTGGAGTGAGGCAGGGGAGAAGACGGAAGACACATGGAAGCCAGTTCTTTATCTGAGTGTCTTCATTTTCCATGAGCATTGTATGACTGAGGAGAGCTTAAGAGAGGGTCAGGAGGGTGCCCAGCGAGGTGGGGATCACTGAGACACATGGGAGAGAGGGAAGAGTAGGTGGCTGGACAGGTGGGAGGAAAGCAGATCTGAATTTTTTCTGATATATCTCATATGACTTCAGCAATAGCACTATGAGGTCATTATTTTTCCTGTTTTATTGATGAGAAAACTGAGGCTCAGAGAAACAAACTTAATCCTGATCACTTTCTTTTGCTTTGCCTTGTGCTTTCTCTTTGAGAATATTATTTCCAAAATTGTATGTGGAAAACCAGGAAGCCAAAACTACATATACATTTGACTATAATTGTGTTTAAAAAAAAAAAAGATCCAGTGAAAACATAAGAAAAGCGGTATAACAAAATGATGATGATTTTGGTCTTTGAGAGGTGGGGTCAGGAGGTAAGAGATGGCTTTTGCCTATTCCTAGTTTTCTATATTTTCCATAATACACATGACTGCTTTTATAGCATCATTGTCATTATCACCAATAACAGCAAAAGGCGTGCATTACTTTAAAAAGGAAAGTTGTGCCGGGTGCGGTGGCTCAAGCCTGTAATCCCAGTACTTTGGAAGGCCGAGACTAGCGTATCACCTGAGGTCAGGAGTTCAAGACCAGTCTGGCCAACATGGTGAAACCCTGTCTCTACTAAAAATAGAAAAAAATTAGCCAGGTGTGTTGGCGCACACCTGTAATCCCAGCTACTCAGGGGGCTGAGGCAGAAGAATCTCTAGAATCCTGGGGGCAGAGGTTGCAGTGAGCTGAGATACTGCCACTGCATTCCAGCCTGGGCTACAGAGGGAGACTCTATCTCAAAAATAAATAAATAAATAAATAAAATAAAAATAAATAAATAAATAATAAATAAAAAGGAAAGTTGTTTCTGTTTCTTGGGCTACCAATATTCCTTCTAGATGTTTAATAGTTTCATGGAAACAAAGACCGATATTTTTAAGGCTTGATGAGTCAAGTGAATTCCATAGTAAAAATTCTGCCATTACTCTTAGAGCTTCTATTAAGACTATGTTACATGGTTTCTCTACTTGTTATTGTGTAAGAATTAAGAAAAAAATTATTGAAGCAACTCCATTGATAATAAAACTGGTAGCCTGTTTTATAAATCTATAAAATATTCTGCATATTTCTGCATCCTGTAGAAAGTACATATTTGAATTGAATGTATTTATTGATATTACATTTTACTAAGATGTTCAGGTGTTTCTGTGCTTTCAAAATACCAAAAATCCAATCAATTACATAGAAATACACAGTCAATGATAGAGATATTGTATCTACATAATGTTGAACCCCTGAATTGACTGAACTGAGGGACTCTTGAGGCATTGTGTAGATAGAGCTGAAATGAGACAAATATGATAATTTAAACAATGTCTCCTTTATATTAAAATAACAAACTATAAAAGCAATGTATTTAGTCAGATAATCCGTTTAGTTTACACAATTCCAAGCCATAAGTTTGGGTAATTTATCTTACGGAATTTACCCAACATTTAGATGTTTTCCTAAAATATAATTGAATCTCTGAATAAAAGAAAACAAAGATTTTGGCCTGGATTTTCTGCATAGAGAATGAAAGTTAAAAACAAATAAGGAAGAAACTCACATTTGTCCCTTACATGTAAATGCTCTTTTACTTCCTTTTTAAATGTTTCTCTTTTAGGCTATGCACATTTGAATTTAAGAACTTGATTAGAAAGACCTGACCCAGATGAGTATTTATTAAACTGTAAGTTAAACTTTCCTAAAAGAAAAAAATGCAGAGAAAATATTAAAATTAAAGTCCTTTGGCTATAGAAGGTGGAGGTTTGAACCTTTCAAAGGTTTAAGAAAATAACTATTTTGGAAGAAGAAAAAAGCAGGTCACTAATTTTGTACAAAACTAGCTCCCCTTCACTGTTCTCATTCCCACTGATCGGGGCACCACATTCTTCCAGACTCAGAATCCTGGGGCCATATTGAATTGTCCTTTCTTCATCCTTTATGTCTAATATGTTCACATCACACCCTTTCTTTCTTTGAAACATCTTTCTGGTATACTCTTTACTTTAAATTCTCCTGATAGAGGATCTTACTGCCTCATGCCTGTATCACTACTAACAACTTCCAAAGTGGTCTTTCTTCCACCAATCTCTCTCTCTTCAAATCTGCCTCCCCGACGGCTGTCAGATTTCTCATCCCTGAACACCATTTCATCACTGCTGCTCCCTGCTCATCACTCACATTCTTTGTTGCCTCTGCATTAAGTGCAAATTCCTTTCTTTGCCTGATTGTCTGGATCCTCCACAGCCTTCTCTGTCTCTCTGTCTCTTTCTCTTCTTTCACTTTCACACATCAATCCAGTCTTACTTTTTACCACTCCCACAAATACATCATTCATTTCAGACAACTAAGTCGCTCCATCACATAAGTCCCACTCTATGTGCCCCTTCTTGGCCCCTCTCCAAACCCATGCCATTCTCATCCCAGCCACTATGTCTTGTCCTTTATGCATGGAATACTGTCCTTCTTGACTTTTACTTTTCAAATTATCTTCATCCTTCCAGAGCCATCTCAAATGCCACCTCTTCCATAAAGACTTCTCTGATCCCTGTAGCCCAGTAATTTTCCTTCTTTTCTCTGAACTCACATCCCATCTATAATCAGGGTTGAATTACAAGACACACTACTTAAATACACTCCTATTGGCTTATGTGTCACTCCATGTTTCTCAATTAGGGTGTTATTGGTATTTGCAACAAGGGAACTTCATTCCTTATTCTTGGAGGCTAACTGACAGTGGTGTTAATGTGACAACCCCAAATGCTCAGAATGTATTTCCAAATGCTCTAATTATTTAAAAAAACTCCTTAAAGAAGTTACCACGTCATATACACATTTGTTCAACAAGTAATCTTTGTTAAAGCAGTGAATGTGTATTTTTAAGGAAAAACCTGTAGTTCCCTCACAGTTGCCAAAATATTTTTAAAAATTGAGAAGGAGCCAGTTAATACTCAGTTGTTAATCACCACTCCAATTTAGGCATTTTTCATGAGGTATTTCATGGATCCTTACACTGATCTTGGATATTGCTATTTATCTCATTTAACAGATGACAAAACTAAGGCTCACAGAGTTCTGCTTATCCAAGTTTATAGAGTTTGAATGGAATCCTGGCATTTAAGCCCAAGGTTGTTTGGAGCCAAGTCTTTGGCTTTTTCTTCTATCATACAGCCTCTGTAAGGACAGCTTATCGGTAACAGCTTTGAAATAAGACTGTGAACATGTAACATAATTAGCAAATTAAAGCATATTAATGCTGATAGGTACTAATGACTGTAATGGAAAGAAAGGACATTAGACAAGACAAACAAGTTTTAAAAATGTATAGCAGGAATGCAAATTGGAGTCTAATGAATGAATTTACTCCCTGATCTTCCTTGCTGCAGACATTAACCCATGTTTGGTGTCTAATTGAGATGTACATATTCTTTGCTTTCTTATTATATTTGTCAATGTTTGTCTTGGAAGATAGTCAATAGATCTCTCTAAATTTCCATTAATCAAGTTTTGGGTAATAAATGGCTGAATAAGCCTTATATTAGGTATCACTACTAGATCCAAGGCAAAAGAAATCTAAGAGCTGACAATAGTTGTTTAGGTCTTTCTTCTGTCATCTAGTTATCTTTAATAATAAGTATTATATAAACCAAGTATTACAGCACCATTTAAAATGCAGTATATGTTTCCTTTAAGTTATGGCTCATTATTCATTTCATGCATATCTAAAACACTTAAATTTTTTAGCAGTTTATTTTGCTGTGTCCAGTTACGATGCATATATCAGCTGGAGTTTATGAAGTAACAGTGTGAATGATTATATGTATACTTTTTTACAAAGTACACTCAGTTTCTAGCTATGTACACAGAACTATATTCCTTTCAAGAAATATGAGAAAATTCAACCCATTTAAAAGTATCAGCATGTTGATTTCAAGTTTAGATTTCTTTTTTCAGCTATGAGAATAAATATTTATCATCTGTTCATTATGTTTAACAAAGAAGGAAAAGAAACTTCAAGCTAAGTTTGTCAGTAACCTAGAACAATTGTATATAGATAAATGTGTAAATGATATAAAAGTATTTTATTCCTATATCATTTCATAAACACTGCAACAAAGTTTTGCACTTGGTTCACTAGTAAAACCACTATTCAACTAATTATATGCACATTCAGGTGATCTAAAAGTATAACAGAATTTTTAGGTATGCTTAGCAGGAAAAAACCGATTTTTAAAAAAATTTCAATCATTCTTTATGAAAAATTGAGCTTGATGTTGTCTTTTTTATTGGAACATTTCCTGAGCAAAGTGCATTTTCAGCTTCTGCATGCTGGGACACTGTGTAGGGAGCTGGAGGAGAGGGTGATAGAATCTTTCCCCACTAAGACTACCAAAAATAAGTCCAGGAACCTTTCTCAGGTATATGTCTCCATTGTGAGTAACCATAGAATGGCAAAGAAAGTTTCATTTATTTTTAAACTAACCTGTTTTCAAACTGTCTTGTCAAATATTTGTTGTGCAATAGAATTTTTAAAGATAATTCTTTATCATGCAATAGAATTATTTCCTACAGAAGCCAGAAATTCTCCAAATATTCTGATAACATTTCCAGAGAGGCATAAACATATTAAAGGTGAATTTCTAGAGTTTCTGTTTATATTTCTTTGTATCTTAATAGCACCTGAACTGATGCCTGCTGATGTGCTATCAAATTTTCCCTATCTATTTTTAGATCTTCAGTTGCTTTAGAGATGGATTTAATATGTTAGGCAGAAGCTTACACTGTGAAACATTTGCATGATTGTATTTTGGTTTCGCCATCAGCTAAACAGGGAAAAGTTGTTTCCCATCTCCAAGGAACTCTATCCCACATTTCCTCTATTGACTTGGAGTTTCAGTTTTGCTTACCTGCTTCCTTGAAGATACTGTGCTGTTGAAACATCTATTAGAGGTATTTACATTCAGATTTGTGTTCTGATGGGTTGAATCATTTTTCCATGTCTTAGAGTTTTCTTTAGGATCTGAAGGAATGGGATTTAAGAAAAGGATTCTAGCTATGAATCCATAGAGGACGGTAGCCAGGATCATTGGCACAACATAAAAGACACCAAAGTCCATTAGGTAAATAGGTGAGTAGTAATTCCTGGAGATCTTGTAGCCACAGGATATCACAATAGCATCTTTGTAGGTGCTAATATTGAGATCCAGCAAGAAGAACCAGAGCATACAGTAAAGAGATGTGAAAGCCCAGACAAAGATGATAATCTTTTTGGCTCTGGAAAATGTGCAGAGAAACTGGGCTTTGATGGGGTGACAGATTGCTATGTACCTCTCAATGGTAAAGGCTGTTATTGAACAAGAGGATGCATTAATTCCCAAATACTGGAGGTAAGTAATGCAGAGGCATCCAACATAGCCATAGACCCAGGAACCGTAGATACTGTCTGTTATGTTGGGGAGGCCTGCGGCCACCAAGACCATGAGATCAGCTACTGCCAGGCTCACCAGGTAGCAGTTTGTGGGGGTCCTCATGTGCTTGGTTCTCATGACAACCAGGACTACCATGATGTTGCCTACAATGCCCAGGCCACAAATAATGAGTACAAGTAAGATGGTGACCACCTGGTATTCTAAGGCCACCACTGCTCGTGGCTGAAGCTGTGTTTGGTTCAGTTCACTGACTGTCTCGTTTTCCATCTTTAGAAGCTTAAAGTTTCTCGGAAACACTGACTTCTCAAAACATCTTCTTTCCAGCGCCCACCTTTATTGCAGCAGTTCCATCCCCCTGTGAAGGGTCATAGTACATATTCATTAACAGTGTTACAATTTCTGATCAAGTCCCAATCACAAATAACCGTCACTTCCACTCCTTTCACTTCCCATTTTTCTATGGGAATAGGGCTCATGTGTACTTCTTAAAACTTCTTTTATTGCATCTCTAGTGTAGAATGGAGTAACTGTTTTGACCAGCTCACATTAAGAGGGACCAGTTCCCTCTTAATGGAGAAAAATGCTTAAGGAAAGAGAAACAGTAAAAACTAATTGTTTTGAAACAGTGCCCAGTTGAAAAAAACTAAATATCTGCTAACTGAAAAATAAATATGAATACACCTCTTAGATGCCTGGCAAAAGTATAATAAAGAAGAAAAAGATACCAGAGGAAAAAGCCAAGAAGCTCAATAATCAAGCTTGTTACAAATTTAGCTGTTGCCTCTTTTGCTCTCAGAGGGTGAGATGTCTTTGGTATAAAATAGCAAGCCTTTGAGATGACATTTCCCCATGCCCCCTGCCCCACAGATTCAAGAGAGGACAATTTCTTCTCTTACCTTATCCTCTGTAGCGCTGCCTGATTTTCTGGGTAGATGAAGTGGTAATAGTTCCAAGTTTCTAATCTTGCAGAAAATCTTGTCTACTCTATTTGAGAGGGAGACCACTTAGCAGTGCTCAGTCTTTAAAACTGCAGTTTCTCCAAACCCTCACAGCCCTTTCCAACTAATGACAAACCATACAGCCGCGGCAGAAGCAGAAGCAGCAGCAGGAGCAGCAGCAGTGAGGCTGTCAAATCATAGATCGTCCCCTAATGAGAACATACACGCTCGCTCGCTCTCTCACACACAGAGACACACACACACACACACACATACATTCACACACACTCACAGATGCCAGTCAGTCCTCACTGATTCAGAGTCTTCTGCTCTTGGAGGATTTACTATTAAATGTGCTGATGAGACAGTCTTTAATTTGGAAAGCTGAAATCATAAGCCAGGGGTCTAGAAGCAGCTGGCTTTGTCGTTGCTTATCATCTAAGTTCTGCAGAAACTCTAGTACCTGAGCTGCTCTGAAATACATTTACACTCCTTGCTTGATAGGACTTTGGGGTTAGCAAATCCTTCTCAGTCTAGACATGGCCCTTGAAGCTTGAAATATCTGTCTGAGCTGAAATCAACCTCTTTCTCTACTATGAAAACCCTTGTACTGTTTCTCAAGTGAATCAGTACAATTGGCTTCCTCCTCTCATATTTTGTGAATGGAAAATTAGTTAAAGTTGATTTCAAACCATTTCAGCTGCAATCTTCTGATGCTTATAACAATTATTTTTAAAAGGCCTCTTTGAGCTAAGAACATCAATTTAAACTGCGTAGGGTCTGTTAAGTTTTTCAACTCTTATTTCTGGACCACTTTATAGAATCTCTCTATCGGCCCTGGGTGCTTTTCACCTTCACCTGTCCTCTGGATTTCCAGTCACATGAACCACCTAGCAATGTTTTGTCTCAGTTTATTTCTAGGTGGAAAAATCATCTAGTAAAAATCTATACCAGTGCCATTCTGTTACCAAACCTCTGAAATGAAAATTAATAGACACATCTTTTGAAGAAAAGTACACTTCAGCATTATTATTTCTCTAAAGTAGCCAGTGGGCAAATCTACAGTTTGTTTTTTTTTTTTTAACTTTGAGACAGGATCTCACTCTGTCACCCAGACTGGAGTGCAGTGGCATGATCACAGCTCACTGCAGCCTCGACCTCCTGGGCTCAAGTGATCCTCCTACCTCAGCCTCTTGTGTAGCGGAGACTACAGGTGCACACCACCACGCTCAGCTAAGTTTTGTATTTTTTTGTAGAGATGGGGTCTTGTTATTTTGCACAGGCTGGTCTTGAACTTCTGGGCTCAAGTGACCCACCTACCTCAGCCTTCCAAAGTGCTGGGATTACAGGTGTGAGGCACTATGCCTTGTCTTAAATCTATTTTTTTAATGGAAGCTCAGAAAACATGTATCTTTTCTCAAGATACCAACTGAATACATCAAATGCTGATGCTTCTCCACTTTTATTTTATTAACTGACAATGAAAAATACCCTTAGCTAAATTTCCTGTAAGGTAACTGGTGGATTAAGAATAGACCTCTAGGCTGGGCACGGTGGCTCATGCTTGTGATCACACCAGCACTTTGGGAGGCCGAGGTGGGCAGATCACCAGAGGTCAGGAGTTTGAGACCAGCCTGGCCAACATGGCAAAACTCCGTCTCTGCTAAAAATACAAAAATTAGCTGGGTGTGGTGGCACACGTCTGTAATCATAACTACTGGGGAGCCTGAGGCAGGAGAATCTCTTGAACCTGGGAGGCAGAAGTTGCAGTAAGCCGAGATCACGCCATTGTACTCCAGCCTGGGCGACAAGAGCAAAACTCTGTCTCAAAAAAACAAAAACCAAAAAAACCCAAACAACAACAACAACAACAAACAAACAAAAAACACCAAAACCTCTAGAAGAGGTCAATGGAAGAGTCTATTTTGAGTAGACAGGACCATAGGGATATCAAAAACATGCACAAGGATGGGTAACAATGAGATGAAGGTGAAAGTGAAGTTCTGGATGATATTGAATGGCTTTCACCCGTTGAACCATTGAGGAATCCTTGAATACCCATTTCTCCTTCCCAATTATTTGTAGTTATGAGCCCACGTTCAGCCTTCAGACATGTATTGTTTGGCCTGTACATGGTAAGCCCAAGGGATTTAACACAATTTATTATTTTTTACCTTTCAAAATTGAGAAATTGAATATTAAATTTTAGGGATTGTTATCAGAAACACGTGAAAGGTCTGGCAACCAGGGGCTTGCATTTCTTCACAGAAATAATCATTTGTGGCTGAGTGGGTGTTGTGGTCAGGAGTTTGTAGGGGTCCCTGGTGCAGGAAGTGCATCCGGTTCCTCACTCCACACTACCTCCAGCATCTCTCAGTCATGCATACCTGCCTTCTGCCACCGTTTGAGTTCTGACCCCTGCATCAAACCCAAGTTCCTGAGAGAGACAGGGAGGGCACCAGCCAAATGCACATTCTTTTATCCCAAGCAGGATTTTTGTCTGAGTTTTAGTTTTCTCCTCCACCTGGTTTAGGAGGCTGGACAATGGATATTCCCTATGCCTTTCTCCCTGGCCTAGAGGACAGAGATTACTGTGAAAAGCTTGTCTCTTGTCTAGCCTCCTGCTTTTCAGAATGAAAAATGCTTTCTAAGATGAAGGTGTTTCCTCCTTACTGCACCCTACCACCACCACTTCCAAACCAAAATTCCTCTTGAAAAGTCTTACTTCGTAAATCCCATCTTCCCATCTTGTTCCCCTAAGGAGTTTAGTTGGCCTTCAGGCCTCCTAAAAACAGCTTACTTCAAATCTTATAGTTGAGTTGTCAAGATGAGAGGAGAGAACCCATATACTGCTACCTGCTGTCTCAATTCCACCTCCACTCCAATTCTTTTCTTATTGCCATTCTTCAACACTTACAGGCAAGGCCATTATTCGGAGTCTCTTTTCTGTGTCTCTGTTTTTTTTAACACATAATTATTAAGGTCCTACTATGTGTCAGGCAGCTAGTACATAAAATTTTGTTTTTACCTCCAAGTAGGTTGTGGTCTATTGGGAGCAGCAGGTTTGTAAACAGTTACAGAGAGATATGCACTAAAAATGTGCAATCACAGGGTTTGGACTATGAAAGGAAGGCATTTGTGGGTGGTCAGGGCAGTCAGCTGAGGCACAGAGAGGGCTTCTAAGGCAACGTAACCTCTGAGAACTTCTGTTCTCAGGAACAGCCTTGAAGAAAAGCACAGCTTTCCTTTGAAAGGTGGGGAAAATGAAGACATTCTGACTAGAAGTAATAGAATATTACAAGAGTCAGCTGTGTAAAATGGCCAGGGATTTGGGGAGACAGGGGAGTGATTTTATGATTCAGCTTTGGCCATGAGGCATTTGAGCTGGTGATGAGACAACCATCTGATGACCACCAGGCAGGTTTTCTAATAAAGGCGCTCTCCCTTGTGCACTGACTCAGACTGTCCTTGGTCCCGCTTCCTTCTACCCCTAAACTTGTTCTTTCAACTCTGGAGAGGCTACATTTCTGAGTTTACCACCCCAGACTTGCCTATTCAGTACGGTACTATCAATCAACTTTCATCTTCTCAATAAACTTTCAATCAATTTCATGCTCTTTGCAAAATTATATTTTCAAAGCATGATTTCATAAGGTAGGTTTTCTATTTGTAAACTCAGATAATATAAATGTTCCCTATGTGCAAACAACTGCACAAAAATGGGAGAACATTTCTTTTTTTAAAAGGCAAGATCAGTATTATGATTTTTGCCTTTTGCCTCAGACTCCAAGTGCTAATCCCTTACTTACATTTTTGATGTTTTGCTTATTATGGATTATTTTCCAGTGATTTTGATTTTTAAAGGTATTTTAATAGTAAAATGTTATCTTGATAGCTGAGTTTTTTGGAGCTCCCTACACTTTGTGCCATCACTTACCTCATTCTATTCTCAGGCTTCTTATCCCTGGCTGAATTTCAGAATCAACTGGAGAGTTTTTAAAATTACAGAAACGTGGGTCCCTCTCTCAGACATTCTTAGCTAATTAGTCATAAAGTGAAATCCAAGCTTTGGTGTGTACAATGATGTTTGAGAACCACTGAGCCGTGCCAATAAAATTTGGTGTCTGGAGACGGGAAATTGGTGGTATGGGCTAATCCAGGCTGCGGGAGGGCCAGGCAGCTGAAATAAACTGAGTCTTAAGTAACCACCAATGTTCAGAAAGGTGACAGCTGTAGAAAATTTGGCAACAGAGAGCACTGGCACGAGACTCTGGTTCCTGTGAGAAATAACTATTCAGGTTTTTGGATTTAGAAGTGCTGAATGTGGTGCAGTGTATTGAGTGAGTTAAGATTCAGACACAGAAACCACGGCAAAGATTTGGTCACTGGAATCAGTAGGTAAAGTCTTGGCAGCTTCCATGTGATGTTGGGCCTGCAGGTGTGCAGAAGGCCAGAATTGAGGTTTGGAAACCTCTACCTAGATTTCAGAGGATGTGTGGGAATGCTTGAATATCCAGGCAGAAGTCTGCTGCAGGGCAGAGCCTTCATGGAAAGCCTCTACTAGAGCAGTGCAGAGGGGAAATGTGGGGTTGGAGTCCCCACACAGAGTCCCCACTGGGGTACTGCCTAGTGGAGCTGTTAGAAGAGGACCACCTTCCTCCAAATCCCAGAATGACAGATCCACTGATAGCTTGCACTGTGCACCTGGAAAAGCCACAGACACTCAATGCCAGTCCATGAAGGCAGCTGCGGGGGCTGTACCCTGCAGAGCCACAGGGATGGATCTGCCCAAGGCCTTGGGAACCCACCTCTTGCCATCAGCATTCCCTGGATGTGAGACATGGAGTCAAAGGAGATTATTTTGGAGCTTTAAGATTTAATGGCTGTCCTTCTGGATTTTGCACTTGCACGGGGCCTGTAGCCTCTTTGTTTTGGCCGATTTCTCCCATTTGGAACAAGAGCATTTACCCAGTGCCTGTATCCCCATTGTATCTTGGAAGTAACTAACTTGTTTTTGATTACACAGGCTCATAGGCAGAAGGGGCTTGCCTTATCTCGGATGAGAGTTTGGACTTGGACTTTCGACTTAATGTTGGAATGAGTTAAGACTTTGGGGGACTGTTGGGAAAGGACAGTTGTATTTTGCAATGTGAGAAAGACATGAGATTGGGGAGAGGCCAGGCACAAAATAATGTGGTTTGCCTCTGTGTCTCCACCCAAATCTCATGTTGAATTGTAATCCCCATATGTCAGGGGAGGGACCAGGTGGGAGATGATTGGATAATGGGGATGGATTTACCCCATGCTGTTTTCATGATAGTAAGTGAGTTCTCATGAGATCTAATGGTTTAAAAGTGTGGCACTTCCCTCTCACTCTCTCTCTCCTGCCACCTTGTGAAGAAGGTGCATGCTTCCCCTTCACTTTCCTCCATGATTATAAGTTTCCTGAGGCCTCCCCAGCCGTGTGGAACTCTGAGTCAATTAAACTTCTTTTCTTTATAAATTACCCAGTTCACGTAGTTCTTTTCTTATAATGTCTTTGTTTTTTGTAACAAGTCAACACTGATCTGATAAAATAAGTTGATAAGTCTTCCCACTTCCTATATATTTTGAAATATTTTTACAGGATTAGTATTATTTCCTCTTTAAATATCTGGTAGAGTTCATCAGTGAAGTCATATGACCATGAGTTTTCTTTGTTGAAAAGTTTTTAATTAGAAATGTGATTTTTATTTGGAGCTATTCATGTTATCTATGTCTTCTTAACTAGTTTTGATTACTTTGTCTTTCAGTGAATTTATCCTGTTTAGCTAATGTTGTCTATTTTATTTGCATTAAGTTTTCAGAACATTTCCCTCTTTATAATATCTGCTCAATGTATGGTGATGTTCACTCTTATTTTTTCTATTGGCAATTCATGCAATCTCCTTATTTTCATGATAAGTCTAGCTATAGGTTTATTTATTTTATTGACATTTACAAATGATCAACCTTTAGTTTAATTGTTTACTATTTTCTCTATTATCATTATTATTTCTCTTCTTACTTTGGCTTCAATTTGCTTCTTTAAAAAGTAGATAATTATAAAATATTTGGTTCACAAAACACACAATGTAAAATGAGGAAGACATGGTTTATTATGCATACATGTAGAAAAGATATGAGAAGTAATTATTTTAAAGGGACAGTGGTTTTTTTTTTGTTTTTTTTTACCTTTTAAGCTCAGGGGTACCAGTGGAGGTTTGTTGCATAGGTAAACAGGGGTTTGTTGTACAGATTATTTCATCACCCAGATATTAAGCCTAGTACCCAATAGTTATCTTTCGTGATCCTCTCCCTCCCCTGACCACCTTCCAATTTGCTTCTTATGGTGAAAGCTTAGATCACTGATTTATAACTCTCTGTTTAAAATGTAAGCATTTAGAACTATACGTTTCCCTCCCAATATTTCTTTAAGTTCCATTAATTTCGATATGTTGTATTTTTAATTTCATTCACTTAAATATGTTTTCCAGTTTTCCTTTTATAGTCTTTAGAAGTGTGCTGTTTAACTTTCATATGTTTGCAGATTTTCCATATAGGGTTTTGTTATTGATTTCAACTTTAATTCTATTGTGGACCAAAGATATACTCTGCATGATGTCAGTCCTTTTCCACTTATGAAGATTTATTTTATAGACTATCATATAGTCTATCTTTGTGAATGCTCCATGTGTTCTTCTTTGGTTGAGTAGACCATTCTGGAATGTCGATTAGTTCAAGATGGATTGTAGGGCTAAGCATTCTATATCGCTATTGATTTTTCTGTTTTATCAATTACAGAGATATTGTGCAGAGGTATCCAAAGATAATTGTGGAGTTTCCTATTTCTTATTTTCACTTCTGTCACTTCTTGAACCATGTCCTGTGGAACTCTGTTATTCAATGTCTCCTTGATTAATTGTACCCTTTACTATTATGAAATGTCCCTCTTTATCCCCAATACAACTTATTTTAAAGTTTATTTATCTGGTATTGGTATAGTCATTCTATCTTACTTATAATTAGTTTCTTCATTTGTATTCCTTTCTATCCTTTTACCTTTCTGTATATTTACTCTAAATGGGTTTCTTGTAATAACATATAGTTGAATATTACTTTTTTACTCAATCTTATAACATGTGACTTTTAATCAAAGTGTTTAAATCATTTTCACTTAATGTAGTTATCAGTGGGGTTAGGTTTGAATCTACCATGTGGCTACTTATTTTATATTTATTTCCTCATATTCTGTATCCTTTCCCACACAAAACGTTCCCTTCTTAAATATATCTTTGTTGAATAGACAAAATAATATTGAAATCAATTTATCTTCACATTTCTTAATGCTTTAGAAATATTTTTATGTGACGTATTTGTACATGTTTACCTTTGGAAGCTAGTGTTTTTCTTATTTGTTTAAACTCATTATATAAAAGATATATCCATTAAATTATCTATTAAATGTATCTGTGTTTTTATATCATTGTCTTTTTAAATACGGAGCTTTTTACTATTACATAGTGTAAAATTTTAATCTTTTCTTCTATCACTACAGACCTCAAATCTTATTTCCTAATATTTCAAACATTTCATTTTAAAATTTAATTCTTTAATTCATCTGGCATCTATTTTGATTTAAGATACAGATCTCAACTTATCTTTTACTAATATACACTTGTATTTAAAAAGATAACATTTGTAAAGATGCAATACATTGTCAACAGAAAGACTTATTTTTTAAGATGTTAGCATACTTTGTCAACTCTTTTTCTTTTTGTTCTATTTTTGATTAATATTATCTCTAATGATGATTATGATCAAGAACAGCTGTTGGTTATTAAGCACTTATTAAGTCTTAAGCACTGTATATGCATTATACTTTTTTTTTTTGAGTCAGAGTCTTGCTCTGTCACCCAGGCTGGAGTGCAGTGGTGCAATCTTGGCTCACTGCAACGTCCGTCTCCTGGGTTCAAACGATTCTCCTGCCTCAGCCTCCTGAGTAGCTAGGATTACAGGCCCGTGCCACCATGCCTGGCTAGTTTTTTATATTTTTAGTAGAGACGGGGCTTCACTGTGTTAGCCAGGATGGTCTCGATCTCCTGACCTTGTGATCCACTCATCTCAGTCTCTCAAAGTGCTGGTTACAGGCATGAGCCACTGTACCCGGCCAGCACTATACTTTTAAGCCTGATAATGACACCACAAAGGAATTATTATTGTCCATATTTCAGATAAGGTAATTGAGACATTAAACTTAAACAATTTCTTCAACACTATATAGCTGATGAGTAGCAGAGCAGGAATTAAAAGCCACCAAAATCTATACACTTAACTAATTTGTTCTACTGTGTCCCAAAGAGTCACGCTGCACTTCTATACACCAGATTGTTTTTTTCACCCAAAAGGCTATCCAGGCCATTTGAAATTATAGTTCAGAAAACTCAAATTTGTTTTCATACAAATCTACATAAGGACTACATATATAGAATTCAAAGCAGAAAATAACTCTTTGTGTTTAGGGCAAACTTTCCTTAATGTATTTTGTGTGTTCTCCAGCATGTAACAGAGCACATCGCTACACAAAGAAAGTGGTTTGTGTATAGTACAAAATGTTGTATAAATGAGTGAATTGGTTTTCCGAAGTGATTGACTTAAAATATAATCCATAGAATAGTTGTGTGTACATGACATATACATCTCAGGTACTTAGTGCAGCACTTGGCACATAATAAAAGTGTAATATATTTATGACTGTATAAACACATTTGGATCATGAAAAATAATATGATTAAACTTGCTGGGTTTTTTGGTGGTTTGGGTACGATATATCTTTATGAAGATCCCAGTGCCATATTATTGATTGTGTACACTTACTCTTCTAAAACTGAGTTAATAAAATATATAACATAAATGTTCAAGCCTCAGTAAATTCATGAACTAAAAAGTAATAAAAATGTAAGAATTTGTTCATTCACCCTAATTATGACAAATGAGGGCATTTGTAGAATTGCATTTCTAACTTTTGTTTTGTTTTGTTTTGTTTTGTTTTTGAGATGGAGTCTCACACTGTTGCCTGGGCTAGAGTATAGTAGTGTGATCTCGGCTCACTGCAACCTCTGCTTCCTGGATTCGAGCGATTCTCCTGCCTCAGCCTCCTGAGTAGCTGGGATTACAGGTGCCTGCCACCATGCCTGGCTAATTTTTGTATTTTTAGTAGAAATGGGGTTTCACTATGTTGACCAGGCTGGTCTCGAACTTCTGACCTCATGATCTGCCCGCCTCAGCCTCCCAAAGTGCTGGGATTACAGGCGTGAGCCATTGTACCCGGCTCCTATGTTTTTGAAATTATAATTGTGATAGAAAACCTTTATAAAATATTTGTTTGAGTTGTTAAGAATTGTTGGCTTAAGTAGTACCTTAAGACAGAAAGGAGAATACAGAATATTGAAGCTGGATATATTTTTTTGAAAGAGAAAAGGACAGTAGTTACAGATAGAAATTTAGTCACTTAATTTTTAGTTTGTTAATAGTAGTTGAATATTTGGGTTTATTGATGAGATTATTCTAGCACTGATGTGCAGAACAAACCACATCTCCATGAGGAAATGTTTTCTGACAGTCCCAGAAGTGGCCCACACCCTCAGAGAAGTGGGTGGGGTGGGAACTTGTTGAGAGTGACAATGATAGGAAATGATGATTTATTTGAAGGAGGTAAGCAAGATCTGCCTAAGTCAAAAGTATAACATCTTAGAGAATTAGAAGCCACTTTAATATTGGCAATGATTAAAAAATTAAAAAGAGACATTAGTGTGGAAAACACCTCAGTTTATAAAATTGTCACAGTCATTTCCTTTAAAGCAAGACAATTCTGAAATATTTTATTGGCTATTCTCATAAACTTTCCAGTCTGCTGGCAAAGCCTCTGTGAAGAAGAATGGCAGGAAATAAGAATGAGGAGATATTACAGAGTGATTTCTCACCTTCGCTGTGAAGAGTCAACTGTTTGTCCATTCATGCTTGTTCAGTGCTTACTTATTGAGGGCCAATTATTTCAAAGTCTCTATGCCAGACACTGCAGATAAAAATGTGAATATGAACATCACAGAGGAGTCCCCAGCTTGGCATGGGTGACTTACACAGAGTGCCAATTATACTGCAGTGTGTCATGTCCCGTAATTGAGGTATGTGCACATTTTTAAGGGTGTATAGGGTTAAAAGTGACTAATTCCATGTGAAATGGTACAGCGTAATTTCACAAGACCAGAGAGAAGGTCAACAGGACCAACCCAGGATTTAGAAAAAAACTAACGGGTTGGATAAATAGCCCCTGGCCAACCAGTTGGGGTAGAGATAAGGTACCATCAGAGAAAATCCAGAGGACACAGCAGTAGGTGCCTTGTCTTTCTCTGAGAATGTCCCATGCAGGCCCTGAGTCCTCTTTGGGCACAGAGTCCTATTGCAGAGACACATGCTAAGCCCGTGGCTCCTGATTCAGGCTGACTGGTCATTAGTCAGTCCTAGAGCACTTCCTACTGTCTGTGGGACTTCGGTAAGTCATTTAGCTTTTCTGTACCCCAATTTCTTCCATTGTAAAGTAAATAATAATAGTAGCTATCTCATAGGGTTGTGTATTTTTTTCTAGGATTAAGTAGAATAATATGAATTAAAATTATTAGAACTAAGCTCACACAAAGAAGGTACTGAGTAAATGTTAGCAGTTACTATAATTACAGTAGAAGAAAATAACTGTTTTCTAATTCTTCTGGTTTTTGAGGCATAGCCTTCTGAAGTTGTACCCACCTCATAAACGGTTTCAAGAAGTGGCAGGGTATCTACAGGAAGCTACATGCTCATTGTATTGCAGAGAACTGACAGGGAAAAGACAGAATTCAAATCTATTCAATGATGAAGGGAATGAATAGGGTAACTTTTTTTTTTTTTTTTTGAAACAAGATCTCACTCTGTTGCCCAGGCTGGAATGTAGTGGTGTGATCATAGCTCACTGCAGCCTTAAACTCCTGGGCTCAAGTGATCTTCCCACCTCAGCTTCCTGAGTAACTTGGACTACAGGCATGCGCCACCAGGCCCAGCTAATTTTTTACTTTGTGTAGAGACAAGGTCTCACTATATAGCCAGGCTAGTTTCAAACTATTGGCTTTAAGCGATCCCCCCACCTAAACCTCCCAAAGTACTGGGATTACAGGCATGAGCCATTGCACCCAGCTCCATAACTCCTTTTTTGCTCATCAAATCCTTGAAATAAGTCAGGGAGATGAAAGCACCCACTCTTATTGTCTCTTTCTCACTGAAATTTTATAGTCTCTATGCCCATTCTGTAGCAAAATGAGTTTTTACCAAACTCTAGCAAAATGAATATACTAAAAGAGAAGGATAAGCATTATTAATTTCAAATTGGAAATTTGATAAGAAATTGATAAGCATTGTTATTTTCAAATTGAAGGTTGAGACTCAATGTTGGGTTGTAAAATCAATTTAAAGTTTTATGACAAATGCTTTTTTTTTTAGATTTCAGATAATACGGGTATTATTTTATAAACTTCTAGTTTCACTTATGCAAATAAGGAATAATATAATGATTGACACTGAGGTAGTGCCCAACATTGTTGTCAGAACTTTATATATAGTAACTCAGTGAATACTCATAACAATTCTAAGAGATAGGTCTCATTACCAACCCAAACTTGCAAATGAGTAAACCAAGGGATTAAACAATTTCCCAAGGACAGAGAATTGGTAAATTCTAGATCCAGGGCACAAACCCAGAAGCCTGGCTCTAAAGCTATGAAATACATAGTTATAATGTAATATGTATATCTCACTGTGGATCTGGGTCAAAAGAGCTTGAAAACCACTATGATGAAGAACACATGTGCAACTCTCACCACCCCAGCATCCCCAGCAAAGTGCACTACTTTTGGAGACCTTCAACCTGCTGGGCAATCACAGCCAGCTTCAGCATTCAGGCTACTTCTGAATTTTAGCAAAATGATTTAGTTCATTTAAGAATGAAAGAATAATGTCAATGTATGTGAAAGAATAAAATATCAAAGTCTTCAAGGGCATGCCTTTAGGAAGGAGATTGGTGAACTGCTGGAATGTGCCCACCATAAAAAAATTAGTATCATTCACAAAATATTATTTTAAAAAATGAACATTTACTGTGCACCTGCGTATTCTTTTGTTGTTGTTGTTTGAGATGGAGTCTCACCCTGTTGCCCAGGCTGGAGTGCAGGGGCGCGATCTCGGCTCACTGCAACCTCCGCCTTCCAGGTTCAAGCGATTCTTCTGCCTCAGCCTCCTGAGTAGCTGGGACCATAGGCACATGCCACCACACCCAGCTAATTTTTTATATTTTCAGTAGAGATGGGGTTTCACCGTGTTAGCCAGGATGGTCTCGATCTCCTGACCTCGTGATCTGCCCGCCTTGGCCACCCAAAGAGCTGGGATTACAGGTGTGAGCCACTGTGCCCAGCCGCACCTACACATTCTAAGTATTATGGGGAGCAATGGTAAATAAAATTGAGTCCTTTGGTCTCAAATAGTTTATAGTCTAATGGAAGACAGAAGCAAACACAAAATATGAGTCACAATATAACCTTGTAAGTTCAGTGATAGAAATATGAAGAAAAGCAGCGAGGTCTTCAGTTGTACATGAGTAGCCACCAACTTGGTTTGGGAGATCAAAAAAGCTCCTGGAAAAGCCAGTCCTTGACTTGAATATTGAAAGTAGAAAGAAAAGTAAGAATTTTTTTCAGGCCGTGGAAGGAATGTGTGCAATAAAGTGAAGGAGTGGGAGGGCAGGGCATGTTTATGCAACTGTGGATTTGTTCCAACTTAGCCCCAACTACCATATTTCCTAGTAATGAGAGTGACCTTGCAAATAAACATTCCCTATTTTTCTACAACATCCCTAATAACTGAAGAAATGCTGAACCCTGCCAAAACAACTGTTTTCTCCTAGAATCTATTGAGTATGTATAATGGAATACTATTGTAGTTGAAAAGAAAATGTCTACCATATTATGCCTTTTCCTAATAGATTCTTCTGAATTAGCTTACCTAAAGTGTTAGTGTACTTCAAAGATCAAAACACTTTCTACTGATTGATTCACTGCCTTTCAAGGGTGATGCCATAGGCAGCAACTTTAAACTTGCCTCACTTGTCTCGATCATATTACACTGAGTGTTCACCACCTCTCCAAGACAGAACCAGCCATGAGAATGTCTTCTCCCATTCTAGACACATGTTTTTAACAATGTGTTTCAACAAGCAATGCTAGCTTTTGGCAACCCAGAGTTCAGTAGAATGTATAGTGTTCCAGCATCATCTTTTGAAACAATTGGCTCCATGCTTGGAAGAGCAGGGAGGCAGGGTGGTAAATATAATGGAAATGAAATACTTGGAGCCTCCATAAAAACATCACTCTCCCATAAATCAGCTGGATGAACCTGGACATGTACTTCAATTCTTACAGCCTCAGTTTCCTCATCTATAAAATGAAGTTGTTCGATTTTTAAATGTTTGATTTTGAAGGCATCTTAGACTCTTCTTGAGAACCATAGGAAAAAGCCATCAAAGGTGCAGATAGTTCACAGTCATGCTATACCATATCTCCTGTTTAATTATTTTGAAGGAACCATAAGGGAAGCCAGTTTCTTCTCCTGATAGACTTAGCTATATTCTGGATCAAGAATGTGAAGTTATACCCTCCGGTTTTGCCCCTGGGATGTCATCACCTGTGTAAAACTGCACTACCTACATTACTGGCAGCCTACAAGGCTGCTCTATTTGACTTTTCCTTTGCTGCTTTACTCCATCATGGAAAAACCTTTTGTATTAAAGACTTAATGCCGCTAGCTAGTAGAGAGTCTGTGGAGGTTAAGAGCTGCATAAAGGAACAGAGAGAAAAACCCACATGATGTCAAAGAATCAAGCTCTTGTAGACCTTTCAATCCACTGTACATATTCAGATGAGTCCCCTTGAGAGCACAGGGTAATAGTTCCTCTTTGGAGATAATCATATTTACCCACTGGCTTCCTGTTCTTATGGAATGCATATTAATTCAAGAGAAAACCAGAGCTTTACCAGTTTAATGATGTATATTTTATGGTCTTTTCATCGAGTTCACATCTTTGATTGGTTACCCACTTAACTGTGGTTAAGGAAATGCTGAGTCAGGCTCCTGTGCTGTTGCTATAGCGATTTCTGGGAGATAAAAGCCAGGCATGAAGTATTCAGCTGAATTTTTGATCAAACTCATGTTTAAATTAAACATGGACTTAATTTATTTATTAAAATATTTAAAATACAGCCATCTGGGAAGCTGAAGCACTACTTTCCCAATTACCTTTTCCTTTTCCTTGTTGATTGCTGTTTTATGCACACAGGTGTCTTCAGCAAGAGTGACTCACTTGCATTTTCTTATTCTCAGATGAGAATTGCTGAGCTACAGTAAAGGTAGTTTAGTGACTGGATCAGCTAAAGAGACTGCCTTCTCTGGGCAAGAGCTTAACCTTTTATTCTTTGATGAGAGAAATCTAATTAGGAAAAATTTTGGATGTTTATGCCCCCTTTCCACCTTGAACAATGGCCCGAATATTTTTTCAAGTCACAATAACTGTACTTGGGAAACTTGGCTTTCTAATTCAATTTTGCATAGAATGTCCTCATTCATCTTTGCTGGTGTATCATAGTTGTATTTCTCTCCATATGTTTCAAGACAAAATAAGCTAACTTATCAGTGGTGGGTCAGAAATTTGTTGTGCCACATTCTCACACAAGAGCAAAGATGAAAATGAGATCGATGGAAGTAGGTGGAATGGAAGGTTCACCCGGACAGCAGTGGAAGGACAGATCATCAGTCGGGTACTGCATATTTGAAATACCCTTCTCAGCCCCCTGCTCAGTATTGCACAAACAAGGCATCAGAAAACTTTTCCTGTAATGAGCCAGAGAAGAAATATTGTTGGTTTTGCAGGCCCTTCACCTGTTTTAACTACTCGGTTCTGCCACTGTAGCACAGAAGCATTCATAGACAGTGTGTTCCAATGAAACTTTACGTATTAACAATGAAATGTGAAACTTATATGATTTTCATGTGTCACAAAATATTCTTTTTTTTCCCCCCTAACCAGTAGTGTAAAAACTATTTTTAGTTCATGGGCCACTGGAATAAGAGGCAGTGGACTGATTTGGTCAGCCTGTTGCTGTTTGCACTCCTCTAGCATAGAATGTTAAAAGGGTGGATTTCAGCTGGGCGTGGTGGTTCACACTTTTAATCTCAGCAAGTTGGGAGGCTGAGGCAGAAGGACTGTTTGAGGTCAGGAGTTTGAGACCAACCTGGGAAACATTTCAAGACCCCGTATTTACAAAACATTAAAAAAATTAGCCAGATGTAGTGGCATACGTCTGTAATCCCAGTGAGAGGTGACAACGTGCTAGCAGCCCTCCCTCGCTCCCGGGGCCTCCTCGGCCTGGGCGTCTGCTCTGGCCTCGCTGGAGGAGCCCTTCAGCCCGCCGCCGTGCTGTGGGGGCCCCTCTCTGGGGCTGGCCTGGGCTGGAGCTGGCTCCCTCTGCTGGCAGGGAGGTGTGGAAGGAGAGGCGTGGGCGGGAGCCCGGGCTGAGCACCCAGCGCTCGCGGGCCGGTGCAGGTTCCCGGCGGGCCGGTGCAGGTTCCCGGTGGGCGCGGGCTCGGTGGGCCCCACACTCAGCGCGCCCTGCTGGGCGCCTGCTGGGCTTGATCGGGGGACGAGCTCCCTCTGGGCTGCCAGAGTGCCCAGGCTAGGGCTGCAAAGTCCCGCGGCCACTACCATTGAGAGGTGAAGCCAGCTGGGCTTCTGGGTCGGGTGGGGGCCTTGGAGAACTTTTTTGTCTACCTAAAGGATTGTAAACACACCAATCAGCACTCTGTGTCTATCTAGAGGTTTGTAAATGCACCAATCAGCACTCTGTGTCTAGCTAAAGGTTTGTAAACGCACCAATCCCATGCTCTATGTCTAGCTAATCTGGTGGGGACTTGGAGAATTTTTGTGTCTAGCTAAAGGATTGTAAATGCACCAGTCAGCACTCTGTGTCTAGCTCAAGGTTTGTAGACGTACCAATCAGTATCCTGTCAAAATGGGCCAATCAACTCTCTGTAAAATGGACCAATCAGCAGGATGTGGGTAGGGTCAGATAACGGAATAAAAGCAGGCTGCCTGAGCCAGCAGTGGCAACTCGCTTGGGTCACTTTCCACAGTGTGGAAGCTTTGTTCTTTTGCTCTTCGCACTAAATCTTGCTGCTGCTCACTGTTTGGGTCCGCGCTGCCTTTATGAGCTGTAACACTTACCGCGACGGTCTGCAGCTTCATTCCTGAAGCCAGCGAAACCACGAACCCACCGGGAGGGATGAACAAGTCTGGATAGGAGGAACCAACAATTCCAGATGCGCTGCCTTTAAGAGCTGTAACACTCACCATGAAGATCTGCGGCTTCACTCCTGAAGCCAGCGAGACCGCGAACCCACCAGAAGGAAGAAACTCTGGACACATCTGAACATCTGAAGGCACAAACTCCGGACACACCATCTTTAAGAACTGTAACACTCAACACAAGGGTCTGTGGCTTCATTGTTGAAGTCAGCGAGACCAAGAACCCACCAATTCCAGACACACCAGCTACTAAGGAGACTGAGGCAAGAGGATTGCTTGAGCCTAGGAGATTGAGGCAGCAGTGAGCTATGATTGTTTAACTGCTCTCTAGCCTTGACAACAGAGAAAGACCCCGTCTAAAAAAAAAAAAAAAAAAAAAGAAAAGAAAAAAAAAGGGAGGGGTGGTATCTATGGTATCTGGAGTCAGATTGTCTCTCTTTTAATCCCAGACTTTTCTTTTCTACCTGTTTTATTTTACTGTGGACAATTAATTTGTCCGTGTCTTGGTTTCCTCATGTATACAATGAAGTTGGTAATAGTACCTACTCAGAGTTTTTTGAGATTAAATAAGAGAATATATATCAGTTAAACAGAATTGTTCTTAACATGGTGTGCTCACTAATAGGCGTAATTATTATCCACAGAGTGCCTCTGTTCACTGTAGAAGATGCTTGGTCATTCTCAGACTAACTGCGGTAGCAAGATTTGATATTCATGGAAAGAGCCAATGTAACTTAGAGTGAGGATATAACCATCCTTTCTTCTGCAGACACCAAAGTAATGCAAGCTTTCTTTCACACATCTGCCCCGACTGCCTGCTCCTGGCCACCATCTATGGCACACTTAAGACGAATGCTTCCCTGTGGAAATGGCTGCTTGTGCTCTGTGTGCCGACACCTTCTGCCACAAAAAATTTAATTATTTTTATTTTCTTTCCACTGCAGTTTCTAAATGTTGACACGGTGATTTCAGGACTAGTCTCATCATTTTCAGATCTAATGATGGCCATTTTTTATACTTCATAAATCCAGACAGGCAAAATTTTGCTGAACATTATGCAGCCGTTGGGTAGCAGAGAACTGCCCTCTCAGTGCTGTCGATGAAAATACAAAGTTTTTTCCATTTATTTCTGGCTCCTGCTCCTTCAGGAAAGTTTGGAGCTGAGGAATATTTTTAAAGAGGGAAGTGTGGAGAATATAGAATAGGAATGTTCTATTTGTGAAGAAATTTGAAAATTATCTAGGGTTTTTTCTATGATGATTTACTTTCTTTTTTGTACATGATTGATTTAAAAATCTTTCAAATCTGTTTTCCCAAGAGGGGCCAAATCAAATGGATTTTTTCTTTAGAGATATCAGTCACAAAAAGAAAGGCTTCACCAAAATATTTTCTCCAGTGTAGACTACACATACATCTATTTGGAGAATTTCATAGTGGAGACCACTAACCATACTTTTTATTGCTGCTTGAAAGTTGTGTCAGACATTTTCTGAGATTAGTTATTTTCGTAGGGCTGTGATTCCTATGAAAACTTTTTTAGATGTGTGATTCCATACTAAGTTGTATTATAATTCATTTTTTAATGCTTAATTATTTATTCATTCAACACATAAAAACAAGACTTTGGGAGTCAATTCTAATCCTGGCCCCATCACTTACTAGTTTTGTGATTTGGGGTAAATTTAAACTCTCTTTGCTCAGTTTCCTCCTCTGAAAGAAATAAGAGGGTAATAATTGCACCCACCTCATACAAATATTGTGAAGAATAAAAATGATAACAGACATAACACTCCTAGAATTATGCCTAGCACAGAGTAAGAATTTAGTAAATGTTATCTCTTTTCATTCATTTATTCATTTAGCCTTGACTTCGTGGGTCTCATAATGCTCAGGCATTGGCCCTTTTTATTTACTAGCTGTGTGACCTTGGGCAAGTTGCTCAACCTGCCCGAAACTCAAGGCTTCTCATCTGTAATATGAGGATAATAAGAACATACCTAATGGTGTTGGTGTGAGGCGAAAATGTGCTAATAAATTTAAAGCATTTACATCAAGGGCTGACACATAGTAACTGTTCAGTAAGTGTTAGCCATTATTATGTTTGTAATGTGCCAAGGCCCTGTAGTAAGTTCTGGGTTTCAGGGGACAACTGCTGTCATTGTCCACTTACAAACTGGTAAATGAGATCATTAAGCCAGAGTGCGATCATTGTGATGACAGAGGTGTGTACAGACAGTGCTTAGTTGAAGGTAACAAAAATAAAGCCTTGTCTCTTGGCGTCTAAAGACAAAACTTAAACATTCTACTGTTATAAACCTATGGAGATAATTGAAGGTGAAAAAAATTAATGTAGACACAAACTTTACACCCTTCACAAAAATTAACTCAAAATGGAACACAGATGTACAATGCAAATGTATAAAATCTAGAAGATAGACATAGGAGAAAATCTAGATGACCTTAGATTTCGTGATGACGTTTTAGTTGCAGCATCAAAGGCACAATCCATGAAAGAGTTGATAACCTGAGCTTCATTAAAATTGAAAGTTTCTGTGCTGCAAGAGTCACTGTCAGGAGTATGAAAAGACAAGCCACAGACAGGGAGAAAATATTTGCAAAAGACATACCTGATAAAAGAATATAGTCCATAATAGGCTGGGAGCAGTGGCTCACACTTGTAATCCCAGCACTTTGGGAGGCCAAGGCGGGCGGATCACCTGAGGTCAGGAGTTCAAGACCAGCCTGGCCAATGTGGCGAAACCCCGTCTCTACTAAAAATACAAAAATTAGCCATTCATGGTGGCACGCGCCTGTAATGCCAGCTATTCGGGAGGCTAAGGCATGAGAATTGCTTGAACTCAGGAGGCAGAGGCTGCAGTGAGCTGAGATTGCACCACCGCACTCTAGCCTGAGTGACAGAGCGAGACTCTGTCTCAAAAAAAAAAAAAATGTCCCCATTACTGGGTATATGCCCAAAGGATTATAAATCATGCTGCTATAAAGACACATGCACACGTATGTTTATTGCGGCACTATTCACAATAGCAAAGACTTGGAACCAACCCAAATGTCCAACGATGATAGACTGGATTAAGAAAATGTGGCACATATACACCATGGAATACTATGCAGCCATAAAAAAGGATGAGTTCATGTCCTTTGTAGGGATATGGATGAAGCTGGAAACCATCAGTCTTAGCAAACTATCGCAAGGACAAAAAACCAAACACTGCATGTTCTCACTTATAGGTGGGAACTGAACAATGAGATCACTTGGACACAGGAAGGGGAACATCACACACCGGGGCCTGTCGTGGGGTAGGGGGAAAGGGGAGGGATAGCATTAGGAGATATACCTAATGTAAATGACGAGTTAATGGGTGCAGCACACCAACATGGCATATGTATACATATGTAACAAACCTGTACGTTGTGCACATGTACCCTAGAACTTAAAGTATAATAAAAATAAAATTTAAAAAAATCAAAAAAATAACAACAAAAAAATTGTCCATAATATACAAAGAATTCTTAAAACTAAACAATAAGAACACAAACAACCCAATAAAAAATGGGCTCCAAAAAAGACCTGAACGGACACCTCACCAACAAAAGATATATAGATGGTAAATAAGCATATGTAAAGATGCTCCACATCATACATCATCAGGGAAATGCAAATGAAAACAACAGTGAGATGCCACTACCTACCTGTTAGAATGTCCGGATTCCAGAACACTGACAACACCAAATGCTCATGAGGGTGTGGCACAACAGAAACTCTTATTCATTGTGGGTGGGAATGTAAAATGATATAGCTACTTTGAAAAACAGTTTGACAGTTTCTTATAAAACTAAACATCCTCGTACCATACGATCCAGAAATCATGCTACTTGGTATTTACCCAAAGGAATTAAAAACTTACGTTCCCCAAAATTTGCATGCAGGTATTTATAGTAGCTTTATTTATAATCGTCAAAATTTGGAAGCAACCAAGATTTCTTTCAGTAGGTGAATGAATAAATAAATGGTGGTACATTCAGACAATAGAATATTAGTCTGTGCTGAAAATAAATGAGCTACTAAGCTATAAAAAGCCATAAAGGAAACTTAAATGCATATTACTAAGTGAAAGAAGCCAATCTGAAAAGGTTATATACTATATGATTCCAACTGTATGACATTCTGGAAAAGGCAAACCTAGACAGTAGAAAGATCAGCGATTCCCAGAGTTTGGGAGGTGGGAGGGGTAAATAGATGGAGCACAGACAATTTTTAGGGCAGTGAAACTATTCTATATGCTACTACAGTGGTGGATACATGTCATTATACATTTATGCAAATTCATAGAATGCGTATCACCAAGAGTAAATCCTAATGTAAAACTATGGACTCTGCATAATAATGATGTGTCAGTGTAGGTTTATCAATTGTAACAAATGTTCCACTCTGGGGAGGGAGGATGTTGATAACAGAGGAGGATGTGCATGTGACGGTGCAAGATGTATGCGGAATATTTCTGTACTGGCCTCACAGTTTTGCTGTGAACCTAAAATCACTTTAAAAATTAAAATCCACTTTTAAAAAGCCCACTATATATATAATTATTGCATATTCTAATCCTTTATAAAAGAATCAACTGGTGATTATTAAGAGAATATTTCCCAAAGTGTTTTATCAAAAACACAAAGTCCTGGCTGGATGCAGTGGCTCACGCCTGTAATCCCAACACTTTGGGAGGTCGAGACTGGAAGATGGCTTGAGCCCAGGAGTTTGAGACCATCCTGGGCAACATAGTGAGACCCTGTCTCTATAAAAAATAAAAAAATTAGCTGGGCATGGTGGCATGCATCTGTAGTCCTAGCTACTCAGGAGGCTGAGGTGGAAGAATTGCTTATGCCCGGGAGATTGAGGCTGTAGTGAACTGTGATTGCCCCACTGCACTCCAGCCTGGCTGACAGAGTGAGACTCTGCCTTAAAAAAAAAAAAATCAAAACACAAGTCCTGCTAATCTCAAGTGATAAGGATTTTGTGGTTTAAATACTTGGAGAAATTATGGATTACAGATTTATTTACTGCAGAGCACTTCATACTCTTTTAAAATAGTAAAGTGTATTGGGTGTCTTTTGGCAGGGATAGAGTATGAGCATTTCCCAAGTTTATTTGATCATGGTATTCCCTCTTTCTCTCCCCCCCACCTTTTTTTCTGTTCTCTCTCTCTCTTTCTCTCTCTCTGTGTGTGTGTGTGTATTATTCTGTGCCTTTGTCCAGTAGAATGCATTTTGGGAAACAATGATCAAACGTTTATCTTTTTATATTCTCATCTAACACTCATATAAGTCTGCTGCATTGCCTCTTAGCAACATCCCTGCTGGTGTTCTGAAGGTCAAAATATAATATCGTGCCAGACACAAACATGTTCTTCCTATTTTCTAGACCTTAAAAGAGTACTAGAGATTTTCTTTTGAACTGCCTACAGTGAGTTAATCATGAACATCTGAAAATATTTTTTAAAGGAAACCTTTCTCAAAGCATCAGATTAACACTTTGAAATTGAAAAAAAAGAGCAAATAATAAGAAAAAAAGTGATAGTTGAAATCCATTGCAAATATATACTTCCCAACAGTCTTTCATCTCAGATTTGAAAGAATCCTGTTTTATGCATTAATAAAGATTTCTCCTCTGCCTGCTTCAAGCTCACTTTCAGGTAATGCTTGTACAATGTTCATAACCAGAAAGATATATTCATAACAATAACTATTCTTGTTGTTTAGGCAAGAATATGTTGCCTGAAAGCAAATGTATCTTTTTGAAGAATGAAGGAAATGGCAATGGCCAAGGTCAGCTACCAGAACACGCTACCCATGGCCATGAGTTGTAAAGTGCCTACATAGATCATCAAGAGTCCACATGGCATTTTTTTCAAATCGAGGTCTACCTAGGAATTCAAACAAACAAAAAAACACTTTTGGTCTAAACTGTTGTTTTTATAGCCACCCCCGAAAAAGTGCATTCACGTATTCCTGCAAAACCTCAAATGCAAATTAACATTTCTAAAGCTCATGAAGAGTTTCATGGCAAAACCCACGCAATGCTGGCAGGCAGGCTTACTCAGTCTTCTGTCCTGAACTCTTGAGTGAGTCATGGAACCGAGGGATCTATCTAAACCAGGGCTTATCATAGCTAAAGCAGATGGCAGGCCTATTTGTACGTGGCAGTTTGGGGATAATCATTCAGTTCTTAATAGAGAATAAAGATGGATTTAATAAATTTAGTAAAGCCTGTAATCAAACGAGTTAAAGGTCTTTAAAACTATCCAATAACTGATTCTATTTTTCTAATTTGTTCCCTCAAACTAAATTTGACTTATCAGGCCGACACAGCTCCATGTACATTGAATTATTGAAGAAAGGCAGTAAAATCATTCCAGAGCATAGAGCTTGGATTGCGCAGTCTTGAAGGAAAGAAAAGAGGAACAAGAGCCTGCCCTTTAATAGTTCATTTATTTTTAATTTGTCTTCAAAGCAGCAGTGTGAGTTTAGAAATGCCCTGTTCTGCTCTTTATTTACATTACTGGGAACTTACGATTTTTAAAATATTTAAGACATGAATTGTAAAGGTGCTCCCCTTTTTTTAACAGCACGTACTTGGCTGTTCAGACTTAATTGCTTAAGAATATTCTGTGAGAAAAAAATTAGAAGTTTAACATTTGTATGTATTTGTTCATCAATACCATACTTCTCTTCTGGTCACTCCCAGGGATCTTAACCTGATAGCTAAAAAAACTTAAAACCTACCTGAAACCTAAGACCTACTTCAGACCCTATGCTGTAGAGCTATTCTTAGTATCTCATTTTGCAGAAGAGGAAACTGAGACAAGCAGATGGTAAGAAATTCACCCAGCATTGCCCACTTAGTGTGGAGCAGAGCTGGGATTTGAACATGCATGCTTTGTCCTTGGAGCTTCTACTCTTGGTCTTGATGCTTGGGGCCTCCAGGATGCCTACAGTATAGAAGAGACTCGTTCTGAAATCCCTCCAACTCCTTGAGCCATTGATTTCTCATTGACCAAGCATGATGGAAAAAAGCAAGCACACATGTGAGTGCCAAAAAATTCTAAAAGATGAACTCCCAAATGTTTTGAACCATGGTAACCACCTTAGCTGTGTCTTCTTCCCTCATAGCTATTTTGTAGTGTTCACTGGGGTGCATAAATGCCACTACATTTGTAAGACGTTAGCCCCATTACGTTGTGGTCACTTTCTGTATATAGTAATCAACATGGCTAAGTGACAAGCTAATGTCAACCAACTAATTTTCTTTTTTTAATGCTGAAGAAGGAAGGAAGTAAAAGCAAAGGTGGAGCACTGCATTGGTTTCATTAAGATTATGCTTCTAGGAAAATGTTGTGATGGTAGAATGAATAATTATCTTTAACACCCACAGACGAATAGTGGGTAGTTCAGTCTCACATGCTGTGACATAAAACAGATACTAACTCTGTGGTCAAAGTAAATTCTACATAGCTCCCTCTATTTCTGTAGGTCCCCAGGATTCCTGTCAAGTTTCTTTTCTTAGAGATCTTTCCTTCTCGTAATTGCAGAAATGCCCTCGGATAAATGAATGAACCCCTGTTTGATTGGCCTCTGCACTCTTCACAATCTGGTTCAAATTATGGTTGTTTCTTGTGGATTGCAATGTGCCAGCCTTGGCCCTATTGAAACTCCTCTTTGAATGAATCTCTAGCTCATGTGGTTGGTACTCTCAGATAACCAGCATCCAGAGTCCCACCGAGCTTTTATAACACTCTGCACAACTTTTACAGTAATTTTATGCCTTCGACTGCAAAATTTGGGTATCTTTTATTTCCACTGCCACTGCTTCAGCTTAAAAGTTTGAGGGTTTTATAACCTTCCCATTGTAAGTGCAGAGCTTCAAAACTATCGACAATGTTAAATGAAGCCACCTGTCACAAAATTAACTGGTGTAAAGCTCATCATTATATTTGATAACATTTTCATCTCTAGGAAAGAAAGCAATCTTTCATCTTGGTAAGTATGATTTGTATAGACAGTCTTTATTCCTGGTAAATGTTCCTATCTGCCTCCCAGTATTCCTTTTCCCTTAAGCAATAGGCATGCCTCTAGGCTATAATTCCCAGCTTCTCTTTAAGCTCTGAGATGTAAATAGAAGTTGCTCTTTGGGACTTCCAGAAGGGCTTAAAGGAAGCAGTAAGCTAAGAAGTGAGCTCTTCGGATTTTTTTCTCTCCCTGGGGAGCAGGTGTGATGGCCGGAAATCTAGCAGCTATCATGGAGCATGAAGTAACTCTTAAGATGCTAAGGCTTATCTTCATAGAAAAAACCTAAGTCCCTGATGTTCATATGCAGACCTATCCTAGCCTTCCGATTTCTTCATTTCTTTTGTGTGAGAAACAAATATATTTCTATTTTGTTTAAGGCTATTAAACTGTTTTTCTTTCTTTTTTCATCTTTTTGGCTTAATGCTATTTACGGACAAACTCAGTTCTAACCAACAGAGCAGTTAATTTAAGTGAATATTCAATCAAATGTTTAATGGTATGGTATAGTTAAGATGTTAATAAGAATTTCTTCATTAAGACTTCTAAAAGAATACAACATTGTTCTTCAAGTTTCTGGTCTAAATTAGGGTGAGTTTTTAATAACTGACAAAAAAGAATGTAACACAAAGTTGTCATGACCAACTGGAAGATGTGGGGGACAGCTTTGAAAAAGGTCAACTGGCCTAGGCTGAATGGCAGTTCTCAGAATTCCCTTGCCTGTGTGTTTACAGAGACAGTGGGCCATGAGAAAGATCTCTTAGAATATTTGGAAAGCAGAAGCAAAGCCTTGGGGATTTTGTAGCTTACACAATGTTGTTGCATATCGTGGGGTCATCTCGTTAGTGTGAGGCAGCAGCCAGGCCTGCAACTACTCCACCTTCCTCTGGATCCTCCTTCAGCTTCTTGGAATCCTGGGCCGCATGTGTGTGCTTAATGCCATGCTGAAAGGCTGGGATTTCTGTAGACACCCACATCATCAAGGTCAGAGGCAACAGGAACTGACATAGACTTCAGTCTGTCTTTGTGGACTCCAGCCCTTATATAGGGATTCTAGCTTTTTCTTGCTTTCCCTGACTGATTGACATAGTTTGAATACTTGTCCCCACCCAAATCTCATGTTGAATTGTAATCCTCAATGCAGGCAGTGGGGCCTGGTGTTTAGGTCATGGGGATGGATCCCTTCTGGCTTGGTGCTGTCTTCGCAATAGTGAGTTCTCACAAGATCTGAGATCTGGTCCTTTAAAAGTGTATGACACCTCCCTGCCTTATTCTCTCTATCTTGCTCCCATTCTCACTATGTGATGTTGTTCTTGCTTCCCCTTTGTCAGTTTTTGTTGTTGTTGTTGTTTGAGACAGAGTCTCACTCTGTCATCAGGCTGGAGTGCAGTGACATTATCTCGGCCCACTGCAACCCCCGCCTCCTGGGTTCAAGCCATTCTCCTGACTCAGCCTCCCAAGTAGCTGGAACTATAGGTCCATGCCCAGCTAATTTTTTGTATTTTTAGTAGAGACGAGGTTTCACCATGTTGGCCAGGATGGTCTTGATCTCTTGACCTCGTGATCTGCCTGCCTCAGCCTCCCAAAGTGCTGGGATTACAGGTGTGAGCCACCACGCCCAGCCAGCTCCCCCTTTATCTTCTGCCATAATTGGAAGCTTCATGAGGTCTCCCCAGAAGCTGATGCCACTATGCTTTCTGTACAGCCTGCAGAACCATGAGCCAATTAAGCTTCTTTTCTTATAAATTACCCGGTCTCAGGTGTTTCTTTATAGCAATGCAAGAATAACCTAACACACCCACTTTACCTTTTTTTCCTGACTAATGCTTGAGTGGACTTCATACTGTCACTAAGTACAAAGAATATAATCTTACAGAAACCACTTTGCCAGCTCTCACAATTGCAGAAGGTCAAATCCCTGAGACAAGTTCTTTCACATTATAGGTTGCTCTAGTTGTTCTGCTTTTCTGATTGCATCCTAACTGATACAATGCACCCTTCCAAAATAGTTTGAAATTGAGGAGGAATAAATAAATGTAAGTTATGCCAATTAGGGATAAAATGCCCAAAATAAAATAGAACTAGACAGAGTGGAAAAGCAGGAGTCCTCTGTGTCATTTTTGACCTTCCTACATGATTATTTAATTCAACAAATATTTATTGGCTAATAAATAAATGTAAGACACTGTGCTATGCACTAAAACTTAAATGATAGGCAATAGATTTGGTCTTTCCAACCTGGTATTTATTGTGCTGGGTATTGGGCATACAGTAATGTACAAAACAAATGCCCCCGTGGAGGCATTGTAGTTCTCAACTAATATTCCAGTTGGTTGAGGCATTCAGTAAACATCTACAGGCCGGCGTGGTGGCTGACGCCTGTAATCCTAGCACTTTGGGAGGCTGAGGCGGGCGGATCACCTGAGGTCAGGAGTTCAAGGCAAGCCTGGCCAACAAGGCGAAACCCTGTCTCTACCAAAAATACAAAAATTAGCTGGGCTTGGTGGCACGCACCTGTGATCCCAGCTACGCGGAAGGCTGAGGCAGGAGAATAGCTTGAACCTGGAAGGCAGAGGTTGCGGAGAGCTGAGATCACACCACTGCACTCCAGCTTGGGCAATAAGAGTGAGACTCCATCTCAAAAAAAAAAAATCTATGTATTATATATAACATGTACATATCAGACTATAAGTGAAATAAAGAAAAATCAAGTAGAAGGAATAACTCCTACATTGCATGATAGTAGCAAGGATTTAGAGACAATATGTGCAAAGTGCCTGACTCAGGGTAGATCTTCCAAAAACTATAGTTATTGTTTTTATTAGGATTGTGGCAGAGGGATAAAAAGGAGGAGGATTATGTGGTAAAAATCTGTAGAGGAGGAATAATTAGAATTCAGTAACTGATCACTTTTGTTGAATTCTGGCCTTTACGATATGAGAAAATTAAATGAACAAAAGGCATTTTCTCTTTATTGATGAGAGAGTAAAAGAAAAACTTTATTGGGAGAGCCAGATAAGATAAGGCAGCCTGAAATGTGTCAGGAAAGAGTGTAAATGACCATAAGGCAGAACAGGAGAGTATCCATATGGTTAAAACCCTATGTATGTTGCTGAATCTGTGAAGCGCTCTAATGAGAGATTTAAACAAGGTAAAACAAGGTTTCATTTCAGCTGGAAATAATCATCCCGCCTTGAATAACTGCAAGTTATTCTCCTTGAACAGCTGCAAGTCACTGATTATCTCCCCTTTGTGTGATGAGGGTGAGCCATGCCGAAGAATTCGTGAGGTCTGCATAGAGGGTGAGAAGGCAGCCCCAGCAGAGGCCGTGTGGAGGTGAGGAGTGCTGTGTCTGACCAGATGGTCATCATGACCTCAGGTGACTAGAGAGGACGTTTCAGCTTAGTTGGCTGAGTGAGACATCCTTGATTGTATTCACATTTGTACTGTATTATGTGGAAACCAATTCTTTAGCTTTCTAGTGAAACAAATATTGCTATTCTGGCAACATTTCCTTGCAGAAAACAATCTATGAAAAGGTTAAGATGAAAACACAAAATCTTTTGATTTGAGGCACTGAGGAAGCACATTATTAACAAAAAATATTTAGAAAATAAGGCATTGAGATATAAACAAAATCTATTTTTTTTACCCTGGTGTATACCAGAAATATCAAAAGTCCTGACATCCTATTTTGGTAGAGAAGTTATTGAAGACTAAACATATTTGAAACCTGGACATAATTTGAGATTAAGGTTTTCAATAGGAGATTCTATGAAACTTATGGGGAAATAAATGCATAGAAAGGTAAGCCTCGGCTGGGCGCGGTGGCTCACGCCTGTAATCCCAGCACTTTGGGAGGCTGAGACGGGCGGATCACGAGGTCAGGAGATTGACACCATCCTGGCTAACACGGTGAAACCCGTCTCTACTAAAAATGCAAAAAAATTAGCCGGGCGTGGTGGTGGGCGCCTGTAGTCCCAGCTACTTGGGAGGCTGAGGCAGGAGAATGGTGTGAACCGGGGAGGCGGAGCTTGCAGTGAGCCGATAGCACCACTGCACTCCAGCCTGGGAGACAGATCGAGACTCCGTCTCAAAAAAAAAAAGAAAGAAAGAAAGGTAAGCCTCTTTTCTAAGGTAAATGGAGAGACTAAGCACAGTATTTTTTAGGAAAGCCTTACTTGACATTGTGACCCAGGATCACCTCCACCAAAACATTTATAATCCTCAGATACCGCTGTCTGAAGGCAGTAACCAATCTTATTCAACATCTTGTCCTTGGAACCTACAGCAGTGATTGGCTCAAAGCAGGAAAAATGATAAAATACTTCCTTTTTTTTTTTTTAAATGTTACTTTAAGTTCTGGGATACATGTGCAGAATGTGCAGGTTTGTTACAAAGGTATCCATGTGGCATGGTGGTTTGCTGTACCTGTCAACCCGTCATCTAGGTTTTAAGCCTCACATGCATAAGGTATTTGTCCTAATGCTCTCCCTCCCCTAGCCCCCCACCCCCTGACAGGCCCAGGTGTGTGATGTTCCCGTCCACGTGTTCTCATTGTTCAACTCCCACTTATGAGTGAGAACATACGGTACTTGGTTTTCTGTTCCTGTGTTAGTTTGCTGAGAATGATGGCTTCCAGCTTCATCCATGTCCCTGCAAAGGACATGAACTCATTCTGTTTTATGGCTGCATAGTATTCCATGGTGTACATGTGCCATATTTTCTTTATCCAGTATCATTGATGGACATTTGGGTTGGTTCCATGTCTTTGCTATTGTAAATGGTGCTGCAGTAAACACACGTGTGCATGTGTCTTTATAGTGGAATGATTTATAATCCTTATATAATCCCTATATAATTACTGGGTATATACCCAGTAATGGGATTGCTGGGTTAAATGGTATTTCTAGTTCTAGATCTTGAGGAATTGCCACACTCTCTTCTACAATGATTGAACTAATTTACACTCCCAACAGTGTAAAAGCATTCCTATTTCTCCATAGCCTCGCCAGCATCGATTGTTCCCTGACTTTTTAGTGATTGCCATTTTAACTGGCGTGAGATGGTATCTCATTGTGGTTTTGACTTGCATTTCTCTAATGACCAGTGATGATGAGCTTTTTTTTCATATGTTCATTGGCCGCATAAATGTCTTCCTTTGAGAAGTGTCTGTTCATATCCCAGGTGCTGCTCTAGACTTTTCACCTGTATCCATTCATGGGGTCCTCACAACACTTGTATTTGGTAGGTGCTATTATTATTTCTCTTTTGCAGATGCAGAAATATAGGCACAGTGAAGTTCCACAACTAACTCAGGGTCACGTAGTTCATAAAGGGACAGCCAGAGGTTTGCTTTTAGAAGCGAGGTGCATACCAGCATATTGTACCACTTATTTAAAATGGCTATTCTAGAAAAACAATATCTTTAAAACTATGTGAGAAAATGCCCATTTGTGAACGTAACACTTAAAATGATGTCTTCTTGTCACCTTTGAACTGAGAAGACATCTGTACTACAGATGCTTAAGGGAGGGATTGGATATTCTTTTATGGCAGAGAATATTGGAATATTGGAGATATGGCAGAGAATATTGGAATACCACAGGGGGTATGAATTTTTATTATTGACTAAATATAAAATAAAGTTGCTTATCAATATGGTTGGACATGAAATATTTGTGAAAAAGAACAAAACTTTCATGTGAAATACTTCATTTTAACTTCTTAGTTTTAGTTGCCACCATGAATTCATAGGAGCACCATTTAGCAAATTTGTACTGAGTTTTAAGATCAGCAGAGATAACGTGAAGCTTTGCCTTTATTAACACCTTGTCTGCATGACCATTATTACTTTGGATAGTCACAACAGCCCTACTGTATAAGGACTAATATTTCCTATTTTAGTTTATAAATGAAAACCTTTAATATTTGACTGACCTGCTAAACTTACGCAGAGTGAAAGGCAAAACCAGGACATTATTTGAAACCAGAAATTAGGAATTAAAAGTCCAATGCCATTTTCACTTTGCTTCATATTCTAATGATTTGGATATTTTATAGACAAAATTGGAATAAATTTGTCCAATATGAATAATGGAGAAAGGTCAACTGTTCCAGCTTGCGTAGGATCTAAGAGGTTCTCTTGATGTGGGACTCTCAGTTCTTAAACCTAGAAAATTCCCAGAAAACTGGGATGAATGCATCACCTTCTGTAAACCTGATTGTTTACTTGACATAAGAAACAAAACAAAACAATTGTTGGTTGTAATAGCCATGTGTGTATATTAAGAAAAACCATGAAAAGATTAGCATGCTATTAGGTGGGTTGTGACTGAGCATGAATTAATAAGGAGATGAGAATATTTATTATTCCCAAGAAAAGCTGGAAGAAATAAAGACGGCAAAGTGTAAATGCTCCCTTTTCAACTGATTATAAACACAGGATCATAAAGTCTAGGAGGATGGAAAAGCTTTAAGGGAAGGGAAGTTAGTGATCAGTGAGGTTTGCAGTATTGTTCAGAGACAGGTGGGATATTTTTCCTGATTATTTAATGGGAGTCTGATGAAGCTGGGAACAAAACCACTTTTTTAGAATTAAATTGAAAGGATGAATGCAATTCTATAATTATATCCATATGGAGTTGGAGAATTAACTTTACAACTCTTTCAAAATATTAGCTAACATTGTTTGCAAGCCTACCTCTTCCCAGGCACTGTAAATGTTTCACATTCAATTCTCACCACAATTTTGTGAAGAAGGTTCTTATTCCCATTTACATGATACATGAGAAAACAGGCAAGTCTATGGCAAAGCTTTAATACAAATTAAGCCAAATAGTTCTAGATTCCATGTGCTCAGTTTCTATGCTGCATCCAGTCAAGGGTGTGGCAGGAAGTGGGGGTACATCTGTTTATGGATGGCTCTCTCTTTGAAATAGAGTGGTCAGATAATCAGACACGAGTAGGCAAGGGAGTCTCCTGGGAAAAGAAATCTTGGAGACATTGTCTACTGATAGTAGTGTTTACTGACAGTAAAAAAGGCAATGGGCTATACTGGCTTTTGCTATACTGGCTACTTGTGGTTGGGTTTTCTTTTAAGTCTTAAAGGAGACTTATTAGGCCCGAGTTGGAGATAACCATGCTCGGGATTTTTCCCGCTGACGAACATGCACAGTCCTCCAAAAGCTTGCCCTTGAGTAGCCTTTTGCTCATTATAACAGTAAAAAACACACCCATGGGTGGAGATTTTAGATGCTAATGAGACATACGACATGTGTGCTAGCATGTGCAACCACAGAACATGTGTGCTTAAACAGACTTCCCAAAACACCACATACTATACATCTCTTAACTAAATTCTTCTTCCAAATTAAACAAAAACTCAAAAACTGAAAATTACCACACTTCCTAATAACAAAATCACTTCCAGCTGTGCAAGAAGTAAGGTAGAGGGAAGGAGCAGGAGGAGGAGGAAGGTTAGGGGTCAAATCTTGGAAGAAATACTGACTGATGCATTCTTAATGGGTATCTTGAATGCATTGTTCTCCCTTTCTCCTTGTGTTCTTATCAAGCAGGGTCCTACCTTCCATAGCAGTCTTCTAGCTTCCTTTACCTCTACCTCCTTAAAATGCCTAAATGAGATTTGAAGGAAAGAAAATGTCAAATCTGTATAGCAATTCCTGTCCCCTCTATACACACAGTTTTCCTGAGGAAATCTGTGGTTCATTCTGCATCATTTTTCTGTTTTAAATGGAATTTTGTTGAGGTAGAGTTTTCATTATTGGAATATGATAGAGAGTTAATGTCTAATTTACTATAGCCATGCTCCTTTAGAAAGATTCTTTATAATTTTTGATATTCAAGATGGAGATGAATGTTCTCTGTGGTTGCTTATACTGAGGGCTACAGGTGTCAGTTTATTTTTATAGAATATTTGCATAAGAGCTGTAGCACACAGAGTATATTTCAACTATGCACCCATAAACTTTAAGAGAAATATTCATTCTTGGTCTTTCTGTTCAGAATATTTTAATGGGCTTTTTAAATAGGGACAGATTATTTCAGACTTTTCCAATGATGATGAAATATCTTTTTTATTATGAAAGAAAGAAAGGTACTGACATTTGGGTACTAGGAGTAAAGTTGATACATATTCCAAACGATTAATTGCATGTTTTAAAGCTTACATAGGCTTGGCACTTGTGGGTATAGAGGAGAAAGCAGAAGCTTTGGAGTTAGATACACTTGAATTTTTACCAACCTATCTAACTTATAGTAGTGTGATAATTATATCACGGAACTAAAAAAAAACTCTAACATATAGTAAACAAGTATTAGGCATATGTTTATTACATTGACTTCCTGTCAATATGTTTCCTAACAGCTCTAGATTTCCTTATGGGCAAAAGAGACCAAAAAACCAATTATTATTAGTAAGGACACATTTATTAAAGTTTTCCCTGCCTCCGAATTTAAATATGTCTGCTTATACAGACCATCAATTTGAATGTGCTCTTCCATCCTTAGACAAATGTGAATATGTTGAAAGAAAGTGTTGTGCTTATAGGTTTCATTCAAATAGACTTTAATTCAAATCGTGTGTAATTTCAAGTCCAGCCAGAGCCCAAGACTTTCAATTGCTTCTTAAGGGTTGGTCAGGAAATAGTCACTGGAAATATACCACATGAATCCAGAGATGGCTTCTTTAATGTTCTAGTAATTAAGAATTAAAGCTGTGAAATACAAAAATTTTTCAGCAGTTAAAATATAAGCTTATTAAAATTAATAAGAGTTGACACTTGACAATTTCTCTTCTTGCAAGTCTTTCTCAACTGTATCTGGACAAGGCAATAGGGATCTAAGAGCAATAGGGAAGGATTAACTTTTTTTCTAGTGTACTTCAAACTTGATATTATTACCCTTAAGTATTAAGACAAAGAAAATGCATGGCCTTGTATATGCTTGTTTTTCCATTTGTGTGAATCACCTGGAAATCCTCCCAAAGTACAATTATTACTAATAAATTATATAATTCAGATTTCCTTCTCTTAAGGGAGATAGTAAATTCCTAAGGGCAATTACAAGAAGCTAAATAATGGTTGCCCTTTAGAACCTTTCTTTTTTTGTGTTCCCATTCCTTCTGCTTTTATTTTTGTTCTTTTACATCTTCATTAGAGGCATTTATTGTAATTGGACATTTTTAATTAACATGAAGCTCTCAGAAACCATTGCTGCAGGCACAAGAAAGAAAATGTTAATTTTCAGATTGAGTAACAGTATTTTTAAATTAAAGGATGATTTTATAGGCTTCCCAACCATGACAGCTAGGAAAAGTTACTAAGATTTTTATGTGTTTTAAAGTATTATGTTTGCATAGATTCAAAATGATAGATATATTTCTTGTGATACCCCCATAAATCCATGCTTATATGTGGAAGGTGGCTTAATTCTTTATTAAGTCAATTTTATAACATGCTAAAGAATGCCAACCCGCCCCATGAAAAAGGAAGCCGTTTACTCAATAACTTTGTGATGCCAAATGATTGTGTTGACCAGCTCTGACTCAGAATTATACCTCTAGCTTCCATCATTTATTAACCGCCTTACTCTCAATTCTTGCCAGAGTGGTCTATTTGCAGTTCCCAGAACTTGTCATATTTTCCTAGCTTTTATTTTTTCTTTTGTGTATGCTTTCACATATGTTGTTCTCTCTACTGGAAACATTCTCTCCCATTCAGTGAAATGCCCACATTCCCTGGCTAATACATGTATCTGTGATTCAATCATCCATTCATTCTTTGGACATTCAAGTACGATCCAGCACTAGTGTGTGTACAGAGTGTGGGCGGGAGAGGGGTATAGCAATGAATGAGACACTCATGGCTCCTCCCGTAGGGGATTTACAACTCTGACGGAGGGTGGTTTCTACATTAATTTTCTTCTTGTGTTTCTTCTTAGCTTTGTTCCTGATGGGATGAGTTCGTTAGTCTAATAACTTTGACCTTAAGTTTAGAAAGACTTAACACTAGTCACAGAAAAAAGGCTTTTTTGCCTCCTAGATTAATTTACCTAAGAAACCAATAAGCCAACAACTCTAAGGGTTCCCCCATCATCTTCACAAAAGGATCAGCGGGGGCAAGGCCGTTCCTGCCTTGACCACTATCACCTCTGTGGAACAGGAACACTGAGTTGGTGACAGAGGAATAAAAAGCAAGTGAGGAAGAAAGAGGATAGAGGAAAATCTCCGATGCTCGTCTGGTCTCTGAATTAGAAGTCTCTCCTTGGAGTTAGCACACCATTTTGCCCTCATTATAATATATTGTAATTACCTTTCCCTTTGTTCATTTTCCCCAGTATGTTCTAAGTTCCCTACCAACCTTTGCATTCTCAGAAACTGATCTGGAGCTTAGCACATAGCAGACACTCTATAAATATAACTAATGGATGATCCAGAGCAGCCATTAGCTATGGCCGTGAAGGTAACATGCTGCACAGCTGCAGAGGCACCATTTACATAGATTATAGTGTGAATGGGATTCTGCATTTGCACAACCATATGCTGTGACTCTGGAAATGAACTAACAATGTTACTGTCTAATAAATGATTATCTGTGGTAGCGAGTCTAACTTAAAATACTTAAATGAATAACACAAAAATGATTCAGACACATATAAGGAAAACTACAATCAAGCGAAACAAATATTAATTTACAAAACACTATAGAAAAGAGATTAACTGTGGTGTGCTGGGCTGGGAAGACTTCATAAATGAATTGATGTTTAGGCAGAATTTTGAAGGACATCATAAGAAAAGGTAACAGTATGTCCCAAAGTACGTAATCATAAAATGCCACAGCAGGTTCTGAGAACTGTAAGTAGCATCATATAGACGGGGAGTAGGAAAAATTAAAGTAATAGTGGGGAACACAGCTATTTAGAAAGACAGAAAACTGAATATGAAGGACCTTATGTAAATAACATGGAAAAGGGGCTTGTATGTAATTCTAAAACAACAAAGAGTCATTGGAGAATGTAATGTGGTTTTACAATGAATACTCTCGTAAGGATATGGAAGATAGGTTGGCTGTGTATAGATTTGTATGTGTGTGTAAACGTGTGTGCACACATTTAAAAAATCAGCTTTATTGAGGTATAATTTACATACAATAAAATTAATCCATTTTAAGTGCACCACGCAATGAGTGTTGACTACATTATACATTCCCAGCCTCTGGCAACCAGGGATTTGCTTTCCACGCTACAGGTTTGCCCTTCTAGTATTTAATATAAATGGAATTATACAATATACATATTTTTGTATTTGGCTTCTTCCAGTTAGCATAATGCTTCTGAGATTCATCCGTGTTTTATGTGTCAGCAGTGTGTTCCCTTATATTGCTGGGCAATATTCCACTGTATGAGTATACTGCAATTTGTTGATATCTATTCACCAGCTGATGGACATTTAGGTTGTTTCTATTTGGGGCTTTGTGAATAAAGCCGTTATGAATATTCAAATATAAGACTTTGTGTGTTCATATATTTTTAATTTTCTTTTGGGAAAATATCTAGGAGTAGAATTGCTAGGTCATAGTATCAGTGTATGTTTAACTTTATAAGAAATTGCTCAACTTTTCTAAAATGACTATACTATTTTTTATTTCTAACATCTGTGTATGAGAGTTTTAGTTGCTCCACATCCTTACCAACACTTGGTTTTGTCAGTCTTTAGTTTTAGCTATTCCAGTATGTATGTAGTGGTATTTTGTTGTGTTTTTAACTTGTACTTTTCTAATGACTAATAAAGTTTTTGAACCCTTCAGTTGCTAATTCCTATAGCTTCTTTTGTAAAGTATCTATTCAAATCTTTATGGTCGTTAAAAAAATTGGGTTGTCTTTATTTTCCAGTTGAAAGAGAAAACAATATGTTTTAGAAACAAGTGCTTTATCAGATATCTGTTTTGTAAATATTTGTTCCTAATGCACTTTTCCACTTTCTTGATGTCTTTTGAAGTATGTTTTTAAAATTTTGATAAAATTCAGTTTATTAGTTTTTTATGGTTCTTTGTATTCTCTCTAAGGAAAATGGTATAACCCAAGGTCGCGGATCTTCTCTTATGTTTTCTTCTAGACACTTTATAGTTTGGTTCTTAAATTGAAAGATAGGATCCTTTTTTTTTTTTTTTCTGAGATGGAGTCATGCTTTGTCACCCAGGATAAAGTGCAGTGGCATGATCTCGGCTCACTGCAACCTCTTTCTACCAGGTTCAAGCAATTCTCCTGCCTCAGTCTCCCGAGTAGTTGGGATTACATACATACCCCACCACACCCGGCTAATTTTTGTATGTTTTAGTGGAGATGGGGTTCCCCACGTTGACCAGGCTGGTCTCAAACTCCTGACCTCAGGTGACTCACCCGCTCAGCCTCCCAAAGGGCTGGGATTACAGGCGTGAGCCACTATGCCCACCCTTAAAGGTATGATACATTTTGAGTTAACTTATTTATAATGTGCAAAATAAGGGTCAAGATACTTTTTAGTCTTCTTTTTCACAATCTCTTTGGCTAGAGGTTTATCCACTTTATTATTTTATCTGAACAGTCAGCTTTCAGTTTTATTGATATTCTCTAAATTTTAAATGTTGTATTTCATTGATTTCTACTCTTTCTAATTTCCCTTGTGCTTTATTTGGATTTAATTTGCTCTTCTTTTTCCATTTCTTAATGTGGAAGTTTAGGTCATTGACTTTAGACCATTCTTATTTCATAAAATAAGCATTCAATGCTTGCAATTTTCTGCTAAGTACTGCTTTAGTGGCAGTCACACAAATTTTATGTTGTTTTCATTTCCATTCAATTAAAAATATATTCAAATGTTATGTCAGGTTTCTTCTTTGACATGCATGTTATTTGGAGTTGCGTTGTTTAATGTCCAAATTGTTAAACATTTGTAAGATGTATTTCTGTTATTGCTATCTGATTAAATTCTGTTGTTTTCAGAGTGTATACTTTGCAGGATTTCAATTTTATTTTAACAATTATTGAAAATGTTATGTAACCCATGATGAGTTCTATTTTGACAAATGTTTTCTGCACACTTGAAAACAATGTGTGGTCTTCAATTGTTCAGGGAAATGTTTTATAAATGTCAATTGTTCAGTGAAATGTTTTATAAATGTCAAGTAGGCCAAGCTGGTTGATAGTGTTCAGGTCTTCAATAACCTTACTGATTTTCTTTCTACCAGTTCTATCAATTGCTGAGAGAGGACTATTGAAATCTTCAGCTATAATTGGTAAATGTATCCATTTCTTTTTTTTAGTTTTATCAGTTTTTTTGCTTTATCTGTTTTGAAACTCTACTGTTAGTGAATATTTAGGGTTGTCATAAGTGAGTTCTTTGTTATAAAATGTGCCTCTGTATATCTGATAATATTCCTTATTCTTAAATCTACTTTGTATATCTGATAATATTCCTTATTCTTAAATCCACTTTGAAAATAATATATCCATTCCAGCTTTTTGGGGGAGCTTGGAGTTGTATAGTATCACTTTTTCTATCATTTGTACTTTAAACCTATGTGTCTCTTTATAGTTAAAGTCAGTTTTTTGCAGGCAACATGTCATTGGGTCTTCTTAATCCAGTCTGACAGTCTATGCCTTTTTGGGGGGAATGTTTAGACCATTTACAGTTTGTGTATTTATTGTTATGTTTGAGGTTTTTGGTTTTTTTGGGGGGGGCGGGGACAGAGTCTCACTCTGTCCTCCAGACTGGAGTGCAGTGGCGTGATCTTGGCTCATGGCAAGCTCCGCTTCCCGGGTTCACGCCATCCTCCTGCCTCAGCCTCCAGAGTAGCTGGGACTAGAGATGCCCGCCACCATGCCCAGCTAATTTTTTGTATTTTTAGTAGAGACAGGGTTTCACCATGTTAGCCAGGATGGTCTCGATCTCCTGACCTCATGATCCATCTGCCTCAGCCTCCCAAAGTGCTGGGATTACAGGTGTGAGCCACCATGCCTGGCCTGTTTGAGTTTTAAACTATAATCTTGTTATTAATTTTCATTTGCCCAATCTCCTATAATCCCCTATTTGTCCCTTTGTTTCTACTCTGTTTTCTTTTGGATTACTTGAAGTTTTTGTTTTACTTTAATTTTACCTTTAATGCTGGCTTATTAGCTATATGTGTTTTAATTTTTTAGTGGCTTCTTCAGGGCTTATGATATACTTTTTTTCACTTATGGCGCTCTACCTTTAAAAAATATTATACTATTTCACATGTAGTGCAGGAATCTTTAAACGGCAAACCTGCTTTTGATGCCATTGTTGTCATACATCTTACCTCTACCTATGCTGTATACCTTATAATACATTGGTCTTATTTTTCTTTAAACCATCAATTATCTATTAAAGGAATTAAATAAATTGGAAAGAATGTCTTTCATATTTACCTACCTACTTAATATTTCCAGTGTTCTTCATTCCTTTGAGAAAGCTGGTATCATTTATTTTCTTTATACGTAAAGAACTTCCTTTAAACTTTCTTTTACTGTAGGTCTGCTAGCAATAAATTCTCTTCGTTTTGGCATGTCTTAAAAAAAGCCTTTATTTCCACTTAATTTTTGAAATAAATTCTTGCTAGGTAAAGAATTCTAGGTGGAAAGTTAATTCTTTCATTACTTTAAATATGTCTCTGAATTTTCTTCTATCTTGGGTAGCGTCTTATAGCATTTTGTGTTGCTATAACAGAATACCTGAGACTGGGTAGTTTATATAAAAATGAAGTTTCTTTGACTCACAATTCTAGTGGCTGGGAAGTTCAAGATTGGGCATCTAGATCTGGTGAGGGCCACAGGCTGCCTCAGCTCATGGTAGAAGCCAAAAGGGAGTTGAGGTATGCGAAGAGATTATATCATGAGAGAGGAAGCAGATATGAATAGGTGCCAGGCTCTTTTTAACAACCAGTTCTTGAGGAAACTAATAGAGCAAGAACTCACTCACCCCTGAAGGAGGGCATAAATCTATTCACGAGATATCTGCGTTTATCACCCAAACACCTCCACTGGGGATCAAACTTCAACATGAGTTTGGAGGGGACAAACACCTAAATCATAGCAGGTAGTTTGTGGTGAGAAGTCTGTGGTAATTCTTATCCTCATTCCTCTATATGTAATATTCCATGCATACAGACCTCGGGATTTGTTGTTTCCTGGAAGTATAATTTTATAATTTATAATTTTCTCTCTTCTTTTTCTGAGATTTTAATAATAGATGTAACTTGATAATGTCCTATAGGTCACTGTGTTTGTTTCTTTTTCAGTTTTTTTCTTGTCTCTCTGCTTTATTTTTAATAGTTTGTATTTCAAATTCATTGATCTTTTCTTCTGCACTAAGTTGCTCTTAATCGCACCCAATATTTTTTAACTCAGCTCTTTCTAGGTCTGTTATATCTTCCATCATATTCATGATTTCCTCTACCTACTTGAGTGTATCGTTCATGACATTCATGTTTTCCTCATTATATTCATGTTTTCTTCTACTTATTTGAACATATAGAGAATATTTAATATAACTATTTAAATATGTTTGTCTGCTAATTCCTTCATCTTGTTGTTGGTTCATCTGTTTCTATTGATTGGTTTTTTTTTTCTTGTTATGTGTCATTTATTTTACTGCCTAGTAGTTTTTTATTGAGTACCAGGCATGTTTCAATTTTATATTTTCAGAATTGAGTTTTGTTGTATTATTTAAATGGTGTTGGAATTTGTCTCAGCATATGTTTAATTGCTTTCAGTTTCATGCCTTTCCGGCTTGCTTTCAAGATATGTTAGGGAAGATTGAGAGCAATTTTTTTTTTTTTTTTAGGCGTGTAGACTAAGGAGATTGTGCACATAATATAATAGGGCTTGGTTAATGTTCCTGTGTAGTTAGTGTCTTATTCATTTTGATAGCTCCAAGTCTGAGTGTAGTGCCTAGCATTTGGAAGCTTGTCTACAGATATCTGTTAAGTGGGAAAACAGATGGATTAATTTTTTTATTTGTTTAGTTAAAAGAAAAGAAGCTTCCTTTGAATTAAACAAAAATATTTTTAAGTTTGTCAACAGGTAAATAAAACTACTAGTAGATTATTGCTTGAATATGTTAAAACAGTTTTCTAACAAGTGTGCTGGTATATAATTTTGGCTACATTTGAAAACAACTAATGAAAAGTTATTCACAAATAACTACTTGTTTATAAATGGGTGTCTAGGTACTGAAGAAGCTTTAGGAGAGTAGAAACAACACTGGTCTTCAAAGCAAAAAAACCAAAATTGAATCCAGATTCCCTTAATGATTAGCTGAGTGATCTTGAGCAAGTTACTTATGACTTTCAGAGGTATGCTGATATGGTTTGGCTCTGTGTCCCCACCCAAATCTCATAATCTCATCTTGAATTGTATTCCCACAATTCCCACATGCTGTGGGAGGGACCCAGTGGGATATAATTGAATCATGGGGGCAGTTTCCCCCTACTGTTCTCATGGTAGTTAATAAGTCTCATGAGATTTGATGGTTTTGTCAGGGGTTTCCACTTTTGCATCTTCCTAATTTTCTCTTTGCCTGCTGCTGTCTATGTAAGACATGCCTTGTTCCTCCTTGCTTTCTGCCATGATTATGAGGCTTCCCCAGCCAAGTGGAAAACTGTAAGTCCAATTAAACCTCTTTCTTTTGTAAATTGCCCAGTCTCGGGTATGTCTTTATCAGCAGCATGAAAACAAATGAATACAGTAAATTGGTACCAGTAGAGTGGGGCACTGCTGAAAAGATACCCGAAAATGTAGAAGCCACTTTGGAACTGGGTAACAGGCAGAGGCTGGAACAGTTCGGAGGGCTCAGAAGAAGATAGAAAAATGTGGGAAAGTTTGGAACTTCCTAGAGACTTGTTGAGTGGCTTTGCCCAAAATGTTGATAGCAATATGGACAATAAGGTCCAGGCTGAGGTGGTCTCAGATGGACATGAGGAACTTGTTGGGAACTGGAGCAAAGGTGACTCTTGTGATGTTTTAGCAAAGAGACTGGCAGCATTTTGCCCCTGCCCTAGAGATTTGCAGAACTTTGAACTTGAGAGAGGTGATTTAGGGTATCTGGTGGAAGAAATTTCTAAGCAGCAAAGCATTCAAGAAGTGACTTGGGTGCTATTAAAAGCATACAGTTTTAAAAGGGAAACAGAGCATAAAAGTCTGAAAAATTTGCAGCATGACAGTGCAATAGAAAAGAAAATCCCATTTTCTGAGGAGAAATTCAAGCCAGCTGCAAAAATTTACATAAGTAATGTGGAGTCAAATGTTAATCCCCAAGACAATGGGGAATATATCTTCAGGGAATGTCAGAGGTCTTCATGGCACCCCCCCACCCATCACCGGCCCAGAGGCCTAGAAGGAAAAAGTGGTTTTGTGGGCCGGGCCCAGGGTCCTTGAGCTGTGTGCAGCCTAGGGACTTGGTGCCCTGCATCCCAACCATTCCAGCCATGGCTGAAAGGGGCAATGTAGGGCTCAGGCCATGACTTCAGATGGTGCAAGCCCCAAGCCTTGGCAACGTCTATGTGGTGTTGAGCCTGTAGGTGCACAGAAGTCAAGAATTGAGGTTTGGGAACCTCCACCTAGATTTCAGAAGATATATGGAAATACCTGTATGCACAGGCAGAAGTATGCTACAGGGTTTGGGCCCTCCAGGAGAACTTCTGCTAAGGCAGTGCAGAAGGAAAATGTGGGGTTGGAGTCCCCACACAGAGTCCTTACTGGGGCACTGCTTAGTGGAGCTCTGAGAAGAGGGCTACCATTCTCCAGACCCCAGAATGGTAGATCCACTGACAGCTTGAACCATGCACCTGGAAAAGCGACAGACACTCAACACCAGCACATGAAAGCAGCCAGGAGGGAGGCTGTACCCTGAAAAGCCACAGGGGTAGAGCTGCCCAAGACAATGGGAACTCACCTCTCGCATCAGCATGACCTGGATGTGAGACATGGAGTCAAAGGAGATCATTTTGGAGCTTTAAGATTTGACTGCGTCACTGGATTTTGGACTTGCATGGGGCCTGTAGCCCCTTTGTTTTGGCCAATGTCTCCCATTTGGAATGGCTGTATTTATCCAATGCCTGTACCCCCATTGTATCTAGGAAGTAACTAACTTGCTTTTGATTTTACAGGCTCATAGGCGGAAGGGACTTGCCTTGTCTTGGATGAGACTTGAGACTGTGGACTTTTGAGTTAATGCTGAAGTGAGTTGAGACTTTGGGGGACTGTTGGGAAGGCATGATTGGTTTTGAAATGTGAAGACATGAGATTTGTCAGGAGCCGGGGCAGAATGATATGGTTTGGCTCTGTGTCCCCACCCAAATCTCATCTTGAATTGTACTCCCATAATTCCCACGGGTTGTGGAAGGGACTCAGTGGGAGATAATTGAATCAGGGGGGCGGTTTTCCCCACACTGTTCTCGTGGTAGTGAATAAGTCTCAAGAGATCCAATGGTTTTATCAGGGTATTCCACTTTTGCATCTTCCTCATTCTTTCTTTGCCTGCTGTCTTCCATGTAGGACGGGACTTGCTCCTCTCTGCCTTCTGCCATGATTGTGAGGCCTTCCCAGCCAAGTAGAACTGTAAGTCCAGTTAAATCTCTTTCTTTTGTAAATTGCCCAGTCTTGGTTATGCCTTTATCAGCAGTGTGAAAACGGACTAATACATATGCAAACTATGGCCCAAGGACCTGCCATCTGTTTTGTAAATATAGCTTTATAGGAACACAACCAAAACCATGAGTTCAATTATTGTCTATGGCCACTCTTCCATTACAGCAGCAGAGTTGAGCACTTGTGACAGAGACAAAATGACCCACAAAGTCTAAAATATTCACTCTCTGGTCCTTTATTAAAAAAGTTTGCTGACCTCTGCATTGGAGCCTCAGCTTCCTTATCTGTAAAATAGGAATGATAGTGCCCTCTGTGCAGGATTATTGTCAGGATACTTACTATGTTTATATGTATGAATATCTTTAGGCTAGGTGTGGTGGCACACGCCTATAATCCCAGCACTCTGGGAGGCCAAGGTGGGCAGATCATGTGAGGCCAAGAATTTGAGACCAGCCTGGCCAACATGGCAAAACCCCGTCTCTACTAAAGATAAAAAAATTAGCCAGGTGTGGTGCTGGGCCCCTGTAATCCCACCTACTCGAGAGGCTAAGGCATGAGAATCACTTGAACCCGTGAGGCCAAGTTTGCAGTGAGTTAAGAACGCACCACTGCACTCCAGCCTGAGTTAAAAAGCAAGACTACATCTCAAGAAAGAAAGAAAGAAAGAAAGAAAACCTTTAGTGTAGTGCTTAGTGCATAGCATTGCACAACAAATGCTTATTAAATTTGAATCTAAAAGTTCCACCCTCCTCCTGATGGTTGCTTTAAAAACTGAGCTATTGTCTTTTTAATCTTACTTTTACAAGTTGAAACAGTTATATATTAAAAAGTAAAATTTCTCTTTTAAAAACATTGTTATTTGCTTATTCATCATGACTTTGTCAAACAATATAATCTTTATGCATCTTTTTCATAAACGATTAAATAACAATAGGAATTTTTAAATGCTGTACTTAATGCAGTGCTGAGCACCACAGACTTTTCTACAAACAGAAAGGAGGTAGTGGAGTATTTCTGAGTTTTTAAGTGGTAAAGTTTATAGTTATTTTTATACATCAGCAAACATAAAAACTTGTAAAGTAAATCAAGACTAGTGGTGTTTCTTTCTTGAATGGCACTGGTGAAGATAAGAAATTATTTTTTATTTCTGTGCTTGATATTTAGAAATATATTGATGAAAAATGAAAGGTAATCTGAAGACAAAAGTCAGTAGGAATATTCTATATAAGGTACTGTTCCAGCTACTGCATAATTCTCAGCTGCTCATGCCAATTATGACAAATAGGTAAATAGGAAGAGATGAGTCACCAGGAGGTATTTCCTCCTCATGGAATTGCTTTTATTAAATTGTGCTCTACAGTGATCATCAGCCTATATTGAGGTAAAATGTAAGAACATTATTGAACACATTCTCCTATCTGATTTTAGTGCAATAATCATGGTACTTGTCCTAACAAATTGCTGTTTCCATGTTATGGATGCTGTGCTTTGAGTAACTGAGCAGGTTTCCATTTTCTAGTGAATCTGGTAGAATACTCAGGGTCAAATTGTGTAGAGCAATCATGTAGTTCTGTTATGTGCATTGTAACATCATTCCTACTAGGATTTTGTTTCCTTTGTTTCTTCCTTTTGCTCTGCTTTTATTTATGCTAAGTGTATTTTATGTAACTTTGCAAGCCACATTCAATTCTTTCTAGAACAAGATTGGTTATAACTAGGTAGGTAATAGGGAAAAAAGCGAGTAAAATGCTAATACAGCTATTTGGTTCTCTCCTTGAAATCCTTAAAAATAGCACAACAAAACAACTCCCAGCTTACCACTTGATAAATCTCACAACTTAAAGAGAGCAACATAGTTGCTTAGATCTCTACATCATGTAAAAAGATTGAAATAATTTTTGTTGCAACTGATGCACTGTCTTTTAAAGTAAGCCTGTGATTTAAAGCAAATTCTTCTTTAAATATCAAAAAGAAGGAATGCTTATGGTCTATATTTAAATCGTTCAGTCACACTAATTTTATTTGCTTGACAAATATGATTGCAGTTATATTTTTAAAAGTTGTGCAAGTGGAAGTATAAAAAATTACTTATTTTTGCTCATGAAAAATGCTGTGTCATTTATTAAACTAAGTGGCTATTTGTTAAGCACTACTATGCATCAAATACTTTTCTCAGCACTGTGGATACAGCAGTGAAGAAGACAAAGATCCTTCCTTTTGATACTATAGAACACCTGTATCATCGTAGGTGGTTCTAAGCATTGAAAAACAACTGGAACAAATGTATATCAATATTACCTTATTGATACTTATCTATGAAGTTTGATGCTACAAATGCAAGACATTTTTAAAGAGATTTGTTGCTTATTAGAGGGAAATCATAGAACTCTCAGTTGACTTTCAAGGTACAGAGTCAGGTAGATCAAGGAAAAATGAGATATAAGTCCTAATGGCATGTGACTCACTCAGTGGCTTTGGTCCCCTGAAAAGCCACTGGTCTAGAGGTGGTGCCATGATGTTTTTCTTTAAGAGAGAGGCTCACACTTCCCTGGAGGGTGACTAAAAAGACAGATAGGAAATTAAGACTGGTAGAACCAATAAGTATATCTTGGAGTAGGCTAAAGTAGAGGGAAAACCTATAAGTAAGTAGTTAGGGCTAATGTCTAGTCAGTGGAAGTTAAAGATTAACAGAGGATAAATGGAGCTGTGGCATCAGAAATTGTTGTCTGACAGTAAAAATAAAACTTGCATTTATTCATACTCCATCTGTTGTTTCATGCCTTTTCCTTTTGTTCAACTTACTCTACTGCCAGGAATTCTTATACCCTTATCCTTCAGGGACCTTGTCTGAGATTCCAGGTTGAACAAAATGTTCCTTACCAGTTCCCACACTACCCTGTAGCTATCTCCATTGTTTCTTTCACCACATTACCTATGAAACTTTCCTTTGACGTGTGTGTCATTTTTATTAGACCAAGACTTTAAGTCCTAAGAAAAGATTTATTGAGTTAAACTGAATGAATCAGGCAAACAACAAAAAAACAGGGAGCATGAAGGCATTATAAATACCATGGATCAAATACTCCAATACCTACAGGGCCTGGAAGACAATAGAAATAAATGAATGTATGCTCCATCTAAGGGAAACAACTGTTCCAATCCAGCCAGTTGTCATGTGGGAGTGCAGCCTCATATTGCCAGATTGGAGGTTTTGGAGAAGCCAGAATGATGGATTTTTAGTGTAAATATTCCTATCTCAGATGTTAGTGGCAATAAATCCAGTTTTAGATATTCTCTTTGGGCCAAACAAAACCTGGCTGTTTCCAGAGTGGGGCTACAACTTGTGTCTGGGCCATAAGATTTCTCCTAGAGTTTTTCACTTACAAACTATAGGTAACCATGCTTGATATCCCAGACCAAAAAAAAAAAAAAAGAAATTTATTGGAAGAACACTGGAGTAAAGGATACTCAACACATTATAGGAATAGCAGAGGCTGGGCGCGGTGGCTCATGCCTGTAATCCCAGCACTTTGGGAGGCTGAGGCGGGCGGATCACGAGGTCAGGAGTTCGAGACCAGCCTGGCCAACATGGTGAAATCCTGTCTCTACTAAAAATACAAAAATTAGCCGGGCATGGTGGCGCGTGCCTGTAATTACAGCTACCCAGAAGGCTGAGGCAAGAGAATCACTTGAACCCAGTTGGTGGAGGTTACAGTAAGCCAAGATCGCACCACTGTACTCCAGCTTGGGTGACAGAGTGAGACTCTGTCTCAAAAAAAATAAAAAATAAAAAATAAAAATAAAAATAAAAATAACCAGATCCAAGGCAGTACAGAATCTGGGTAGTGCTAGGGAATTTTGGAGGCAAAAACCAATGGCCAGTTGCTTTAGAAAGCAGCAGAGGAGTATCCGCGCTCCAGGAGGCTTCTGGTTGTGACAAGCAGCTATGACTTGAATTATGGGTAGAATTGCCAGATTTAGCAAATAAAAATACAAGACATAGTTAAATTTGAATTTCAGATAAACAGCCAATAATTTTAGTATAAACTTATGCTAAATGTATATTATGTAATTTATAAGTGTATTCCATGCAATATTTTTACTTTGGCAATCCTAATAAGTCAAAGTCAGGGTCTGATTTGTTTAATTTGGGTCACATATTTTTCCTTAGTCTCCTGGGTGCACCATCTAGGAAGACTGTAAATAATGGAGGAAAGATACATCTCCAAACGGAAAGGAGCGAGGAATGTTAAGATGTCAAAACAGATGTCAAACTATATCCACCCATTCATCATCCATCCATTTATCCATCCATCTGTATTATCTATCATCAATCTATACATTTATCGTGGCTGCTTACACACACACACACACATAATTGGGTGACATTGAAAATATTGTTTAAATGTTGAAAAGGTTAGATCAAGGTCCTCTGCTGTGCCGCGTTTTACCTGTTTAGTTCCTGGATTGTGGCAAGGTCTGCCCTTCCAGTGGAGGATCCAGGAAAGCTGTAGGAGGGGAATGAGGGATCTTGGTAGCCGCTATTTATTGCTCAGTATAGAGGTATTAGATGGCACAAGGATAAGCCTTTAGGAAAGTTACTGTGTTTGTTTAGAAAAAATACCTTGATAGGATGTTTTGACAGACTGGGCAGTGTTATTAAATAATGGAGGAAGAGGTAGCTAAAATATGCTTTGTAAGAAGTTAACATGAAGTTGAGTTTATAAGGAAGAAGTTAGAGGGGAGGGGAAGAAAAATATAGAGAATAAGGATGCACAGTCACTGGCTGGAACTTATGGAGAAAGGTAGTCAGTGAGGAATGCTTGGTGGCATGAAAGCTAAAGGACTTACAGGCAGAGTCTGACTCTGCCACCTAGGCTGGAGTGCAGTGGTGCCATCACAGCTCACTACAACCTCAAACTCCTGGGCTCAGGCACTCCTCTCACCTTAGCCTCCTGAGTAACTAGGACTACAGACACATACCACCACACCTGGCTAATTTTTTATTTTGTAAAGAAGAGGTCTTGCTAGGTTGCCCAAGCTGGTCTTGATTTCCAAGCCTCAAGCAATCCTCCCACTCTGGCCTTCCAAAGTGCTGGAATTACAGGTGTGAGCTGCCATACCTGGCCCAGCTAAAGGACTTTTAAACAGGGATGTTTAATATTAAATTTTAAATTGGTTACTGTGTTAAAGTAGCATACAAAATACCTTATGAAAATAGTTTTGGAAGAAATATTGTAAAAGAAGGTGTTTTCTGTGTCTGGGATGGCAAAGAAAAGAGAGAAGAGAACAGTCCTGGAAGTAAGAGGTGAGTGAATTTGAGAATTTGTGAGTGCAGCAATTCACAATGTAGGCACTAGGAGAAATGTGGTCTATCAAGAATTCTTTTGAATTTGTTATATATGGTGGGAGGGAAATCCAGCGTTTTATAAAAATTTAGTTAAATACTGGTATATAGGGTAACTCCAGCTGATATTTGGTTCATATGTATGACTCAGAATAGGTAACTTATATTCTGCAGTTGTAGTTTATTAACCACCAGTGCTTTCTTTCTAAGCATTGTTATTATCTCTGTTCTCAAAAGTGGTTGAATCACTCAGTCCGTTTTCTGGTTTCCAATAATTTCTCCTGTGCCACTCTTTATTCCAAATCCTCAAATCTTCAGTCCTCCTCTTTCTTGTGAGTTGCATAGGTTCTTTGATGCCCTTTTTGTTTACCCAGAGTCTAGTAATTATGATACAAGGACTTTCTATGTTAATTGAAAGATACTGCCTGCTCCTGATATATCTGCTACTGTTCATATTCTGTTGTATTTCTTTAATTTTCTCTTTTGTATCTACATATTCTACCATATATTAATACTACCATGAATTAAGAAGCAATTTCCTTCTTTTTGGAGCATACGACTAAGAGCATTGGCCTTAGATGAGAGCACCTGGGTTAAAAACATTGGCTCCACCACTTATTATCATGTTTCTAGATCTCTGTGTCTCAGTGGCCCCCTCCTATAACAAAGATTTCATGGTAGTGCCTCCTTCATAGGTTTCTTCTTTTTAACTGGGTCTCAGATCCATAGAATTGAATTAATTATGATCCTTGATTTATGACCCAGTCTCATTATTGTCCATGCAAGGCCATTTCCTAACCAGTTATCTAGGATAATCACCTGTAAAACTACCACCAGAAATTTAAAAAATGAGAATATTGATAATGGCTAATATCTCCCTATATGTTTCTTTCCCATCTTGTCCCTCTTTCTCTCCTCTATGTAAAGGTACCACTATCTCAAATGTGGTGCTTATCATTTGCTCACTTTTTAAATAATATATTTCTATTACATCTAGTCACTCAAAACCTTTTAGATGTTTTTAACTTTATAAGAAAAGGTAGCATAATGCACATAATCTTTTGTGACTTTTTTTTCACTTAAAATTATATTGCAAAGAGTCATCCATGTCTTTGTGTCTAGGTATAGTTCATTTGTTTTGACTGCAACATTTTAGCATATGTGCGCACCACAATATCAGAATTTATTTATTCATTTTCCTTTGAACTTAGTTGTTTCTAGGTTTCTGCTACTATGCAACAGGGCTGCTATAAACATCTTTGTATAGATTTCCTGGTACCTATGTGCTGGAGTTTCTCTTAGGTATATGCTTAGCAGAAAAATTTCTGGGTCATAAGCTCTGCATATCTTCAGCAAAGCCAAACTGATGTCTAAAATCCTGAGATGTTTGGAGTTAATTTTGGAGTATGGTTTAAAGAAGAACTTGATTTTATCTGTTTTCCTGTTGATAACTTTATTCTAATTCCATTTATTTGTTTCTCATTTTTTAATTTTTTGAGACGGAGTCTTGCTCTGTCGCCCAAGCTGGAGTGCTGTGGCGCGATCTTGGCTCACTGCAACCTCTGCCTCCTGGGTTCAAGCGATTCTCCTGCCTCAGCCTCCCAAGTAGCTGGGACTATAGGTGCTCACCACCACGCCTGGCTAATTTTTGTATTTTTTTTTTTTTTTTTTTTAGTAGAGATGAGGTTTCACCATGTTGGCCAGCCTGGTCTCGAACTCCTGACCTCCAGTGATCCACCCCGCCCCCCCCTTCGGCCTCCCTAAGTGCTGGGATTACAGGCATGAGCCACCGCATCCAGTCTAATTCCATTTATTGGACAACCTTTCTCCCCAAATGGCCTGGCATGCCCAAAGTTTCACGTATGTGTGGGTATGTCTCTGAATTCTATATTCTACTGGCCAATTTTTCTGTCTCTGTACCAAGATATAATTGTCATAGCTTCAAAATGAGCCTAGCTATTTAGTAATGTCTGAGATATTTTGGACCCATTCTCCTTTCATATTTATTTTAAAATCAATTCTACTTCTCATAAACATATATACCTCTTTAGTTAGTTTTTTAAAATGTCTTTCAATAAAGTCTATACATTTCCCAAAATATTTTTCAAATATTTTGCTAAGTTTAATTCTATGCCTTTTATTTTTGGGGTATTATTTCAAAGGGAAGCTTTTTTAAAAAATGATTTTCAAGAGTCATTCCTATTGTATAAAAATGGATAGCCACTTTAGTAACTTCTTCCATTATTTCTAATAAATTGTCTGTAGATTCTTTTGGACTTCCTATGTAAATGATAATGTTGCCTGCAAATAAATGTTTCTTTAAGAATTTTCAATCCTTATGACCTTCCTTACTGTTTCTTGCTTTAATTTTTTGGCTAAGTCCTCCAATAAAATGCTAATAGAAATGGTGAAAATGGCATCTTCATCTATTTTCTATTTTTTTCCAATTTAGGGTGATGTGTTCTATAGGGTATATTGTTGTTTAGATATCTTTTATTATTGCAATTTATGGAGAGTTTTATCCTGAATTTAGGTTCATTTTTATTATTTTTATCGGAGGCATTTATGAAAAAGGCACTGCGGCTTTTCCTGTAATGTCTTAGCGTAGTTAATTACATTTATAAATTCTATAAATCATCTCCGCATCCCCGGAATATACTCAAGTTATTCGTTATGTACCATAACTTTTACATATTGTTCAACTGAAACAATTCTTATTTGGTTTAGAATATTTTGTACTTATGATTAGGAGAGAAATTGAGCTTGTTTTTCTTTGTCTGGCTTTGCTCTCCAGTTCGCTTTCTTCACAGAGGTATTTAGTAATATTTCATCTTTCTCTTCCTTAAAAGAGTTTGTAGGAGATTGGTGCCTTAGAAATTTAACTCTACTTGCCTATAAAACTATCTGAATCTAGTGATTTCGTTGTGGAAAGATTTTTGGCTTTTTTTAATGGTTAAAGAATAATTTAAAGTTTTCATTTTTTGAGTCAGTTTAAAACTATGTTTTTCTAGGAATTTTTTCAATTAACTGTTCAAAGGTGGCATATAGTTGTTGATGGGATTAATTTATTTGTTAGATATCATTGTAATCTACAGCAAGATTGCAAGATTTTTCAAAATTGACACTACTGACATTTTGGGCTGCATAATTCTTTGGTGTGGGGGCTGTCCTGTGCATTGTAGGATGTTTAGCAGCATCTCTGGCTTCTACCCACTAGATGCCAGTAACACTCCCTAAATAATGATGGTCAAAAATGTCTTCAGACATTGTCAATTATCCTCTGGAAGAGCCTGGCTGAGACTCACTCATAGACACTCTTGTGGCCTTTTTGATTCCTACCATTATTTGTTTGTTTCTTCTTTGCCCCCCTCCCCAATTTATATGCCTTGCCAGAAGTTTGTCCATTTTGTTAGTCTTTTCAAGGAATCTGGAGGGTTTTCAAGGAATCTTTGGGTTTACTTGTTATTTTACTAACTTCCTAAGTTATATACTTAGGTCATAGACTTTTAGCCCTTCTTCTCTTATTTTATGTTCATTTGAGGCTAAAAATTTTTCACAAAGCATGACTTTTGTTGAATTCAACAAGTATCTTTATAATCATTCAGTTATAGACTCACCTAAAATATAAGAGCATAAAAGATTGAAAATAAATAGAAAAGTAAATATTGAACAAATAATTTTTTAAAGCTGCATATTACTATATTAATACTATACAAAACAGACTGTAAGAGATAAAGCATTCTTAGTGATAAGATCCCTACATATTGATGAAAGTTTCCATTCACCAAAAAGCTACAAAAATTCTAAATATGTGTGCTCATATTAAAAAAGTACATATTTGAAGGAATTTCTGACAGACGTATACAATTCTACCACCATAGTGGGGTATTAAATACCTCTCTCAAGTATTGACATGTCAGGATGATTTTTAAAATTAGCAAGAATATAGAGGAATGAACAGTAGAATAACAAATTTGACTTTGTAGGCATAGATGGTATGTTGCAAACAACAACTACAGAATACACATATATATGTTTTCAAGTACATGTAGAACATTTACAAAAATTGATCATGATATTAATAAATGTCAAAGAATAGGTATCATTTAGATTACATTAACAAAAATTATGCTAGAAATCTATAATAAAAATATCAAAACCCACATGTATTTGGAATTTAAATAACTTATTTCCAGATAACTTATAGGAGAAACCATAATCAAATAACACTTCATTTCTGTCTCCCACAAACAGTTCTGATAATAGATTGTCTTCTTTCCTCATGGATAAACTTTGGGTAACCAATGGAACAGTGCTAAATGTATAGCATGTGGCTCTTTGTCAGGGCCAAGAGGGTGGGGTGGTGAATTTGTAGTGCCTGGTGACTTCCATGGTTAAATACTCCCATCATCACTGACTTCAAGCTACTGGTGTGACATCACTGCACGTGAGTAGAACTGGGAAGAGACGTGCCCAATGGCCCTTGCTAGGCTCCAGCAACACTAACATGACCCATAACTTCAGTTTCAGTCCTGTAGTTACTTTAAGTGCAAAGAATATCCATTCAGAAATTAGAGTCAGAAGGCTTCAGAAATAGTCAAAACCTGATATTGATCTTATATTAAATGTTGTTTCCTCACAGTCTCCTCCAGCCTGCCAAGATCATTGGGAAAAGGGGCCATCTCCTCTTTGCCTTCCTCCTTAGAGATCTCAACAGCAATATAGAAGAGTGAGAGAGTAGAGTAACTCACCAGGGTAGGATGGGGAGTGCAATTGATGGAAAAGATCACATGATACTCACAAATGTCTTAATCTAAAAGGAACCTTCTGAGTAATAGACGTACAAATGCTGAACCTTTTTCCACTGAAGATGGAATGGGTATTTTGGAGCCTCCCTTATAGGATCTCTAGCTTGATCTCCTGTGAAGTGGCAATGGCTCATCTTTTGCTGGCCACTCCTTCCACAGTGCTTTGTTCATTCATCCAGTCCTTCAATAAATGTTTATTGAACATCCGTTCTAAAGAGTAGAACAAGCATTATCCTAGGTACTAGGAAAACAGCACAAACAAAAAACAAATACCTGTATTTTCCAGGTTAATTTTTTGTTTCACAGGAAAAAAAAAAAAATGACACACGCTTTGACCCACCTTAAGGGGTCATTTTCAACAATTGGAGTCACTTTCACCAGGCTGCGGAAACTTGCCTTCTCCCTACCATCAAAGCAGCTCCTGTGCTTGTCTCTGTTGCCTTCCAGATTTCCATAGACAGAGGTCAGAGCTCGATCCACTGTGTCTGTAATATCAAAGGCTCTCTAAGTGGTCTTGTTGAATCTCCCAAACCTCCTTCAATCACTAGACTTGTCTTAAGAAGGCTGGACCCACCCACCATTCTCACTTGAAGAAAGAGGGGTTGGTGCCCAAAAAGTAGACTATGTCAAAGAAATCTTCCTACAAAATCCTTTACCTCATTGCACTCTCTTGGAACTCTCATCACCCCTTTGTAGAAAAATTTTTGTTTTTGGTTTTGCAAAAACCAGCTTTCAGCAAGCTGATTCCTAACAAATTTCTGCATGTGGTTATGTCTTGAGCGACTTCAGTATCTTATGCAGTACTTTTGACTTCACTCTAAACTAGAATGCCTGGGTTTAAATTGGAATCTGAGACTCATGACAATAGCTGTGTGACACTGGACAAGTTACTTGGCCTGTCTGTGCTTCATTTCATCATCTATAGAAGGTTTTACAGAAGTTCCTGCTTCGTATTTTTATCATGAGAATTAAAGTCAGAAAAACTCTTAGAAGAGGGCCTGGCCCATTATATGCTATTGGTATTTTATAGTATTTCTCTATGCCTCAGTTGAAATTTGTAAATTAGTATCCTGTTGCGTTATCCTATTTCCTCATAACCTCTTTTATTCTCCTGTCCTTAGACTGATTTGGATTCTAACCTGTCATTGCCATTGAGGCACCAATCCATACCTAAACTTTCGATACTGATGACATTTTCTTACATAAAAGCTTTTCTTCTTTCCTGCTCACTAACTACAGCTCACATAATTATGAAAAATGAGTCTCTTCATCAAATTTCCCTAAGCCTGTGTTTGAAAAAGCAGTATCTAAATAGTTTCCAAGCAAAGAGAGTGTGGCAACAATTTTTCTTTTTTAGTGGCAGCTAGAAATCGAAGCTTTATGAGGGAGGAAATTAGTAGTAACTTTCAATGCTTGTTTCTTTATTTTGACTCTTAAGCAGATAATTCTTCATTGATAGTGACTCTTTTGAAGCTAAGGCAATAATTTCTTATGATGTTAATGATGTTGTGAATAATACTCCATTCTCAATTTGTGACATATTCAAGGAAACTCATCTTTATTTAATTGCTTTTTCTCTGATTTCTCAAAGGTTCTAATAATTTTGAGTGCACAATGTCATTAGAATCATAATTCAAATAATAGGAAATTAGACCACTGATTTCTTGATGTGAGACTTCTGGAATTGCAAAGCAACAAAGTTCAGCATTTTACCTACTTAATAGATTTCAGTTGCCAGAAAAGTACTTCTGCGTTTTACCTCACTGAAGGTCATGGAATCTTTGAATATTCTCTGGTAGAGATCAAGCCAGGTTGTAATTCATAGAACTTTAGGTCATTTTTGTGAGCAGAAAAATTCCCAGCTATAAAAAAAGTAGAAAATTCCTCTAAGGAATAAGAACCTCATATATTTCAACAAATAAAAGGCTAAAGCTGTTTTTGTGGAATGGTTATGAAACTCCACACAGTATAAAAATTTAGCAAAAACATTTTTCTGCATTAGTTTTATCAACCAAATAACTGATTTTGTAATTTTTTCTTTTCCTGCTTGTTTGAATCAATCAAATCTATCTGTCATTTTGGCATTATAACAACAATCAATTCCTGAATGTATTCTGTGGGTTGCTTACTGGTCCTGTGGGATACTCATTCATTCCCTCATGCACTCAATGCTTACTTATTGAGCACCTGCTATGTGTCAGGGATCGACATTGGGGATAACGGAGCAAACAAAACAGAAAAGATCTTTACTCAAAAAGTTTACATTCTAAGAAGAGAGATGAGAAATAAGCTAATAAATAAGTGATTCTATAAAATATCATGTAGTGAATAGTACTGTGAAGAAAAATAAGAGAGAGTAAAAGGCTAACATGTGAAGAAGGAACTCATTTTATATAGGATGTTTTCTTTAGAAAGGTTAAAAAAAAACGCTGTGGGAAAATGACATTTGAGCAGAGAAAAGAATAGAGTGAGTGAAGCAAAAGGATAGCAGTGGGAAGAATCCCTAAGAAAAAAGGGTGTGTGGCATATTCTAGAAGCAGCAAGGTAGACAGTGTGACCCATGAAGGCATGCATGAGGCAGATATTGATCAAGGTAAGGGACCAGATAATGTAGGGCTTTGTGGATCTTGGTTTGGACTGTGATTTTTATGCTGAGTTGACATGAAGCCACTGGAGTCATTTTTGAGCAAAGGAGTGACAATGATCTGATTCATGCTTTAAATAAAAATCTCCCTGTGATTGCTAGTTGGAAAATATGGGGATTGGGAGTGAGGGGAAGGATATTCATAGAGTTTTTTCCCTAAGGTTTTTGTGGTCAAACAAGTTTTGGAAACACTACATTAAGTAAGAAAATATTAAAGAATTTTTCAGAGTCAATATGTTCATATATCTTGTATATCTCAAGTAGTTTGTAGAATAGAAACATTCTCAACTCTAAGCCCAGAAATCTTCTTTTCTGAGAACCTCTTAAGAGATTAGTGTTCCATTGTCATTTAGGGCAATGACGATGTAGACACCACCTAAATAAATCCTCTCTCTTCTGAGAAACATAGAAGCTTTCAAATATCACTGAGAAAAAAGTTTTCTGTTAGAGTTTCTCATAATTTATTCTATGACCTTAATATCTGACCCTGGTGAGATTGTTTCCTGTTTTCAGCAAGGCTTTGTTAGAGTCAATTTTTTTCAGAGTTCTGTGCTGAGTATCAGGACACTACGTATAATTCTAAAGCCTTACATAGTCTTGGTCTATGCCTGTAGTGTCCAGCTTTTGATTAAATATCTACCTTTGTTCATTTACCAGAGGAAATAGGAGCATAATGGAATCTTGTACATAACTGGGAAGACAAGTCAGGCTTCCCACAGAATGGCTAGTTTTTAATGGGCAGAAGAACTCTGGATTTGTCAAGAGAAATGTTATGCACTTTTGGGTAGAATGTTACCCTGGAGCCAAAGTTATTCACACTAGGAAGCATGCTCATTATTTTAAAAGTAGTTCTTTAGCTAATGGATACAGTATAATCATGGAAACCTTAGATTATGCTCGCCCCCGTGACATGATATGTGTGTTTCCTAATTATCTGTGAAAGCAAACTTAACATGTAACTGTGTCATTATTCATCACATTTAAATGTCTGTGAACAGACACTGACTAATTATCTACCAATTTTTGCCTATCACTTTGTTGAATTAAAATGTTTTTAAAGGTTAATTGTCAAATCCTTGGGGAGAATAAAGACTATCTAAAGGCTAAGTTTCCAAATTAAGTAATATGTCCTTATCTCATTTAAAAACATTTGCTTAAGGTGGTTTGGATTTGCTTTGTAAGGGGTTTGGTCACTGGGAAAACTTAAAGCAAGAATAGCTGTACAAGGATAGAGTGAAATCACCCACATCCTTGGGCCCAGTTAGGCTTGTTGCCTTTCCTTGGGAAAGAAGGTAGAACATGCAGCAAATAGAGGGGCATCATGATGTGATACAGGGCTTTGGGATCATGGGCCTTGCAGCTGGAATCCCAATTTCGTCACTTCCCAAATGTGTGGCTCCAGGTTGTTATTTGCCTTCTGAGTCTCCATTCTCTCTTCTAATAAGGAGATGGCAATAGCTCCTTAGTGGGGCTGTTGTGAAGATAAAACGAGGTAATCCATGTGCAACTCATTTCTCCCTATCCCTGGGCACAGTGTTTGTGGTTGCCAGTGTGCCAACCTTGAAGCAGAACTTAGCTGGTCACATTTACTAGAAGGAAACTGCTGCAAAACGTTAGTGAACAATATATATTTCACGAAATGTTTTGGAGGAAAGCTTGAGGTGGGTCTTTACATGGCACAGGATATAGCATTTTACTCCAAAACTCTCAGTTAGTTATTTCCTGTTGAGTGGGCAGAGACTGCTCATGGTAATAATATGCCCATACACCTCTTCTTCCTAACAGTAACGGAAGCCTCAAATTTTATCTGAGAACATGGCTGCTCTCCTAAAGAGAATGATGATTTGGGATTTAAGATTTGTGCCTCTCTTGCATCCAGGTGGAACGATGTAACCATGTAACCAACCACGAACAACAATGATGTGTGTAATTGCCCATACTGTCAATGTTAAAGCTGTTTATCTTAGACACTTTTCCCCAAATCTCATATCCTGAAGAGTAGGAACAAGTGAAACAACTTTAGAAACCATTAAGTTCCCAACTCTTTATTCTTAAACTGTTAAGTGCTAGCAAAATAAACCAACTCATTTAAGTCACTACATTTTGGGATCTTTTTGTTAAAGCAGCTTAGTCTGTATTCTAACATATTACCAAGTTCAAATATATTACCAAGGACCACAGAGGGCTTTGAGTACATCCAAGTGAGCTTTATGGTTGACCTTGGCACTTATACAGAAATTGCCAATGAAAGAAAAATAAAAAATAACAGAAAATGAGAACACATCTGTTTGGAGGCCCAGCTACCTGATATGTTAGGTTTGGCCACCTTAATCAATCTAATAAAACTAACTAACTTAATCAATCTAATAAAACTAGCCAGTGTCAGAGCTGGAATTAGAATCCATGTCTTCTGATACCAAGCCAGTGGTATATTCATCATATTCTGCTCTCTCTTTAAGCAAGAACTAGGACTTGAAGCAAGTGAATTCCAGAGTGTATCAGATACTATCTGAATTCAATCTGATTAAATATTCGATTAAAAGATGGAGGTACACAGTTCTTAGGAGTCTCTTATTGTACCAAATTCAACCCTTTTTGTTTCACATCAATTTCAGGAATAAGAACTTCAGAGGTCTGGCCCTGATAAAGCATGCCCAATTCCCTATGAGGCAATGGCCCACAATAAAAGACATTTTCTTATTTTCACAAACCAGCATGCATGGTAGCATGGTCTTGGAAATCTATGTTAGAATAAAGTCTCTCAGGCAAAATGTATTACTCCCAGTTATACATTTATTTTAATACAAAAACTAATTTGTCACCATAAAACCTACTATTGAGTTCTTGTACTGCCTCTTAAAAGCTATGTAGCTTTGGCAAATCTCAATCTCTCTAAGCAACTGTTCAGTCATCACAAAATGGGCATTATAATACTTGCCAGGCCAATTCTCCTATCCATGTTTCGCTAGGTTATAAACTTTTGGGGGTTAGACACTGTGTTTTTCTGTGTGCCTAGAAAGTATTTGACACAATGGAGAGATCAATTCTTCACTGAATTTATGAAATTAAAATATATTAATGAATATGAATGTTTCTTGGAAATTCTAAAGGTAATTGAAGGTACTATTTTAAGATAAAATTTTTCTATTTTACAACAGTTTTAGATTTATAAAAAATATATACTTGTGATGATAGAATGAAGAGTTTCCATAAAATATTTACTCAGCTTTCCCTAGTGTTAACATCTTACATTAGCATGACACATTTACTACAATTATTGAGCCAATATCAACACATTATTATTAACTAGAACCCATACTTATTCATATTTCCTTAGTTTTTGCCTAATGTCCTTTTTCTCATTCCTTGTTCTAGAATCTCATCTAGGAAACCACATTACATTTAGTCATCATGTCTCTTTGGGCTCCTTTTGACTATGACTGTTTCTCAGATTTTCCTTGTTTTTGATGACCTAGACAGTTTTGAGAAGTAATAGTTGGTTATTTAGTAGAATGTTCTTCCATTGGAATTTGTCAGGATTAGATGAGAATTATGTGTTCTGGGAAGGAAGACCACAGAGGTAAGGTACCATGTTTATTATATCATATAAAGGGTACGTACGATCAGCATGACTTATCCTTGTGGGTTTGAACCTTGATCACCTAGTTGATGTAGTGTTTGTCAGATTTCACCACTGTGAAGTTACTCTTTTTCATCCCCTTTTATTATTCTGTATTCTTCAAAAGGAAGTCACCATGTACGTCCCACACTTAAGTAGTGAGAAGTTATATTCCATCTCCTCAGTGGTGAAGTACTTGCGTAATTTATTTGGAAATTTATTCACAGGAAATCTGTCTATTCTCTCCCACTTATTTACTTATTCAATCATTTATATCAGGGTATACTATGGATATTTATTTGATACTGTGGGCTATGATCCAATACTATTTTGTTGCTCAATTGTAAGTGTTAATTTTCACTATTAATGCTATTACCCAGCAGAATATATGGTGGATGAGTATTCTGCTGAATTCCATTTGGTAGTCAGAAAGGTGCTTGTGAGGTTCAGGATTTGTGTCTATTTTGCCCACCTCTATACTCTCAGAACCTAGCTTGGCTCATGTCACGTGCCCAACAGATACTTTTGAATTAATATCTGATACTGCTGAATTATAAGTGCCAATGATTATAAAGATCATGGGTATAAAAATTAGTTGTTGCAGAATTCATAAACAGGATCACAAATGTTTGGTAGTCATAGAAACAACTTGCAAATGTATCACCGGACTCCTGAATGTTCTTTCCCACCCACACCACACTCTCCCATCTCTTAGAATAATCACAGCTGGAGCAGAAAATGCTTCTCTTCAGTGAACTCCATCTCTAGGAACCACAGAGAAACATCCTATGCAACACTGAGAAGGCTCATGTATTTTGTAAAATTCTCGGTTAACATAAAATGACCTACAGAGTTCTCCCCAGCCAGGTTCTGAAGTCGAGTGCAAGCACATGGCTGAGAGAGCAAGCAGCCTGTGAGAAGAAAGCAAAACCGTGTGTCTTACCAGCCTTCAAAGCGCCCTTTATCTATCAGCAGTACAAGCACTCAGAGTTTAGAAAGGGAGCTTTGGACTATGTATCCTGTCATCCACAGTTAGATAATGAATCTTAAAGTTCCAACTGATGCCAGTTAGAGCAATATAGGCATTAAGTTAAGTGGAGTCCACCCCTCTGGTGGTGATCCACAGTAGATATTTGTCTACAACCAGGGATAAGTCCAAGCATTGGCTTTAATTTATCGTGTCTGGCAGTTTCTGCTGCTGGGATCTTGGCCAAAGCCAAACTCTCTTCCTCTGTCTGTCTTTATCCATCTCATTTCTCAGTTAACATTTTGAATTACTCTTCTTCATGAATCCCTAAATATGACTTTTGGAATTTGACTTATAACAACTTTGTTCCTCCCAACATCTGTTACATTTTGCTTCTATAGTCAAGATTTTGCCAAATTCTAATGCTCTCTGAATCAGAAAAATCTGGGACTATATTAAAGCATTAGTATAGTATGCAGCCCATTGTAGGGGATAAATAAATAATAGACATTCATTTATCTGAAGGTATGTGAGGAGCCCTTTTCATGGTGTCAATGTAATAATATACAAATAAGAAAACCAAGTGGGAAAATATATTAGAAAATGACTCTTTAGGAATTACTCATATCCTTCATTGATCAAAGGTTAAGCAAATCAAGGTTTGGTCAGTTCATATTAGTCACTCAAATTCCATTTCTATGATGTCGAGGAATAGTTCAATTAGTGAATTCATTAAGACACAGCAAAATTGAAGGAGCTGAGACCAGGAACTAGACTCTCTCCTAGGTATGATTCAATAATGGGAATAAGAAATTTTATTTTGGATTTCACCTTAAATTCTGAAATGAGTGACATCAAGTAGTAGAGGCAGAAGTTGATTTATTCAGAAACAGAAAAGGAGCCAGAAAACCAAATCTGGAAATTAAGAAAATATAAAGTAATAGAAAAGATAAGGAAAAATCAAGGTAGAGTCAGGAATCAAGTCTAGTGGGTGTGAGAATTGTTCAAATAACCAAGACAAAACTGGGGTCTTCGTATAGGAAAAATTAACTAAAGATTTGTTTCAACTATAGCCACTTTCTAGAGTAAGTTATGGTTTGTAAGAATAAAATTTTATCATAGCCTCCCTTTTCCACACTACTGCCTCTGCAAACCCACTCTATTGACTTATCTTTTTCTGCTCCTGCAAGAAAGCTTAGGTAGATTCCACAGCTTCTCTGCTCATTCTAAATTATTTGCATAAACAATCTCAATTTTTAAGATAATAAACAATCCAGTATAGCCTAATATTAAAACTCCAAACCCTCTTTCAGTCTAGAAACATCTACACTCCTCCTCATCCCCACCCCAACCCACCTGTTGAGCCTGGATTCAGGTTAGGGACCTGTAGTGGAAGAAAAGCCAGGATTAGCTGCTTCTCCACCTCTCTCTAAAACTGCCTGGCCTCTTTTCCTCCCTCATTTATAATTCTGCTTCAAAGGCTATAGGGGAAGAGCAAGGGCAGCAGAGTGAAGGGGAAAGGGATGGAGGGATGCTTTGATGAGTAGTTTTCATCCATCATTTATGCCTTCTAAGATGTCAGATACCCAATCATTCTTTCTCTGATTGTTACTTTTGTAGATATTTGGAGGTGTCTTCCTCCTCTGGAGGCACCCCTAGCAGTTTCCTTAATAAAAGTGATTTCTCAGCAGGCTGGCTGCCCTGCACCTTAGCTGGATCACCACATCCTTCAGGGAGTTCCCAGGGTATTCAAGTCTAGCTCCTTTCATAGGGTCCACACCAGTCTCATTGTTGAGGAAGTGCAGAGGCCTCCAGGCAAACTTATTTTGCCTCCATTGGCCAGCCCCCTACCTTTGGACTTTGATTTTTCCAGAGATCTGTGGCAGTCTTGGAGTGGCTCCTTTGAAATCACCCTCACATGGCTTGAGAAGGTCAGTGACAGTGAGGCCTGGCAACAGTCTCACAACTCTCCTCTAAGGAAATTATCTGTATAGATTTTTAAACCAATTTCATCACATCTACCTCTCTTATATAGCCTGGAGATGGACAATGGGCTAAGCATCACAAAATTGAGGTCAGTCTCTTGGCAGGTCATGTGTAGACGGTCCAGTGCTTATTGCTTATTGTTTTTGGCCTTTGGAGCAGGGCCAATATTCCAAGTCCACAGGAAAAGTCACATCTAACATCTGGTTACCCAGCAAGATGCCTCTCTAAAGACTTTTTCTATGACAGTACAGTATTATCTGCTGTTATTTCATTTCCCTTTGGGGATCTTCAAGGTGCTTGATAGCTTCCCAGGCACTGTGTAAATTTCTTCTTCTAAGACATTATAACAGCTTCATGGTTAAAAGTACATGGTTTCTCTTTCACCATGTTCAGCTAATAAGTTCTGTCCCTTATTTTGTGAGTTATCCTATAAAAACTATTTAATTCTCTCTTTGCCATACTGTCAACATTTATGAAATGGTCATAATACCTAACTCATTGGGTGGTTGTGAAGATTAAATGAAATAATGTATGTAAAGTGTTGACCACAGCAGCTGGTCTACAGAAAGCGCTCAGTAAAAGGTGGCTTGAAAAAGGTGACATTGTGGAATGGATCAGCCTGTTTAAAGCAACGATTTTATTTTATTTTAATTTATTTTATTTTATTTTATTTTATTTATTTTTGAGACAGGGTTTTGCTCTTGTCGCCCTGGCTGGAGTGTAATGGCGTGATCTCTGCTCACTGTGACCTCCACCTCCCGAGTTCAAGCAATTCTCCTGCCTCAGCCTCCCGAGTAGCTGGGATTGCAGGTGCCCACAACCATGCCCAGCTAATTTTTTGTATTTTTAGTAGAGACAGGTTTTACCATGTTGGCCAGGCTGGTCTCGAACTCCTGACCTCAGGTGATCCACCTGCCTCAGCCTCCCAAATTGCTGGGATTACAGGCATGAGCCACTGTGCCCAGCCCAGGAAGTCTTCTTTTATGAGGCTCTAGGGGAAGTTAAACAGGGTTCATTCTCTGTACTGAAGGTTTGGGCTTATGGTTACCCTGCTGTAGTAGAATAGAAGCAAAGTTATATTGATATATGCATGGCTTAGATAGTATATTTTAGTGAAAAAGCAAAATAAGCCAGAGATATTTTGACAGATCATCTTGCTTTAAGAATTTTATATGTATATATACACACACATATATATAGTTTTAATGATCAAATCTTGTTTCTATGTATGATTAAGTGTTTGAGGAAATAACTAAGTTCTGCAAGGCTACCTCTTTGGTATCTAGGAGGAGATTGTCTGAGGTAAGCACAGCATGTGGTGAAATGCATCTGAGTCGAAAGACTGGGAGAAAAAGCCTCACTGGTCACATTTTGAGCATGATTGTTCTACCAGCTATGAACTCACTGTTCAGATTCAGTCTCTATCTTATCTTCAATAATATCCTATGAGACTTTCCTATTCTGCTAAATTTCACATCTAATATTTCTAAAGAGGCTGTCATCGATCAACTCTGTTATTCTAACTTTAATAGTCATAAATGTGGTTTAATAAACTCCATTTCAGGAAAGCCACAGACCCAATAGGCCTCCTCTACACCCTCCGATTTGCTACCAGCAGGTATATCTAAAGTAATTTAACATGTTAACATGGGTTCTCAAGTTCTTTTTTTTTTTTTTTTTCTCTTAGCTTTCTCTGGCCTGCACAGATTAAGTTCTCTTTAGGAATCTATTTCCTGACATTCAGTACTTTTACTTTGGTTTTTTAGGTAGTAGTCTAACTACATGGAAATCAGTTGCATTTAAGAATGGTTTAAGGTAACATTCATTTAGACCTGAAAGGGTATTCAGATACTCACCTGCAACCCAGTTTAGGAGAAATTATACAGCTAAATTATACAGGTTAGAACAGGGTTAATATTGATGGATTCAAGTCAATCCTTTGAGTGTGGAATCTTGCAAGACCTCCAGAGATATATTTAGAAGGAGCAGAGCCTGGAGTGAACCACCGCTGTGCTCCCTCTTGCAGCCCTCCTCATAATATTTGGTACATAAAGTTGTTTAGTATAGAAGCAAGTATATTAAAATGTCTTTAGAACCTGAAAATAAAGAATAAGTAAAAAGAAAAATGAAGGTTGAGTAAAATGGAAGTTGGGAGAGAGATTCTCATCTACCTTGTTATGTGATGAACACATGGAAGAGTGAATTGGAAGACAGATAGACCATCCCTTCCCCAATTCTCATTTATCCCAAGAGGAGGGATAACATTTAAAATGTGTTCTCTTAACAAAAAACCTGGACATAACTGTCCTAATTAATCATAGAAACAAGAGGAGCACAACTGCTTCTGGGGAAAAACCAAAATGCCTGTTAGAGTTTGAAGTCTGATTTTGTTACTTGGGAATTGTGTGAGCTGAGAAAACCCCTCAATATCTCTGAATTTCACTTTTATCTAATATAAAATGGGTACATTAATGCATATAAGCAGGATTTTGTTATCATTAAATGAGATAATATATAATACAACTTTATAGACAAGGAGTAACCGTTTGAATAGATTATATGTTATTTTCATCACTTCACAGGGGGTCTCTTCAATATAAAAGATACAATGTAAGTTTCAAAGATAGAGATATCTAAGTTCAATATTCATCAGAACGTATCAGGGGTACCTTAGCTATCAGCAAACATCAGGCTCTGGTATCTTCTGTGCAAATTAGGCTGTAACATAAGAAGTTCATCCAGACCCAAAGGCTATTTAATAGCCAAATAAATTCATTCATTCAAAAACATATATTGGGTGCCTGCTCTGTAACACTATGCTAAGTGCTCTGGATATAATTTTTGCTTGAGCAAAGGTATCTAACATAAATAGGATTTATTCTGCTACAAGTGATATCAATGGAGATAATCAGTTCCAGAAATTCGAATTATGGTTGCACTTCTGACCTCATCTGCTCATTACTAATAAAGGGAAGGAAGTTTGCAAGGGAGCTCTAAATATATGTTGCATCCAGGTGTAAAATAATAGGAAGGATGGGGACTGTGACATACTAGAGAGCTCAAATCCAACCTGAAGATAGTCAAGTTTATTTCAAATTCAAGTTAATTAGAAATAAACTACACTTTCTGATATGATTCAGATGTTCTCCCAGCTAATTCTCATGTTGAATTCTAATCCCCAGTTTGCAGGTAGGGCATGGTGAGAGTTGATTGGATCATGGCCATGGATTTCCCACGAATACTTTATCACTATCCCCTTGGTCATAGTGAGCTGTTGCTTGGTTAGTTCATGGGAGATCTAGTTGTTTAAAAGTCTGGGACCTCTCTGCTCTCTCTTGCTCTTGCCATGTGATGTGCCTGCTCCCATCTCACCTTCTTCCATGAGTAAAAGTTCCCTGAGGCCTTCTCAGAAACTGAGCAGTTGCTGGTGCCACACTTCCTGCACAGTCTCGGGTATTTCTTTATAGTAAAACAAGAATGGCCTAATACACTTCCCAAATAAAAGATGACTGCAAGTTGAATTTGGACTGGTCATTCCAGATGTATGGGTCTCTATTATATGGTCAGTTAGAGATTGTTTTTGCAAGAAAGAATTTGCAAATTCTAACATTCTCCAATGTTCTTGAGCTTTCTGTTTTTTAAAAATCATTCTTACCAATATTGATATATGGCAGGTATAGTTGAAAACAAGAACTGTGTAAGTCACCTCTTTTCAAATTCCACTTCAAATCAAAGAGAAGAAAGAAATGAGATCTGTCTCTAATTGAGGTTCACAGAAGAATCATGCTCTTTTTGATAAAACTCATCAGAAACACAGTGAGGCTCTTGCTCCCAGCCATAATGTTAGGGCCTGTTGGGTTGGCAGTAATATTTTAAAAAAACAAAAAAACAAAAGAACAAGTGATAAGGTTTTCTTTAGCCTGAATAACAAAACACAGGACAGTCATCAGCCACTACTAAGAACTCACATGCTTGTGGGCTGTGCTACTTACTGTGAAAAGCATGCCAAGCGACTTTGATGAAATATCCATTTGGAATCATTTCCTTAGGGGAAAAAAATAAGCAGAGCTTAATTTCCTGTAGAAGATGAAATTTTATGTTGGATGATAATGGCATAGACAGAACTAGTAAAGACAAACATGTGCATAAACATCGATGCAGTTCAAGAGGTAAATGCATTTAATGGGCATCACGACCAAAGATAACATTTTTTAGTTTAGTAAAGTTTCCTATAAGAGTCAAGAATGAGAGAGCATTGGCACAGTTTTCCTTGTCATGTTAATAAGATGGCAAAACAATTCAACTTTTTGGATATTATTGTGTTTCCATAAAGAAAAATCTAGGATGTTTATGATGTGTATTGCACATTCAGATGAATGCACACAGCAATACAGCAATCCACAAGCCACTTCTTGAGAATCTCATGGCTTCCTCCCAAATTTTCTCTAGTGCTAGCCTCTGGCTTGTGTGACAGGGCTCAATTTCCTAAAGCCTTTTGGGAATTTTCATCTGGAGGTTTTAAAGATGTTGCAACCTTTACATACTAAGACAGAACTTAACATATTGACCCCAGGTCTTCTTATCGTTCATACTTCCTATTCTGGTTACTGCCATTTCTATTTATCTAGTCTCCCAGGCTAGAAACCTTACAGTTTTCCCCTTTCTACATGCATCTAACTGGTCATAAACATTTATTTTATTGTTACAATTATTCTTCATCAAAAATGTGTTTTGAAACCTAAATATGTTATTTATCTTCTTTGTCACCTCCTCAGTTCAGATGCCCATTACTTCACATCTGGATTTTCTGGAGGTAAAAATAAAATCCTAAGTAAATATGTACAACTGCATTTTAAACATGCAGAAATAATTGGGGATTAATACTATACATCATACAAAAAATCAGATAATAACAAAGCAGTGTGTATGAGTGCACAGAGCTGGCCTAGTATTCTCAGCGAGGTCTCAGTCTTTCTAGCGGTTGGGCTGGCACTCATGTCGAGGTGTTTTCTCCTTTGAGCATAAAGCATTTCACAGAACACCACAATGAAATAAGACAAAAATGAGAATTCTGCATAATCATGCCTGAGTAGAGACCAACAGAGGAACACTGAACAAACCACAGAAAACATCAGGAAACCCCTTTCCTGGCTAGTATGAGAGACTACTTGATTACTAGCTACAGGCTAACTCCACTTTGTTCCCCCATATCCTAGATAAGATTTGTTAAAATATGCAACCACAGAATTACCTCTATCTTCTGAGAGCAGATAATCTAGAGCAAATGCCCATTTCCTTAATCTGTCATCAAAATCGCCCAGTAAACACCCATCCCCTATAAGTCCCTGTCAACACTTTCTTACTAAAACACCCAAGATCCCTCTGATGTGTGCCTACCTTGTTGCAACAAGACAATAAATTCAGCTTTATTTGATTACATGTGTGTTTCTGACAGTCTTTGACAGGGGCCAACACTGGTATTAAAATATAATTGTTTACCTGAAGGTTCTTATATCAGTCAAGGATGCCTTCAAATGCAAATAATATAAAATCTGATTTATAGTGGCTTGTGGGAGCGAATTTTTTCACATTACAAAAAATCCAGAGAAAGGTGGTTGCTAGATAGGTTCTTTTCTGCTTATTGTCTCATGATCATGTGACTGGTTGCTACCGTACTTTCAGACATCTCTTCAGAATGCCAGGCAGAAAAGGGGGTTAAGGAGTGAAAGGTTTCCTTCTTACAAGTCTTTTCTTTTTAAAGATGCTCTCTCCTGCAGACTTCATTATGTCACATTAGCTGGGATCGACTCAGATAAGGAAAATGAGAATTATATTAGAATTAGTTAGACCAGACTCAGGGGCTGGGAAAAGGATGTGTCTTTCTAAAACCAAGGAATCTCTTCAGGTTCTCTGACAAAATCAGAGTTGTCAACAAGCCAAGTAATGGCTTTCTATTTGATATGTGGTAAGGCAAAAAGGCTTTAAGTGATCTGACCAATGCCTAATAGCCTTTCCTTGTCTTTTTCATTCTCATTTCATTGAATGAGAATACTTCTGTCAATTTTCTTTAACATTTATAGCTCCTTTTAAAAAGTCCATATATTAGGAAAAAATGAAGTATCTTTAGGATATTTGTCAATGGTCTTTTGTATATCAAAGGAATAGCCATGACTTTTAGGCAAGTTAGGTCAGAAAATTCTCGAAAGGAAGTGTGTGGGCTGGGAACTAATTTAGCCTACCAAAACACTTTCCTTCCCTCCACTTAGTGGTCAGGTAGGGAGTTTGCTCTGTGTTAGGACAGGATAAAAGGGTTTCCCTGGTTCTCAAAAATCAATCCATTTGAAGCACTCACCCAAAATTTCTTTTGCAAATTAAAAATGCTATTTGTTTCCTGGAATAGTCCAGATCTTGTTACTTCTCCATTTAAGAAGTTTTAACCTTTCTTCTTATCATACGTAATGCCTTTCTGATAACCCAAAATGCATTCCTGAACTTCCAATATTATATTATCTTGTCATGTTTTTGAAATGTCAAAGATGTGTTATTTAAACATATCCTTTTCTTAATAGAGTTGTTGCTTTAATGTGACTGTCTCAGGTTCCATGTTTTTAAAATATAATTGCTTTTCAAGAAACTGATATATTGATTATACAGAACATTTGGAATCAATGAGTTATGATCACACTTTACTCACAGTCTTTGGTTCATTGTCGTAAATAAAGGACAACCATGAAACAGCAGCATACCAGGACTGGACTTATATATATAACAGAGCTCTGTTACAATTGCACTAAATCACCACTCTCAGGAAAAGATGGATCATCAGAAATCAGAATGAGGATATCAATGGGGAAAAAGCACACAATTTTCCACTTTTGCCAAACTTGATTTTTGCCTATGGTAGATGTGTATATATAGCCACTTCCAAGGAATATTTGAGAATTTCCTAGAAAAGGTTTTGGATATGAGCTCTGAAGGTAAAAACACATTTTTGTTTAACTTTCCTTCTTTCCTCTCTTCCTCTGCCTTTCCTTCTCTGCTTCCTCCTTCTTTTTCTTTTGTTCTTCAAAGTATCCTCAAATATGTAAAAGTTCTGAGAATCAAATTGTGGAGTGTTAGACAGAATTCTCTTCTGATTCTCTCAAAAGGAAGTTACATAAGGAGAATATGCAAGTGAAAAAAAAAGGAAGAGAAGTGGTGTTAGCAGAGGACATATTGTCCTTTCTGGTAGTGGTTTGCTTATAAGGGCTCAGTCATTTGAAAAGATCTTCCACAATCCCTCCTACTTAAACTGCAGACACATCAAAAGTCAAAATAACAGGAGCTAGAATATAAAAAATATTTAAAAAATACAAAGAGGCATATATATATATATACATGAGTGTATACATATTATATAATATAAATAAGCTATTTGAATTACAGAGAATGTGCAGAAAAATTTTGATTAAAAAAGATGCATGAAAACCTAGTAGATTTCAAAGAAAACCCTGGAAGTTTCAAATTATCCCGGCATCTTAGTATTTTTCTTTTGAAGAGTTACCCTTTTTGGTAGTCTCATTAACTTCAGTGGACTGGACCACATGTATAATCCACCTCTAATACCTGGAAGCTTTGTGTTGAGAACCAGTCCTCTCTAAGACTCTTGTATCAATGGCAAGTGCAGTACTGCTCTTACTGCCTGCTCTTGAGGGTTGGGAAATCAAGAGTTGTACCAGCTGTCATGAAAATGAGAAGTATGCTACCTACATTTTGAATTATTTAGAGGAAACACATTCTTTAACTCAAACAGATAAGCATTTTAGTTTAAGTGACAATACTAAATGGTATGCTTCTTATTTTCCAAAGCAAGACAGACAGATATTTTTAACCCTTTGAAGACCAAGGAAAGAAAAGAACCCCTAATTTTTCTATAATTCTAAGCTTCATGTTAATATGAAATATTCTATAAAACAAAGCTGGTAAATTCACCCACATTTGGTCAGAGAGGTTTCAATGTTTTAAGAATTAAGTGAATAAGGTATTTGTTTTGTGGAAAAAACAGTCCTTGCTTTTGAAGTGTTTATGGTAAAAACAATAAAAGTCATAGATTTGTATGGTCATTAGTGTTACTCAATTTTTTTCTCCCCAGTGATTGATCAATAGTAGGAGCTAAATACACCTGTGAAAGGATGGAGAACATGAAATTATAAGATTTGCAATCTATTGTTCTAAAGAAATGCCTTCATAGGCATATTATATGAAAGGGCTCAGACTCAAGGATATACTTAACAAAGATTGTTATATTAATTCATAAAAAATAGTGTGTGTAGAATTTAAACTTCTGAGGAAAAAAAGTGGAGATGGGTGGTATGGAACCTAGCTCGGCAGTGGTTGGGTGGAGATAATTGAAATATCAGTTCTACCATTATGTTTGTTCCTATGACACAACAAATCTTTAGTAAAGAGTACAGAAGCTATTTACTGCCTGGTGAGATTAGATTTATAGCAGAAATCAGTGATGGAGCTAAGCTTTGCATCCTCTTTTAAATGACATGGAAACAGAGTAATTCCAAACAGATGAGATATACCTGTCATGAGGAAAAGTGATTAATTTATTTCAGAATGAAATTCTTACTTTGTCACTCAATATGCTATATATCTGGTTCCAAATTGTTTCTTTATTCTGTTTTCCAACTTGTCCATATCCATGTTACTTTGCCAAATGAAACAATTCATTTCTTCCTGCATGCATTTTGTACTTTCCTATTTCTGTGTCTTTGCTTCACCTGGACTGCTCTTTTCCCTTTTTCCAAATCCAAATATTATATACCCTTTGAGACTAAATCATGTGTACTCTTTACGTCCTCTAAACAAACATTTCATGCATAATAGACCTCCTTCATGCTTTGTGTTCTTTCTCATTTGCAGACAATAGAAGGCACTCTAACTGATTTAAGTAGAGATTTATTACAGGATATGGGAAACTTAATAGTTATTAGAAGAGTAGAAAGAGCAGGATAATCCTCAAAATGCCACAGGACTTGCTTGGTATAGGGACTGCTTTCACCACCCACCCCATGCTCTTACTGTTTCTTTTGCCAGGTAAGCCAGAAAAATTATTATCTACAACTGCACTTCTGGCCAGAGTATGGAGATTTGTGGCAGGAGTATGGACAAATAAAAATGAGTTTCTAGAAGAAGTAATGCTGGTGATGCTGGTGTTGTTTTTGTTTTGTTTTGTTTTGTTTGTTTGTTTGTCTGTTTGAGATGGAGTCTCACTCTGTTGCCCAGGCTGGAGTGCAGTGGCACCATCTTGGCTCACTGCAACCTCCACCTCCTGGATTCAAGTGATTCTCCTGCCTCAGCCTCCCATTTAGCTGGGACTACAGGCGTACACCACCATGCCCAGCTAATTTTTTTTTTTTTTTGGAGACAGACTCTAACTCTGTCACCCAGGCTGGAGCAGAGTGGCATGATCTCGGCTTGCCATAACCTTCGCCTCCCGGGTTCAAGCGCTTCTCTTGCCTCAGCCTCCCGAGTAGCTGAGTTTACAGGTGCATGCCACCATGTCCGGCTAATTTTTTTTTTTTTTTTTTTTTGGATTTTTAGTAGAGATGAGGTTTCACCATGTTGGCCAGACTGGTCTTGAACTCCTGACCTCAGGCAATCCACCTGCCTGGGCTTCCCAAAGTGCTGGGATTACAGGTGTAAGCCATGGTGCCCAGCCACAAGTAATGCTGTTGTTAACTATGAATGGAAGGGAGCAATTAATGTGTGGAAAGAGAGGGTGAGTGAAATTGCTTGCCAAATGAAGGAAACTGAAATTAATTAGCATGGCTGGAGTGAAAAGAGTCATGAGGAAGTTACTGAGACTGGAGAAATCTGACGGGCACCAGGCCTCAGTGCCTATGTGTGACGCCTGTGGAGTTTGGATATTACCTTACCATCTCCATGATGAGGTTACAGCGTGTGCTTTTAGACAGTGTTGTAACCCCAGCACTCAGCACAGCACCAAGCACATAGTATTGCATTGGTTGCTGATTTTTAAATATCATTATTTCGTCTGTATTTAGTGATTGACCTACTTGAAAAAGGGCTTTCTCTTTCCTCCAATTTTTTTAATTTACTGGTTTCTTTATTTTTATCAGTATGGATGCTTATTTTATTCAATGGGTTATAATCCATTACTATAATGAGTTGTGTTGATGCTGCAATTGTCCGAGATTTGACCACTAGTAACCTCTTCAGCTGGCTCCTGCATCCTTTGACATGCCTCCATCATTCTGAGTACTTCCTTAGTTTTTGGCAGAACAAAGTGTTCTGGATTAAAGAAAACTAAAGGATCATGGCAATGGAATACAAAGTGGATCGTGGCCTAGTTCCTAGACCAGAAGAAAAATACTTTTCTATAAAAGATATCGTTTGAACAAATTGTCAAATTTAATTAAGTTCTATAGATTAGATAATAGAATTTTAATCAATATTAAAATGTTAATTTCTGAATTGTCTTTAGCTAAAAGGATATTCTGTTTTAGGGAACTGTACACTGCTATGTTTACAGGTAAATAAGCATCATGAGTATCTTGTCTTTAACTTATTCTCAAATGATATTTATTGAACAATAACAATAATTATATGGATGGAAGGCAAGGAGGAGCAAGTCACATCTTATGTGGATTGCAGCAGGCAAAGACAGCTTGGGCAGGAAGACTCCCCCTTATAATAAGCACCAGATCTCATGAGACTTACTCACTATCCTGAGAGCAGCACCGGAAAGACCTGCCCCCATGATTCAATTACCTCCCACCAGGTCCCTCCCACAAAACGTGGGAATTCAAGATAAGATTTGGGTGGGGACAGAGCCAAACCATATTATTCTGCCTCTGGCCCCTCCCAAATCTCATGCTCTCACATTTCAAAACCAATCTTGCCTTCCAAACAGTCCCCCAAAGCCTTAACTCATTTCAGCATTAACTCAAAAGTCTACAGTCCAAAGTCTCATCCAAGACAAGGAAAGTCCCTCCTGCCTATGAGCCTGTAAAATCAAAAGCAAGTTAGTTACTTCCTAGATACAATGGGGGTACAGGCATTGGATAAATACAGCCATTCCAAATGGGAGACATTGGCCAAAACAAAGGGTTAGGCCCCATGTCTGTCTGAAATCCAGCAGGGCAGTCAAATCTTAAAGCTCCAAAATGATCTCCTTTGACTCTATGTCTCACATCCAGGTCATGCTGATGCAAGAGGTGGGTTCCTATGGTCTTGGGAAGCTCCACCCCTGTGGCTTTTCAGGGTATAGGCCCCTGCCCTCCCAGCTGCTTTCATGGGCTGGCATTGAGTGTCTGCAGCGTTTTTAGGTACACAGTGCAAGCTGTTGGTGGATCTACAGCATTCTGGGGTCTGGAGGACAGTGGTCCTCTTCTCAGAGCTCTACTAAGCAGTGCCCCATTAGGGACTCTGTGTGGGGGCTCTGATCCCACATTTCCCTTCTGCACTTCCCTAGCAGAGGTTCTCCATGAGGGTCCTGCCCCTGCAGCAGTCTTCTGCCTAGGCATCGAGGTATTTCCATACATCCTCTGAAATCTAAGTAGAGGTTCCCAAACCCAATTCTTGACTTTTGTGCACTGGCAGGCTCAATACCACGTGGAAGCTGCCAAAGCTTGAGGCTTGCACCCTTTGAAGCCACAGCCCAAGCTGTACATTGGCCCCTTTCAGCCATGACTGGAACAGCTGGGATGCAGAGCACCAAGTCCCTGTGCTGCACACAGCACGCGTACACTGGGCCTGGCTCACAAAAACACTTTTTCCTCCTAGGCCTCTGGGTCTGTGATGGGAGGGGGTGCCATGAAGACCTCTGACATGCTCTGGAGACATTTTCCTTATTGTCTTGGGGATTAACATTTGGCTCCTCATTATGCAAATTTCTATAGCCGCCTTGAATTTATCCTCAGAAAATGAGATTTTCTTTTCCATTGCACTATTAGGCTGCAAATTTTCCAAACTTTTATGTTTTGCTTCTCTTATAAAACTGAATGCCTTTAACAGCACCCAAGTCACCTCTTGAATGCTTTGTTGCTTAGAAATTTATTTCACCAGATACCCTAGATAATCTCTCTCAAGGTCAAAGTTCCACAAATCCCTAGGGCAGGGGCAAAATACTGCCAGTCTCTTTGCTAAAACATAACAAGAGTCACCTTTGCTTCAGTTCCCAACAAGTTCCTTATCTCCATCTGAGACCACCTCAGCCTGGACTTTATTGTCTATATCATTATCAGGCTTTTAGTCAAAGTCATTCAAAAATCTCTAGGAAGTTAGAAACCTTCCCACATTTTCCTGTCTTCTTCTGAGCCCTCTAACTGTTCCAACCTCTGCCTGTTACCCAGTTCCAAAGTTGCTTACACGTTTTCAGTTATCTTTTCAGCATTACCCCACTCTACTGGTACCAATTTACTGTATTAGTCTGTTTTCACACTGCTGATAAAGACATACCCCAGACTGGGAAATTTACAAAAGAAAGAGGTTTAACTGGACTTACAGTTCCTCTTGGCTGGGGAAGCCTCATAGTGATGGCAGAAGGCAAGGAGGAGCAAGCGCAGGGAAACTCCCCTTTATAATTACCGTCAGATCTCATGATACTTACTCACTATCACGAGAACAGCACTGGAAAGACCTGCCCCGATAATTCAATTACCTCTCACCAGGTCCCTCCTACAACATGTGGGAATTCAAGATGAGGTTTGGGAGGTGACACAGACAAATAATATCAATATATATCTATACACTCTATGTATATATTAATGTATGCATGTAACATAAATTTAACATATATATGAGAAAGAGAATGATAAAGTAAATGTAGTAAAAATGTTATTATTTGGGAAACCTGAAATAATGATATGTGAAAATTATTTTTTTGTTTTTATGTAATTCTGAACATTTTAAAATATGAAGTTAAGCAAATAAACAAAAAATTATATTGGCTATGCTATAAAGAATAAATTGCAGGGAACTTAAAGTGTAGAAGAAAATCTAAGAAAAGAATCTATTCCAGTGGTCTGGGGAGAAATGGCCATCACGTGGATTGGATGTTTGGGAAGTGGGTATGTCCAGATGTAAACAGACTGAAGGTACACATTGGAAATAGAACTGACAGGACTTGACTATGGATGAGAAAAGAGACATAAGGGTGAAAAAAGGGAGACATAAAAGATGATGCCTGGGTTTGGGCCTTCAGCAACTTGTTGAATGGTAGTGTCATTTATATGGAGGAAACTTGGAGATGGAAATTTTGCAGAGAAGAGAACATCATGAGCTTTTAGTTGTATGTACAAATTTGAGGTAGGTATTAGTCATCCAGGTGAAGATATATGGCATACACAATCAACTCAGGGAGGAAGTTTAGGGTGGAAAAAACTTATGGGGGTTGCAAGAAGAAAGATGGTATTTAAAACAATAGAACCAGGTGAAATTATCTAGAAAGTGAATTTGAAGGGTGAAGGGAAGACTGAACCTTAAAGCACTACATTAAATCAAAGTAGATAGACATGATCTGCCACATAATTTCTGAACACCAGTGCAAAACGAAAATGCAGGATCCTTTGTTAAAAAATTATCAAGAATTTCAACGTGGCAATGAGAGGCATTAAATAAAGCCTGAGGGCCTTCTAAGTGGTGTGGGGGGTTGGGAAGGGGGTTGTGACTGTGTGGGTTGCACACTCATGAAACCAGCACTGTGGATAGAGAAAGGAGGTCCAGTAAAGGAGATGGAGAAGAAGCATTCAGGGACTTAAATTTCTGAGAATGCTAATCTCCCAAAAGCCAGATTAGGAGAATTTCTAAGGAGAAAGAATGTTGATTGTTTTGAATGTGTTTAGGTAGGTTCAAATGAAGTAGGAGAAATATCTGTGAATTTGGCAGCATGCTTATTTGACAGCAGTCATTAAGAATAATATTGGACAGAGAGGTCAATAGAGCAAACTATAGTAGGAAGAGGAAGTGTAATCAATCTTTTTAGAGGAAGTTTTCCTTGGAAAATGAGCAATGAGGTTGTGTGGTAGATGGAGGGAAATTGGGGTTTTTATTTTTAAAATGAGAAATGAAAGAATTTGTAGGCTGATGGTCATAATCCAGTAGAAAGGGAGAGAGCCATGATGCAAGAGGGTGAAACCTCTCAACACAATTGGATGACTTAATTGCTTGAACACAGGCATGGGTGAGGGCTGGGAGAAAATTTTTTCATGGAACTGTTGTATTTCTGCACAGCTTGTAAACAGGGGCACTAACTTACTTTGTTGTGGACTAACTTTTGAAAGATGTTTGTGCAGTGAACAGACTTGGAAAATAGAAATGATGTCTCCTTCCAGAATAAAGGGTTGACATATTAGTTCTTACTGTCTAGCTTAATAAGCATAATATCTTGATTGGAATGGGTATGTTAATGCCCATTATACACAATTCAGGTCCCCTAAGAGTAGGTCTCTCTCCTGGAATGCAGTCCAAAGAGTGTATTATCTGATTCTCTTTGTGTCACCCTGTGGGAACAGGAGCTGAGGGAGCCAGAGGAACAATTTTGACACTCTGGCTACCACTACTGCTGTGAGTAATAAAATTGTTCTTTATTTCTGATGCAGGAGGCTTGGCTTCAGCCAGCATCCATGAAATTGTGGCAGGCTAACCTGTTAGCTTGCAAATAGAGTAAAAATAGATACTTCGCAGTCCTTGACAATGAGCTCCAGAAAAGGAGCAAGAAGTCAGGTAATTGAAGGTATTTTAAGGGAAAAATTAAAATGCTGGGATTACAGAATCTAACTTGGAAAAAGGAAAATGAGAACAGGAAGGTGTAATGGATAATTAACCTGCACGTGCATGCATGTATGTTTGTTGGAGAGCTTTAATAGTGGAATAATTGTTTGGGTGTATCTTTAGGTGGAGGTATTAGGTTATGAAAGGAAGTCAAAGTGTGTAATGCTTGAGATCAATAAGCAGAAGAGGCATAGTTGCAGGAGATGAGAAGCTGTAGGGTGCATCTGACTATGCAGTGAGGGACTGAAGTGGAATGAAAACAAGGTTTGGAGATTATTTCTGAGAATGTTTTCAAGGAAGGGTTTTCAGGTTATGATCCCAAATAATTACATCTACCATGGTAGGATCCTAGAAAATTACTCCTTGCCGTAGCTCTTGAGGATGGTGGTGGAAGTGGGCAGGATGTGTGTATGTTTATCCTCTTTTGAGAACAATCCTCTCCCCACTGATTCTCTGCCCTTCTCTGTACCCTGAGAGACTGACCTCTGCCAATTCTATCACCTGGGCTCAGCCTCCTTACTGTGGTCGGCCAAGGAAAATCACTGATTGAAGCTTGGAAGACAGGAGAGGGGAAAACATTTTGTATATTGGCTTTCCTCCTCCATTTCCTCGTGGCTTTGCCATGGTTCTGGGAGTGACTATATCCTTCTATAATTTACAACTTCTGTCAGGCAGCCTGTCTTCCACAGCCCTAGCCCCCAGAGGGGCTCTAACACCTTTCCCTCTAGAGTCCTATCAAGCCTGTGAACCAGAAAAGTTTCCAAATACTGCTAGTTCCTGTGTGCCTCAAAATCACGCGTTGGTTCCCTTAACCCTTCCACACCTCAATAAACAGCCCCTTCTTTAGACAATCTCTGCAAAGTTCCCAGCTGAGTGTGCCATCTGTTTCCTGCTGGGACCCCCAACTGCTGTAACTATATGGGGTGGGGAGTGTCACGAGGTGGGTAGGCAGAAACCATTCTTGGCCAAAATAGAAGAGACACTGACAAAGCACTTTATCACAGTTGTATAAGGGAATAGTGTCTCTTCTATTTTGGGCAAGACCCAGAAGAGATGTTTTTGCAGTTACTCTCGAAGTAATATCACATATAATTATTGTGTCCTTGAAATATTTTAACATCAGATAGTGTAAATTTTGTAATGACTATCTTTTTTCATAATTTTCTTCACTTCAATTTTTTTTTTATTTTAAAACACTTTTTGTAGACAGGGCTTTGTGTTGTTGCCTAGCCTAGTCTTAAACTCCTGGCTTCAAGTGATCCTCCTGTTTTGGCCTCTCCAAGTCCTGGGATTATAGGCATGAGCCACCTCACCCAGTCTTTTGCTTTTTAACTTTATTGGTTCTTGTACATGGATTACTTTCAAGTAAAAATAAATTCACTATATTGACCTTTGCTATAATTGCCTTAAAAGCTTAGTTACATGTGCAGAGACATATCTGTCTTTGGAGAGAAGAGTGAGAAATGACTGATAACATTTTCCCATTCAACAATATCTTCTTGCTCTTTATCCTATCTTTTGTAATCCTAAGAACTGTGTGAAATTTTTTGGAATGTGATCTACACTTTTTGATTACTTTTGTCTTTAGTCACCTCATATATTGTTTCTATTATGATGAATTATTTTTCTCTGTTATGTTTTTCAATATACATTACATATTTTTCCATTACATAAGAAAGGTACTGATTTTGCATATTTTAAGAAATGCAAGCATCTTATTTCAAATAAATAGAGACTAGATTTTTTTCAACAACTTGTAATGGAACAAATGGGTATTTAACTGAAAAAGAATGTTTTCATCTCTATTGCTTCTTCAACAAAATAAGCTCTTGCTGGATCAAAAATTAAAATAGGGCAGGTGTGGTGGCTCAAGCTGTAATCCTAGCACTTTGGGAGGCCAAGGCAAGCAGATCACTTGAGGACAGGAGTTCGAGACCAGCCTGGCCAACATGTTGAAACACCATCTCTACTAAAATCGCAAAGAAATTAGCTGGGTATCATGGTGCACACTTGTAGTCCCAGCTACTTGGGAGGCTGAGGAACAAGAATCACTTGAACCCAGGAGGTGGAGGTTGCAGTGAGCCAAGATCATGCCACTGCACTCCAGTCCGAATGACAGAACAAGACTCTGTCTCTAAATAAATAAATAAGTAAAATAAAACATAAAAATTAACTCTTATTAGTCCTTCGTTGGATGTGCAGTTTGCAAATATTTTCTCCCATTCTGCATGTTGTCTGTTCACTCTGTTGATTATTTCTTTTGCTGTGTGGAAGCTTTTTAGTTTAATATATCTATGTCACAAAACTGTATGTGTACTCCCTAAATTTATACAAATTCTTAAAAAATTAATTCATAAAATAGTAGAGGAAACATGAGAAAAAATTAGAAATAATTTTATTCGAGTAAGGAAGGTATCTCAAAGTATAATAGAGATATCAAACCTATAAAAGAAAATAAAGATTATTTTGACTCTGTCTATGTCTACATTTTTTGATATCTATTGGAAAGAAAATTTCAAAGACAAATCACAAACTGAAAGAAATATTTTTAACACACATGACAAGAAACTAACTTATATAATGTATAAAAATCACCCAGAATTCAATAAGAAAAGCAACATCTTAGTCAATAAATAAGCAAAGAAAATGAATGAACTATTCACAGAAAAGGAATTAAAAATGGCTTATGAAAATATGTAAATGGTCAATTTTTTAAAATCATAAGAGGAATGCACATTGTTTTTTCAATGAAATACTATGTTGACTTCTATCAAATAGGAAAAGATGAAATAGTGATAGTAGACCTGACCATTGAGGGTATAGTTAAACAGACACTTTTAGGGATTATTATTAAGAGTATAAGTTGATAGAGTTCATTGAATGACAACTTGGTATTATCTAATATTCATTTTATTGCTCAAGTACTTTAAGCTAAATTTTAGAAACCACATAAATGTCTATCAGTGGAAATTGATTAAATGCAATAGTATGCATGTGTTTAAATATCAAACTACTTGATTTGTACTGATCTATTTCCAGGATAAATTAGGTGAGAAAAGCAAAATACAGGAGAAAGTTCATAATATGCTACTAAATATGGGAGATTATCTTTCTATGTATTGATCAATCTATCATCTGTCTATATTTATATTTAGCTATCTAGCTATCCATTCCTATATATGACAAGAATATATCTAAAAAAAAAAAGAACTGAATAACTATGGCTACCTCTATGGTAGGGAACAGCAAATTGTGGGACAGAAGTGAGAAGGAGATTTACGTTTTACTATGTATCCTTTTGCATTATTTGTTTATTTTTACCATTGAGTACATTCTTTACCTATTCAAAATTAATGTGTTTATTTAAAAATAAGATACAAATCAGTTACTATATAAAATTATCTCATGGTCATAGTTACCTTTTCTGGATTTTCTGAGTAGACATGAAAACAAAAGAATAATAAACAAGAACACAGGGTCACAAAGAAACTCTGGGAGGTGCTGGATATGTCTGTTCCCTTGACTGTGGGGATAGTATCATGCAATGGCAGTTTGCATATGTCTGCGCTCATCAAATTGTATACATTTAATATGCTCAGTTCCTTGTATATCAATTATGCCTCATTAAAGCTGTCAAAATATTTTTAAAAAGATAAAATCAAGGACTAAAAAAAGAAAATCATCTTGAGTTTGTATTGATGATTCCAATTCAAATTCAGGACCAGAAGCTTTCCCCTTAATCTCATCAATCTTACTAACAATCTCGTTTATCTCCCTTCTTCTTTGTCAGAAATTTAGATCTCAACATAATTGTTTACTTGATTTATCCCAAAACATATACACAAAAATATCAGGATAGCAATGGTGACACTACCTTCACAATACAATCACTGAAAACAAGCCTAATATCTTTTCTAATTGTTTTTGTCCTTTGCTTATAGCTTGTTAGGGATGTACAGTCAAATGTGTGAATTTTCAAGCCATTTGGATTCTTCATCTCTATTGGCTATGCCATGAAATGGTTACACAACTAGATTCATTTGTTTAGTTTCCTTTTTATATTTAGGTATTTTAATTTTTATCTGATTTTTAATAATTGTATATGGTATTGAGTGGTGTCAATGTAAAATCAACAAAACAAACTATATTTAAAGAATTTCAGCTTCTCTACCTCTTGATTTTATTCTCCCCCTCTTATAATATGTAACCATTAACTAAAAAGGTTATTAGTTATTCTTCCAACAAAATCGAAGGTGTGTGCATTATATATATGGGTGTGTGTCTGTGTGTATTTATATCTTTTCACTGCCTTTCTGACATAAATAGTACTCTATTATATATTTTCTCACTTTCCTTTTTTAATGTAGCCTCACTTTTACACTTTTTTTTAACTTCCTTAGTGATCTCCAGTTTATGGCTGATGGTTGGACTTTGTAAAAATATATATTTTTTTATTTTTCAAACTCAGGTCTTTTTTTCAGCTTAGGAGAATTTTCTGGTATTATTATTATTATTATTATTATTTCTTATGGGCTCTCATTAAATTTCTTTCAATTCTCCAGTAAACTATCATACATATGAGGGATTTTCATTCTCCATCTGTTATAACTCTCTCTTTTCACTTTTGACTTATGGTTTAAAAAATTCTTTTTCTCTGCTTTCCTAGAAACTTTGAATTCTTTAGGGTAATTTACTTTTCCTCTGAGATATGTATGTCATTTACTAATTATCATAAATTCTGCTGTTATGGTTTATCTTCTAATCCCGTCTCTTAAATATTCCAGCTCTATTTCTGTGCATTATCAGCATCTTCTCATCTGTAATGCTGCTTACCATTTTATCAAGTAGGTAACTCTTTAAAATTATGTTTTATTTCCTTTAGCAAAGCATTTCCTAAAGTTTCTTTTTCTTCTGCACCTTAAGATCAATATAGTTATATTTTTAAGTTCCAAAATCTTTCCAAATTTTTCATACAGCGTTTTTCCATTTCTTTGTCTTTCAATGAGAAAATTTTATCTCAGCTTTAGGTTTGCCTATAGATAAAGCAAGTGGATTTGTATGGTTCTCCTCAGCATTTACCTTATTGTAAGAATTCTTTTCAGAAATATTACGGTGGGTATCTGTTTGATATATTTAAGCCTTAGCCAAGATTTTAGTATTCCATTCTTCATTTCACATAGATCCATTGACTGAGTTAATTCTCCATGTACTTATTGAGAGGACTAAAATTTATGCTTGTGTAAACTGAAGCAGTTAGTAGGGCATTCTTTCTCTATCAGATAAAGTAAATGAATAACTATGACTCCCTTTGTATGCAATTTCCATGGTTATTCCAAGCCAGTTCCCACTGCTGATGACAGATCCCTGGATGTTAATTGCCACTTTCTCTTCTCTGACCCCAGCCACATTGCCTAACTGGGAATTGGAGTCCTGGCATGGATGTAGAGAGTATTAATAAAGAATGAAGTCAAGCAAAAATATTTCTGCTCCCCTAAAAGTACTGAGTAGCTTCATTCCCTTTTTGAGCAAAGATTCCCAAAGTTCTTTTAGCCAGGGTACACAGTGAGAGACATTTTCTTTGCTTTTGTTTTCTCCTACATGGTCCCACTTTACTAGTTTATGGTTTCATCTATGCATTGGTTAGTGGCAAATTCTTGACAAATGTTTGTAGTTTTTAATGATTTGGAATCAATGATTGTTTTTAGTTTTTATAAATATTAATTTCAATATAAAAATAGGAAAGAAAATTACTTATTGCTAGCTTTCATTCACTCTATCCCTTCTTTTTAAATTTAATCCCAAGACTTTACCTCTAGATATAATTTTGATAAAACCCAATTTTTAATACGAAGTGCTTTAGTTTCAACATGAAGATAACTTGTATGCATTGGCAATATCCACAGTCTTCTATGCGAGACTGAGTATATTTCCAGAGATAACTTTAACTGCAAACTCAAATGATAGTGATTTGAGTCACTTTCAGAAGAAATGAGTTTTTTTAATGAATGAGACAAGGTTCTTTTTCACTAATTGATTGACTAGTTAATTTTTCTTTTTGATACTTCCATTTTTAAATGTTCTTTAAGATTGCACTTTTAAAAGTTTGGTTTTAATAGCATTGAATTATTTGGATTCTATATATTTATCTTTTTCTCAGAAAGTAAAAATTTAATGTTTCATTTTCAAACCATTTTACCATGATGCTTAATGATCCAATTACCTATTGCTGCATAACAATTCATCCTAAAATTTACTGGCTCAAAGTAAGAGCAATTATTTGTTTTATCATGAATTTGCAGTTTGGGCAAGGTTTGATAGGTAAGTCTTTTTTTTTTTTTTTTTTTTTTGAGACGGAGTCTCACTCTGTCTCCCAGGCTGGAGTGCAGTGGCGCGATCTCGGCTCACTGCAAGCTCTACCTCCCGGGTTCACGCCATTCTCCTGCCTCAGCCTCCCGAGTAGCTGGGAGTACAGGCGCCCGCCACCACGCCCAGCTAATTTTTTGTATTTTTAGTAGAGATGGGGTTTCACCGTGTTAGCCAGGATGGTGTCGATTTCCTGACCTCGTGATCCGCCTGCCTCGGCCTCCTAAAGTGCTGGGTTTACAGGCGTAAGCCACTACGCCCGGCCTTTGATAGGTAAGTTTTATCTCTTACCTAGCAGAGTCAGCTGAAGTGGCTCAAATGGGGCTGGAGGATCCAATCCTAAGAGAGCTTATTCACAAGGTTGGCAAATTAGAGTTGGCTCTCAGCTAGAAGCTGAAGACTTGAGATCTTGGTTTTTCTTCAAATGAGTACCTCCATGGACTGCCTGGGTTTTATCATTGCATGGTGGTTGAATTTCAGAGCAGTCATCCCAAGAGAACTAAACAGAAACTTTATGATCTTTTATGACATAGCCATAAGAGTCATGCTAGTAGCTACATGACAATTCACCACCAAGGGGAAGAAACACTAGAGTCAACCTCTTCATAGAATGAATGTCAAAGCTGCATTATAGGAAGAGTCTGTAGAGTAGAAATATTGTTATGGATTTTTAAAAAAATACAACTTGCTATGTTTAGTAAGAAAAATAACAAAATAAACAGTGTTACATTGGATTCACATTTAAAATAAAATAAAAGTTTGCCTACTTCACCATGCCAGGCTTTCCAGAGCTCGATTCTCCAATTCTGCCTCTAATACCATGTAATGATCATAGGCTAAATTCTTTGTAGTTAATGAATATTGAAATAATTATCCATCATCAATTTGTCAACTTATATACTTACCTTTTTAAGAATTCTTCAATATACTTGCCTTGCTCAAGCAGTTAAAATAATTGATTATATAGATGTTATCCTCATCTATGTCTTTCTTGCCTAAATTACTACAACTCTTAAAGTTGCATCAACCATTTAGTTACCAATTATGTACTGTTTTATATTTTCAAGTGTCTTTCATTAACTTTTAAGCTTAAATCTAATTTCCCTTTGTTAGGAAGATTTCCTTACCATCCACAACTCATTAAATGCTCCATACTATTTCTTAGCTTTCTCCAGTATGAAATACTGCTTCCCCTACACAGCAATGACCCTGTGCTCCCTGACTGTCAAGTCTTGGGTCAGAGTTCATCACTTACTTTAGGTCCTTTATACGCTAAAATCCTCACTGCTCTTTCACTATTCACTCATTTTGACACTTACTCATATATTGCCTGTCATAGGCTTCCTGTTTCCTCAACATATCTCTTCTGCCTGCTCTCAAATGCCTATAATTTCCTTAGTTGGACAAATACCAACCAGCTAAACAAACAACAAGGAAGAAAAATTTAAAGTACACAGAAAATACACTTAACATTAAATGCACGTATTAAACCCTAACTAAGATAAAATCTACTGATATATTTCTTCAGAACAAATTTAACCAAAGGAGATAAGGAAATAAGCAGTAGATTTTGTTATTGCTGTTGGAAGATGGGGGTAGGAAAAAGAAAGAGAAATCATAGGATGTCAGAAATAAACTCTTACCTCATCACAATTTTCCCATGGGCTATCTTGTATCATGATGTAACATCTTCATAGATGTAAGCCTCACTCTTCCAGCATGAATGTAAGCTCTGCAAGTGCTTGGGCTGGCAGGACTGGGAGCATATTGTGTTCAAAAATACTTCTTTTACTGATCAAAATAAATGTAAAGATCTGTGAGATTAAGAGAGCACTCTAGTCTCTTTGTAAAACCTAGCATTCGGTAGAATAAATAGTAAAGGATACATATGTTTTACTCAATTATTTCTCTGTAGCTGAAGAAATAATACATTGTCCTCTAGGACAATTGTTGAAATGATCCCTGATCAATTTGTACATAAGGTTTTTTATTGAGACAGAGTCTCGCTCTGCCGCCCAGGCTGGTGTGCAGTGGAGCAATACTGGCTTACTGCAACCTCCGCCTCCCAGGTTCAAATGATTCTCTCACCTCAGCCTCCCGAGTAGCTGGGACTACAGGTGTCTGCCACCATGCCCAGCTAATTTTTGTATTTTTAGTAGAGATGGGGTTTCACCATGTTGGCCAGGCTGGTCTCGAACTCCTGACCTCAAGTGATCTACCCACCTTGGCCTCCCAAAGTGCTGGGATGTATGCAAGTTTTTAAGAGACTCTCCTGTTAGGTGCAAAAAGACTGAAAATCAACTCTAAGATTCCTAATTATCCATCATTATCTTGCTTAGTAACGCCTGAGTAACAAAAGTTTCTTTCCTTAGTTCTGGTGACAGTATAAGTTATCTTAGGTATCATCCATAATGCAAAGATAAAGATAGAAAAATGGCTAGGGAGAGAGTCATGGCTGTGAAGGGTGAGATGTGGCATCATCTAGGAAGGTCAGGCCTGTTGAATTGAACCGGATGGCCCAACAGAGCACTGCCTTCTGCCTAGGACTTCACTGCTATAGTGAGTGGACACAATGTAACCGGTATTTTAAATTTAAAGAATGCTTTGCACATACCAAACTTGTCACACACTTATTGTCCATTAGGTACTAGCTCAGATAAAGATGATCAAATATTTCTTTCTTTTTTGGAAGGTGTTATAAGCTGAATTGTGCAACCTTCAAATTCTTATGTTGAACTTCTAACCCTCAGTACTTCAGGATATGACTGTATTTAAAGATAGAATTTTTAAAGAGGTAATTAAATTAAAATGAGGTCATTACAGTGGGCCCTAGTCCAATATGACTAGTGTCCTATAAGAAGCAGAAACTTGTACACAGATGGGTACAGAGAAAAGACAATGTGACGACACAAGGGGAAGTCGGCCAACCCCAAATTAAAGAAGAAAGGCCTCAGAAGAAACAAGCCCTGCCAACATCTAATTTGTTCTCTAGCCTGCAGAACTGAGAAAATACATTTCTGGTGTATAAGCCACCTAGTTTGTTATACTTCATTATGGCAGACCTAGCCGACTAATATAGAAGGAAACAAGCAAAATTGGATAACTTGGTCAAGACCATAATGAAATCCAATGACTTGGAGAATCTGAAATAGCATCTTTCTCCAGCCCCACCTTGTGCTCTAAGTATAAAGTAGCACTAGGGTATTTATAAACTACAACTGCTGGAAGTCCCATATGTAATTTCAGTTGTATGTTGGCAGAAATAAAAGTCTTTCTTGAGGAGTTATCACTCAGAGTTTTATTTGGTCTTTTCACAAGTGGAAAATTGGATTGCATTCTAGATAGCTACATCCTGGCTTACTGATTTTAGTTTTCCTTGTTGTCTAGACGTCTTCTCTTCTTTTTCCTTTTCCTTGAATAAGATTTAAATAAAACTAAAAACTTCCAAACAAAAATTTGTTCAACACAAACATCTAAATGTAAATTTGCCAAAAGTATTCCTTCTCAAATTATATGAAGATGATGTAATGGAGTAGATAAGCAGATAAAGCAATGATATAGTTTATTAAAGGTATGTAAGACACTTGCATTAGAGTTTATTCTGCATTATGATTATATATATACATAAAATATATAAATATATATAATTTATTGTAATATATATTTTATATATAAACATATTATAGTTTATTGTAATATATATTTTATATATATTACACATTATAATTACCATATCAGAATCACCCCTTGAAATTTTGTGAACTCCTTATCAGGGAGTGTGATATAATGTTGGGATGCATGGAATTTAAGAGAATCCATAATGCCCTAAAATTGAACATAAAAGTTTTTGTATATGTGCTTTTTTCTGGAGACAAGATCCATAGAGTTCTTGAAATTTTTAAAGCAGCCTGTAGCCTCCTAATTCCCATATGAGAATCAATGTTATAGAAGAAAACTAAAGATGTTATCAAAATTTTAAAATTTTCTTATGAAAAAGAAAAAATTTATATTTTGAATTAAAATGCTGTATACATTTTAATATCTTGATCTAGTTGCTATAGGCTATTTAAAATACATGCGGTTTTGTGAATTGGCATTTTTATTAAATGATAACTTTCATTCATTAAATGTTTATTGCTTTAAACACTCATTTCTAATCCTCATAGATCTCTTGAAAGTAAGTATTATTCTTATTTTACAGTTAGGAATCTAAGCCTCCAAAAACCTAAGGTACTTATTGACTAGATAAGTGGTAGAATCTCTATGTGGTGACAAAGCCTGTACACATTTATTTTTTCTGTTAGAGGCAGTGGAATTTATTATTTTTTGAGCACCTACTATATCAAGCCATAAGTTAAAAACTTTATAATTGTTGGCTCTTAATACTCATAAATACCCTGAAAGACAATATCATTATTCTCATTTAATTGATGAGTGTACTGAAACTAATGAGGTCACACCATGGAAAGATGTAGAGCGGTGATCAAATACTAAAAAGTTGTAAAACATGTGTTTCCTTTTACAGACTCTAACCTCTCCTAAGTGATTGGATGAGTTAGGAATGTGTTCAGGAGCAACTAGCATACGCTTCAGAATAAACAAGTTAAGGAGCTTATTCTCTAATAACAGGACATTTGGGAAACAGTGGCCCAGGGATGGTGCAGTAGTTCAAGAATATTTAGCAATGAACTAGGCTCATCCAATAATCCTGTTCTATCATTATCACTATGTAATTTTCATCCTGATAAGATGGCAGCTTTACTTCCAGACCTTACATTCTTATCCAGCCCAGGAGAATGGCATGTATAATGGGCAGAATAAAAAAGACTTCTTCTCAGGAGAGTTAATTTGGGAAAAGAAACCCTCTTAAGGAATGTCTTCCTACATCTTAACAGCAGAATTCCCTACAAATTTTTGTTGGTATTTTAATAGAATATTCGGCTGGGCGTGGTGGCTCACGCCTGTGATCCCAGCACTTTGGGAGGCCAAGGCAAGCGGATCACAAGGTCAGGAGATAGAGACCATCCTGGCTAACACAATGAAACCCCGTCTCTACTAAAAATACAAAAAATTAGCTGGGTGTGGTGGCAGGCACCTGTAGTCCCAGCTACTTGGGAGGCTGAGGCAGGAGAATTGCTTGAACCGGTGAGATGGAGATTGCAGTGAGCCAAGATCGCACCACTGCACTCCAGCCTGGGTGACAGAGCGAGACTCCATCTAAAAAAAAAAACATTGAATGTAAAAACTTTTGTAGGGAAATGTTAAATCTGTGTGATATTAAGCCTTTCTGTGGAGAAATAAGGTATGTTTTACTGTATGTCTTCTCTTGTCTCCTTTGGTAGAATTTTAATGTTCCCTTACTGTGAGCAGTATATTTTCTATAGGCCTTTTGGAAATGTAATTACATGTGATAATTTTATAGGAATTATTTTAAAAATGTGTAACAATAAAAACAGAAAACAGCAGAAGTCATGGTCACTTCTAGCTAAAAACATGGCTGGGAGATGATGAACTATGAACTAGGTACATTTTGTTGCAGGAAGCCAGTGGTGCATGCTGAATTTTTCTTCCTTTTTTGACCATATTGATAACTTATTGGTAACATTTTCAGTGACTGTAGAGGAACCAACAATGATTAGAAGACATAGAATCCAACTTATCAATAAAAAATTAATGAGAAAATACTAAATGAATGGCAGGACTTCTGGTATCTTATGAGAAAATGGTAAGAAAAGTGTCCAGAATCTTATGGTAAAATGGTAAGAAAAATGTCCAGAATGTGCAGAAATAGGATGAGTCCTGATAAAAACGGAAGTATAATATTTTACATAAATGAATATTATGGATACCTAATGTGATTTGAGTAGCAATAAGATGAGAGCTAAAGAATGAATAAGAGTTTGTAAGTCTAAGACCTTGGGAAGGCGAGAGGGTTTCAGGCAGAAAGACAGTATCTGTGAAAGATTTGTGGAAGAGGAGGAAAACATGAATGCATGGAGAATACCCAGTATAGCCAGAGCACTGAAAATTTGAAGAGAAGAGTAGCAAAAAAAGAAACAAGAGCCAGAGGAATGGGCCAGATTATGATGGACTTCTTAGGGGATGCTTAGTTCTCCAATCCTTATAAGATCAATGAGAAGCCAAGTAAGGTGTTTAAATATGAGTGATGCATGACTTGATTTTTATATTAACAGATTACTCTAACTCCCTTTGCAAAATGGAAAGGAGAGAAGTTATAGAGTACTTTAAATTCACAAATGAGAATATGGAAGCTTAGAGTAGCATGGCAACAGTAGCACTGGAGAAATGGTGGGATTGAGTTAGTAGGATCTGCCTATCTGGGTCTGATACTGGGTATGAGGCCTGAGGGATAAGGGAACTCAGGTTTCTGGTTTAAGTAACTGAGTGGATTGCTCTGATAATCGTAGATTAATAATAATGACAGATTGGTAAATCTGGAAAAGCTCATTTAGTCCAGCATCAATAATTTATAGAGGAGAATTAGAAGCCTGAAGTAACTTATCCAACAACTGTTTTTCAACGGTTAAGCTCAGATGGACTGATTAATCAATAATTATTGGGTATCTCTAATTTTTCAGACCCTGTGTTTGGTACCTGAAAATGCAGAAAAGAATGAGAAAGATTTGGTTCCTGTTCAGCCTCTCAGAGGTTTAAGCCCAGGCTGGCTAACTTCAGCCTGAAATATCTTTCATGCAATTGCTCACATTTACATCTTCTTTTCTGAGCATTTATGGAGTTATCTCTATTGTATTTTATCCACCCTTAAATTAATATCTCTGAGAACAATTATTTTACCAGTTTGGATCTGCATAACTGCATCACTACAATTAAATCTCACCAAAATTTCTTAATGTTCACTACACAAGTTGTGTTTTAAAAATAGATAGAACTTTTCTCTAATATCTTGATCTTCCAGTTGAATACTTCTGTGTGCTCTTTTATATCTTAAATTAGTTAAAAGCACAATTATGTCAAATTTCATTTGTATTCTCAGTGCTTGACTGTGTAGATAATTGTGGTTGCATATTTAATTTTTCAGGTTTTAAAATCCCATTGGATTTATAAATTTACTTAGAGGAGCACATTATCAGATTCAAAAGTTCAACTTCAAGGTTGTTTTGCTTTTTGAAATGCTTTATATTAGAGTTTAAAATTAAAAAATTATTTAAACTTTTCATGAATTCTTTTTTTAAAACCACATTTTTAAGACATTATTTCATACCTGGGTAGTTATTCCGTTTATCTTTCATAAAATGTATTTTACTAGAGAATCAGGGAAAGGTTTCCTTGGTAACCATAAAAATAGACAAGAGCTTTGAATCTTGAGGTATTTGTTACAATAGTGATTTTTTTTCAGTGGTACGATTGATTTCATGCTATGTCAGAGTTTATGTGTTTTCAATATTGGAGTTTCCCTTGGAAAGAAGTTCAGAGTCTCTGACTATCATATTATCTTACAGTGGATGCTGCATCATTATGTAGGGTTAGTTTTCAGGTGACTTCAAGAAAAATAGTGGACAGTAAACCCAGGTAAATGAGCTATGGATCATAAAAGAATGTGAAATTGCCTTCATTTTCAAATAGAACTCTATTTTTTCCCAGATCTTTCAGAGTACCTTTTGAGGGATTGATCTTAGATTTTATTTATAGCTTGTTTGAATTTTTAATCAAAAGCCTCCAATAGTAAAACTATACAATGATAGAATCATCTGTCTCTCAAGGTACTGAGTTTTCCTATCATTAGAGAATTTTAACCATAAAGTAGAATTATCATTACAGTATCCTAGTACATCTAGTACATAGTTAGTGCCCATTAAAAATAATGGTAGAAGTTGTAATAATGATGATGATAGTAGCTGTAGTAATATATAATAATGGTTACCTTTTTGCATTTATCATTATTATTGTAATTATCTGAGGTGGTATTATTATAGAGAAAATTCAAACACAGTATAGGTAGCCAGATTATACGTAAATTGGGAATACTTCCACCACTTAGATTTATTGATTCTTTAAGATTTACAAGTTTAATTTTGTAAGTGAATATTAAGAATCATTCAATGAGTAATTTCTCCCTCTTTGGTTAGTTGATTAGAACTTTAAATCAAAGTTAGTATATTAAACACTTTGAATTAAAACTTTGTATTCCAAACTGAGAAATTCTCTGTTCACTTATTGTTAATATACTGGGAACAGTCAGTGCCATAGTCACTTTATAAGTACAAGATTGTACCACATTTCAAGGCCTTGGCCTATCTTGAGTGGCGCTGGACAAATGATTTTCCCAAAGCTATTTGTTTTTCCAGCACTAGGACTGAATTGATTTTGTTCACTACACAATTTGGATATATAGCTCAAAATGGTGTGTGGGGATGAGATATTATATACACAAGGCTTATATTCATTAGAGTTGGCTAAACTGTTGTAATGAAAACGCTCCAATAGTTCAAGAAAGTTAGGAGTTTATCTCTCTCTCATATAGTTATGCTGGGGCAGGATGGGGGAAATTCTTGAGATCGACAGGTGAACAAATACTACCCAATCATTCAGGGAAGAGTTTCCTTCCATCTTGTTTTTCTAACATCTTCTAGTATGCATGGTCGCAACAGAGTCACTAATGCATCTGAGTAGCAGACAACAGGGAAGGGCAAATAGAACATGTAAGCAGTACATCCACTGTTTAAGGGCAATAGCCAGGAAATTGCACCACCACTTTTTCTTATGCTGGAGAGTCTACCTTATCACCAGTGAAGTGGGGAAACATCATGGGTCTGGGCAGCCGTAGGCTGACACTTCTATTCCTATGGAATGAAAGGAGGTTAGAGTTTGGTGGACTGGACTGCTAGCAGTTTCTTCATCGCATCCAGGCTTCTCCCTGTACTCTGTGTTGGAGCACCTTAAGATAAACCACAATTCAGTCTCTATCACTGATAATCTAGTCATTCCTCAAAGACCAGAACAACATGTATTGTCCAGACTGGTGAGGAATGGGGCTTTCAAGGATATTAAAGGTAGAGATATTATTTAGGAGCTCCTGGTCTCTAACTGTGCTATTTTCTTTGAAAGAAGGTGTCATCTTATTATGGCGGAGTTTAGCTTTAGAATCAGGAGGGATTCAGTTGTTTTCTATTAAAGGCATAGAGTATTTGTTTACATTCTTCCTAAATTTAACAAAGGCTAAATAAGAGTACGAAAGGATTGTGGCACATCAAGAAATGAGGTTCTCACTTCTAGCAGTGCTTGATGTTGGACTGACATTGTCACCTAAGGGAAGCTATTTGAAAGATGCTGTGTCCCCTTCTGTTTCTAGGGGCCACGTTGTTGCTAATCAGTCTTTTTGGCTCTTGGATAACTAAATTGGGAATTTTATTTCATTTAAAGTAGACGGCATATGTGACCTTGTCATCTGTGTATTTATCTGCCCATCTACTTATATATTTACCTATTGTCCATCTATCTAATACATATATATGTAATTTTTGTCATAAACACTATGCATTTTATGTTATTTAAAAATATTGTTCTGAGAATGGGAGCACAGACTTTACCCAAGGAGGTCCATGATATAAAACAAAACAAAAACAATCAAAAAGCCTTGAATGAGACAGAATTTAAAGATCAAGAAACATATACAACATAGATTCAAATTGGGGCCTTCTTTCTTCTTTTTCAATACTTTAATAGAAGTTGAACTGAACCTTTAGAAGCCTCTTTGTATCATTGCAATCTTCTTCTAACTTCTTTACCCCTAAAATCCCAAAGTTTTACACTGAATCTAGGACTTCTGGATTCAAGTAGTTTCCGAAAGGAGCAAGGCTGTTTGAGGGCTCCAAAATATTTGAACACATAGAGATCTCTTACATTCGTGTTCTTCAACATAAGGCGGTATTGAGAAATCGTAATGAGTTTCTCTACTTTTTGACTGTCCAGTTTTTAAATTGAAAAATAGCATGATGGACAATCATCAGCTCAGATTGGTATGGAAGGAAGTTTTGTAGAGTGCATTCTATAAAGCATAGGATGTTGGCCCTTAGGCATTTTACTTCAGCTGCTTCCTGCTTTTAGTCTCCTCCTCCTCCTCCTCTTAGTTGGATGGTAAGGCACTCCTAAAAAGAGGACAACATCTTTATTTTTCTCATGACATGGGGTTTTCCTGGCTTGTCACGAGAGTTTGGATGCTCAGCTTACTGCTGCATATGGGCAGTTTAAGTAGCAGCTTTGATAGCTACTGTCTATCACATTGATGGAATTATGGAGAAGTGGAATCCGGCATTTTGTGCAGCCTGGGACTTGGCACATCAATTTGTAGACTACCATTAGAATACTAATTGAACTCAATGTCTGAAAGAAAGAGAGAGCAAAACATAGACTGAGACTGACCCTATATAAACTCTTCAAGCAATATTTGTGCTATAAATCAATGCACTGTATATTTTTCTCTCGTTACAAATGTTTCAGAACTGATTTTGAAACTTCTTAACTTCAGTTCACAGTAGATAATTGTGATTTGAGATAATCACCTAGAGCTTGGATTGTGGATCATAATAGTTGTGTCTAAATATCTGTAACTATTGTTGAATATAACTCCACTCTTAAAAAAAAATAAAATTCTATCAGTACAGAAAACAATGTGCTAGGCATTATCCAGAATTTCACCATGGTGTTTATGAGTATATCATAGATGGACAAGTTGTTTTGAAGTTATTTTTCTTTGCCCCAATTGTCTATAGAGTTTGAGATGTCTCATATCAGTGACAAATCCATTCTGACTTTGTGCAGAGTTAATGTTCAAGCATAAAATAGAGTTCCATATATCAAACCTATACTTTCTTCAACAACACAACAACAAAATATATTGCAAATGATAAACTATATGAAATGAAAGTGTCAATAGTTATCTGGCCATTTTTGTTCCAGTCTAGATGGTAAAAATTACAAATACCCATTGTTATTGCAGATAATTCCATTAATTTTGAAGGTCTTCATTGAAAGAAAAGAATGGCATAATTTAAACTGTGTCTATGCATATCACCATTTCAACTCATTAAAAAAAAGCTCTGTCTACATGTCCTTGCTCAGAAAATAACAAATTAAAAATCAACAAATACGCTGCATCTTTCTCTTTTTTAGGAATTACACCTAAGACATAACACTACTAACTGTTCATTGAGTCTCATTCTGTTCCTCAGCAGAGAAACTCATTTATATCAGTGATTATTTTATTTAAATATATTGATTTATTAAGCTTATCTTAAGGATTAAAATTCTACAGCAGATAGGGACTGGGTGCAATTTGTTTTATAGGAACACATTTTGTCAGTGTTAATTGCATAAATTATTTTTGCAGAAATAGTAAACAGGAACAAAAGAGAAGCTTTGAGGGAAACTAAGCATCAACAATTTATGCTTATGTTTCTCTTTATTTTAATGCTGCACATTGAAATCTACATTTTGTTAAAATGCAACTATTTTCCCTTTGCTCAGAGTAGTAAAAGCAGACTAACACATTCTATTTTTCTGAAGATTGATGAGATTATTTTTGTTTAGAAAATACATGAGTTAAAAATAGCAAGTATTTTCCAGTCATCTGAAAGCAGATGTTTTATAAGCTCTCTATATGGTGCTGGTGTATATTTTAAATTTTAAATTTTTAATAGCTATCATTGAAGAAAAACAAATAAGTTTTTCAATAAGAAAAACAAAAACAGTGAACTGTATTTGAAGACATATTGTATGTGTGTGTGTGTTTCTTATAACCCTCTCATCTAATTTTTGCCAACGATAGGACATAATTTATCTTGATAGTAATCATTCACTTTTCACCAGGTCTGGAATGAGAATGTGTTGTGCATGATTGTGCAATGCTATTATCCTAAACCAATAAATAAGTTTCAATATGTTAGTACAGTTTGTTTCTATAACTTACATTAATAAAAGGCTAAAGAAGCACAAAGATATTGTGAAATCTGTCACCATGTAAAACTGCAAATTAAATGTCAGATTTTTATATTTAAAGCGGCTAAACTTTACTCTTATTTATTTAGAAGTTGGAACTTGCTTATACTTTGTTTTATATTTTATTTTTTAAAAATTTACTTTAAATTCTGGGAGACACGTGCAGAATGTGTAGGTCTGTTACATAGGTATACATGTGCCATGGTGGTTTGCTGCACCTATCAACCCATCATCTAGGTTTTAAGCCTCGCATACATTAGGTGTTTGTCCTATGCCCCCTCTCCTTGCCTCCCATCCCCTGACAGGCCCTGGTGTATGATGTTCCCCTCCCTGTGTCCATGTGTTCTCATTGTTCAACTCCCACTTACGAGTGAGAACATGCAGTGTTTGGCTCTCTGTTCCTGTGTTAGTTTGCTGAGAATGATGGTTTCCAGCTTCATCCATGTCCCTGCAAAGGACATGAACTCGCTCTTTTCTATGGCTGCATAGTATTCCATGGTGTATATGTGCCATATTTTCTTTATCCAGTCTATCATTGATGGGCATTTGGGTTGGTTCCAAGTCCTTGCTATTGCAAATAGTCCTGCAATAAACATACGTATGCATGTGTCTTTATAGTAGAATGATTTGTAATACTTTGGGTATATACCCAGTAATGGGATTGCTGAGTTAAATAGTATTTCTGGTTCTAGATCCTTGAGGAATCACTGCTCTGTCTTCCATAGTGGTTTAACTAATTTATACTCCCACCAACCACAAACAGTGTAAAAGTATTCCTATTTCTCCACAGCCTCGCCAGTATCTGTTGTTTCCTGACTATTTAATAAATACTTTGATAATTAAGTTTAAAGGAGGACTATATGTAGCCCTGTTTTTCAATATCATAAAAAAATTTTTCAAAAGAAGAAAAACCTGAGTCTTAGTCTTACTAGTGTTTTTATCACATTTCACTTGTAAAAGGCAAATAGATTTGTTGGTTATTTCGGAGAACACATCTTGGAGGTAGATGCTTCTTTTGTGCAAATGGAGAAATGTAGAGGGCATGAGCTTTCAAAGCTCCTTTAGAAGAAGGAGTAGAATTCCAGGGCATGATGCTTTCATTTCTGAATGCATTTACCATGCAAAGCAACACATCTCCACATTTATTAATCTGCCTGCAGCTCACACCAGTTAACAGCAGGGACCCTAGTCTCCTGATTGGCAAATACTAAGATCTGTGTTGCTGTGTCATAGGAAGAAGTTTCTAGAACGGTGACTCTTTCCTCTATCCTTTTTCTCTGATCCACCTACTCTTTTCTTTATACTCACACCATTTGCTTTTTCAAGGAAGAGAAACCTATGTGGAAGATTTTATAAATACCAGGGCTAATATTTGTATCAGATATTTGTATTGAGTTTTAGAGTTTCATTTGCTAAAGATTTCTTAGCATGGATTTTCAACTAAGTAGAAAACAGTCTGGATAGAATGTTGTATCTATATAGGCTCACAAATTAGCCTACCCTGTATTTTTATTATTATCATCATTCTTATCCTATAATAATTCTATTGACTCTCTTTCCCCCTCTATATAGCAGGCAAAAGTGAATGGGCTAAATGGAAGCTATAATTTCTACCTACTTGGGGGTCAGATAATAACCAGGTAAAGAGAAAGTGCATCAGATCTAGCATGAATCAGGTGTTTCTGCCACAGGTCTGGCATGAGTCAGATATTTCTGCCTCAGAGAATACATTGTCATGGTTATTCATGGTAACTTTTAAGGAAAAGAATTCACTTAAGAATAGCAGAAGAAAACTAAGATGAATAAAATGCTCTACACGATTTAGGCCTATGGTTAAACTAAAACTATAATTCAATTTCAGAGACCTTTAAAAATAAATTTATATTTTTGAGTTAAAGTTTAGCTACTGGTCATTTCTTCCTAGGTAGTTCTATTGCTCAGTGGTTTAGAGGCTTAAGTTCTTTGCTCATGTTATCTTCAGCCTTTTGGGCGTAATTTACTGTGCTTTTCCCATGTGTACCATTTTTTTCCCCTATTGATGCTGCTCTTATACCTGGTTATCATCTCTTCTAGCATCTCTCATAAATATTTTAGAGAAAGTTTGTAGAATCTCTCTTTGACTATCTTAAAAATCACCTTTTGCTATTACTAGCAGGGCTGGTTGGGCTTAGATTAAAAGCCTAATGTTTTCAAAATTTTCTCTTTTAAAATCACGCTCCCACTGCAACCTCTCTCTTAACTCTTACCCATCTCATTCCCTGCCCACTTATTTGCCTAAGAGGCCCTTGTAAACATTACTTCTTTTCTTTCTTTCCTTCCCTTCCCTTCTCTTCCCTTCCCTTCCCTTCCCTTTCCCTCCCTGCCTCTCTCTCTTTCTCTTTCTTTCTTTCTTTTTTCTTTTTCTTTCCTTCCTTCCTTCCTTCCCTCCCTCCTTCCTTCCTTCCTTCCTTCCTTCCTTCCTTCCTTCCTTCCTTCCTTCCTTCCTTCCTTCCTTCCTTCCTCCTCTCTCTCTTTCTGTCTCTCTTTCTCTCTCCTTGCTTCTTTTCTTGTCTTTTCTTTTCTTTCTTGCTCTGTTGCTCAGGCTGGAGTGCAATGGTACAGTATTGTCTCACTGCAACCTCCACCACCCGGGCTCAAGCAATTCTCCTGCCTCAGCCTCCTGAGTAGCTGGGATTACAGGCATGCGCCACCACACCCTGCTAATTTTGTGTTTTTAGTAGAGATGGGTTTTCACCATGTTGTCCAGGCTGGTCTTGAACTCCTGACCTCAGGTGATCCACCCACCTCGGCCTCCCAAAGTGCTGGAATTACAGGTGTGAGTTATTGTGCCCAGCCTGTTTTTTTCTTCTTGGCTTGCTTTCTGACTCTGTTCCTGGTGGGCTGAGTTATTTAAATTCCTTCCATTTGGGCAGTCATACTTGGAGGTTTTGGTAGTGCCCCTAGGAAGAGAGAGGGCCCTTCGAAACAAAGCAAAACATCTCTTATTTTTTTTACTTTATTTATTTTTTCTTTTTTTGTTTTAGGATTCAAAGATACATGTGCATGTTTGTTATATAGCTAAATTTCATGTCATGAAGGCTTGGTGTATAGATTATTTCATCACCCAGGTAATAAACATAGTACCTGATAGGTAGTTTTTTGATCCTCACCCTCCTCCCTCCCTCTACCCTCAAGTGGGCCACGTGTCTATTGTTCCCTTCTTTGTGTCTGTAAGTACTCAATGGCAAAATATCTCTTCATGGCACTTGGCTCCTTCTGTATCTTTTGGAAATGCTTGTAAATCAAAGATGACAGAGTCCCATCACTACACATAGCCCACTACGCTCTATAGGGGTTATATAAATATTTAAATATATCTGGAAGATAAGAAATGCCACTCATTTTTTTTTAAACACAAGCCATTTTCTGCCTGTGGTTAGCAAAACCATCTAAAGGGCATCCATTTTTGTGGTATTTATTTATTTATTTATTTATGTCCATGATCTATTCTCTTCTTTTCTTGTGGATACAACACTAATGCTTTGGGGTTCTTTCTTCCCTGTATCAATGATAGGGTGGGTGACACTGAAATCAAGGACTTCTGTGTCTCCTTGTGGTTAACAGGCTGGGAAGGCTTTCTGAAGAAGACAGTTGATTCAGTGCTCTTCAAAGCTGATGAGCATAGGGCAACAGGTTCTCAACAAAAGGGTTTCTCTTCCCAGGCTCCATGGGCTCCCGGCATCTAGTCACGATATTCTCCCCAAATCTGCCCTACCTCTCTTTTCTGCCCTTTATTGGTGAGCTCTTCTTCAGATCTGATCACTGCTTTATATTCAGATTTAAGTCTTTATAGTGTTTTCTTTTTTTGTAAGCTTGCTCTTGTCCACAATACAACTATAGTTCCAGTTTTCTCTCTGCTCTACAAGTGAAAGTCAATTTTAACTGCCAGTGCCTCAGCCAGGCTAGACCATCCCTAAGCCTCTTGCTCTCTTAAGGTAGGTGGTTAGCACAGGTTATATCTGAAAAAGAAGCCTCAGGCCAGTTAGAAGTGAATGGGGGCATATTCTGGGCCTTGGAAATGATTCACCCTATGAAATGATTCCCATATATTGAATCAGCTTTTTCCCAATTTAAAATTATCTCTGGGGATGATTGGGGCAAGATGGCCAAATAGGAACAGCTCCAGTCTGCAGCTCCCAGCGAGACCAACGCAGAAGGCGGGTGATTTCTGCATTTCCAACTGAGATACCCGGTTCATCTCAATGGGACTGGTTAGATAGTGGGTACAGCCCATGGAGGGCAAGCAGAATCAGGGTGGGGCATTGCCTCCCCTGGGAAGGGCAAGGGGTCCGATAACTCCCTCCCTTAGCCAAGGGAAGCCTTGAGGGACTGTGCTGTGAGGGACAGTGCTACCCGGCTCAGATACTACACTTTTCCCACAGTCTTCACAACCCGCAGACCAGGAGATTCCCTCGGGTACCTAAACCACAAGTTCCCTGGGTTTCAAGCACAAAACTGGGCAGCCATTTGGGCAGACACTGAGCTAGCTACAGGAGTTTTTTTTTTCATACCCCAGTGGCACCTGGAATGCCAGCAAGACAGAACTGTTCACTCCCCTGGAAAGGAGGCTGAAGCCAGGGAGACAAGTGGTCTAGCTCAGTGGATCCCACCCCCACAGAGCCCAGCAAGCTAAGATTCACTGGCTCAAAATTCTTACTGCCAGAACAGTAGTCTGAAGCAACCTGGGATGCTCGAACTTGGCTGGGGGAGGGACAGCCACCATTATAGAGGCTTGAGAAGGTGGTTTCCCCTCAGTGTAAACAAAGCCGCCAGGAAGTTTGGACTGGGCGGAGCCCACCACAGCACTGCAAAGCCACTGTAGCCAGATTGCCTCTCTAGATTTCTCCTCTCTGGCCAAGGGATCTCTGAAAGAAGGGCAGCAGCCCCAATCAGTGGCTTATAGAGAAAACTTCCATCTCCCTGAGACAGAGCACCTGGGGGAAGGGGTGGCTGTGGGAGTAGCTACAGCAGACTTAAACATTCCTGCCTGCCGGCTCTGAAGAGAGCAGCAGATCTCCCAGCACAGTGCTCAAGCTCTGCTAAGGGACAGACTGCCTCCTCAAGTGGGTCCTTGACCCCTGTGCCTCCTGATGAGGAGACACCTCCCAGCAGGGGTTGACAGACACCTCATACAGGAGAACTCCAGTTGGCATCTGGTGGGTGCCCCTCTGGGACAAAGATTCCAGAGGAAGGAGCAGGCAGCAATTTTTGCTGTTCTGCATCCTCCACTGGTGATACCCAGGCAAACAGGGTCTGGAGTGGACCTCCAGCAAACTCCAGCAGACCTGCAGAAGAGGGGTCTGACTGTTAGAAGGAAAACTCACAAACAGAAAGCAATAGCATCAACATCAGCAAAAAGGAGCACCACGCAAAAACTCCATCCAAAGGTCACCAACAGCAAAGACCAAAGGTAGATAAATCCGTGAAGATGAGAAAAAAAACAGCGCAAAAAGGCTGAAAATTTCAAAACCAGAATGTCTCTTCTCCTCCAAAGGATCATAGCTCCTCGCCAGCGAGGGAACAAATCTGGAGAATGAGTTTGATGAACTGACAGAAGTAGGCTTCAGAAGGTGGGTAATAACAAACTCCTCCGAGCTAAAGGAGCATGTTCTAACCTAATGCAAGGAAGCTAAGAACCTTAATAAAAGGTAGAGGAATTGCTAACTAGAATAACCAGTTTAGAGAAGAACATAAATGACCTGATGGAGCTGAAAAACACAGCACGAGAACTTCATGAAACATACACAAGTATCAATAGCCGAATTGATCAAGTGGAAGAAAGGTATCAGAGATTGAATATCAACTTAATGAAATAAAGAGTGAAGACAAGATTAGAGAAAAAAGAATGAGAAGGAACAAACAAAGCCTCCAAGAAATATGGGACTATGTGAAAAGACCAAACCTATGTTTTATTGGTGTACCTGAAAGTGACGGGGAGAATGGAACCAAGCTGGAAAACACACTTCAGGATATTGTCCAGGAGAACTTCCCCAACCTAGCAAGACAGGCCAACATTCAAATTCAGGAAATACAGAGAACCCCACAAAGATGCTCCTCGAAAACAGCAACCCCAAGACATAATTGTCAGATTCACCAAGGTTAAAATGAAGGAAAAAATGTTAAGGACAGCCAGAGAGAAAGGTCAGTTTACCCACAAAGGGAAGCCCATCAGACTAATAGCAGATCTCTTGGCAGAAACCCTGCAAGCCAGAAGAGAGTGGGGGCCAATATTCAACATTCTTAAATCATTTCCAACCCACAATTTCATATCCAGCCAAACTAAACTTCATAAGTGAAGAAGAAATAAAATTCTTTACAGACAAAGAATGCCTTACAAGAGCTCCTGAAGGAAGCACTAAATATGGAAAGGAAAAACCAGTATCAGCCACCACAAGAATGAACCAAAATGTAAAGATCATTGACACTATGAAGAAACTGCATCAACTAATGGGCAAAATAACCAGCTAGCATCATAATGACTGGATCAAATTCACACATAACAATATCAACCTTAAATGTAAATAGGCTAAATGCCCCAATTAAAAGGCATAGATTGGCAAATTGGATAAAGAGTCAAGACCCATCGATGTGCTGTATTCAGGAGACACATCTCATGTGCAAAGACACACATAGGCTCAAAATAAAGGGATGGAGGAAGGAAGCAAGTGGAAAGGGAAAAAAGCAGGGATTGCAATCCTAGTTTCTGCTAAAACAGATTTTAAATCAACAAAGTCAAAAAAGACAAGGGCATTATATAATGGTAAAGGGATCAATGCAGCAAGAAGAGCTAATTATCCTACATATATATGCACCAATACAGGAGTACCCAGATTCATAAAGCAAGTTCTTAGAGACCTACAAAGAGACTTAGACTCCCACACAATAATAGCGGGAGACTTTAACACCCCGCTGTCAATATTAGACAGATCAACAAAAGAGAAGGTTAACAAGGATATCCAGGAATTGAACTCAGCTCTGTACCAAGCGGACCTAATAGACATCTACAGAACTCTACACCCCAAATCAACAGAACACACATGCTTCTCAGCACCGCATTGCACTTATTCTAAAATTGACCACCTAATTGGAAGTAAAGCACTCCTCAGCAAATGTAAAAGAACAGAAATCACAACAAGCAGTCTGTCAGACCACAGTGCAATCAAACTAAAACTCAGGAATAAGAAACTCACATAAAACTGCACAACTACATGGAAACTGAACAACCTGCTCCTGAATGACTACTGGGTAAATAATGAAATGAAGGCAGAAATCAAGATGTTCTTTGAAACCAATGAGAACAAACAAACAATGTGCAAGATCTCTGAGACACAGCTAAAGCAGTGTTTACAGGGAAATTTACAGCACTGAATGCCCACAGGAGAAAGCAGGAAAGATCTAAAATCAACACCCTAACATCACAGTTAAAAGAGCTAGAGAAGCAAGAGCAAACAAATTCAAAAGCTAGCAGAAGACAAGAAATAACTAATAACAAAGCAGAACTGAAGGAGATCTGACACGAAAACTCCTTCAAAAAATCAATGAATCCAGGAGTCGTTTTTCTGAAAAGATTAACAGAACAGATATACCCCCTAGCCAGACTAATAAAGAAGAAAATAGAGAAGAATCAAACATACAATAAAAAATGATAAATTGTAGATCACCACTGATCCCACAGAAATACAAACCACCATCAGAGAATGCCATAACACCTCTGTGCAAATAAACTAGAAAATCTAGAAGAAATGGATAAATTCCTGGACACATACACCCTCCCAAGACTAAACCAGGAAGAGTCCAATCCCTGAATAGACCAATAACAACTTCTGAAATTAAGGCAGTAATTAATAGCCTACCAACCAAAAAAAGCCCAGGACTAGAAGGATTCACAGCCGAATTCTATCAGAGGTACAAAGAGGGGCTGGTGCCATTCCTTCTGAAACTATTCCAATCAATAGGAAAAGAGGGACTCCTCCCTAACTCATTTTATGAGGCCAGCATCATCCTGATACCAAAACCTGGCAAAGACACAACAAAAAAAGAAAAATTCAGGCCAATATTCCTGGTGAACATCAATGCAAAAATCCTCAAAAAAATACTGGCAAACCAAATCCAGTAGCACATTAAAAAGCTTATCCAACATGATCAAGTCGGCTTCATTCCTGGGATGCAAGGCTGGTTCAACATAAACAAATCAATAAATGTAATCCATCACATAAACAAAACCAATGACAAAAAACGGATGATTATCTCAATAGATGCAGAAAGGGCCTTCGATAAAATTCAACACCTCTTCATGCTAAAAACACTCAATAAACTAGGTATTGATGGAACATATCTCAATATAATAAGAGTTATTTATGACAAACTCACAGCCAATATCATACTGAATGGGCTAAAGCTGGAAGCATTCCCTTTGAAAACCAGCACAAGACAAGGATGCCCTCTCTCACCACTCCTACTCAGTATAGTATTGGAAGTTCTGGCCAGGGCCATCAGGCAAGAGAAAGAAATAAAGGTATTCAAATAGGAAGAAAGGAAGTCGAAATATCTCTGTTTACAGAAGACATGATTATATATTTAGAAAACCCCATTGTCTCAGCCCAAAATCTCCTTAAGCTGACAAGCAACTTCAGCAGTCTCAGGATCCAAAATCAGTGTGCAAAAATCACAAGCATTCCTATACACCAGTAATAACCAAACAGAGAGCCAAATCATGAGCAAGCTCCCATTCGCAATTGCTACAAAGAGAATAAAATACCTAGGAATACAACTTGCAAGGGATGTGAAGGACCTCTTCAAGGAGAACTACAAACCACTGCTCAAGGAAATAAAAGAAGACACAAACAAATGGAAAATCATTCCATGCTCATGGATAGGAAGAATCAATAATGTGAAAATGGCCATACTGCCCAAAGTAATGTATAGATTCAATGCTATTCCCATCAAGCTACCTTTGACTTTCTTCACAGAATTAGAAAAAACTACTTTAAATTTCATATGGAACCAAAAAAGAGCCCATATAGCCAAGATAATCCTAAGCAAAAAGAACAAAGCTTGGAGGCATGCTACCTGACTTCAAACTATACTACAAGACTACAATAAGCAAAACAGCTTGATACTGGTACCAAAACAAATATACAGACCATTGGAACAAAACAGAGGCCTCAGAAATAACATCACACACTACAACCATCTGATCTTTAACAAACCTGACAAAAACAAGCAATGGGGAATGGATTCCCTATTTAATAAATAGTGTTGGGAAAACTGGCTAGCCATATGCAAAAAGCTGAAACTGGACCCCTTCCTTAGACCTTATGCAAAAGTTAATGCAAGATGGATTAAAGATTTAAATGTTAGACCTAAAACCATAAGAACCCTAGGAGAAAACCTAGGCAATACCATTCAGGACATAGGCATAGGCAAAGACTTCATGACTGAAACACAAAAAGCAACTGCAACAAAATCCAAAATTGACAAATGGGATCTAATTAAACTAAAGAGCTTCTGCACAGCTAAAGAATCTATCAAAAGAGTGAACAGGCAGCCTACATAATGGGAGAAAATTTTTGCAATCTAACCATCTGACAAAGGGCTAATATACAGAATCTACAAAGAACTTAAACTACTTACAAGAAAAAAAAACAACCCCATCAAAAAATGGGCAAAGGATATGAACAGACACTTTTCAAAAGAAGACATTTATGCAGCCAACAAACATGAAAAAAAGCTCATCACTGGTCATTAGAGAAATGCAAATCAAAACCACAATGGGATACCATTTCATGCCAGTTAGAATGGCGATCATTAAAAAGTCAGGAAAAAACAGATGCTGGAGAGGATGTGGAGAAACAGGAATGCTTTTACATTGTTGGTGGGAGTGTAAATTAGTTCAACTATTGTGGAAGAGAGTGTGGTGATTCCTCAAGGATGTAGAAGCAGAAATACCATTTGACCCTGCAATCCCATTACTGGGTATATACCCAAAGGATTATAAATCATTCTACCATAAAGACACATGCACACATATGTCTATTGCAGCACTATTCACAATAGCAAAGGCTTGGAACCAATCCAAATGCCCATCAATGTTAGACTGGATAAGGAAAATGTAGCACATATACACCATGGAATACTATGCAGCCATAAAAAAGAATGAGTTCACATCCTTTGCAGGGACATGGTGAAACTGGAAACCATCATTCTCAGCAAACTAACACAGGAACAGAAAACCAAACACCACATGTTCTCACTCATAAGTGGGAGTTGAACAATGAGAACATATGGGCACAGAGAGGGGAACATCACACACCGGGGCCTGTTGGGGGGTAGGGAACAAGGGGAGGGATAGCATTAGGACAAATACCTAATGTAGATGACAGGTTGATGGGTGCAGCAAGCCACCATGGCACATGTATACGTATGTAACAAACCTGCACATTCTGCACATGTATCCCAGAAATTAAAGTATAATAAAAAATAAAATAAAAATAAATGAAATTATCCCTGGACACATGCTTCTCTTCTGACAGGCTGTGAAGTAAGAACCATAGGGGTCATACAAACCTGGAGAGTGTTGCTCAGGCAGTTCCTTCCTACTCATGGCTGTGCCGTCACTGCATTATTAATCAAAGCTTGTTCAATCAACACTCTCTCCTGCCAACCTGATCAATACAATCTGACACTTATTAACTGTGCTTCAAAGAAAAAGGTGTTCTTTGCTTTCTTTGGTCTACCCCTAATTCTCCGCACACGATCAAAGCCATCTTATTTCAATCATATTTCAATCAACAGCTATGCCTTTGATAGACGTTTCCTTAATCTAATTCATTTTATGTCTTATTTTTCCTCTGTATTAATTGATTTTTTTTTCATCTGCACAGCATTTCTTTGAGAAACTATCATCTCCTTTTCTCAGTCCCTGTGGTTCCACTTGGGTTGATACCAACTTCAGCACTTAGGATTAAAAATGACCCAGGCTTTGTCCATCAGGGCATTAGTTTTCTTTTAGCCAGAGTGATTGGTTTAAAAATGTATATAGGACAAAAGTAGGCCAATTTTTTAAACCCAGCAGACAAGACAAAAATATCATTAACTTTACTTTAGAAGCAATCTAAGAAATTGAGTAAGTATTGCTAGTGCCAAAGAAATGCCATTTTTCCTTTCAATATTTTTAGCAATTATGTATATTTGTTTAATTAAATGTGGAAATTACTATACCTTCTATATAGAGCATTTTGTGTTGGGTTTTAAATAGGTGCCACAATTAAGGACTATCACCCTGCTCAACAGCACTCCTGTATCTTTTTTCTCAGATATTACTTGTATGTGAGATGTTCCTGACTGTAACCACAGTGTCATGTTCCTCTAAAGAAAAAGAGAAAAAATTTAGAACCAAAGAATGTTCCAGATCTGTTGGAGGTTCATGAGACCTTGCTCTGTTGGTGTTTCAGTCTATGGTTATATATTACTAATGTGAGCATGTGAATATATACCTGAATATACCACAGGAATCTTCCACCAAAATATTCATGCATATTCTGGGTTTGATTACTTATCGTATGATTTTAGGGGTGTGGTAAAGTCTGTTTTGCTCAACTGTATATCTCCTTTGCTAACTGCCTCAGTAGCTAATATTCCAACAAGAGAGGTTCATGGCAGTGGGTTGGGACTCTCTGTCTTCTGCTGTCTCCTAGGAAACATGCTCGTACCAGCTGTAGTGAATGAAATCCCTAATCAACCATCAATACCCTGTTTTGGATTAGTAGCTAAGATTATTTTTCTACAGGTGTAGGAATAAGAGAACATGATTTTTGAGGTGAGGTCAAGAGACAGGTATGTTTTGAAAATGAGAAAGGGCCAATTTTATTTCAAGTGGAATAATGATGTGCTGAGGAAGTCAGGACAGAACATCTTTACAGGAAGCTGTGGGGGAGGAGAAGGATTGAAGTTGGATTTTGGAAACTTAGCTTTAAATTCTTGATAGGACCTGCCATGTACTCAATGTATGACCTTGGGAATGTACTTAACATTACTGAACTTCACTTTCCTAATTGTATAAAGTGTAAATAACTATGTGTTCACCAGAATTATGCTGTGAAGATGAAGTGAGGACAAAGTATGTGAATGTATGTGGTGTGTGTAAGCATCTAAGGAATTCCTGGGGAAAAAAGAAAACAAAATGGTATGTTAGAAAAAGTAAGGGTTATGGAGCTACATAAATCAGGGTTTGAATCCATCACCTATGAGCTGCATGACCTTGCATCTGTGCCTCAGATGCAAGATGCATGACCTTGCATCTGTGCCTCAGTTTCCACATTTGACTAGTGAAAATATAGTCCTTACCATAAAGAGTGGTCTTGGAGGTGAAATAAGATGATATGCATAAAACACCTGACACAGTGTCTACTTGATGGTATGACACCCATTGAAGTTGAATCAATTTGAATTTCACTGGAAAGCTGGAGCCCAAGTGGCTTTTCTAAAAATCTCAATGTATTACATTTCAAATATGTCTCCTAATAACACTATTATAGTGAAATTTTTAGGAAGCAATCAGCCTTGTGTCTGTGCCTGTGTCCCCCTGACATTAATCAGCACATGCTTAAATCTACTAAATTCAGTTTAGGTGGTTGCCATGCAACCTGCTTTACACAGGCTATAATCCAAGACAAATGTTCCATTTTGTGTTTTTGCTTCCTTGTTTTTGTTTAATCTATTGAAATACAATGGTAAGACACACCAGGTTGAAGTCACTTTTTTAAAAAGAATATTCCTTGATTTCTATTTAAGGTAGCTCCAAGTCGACACATAGAATTGTACATTCATTTGGAATTCCAAGCACATCTACCCACAGAAGCAATATTAGCCATGTTGATTAGGTCTCCAGGACAGCCAAAAGGGAAAAAACATAAAATCAATACAAGTCACAAAGTCCCTGAACTGTAGGATTAATAGTACTACTCTGAGGTCTGCATTCTGGAGAGAAAGCACCATGACCCTTGGGGGCAGAAAGCTAAGAAAAATTGTTAAAATAGTTCAAGTTTAAATTTGGCCCTTTTACATTTTCCACTCAGCACTTCTCAGTTACCACTAATCTTTCTTTTCCCAGGCCTCACATACTGCTTTTTAATAAAACACTCCATATCATCCTATTAAGTTTCCCTGTTCTCCCTGTCTCTCCCAGGGAAGCCGTCATGCTTTACCATGAGGATGACTCACCTTCCCTTCATCTCCAAGTCAAACTCTTGTTTCCTCAGTGCCACTCTTCTCAATTAGGGATAAACAAGACGGTTGAATTAATTGGTAGCGAAGCAAATTATCTATGATTTTACCAGCTAACAGTTTTTCACTTCTGCAAAAAACTATTATCCTCCCAAATTAACATACAATAGGTGGAATTTCAGGACATATAACAGGTAAAGTTAAAGCAAAAGACAAGCTGTGTCTGTGTGTGCACAGCTGCTCCCTAAGTCATTCAGGTTCAAGGCTGTGGGGATGGGATTAGGAGGTATGAGTAGGGGATTAAATCTATCTGTTCTCCTAGTCAAGTCTTGAGCCCAAGTGCCAAGTATCTTCAGATGAGAGGGTAGACTCCTTTTTCTAATTTGTACAAAGATGTGGCAATGGCTAGCAATGATCCCTGGGGCAGATGAGCTAATTTCAGGTAAAGGACACTGCAGAGAGGCCAGCTCTATATAAAAGATCACAGTTTGGGCATGCCATTTTTGCTTTATCCAGCTAATTTCAGTCTTTAGTTAATGATTTATAAAATTGTTAAATGTTTCTATTCATTTTCTCTTCTAGAAAGGATTCTTGGAAGAATAGCAGTAAGAGGCAACATGTTGAGGATCATAAATGGGTCCGTTGTAGGTCAGAGTCTATCAATGCTGAGAACATGGGGGTTTTTTTGTTTGTTCGTTTGGGTTTTTTTTTTTTTCTTTTTGGTGACTGGGGTGCATCCTCATGGAACATCCATTTTCTGCTGGTTGCTGTTGCCTAAAGATATTTCCCAAATTCCTTGGACAGGTTTACATGGCTATTTAGAAATTTCCCTGCATTTATCTCTTCTGGTTTGTCTTCCTCTTTACTGTCTCTGTGTCTGTCACTCTCTTCCTCTTTTCTCTAGCCATAGTGAGCTGCTTTCAGTTTCCCCCAAAAGCCAGGCTTTCTCTTACCTCTAGAGTCTAGACTTTTGCATGCTATTCTCTTTATTGGGCTCCTTTTCCCATATTACTGCATATGGCTAATTCCTCTTTAATTCTTGAATTAAATATCACTCTTTCCAGGCTCTTCATTTTTTAACTCCACTCAGCCAAGGCTAGGTTAGACCACCTGCAAGGAATCTTAGACCTTTTCTATTTTTTATTGTAATTACTTGTTTTCCTTGAAACACTGGAAGCTCTTTGCAGGAGAGGCCCTGTCTGTCCTACTCAAGGCTTTATTTCCAGCACCATGTACATTGGAGGTGCTCAATGAATGTCTGCTGAATGATTATTCTTGTCATACATATTGTACCTTTAGATCTACAGTTCTGTGGAGGAAAAAAATCACCATCTGGATTTGAGGCAGTGTACCTTGTAAAGATTAGAAATGCTCTGACTTGGTTGTATTAGTGAAAGGAATGCTGTGCATGCCTCAAATAATTCAGTCAATAAGTCCTGTATCTCCAAAATCATCTAATATGAAAAATATGTGAAAGAGGAAGAGACGAATAAAGGGTAACTTGGAAGTAGCAGTTACCTTGAGCAGGAAAAGGGAAGTGTGTTAGCCAGCCATGGTGGTACACACCTGTAATCCCAGCTACTCAGGAGGCTGAGGCAGGAGAATCGCTTGGGCCTGGAAGGTAGAGGTTACAGTGAGCCAAGATCATGCCACTGCACTCCAGCCTGGGCAACAGAGTGAGACTCTGTCTCAAAAAAAGAGAAGAGAAGAGGAGGGGAGGGGAGGGGAGGGAGGGAGGGGAGGGGAAGGGAGGAGGGAGGGGAGGGGAGGTGTGTAAGTCATTTAAGAGGTTTTGGAGGTATTGAGGGTGGTGGGGAGTATAAACTTCCATGGTGCTGGTATATACTTCCATGGTGTTTTCAGTCTGAGCTCAACACGGGAATAAACTGTTGCCACGATTCTACTCTTATCTCTCTTTCACTTTTTTCTTTTGCTCCTCTGCTTATAACATACTTGGAGATAGCAAAATTGCATCTACCTAAAAGGCAGAAAGCCAGCTGTGCCATTCAAAGCAAAGCATGAATGCATTTATCCTAACAGGAAGTCAGCTATTAGAATGAATATATTTATAAAATAGAAAGGATTATGCGTATATCTAAATGTCTAATGTGTCTACCTTTTAATCCATATTCTTCTCTCCACCAAACACACAGGCCAGGATCACAGCATTAAGCTTTGTGCCTTTGTAATTCCACTCAGGAAGGATAAGTTATTCTATTTAATTCACTTGTTTCCTTACCCCAAGAAGAGAGAAAATTGCTAGTATAGCTAGTTTGGATTATAAAGAACGGACTGTCCCCCAAGGTTCAGCAAGAAACTTTCCCCTACGACTGAAGACTTGGCTTTAGGAAAGGGTTGGAAATTTGTCAGGCAGCACAAGACAGCTGGTATACCTTCTAGCATGGGCTATTCCTCAAGCCTGTAACTCAGATCATGATTATGTGCCTCTCTAGCAGTTGAGTCCCACTGGTGTTTTGTATAGAGCAGTTACAGATAATTTTGTGTCTACCTGTGGATGCTTTCACACCAGCACTCAGTTTCCTAGGGCTGCAAGGCAGAGGAGAATTTTCTCTCAATCTTTAGACAACTCCTGACAGAAGAAATAGAATGAAAACAAACCACTACCTGTTTTGTGTGAAGACACCAATTTCAAAGCAGAGCCATTTTAAAACAAAGAAACAGATGGAGGATTTAAAAGAAAATGAATCTTGCATTTGCTGTTTGAGAAAGCACTTACTGGGTAATTGCTGGGCTCTGAGTGATTTGAGGTGGAAAAAGGGATGCAGATTTAATGAGATCCAGCCTAGGGCACCATTTGTGGAAGCCCAGAATGGCAATAGCAGAGAGTTATTTCATGCTTTCTGATGGCTCCTGCTTGGTCTCTGTGGAATGATTAGAATTTTCGAAGTACAGTATTGTGGGATGCTTCTCCATTCCATAAAAATGGCTTCTGGTGACGTCAATTTGTGCAGGTACACAGGCAAATCAATGGCTAGGAACTTGCTGTCCTTCCAGGACTAGAAGCCAGCCTGTTCCATCCCAAAGACATTGAGTAATATGGCTTTAACAATCTCCCCACTTGATAGACAGTTTTCTTTCTGACTATAGGTTCTGACCTCCCTGTTCTTAGAGCATTTACTTAAGGAAACTAGCAATTGTAAATTATTTCTCCGCCCCTTTGAAATATATGTAAATCTTTTCCCAGTCTCTTGTAAGTTTTACAACCCAGGAATGTCTTTCTCCAGGAGCTGAGAACCATCTCTTTGAAATGTCAATACTGAGGGAAATAGCAATCATAACCCCTTGTCTCTACGGGAGAATAAGGGCCTAACTTCAATAGGAGCCCATTAGCAAACACAGGTGGTCCAATTACAGAGAGAAACTTTCACAAACCCAGGAATAACACATCATGCTGGACACATCCCACTGATCAGCCTCTCCCTACTGTTCTTCAGCACTTTTCCACTAGTTCACCCCAAGGCTTAAAAGATTGTCCCACCATTTGTCTCAACATAATTGAATTCAGCCTTTCACCTTTATTGCAATAGTCTTCAAAAGAACCTTCCTGGTCTGCTTAACTTTGTCTGGTGCAATTTTACTTTGATAAGGCCTAATGCAAAAAACCATGGTAAGGATCTTGAGAGTCATTTATCAAACTGGGGACATTCAATTACTAGGGTTGCCATAACAAAACACCACAGACTGAGTGACTGAAACAACAGAATGTATTTTCTCACAGTTCTGGAGCCTCAAAGCCCAGGATCAAGATGGTGGAATGTTTGTTTTTTCCCCGAGGCCTCTCTCCTTGCCTTTAGGCGGCTGTGTTTTCACTGCATCCTCACATAGTCTTTCCTCTGTGTGCATGCCTGGTGTCTCTCTGTGTGTCCAGGTTTCCTTTTTGTATAAGGAGATGATTCCAATTTGATTAGGGCCCACCTTAATGACCTCTTTTTAACTTAATCACCCTTTTAAATATCCTGTCTCCAAATACAGTCACATTTGGAGGTGTGTTCAGGATTCAACATACACATTGCTCGCAGGTGTAATTCAGCTCATTAACACTGACTTTCTATTTGTGTTGCTGCTGTCTCTACCACATCCTTCTTAGAGGAAACTTTACTTCCCAAAGCTCCAATCCAACCATTTTCTGAAAACTTTGCATTTCTCAAGAGCAATGCATATCTTACTCATTTCTTACTCTCAGCACCAAAAAGAGTAGTAAGTGAATACTCAATGCTTGAAGAATTAGTTGGACATATGGATAAGGTTTGGGGGAAGGAGGAGGATGGGGTTACTTAGCAGGGATTATGGTTTTGAAAGATAAAGATATTCATTACACAAGTTTAACTTTTGCTCCATTACAAGAACACATCATCTTGAGGTGCAAATCAGTATACGCCTTTTTTTTTAAAAAAAATCACTAATTGTGATGGAACTTCCATAGTTATATTAATTTTTCACTGCAAGTGTTAATGAAACAAATACCATTTAATATAGATGACAATTTTTGTTGTTCTATTTTTGCATTTCTCTTTTAATAGGCCAGCATTCACACACACAAAAATCAACCTTTAAAATACTCTGTCTAATGCCACTCAAACAGCTCTTTCAAAGTGTTTCAGAATTCTGGAGGCTTCAAGATGGCTGACTAGAGGCATCAGACACTCCCTCCTCCACAAAGAAGAACCAAAATAGCGAGTAGATGATCCACAATTCAAATAGAGCATCCAAGACAGAATGCTGGAATTGAGCAAAGAAGTGACAGGAAACAACACCTGAGTCACAGAAGGAGTGAGAAGCAGGCAAATAGCCCAGCCAGGATCAGCCAGGAGCCTGGAGAGGCTCCCCTGTGCCAGGAAAGGGCAAGTGAGAAATCCCCAGCAGTTCACATTCCCACTGTGGACTCCTGCAATCCTAGCCATGGGATAGTCCTTTGACCCTGGCAGCCCTGAGACTAATAGAAGGAGCTGCCTGTAGGTACCATGTAATAGCATTGCTGCAGAAAGGGAGCTCACACTGGATCCCACACACCCTGGAGACCCAAGCAGCAGCAATATGGCACCATTTTGAGAGTGCAGCCTCCAACAGACTGCACCCTGGCCCCGGGCTCAATCCACATCCTGGGAGCCCCACTGACATCCCTCCATGTCCACCAGGAAGGCTGTGTGTCATGACACTGGTCGGACCTACCCCGCAGAGCAGTGGCAGGATCCCCTGCACAATTTCCTGCACCCAGGGGAAAGGGCAGTTCAGCACACTGAGGAGGCTGCCTCCAGGACAAAGGGAGGCAAAGAGCACTCTCCAGAGCTGGAAACCTACCTGTCTGCATGTGGCGACTGCCACTGACAACAACCCCACCCTTATCAGTAGGAGGCGACAGTGCACCTGCGTGCTCCCTGACACCACCACCACCACCACCACCACCACCACTGCTACCAGGGGCCAAAAGGCACACTCTTCAGAGCCTGAGAGCCACCTGTCTGGGGCATCCACCACAAACCACTGCCTCCCCTGTCCCACTCCTCCAGCAGCAGGGCCCCCTTGCACATGCATGCACCCTGAGGAAAGGTTCTCTCTTTCTTTGCTGCAGCCGCCACCTGAGCAATAAATATGGTACATCACATCAGTACAATGAAGGACAAAAACCCTGTGATCATCTCAATAGATGCAGAAAAGTATTTGATAAAATCAGCATCTCTTCGTTATAAAAACTCTCAATGAATTAGGCATAGAAGAAAAGTATCTCCACATAATAAAGGCCAAATGTGACAAACACACAGCTAACATTATAATAAATGAGGAAAAGCTGAAAAGCCTTTCTTCCAAGAAATGGAACTAGATAAGAATGCCTACTTTCATGACTCTTATGCAACGTAGAACTGGAACTCCTAGCCAGAGCAATCAGTCAAGGGAAGGAAATAAAATGCATCCAAAATGGAAAAGAGGAAGTCAACTTGTCTCTCTTTGAAAATGACATAATTTTATATATAGAAAAACCTACAGACTATCAAAAAACTCTTAGATCTGATAAATAAATGTAGTAAAGTTGCAGGATATAAGATTAATATACAAAAATCAGGAGTGTTTTTATATACTAATAGCAACCTAGCTGAGAAAGAAATCAAGAAAGCAATCCCACTTACAAAAATTGCAAAAAAAAAAAAAACCACCTAGGAATAAATTTAACAAAGAGCTGAAAAAACTCTACAAGGAAAACTAGAAACACTGATGAAAGAAATTGAAGCAGACACAAACAAATGAAAAGATATCCCATGCCCATAAATTGAAAGAATTAATATTATTAAAATGACCATACTACCCAATCTACAGATTCAATGCCATCAAAATACCAGTGACATTTTTCACAGAAATAGAAAAAAAACACACCAAAAATTTGTATGTAACAAACAAAAAGCCTGACTAGACAAAGCAATCATGAGCAAAAAGAACAAAGCTGGAGGTATCATACTATCTGATTTCAAAATATATTACAAGGCTATAGTAACCAACACAGCATGATATTGTTATAAAAACAGACACATAGACTGATGGAACAGAATAGAAAATCCAGAAATAAAACCACGTTTATAGACAACTGATCTTCCACAAAGCTGTCAAGAACATACAATGAGCAGAGGATACTGAAACGATGCTGGGAAAACTGGATAACCATATGCAGAAGAATGAAACTGCACCGCTATCTCTCACCATATACAAAATCAACTCATGATGAATTAAAGACTTTAACATAAGACCTGAAACTATAAAACTACTAAGAGAAAAAATAGGGAAAACACTCTAAAACATTGATCTAGGAAAAGACTATGGCTAAGACCCCAAAAGCATAGTCTACAAAAACAACAAATAGACAAATGGGACTATATTCAACCAAAAATCTTCTGCACAGTAAAGGAAACAATAATTAATCAACAGTGCAAAGAGACAGCCTGTGAAATGGGAGAAAATATTTGCAAACTATTCATGCCACAAGGGACTAATATCCAGAATATACAAATAACTCAAACAACCCAACAGAAAAAAATAACAAATAATTTCGTTTAAAAATAAGGAAAGGATATAAATAGATATTTATCAAAAAAGATACACAAATTGCCAACAGGTATATTAAAAAATGTTCAATATCACGAATCATTAGAGAAATGCAAATCAAAACCACAATAAGATGTTATCATACTCCAGTTAGAATGGCTATTGCTAAAAAGAAAAAAATAAAATAGATGCTGGAAAAGATGCATAAAACGGGAACTCATTTACTGTTTGTAGGAATGTAAATTATTACAGCCATTACGCAAGACAGTATGGAGATGTCTCAAAAAACTAAAAATAAAACTACCATACAATCCAGCAATTCCACTACTGGGTATTTATCCAAAGGAAAATAAATCATTATATCAAAGGAGTACCTGCATCCCCAACTTTTATTGCAGCACTATTCACAATAACAACGAAAAGGAATCAACCTAAGTGTCCAACAACAGATAAATAGATTTAAAATGTGGCATATGTACACAATGGAATACTATTCAGTCATAATAAAGAATGGAATCTTGTCCTTTGCAGCAATAAGGTTAGAACTGGAGGTCATTATGTTAAGTGAAGTAAGCCAGATACAGAAAGACAAATATCACATATTCTCACCCATATGTGGGAGATTACAAAAAGAAGTTGATCTCCTAGAGGTAGAGCGTAGAATGATAGTTAACAGAAGCTGGGAAGGGTGTAGGGGAGGCAGAGGGGGTGAAGAGAGGTTGTTTAATGGATACAGTTAAATGGAAGGAATATATTCTAATGTTTGATAACAGACTAGGGTGACTATAGTTAACAACAATGTATTGTGTGTTTCAAAGCAGCTAGAAGAGAGGATTCGATACATTCCCAACACATAGAAATGATAAACGCCCCAGGTGATGGATACCCTAAATACTCTGACTTGATCTACACATTTGTTCATGTAACAAAATATCACTTGTACTTCATAAATATGTACAAATAGTATGTATCAATACAAAATATAAGAAAGTGTTTCAAAAGACAAAAACATAAAGCTGAGAGGTTTATTTTAGAAGTCTATATAAAATCCACTGTATTTCCTCAGATCAGGCTGTACTTTATATTAGAAAAACCCAGAAATAGAAAAATCTGAATAAAACAGTTCCGTTATAACAAAGTATTTTCTTGTGTGAGGTGTTCAATGTGCTTCGACAAATTCATTTGATTAATAATTTAAAAGATTGATAAGAAGATTGTGAGCCAATATGTCTCATTAGTAGCCTACTGCCCGTTAGAAATGCATTTGTGTTCTCTGAAATAAAATTTTAAAAACAGGCAGAGGCTTTTATGAATTGAGACTAAAACCTCTTTTCAGAATGAGAAAGTTGTCCTTGAGCAACCTGAGGTTAAAAGCCAAGTTTTCTTATTGTCAAGCTATTGGGTGCATGAATAAGGAAGGAAATATGTATTTAGCTATTTGTGTGGAAGTTTTGTTATCCCAGTAAGTCATTGAAAAATATGTATAAAGAGATAACTGCTTTCCTATTTGACTTTATATTTACTATGCAGAATTTAAGTATGTATTGTAGTTTTTGTTTTCTAACTTTCCCTGAGATACATTTTTAGTCTTAATGAAAGTAATTTTATAGATTTATTTTTCCTGAACCCTACAACTTTGTCCACACATACTCAATACCTAAGTTCCCTGACTGCAGTATTTACTGTACTGACTCTGCATATTCATAGCATTCAAGTCCCCAGGCCCCTACTCTTAACCTTGAATGTGGTTTTTCTAGGGTGCTTCATTGCTTCCAAAGCACTCTCACATTCTAACCAAAGTCATAGGCTTTTCTTTCCCTTATTCTTTTTAGTTTTTCATCTCACCCTTTCCTCCTTCTCCATGCTCCACTTTTGGTGGAAATTGTTCACTTAAATACCCCCCAACACTCCCAGTAATAATAAACAGTTCACAGTTGCCTAGTGTATTAGTCTGTTCTCACGTTGCTAATAAAGACATATCTGAGACTGGGTAGTTCATAAAGAAAAGAGATATAATTGACTCACAGTTCAGCATGGCTGGGGAGTCCTTAGGAAACTTAACAATCATGGCGGAAGGGGAAGCAAACACATCCTCTTCACATGGCGGCAGGAAGGATAAGTGCCTAGCAAAAAAAGGGAAAAGCCCCTTATAAAACCATTAGATTTCATGGGAACTCACTCACTGTCATAAGAACAGCAGCATGGGGGTAACTGCCCCCATGATTCAGTTACCTCCCACTGGGTTCCTCTCATGACACGTGGGGGTTATGGGCACTACAATTTAAGATTAGATTTGAGTGGGCACACAGCCAAACTATATCACCTACTATCTACTATGTGCCAGGAACCGAGTGCAGTGCATGGATAATTCATTTACTTTTCACAACAACCCTATGAGGTCATTGCTATTGATTATTATCCACATTTTAAAGAAGCACAGAAAGGTTAAGTCACTTTCTCAAGAACACACAGCCAGTTAGTGGTAAAGCCAGGATTTGAGTCCAGGTAGTCAGGTTTCAGAATCCATGACTAGTATACAAATAATGGATTATTCAAAACAATATGCATGGAAGTGATGTATAATAACCCCACAGAAACTTCTAGCAAACCTCCATGCTTTTTCTTTCCCTTGGTCAGTTCTCTGAATGAAGACTATCCAGGGGAAGAATGCACAGTTCCAGGACTTGTATTAAATTGTGACATGAGTGAGATTTTGGGGCTGGGAGATGCTAAAAATAAAAATAAAAAAATGCCTTTAGCATCCCAGTTTAAGAGTAGAACAGCTTGGTTAGTACTCATTCATGTAAAGATGCTGGATTTAAAAATCATATGGTGGCAAATGATAATAAGAGAAAAATTTGGATGGTCAGGCGACACCCATTTACTGAAAAAAATGTTTAAAGACATTTTTATTCACATTTTAATTGTATCAAAATAACAGGTTCTTGAAATAGACCTTCCTTAAGGTCAACTCAGGCAAGGGCTTAAAGCGCACTGAGCACTGGCAGTCTCCCTCTTTCAAAGACACAAAGGAAGATTCAAGAGGTGATTCACAGTGAGAGCTGGAGCTGTAGTAAGTTGAATTGTCTGCAATGCTGAATGACTTACAACCATAAACCCAGTAAAATAAAAATAAGAAAGAGCAAATGCAGGGGAAACTACTACATAAGTGTTAGCACCATGTGACGTCTGGATTTAACTTCTAACAAGGTCCTTCGGCACTTCCAATGCTATACAAATGATATTTTGTAAATTTATTTTTAAAATTTCTTAGACATATACAGACCTTTGTAGCATTACAGAAATGCCTATATGTTGCATATATTATCATTTTTTTCCTGTTTTATTATTTTTTCCTCAGGACCAGCATCTCTCTTTACTTCTTCATCCCTATTATTTCTGCTATCCTAGCCAAACTCTTATCCTTCCACTTTGTGCTTTAAAAATAATATTCAAATATATACATATATGTCGGTGTATTTATATGAACCTAAAAATAAATGTACACATAAAATATAAACAAATTATGCATACATAGTCAAATATATGCACATATATTCACAACTATAAATATACATACACATTTGTATGTAAATATATATCTTGTACCATCAGTTAACTTCTTCCTTCTGTGCTCTCCACACCTCAGTTTGTAGAAATGAAAGGGGGACTCCAAAACTCCACATCCTGGCATAATATATGTCTTAGTCAGCTTGAGCTGCTATATTAAAATATTGTATACTGAGTGGCTTATAAACAATTGGAATTTACTTCTCACAGTTCTGGAAGCTGGAGGTCCAAGATCAAGTGCTGGAAGATTTGGTGATTGGTGAGGGCTACTTTCTGGTTCATAGACAGTGGTCTTCTAGCCATGTCCTCACATGGCAGAAAGGGTGAGGGAACGCCGTGGAGAATCTTTTATGAGGGAATTAATTCCATTCATGAGCTCTCAGCCCCCATGACCCAATTATCCCCTGTATTAGACCATTCTCGCATTGCTATAAAGAAATACCTGAGACTGGGTAATTTATAAAGAAGGGAGTTTTAATTGGCTTATGATCTGCAGGCTGTACAGGAAGCATAGCAGCTTCTGCTTCTGGGGAGCCCTCTGGAAGTTTCCAATCATGGCAGAAGGCAAAAGGGGAGTGAGGCACTTCACATGGCCAGGACAGGAGGAAGAGAGAGGTGGAGAAGTGCTACATACTTTTAAACAACTAGACTTCATGAGAACTCACTATCACGATGACAGCACCAAAGAGGATGATGTTAAACCACGAGAAACAACTTCCGTGGTCCAATCAATTGCCTCCCACCAGACCCCACCTCCAACATTAGGGATTATAATTGAGCATGAGATTTGGGTGGGGACACAGATCCAAACCATATCATCTCCCAAAGGTCTAATCTCTTAATACATTATCTTGGGCATTAGGATTTTAGCATATGAGTTTTGGGGAGACACACATGTTCAGGTCATTGCCATACACCCACTTCCTCCCTTCAACACTCACCTTCAAAGCCTGCCTCTTAGGTCATCAAAGCTAATCCCATCAACCTCTTTATCCCTATTTAATTGGTAACCACCAGTAGCTCAAGGACACCAGGCTTATCCTTCCTGACTTTGCTTCATATGACTTCATATATCCTCTGAAGTTCTGTCTCCTCACTTCTGTGCTCTCTGGGACTTAAGGTCTATCACTGTTCTCATTCTCTTTGAGTCTTCTTTTACCTGTGTATTAGTTTTCTGTGACTGTTGTAACAAATTACTACATACTTGGTGACCTAAAACAGCAGAAATTTATACTCTCACACTTCTGGAGTCCACAAGACCAAGTAAGTATCACTAGGCTGAAATGAAGGTGTCAGCAGGACTATGCCCCTTCTGGAGGCTCTAAGGAAAAACTTAGAAGTGAATTCTTCCCCAGTGGAGCCTTCAGAGGAGGTAAAAGCCCCAGCTAAAACCCTGACCGCAGCCAGTGAGAGACCCCCCAAGCCAGACCGGAGGACCCAGTGAAGCCTCATCCAGATTCTTAACCCACGGAAACTGTGAGATAATAAGTGTTGTTTCATGCCTCTAAATTTTAAGGTAGTTTGTTATATATCAAAAAGTAGCAATAAAAGAATAGAGCAGAGTATTTTTAAGACCAGCAAGTGTTTTATATCATATCTGTCTACATCCCAATGGCCAGAATTCAGTTTCATGGCCCAAACCAAATTACATGGAAAGTTGAGAATGTAGCCTTTCTATGTGCTTAGGAAGAGAAAAATAGTGTGGTACACACATGTATTGTCATGCTGCCATCTCTTCTCTGTATTGCAGCATTTTTTTCTATATATATATATTTTTTTCTTATTTCTATTTATAGTATCTTCTGCTATGAAATACTTTTTTTTAATTTTTCATAAGCACATATCTATATCTTATATTTTCTAGCTTCTGGGTTTCCAGAATTGATTTAGAAAGTCTCCATTAGCATTTGATCTGATATAAAGTCCATTCTATTTTCTTGCAGGAATTCTATTTTTCTTATTATTTTAGATAAGTTTTAAACTCATAGGTAATTTATTTTCATATTTGAAGTAGAATTGTGTTTTCTTTCACATGGTTAATGATGATAGATGACATCATTTGTTAATTTTCTCCCCACCCCAGTTGAACTACCGACTTAGTCACATAGATCTACTAAGTCATCATAGAGACTAGGATTTATTTCTAGATCCTCTTTTCTGACCTATTAATCTAGTGTCTATTACTGTGCCAATATGATATTGAGTGTTTTCTACTGTTTTCTGATATTTGTGAGGCAGGACTTCAACCCTACTTCATTCCTTTTTTGACGATTTTGGCAATTTTTTTCAGTGTAAAATTTAACATCATTTCATCTAAAATCCTATATGCACCCTAAATACCAAACAAAAAAATCATTTGAGTAGTCTGCCATAAATTAAATTTTAGTTTAATACTAATTTGGAGATAATATTTGTATACTTACATTATTTATATTTATTTTTCCTTCTCAGAAATGATATATTTTAAAATATTATATGTTTAAAAATATAACATATTCAATATGTATGTATATGAACTGAACTAACTTGAAAACCACTGCAGTATTCATCAGTTTCTAGCCCTTCTGCATTGTTTTCTGTCATGCTTTTTCTGCTATATATACAGATATTTATCTTTTCCCTATCTGTTTCTTAATTTGTTCCAGGGAAATAACACACCTTCCCTTGTGTCTTAATTTGCTCATCTCTGATTTGCATAAATAAAGCCTTGTACAGTGAGTACTTGTAGCACATTGAGAGGCATAGAGTGTTGTGGTCATGGCAGTATGGAACATTGGTTAAGACCACCTGGATTCAAATCTCATGTCTACAACCTTCTGGCTTTGTAATTTGGGGAAAATTATTTTCTCATACCTCAGTTAACTTTAAAATGGGGATAATAGTTTTTGTAGGGTTGTAAAGATTAAACTGATTAGTTCATGAAATAATTTAGAATAATGCCCAGCACAGACCATGATTCAATAGGTGTTATCTGTTTTCTTAAGGGTAGCAGGAGCAGGACATATTTGTTGAAATTCACTCTTCATTCTTTATATGTGCTTCAGAAACAATTATCTTCTATTAAATGGGAATAATTAAGGTATCAAATTGTTGTTTAGATTTAACTAGATGAAGTATTTGTTATATCTAAAAGGAATTTATAAATGTGAGATAGTTTGGTAATTTGCCTTTATTATAAAAAATGCTGAATTTGTTTACTCTTGCTTTTTAGTGATTCTGATAAATGCCCCATACAAATGTCCTTCTATTCCTCAGTAAAATTTAAGTGATTTCTGCAAGAAAAAATATTCAGCAACAGCAAATCAACTAAAGGTATATTTTCATTTTCTTTTATTTTTTAAGAAAATTAGTTATTTGGCTTCTTGTTAATTTTTCAATACTATCACTCAAGAAAAGGCATGTAGGTCTCACCTTAAACTGTTTTACTAAATCTACAACTTTGTATCAGCATTATTAGATGAAATGTTAATTAGCCTCAGGTGCCTGAACTATACCAAGAACTGTGCACCAATTTTTACCCCAGAGGTACAACACTCAAGCACAAATGAAGGTCAGATGTATCTGCAGAAAGAGAAATTAAAGAAAAATGTTTAATTTTCCCCCATTATTCTTATGTTTGATTTCATAGTTCAGTATATTAGTGTTTATGTGAAATAAGGGGAATTTTCTCTGATTTCTCTAATTTGTTTTAGAACCAACCCATCAAATCATGCCATTCATTCATCCATTTCTTCCAGTTTTCATGTATTTATTCAACAAGTGTTTACTGAGTGTCTGGTATCTTCTAGCCATCGCTCTAAGAACTAGAGAAACAGCATAAAGGAAACAAACAAAAGGGAAAACAACATCATCAAAAAACAAACTTTCTGCCATTGAGAAGTTCCGGAGGGAAATTCACACATTTAGTAAGTAAATAAATCCATAACAAAAAGCCCAGGAATCACAAATACTGTGCCCATTCAGAGAAAGTCATGCTGAGGGGGTATCATTTGGGCAGGAGTTTGTAGGAAGCTAGGGAACTAGTGCCAGGGAGCCCTGGAGGAAGTGATACAGACAGAGGACACCCATGTCAGAGGCTCTGAATATAAGTGGGCTCAGTGTGTTTGAAAAGCAGGAAGAAGGCCAATGAAGCTGAGCACAGGAGCACAGGGAAGAGCTCTGGGAGATAAGGTCAGAATGGGGCCTTGTAGATCAGGGTAAGAACTCTGGACTTTATAATACATAGAAAGGAAGCCATTGGATGGTCAGAACAGGGAGAGGGGTGTTCTGATTTGCATTTTAAGTGGATATTATCTTTATCCTTTGCCAAAATCATTATCTCTCCAATCTCCACATTTGTCATGCCTTTACCAAAACCTGAGTAAGTTGGAAACTGGCTCCACTAAAGAATGGGGAATGGTCATGCCATTATAGCTCCATCTGTGGGGTGGAATTGGCTGTGTGCCTCTGAAGCCAGTTCTAATGCCCCATAAAAAGACATCTGAAACTTGTAAAGTTCTCTCGAAGAAAATAAAAATTAGAACCTCTGGCCTCAACTTGAGTGAGGATGTAGTTCACAATTGTAAGTGAGTCTTTATTCATTTTTGTTGTTGTTGTTTATCCTTCACTCATTCAACAAGTATACATTGACTCTCTACATTGACTATCTACTATGTGCCATCACTATGTTAAGCACCAAAGGTACAACCATAAAGGAGACAGAGGCTTCCATCCTCACAGATATTCTAGTCTATTGACCTACATGTGATTCTAGGGCATGCTTTTCCTGGACCCAACTAGCTAAAATTACTTCCCCAGTTTCAGAAAATACTGCTCCACACCAAGGTATCACGCTAGATCAGCTTGGCCACCAAACTCTCAAATAGCCATGCATTTGCCAGGTTGATATATTTATAGCAATGAGGTGTCTGGATTTACAGTCACTGTTAAATATATATTCTGTGGCATGTTCTTAGTAGTAGTACCATCTTCAAACAAAAGACAATTTTAATTAATTTCATGCTTCTAAGTGAAGGCACTTTGCCGCTGGCATGCTGGCCATTTCTTATTATGTCTTTAATAATCTAAGACTTTAAAAAGAATCTATTGAATTAAAATGAAGCATTCACAGACACACAGACAATCATGTCTTGTGAACTGGAATATATGTAACAATATTAAAAATTCATTCTTTTCTAAGAAGAGAGACAAGAGAGAAATAATTCAAGATTTGGGATGAGAAATCAATTATCTTTTCCCTACCTGAGGAAACAGTATTTTAAGAGTTTATGGAAAAAAAAACACAAAATATCTTTTTATAGCTTTATATAGGTGGAAACAGATTAGACATATGACCAAATTATATTTTTCGGTATGTGAACTTGTTAATAAACCAAGAAGCATTTGCCGAGAACCTGTGTATGGAGAACTGAGACTGCCCTGATTCTGAGGATACCTGGATGTCTGACTTTGACTCTTGACCAAGAAAAGGGAAATGAGACTTATAATGTGCTATTTAAAGTCCAAAACTCCCCTGAGGACAGCTAAGACTGGTTTATTTACTGTTCATTTTTAGCTGTTTCAACCAGTTAGACAGTTGGGATTCGCTTTGTGACCAGGGGAACATAAAAGACCCTGCTGGGAACTTGACTTCACCTGAATTAAGATTCATCATACAAAACTTGGCAGTTCAATCCACAGATGAAGCACATTACTGCATGAAAAAGAACCCTAATAAACTAACATCTTGATGTTTTTTGGATTCCCAGTGCTGACTGATGTTCTTTTCTCTTACTGGATGTAGCATTTGCCTTTAAATAAAAGCCTTATGTAAATATGCTTTGAGGAATCATAGGAATCCTTTTAGAAATCTGAGCTTGTGAAATCTTTGTACTATATATTCAGCACTGTGCTAGATAGGTCTTTTGGAGCATACAAGAGTATCAAGGAACTTAGAGTCCAGATGGGAGGATGACAGTAAATAACACACATAGAGAAACTACAAATAATATGGATATAGGAGCTAAAAAGAAATTATTTAGACAGTGAAGGAAAAAGAGCCCTCGGTAAGGCTTCTCCTTTAATAAAAAGCAGCCCCCAAATAGTTTCTTTTTCTAACAAAGAGCAGCCTGTAAAATCGATCTGCAGACATAGATAAGCTATCTAAAAGCTTGCATAGGTAAATGCTGGCAGCTGTGCCAATAGGAAAAGACTACCTGTCGGCCAGACACATTCAGCATGGTGCCTCCATCCTCCCCTTTCTTTGTCAACCACAAGTATAGTAAGGAACAGACAACATGGTGGCGGCCAGGTAGAGAACCATCTGCATAATAAAAGATTATAGTGGGATGGCCAGCTTCTTTGTGGGCTATGCAAACATCATACCTGGTCTGAGCAATCTTTCGGGCCCTATGTAAATCAGACACTGCCTCCTCAAGCTGCTCTATAAAAACCCGTGTATTTCACCATGAAACCAGAAGGCCTCTTTGGGAGCCCCTTTCTATCTGCAAGAGAGAGAGAGCTACTCTCTTCTCTTTCTTTTGCCTATTAAACCTCCACTGTTAAACTCACTTCCTGTGTGTTTGCGTCCTTGATTTCTCTGGTGTGAGATCATGAACCTCGGGTATTTACCCCAGACAATGATACCACTTCAATATAAAAAGAAGAAAACAGTGAATTAAGGTTGTAGGGACTATAAATGTAACTGTAGTTGAAAGATGAGGGGAGCCCTAATCAAGGAAGATATGAGAGACAGCCATTGAACAAAAAAACAAATAAATAAGCCAGAAAATCCCAAGTAAATAAGGAAGATAATTTTAGTAAAAAGTGCTAGAGTGAAAATAAAACTGGGTGGTGTGTAGAATGTGACTAGAATATTATGTAAGATTGGAAAGTCAGGATATGCCTCCAAAGACATATGTCTCCAGAAAAGAGAGAATTATCTTTCTATGGAAATACCCGCACTCTTATTAAGAATTTTCATCTCTATGCAGGGAAAGGGCAGAGTTAGCTGACAATTTGGCACAAATAGTCTCATAGTCTTAATTGGAAATATGGTTGAAAAAATAGGCAGATGCCTAACTAAATGCTTGGCATAGATTATTTGGAGCCAAATTATCACATTTGTTTTTACAAACTGCCCAAATTCTTTGAATTAAAGAAAAGAGACATCCCATCCCCAACAAAAACATAGCCTAGAGGAACCATCATCCAAAATATGGTAAAGATTTGTGGCTTAGCACAATTACTAGAATAGTCTGTCATACTGAAGTCTGAACATTTCTTCAAATTAAGTAAGTTATGGGTCTGAATATAAGGTTTCAGTTGTATGTTGACTGGCTATATGAATATTTATGCAAAAGATGATAAGGAAATAGGACAGGATACCATCCCTTACCTAGAAATGGGTTAATAAACAATATTACAATAACAATAATTTAAAATAATTTTTGAACATCATATATGTACCAGAAATGGTGCTGAGGACTTGACATATGAAACTTAATAAGAACATATTAAAGCTTCTCAGCATAATACACGTCCAAAAAATGTAAATCTTACTCTCTCTTACCCTCCTATATGCACACACACAAAAGTCCTTACTAATATTTTCTTAAAGACTGTAAGGAGGGTGTTATGTAGCACATACAAAGCAACACCTCCAAAAAATCCTTCACAGTTATCTCTTCTTTTGAAAAATGCACCTCTGCAGATAATAATTGCTCGTATACCCTTTCTCTACTTTTTTCACGACTGGGTCTTTTTATTTCCTCTAAGATTCTTCTAGGAGAATTCATGTCTTTGTAAAATGCAAAAATTTTGAATGTGGCTTGATGAAGCTTTACATATGTACACATCCTTGTCACCATCACCTAGAAAGAAACTGAGAAATTTTTCAAAACCCCAGAAAGTTCCCTCAGGCCTTTCAGTGAAGACTCACTTAAGAGGAAAGCACTCTGTCTTCTATTATCATAGATCAGTTTCACTGCTTTTTGAAGAATATATAGTGCTTTTTCTCTGTTTTCTTTCACTAAGCATAATGTCCCTGAAATTTACTAATGTTGTCTTGTGTATCAGTAGCTCTTTTTTTTTTCCATTTATACCGTTAAAAAGATATACCACACATCGCCTATCCATTTGCTCGCTGGACACTTGGGTTGTTTCTAACTGAAGGCTATTACAAATAAATACTCTGAACATGCTTATACAAGTGCATGTGTGTGTGTGTGTGTGTGTGTGCATGCACATGTGTGGACACGTGCATTTGTTTCTGTTGGGGATTTACGTAGGACTGGAATTATTGGGTTATGTGTTAAGCATATGTTTAACTTTATTAAAAAGTTAAAAAATGTCCAAACGCTTTCCTCATGTGGAAACATTTTGTACTCACACCAGCAATGTTTTTATTGTCCATATCCTCAGCAACTCTTCTTGGTAAATCTTTTAATTTTAGTCATTTCGGTAAGTTTGTAGTGCTATCTCATTGTAATTTATTTGATAAGACTTTTCACCTGTCTGTGTTTCAATCTGTATAGATTCTGTGTACTGTTTTCATATTCACTGATCTTTTCTTCTTCAGTGTCTAATCTGTTGGTAAGCCATCCAATGAATTTTTCATTTTAGTTATTGTGTTTTTCAGTTCTAGACTTCACATTTTATTTGTTTTTATAATATCTCTATCAAAATTTTCCATTTGTTTTCTCATTATGTTCATGCTTTTCTTTATAGCCTTAAACATATTTATTTATTTATTTATTTTTATTTTTATTTATTTTTTTGAAACAGAGTCTCGCTCTGTCACCAGGTTGGAGTGCAGTGGCATGATCTCAGCTCACAGCAACCTCCACCTCCTGGGTTCAAGCAATTCTCCTGCCTCAGCCTCCCGAGTAGCTGGGACTACAGGTACACACCACCATGCCCAGCTAATTTTTGTATTTTTAGTAGAGACGGGATTTCACCAAATGTTGGCCAGGACGGTCTCCATCTCTTGAACTTGTGATCCACCTGCCTCAGCCTCCCAAAGTGCTGGGAATACAGGCATAAGCCACTGCACCTGGCCTTAAACATATTTATAATAGCTGTTTTAAAGTCATCATTTGCTAATTTGATAATCTCAGCCATTCTGGATATAACTGTCTGACTGATTTTTTTATGTTATTATCCACATTTTCTTGCCTCTTTGCATTTTTAGTAATTTTTATTGTATGTTAGACATTATAGTTTCTAATTTGTTGAGTGGATTTTTAAAAATTTTATTTAACAGAATATTACTTTTCTCTGTAGGCATTAATTTGCTTACAGATTAAATTGATACTTTTGAGACCCATCTTTAAGTTAATTGAGTCTAGAATAGCCTTTATTCAAGACTAGATAAGCTCCACTCCCCAGGCCTGGATTTTTCTAGGTTTTCTATTAAAAATGATGGTATTCAATCAGGGTTTCCACCTCTAACTGTAACTCTTTTATCTCACAGCTCTGTATGAGTTCCAGTTGTTGTTTGGCTTACAGCTCTTTGGTGGTAGTTCTTTCCGTAGTTGTTTCCTTTTCTCAGTGTTGTACGTAACCTGTTCATGATCAGCTTAGTATTCAGCCAGACTCAAGGGGACCCCTCTGCACCACCTCCTCAAAACCACTCTCTATCTCTTATAACCTGCCTTGTAAATCTTAGTCTATGCAGCAGCCCAAAACTTTAAATGCTGTCTTCGTAGCTCTAAGAGATTCTTGTTCTCAACTGGGGATTCCTTTCTGGGCCTCTGTCCAGAAATTGCCTTGAAAAGGAAAGTGAGGGCAATTGTAAGGGTAACCTTGTTAGTTTCTCTTCTCTAAGGGATTACCTCACTTTTCTATCTGTCATCTAATGTCCAAAAGCCATTTTTTATATGTTTTGTCCAGTTTTAAAGTTGTTTGTGGCAGCTTGGCAGTCTAATACTAGTTACTCCAGTATGTGCAAAAGCAGCAGTCTCTCTATGCTTTAGCACCTTTTCATATGCTTATTGGCTACATATACATCATTTCATTGAAGTGCTTTTTCAAGCATCTTTATTCTTTTTCATCTTTTTCTTATTGACTTGCAGGAGTTCTCTATACAGTCTGGATATTTAAAATTCCTTTTTTGATTAGAAATATTGTACATATTTTCTCCCAGTCCATGGTTTTCTTTTCAAATTTCTTAGCTGGAAGTCAACTTATACTATCCGAAGAAAATCAGGCTGGATAATTAGGAATCTAAGGGGAGTTGTCTCAAAAAAGAGTAATCATCTCCTGCCCAGTTTCTAGACCTTGGGCAATTTTTTTTTGTTTCAGAATGTCTTGACTGAAACGAGGTTGGGTTTCTAAAAAGAAGGAACTACAGCAAGTACATTTGATAAAGATCAACCCAATTCTTCCTCCAGAGGGACTTAACGGCCATTTACTCAGTAACTATACACCAGAGAAAGGAAAACTACCAAACATTTTGAGGGCTGTTAAACACACATTGATACCAGAAGACCCAAAGCATCATCATGTTCCCTTCCAACCCTCTGGTTATAGTGGAAGCATAAGGGCCATGTAATAAATGTGATCCTTCTAAGGTAGATTTTACGTCAGTCCACTGGGACCACACATGTACCTTGTGATCATTTCTACAATTTTCTAATATAGTCAGGTTTGCATGGCACAAGTGGCAGGATTTTTTATACCTCAACATGAACCTGCTGTTGAACACTTTCCTAGGGGCTCCACTCAAAACTGCCATCCATCCATGAGGAGCGTGGGTCCATGCCACAAAACATCACTTATCAACTACGTAGAGGGTATCATCCTAAGTCATTAGGTCAAGCAGGCCCAGCAACAATTTACTGTTAAACGGAAGTGTTACATCAGGATTGAACATGATTAGGCTGAGGGGGTAAAAACAGGCTGCATGAGAAGGTAGTCCCAGACTCCCATGTTATCCAACACGGTTGTACTGGTACCCCTCTTTTAGGTCACACCTAAGGTCATATATGACCAGCTAATGGAGGAGGGAAAGTTTGAGTCTTTCACAGATGAATTAGATTGGCATTTGGATGCAGGCATAAAACAGACAGTGACAGTATTAAAGGCTTAATCAAGGCAGCCTTGAGAGACAGAGTTGAAATGATAATCCTTCTCATGGATAGTGCACAGGTTATCCACTTTGTCAGACAGAGAATTTACTCACAGGAGATCTACAGATAGTGAATCATGAAGAGTGGAGAATGGCATAGTTGGTTGATCATGAAAATAGAGAAAGATTAGAGGACCAAACACAAGAAGGTCTAGAGTAGAGGCATGTGGCTAGGCATACAAGAATGGACACAAAATGAATTAATGGTTTTTATCACAGGGAGTAACTACCATGAAAGATGCACTTAACAACCAAGTAAACAAAATGACTTAGGCAGGGCTGAAACTAGCATTAGGACAAGTGAAGCACTTAGGGTGTAAAAATTTAAGGAGGCTCTCACTCTTAGGTGCTGACCCTGCATGTGCACAACCCTAGAGTGAGTACTTCCTTAAAGTTTGTGCCCTAGGCACCTTGCTGGTCTCACTCTAGTCCGTGGATGTCAGTCAGGCTCTGTCACTGACTACAGAAATGGATTATTCATGTTGGCTATCCATCAGCCGAACAACACGGAATCTCACTTATCAAGGCCCATCTGGTTACTACTGCTGTGTTTCTAACCTGCTGGCAACAGAGATAAACCATATCATATGGCATTATCCCTCAAGTAGTCCAACTGGCCACTTGGTGGCAAGGGGACTATGTTGAGCTCTTTCCACCTTGGAAGGGCCAGTAATTTATTCAAGCAAAGATAGACATACTCTGTCTGTATAGGTTTGCCAATTCAACCCACAGAACTTCAGCCGACACTACTCTCTGGAGGTGTATGGCATGTCTGATTTCACCAGCACAGGATCTCATCAGAATAGGGACTCGTTTCAGAGAAAAGGATATATGGAAGTAGGCCCATGACCACAGAATTCACTGGTCATATCACACACCATAGCATCCAGAAACTGCCACCTGATAAGAGTTTTGGAAACAGTATTTTAGAAGCATAGCTTAAGTACCAGCTCGGAGGTGATAATTTTATGAGGATGGAGCACCATCCTACAGGTCACTATATATAGCTTGAATCAAAGACCTTTACATGGAACTATGTCTTCACCTAAAAAAAAAAAAAAAAAAAAAAAAAAAAAAAGATTGGTCCATGAATCTAGGGGTAGAAGCAGGAGTAGCCTTACTTACTACTACAGTGAACATCTTGGAGAATTTGTGCCTTCTGCCCCCAGAACTCTGGGCTCTTTAAGCCTATATGTCCTGGTTCCTTAAGGGAGAATGCTTCTTCGAGATAACAAAGAAAAGCTATAATTAACCTCAGGGAATTTCAGGTCCCTTTGTACCCAGGGGTCATGAAACAAGAAGAAAAGTCACCATGTTGGTGAGGATAATTGATTCTGATCAACAGGAGGAAGGGCTGCTGTTAAACAATGGCAGAATATTATTAACACCTCGATGACCTGTTTGGGCACTGCTTGGACCCCCTTTGCCCAATTTTGATAGAAAATTCACAATTCTCAGGCAATCTCAGCCTGTAAAGAAACATTGTGACCAGCCAGGATCAACAGAGGTGCTATCTGAGGGTGAGGGAAATTTGGAATGAATAAGAGAAGGAAGACAAAGAAACTTAGATCAGCTTCAGCTGGAAGAATTAAAGTTCATATCATTGGGCCGGGCGCGGTGGCTCACGCCTGTAATCCCAGCACTTTGGGAGGCCGAGGCGGGCGGATCACGAGGTCAGGAGATCGAGACCATCCCGGCTAAAACGGTGAAACCCCGTCTCTACTAAAAATACAAAAAATTAGCCGGGCGTAGTGGCGGGCGCCTGTAGTCCCAGCTACTTGGGAGGCTGAGGCAGGAGAATGGCGTGAACCCGGGAGGCGGAGCTTGCAGTGAGCCGAGATTGCGCCACTGCAGTCCGCAGTCCGGCCTGGGCGACAGAGTGAGACTCCGTCTCAAAAAAAAAAAAAAAAAAAAAAGTTCATATCATTAACCTTCCACTTCTAAGTTTCCCTTAGGAAGACAGGCCCACCAGAATCTTGAAGGAGTTGCTCCCTAAACATATATGAAGAAGTGAATCAGCATGGTGCTAGGGGTGGACTGCAGTAGACATGGTGATGTACCTTCTGGGTCCCACTTCAGGGAAGGACTTGTTGATTCAGTTACTAAAAGGGCCGCTGGCAGACAGCTTACACCTGTCAGTCCCTTCAGGGATTGCCTCAGCTGCAGAGAGCTGCCTTGGCAAGGTCACACTCCTTCGGGAATGACTAATCAAGCAGAAGTTGAAAGGTTCAGCCATGTTGGCCCAAGGCAGAATAAGTCTGATGGAGTTGGGAATGGTTGTCTTTGGGACAGCTTGACTTCTCCATCTGTCCAATCCTGCTTCTTTTTCTCTTCCGCAGGAGTTGATTTCAAGAATACTCTTTAGTAAACATTCCACTCATTGAAATTGCCTGGGTCTGCTTCCATGAACAGTTATCAACTGCTTTACTAAGTGGAAAATCAGTTAGTTCCAATAACTGGTTATCCTTTTTCATTCATTTCATGGAATCAAAGTAAAACTTTTGAGAGTTTATTCCATTAAGTTGTGAATGCTAGTGCAAATTCAGTTAAGAAATTCCCCATTAAAGATAACGTTATTTGTTTCAATGGAGAAATATGAATATAAATGTTGGTGGATCACAGTATCATTGCAAAAATGATATTATCACTCCATTATAATAAAAAATGCATGACACAGAAATATACTTGGAATTTGTTGTAGTGTATTCTTAATTCAGAAGTTGGCAAATTTGTGTCTTGTAAAGGTCCAGATAGAAAACATTTCAGGCTTTGCTGGGCATATGGTCTTTGTTGCAACTACTGTTTGGTGCAACAGCAGCCATAGACAATTCATAAACAAAAGAGCATGGCTGTGTTCCAATAAAACTATTTACTGAAACAGGAAACATTTCAGATTTAGCCAGAGGACTATAGTTTGCCAAAGCCTGCCCCAATTCTTCAACATCCAAATGAGCTGTGTTGAAATTGCAATTAAAAAGAAGAAACATATCCACTACAAGCAGTATTATAATAGCCCCACTTATAGTAGTCTCCCTTTGTACTCGATGTCAATCACATTTCAAAAGTGTTTGAATCTCTGAATAGCTACTTTGCAAATTAACTTAAGTGTTCTACAGTGATATTGAACTTATTTTGAATGACTCCTCTAAACTGCATTGTGTTCAAAATTAGAAAATTTAAATCAATATGTTCACAAATGGACTGCCAAAAATTCCAGTGTTTGAAGCTTTTAGTATTTTGTAATCATTGAAAACAAAACTTGCAAGCAGGGAGACATTGAAATTTATTCTTCCATAGCAAGAGAGGACCTGAATAAATTAATTTTTTGAGCTCAATGTAAGAGATTTATTTTTTGAAATTCAAAGCCTATACTTTCAAGCATCACAACTTATGGAAATAATCTTTTGATAGAGCTTCTATTTTAATTGGATATATGTATATTTTGCATAAATAGAGTGAAATTGAGAAGCTCTATGATTTTACATCATATAAGTTTTGTGAAATGTTCAAAAGTATTGTAAATAGTGACAAATTACTTGAGAAGTTTTATCCTGTATGAATATTTATTGAATAAAGATACTCTAAATAAAGGCAAAAAGGTAGTATCTATGGAAATATTTTGGCTAAAGTATTACACATTAAAAATATAGAACAGATCATTTTCCCTATTAAGCAGAATTTTTCTGAGCTTAGTAGGTAGCAGAGCACTAAGAGAGGAAGTTTATTTTTTTTCTCAGTCAAAACTTCATGTTTTACAGAGATGAGCCAATTGAAGCCATCAGAATATCAAATTTATTAATCCTAAAATGCAAGTTTAAAGAAGATTGAAGGCAATTAAAAATAATACAATTCTATAATAGGGATAAAAATATAATCAGAATAACAGAAGCAATATTAAAAATGGATACAGCTAAGAAACTGATTAAAGTGAATGAGCCTTATCTATGCAAAATAATTTTTCTGCTTGTATTCTATTAGTCAGATAATCAACTACAAGTTTTTTTAAATTTTGTATTATCTTATATAGTATTTTATTTTAGAAAGAACTTATTTTTGAAAATTGGTTTATTATTCTTACTAGCCTACAACATAGTTGTATTTAAACCCATTTGCCAGTCTATATATATTTAAAATTGTATAATTTTATTGATCTTAGTGTCCTGTTTTATTCTCAAAACTGTCCTGTTTGGAATATAATTTGTGTCTTTGTGACAGTAATCAACAAATCCAAAAGATCTTCTTTAGAACTCAGACACTTTGAATGGCAAAGAATGGGAGAATTTTAATAATTTCCATTCAGTATCTCTTAGCCTGTCACCCAGATAATCTCATCTAACTTTCATAATAACTCTACTCTAGATGTTATTTACTCTATTAAAATATAACAAAAACAGCCAGGCCAGTGGCTCACACCTGTAATGTCAGCACTTTGGGAGGCCAAGGTGAGTAGATCATTTGAGGTGAGGAGTTTGAGACCAGCCTGGACAACATGGTGAAACCCTGTCTCTACTGAAAATACAAAAATTAGCCAGGCATTGTCACGGGTGACCGTAATTCCAGCTACTAGGAAGGCTGAGGCAGGAGACTCACTTGAGCCTGGGAGGCAGAGGTTGCAGTGAGCTGAGATCACACCACTGTACTCCAGACTGGGCGACAGAGTGAGACCCTGTCTTCAAAAACCAAAATAATAAAAATAATAAAATAAAACAAAAATGAAGGTTAGAAAAGTGAAGTAAATTGCTGAAGATCACACAACTATTAATTTGCAAAGACAGAATTAAAACTTCGGTTTGCCTGTCTCTGAAGTCTTAGCTTTTAATTATTATGCCATATTTTGGAAGACAGATTCTTAATCTTATTATTAGTGTTTGTTATTATCTGATTATAAAGTTGGAATACAAAAAATATATTTTTAAAAAGTCTGTAGTATCAGGCGGGGCACGGTGGCTCATGCCTGTAATCCCAGCACTTTGGGAGGCCAAGGCAGGTGGATCACCTGAGGTCAGGAGTTCAAGACCAGCCTGACCAACATGGAGAAACCCTGTCTCTACTAAAAATATAAAATTAGCCGGGCATGGTGGCACATGCCTGTAATCCCAGCTACTTGGGAAGCTGAGGCAGGAGAATCACTTGAACCTGGGAGGCAGAGATTGCATTGAGCCAAAATTGCACCACTGCACTACAGCCTGGGCAACAAGAGTGAAACTCCATCTCAAAAAAAAAAAAAAAGTCTATAGTATCAGTACAAATAAATAACTTTGGTAGTATTTGGGAGGTATTTCCTCAATTATTTTTCTGACACATAACTGAATGTATTTAAGTAATTGAGATCATATAATATATTCCTTTAGCCTGAGAGAAAAAAAAACATAATGTGATAAATAGTTGAAACTAAACTTCCAAATAGTCTTGGGATATTGTCTTTATAGCAACTTGGTCTTATTTCGTAAGTGCCAAATGTTTTTCCTTAAGGGCCTCAGAAAAATGGCCCTATAAAAGAAACAACTTATAATAAATATGTGGCCAAATTTTATACAGAGTATTCAAATCACATTCAGCTCCTTTGGTAGTGATCTTTAATAAAACTCTAAGTTTCTAGAGTCTAGTTGGAGAACAGAGGTCATGGTTTGCTTGACTTTGTGTTTGAGACAGGCTTTGTGTACTTCAAAAAGATTTGTGAAATTGAAATGCATTTTGCAAAATGAAGAATCCTCCATGGATACTTTAAGTAATGTTGAAATTCTTGAGCAATGGCATGTGTTGCTCAAAATCTCTCAGAGGAGATTTTGAATGGAACAAATTGTAAGATACTCTCTTTACAGTGTTACTTAGGATCAAAAAATAGTAACAATGTGAAGATGATTTTTTTTTCTAGAACAAGAAGTACTTCTCAAGTGGAATCCAACTCTAGACATTTATCAAGATGACTGCTCCTCCCACGTGTAATAAAGAATCCATAAGCCCTCATGATGAGCAGTATTTATAGTCATGTTTACATTTTATTGTGAGTTATAGGAAAAAAATATTATTTTGGTCTGTAATGGTTTGTTGCTCAGTTTGGCATTTAGCTCTGGTTTGTATTTACAGATAAAATTTTGAGATAGGAAAATTAATTTGCTTTTACATAATGTCAATTCTATTCTTTTCCAAATCTCCCTAGTTTTTCAATGATTCAATCTTGGAAAATTTTGCTCAAGATTGTGTTTATTATTTGTGTTAATGTTCTCATTTTACAAGTACTAAATTAAGATTTTTTTAAAACAAAAATAAAGAGACGTTCTGACTTCAGACATAGCTCCTTGTTTTGTCACTGCAGGAGGCAATCAGACTGACCTGGGTCCCAATTGTAACTAAGCTTTTTTATTTGTTTGAACCTCAGGTTCCTATTTATATGTTGGAGACAACTACTTCTTAGTGGTGCTTTGAGGATTCAATAAGGTAACAGGCAAAGACTTAGCCAGTGGGCTGGCACATAATACATGAAAACACAAGGAAGATTATTTGGGCTGGAGGGTAGTGGGGAATGGAGGGATGTTGGTCACGTAGACAAGAGGGTAAGTATTTGAGATCTACTGCATGGCATGGTGACTGGAGTTAATAATAATGTATTGTATGCTGAAAAATTGCCAAGGGAGTACATTTTAAATGTAGTCACCACAAAAAAATGATAAGTATGTGAGGTGATGTCTATGTCACTTAGCTTGATTTAATTATCCCAAAATGTGTACATGTATAAAAACACATTGTACCCTATAAATATATGCAATTATTGTCATTCAAAAAATTTAAAAACAAAGTTGTTTTTATTATCTTTCTTAAAAGTGCAAAATGAAAGAAAAAGAAAAGAAATACAAAAACTAAGGCTTGCAAGCTTAGAGAAGTTGCATATTCAGAAGGCATTAATCCTATAATATATACATATAATTCTCAAAGCATAATGTGTGTTGAGACACTCAAAGAACTTCTGCTAAATTGTTGCTATGATCAGAGACAGGAAAAATAAAGAGACTCCTTGGATATCTACAGGAAAGATTGTGAGATAGGACTCATAACTCAGATGAACTAGAGGAAGTAAAGCCATTGGGAGATAGGCCAGGTGCCAACCCCAATCAGCAGACTCATCCACTGAGTGTCAGGTTCTGTGCCAACTCTATGGACACAAGTGCAAGTTAAACAAGCCCTGCCTTCAGGGAAACACAATTAACCACAAGAGTTATTTATGCACAAGGTACTCTGCTGTAGAGAGGGTTGCTTACTAACACAGCCAGGGAGGACTGGGGAAGGATTCCAGCTGCCTGAGCTAAGCCAGGAAGGGAAAATTGGAGTTAGCAAGGCAAGGAAGGTCATTCCAGGCAGTGGAAACAGAATGAGCAAAGGCAAGAGAAAAGGTAATGTTTTATTTAACTAAAAATATGCTATGTGTTTGGAGCTTAAGGATCATGTGAAGAGTGGGCAGAGGTGGAGCCAGGGTGGAAACAGGGTCATGAAGGGTTCTCTCTGCCAGGCTATGGTTCTAGCCACACATAAATGCTTGCAGTTCCTGAATGTAGCACCATCTTAGTCTGGGCTGCGATAACCAAATACCATAGACTGGGTGGCTTAAACAACAAATATTTATTTCTCACAATTCTGCAGGCTGGAATTTTGACGTCATGGTGCTAGCATGGTCAGGTTGTCAGTGAGTGTCCTCCTGTTGGTTCACAGATGGTTGCTTGTATTCTAACATGGGCTAGGGAGAGAAAGCATGCTGTCTTGTGTGTCTTTTATTATAAGAACACTAATCCCATCATGGAGGTTCCACCCTTATGATCTAATTAACTCGCAAAAATCCCATCTTTACACACCATCACACTGGAGATTTGGTTTCTACATATGAATTTTGAAGGGACATAAACATTTAGTCCATAGCCACCAATCTCCCTGTTAACTTTACAACTGACCTTCTCATTACTGTAATATGTCTGGCCCATTCCTTCTTCAGCATCTTTGCACATGTTGTTCCCTCTGCTTAGCCCCTCTTCTCCAAGATTTTGTTGTGATGGCCCTTACAACTCAGGTCTCAAGGCAAATGTAACCTTCTGAAAAAAAGCCTTTACTGACTCTGTCTCTTAATAGTTTTCCCCTAACAACTTATCATAATTTGAATTTGTATCATACACTTTCTTGTTTATGTTTGAATTAATCTCCTTCCCCCCAGTAGAAAGAAAGCTGCATGAAAGTGGAACCTTTTCTGTGTTGTTCACGCCTGTAATTCTGTGCCTAGAACAGAGCATGACACACATTGATACCCAATCAATAAATCATAGGCTTTTCCTTCTGTTGGAAAGTCCCATCATTTCTGCACCAAGCCAATTCCAATCTTCAAGAGGTGTCTAGGAAACTTTCCATTCATCTCTCTTACTTCCTGATTGCTCTCAGAATGAGGTAATTTATTTATTTATTTATTTTTAGATGGAGTTTCACTCTTATTGCCCAGGCTGGAGTGCAATGGCACAATCTTGGCTCACTGCAACCTCCGCCCCTTGGGTTCAAGCGGTTCTCCTGCCTCAGCCTCCTGAGTAGCTGGGATTGCAGGCATGCACCACCCACCTGGCTAATTTTGTATTTTTAGTAGAGACAGGATTTCTCCATGTTGGTCAGGCTGGTCTCGAACTCCCGACCTCAGGTGATCCACCCACCTCAGACTCCCAAAGTGTGGGGATTACAGGTGTGAGCCACCGCGCCCAACCGAGGTGATTTCTAAAAACTGTTCTCTGAGAGAGTACCTTGTACACATTTCTTTTTTTTTTTTTTTTTTTTTTTGAGACGGAGTCTCGCTCTGTCGCCCAGGCCGGACTGCGGACTGCAGTGGCACAATCTCGGCTCACTGCAAGCTCCGCTTCCCGGGTTCACGCCATTCTCCTGCCTCAGCCTCCCCAGTAGCTGGGACTACAGGCGCCCGCCACCGCGCCCGGCTAATTTTTTGTATTTTTTAGTAGAGACGGGGTTTCACCTTGTTAGCCAGGATGGTCTCGATCTCCTGACCTCATGATCCACCCGCCTCGGCCTCCCAAAGTGCTGGGATTACAGGCGTGAGCCACCGCGCCCGGCCCCTTGTACACATTTCTATTTCAACCTTATTATACTGCACTTTATACTGCACTGTATATATTACATATATTATATACTATATATATAGGTATATAGATATACCTATATATGTATATAATACTGCACTATTATACTGCATCTGTTTGTCTCTCCTCCATTTTATTTTGAACTCCCTGGAAGCAAGAGCTGTGTCAACCGGTTTTTTTTATTACCAAATGCCCAGCATGGGGCCTGATAACAGTAGATGCTCAGATAGTTGTTGATTGTTGGTGAATAAGTGAAGGAGGATTGAAGAGGATTGAGACTAGAGGTAGGGAGGGCAGATAGGAGTCTCTAATATCCACTGCTAGGAATCTCACCTTTGAAAGTATACTCACACGTGCACAAGGATGATAGTGGGGCATAATAAAAACAGGAAACAAGCTACATTCTCATCAAAAGGCAATGATTAAATCATATAGTCTACATCTTTATAATGAAATACTAAGTAGCCATTAAAAATGTAACATATATTCACATACTTAAATAGAAATCTCTCCAAATCTTTTATTAAGTGAAAAAGATTAAGTGAGAGACTATTATGTAAAGCAAGTAATATGGTTTGACTCTGTGTCCCCACCCAAATCTCATCTTATAGCTCCCATAATTCCCATGTGTTGTGGCAGGGACCAGGTGGGAGATGACTGCATCATGGGGGCAGGTCTTTCCTGTGCTGTACTTGTGATAGTGAATGGGTCTTACGAGATATGATGGTTTTAAAAACAGGAGTTTAACTGCACAAGCTCTCTCTTTGCCTGCTGGCATCCATGAAAGATGTGACTTGTTCCTCCTTGCCTTCCACCATGATTGTGAGGCCTCCCCAGCCAAGTGGAACTGTAAGTCCAATAAATCTCTTTCTTGTGTAAATTGCCCAGTCTTGGGAATGTCTTTATCAGCAGTGCGAAAACAAACTAATACAGCATGTTCCCATTTGTGTAAAGAAATACTCAAAACTTATGTCTTATCATCCATACATATACATGTATGCAAATATAAAGGAACAAGAACTAAAGGGATATACACCAAATGCTTAACAGTGGATATATATGTGCAAGGAGAGAATTAGGATGTGCTATGGAAAGAGAAAATTCACCATTTGTACTTTTATATTATTTGAATTTTTTACAAGGAGAAAGTTTTTTTATTAATTATGTAATTAAACATGATTTTAGTCTGTGTCACTAATATGGGCAAGAAGTTATTGGGATCTGATCAATGACAATTGCAAAAAAAAATTTTCAGATTTGTAGAACTTAGTGAATAATTGTAGAAAATGAGGGAGAAGGAAAAGTCTAGGGTGACCAAGATTTTAACCTTAGATACTTCAGTGGATGGTGATATTTACTCTGTCAGACAACAAGGCAGAGAATACAAGATTTAGATGGGAAGAAGATATGTTTAGTTTAGGCATGTTGAGTTTGAGGTGCTTATGGAATTTTCAAATGGACACATTTACTAGTTAGTTGTACATATGAGTCTTGAGTACTGGATAGAGACTGGGAATTAAAAATGAAGATTTGGGACAATCAACACAGATTAGATACTGAAGTTGGAGAGCAGGTGTTTGTCTATCAGCAGTCATAAAGCAGGGAGATCAATAAGTCCCTCGAAATGATATGTAAAATTTGTGAATATGCCCCCTACCCCCCAGTCCTCACACTTCTCTGAAAGAGTTCATCATTTCAACAGATTTTTGAAAGAAGCTCATGACTCAAAAAGATTGAGAGGAATCTGGTAGAGTGAGAATGGAAAATGGTTGACGACAAACCTTGAGGATGACCAGTGAAGGAAGCTAATTTTTTTTAAAGAAGTGAGAGAACAAAAAGAAATCATGATGGAGACTTAGAATTTGCAAGGAGATAAACAGAGACATAAGAATATTAAGAAAGTTAAGAATATTAGGGTGGAGAAAAATCAAGAAAAATGAACAATTTGAAAGTATGAAATTCTTCGGAAAGTTCCACTAAATGCAATCTTCCTGCTAAGTAGAGAAAGCAGGTAACTTAAGGCTATATACCAACAAATTAATAATTATCTTATTTGTCAAGGAATACAGAAGCAAAGAGAATGACGTAAGATGTCTGCTTATTTGCAAAATATCCTATCTTGGTTTGAAATTTTGTTTTTTCTTTTTTTTGAGTTATGAAGCCCTAGAAACTATCCAAGTATTAATAGAATAATGGCCTATGATCCTCAACCAAAAATCAGAGAGCCCTCAGATGGGAAATGTTTATTGGAGGCTGTTTCATACTAATTTATGCAGTGACAGCATATAAACATTTCGTAGAGAGAGATTAAGGAACTTGTCATTGTACTGTGTATGGGTTACAACATACATATTACTAACCACCATCTCCACAAAGATAGCATGTGGCAGAGCCTGAATATTAGCCTAAGTGTGTATTCTGAACACCAGACACATTTCTTCTTCATTGGAAGAAGTAACACTACATATTGTGTCACTAACCCAGTACCTATCTGGTTAAATCAGATCTCCTTCCAAGACTTTTTCTGAGAAAAGTGATATTTCAAATAGCATGATGTTGGGACATACAAGTTCTGAAATGTTTTCTCCTAGATGCCTAAACTAACAGTCTTTGGAGGGCTTGGAGAAGGCAGTGAGCCAGGGTGTGGTGCAGAAAACCAGTGCCTACACACAGTGGGCCTTCAGTTTGCTTCTTGGGACCCCGATTGACTCAGAAAAGCTTTCTTCTAACTTAGTTTGCATTACCTTGGAGATTAGTTAGGAGAGTAAATCCAAAAATGGCAATGAAAATTTCATTACTCATCTCAGGTATCCATTTAGATTTTACTTTGTTTCATTTTATATTTCATTTTTGCATTTCCCCATCTTCTTGCAGTCTTCTGTAGGCTCCTGCTACTGTGTACATTCTTTCCAGGGTTCCAGGGTTAGTCATTGTGGTTTGCATACATTGAGTTGTCTGTAGTACCTTTAATGTCCTGAGTTATGCTGTGGTGTGGAAACTATAGCTGTTACAAAGAGTAAATGATCTGTGAGTCCAGGATTTCTGCAAGAGAGAAACATAAAATAAATCCCTTTCAGGGAATAATATTAAAGGGAAAAATAGAAGAGAAAGAGAAAGAGAGCCTTTGTTATCAATTTGCCCAGTTTCTTGACTACCTCTGAGTCAATTTCATCAGTGGGGATGCTCAATTCCATCCTAGCACAGGGTAGAAAACTTTTATGTCCAAGTTAAGAACCAAAAAGGGAACTAAATAGGTTTTTCTCTATGCTAGCTTCAGACAGTATCCCTGGAGATGTTCCTGTGACTGAATCAGGATGTTCAGACAGCCTGGCAAAGCATATTTTCCCTTTTATTTAAAACAGAAATTGAAATTCCTCATATTGTTTCATGTCCTCTCATATTTTGAAATCTCTACTGGAAACCACATAAACCTTGGTAGTAAAAGCAAGATTTGGCACATATTATTAAAATGTTCATTTTTAGACAATCTCTTGTGAAACCAAGTTTTTCATACAACTTCTAGTTCACCAATTTTGGTTTTATTTTTTCTTTCTTGTCATACAGTGATCAGTAAAAAAAGAAGCAGCAGGAGAGAAAATAAAGGGAAGTAATGGACCCAAATTACCTACACTTTCAACCTTTAGCAGTGCTTCATGATTAGACGAGATAATGTTGTGTTGGTAGGGTTTTGAACAAATTGTAGAGCTCAGTAAATGTCTCATATTATTATAATTCATAATGCCAACCACAAAAGAAAATATTATTATGAATTTTTGTTCTTTTTCCCATATTTCATATGAAAAGTTTTTTTTAATAAAAGGCAATTTTGATTCAGTGGAAAGATAACTGGCCTGAGAGTACAGAGAATTTAGTTTCAATTTTGTTATGGATTTTATGCATTTGTGTAATAGTGACATTTCTATTTGAATGTATTTCATAGCAATGGAATATTTCTTAACTCTCAAAAAGAAACTAAGAAGTCACTATTTAAAAACTTATAAATGAGTTTATTCCATAGAAATATCCGGGGAAATAGCCCCCAGTATTTCAACGTAGGTTCTTTTCTATTTTTCCTAAGTGTCGACCAGTCTCAGAAATAAAGAGAAAGAGCACAAAAGAGAGAAATTTTACAGCTGGGTCTCCAGGGGTGACATCACATGTCAGCAGGTTCCATGATGCCCCTGAGCTGCAAAACCAGCAAGTTTTTATTAGCGATTTTCAAAGGGGAGGGAGTGTATGAATAGGGTGTGGATCACAGAGATCACATGCTTCAAAAGGCAATAAAATTCACAAGGCAAATAGGGGCAGAGCAAGATCACAAGGCCAGGGCAAAATTAGAATTGTTGATGAGGTTTCATGTCCCACTGTGCACACATTGTCATTGATAAACATCTTAACAGGAAACAGGCTTTGAGAGCAGACAACCGGTCTGACTAGAATTTCGCCAGGCTGGAATTTCCCAATCCTAGCAAGCCCGGGGGCACTGCAGGGGACCAGGGTGTATTTCATCCCTTATCTACAACTGCATAAGACAGACACTTCTAGAGCGGCCATTTTGGAGACCTCTCCCTGGGAATGCATTCTTTTCCCAGGGCTGTTCCTTGCTGAGAAACAGAATTCAGTGATATTTCTCCTATTCACTTTTCCAAGAAGAGAAATATGACTGTGTTCTGCCCGGCTCTGCAGGCAGTCAGACCTTATGGTTACCTCCCTTGTTCCCTGAAAATCACTGTTATCCTGTTTTTTTAGGATGCCCAGATATCATATTGTTCAAACACACAGGTTTTACAAACAATTTGTACAGATAACACAATCATCACAGGGTCCTGAGGCAACATACATCCTCAGGTTATGAAGATGATGGGATTAAGAGATTAAAGTAAAGACAGGCATAGGAAATTATAAGAGTATTGATTGGGGAAGTGATAAATGTCCATGAAATCTTCACAGTCTATGTTCAGAGATTGCAATAAAGACAGGTGTAAGAAATTATAAAAGTATTAATTTGTGGAACTAATAAATGTCCATGAAATCTTCACAATTTATGTTCTTCTGCCGTGGCTTCAGCCGGTCCCTCTGTTTGGGGTCCCTGACTTCCCGCAACATAGAAATAATCTTCTTCAAGTAAGAAATACTGGCAAAATTCAGTGAAAATTCTTCTTAAGATATTTTTCAATTATAATGAAACTTTACAAATTACCAGGGTACTGGCCAGTGCTCAGTTTTATATATTTTAAGTATAAATTATTTAGAAAATTGAGGCATTTATAGTAATGAAAAGACAATTACTATCATCAAATCTTATTAGGTCTTCATACTTTATCATACATGATTTAAATCAGTATTTTAGGTAATATTAGAGATAAAATAAAACCTCCCTTAAAGAAGGGTTTAATATTTAAATCACTGTCTCCTCCCCCAAAATAACCATTTTCTGGAAACTGATGTTTAAAAATCTTACATATGCTTTCATACCATTCCTACATAATTATGTGTCTATAAATATTATTTTTCATGCCATTTTATGTATATGTTATCAGACTGTATATATCATTCTGAAAATAGTCACCATTCAACATTATTTTTATTTGATTTATCCATAGTACATAGACTTACAGTTCATGTATTTTAATTTCTTTGTGGTATTCCAGTGTATAAAATATAGAAAAAAAGTTTATGCATGCTTTAATGAACATTTAGATTGCTGCCTAAATTTTCAGCATTATGAACAATGCTGCAGTGATTAATCTTGTGTATATCATCATGTGCATAAATATGAGAATTTCTCTAGGATATATATGTAGAAGTGAAATTTGTGGGTTGAAAACTATGTACATATTTAAATTTGCTAGATATTGTCAAATCATTCTCCAAAAGGTCTATACCAGTTCCAAATCTCAGTATTTTTATATGATGTCACAGATATCTTGCTTCATGTTTGTGATACTATTTGCATTAACAGACTTTACTTATTTGCCCATCTGGGGTTAAGGACATGCAAGTGGGAAGCAGGGAACTGGTATTCTATTTTTTATTTAATTTCCATTTCTTTGATTACTAATGAGGTAAAGCATCTTTGAATATGATGATTGGAGTTTGATGTTTCTCTACTGTAAATTGCTTTGGTCATAATATTTGCCCATATTTCTATTGAATGGATTTGAGTTGCAAATATCATTTTTCAGTTTGTGGTTTGTCTTTTATCTTTGTTTACGATCTTTTGTGGAACAGAAAGTTTAATGTTGTAAATGTAACAACTTTTTGCTTATAGATTTTGCTCTTTGTGTCTTATTTTGTCACCATTTCTTTCCTGAAATCAAAAGTATATTTTCAATATGTTCTTCAAAAAGTTTTAAAGATCAAGCATTAGGGCTGGGCGTGGTGGCTCGCGCATGTAATCCCAGCACTTTGGGAGGCTGAGGCAGGCGGATCATGAGGTCAAGAGATCAAGACAATCCTGGTCAACATGATGAAACCCCGTCTCTACTAAAAATACAAAAATTAGCTGGGTGTGTTGGCACACACCTGTAGTCCCAGCTACTCGGGGGGCTGAGGCAGGAGAATCACTTGAACTTGGGAGGCAGAAGTTGCAGTGAGCCAAGATTGTGCCACTGCACTCCAGCCTGGCGACAGAGTGAGACTCTGTCTCAAAAAAAAAAAAAAAAAAAAAAAAGATCTAGCATTAGGTCGTTCATCTATCTGGAATTTAGTTTAATTGTAATGTGAGATATGTCTAATTTAATTCTTTTTCATATTGATAACCACACATAACCATAGTTGGCATTACTAATCCATAAAGAAAAGCTACATCACCCATAGTGTTTTGATTAATACTATCATTCATCATAGTATTTGTGGTTAACATTATGATTAATGTGTCTTTTTCTTTTTGATTAGTAGCACCAACTGTCATGACATTTTCATATTTTTATGGGTACATTTGTGTGTTCCCTATTCTGTTCCATTGCTTCATTTGCTTATTCTTTCACCCATACAAGACTATATGATAGAAGACTTATAAGTCTAGCTTTACTAGACTTAAAATCTGAGGCCCTGCCAGTGTCATTTACTTCTCTTGGCAGTATACTCTTTTATATAAGTCTTATGATCAGCTTGTCTATTTAATCCAAAGAAAAACTTTCAGGAGTGTATAATAAAATGCATTGAATTTATAGATCAATTTGGAGAGAAATGATATCTTTAAAATTTTGCATCATTATAACCATGAATATTTATTCCATTCTTGTTACTTAGGTCTTCTCTTACTGTCTTGGTTATTTATTCTTTTTTATTGCAGAATTGTATTCATTATATAAATATCTTGTAATTTGTTTGCTCATTCTCCTGCTAATGGGCTTTGGGTTCTTTCCAGCTTTTGGCTATCATAAATAAACCTGCTGCGGACATTTTTACATGACTTTAAGTGGACATAAGCACCTGCTTTTGTTGGACACGTACTCAAGGGTATAATTGCTTAGTCAAAGGGTACACATATGATTAGCTTTAGCAGGTACTGCAAAATGGCAGACATGCATATTCAGACATTTAATAGCAATATAAAAGACTGTCAGATGGTCTAAAACCTCAGCAACTTTGAAATTATATTTTTAATTTTAGCTATCTGGTGCTGAGTATGTCTTTGTATCCTTTTTGTGGCTTTAAACTTGTCTTTGATTACTAGTGATGTTGAGCACCTCTTCATATATATAGCACTGATTTTATTATCCTCTTTTGTGAAGTATTTGGTTAAGTCTCTTGCCTTTTAAAAAAAACTGTACATTTTTCCTTTTCATATAGTTTAGTATGCATTATTTATATATCTTGGATACAAGCTTTTTGACAAATATATGTATTGTAAATCTCTGCTCCCAATCAGTAGCTTTCCTCTCTAGTATATTAAGTACTGTAATTCAATAAACAATAAAAAATTTATTTCATAGTGATTTTTTTATCCCATTTAAAAAATATTTGCTTATCCCAAGATCATGAAGATATTCCCCTTTTTATTTCAAAAAGACTGATGATTCTACTTTTTACATCATGATCTGTTTTGATTGTATTGATCTATAATCTAAGGTGTTGGGAGGGGTCAAATTTCACATTTTAGCTATTCAGTTGACTCAGCTCCATATTTTGAAAAGACCACCTTTCCCCTCTGATTGGTAATGGAAACTTGGTTGTAAATCAGTTACTAAACACATGAAAGATTTGTTTCAGGACTCTATGCCATTCTGTTGATCTCTTTCTCTATTCTTGTATTGGTTAGACTGAATTCATCCTTCATCCTTCAATCAACCACACTAAATTACTTACTTTTGGTTTAAAAATAATCACTTTATACGTAGAGTAAATCTATCAGATTTTCTCCTTCTTTGAGATTGTTTTGGTTAATTTAATTCCTTACATTTTCTTATACATTTTAGAATGTTAATTTATACATACACAACAATTTGGATTACGATCAAACTAGCATTGACTCTGTAGGTCAGTTTGGAACAAATAGACACCTTTAAATATGTAGAATATTCTATTGCATGAACATAGGATACCACCTCATTTATTTTTGTCTTTTTTTATATTTCTCACAGAAATATTTCATAGTTTCTAACGCAGAGGTCCTTTATTAGATTTATTCTTAGATATTTAATATTATTTGATACTGTTTTAACTGAAAGTTTAAAGTTTTAATTTTCCACTTGTTATATTAAAAATGATTATTTAATACTGACTTTGTATCCAGTAATTTTTGATAAATAATGACAGAATATTCTGGTAAACAATTTCTTCTTCTCCAATGTTAAGATAATTTATTTCTTTTTCTTGCTTTGACTAAAACCATCAGTGAAACACTGTGTTGATGAAAAAAGCCAAGATCTGTAAAATATTTCAAGAGATTCTGAGCCAAATGTGAGGACCAAAAATTTTATATATATATATATATTTTTTTTTTTTTTTTTTTTTTTAAAGACAGGGTCTCTTGCTCTATTACCAAGGCTGGAGTGTTGTGGTGTGATCATGGCTCACTGCAGCCTTAAACACCCAGGCTGAAGCAATCATCCTTTTCAGCCTCCCAAGTAACTGGTACTTTGGCATGCACCACCATACTTGGATAATGTTTATATTTTTCATAAGTATGGTATCTCACTATGTTGCCCAGGCTGGTCTCAAACTCCAGGGCTCAGGCAATCCTTCTGCCTTGGCCTCTCAAAGTGCTGGGATTATAAGTATGAGCCAGCATGCCTGGCCCTATATGCTAATATTTTGTTTTTATTTACGTTCATGAGAATTAGTGGCCTATAATTTCTCATTCTTATAATGTTTTATAAGATTTTGGTATTAGCATTATTCTAAGTTGAGAAGAATAACAAAATAAGTTGGGAAGTATTTCTCTTTCCTTATTCTTTGAAAGGATTTGTATAAAACTAATATTATTTCACCAGGGACAGTTTTTCTTGTAGGAAGGTTTTTAATTACAGATTTAATTTCTTTAGCAACCAAAGTTGCCTATCAGATTTTTATTTCTTCTTTTGTCAGTTTGGATATTTGACATTTCTCAGGAAACTTGTTCATTTCATCTCAGTTGTCAAAGATACCAACTTTTCATAATACCTTCTTATTCTAATATTCATGATTTGAAAAGAGTAATGTTCCCGGGGTATTAATTATTTTTATAAATGTTAAAATAACTTTTATTTTATTGATTGTCTCTATTCTATGTTTATTTTCAACTTCATTCATTTCTTCTTTTACTTTTTTAGATTTTCTTCCTTTACTTTCTTTGGGAATAATTTTCTCTTCTTTTCTACCTTCTTGAGTTGGGTGTTTACATAACTGATTCTCTACTTCTTTCCTAATAACATGCATTTAAAGCTATAAAATCCCTCCAGTCACTACTTTTGCTACATCTTACAGATGTTTGTAAGTTATAATTTTAGTACAAAATATTTTTAATGATAATTCCATACCAAATAATTTTCATGGTGATTTCCTATGTTACTCATGAGTTATTTAGAAGTATGTGTCTTAATTTACATGCACTTAAAAATCTCTATTTTTCTATCTGTTGTTGACTTCTAATTTAATTCTTTATGGACAAAAACCTGCATTGTATTTGAAATTTGTTTCTTTGAAGTCTTCTTTGTCTTATGTTAATATATATGTGCCATCTTTCTTTTGGTTAGTGTTTGTATAATATATATTTTTCAGTTCTTTTATATTCCTTTTTTTCTTTAATCTTATTTTTAAATTGTGTCTCATAAATCATATATATATTTTTTTCTTTTTAAAATCTAGTTTTACAATCTTATTTTCTAGTCAGAGTACTTACACTCTTCACATTTAAGGTAATTACTGATATGCTTAAATGTGTCAGGCTATTTGTGTCCTATTCGTCACATCTGTCATTTTTGACTGTATTAGTTTTCTATTGTTGTGTAACAAATTTCCACAAACTTAGCATTTTTTTTATTATTATTATACTTTAAGTTTTATGGTACACATGCACAATGTGCAGGTTAGTTACATATGTATACATGTGCCATGCTGGTGTGCTGCACCCATTAACTCGTCATTTAGCATTAGGTATATTTCCTAATGCTATCCCTCCCCCCTCCCCCCACCCCACAACAGTCCCCAGAGTGTGATGTTCCCCTTCCTGTGTCCATGTGTTCTCATTGTTCAATTCCCATCTATGAGTGAGAACATGCGGTGTTTGGTTTTTTGTCCTTGTGATAGTTTACTGAGAATGATGATTTCCAATTTCATCCATGTCCCTACAAAGGATATGAACTCATCATTTTTTATGGCTGCATAGTATTCCATGGTGTATATGTGCCACATTTTCTTAATCGAGTCTATTGTTGGACATTTGGGTTGGTTCCAAGTCTTTGCTATTGTGAATAGTGCCGCAATAAACATACGTGTGCATGTGTCTTTATAGCAGCATGATTTATAGTCCTTTGGGTATATACCCAGTAATGGGATGGCTGGGTCAAATGGTATTTCTAGTTCTAGATCCCTGAGGAATCGCCACACTGACTTCCACAATGGTTGAACTAGTTTACAGTCCCACCAACAGTGTAAAAGTGTTCCTATTTCTCCACATCCTCTCCAGCACCTGTTGTTTCCTGACCTTTTAATGATTGCCATTCTAACTGGTGTGAGATGGTATCTCACTGTGGTTTTGATTTGCATTTCTCTGATGGCCAGTGATGATGAGCATTTTTTCATGTGTCTGGTGGCTGCATAAATGTCTTCTTTTGAGAAGTGTCTGTTCATATCCTTCGCCCACTTTTTGATGGGGTTGTTTGTTTTTTTCTTGTAAATTTGTTGGAGTTCATTGTAGATTCTGGATATTAGCCCTTTGTCCGATGAGTAGGCTGCGAAAATTTTCTCCCATTTTGTAGGTTGCCTGTTCACTCTGATGGTAGTTTCTTTTGCTGTGCAGAAGCTCTTTAGTTTAATTAGATCCCATTTGTCAATTTTGGCTTTTGTTGCCATTGCTTTTGGTGTTTTAGACATGAAGTCCTTGCCCATGCCTATGTCCTGAATGGTAATGCCTAGGTTTTCTTCTAGGGTTTTTATGGTTTTAGGTCTAATGTTTAAGTCTTTAATCCATCTTGAAATAATTTTTGTATAAGGTGTAAGGAAGGGATCCAGTTTCAGCTTTCTACATATGGCTAGCCAGTTTTCCCAGCACCATTTATTAAATAGGGAATCCTTTCCCCATTGCTTGTTTTTCTCAGGTTTGTCAAAGATCAGATAGTTGTAGATATGCGGTGTTATTTCTGAGGGCTCTGTTCTGTTCCATTGGCCTATATCTCTATTTTGGTACCAGTACCATGCTGTTTTGGTTACTGTAGCCTTGTAGTATAGTTTGAAGTCAGCGTGATGCCTCTAGCTTTGTTCTTTTGGCTTAGGATTGACTTGGCGATGCAGGCTCTTTTTTGGTTCCATATGAACTTTAAAATAGTTTTTTCCAATTCTGTGAAGGAAGTCATTGGTAGCTTGATGGGGATGGCATTGAATCTATAAATTACCTTGGGCAGTATGGCCATTTTCATGATATTGATTCTTCCTACCCATGAGCATGGAATGTTCTTCCATTTGTTTGTATCGTCTTTTATTTCCTTGAGCAGTGGTTTGTAGTTCTCCTTGAAGAGGTCCTTCATGTCCCTTGTAAGTTGGATTCCTAAGTATTTTATTCTCTTTGAAGCAATTGTGAATGGGAGTTCACTCATGATTTGGCTCTCTGTTTGTCTGTTATTGGTGTATAAGAATGCTTGTGATTTTTGTACATTGATTTTGTGTCCTGAGACTTTACTGAAGTTGCTTATCAGCTTAAGGAGATTTTGGGCTGAGACAGTGGGGTTTTCTAGATATACAATCATGTCATCTGCAAACAGGGACAATTTTACTTCCTCTTTTCCTAATTGAATGCCCTTTATTTCCTTCTCCTGCCTAATTGCCCTGGCCAGAACTTCCAACACTATGTTGAATAGGAGTGGTGAGAGAGGGCATCCCTGTCTTGTGCCAGTTTTCAAAAGGAATGCTTCCAGTTTTTGTCCATTCAGTATGATATTGGCTGTGGGTTTGTCACAGATAGCTCTTATTATTTTGAGATATGTCCCATCAATACCTAATTTATTGAGAGTTTTTAGCATGAAGGGTTGTTGAATTTTGTCAAAGGCCTTTTCTGCATCTATTGAGATAATCATGTGGTTTTTGTCTTTGCTTCTGTTTATATGCTGGATTACATTTATTGATTTGCATATATTGAACCAGCCTTGTTGTGTCCAAGGGGTGAAGCCCACTTGATCATTGTGGATAAGCTTTTTGATGTGCTGCTGGATTCGGTTTGCCAGTATTTTATTGAGGATTTTTGCATCAATGTTCATCAAGGATATTGGTCTAAAATTCTCTTTTTTGGTTGTGTCTCTGCCCAGCTTTGGTATCAGGATGATGCTGGCCTCATAAAATGAGTTAGGGATGATTCCCTCTTTTTCTATTGATTGGAATAGTTTCAGAAGGAATGGTACCAGTTCCTCCTTGTACCTCTGGTAGAATTTGACTGTGAATCCATCTGGCGCTGGACTCTTTTTGGTTGGTAAGCTATTGATTATTGCCACAATTTCAGAGCCTGTTATTGGTCTATTCAGAGATTCAACTTCTTCCTGGTTTAGTCTTGGGAGAGTGTATGTGTCGAGGAATTTGTCCATTTCTTCTAGATTTTCTAGTTTATTTGCTTAGAGGTATTTGTAGTATTCTCTGATGGTAGTTTGTATTTCTGTGGGATTGGTGGTGATATCCCCTTTATCATTTTTTATTGTGTCTATTTGATTCTTCTCTCTTTTTTTCTTTATTAGTCTTGCTAGCGGTCTATCAATTTTGTTGATCCTTTCAAAAAACCAGCTCCTGGATTCATTAATTTTTTGAAGGGTTTTTTGTGTCTCTATTTCCTTCAGTTCTGCTCTGATTTTAGTTATTTCTTGCCTTCTGCTAGCTTTTGAATGTGTTTGCTCTTGCTTTTCTAGTTCTTTTAATTGTGATGTTAGGGTGTCAGTTTTGGATCTTTCCTGCTTTCTCTTCTGGGCATTTAGTGCTGTAAATTTCCCTCTACACACTGCTTTGAATATGTCCCAGAGATTCTGGTATGTTGTGTCTTAGTTCTCATTGGTTTCAAAGAACATCTTTATTTCTACCTTCATTTCGTTATGTACCCAGTAGTCATTCAGGAGCAGGTTGTTCAGTTTCCATGTAGTTGAGTGGTTTTGAGTGAGTTTCTTAATCCTGAGTTCTAGTTTGATTGCACTGTGGTCTGAGAGACAGTTTGTTATAATTTCTGTTCTTTTACATTTGCTGAGGAGAGCTTTACTTCCAACTATGTGGTCAATTTTGGAATAGGTGTGGTGTGGTGCTGAAAAAATGTATATTCTGGTGATTTGGGGTGGAGAGTCCTGTAGATGTCTATTAGGTCCACTTGGTGCAGAGCTGAGTTCAATTCCTGGGTATCCTTGTTAAATTTCTGTCTCGTTGGTCTGTCTAATGTTGACAGTGGGGTGTTAAAGTCTCCCATTATTATTGTGTGGGAGTCTAAGTCTCTTTGTAGGTCACTCAGGACTTGCTTTATGAATCTGGGTGCTCCTGTATTGGGTGCATATATATTTAGGATAGTTAGCTCTTCTTGTTGAATTGATCCCTTCAGCATTATGTAATGGCCTTCTTTGTCTCTTTTGATCTTTGTTGGTTTAAAGTCTATTTTTTCAGAGACTAGGATTGCAACCCCTGCCTTTATTTGTTTTCCATTTGCTTGGTAGATCTTCCTCCATCCTTTTGTTTTGAGCCTATGTGTGTCTCTGCACGTGAGATGGGTTTCCTGAATAAAGCACACTGATGGGTCTTGACTCTTTATCCAATTTGCCAGTCTGTGTCTTTTAATTGGAGCATTTAGTCCATTTACATTTAAAGTTAATATTGTTTTGTGTGAATTTGATCCTGTCATTATGATGTTAGCTGGTTATTTTGCTCGTTAGTTGATGCAGTTTCTTCCTAGTCTCGATGGTCTTTACATTTTGGCATGATTTTGCAGCGGCTGGTTCCGGTTGTGCCTTTCCATGTTTAGTACTTCCTTCAGGAGCTCTTTTAGGGCAGGCCTGGTGGTGACAAAATCTCTCAGCATTTGCTTGTCTGTAAAGTATTTTATTTCTCCTTCACTTATGAAGCTTAGTTTGGCTGGATATGAAATTCTGGGTTGAAAATTCTTTTCTTTAAGAATGTTGAATATTGGCCCCCACTCTCTTCTGGCTTGTAGAGTTTCTGCCGAGAGATCCGCTGTTAGTCTGATGGGCTTCCCTTTGTGGGTAACCCGACCTTTCTCTCTGGCTGCCCTTAACATTTTTTCCTTCATTTCAACTTTGGTGAATCTGACAATTATGTGTATTGCAGTTGCTCTTCTCGAGGAGTATCTTTGTGGCGTTCTCTGTATTTCCTGAATCTGAATGTTGGCCTGCCTTGCTAGATTGGGGAAGTTCTCCTGGATAGTATCCTGCAGAGTGTTTTCCAACTTGGTTCCATTCTCCCTGTCACTTTCAGGTACACCAATCAGACATAGATTTGGTCTTTTCACATAGTCCCATATTTCTTGGAGGCTTTGTTCGTTTCTTTTTATTCTTTTTTCTCTAAACTTCCCTTCTCGCTTCATTCATTTCATCTTCCATCACTGATACCCTTTCTTCCAGTTGATTCCATCGGCTCCTGAGGCTTCTGCATTCTTCATGTAGTTCTCAAGCCTTGGCTTTCAGCTCCATCAGCTCCTTTAAGCACTTCTCTGTATTGGTTATTCTAGTTATACATTCGTCTAAATTTTTTTCAAAGTTTTCAACTTCTTTGCCTTTGGTTTGAATGTCCTCCTGTAGCTTGGAGTAGTTTGATCATCTGAAGCCTTCTTCTCTCAGCTCGTCAAAGTCATTCTCTGTCCAGCTTTGTTCCATTGCTGGTGAGGAACTTCATTCCTTTGGAGGAGGAGAGGCACTCTGCTTTTTAGAGTTTCCAGTTTTTCTGCTCTGTTTTTTCCCCATCTTTGTGGTTTTATCTACTTTTGGTCTTTGATGATGGTGATGTACAGATGGGTTTTTGGTGTGGATGTCCTTTCTGTTTGTTAGTTTTCCTTCTAACAGACAGGACCCTCAGCTGCAGGTCTGTTGGAGTTTGCTAGAGGTCCACTCCAGACCATGTTTGCCTGGGTATCAGCAGCAGTGGCTGCAGAACCACGGATTTTCATGATCCGCGAATGCTGCTGTCTGATCGTTCCTCTGGAAGATTTGTCTCAGAGGAGTACCCGGCCGTGTGAGGTGTCAGTCTGCCCCTACTGGGGGGTGCCTCCCAGTTAGGCTGCTCGGGGGTCAGGGGTCAGGGACCCACTTGAGGAGGCAGTCTGCCCGTTCTGAGATCTCCAGCTGTGTGCTGGGAGAACCACTGCTCTCCTCAAAGCTGTTAGACAGAGACATTTAAGTCTGCAGAGGTTACTGCTCTCTTTTTGTTTGTCTGTGCCCTGCCCCCAGAAACTCCACGCAGTTCGAGCTTCCCAGCTCCTTTGTTTACCTAAGTGAGCCTGGGCAATGGCGGGCGCCCCTCCCCCAGCCTCGCTGCTGCCTTGCAGTTTGATCTGAGACTGCTGTGCTAGCAATCAGCGAGACTCCGTGGGTGTAGGACCCTCCAAACCATGTGCGGGATATAATCTCCTGGTGTGCTGTTTCCTAAGCCCGTTGGAAAAGCGCAGTATGCGGGTGGGAGTGGCCCGATTTTCCAGGTGCCGTCTGTCACCCCTTTCCTTGACCAGGAAAGGGAACTCCCTGACCCCTTGCACTTCCCAAGTGAGGCAATGCCTCACCCTGCTTCGGTTGGCCCACGGTGTGCTGCACCCACTGTTCTGCACCCACCGTCTGGCACTCCCTAGTGAGGTGAACCCGGTACCTCAGATGGAAATGCAGAAATCACCCATCTTCTGCATCGGTCACGCTGGGAGCTGTAGACCGGAGCTGTTCCTATTCGGCCATCTTGGCTCCTCCCCCAAACTTAGCATCTTAAGACAATGCCCTTTTATTATCTCACAGTCTTGGGAAGCAAAAAGTTTAGGAATATATTAGTTGAGTTTTCTGCACAGGGTTTCACCAGGCTGAAATTAAGGTATTAGCCGGGGCTATAATCTCATGTGGGGCTCAAGGACTAGTAGATCTAGTTGTTACATAAGCTGTACCTAGTATGGAATCTAACAAAATGAGACTATTATCTTTGGAAAGTGGGGGTTAACAATGGGGCTGGGAAAGAAGCTATGCCTTGGAGATCAACAGCTCTGGGTTTAAATTCTAACTGTGGTGTGTATGAGTTTTAATTTTATCACCTACATAAAAGAGAATATTTTACTTATTTTACAGGATTAAGAGATTAAATGAAATATCTGAAAGAGATTGACATCTAGCTATGTCTCCTAAGCATCTATATTTATTACTAAGCATGAAAACTCAAACATATTTCTGAGATGGGAATTATGAAAAAATATTCAAAGTTTTGAAAAGATGTTGAGGTGATAGGAAAACAAAGTCATGTCCAGCTTCACTTGATAATGAGGGTGCAGTAGTGTGGTTAATAAAATTGAAAAGATCAGGAAAAAGTCACAGAAACTGCTTTAGTTATTTCATTTATTTATTCATCCAATATTTGTATCTGTGTGAGAGCCTACTCTGAGATGGGCATCTTTCTAACTGTTGAGAATACAGTGGTGAACTAACCAGACAAGGACCTCACCCTTTGTATAGTACGGCATTTCCTAAAATGTATTGACTGAGATGTTATGATTCCTACAAATTAATAAATGAATAAAGGATTTCAAAGTCAAATAAATTATTGAAGCTTTATGTTATGTGAAGTTTTATGTTTGCTGTAGTAGTTCTCAGAGCCTTGAATATGCAAATGAAAATTGTGAATCTATAAGAATTAGATATAATATGTAGCATTTCCAAATTATTTTACTTTAGAGCTTCTATATAGAGGAACACATACTAATATCTTGCAGGAGACAGCTTGAGAAGTGCTCAATGAAGCTTTAAGTCAGATTGAATAAATGGATTTATAAAGCAATATTAAAGGCTTGTCAGTATTTGGATTTCATTCATTGGTAATGGATCCAATCATGAAAATTATATGATGTTATTTGGCACAATTCCACAGCTTAACAAAAGGCCTAGAGAAAATGGGCAGCTGATTTGTCTAGGTGTAGAAATTGACAAAGTGATTAAAATAAACTATGGAGGTGTAACAAAATCCTAGAGGCTTGTGAAATAAAGATAAATCAGTGAACCATGTATTCCAGCCTGGATAAGGAGGAAAGCAAAGCCTCAATAATTTGAGAGAATAATGAGATATGGAAATATTAGAAGTATAATGCTATTGCTTAGAAGTAAGAAAATGTGGAAGAAAATTATAGTCAGAGAGACACATTTCAAGTTTCAAGATATCAGATGTGAAAAATGGATGAAAAGTGATGACATTGTTTAGGACATAACTGTGGATTCATTGCTAAAGTGGAATGAAGAGAAGGTAAAAGCCTTATGAGTCCATAGTATACAAATGGTTGTCCATTTGAAGAATGAAGTTACTTAAGCATCTAGAAGATTATGAAGTAGAAAAGAGAACTGTGGTTCTGGCATAAATAATTTATGCATACTGGGTAGGCACCTGGAAATTGGTGGAATTATGACTTTTAAAAGTTAAGTCCGAGTATGGTGGCTCACACCTGTAATCCTAGCATTTTGGGACGCCGAGGTGGGCAGATCACTTGACGTCAGGAGTTCAAGACCAGCCTGGCTAACATGGTGAAACCCCATGTCTACTAAAAACACAAAAATTAGCGAGGTTTGGTAGTGGGTGCCTATAATCCCAGCTACTGGGGAGGCTGAGGAAGGAGAATCACTTGAACCCAGGATCTGAGCCGAGATATCACCACTGCACTTTAGCCTGGGCAAAAGAGCGAGACTCTGTCTGAAAAACAAACAAACAAACAAAGTTAATATGTGGTCTTCGAAGTAGGCATGGTGGAACCAATGTAAAAATCTAATGGCTTTGAATGAGACAGTAGGAAGCAAGGATATTGCCAACCTTTCCTTAAAGTCAACAGATTTAATGCAAGTAGGAGTGCCTTTACATGGAGGTTCCATGGGTAGTACAATATAAGGGAGAGTGGGTCTCGAGTTCAGACAAACACAGGTTAGATTCCTGACTCTGCTGCTTACTATGTTACAGCCTTATTTAAATATGTAATGTCTGTATGAATTCTACATTCTTTCATAGACACAATATTCCCATCTCATATCTTGAAGGCTCTTCTGAGGAATGACAAAATTGTGTAAATCTTAGCACAGTGTCTGTTTTTCACACAGGACTAGGCTTTTTACTGTGAAAATGAGAGCCATATTCTAGAAAAATATTTAAACTTGTGTGAAGGTTATGAGCCAATGATAATAGAGGCAAAATTCTGAGATATGGGTTTGATTGTCATGGAAAAGATGGGAAAAGACTCTGGATGGAGTTAATTCTTTTCAAATTTCTACTGAATATTTGTGGGAACTTTGGTCTAAAGTGTAATGATGCATTTTAAAAATACTTGACCAAGGTAGAGATTGCCAAACTTGATGATAATAATAAAAATGAACAAAATAATGGCTAATATATATTAAGATCCAGCTAACTCTATGAAATAGATTTTACCACCCTACTACACTATTTATGCATATGAGAAAAACAAGAAGTGAAATGACCTGCACAAAAGCATAGAATTTGTAAATTGCAAAGCCAGTATACCCTCTCATATCAGATAGACATGCAAACATGTATAGATTTACATAGATATACACATATTTACATGTGTTTAAATATGTATAATGTGTTTATGTATGTATATATGTGTATGTGTTTATGTGTGTATACACACACACACACACATATGTATACACAGAGAGAGAGAGAGAGAACATTAGAATAGACCCACCGAAAGAACTCTCTAAGTACTATTTAAAAATGTATGTACCAAACATAAAAACTTACTGCAATTGACATTTTGGCATACAGGATTAGGTAAACACAACAGCTCAAAAATATTCTATAAAGCCAGTTATTGTAATCAATAACACAAATGTTCAAAAACCAAAGATCTACAAATTTAAAATAAATATGTTAAACAATGTAATGTGAATCTGGATTCTGTAAGACACAGGAATCTGATTTTCAGGTTACAAAACCTTCCAGTATATAACCATAGGATTCAATGGTCAGGGCAAACACATCATGAGAAAGGATGGTTTTACTTTAGAAAAATAGAGTAAGGAATCAAACATGAAGCCTTGTCATGACTAAAACAAACCAAAGTGGACGTGGGGCAAACTAAACCTCTTTTGTTCAAAGCTGTATGTCCAGTGCCTAGTCAGTTCCTGGCACCTTGTAAGTTTGTTGAATGAAGTGAATGAATGCCTGAGAAGAAAGAGCAGCAGCACAAGAACTGGTTGCTGATGACAATAAGGAAAACATTACATAGAACTTGGGTGCTGAGGCACTTGTATCTACTTTAGACTGTCTATGCTTCATTTCTTTATTTGTTGAGGAAATCGATCCAGAAGAGCTTGACCATAAATCAACAGCACTATTCTCTCTTTATTGACAGATATTCACCAAGTGAAGGGGAAAAATAACTTTAGTTTAGAGCTGGAAAGTCAACTGCTACCTAAAATCCATTTTGAGGGAAGGGACATTACTCTTAAGTCTTGGTGTAACAAAGAATAAATGTAGCATAAAGCTACTCCTTGACTCACCAAAATCTGAGATATATCAATCAGTGACTTGTCTAGAAATTTTGAACTGACAAGACCACTGAATTATTATTATGGGTTTCTGAAATTCCAACAAACTTAGGTCATGACCTTAAACACTCTGGAAGGAAGCATCTTTCAAGACTGAATGGCTCACAAATCTCAGACTGTCTGCTTTTCCCCAATTCCATCACATTAACTAAATAGCCAAATGCTTATGGTATTTACAGATTTTTATTCATTTTGACACAACTAAAATGTCTCCATAGATATCTCCATAGTGTAGACCAAAAACCCCACAATCATCTCTCAGTAACAGCAACATGGGTAAACAGACTAGAAGGCTGGTTTTTGATCAAGCACGCTGTTATTAAATGGTGGGTCATGGGGCGTAAAATGTGTAATCACACCAGAATAAATCTTAAATTTTACAGCCTCACTGAAATTACTTCCTACCAGACCAATGGTCAGGACTAAATGTGTTTGTCACACAAGGATGAAGGGCAAAATTGAACTATATTTCTGAATCATCAGTCCTAAAGGCTGTTAAACTAAGTCTTACCTTATATGACCTAGAAATGCAATCTGATTCAGCAACATTTACTAAGTACCTAGTATGAGTCCTCAACACAAGCCAAACTAATTATAATACATTGCAAATATAAGCATAAATAAAGTATCAAGGAGTAACTTATTTCAATTTTTAAAAACTGAAAAATTTCCTTGCTGTAAGTCACTGACATCGTCTTCTGAGTTGCAGAACTGAAAAATACCACGAAGAAGTCATTGTGTACAGTCTCCTGCCTTTGTGGACAAGATATATTATTATTACTTATTTGAGATGAAGAAACAAAAGCCTAAAAAGCATAAGTAGTTTTCTGAAGATTATGTGAATAGTAAACAACAAAATACAAGGGTAGAAATTAGGTCCTCTTATTTCTTGGTGCAAAATTTCTTCCTAGATTCCATGCTGTTTCCCACAGAATTATACATGGGAGAGTGAAATAGAGTCCAAATGACCTGAGATATAATTGTATAAGTACTCATTTATACATTTCTGCACAAGTCTGACTCTCCAAGTTCTGTTTAACTATGACCAGTTGAAGATTTTCATATGTGAAAGGTCAAACAGCAAAAATCATACAGCTTAAATTATTTTTGCTTCAGTCAGTTAAGAACTAGAAAGAGAAGTAAGAACAAGGGTAAAGATTGTTCTAAAGTTAGCCATAACTAGGTAGAGAGAAGGATATGGTTAGTTTGTTGTCCATTGTGAGTTTTGTTTTATTGAGGTTATTATGAAGTTCAGATAAATTTAACAAAATATATGCATAGCCTGGATATTCCAAACTACAAAATATTGCTGAGTGAAATTAAAGGATACCTACATAAATGAGAAGATATAACATACATTTTCCCCAAATTAATCTATATATTAAATGCAATTCTAATCAAAATCCCATGAGTCCCTTTTTAGTTCAAAAATGGCAAGCTGATTCTAAAGTTAATTTGGAAATGCAAAGGAGTCTACACAGCCAAGATAATTTTGAAAAAGAAAAAAAATGAGAGGACTCGTACTACAAAGCAACAGTAATTAAAACAGAGAGCTGTTGGTAGAAGAATGCACTTACAGATCAAAGAAATAGAATAGAAAGTCTAGATACAGACCCAAAATATATGGTCAATTTATTTTTTATAAAACTGTTTAGCTATTTTAATTGAGAAAGTATAGGTTCTTCAACAAATGATGGTAGAACATGTGGATATTCATATGGAAAAAAATGAACCTCACACATTCATGAAGATTAATGAATCACAGACTATACTTTTAAAACCTTTGCAAGCCATTAATAAGAAGACAGCAGGCAATTCGCAAATGCACAAATGGCCAGTGAGCATTTGTATACAACATCATTAGTCATCAGATAAATGCAAATTAAAACAAAAATGAAATACCCCTACTAGCCATTTAAATGGCTAAAATTAATATCAAAATAAAGAGAAAAACCTTAAAGCTCCTAGAGAAAAGTTATCTGATAAATTAGATTTCCCTTCATCTTCACCATAAGACCAAGATTTCTAATTTGTTCCTCATTGTATATCTAGCACTTAGCAGAGGGTATGAAATGCAACAATGGACTCAATAGATAAGAAGGGGATGAATGCATGCATAAATGAATATGTTATTAGAGTTATCTATTATTGTAGCAATATGCAATATCACAGGAATCAATATCATCTTGTTAAATCACATTTTCTCACACATATTTTGGTTGTAAACATATATTTTAAAATTTTCAGTTTTGAGATTGGTTTGTTCCCAAGTTCCACAATAAAACTGATACTAAATTTGTCTGACCTGTGGATGCTTTCCAAATCATTTCCATTACCTGATTGAAACAAACAGAAAATTTCTCTCTGATTAATAATAGAAATGTCATTGTTGAGTTTTTTGATATTTATTCCATGTGTTTAAAAGAGTATGGAGAGTCTGGGAAAAGATAAAGAGGTCATGACCATGTTTACATCCAACCTCTTTTTTTCAAAACTGCATAACCTAATCCATGTGAAGTAGGCTCCATGTACCAGGTTTGGACCTCTGAATTTAGAATGAATTAATCTGTTCCCCAGGGATTTGTAAAAGTTGCTGAGAGATTCATAAGCCCTGAGGGCAATTTGATGACAATAAATTGGAAAGAAGAGAAAGTCAGTTTCTGTACTGATAATAAAGAATGAAAAAGATTGGGAGAAAGCCACAATGAGAAGAGATGATGGGATCTTCTGGTGGTTCTAGTCTTTTCATGAGGCTGAGCAAGATTTTTGCCCTTGCATTCTATTAGATTACTTTGTACTCCTATAATATGCACCCCCTTCCCCAACTTTTTACTTTAGCTAATTCTATAATGTTTCTTTGGCTAGCTCCTCCCTTGACTCCTGGAAAAACACACACACACACACACACACACACACACACACACACACACACTCCTCCTAATGCACTGCAGGATAATCCCTAAGAATGTCTAAGTACCTTTTAGCATGATCCTCCCAGAAATCTGGAGAACTAATCTTATTCTAGTTTCATAGTAATAAATGTATGAATGCACTTCTCTGAAGTTGTTATTGCATGACAGAATTGAGAGTGATGGATGAGGAGCCTGTTCCAGCCTCAACGGTCTGTATGATCCATTGGCATTCAGTCTATATGGTATTACCTTAAGCTTGACTAGCTGCATGACGCCCTGAAATGGTGGTCTCTGGTGTGTTTCTAGATCAGGCTGCATCCTGGGCTGCTCCAATTACACATATAAGGATGGGCTTGCAGAAAATTAGTTCAGAGTCTGGTTGGCCCTCACTCATATATCATCATCCACAAACTATTCTAGACATTGGGTCTACGATCATATTTCTTCACTGTTTTCCACTTTTTTTGGATCCTTATTGCAAATTATTTCTGTATCATTTCGATGAAAAAAAATCTTGGCTTAACTTTTTCATCCCTGGGGTATTTCCTGGAAACCTAGGCCCAATTTTCACATTTGTCACCACACTAAACACACTTACACATAAAGAGATCTTTGCCCTTCCAACTCTCAAAGTAGGCAGTTCATGAGGCACCTGCTGAATCTCACCATGAATTTATTATATGTTTGGGATCTGGATTTAACAGATAAGTTTCACCAATGCCTTCTTTGATCCCCAAAAGCAGAATTAAACACTTCATTGTTCCCTCTTCTATGCCATCCTATATGTGCTTCTCTTTTTCTAATTATGTGTTGATTTTACTTATTTGTCTTTTCTTCTCAACTGTGAGATTCTTAGGAGCAAGTGATCTGATCTCATTAATATTTGTATCTGTGTGCCCTATCCTAGTCCCAGCCATGTACATTGACATTCAACAAATGTTTGTTTCATGAATAACTGAATGAATGGATGGATGAATGAATGCTTGAACGTCCACACAAATTCAAAGACTCAAATCATGAGACCTTTACATGTCTAATTTCCATAAGAAGAGTCTCTAAACACTGTTTTTACTGCTAAAATCAAATCATTGTCATAGGCAAGGACAAAGCAATACTGCTTTCAACAAAGGGATAGACAATGTAAACCTCCTCTAGTGTAAACTTGTGAGAAACCCTTTAGTGAATTATGAATATATAAATGTATATGTGCACATTTGCTGTGGAAGGGATATTGAATTCTCATTACGGACTTCTTGGGAAGCCTGACAGAGTAATTTTTCCTCTGTCACTGAGGTAAGGTGTGTATGTGAGAGGGGGATGAGTGAAAGAGGACGGAAAGGGAAGGAAGGAAAGAGGGAGAGAAAGAGACATTATGTATATGTATTTTTCCCTGTGCATGCAATCCTGTTAAATCAATAGTTACTAAAATCAGAGTTTGTTGTTACATCATAGTAAAAAACCACCATTTTGTCTACCTGCTACAAACTAATAGGAAAAAAATCTGCAATTTATTATTCTAAGAGGCGAAAGTTATCTTCAAAACATCTCTCTTACTAATCATTAGAGGTAATTAAATCCTCATAATGATGCTCCACTACTTGTATTGTTTTGGCTAAAGATGAATCATAAAATAAATACAGTTGACAATGTAGGTCAATAGGGTTGGCTGTTCAGTTTAACAAGCACCAAGTTAATGAATCCAAGGGCATGGATGTCACCCCCTTGCAAGCCTAGTAGCATTGTTTTTTGTATGACTGAAGCTGCTTTTCCCTGTGCTGTAGTCAGACTGTATCTGCATATGTTGAAATCATTTATTTCCTTTTAGGACTAATCTCTTATGTCCTTCTTATCTCCTTTCTGCCCTTCTTTTTTCTGTCTCTCCATTTTCTGTCACCTACATCTGTCATAAACTAGGTACATTTTTAGGCTAAAGGCTTACAACAAGAAATAAGACAATGTGGTTTGTTTTTTTTTTCAATATCCTGAGTCTAGCTAAGGAGAAATGCAATAAACACTTGTTAACAATGTAATTTGATAGATGCTTTTAAAGTGGTGTGTACAGAGAAGGAAATGGCAAATTAAATACAAAGGGGACTAAGAAGGCATCACAAAGGGAATTCCCCTTGAAATTTGTCTTGATAAGAGGACCTTGAAGGAGTAAACCCTCCTCTAAATATTTTATAACTATATTCTTTTATATGTTATAGGACCTCTAATAGGTGTGTATATATATATATACCTATTATATATAAAAATATATATACCTATATATAATATGTGTATGTGTATATATATACCTATATATAATATGTGTGTGTGTGTGTGTGTGTATGTATATATATATATATATATATATATACACACACCATTTGGCATATATATATGCCAAATGATTAAATGAATTAATGTTCTGCTTAGAGAATATAATAAAATGTATTCCAAGGACATGGAACAGCTTGTCTAAAGGCAAAGTAGCAAAAGAGAATTTGGCAAGTACATAATGGGCCAAAAATGACAAGAAAAAAATGAAAATATTTGATGCTTCATTTTAGGATTATAAAAGGAATTTTAGGAAAGGATTATACATAATTTTCAATGGTATTTTAAAAAAGTGAAAGCTATGATTTATACTATTTGTATGATCAAAATATTTCACTCTCTTTTTTTAATCTTAGCTGTATGCCAATGTTGTATTCTACTTTTTTCCTTTAGTTTTATAGCAAAAATATTTTCTAGGTTGCTATAAAGTCTTCATATGATTACTTTTCATATGGATGCCTAATATTACTTTGAGTTTACTGATCACTTAGCCATTGTTCTTGTTTTATCAATATTAGAATTAAGTCCTATAACAAATCCTGTATCAGCATCTTTCAATTTCTGGGTCAGCTGAGACGAAGCAGCAGGATGTCTATAATTTAGTGTGGCTGCATTTATACAGGGCCAAGGAAGCCAGGTCTGGTTTGCAGTTTCCCAATTTCTCTGATGGTCACTTCATGCTATGAGAAGTTCTGCAAAAGAAGATTTAAGCACCTTCAGTCAACTCCCCAACCCAAATCACATTTTGACCAAGATTTCTCCAACTGTGGGCAATACTGTCTACCATAGTAAGCATTAAAGTTAGTGACCTAAATAATTGAGTGGCCCACTCCAAGGGAGAGCTAGCGGACATGTTCCCTCCCTCAATGCTTAAGAAAGATGCTGAAGGGAAGGGCTCTGAGAGATGCACTGGAGAGCCCTGCCCAAGGCAGCCCTACACTGTGTACTTTCCTCAGCTCAGCATTCTGAGGAGTTTCATAAGAACAGCAGGGGTAGCAAGTGTGATGGGAAGCCCCAGAGAGACTTAGAGTTGTAGAGAGAAGACGGTGATCTTGGAGCAAGAAAAGGGCAATGGTGAATAAAACTCTGGTGAGCACATGAGAGGTTCTAGAAAACTCCTGTTCAATTAGGAATTACTGGAGGCTGATTGGCAGAGATTCAGCCAAATCAGATGCAGAGCAAAAGCCAAGAGAATACAGGAAACCCAGAGCACTGACAGGGTAGGAGCATAGGGCAGGGTTTGGCAGGAAGAAGAGAGGGTTAACATGAAGGCTTAGCGGAATTGTAAGGGTTCTAGTACAAATTGGTTTCTCTAGTCACTAAAGGTTTCAAAAAAAGGTTTGTTTTTTTCTCTTAGTGATGTAATGTAAAAAGAATAAAAAATTATTACAAATAAAGTTTGATACAATCAAAGTCTCAGAACATCTGGGTTGGGATTCATCTCTACTAATGTTTTGATTGTTGACCAAAGTTTGAGCTGGGCAATGAAGGCTGTAGGTAGATGAGAGAATTAGGTGATATTCTCCATTTGGAAATAATCCTACTGCTTCCCAATAATTTACTTGGCATTTCTTTGCCATCTCATTTTGTTTGTTTTTGGTTGCTTCCTTCAGACGTCTTTCTTCTGATATACACTCATGGACATTTCTATCATATATTCCCATCATACCCCATATGTATAATAGCACTTATCACACTGTATTAGATTTGCCTCTTTGTCTTGTACAATCCTTTTGGGGCTGTGTTAGTTTCCTAGAGCTGTCATAACAAAGTATCACTCCCTGGTTGGCTTAAAACAACGGAAATGTACTCCTTCAATTCTGAAGACTAGAAGTCTGAAATCAAGATGTCAGCAAGGCTATACCCCACTCTGAAAACTATAGGGGAGAAGGTTTTGTTGCCTCTCCAATTATAGCTCCTAATGTTGGTTTACAGATGCATCACCTCAGTCTCAGCCTCTGTCGTCACCTGGCCATCTTCTCCCTGTATATCTTTCTCTTATGAAGATGCCAATCATATTGCATTAAGGACCCACCCTACTCCAGTATAAGCCCATCCTACTCCAGTATAAGGGCCCACCCTACTCCAGTATAATCTTAAATAACTTTATGTCTGCAATGATTGTATTTCCAAATAAGTTCACGTTCTGAGATACCAGGACTTCAGTATCTTTGCAGAGAGGCGGAGCTTGCAGTGAGCTGAGATCGCGCCACTGCACTCCAGCCTGGGTGACAGAGCAAGACTCCGTCTCAAAAAAATAAATAAATAAATAAATAATAAATAAATATCTTTGCAGAGGAAGGGTCCATAATTCAATCCATAACAGCCAGCAAGGATTATGTCTACTTCGTCACTTTTACTTTTGTATCTTTAGTAATTATCTCATTGCTGAGCTCACAGAACATGTTCAATAAAATTTTGATGAATAAGTGAATGTGTGAATACAGAAATTAGGTTGTACTAAGAAATCCCTATTCTGTTCCAGTATAAAAGAAATTTACGTAGGAGGGTAGCAGATTAAGCCACAGGAACTTCAAGGCCCTTCCAACTTCACAGTTCTATGATTCCTTTGTCTCAACACTGATTTGGTTCCAGCTATTTAGAAAAGACCTGTGAACAGCAACTGCTTACTGACTACATCTCTTTAAATCCCAGATAGACAAAATTAAGTGTCATAAAGAATATTTAAGTGCGTAGAATTGTATACCTATTGTTTGGAATTTTAGAGGATTTCAAAGGTCTTCATCCTTATACTTAATTTTAGGCTATTTGCTTTTGAGCTACTCCGGGAGAGGAGCAGAGTCGGTTTGAGTTGCATGACTGACATCTTCTGGCTACAGTGGATATTACAGAAAGACTGAAACTCCGCAAAAGGTAATAAATGGTATCACTCTGGTTTTAACATTGAAAAGGAAAAGAAAGGTAACCTCATATGTGGAAGTAACAGAAAGCTATTCATAGATAGACCAATTCATTTTTTTAGAAAGAGTGACTATATAGCCTAAGAAATATGTGGAGTTCACCAGAATTGATTTTTGCCTTAAATAAGAAAGTGAAGGAGATGAAAACATAAATGCAGAGAGCGTTCAGGAACAGAGCATGAAGAAACAGATTGATCAGAAATGTTCTTGATGAAAGACTAGTGCTTCGGCTTTCTTATAAAGAATGTGCGTATGTGGGAAAGCTATGAAAGAGGTTCTTGAATACTTTAGCAACTTGACTATTGTTTTGCTCTGACCCAGACAAAGGTCTGGTAGGACTTTCCATCTGTACTTCTGCCATTTGTGATTGGCAATCCTTGCTCAGTTCCAGGGACGCTGTCAGAATAATTATTCATTCCTTCATGAAAAATGTGCTGTGCGTGTCCTTCCTAAACTTCAAACGTGTTCTCTAGTGTATTGTTCTCCATCTCTCCAACTTGCTTCTTTTCTTTTCCTTCCTTCCTTCCTCCCTCCCTCTTTCTTTTTTTTTTTCTCTTTTCTCTCCTTTCTTTTCTTTTCTTTCTTTCTTGACACAGTCTTGTTCTGTCACCCAACTTGGAGTGCAGTGGCACGATCTCAGCTCACTGCAACCTCCACCTCCTAGGTTCAAGCGATTCTCCTGCCTCAGCCTCCTGAGTAGCTGGGACTACAGGCCAAGCCACCATGCTTGGCTAATTTTTTGTATTTTTAGTAGAGATGGGGTTTCACCCTGTTAGCCAGGATGGTCTCGATCTCCTGACCTCATGATCCGCCCACCTCGGCCTCCCAAAGTGCTAGGATTACAGGAGTGACCCACCGCACCCGGCCTCTCCAACCTGTTTCATTTATCTTTTCTTGATGATGTAGTGCACCTACTACTTACCTGCTGGCCACATTGTTCCTGACTACTCTCAATCCTGAAAAGAGGACATGTGGCTGTGTTAAATAATTTGGTTTTTATCCTAACAGTAATTGGGTACCATTGAAAGATATCAAACAGTGAGGTAACAAGATCAACTTTGCATTTTACAAAGCTCAATCTGGCTGCAGTATGGACAGAGACCTGGCTTGGTCCCCTATGCAATTGCCAGGAGGGAGACACCTTCACTAAATTACCTTCATGTTTGCTGTACTCGGTAGAAACAGAATTGCTGTTTAACTGTTAACACTACAGCATAAGAGAACGAAGCAATCTGTTTTCACATATTCCTGCAAGGAAAAGGTTATTTGGTGTTATTTGTACAAACAATATTGAATAGTAGATATGGAGGAAATGAAAAAGAATAGGTCATCCACATGCCCATAGCCTCGGAGTAAAATAAAATATTGACAATGTAATGCAATAGCCAGGCAAAGTCACACCGCACAATACATACAAATGAAAAAAGTATTTGTGTTTGTTGATAGTTTCCTGATAATTAATTTCTGCATATGTAATGCAAATAATTTTAGAAATTGTTGGAAAGGAAACATGGATATCCAAAGACACTTGAACTTGATAATTTTGTGCCTCATTCTCTTAATCTCTGAAGTTGGTTTCATGTTGCAGGTGACATTACCACGTATATGAATCTTTAAATAAAATAGAAACAGTGGGACTTCTTTCATAGCTCTTGAACTGTGATTGAGTTTTGTTATCCATAGTTACCTTAGTAGAAACATGAGCTTCTTAAAAGGCAGGCCCCATGGCATATAACTCTTCCTTTCACTGTTTCTAGCATAATTCTTTGCACATGTAAATGAACAACATTAGTGCTGAATGAATAAATGGTGAATTAACAAATGGATGAAGGATGTTGTCAAATGATTGAAGCCGCAATTTTATTTTCCTGGTGTACTTTTTCAAAATGTATACTGGGATATTCATACAGGTATTCAACAAACATAGCACAGGTCTTTTTAGTCATCTGTTCATAACAAGTGTCAGTACTTGTCTTTATAATATCTTTCATAGAAGTTTATAGGAGGTAAAAATATATAACCAACTTTGAACAAAAGTATAATTCACACGGAATTCTTTAGTGCAAAAGAGATGTGTAAAAATTGAGTTTGCTGGGTATTTGCTAACCAGTATGTAATTCCTAACTGGCATTACTGAAAATTTTTTGAAAATTTGATTTTATTTGTCAGAAATCCCACTAAGTTTAAATTTAGTAGGGAGGAATCCTCAGTGTTTAACTGGAAGACCAATAAAAACCAAGAGGATTGCAGACCTGTTTTCTTATAAGTAGTTACGACACCTAAGAAAGTATTTTAAAGTTAATAAAGAAACATTAAATTTCTTGTTGAAAATATCAGTATGGAAAAATTTATATTTTATAATTACTACAATAAAATAAAACTTCTGTTTATTCTCCAGTGTGTTTGAAAAAAAGAAAAGCACCCTGGAATTTGGATCATTAAGGTAACCTATATTGTTGTGTTGTTGCCGAGGTTTTTTTTGTTTGTTTTTTTTTTTTTTACTTTTCCTGCCTTGCAATTTGAAATTTTTCATTTTTTATTGCAGTTATACTGATTCTTCAACTAAAACTTTCTTGGGACTTGTAATACGAAGTATCGTAAACAAGGTCATGCACCACTAATAAAAGAAATATTATTCGCTTATTACTCAGAATGCCTTGGGCTGTCTTTCTGCATGCAATCCACTTAATAAGTAACCCAATAGCAGACAAGTTCAGGAGAAGGTGCAGGCCTGTCCAGCCAGCAGAGGAAGAGTCAGCTGCCTCCACGACTACACTCCAAATGGACATATTTCATATTCTCCCCATACAGACTGCATGGCTTGGGTCTACCTGGAAACACCTTAGAATAGAGATCTCCCCTCCATTCCTGGGTTCCTTGGAAACATGAAGCTACACTCACCACCAACCATCTGTTCCCATGTTAAATATAAAATGGAGAAGAAATTGTCTATTTTGAAGGGAAGAGAGAGCCATCATCTTTTACAAGTGCCAGAGGTAGTTTTGCTTAGTGCTTCCAAGTCCTTTGTAGGCTGAGCACTGAAGTGAAGAGGATATGGGCAGGAGCTGCCTAAGAAGAGGAGATGAAAGAAAGCAGAAGTCCACTAGTGAGGTCTCTATAATGCCTCGGTATCTCCTGCCACAATCCACAGGCTGCCCTGGGCTCTGGGTCATCTCTAAAGATAAAATTAGTCATTGTATGCTGGCACTGATATTACATGTGTTGCATACATAGTCTCTAAATCATACACTAACCCTAAGAAATAGGTGTCACCATTCCCTTCTAACAGATAAAACGGAGGCTCCATAAAAATAGGTTAGTCACCAAACAATATTTTGGTTTGATCCTAAAGTCTATGATTTTCTCTTTACAAAGAGGGATCTGTGGAGCTCTGGGATGTTTCCTGTCTCCCACTAGACTGTCTGCTCACTCAGGATGGGTACCTAGTTTTTTTGCTTATGGTTCCATTCCAGGCCTTGGAAAACTGCCTAGGTATTCGTAATATATACATATTATGTATATATTATATAATAGACACATATTATGTATATATTATATAAGAGACATATAATATACATATATGTATATTTACCATTTGAAAGATGATAACAAGATAGCAAGCATACCTTAGAAGAAAAAAAAATCTCTAGATAGATTTGAAAATAAATAAATAAATAAATAATAAATAAATAAATAAATGGTCTAGGAATTTGTGCTGGGTTCGGCCTGAAATGATTGTATCATTGAGGCTCCCTGGCCATTTGGTTTCATGTTGGTTTTGGCCAGAGAGAGGCACTGGTAGATCAATAGGCTTGGAAGAGAGAGCGATCAGGGTAATTATTCCACGAGCTTTCCTCCTTGGAGTCATCTTGGCTATATCCCTCCACCTTAGGTCACAGCTCCCATCAGGGAATCCACTACAAAGTTCTAAATTTCAGTAACTGCTTCTTGCTTCTTCAGCCTGGGGGTGGCAATAGCTCCTTAATGTTGCCATTAGTTGTTGTTGTTGTTGTTGTTGTTTTTAATGTTTTAACTCTGCTCACATCTTTAGAGGTAGTTCTTTTATCAAACTTTCTTTCAATTTTTTATATGAGTGTGGCATCTATTTTATGCTGGAAATATGAATTATTCAGTAGATGTTTATTTATCTACTTAAATATTGATCAAACCCCAATTATATGTGCATTGTATGTGTTTGTATGGGAGAATGGCTCTCAGAACAATACAAATGTTGAAAACTGATATATCTTTTCTATTTAGATAAAATTGTTTCCTCTTCTCCAACATTTCACCATCCAAGTGAACTAATATTGGTAGTTTTAAATTTTGTTCTCTCTCTCCCTCTTTATTTCTTTCTTTCTCCTTCTTTCCTTCCTTTTTCCTTTCTTTCCTTTCTTTTCCTTTCTGTCTTTTTTTCTTCCTTTTGCATTCTGCCCAGCTATGGATAGTTATCCTACATGCTATGTAATGCTGGAGGGAAGACAAGTCCCATCTCTGGCAGCCAGATGTGGAGGTTACCAATGAGGAGCCTGGCAAGGAGGTTTCACCATAAGAAAAGGGCCTGCATGGCCGACTTTGTGGGTTGCTGGAGATGGTAGACTCAAGGAGGTCTCTTCAAGGTAAACATTGATTGCTACTGCCAGGCTGACTACATACTGCAGCTTCCCTCAGGTGGGCATCAGCTTTAGGTTTTCACTAACAGGCTGAGTGAGGGTTCTCAGAGGTCCTGTGCCTGGGAGGACGCCTGATAGAATCTTGCACTGGCTCTTATTGTTGGCTTTCATTGTCATTGTGATGAGCCCTGCTGAACAGGGATGTTCAGTGCCCAAGGGACGCTTACCTGCAATCACTCATTCCCTGCCTGCACACCCACATGCAACCTCAGAAACCCACAGTGACTTATACACAAAAGGATTAAAGGCAGGACCCAGGAGGTGGGGTGACCAGGAGTGCAGGGAGTTCCAGCCCACCTGCAAGAGAGGAAGCATCTCTATGCAAGCTTCCGTTTAGAAGCCTAAGTAGCTGCTCCTTACTCAGTCCTCTATATTAGAGTCCTTTTATGTCAAAATTTCTGGTTTGCCTGTCTTAAAGTTTCAGGTTTTTGTGTTCTATTTTCTAGTGCAACTTGTGTAAGAATGTCATCTTCTGTAATGCAAGCCTCCTTGTATTCATATTTCACATTCCTTGAGGACATGGCCATATATTTTTTTCTAAAGTATGGTCTGGTCTTGTTACACAGTCCTCAGAAATATTCTAATATTTTTTAACAAATGCAACCAGAGTCTTTTTAGTTTGGCATTCAAGGTGCTTTATAATATTTTTCCTATATCTCTGTTTTTAGTAGTTTCTTCTCTGTAACCTGTGTTTCAGGGAAAGAAAAAAAATCCTGAACATTTCTTGAAATTTTTCCTCCTTTATTATTTCTCCTGTTCAATTCTCCACCTCAGTAGCAAAGGTACTTCTGCATCAACCATCCCTACACTTTTTCTCTATTCACCAATAAAAATACCGAATGCGTTCTCTCCCTCCTTTGAACATGCAATTAACTTTGTTGTATCCCTCTCATAGTACTAGCCGACTTTTGTCTTGTAGTATGTTTATTGTAAATTTTTAAATTCCCATCCACTAGTTTGTAAGTTTCCTTGAAAGTTATTTTACACAAGAGAAGCCATGGAGATAAAGTCACTAGTATGTGGGTTTGGGAGGGCAAAGTGATCCAAGTTAGCACCTTGAGTTACAATATTTGAGAATTTTGTGAGGAGTAGGAGTCCAGGATTATTAGGCATCAAATAAATGTCTTCCTCTTCCTTCTGCTGGCTTCTCCAGCTCTAGGCAAACTTGGAATTCTCCTAGTGTACCCATTAGTTTCATTAAATCAATCTTTTGGTTTTTGTCTAAATATTTCTTTCTAGGAAAAGAATTTCTAATGCAGCCTTAACTTGCCAAGGCAGATACATACCACTAGCCAACATACTTTATGACTTTTACCATTTATGTTCATTTTTTTCCCTTTTTCACTGAAATATGTAGCAGGCTGAAAGGATATTAAGTTTTGAAGTAGTTTGCCTCAATAATATGACATAAGGGCATTTTTTCTCTATATGCTTATGTATTTTCAGCTTCTTTTTTATTTACTTTTACAATAAGCCTTTATATATGTCTAACCATAAATAGGAAGTTAAAAAAATATCCTGAGACATTTTGGCTGAGCTGCCTTTTATTTTCCTTTCTACAACTTTGCTTGCATGCCAAGTGCATACCTCTTAAGATCAAGGTAGCAAATAAAAAGAAAAAGTGGACTTCAGCCAAAGCACTTAGCAGGCTGTCAGAAAGCACTATAGGTAGTTGCTTCTGATTAAAATCAAACCAAACTTCCTTGAAAACTAAGGTTTCCAAAGTCACTCAAAAGTTATAGCAAAACAATTCATATTGACAGCAGTTGCTAGGGACCTGGAGAAATCTACTCATATAGTAAAGATAACTGGAAGTTTTGGGAGTGAGTTTGTAAATTCTGGGTTTCTGTTGGGATGTTAGATGTGGGGGGTGGGGGGGTTCATAAAGAAGCTCTAGATTTCTACTCACAACTCTTAGTAAGCACAAGAAAAAAACTAGGCTTAATGACAACAAAGAATGCCACTTCCTTAATAAATCTCTGGAGACCAAACTTGTATAGTAACATTTTTGTCCTGGTTATACAACAAAATTTTGAGACTCTAAAATCAACAGTTGAGATTGCAGCACATATATAATGAATTACTGTTGAACTTTCCTCACCTTGTGCAAAGTGCATGAAGAACACTTCATACACACATAATTGTGTGTGGCAGGTGGGGTGGGAGGGGATTACAGAAAATCAAATGGGTAAAACTCATTCAGGAGGAGGGAGCAGAAAGTATGGGAGAAGAGGTGTAGCTAGATTTGGTCATGGAGGAAATTATTGCTCCATTCTATGTCTGGTGGAAGCAAGACCTTCAATAACCCCCACAGCCTAGGGATAAAGTGGGGGTGTACTAGGGCACAGATCTAATGACCGGTCATACAAGCAGATACAACGGTGCTGTCAGGGCTCAGTGGGATAGGTCAGATGGTCAGGGAAATCAGCAGTGAGAAGAAAGACTGTAGGCTTTGGGGTCAGAAACGTGAGTTATGAATTCAGCTCTTCTGCTTACTAGCTGTGTGCCCTTGGGGAAATTGTTGAACTTCCATGAAATGGTTTTCTTCCCTCTGAAATGGAGAAAATAATATCTTTGTTTTTGTGCGAAGTAAATGGGACAGGGCATATATATAACATGACAGATGAAGACACATAATTAGTTTGACTACAGCCAGATGAAGCTCATCTAAGTTTGTTCATCTTTGCTTCTCCAGTATCTGCCATTTAGAATGTGCCCACAACTGCCAAATCAATAATAGAATAAAGCAAGGGGAATCCCTGAGTCTTCATGGAGTAAGAGCCACACCTTCTTAAGGGGATCAAGGGGCAAAGTGACTTGAAGACAATATTATCATGATAAATAAGGAAATAAGGGAAAGTGTGGAAGGTTTTCATCTCAATGGACATGAAAAAGGTCAGAAAGGGGAAGAATGGCACACTCAATTTTTCTAAGCTGGGAAAGGAAATGGTTGGAGTGCTGAACGTATGTGTGTGTGCGTGTGTGCTCATGCACAGTGCATCTTGGCTAATGAAATGTACACAAGAGAAGTGTCAACATATTGAAATGTACTCTTCCTTTTGTTTTACATCTATCCCCGAAGTGTGCATTATTAGAGTTGAGTGCATTTAATAAGCCAGGATTATCTCCTAGAGTTGCAGAGCAAGACAAAGCAAGTAGAGTCGGTATCTGGAGACCTTTTTGCAAAGAAGGTAGGTTTTGGTGTGATTTTTAAACTCTTGGTATTAACTATTTTTTTATTCTTTTGTATTATGATGTTTTAAAATCAACTTTTGAAGGGTTTTTTGCTTGCTATATGAAATATATTATTAAACTGATTTAGTTGTCCTATATTCTTGGAAAGTATTTCTGGTTGCAAAAGGGTGGCATTTTTGTAGGAGCAGATATTGAAACTGCTAATAAATTAGAATCAAATAATAAGGGAGAATTCAATTCATTTTGGAACCAAAAAGGGAATGAAACACTTTTGCAAATTGATTTGTATTAACTAAATGCTCCCTTTAAAAAATAAAATTCTGGAACGATGACATTTGCTCTGCGTACAACGTGTGTGATCTTTTTAAGATATCAGGTTATCTTTGTGAGATTTAATTTGTAAGCTTTCTTAGAAGGAAAAACATTTTAAGTAAAAAAGAAGTATTTTTTAAGCTATTATGCTTAGTGTATAATTTAACTTAAATGGAAAATGCATAAATGCACTTGATATCTTTTAACAATTGTGCAATTACAATATAATTATTCTTCCTATGCGCAAAGATTAAATAAACTGCATTTCAACGTTAAATACCTTAAGAAGTATGACTGTAGTGGGAGGTCATTAGGTTAAATTCTAATAATAAGCAAATCATAAAATTCTGTTCATCAACCAAGTACAGAATTCAAGTAAATACACATCTATATGTATAGTTAATGGAAATTTATTTTTAGCTTGAGAAATGAAATAGGCATAGTACAGCCCCTGAATTCCTACTTTGCTTGAATAAATCCTCAGCTGAAAAATATTATCCAAGTTGAAGAAAAATGTCAGAAACAAAAAGAAACCCAAAAAGAGGCAAATCCTAAGAACTTTAATCAATAGGAATGGGTACCTAGGGAAAAAAACAAAAACGAAAACAAAAATTACCTAACATTCATTGAATACCAGACCTGAGCTAACACTGCGCTGGGTGTTTTGTATATGTTGTGACATTTAATCATCACAATAATCCATTGATGTAAGTATTGTCATATTTATTTACAGACCAGGCCAGACAGCTGGCATACAATGCTGCTGGAATTCAAACTTTGAAATGTCCCACTCTGAAGCTCATATTAGAACTATCAGATGAAGAAATGCATGAGATGACTAAAATTATGTAATGAACATCTTGAGGAGGTCAAAATTTTTTCAAGTCACTACAGCAAAAGATGTTTTCTGCCATTAAATAATGTCTTATATATTCCTATAACTATTCTAGTTAAATGTATAATTGTGTTCGTATGTGTTAATTAGCATTTATGATCCATGTTTACAGAGTGCACGCACTGTGTTAGACACTGTATTAGAAGTAAAAGATATTGCAATGAATGCTCAGGGAAACTAAGTTCTAACAGGGGAAATAAACAACACAATAGCAGCTTTTGATAAATATTAGGTGGAACAATATGAAACTGCCATGTTGGTTCAATATCAAAATTTCATCTGATTTGACCTAACTATCTAAATATTAAAGTATTTTTTCAAGTGTCCCTACAGAAACTCATGACATACATTTCTGTTATTTGAATATTCTTATACATTGTTTTTTATGGGATTCGATATGCACTGAGTCTCTGCAGAGAGTAGGCAGTTTATGGAAGAATATACAGTAAATCTGATCAACTTCTTAAGAATTACTTAACCTTTACTTTAGCTTTCTGATAAACTCTCAGAAGACATCTGGCAATATCTGAAGACAGTTTTGGTTGTCATACTGGTACCTGTTGAGTAGAGATCAGGTATGCTGCTAAAATCCTAAAATACACAGGACATTCCCCCAATAGGAAAGAGTTATCCAGCTCAAAAGGTTAACAGTAACACACTTGGGAGATCCTGCACTCAACACAAGAAGGGACCAGGCAAAGTTAATTGGGGGGAAAAAAACAGTAATATAAGTATACATCCCAAATCTTGGAGTTTAGCTTTCTCCAAACACCCATTGTATATGTCTGTTGAGGTAATCAAATCTTATGGTGAAAAATATGGACAGGAGTAAAAGTTAGAATGAAGCTTAAGAAAAGTCTTCATCAACATTTAAGTTAACTAAAATAGGACAATAAACTTGACACACTAAATAAATTTGTTATCAATGATCTCTCCTAAGTCTCAAATGAGTAATAATGGGTACTATAGAAGTCCTGTAATTTCTACTCATCCTTCCTTGCTCACTGGAAAACTTAGAGGATCTCCCTCCTCTGAAATTTCTAGCAGATGCTTATAAATTTGTTTTTTGTAAACAATATGTGCACTATTTTATTTTCTATATCTAGTATTCTGTGTTTTTTTAATTTTTTTTTTTTTTTTTAGAGACAAGCTCTCTCTAGGCTATATCACTAGTCTCAACTTCCTGGGCTCCAGCCATCCTCCCACCTCGGCCTCCCAAAGCATCAGGATTACAGGCGTGAGCCATTGCTCCCAGCTTATTTTTTTATTGTTGTGTTTGGGGGACTTTGAATATACAATAAACTAATCAGAGTTATTGCAAACTGTTATCATTAATTCATGCCAGCCCTCATTTTATTTTACTTTAATGTTTATCATCATCTTTTATCTAGACCTCGTTCTTTTTTTCCCACCAGCTATACCAATGTTTAAACATCTGTATCAAAAGAATAATATGCAATATCATTTTGTGTGTTTAATTTGAAGATACTTTATTATGCTTCTCATTCTGCTTCTGCCTTTTTAGACTGAACATGATGTATTAGACATCTAGCCTTGTAATATGTCCATAAGTTACCCATTCTTTTGACTCCTGCATGCATTTTTGACAGTTTATCTATCCATCTCTCAACCGATGGACACATTTCTACTATGGAAATAATGCTGGGTGCAAATTTTTGCCCACACATCTTTCTGTGTCTCTTTAAAATATTCTCTGGAATATATTGCAAATAATTTAATAGCAGATAAATAGCATATACACACATGCTTTGTTTCATTGAATGTTACCAAGTGCTTTCCAAAATAGCTACATTATTTACACTTTCAACAGTACAGGAAGGTTCTTGTTTTCTTTGACATTTCTGTAATTGCTCACTTTCGCACAATCTACATAGCCATTTTACACCTTTTTTCTCTCCTCAAACCTCAAACAACCACTTCCTGCCCTAACTCTCAGCTCATGAGTGAGTATTTCCATAGCTAAATTTAATGACCTCTCTACCTGTCCTCCTGTGAATATGGAATTCTTGTTGTTATCAAAGTTAACATCACCACAAATGACTTCTGAAGACTTCATTCCTGAAATTATCGCTACTCTCACACGCCACCAATGCCTTCCTCTTTACCTGTTCACTCTTGTCAGCATACAAACTTGCTAAAATATCATCCATCCTGTGAAAAAGCAAAACAAACAACTAAAAACCTACCCCACTCCAATGATACTCCAACAATCAACCTTTTTTCTTGACTCCTTTTTATAGCAAAATTCTTGGAATTATTTGTAGTCGCTATCTATACTTCTGTTCCTACCTAATACCATCATCCCCTTTACCTCTATTTTCTAGAAATACTGACCTATTTGTTGTTATTGCTGTTGTTATTGTTAATTTATATTCTTTATACTACCTGTTCCTTCTCATGGAGTGCTTTTAGCCTGGCTGGCTCTTTTTATTAAAAGTTAAGGTTAGGTAATATTTTAGGAAAAAGCCCTTCTGTAATATCTAATTCTAACACCCAGTAACTATTACATCTTGTGCTATTTTAATTCTCTTTCTAGACTGGGTCACTGCAGATCTTTTTATGTTTGCAAATTGTTTGAGATATTTTGTCTCTCTAATTAGAATGTAATCTCTATGACTTTAAGGACCTTACCTGTCTTATTCTACTGCAACCTCTGGAACCTTGAACGGTGCTTGCTATTTGTGTCATTTATTGAATGAAATACTGAAAGTCTTTTTGTTTGAGTGACAGACGATGAGGTCAGAGAGATACTGGATGCCACATTGTGTAAGGCTGTATAGGTCACTGCAGTAGCTGCTCCAGGGCCTGCCCATATCTTCTCACCAGGTCCATGCACTGCTTCCCTACTGCTGTGAGTGCTGGGCAGACAGCAGCCACATAACCTGAGGAGTCACCTCTTGCCCTCAGCCAATGGTTGACAGATAGGAGGGTCTAAAAGTCTGGTCTCCTTGCCTCAAGAGGAGATACCTCTATGATCCATTTATGTACCAGAGCCCTCCTGTGTGGATCAGGCCAATGTCAACGTTACTTGAGATGACCTTGTTTCTTGACTCTTTCTCCCTCTTTGTCCTGCTTTACTCTCCCCCTTACAGGTTGCATGTGGGATCGCACCTTCACCGTATCACTTTTACAAGACTCCTTGTCACAGGCTCTGTTTAGAGAACCCAAAGGAAGTCATTGTAAGGACTTTGGCTTGTATTCTGGGACACGGAAGTCATTATAGGGTTTGAGAAGTGACATGTTCTGCCTTATATTTAGAATTGCTCTTCCCACACCTGTGTTGAGAAGAGACTATAAGAGAGAAAAGAGTGGAAGCAGAAAGACTGGTTAGGAGGCTCTTGCAGCAATCCAGGTAAGAGGTGACGGTGTCTTGGGAGCAATGAGGGTGGTAAGAAGTGGTTGGTTTCTGGAGATATTTTGAAGTACTAGCATATAGAATGCCCTGACAGTTTGTATAAAATATTGGCATTAACTGTAAAGCATAATAGTACACTTAGAGGCTGATTGATTAAGTGGTCTGTTACCTAAAAAGCAGTCTTTGCGTTTCATTCTCCATAGAAATAGTACTTAATTGGCCATCTATTTGATTTTAATCATTGTTTCTGTCATTTAAAGCTATGGGCAGAATAGCTTTATATACATTTAAGCTATAAAGCTTAAATTTAATTTTTAAGAGTTCTACTGAGATCAGGGTCCTAATTTTGAAATTGGCTATAAAATATTTGTACATTTTAAAAACCTATGCTAAAGAATCTAAATGTTCTTAGCTCACTGGGAGGAAATATCAGGCAGCCCCTTGCCAAGGAATCTGCCTAAACCATTGATGTTTTCTATACACGTTTTGGAAGTGAATCTGCACAATAATGTGTATTTTACCTTCCATGTGCTTTATCCTCCAAATATATCTCCAGAGATATTTTCTACTTTTATCCAGACCCCATAGATTCTAGTGTAGATCTAGTTTGATATAAAAAAAGTTTGAGTATGATAACCTCCAGGTTATAAATTATTAGAACTGTGTAGTTTAGACTCTATTTAAGAGAACAATAGTATCCTTAGTGTTTATTTTCCTCAATTGTACAGAGCATAAAATTATACAGAGATCCCACAGGCAGATTCTATTATTCTATCAAGGCCCAAAGTAGATAAAAAATCACTTACTGAATAGCAAAACATCCTTTCTCATCCCAATTTGACTTCTACTCGTTATTAAATTCTTCATGGCCCCACTGAATGTGAGAAACCAAGAGTTAGGGTGAATTTTTATTCTTCTGAAAGGGCAATTTAATATCAGATCCTCACCTATACTTTCAAGTGAGCAACATATGGGGATTTAATTAACTAAAAGAATGTCACAGAAGGAAAGGAATGTGTGTTTTTCTTGCTCACATATTTCCAGGTAATTTAAGAGGATGAAACCTTTGCAATTTAACCTTCAAAAGCTTTCATTTCCTTTGGATTCTCTTACTCCAATTTTGCAATATCCCTCACCTAAACAATCAAACTAAGTTCTAAGGAAGAATTTTATGTCATTACATTTAAATTTTGCTATTTTCACAGGGTTAGTACAGTTTAATTTCAGGAACTGGATTGCCATAGCGAAATCAACAAAATACGGTTTTTTTCAAATAATAAATTTTATTATATAACTTTGGAATTCTACTGAAATCTATGAAATAATTTGTTAATTATAAAGATTCAATGAATGCTGTGATTCCAAATTAAATGCACATCTTCTTTATTAAATGCCTGTATAAGAGCCATCAGTTCATAACTCACAAGTAGGCACTTAATAAATATTTTTAATGGTGATAGATGTCTTGAGGAAACTTTACCTGAGTAGCACTCATTCTCTTTTTTTCTTCTAGAATTACCACTTCTTGAGACAAGTTTTACAACTGTATCTCATTTCAAAGCCTAGTTTCTTTTCTTATTAATGATATACCAGTCAGTATTTGATTTGGTTTCTATTTTGGGGCTTGATATAATAATAGAATCTATGTGACTGTGAATGCAAGGAGAATTTATGTATACTGTTCCCTATACACTGCAGGAAGTCAAATGGGTTACCAATAGTGTCTTAGATAGAGTCTAAATCTACACATTCCCCCAGTAGTTTATAATTTTGGTGTTATCAGACTCCTTTCGCCGTAACTATACTTCCTTACTTATCTAGCTTATGCCTCCAAGACTACTAGAGTCTTGATTGTTTCTCTCCCTTACTTCTGTGATTCTTGGCTTAATAAGTTGTCCTGAGCAATAAATTCTTCTTAGCTGATGTTTTTCCAGTGAAAGGTAGAAATATGTCACAAAGCTTTCTTTGAACAGTGTAGCATAATGGAGAGGTGGCTGAGATGATTATACAAGTCAGACTAGAATAAATGCTACATTTGAAATATAAACAAAGTGCTTGTGAGTTTCCAGGAGTGAGAACAATTAATCTTGATAAAGGGGATTAGAAAGACTATGCAGAAAACATTTCAGTTTTGCAAAGAAATACAAGATTTCAACATGCAGAAAGGCAAAGGAGGACATTGTAGGTTAAAAACAAACAAACAAACAAACATTATGAACAAGAAAATCTGAACAAGTCATTTTCTAGGTGACCAGGGGAGGAAGCAGAAGTTGAAACTGAAAAGGCTTTGGGTCCAGGATGTGAAAGGCCTTAAATGACAGACTAAGGAATCTGGATTGTATTCCACTGGGGGAAACCAGATAATATTTTTAGAGTAATAAAATGATATTTACATTTCAATTACTCTGGAAATGTAAAGGATGAATTGGAGCAAGTTTCAGAAGGCAGGCATGGAAGAGACAATATTGCTTGCCAAACATCCAGACAATTCTCCATATTTTCCTTTGGAGTGTGTGACTAAATTCTTACCAATAGGATTTGAGAAATGATGTACACCTGTCCTGATAGTTTTTGAATTATATATCTTAAACTTATGTTATTGGCTCATCGTTATATTTTCCATGTGAATTTGATACCTTTCTCTTTATGAAAATTTCCTCTTTAACTGTAACATGCTGTTTTTCTGAAAGCCCATTAGTGTGCTTTTTTGTATGCTATTTGTATGCTTTAGAACAGCTATCTGCTTTTTTTTGAAACAGAGTCTCGCTCTGTTGCCCAGGCTGGAGTGCAGTGGCACAATCTCGGCTCACTGCAACCTCTGCCTCCTGGGTTCAAGTAATTCTCCTGTCTCAGCCTCTGGAATAGCTGGGGTTACAGGTGTGCGCCACTACACCTGGCTAATTTTTGTATTTTTAGTAGAGACAGGGTTTCACCATGTTGGCCAGGCTGATCTCAAACTCCTGACCTCGGGTGATCCGCCTGCCTCAGCCTCCCAAAGTGCTGGGATTATAGGTGTGAACCACTGTGCCCGACCTCTGCCTTTCTTTTGGTTAGTGTTGCAGAGAAACTTTCTTTTATGATTCTGGGTAGTTAAGATTTTCTTAGCAAATCTTACTCAAACTTGGGACCTGAAGTGAAACAAGTTTGGAAGGTTATATGATTGGCTAGATAGTGAGAGAACTCTAGAGATCTCTGTTTTAGAAACCTTGTGTGTGCATGCAGGGCAATATAAATAAACACAAATTAAAAATTTAAAATATGGTATATATATTTTCTTCTTGTTCTTCTATTTCTGGTGTATCTATTTTTAAAAAATTTTAACCCAATCAATTAATCTTTGTCTTTTAATTGAAAAATTTAGCCTGTTTAAATTAATAGACATAGTTGCTTTTAAATCTATGTTAGTTATCTGTATTAATTATCTATCTCATCTATTTTACCATGCCTTTGCTCTTCTTGCTATTTTATGATTAAATATTTCTATTATTGTATTTCCTATTTATTAGCTTGTTAGTTATGTTTTTCTGATTAGTATTCTTATTAGGTTTTTCTTGTCTATAAGCTTGTTAGCCATGTAATATTTTACTATTATTTTGATGGTTGCCATGGAGACTACAATATGCATCCTTGAATTTTTAAACCCCCATATATATGAGAGGTTCCATGGTTCCCATGGAACACTTAACTCCATTTACCATCTTCTCATCATTTTAGAATTGTTTTCATGCGTTAACTAAACAAGTATTTTAAAATGACTAACATATTACAATTGTTTCTATAGTCAATATTCATTTAAATTTACTCTTGTGCCCACTCTTTACATCATTTCTCATTTCCTCCTACATATCTGTGCTTCCATGTGGAATTACATACCTGCCATGTGAATAATTCATTTTAATAATTCTTTTAGCATAGGTCTTCTGGGATAAATGCTGTTAGTTTTTGTTTCTTTCGAAAGGTTTTTTATTTTGCCTTTAATTGTGAAGGATATTTTACTCGGTATAGAATTTCTGAGTTGGTAGTAATTTTGTTTCAAGACTTCAACGATCTTCAATGTCTTCTGGATTTCATGCTTATAAAATGTCAATATTATTATTACTCCTTTTAAGTTTATGTTCTTTTTCCCTGTAGATGCTTTTAACTTTTTTTTTCTGTATATAGTTTCCTGAGTAACACGAAGTGTGCTTCCTTTTGCATTTTTCCTGATTGGAATTTTTTATGCTTCTTGAATCTATGAGTTTTCAAAAATTCTTGTAATTATTTCTAAATACTGCTTTTTTCTCCATTCTCTTTCTCCTCTTTTTCTGGGATTTGAATTACACATACGTTTTACTTTTCACCTAATCTCAAATCTCTAATGCTCTTTGGTTTTACATTGTTTTATATCTCCACTCTAATCTTCATTATTTCCTTCCTCTACTAGATTTAAACCTAGTTTGCCTTTTTTTTCTAGTTCCCTAAAGTGGAAAGTTAAGTTTTGATTTGAGATCTTTATTTTTTAATGCATATGTTTATAAATTTTCTTTTGAGCACAGCTTTTGCTGCATCCTATAAATTTTGGTTTGTTGTGTTTTAGTTTTCATTAATCTCTAAGTGTCTTCTAATTTCCCTTATTTCTTCTTTTACTCATTAGTTGCCAAAAGTGTTATTTTCCACATATTTGTAAATGTTCTAGTTTTCCTTTTGTTACTGTTTTCTCATTTCATTCTGTTTTTTTCTGAGAAGATACTTTGTATAATTTCAATATTTTAAAATTTGTTGAGACTTGTTTTGTGGGCTAACATATGGTCTGTCCTGGAGAATCTTCCGTGTGTACTTGATGAGAATGAGTATTCTGCTGTTATTGGGTGGATTATTCTATATATGTCTATTAGATCTACTTGGTTTACTATGTTGTTCAGGTCCTCTGTTTTCTTATTTATCTTCTGTCTAGTTGTTTTACCCATTATTAAAAGTGGAGTGTTGGGGTATCAGCTCTTGTTGTTGAATTGTCTATTTTTGCCTTCCATTCTGTCAAATTTTTCTTTATACATTTTGAGGGTTCAAAGGACAGGCTGATTCCCTTCCTAGAAGCTAATGCAGCTGGTAATTTTAAATGGAAGCCAACGCTCATTTGCCGTTCCAAAAATCCCCAGGGTTCCTACATAGAACAACAAAGCCTAGATGTCCTTTGAAGTTTTGAAGCTAGGCATTGACTTCTCCTATCTAGCTATGAAAGTCCTAGATGACATCTTCTTCCAGTAGAAGGCTATTTTGTCCACATTCAAAAATCTGTTGTTTAGTGTAGCCTCTGCCATCACTTAGCTAGATTTTCTGGATAACTTGATGCAGCTGCTACATCAGCACTTGCTGCTTCCCTTTGCATTTTTAAGAAGGATTTTTATGGGGATGGCTTCTTTCCTTAAACCTCATGAACCAATCTTTTCTAGCTTCAAACTATGTTTCTACACCTTTCTTACCTCTCTCAGGCTTTATAGAACTGAAGAGAGGTAAGGTCTTGCTCTGAATTAGTCTTTGGCTTAAGATAATGTTATGGTTGGTTTCATCTTCTATTGAGAACACCAAAACTTTATCCATATCAACAACAAGATTGTTTTGCTTTCTTGTCATCCACGTGTTCACTGGAATAGCACCTTTAATTTTGTTCAAGAACTTTTCTTTTGCATTCATAACCTGGCTGTTTGGTGCAAGAGGCCTAGCTTTCAACCTATCTCAGCTTGTGACATGCCTTCATCACTAAGCTCACTCATTACTTGCTTTTGATTTAAAGTGAGAGACATGCAATTCTCCCTTTCACTTCAACACTTAGAGGCCATTGCTTTGGTATTAATTGGCTTAAATTTCAATATTATTGTATCTCAGGGAATAGAGACGCCTGAGGAGGGAAAAAGAAATGGAAGAATGGCCAGCGAAGCAATTAGAATATACACAATGTTTATCAATTAAGTTTGCCATCTTATATGCACATGGTTCTCAGCACCCCAAAACAATGGCAATAGTAATATCAAAGATCCATGATTACAGATCACAATAACAGATATCATAATAATGAAAAAGTTTGAATTATTGTGAGACAGAGACACAAAGTGAGCACATGCTGTTGGAAAAATGGCATTACCAAGACTAAACTTGGGAAAATGTTGCCACAAACTTTCAAATTGTAAAAAATGCAATATCTCAAAGTACAATAAAGCAAAGCACAATAGGTCGGGCATGGTGGCTCACGCCTGTAATCCCAGCACTTTGGGAGGCCGAGACGGGTGGATCACAAGGTCAGAAGTTCAAGCCCAGCCTGGCCAAGATGCTGAAACCCCATCTCTACTAAAAACACAAAAATTAGCCAGGCGTGGTGGCACACACCTGTAATCCCTGCTACTCGGGAGGCTGAGGCAGGAGAATCACTTGAACCTGGGCAGCAGAGGTTGCAGTGAGCCGAGGTCGTGCCACTGCACTCCAGCCTGGGCGACAGAGCAAGTCTCTGTCTGAAAAAATAAAATAAAAATAAAGCAAAGCACAATAAAACAAGGTATGCTTGTTTTGGTTTTTGCTATTAAGTTATAGGAGCTTCATATATATTTTGGTATATTAACTCCTTATCAGATATATGGTTTGCAAATATTTTCTCCCATTCCATAGGTTGTCTTTTCACTCTTGACTGTTTCCATTGCTGTGTAGAATCTAGTCCCACTTTTTAGTTTGATGCTGCTCACTTGCCTATTTTTGCTTTTCTTGTCTGTGCTCTTGGGGTTCATATCCATGAAATTGTTGCCTAGACGAATGTCATGGAGTTTTTTCCTTGTTTCCCCTAGTAATTTTATAGTTTCTGGTCTTATATTTAAGTCTTTAATTCATTCTGAGCTGATTTTGTATATGGTATAAGATAGGGGTCCAAATTCATTTATCTGCATATACATATTTATTTTCCCAAAACCATTTGTTGAAGAGACTATCTTTTCTCCATTGTGTATTCTTGGTGGCTATGTCAGATCAGTTGACTGTATAGATATGATTTTATTTCTAGGCTCTCTATTTTGTTCCATTGGTATATATGTCTGTTTTTATGCCAGCACTATACTGTTTCAGTTACCATAACTTTGTTATATATGATTTATATATAATATATGAAATATAATATATAATATATATTATATAATTTATATTATATATTATACTATATATTTATAATATAAAATATAAATTATATAGCTTTGTTATATATAATTTATTATATAAATTTGTTATATATATAAATTAAGACGGGGTCTTACTCTGTTACCAAGGCTGAAGTGCAGTGGTGCAATCATATCTCTCAAACTCCTGGGCTCAAGCAATCCTCCCACCTGAGCCTCCTAAATAGCTAGGACTACAAGCACATGCTACCATGTGAGGTTAATGCTTTGTAATATATTTTGACTCCAGGAAGTATGATGCCTCCAGCTTTGTTTCATTTTATGAAAATTGCTTTGGCTATTCTGGGTCTTTTGTTTTCCCAGGTGAATTTTAGAATTATTTTTTCTGTGTCTGTAAAAAAAAATGCCATTTGGGATATTTATGAAAATTGCATTGAATCTATAGATCACTTTAGGTAGTATAGACATTTTAACAATATTAGTCTTTTAATCTATGAACACAGGATATCTTTGCATTTATTTGTGTCTTTTAAAATTTTTGTATCAAGATATTGTAGTTTTCAGTGTACAAGTCTTTCACCTCCTTGGTTAAGTTTATTCCTAAATATTTTATTCTGTTTGGTGCTCTTATAAATAGAATTGTTTTATTAATTTTATTTTCAGATAGTTTGTTGTTAGTATATAGAACGCAAAACCTTTATAATTTATTGTAGGGCAGTTCTACTAACAGTGAAATCTCTCAGCTTTTTTTCACCTGGAAATGTCTTTATTTCTCCTTCAATTTTGAGGGACAGTTTTTCTGGATATAGATTTCTTCATTGGCAGTTTTATTTTTCTTTTGACATTTTAAATATGTCATCTTATCATCTTTTGATCTCCATGGTTTCTGAAGAGAAATTAGTATTTATCTTATTGAGGATCCCTTGTGCATGAAAAGTCATTCTCTCTTTCTGCTTTCAAGATTTTATCTGCTTTTGGCTTTGGACAGTTTAATTATAATGTATGTTGGTGTGTGCTATGGTCTAATTGTTTGCCCCCAAAATTTATGTGTTAAAACCTGATCCTCAGTGTGATGGTATTAAATGGTGGGACTTTTGGGAGGTGCTTAGGATATGAAAGTGGAGCCCTCATGAATGGGATTAGTGCTCTTATAAAATAGGACAAAAGGACTTTATTTGTCCTTTTCTACCTTGTGAGGATGCAACAAGAAGGCACCATCTATGAACCAGAGAGCAAGCCCTTATCAGACAATCTTGGTTGAACTCCCCCATCTCTAGAACTGCAAATAAGTATCTCTTGTATATAAACCATCCAGTTTATGGTAAATTGTGTTAGCAGCCTAAATGGACTAAGTTTGGTTATCTTTGAGTTTATCCTATTTGGAATTTGTTGAGCTTCTTGAATATGTAGATTCATGTCTTTCATTAAATGTTGGTATTTTTAGCCATTGGTTTCTTCAAATATATTTTCTGTCCCCATCTTAGTCCATTTGCTATAAAAGAATACCCGAGGTAGGGTAATTTATGAAGAAAAGAGGTTTATTTGGCTCACAATTCTCCAGGCTGTACAAGAAGCATGTTACCAGCATCTGCTTCTGGTGAGGGCCTCACACTGCTTCCACTCATAGTGGAAAGTGGAGTGGAGATGGTGTGTGTAGAGATGACATGGTGAGAAAGTGTATTAGGCCATTTCTACATTGCTATAAAGAAATACTTGAGACTGGATAATTTACAAAGGAAAGAGATTTAATTGGCTTATTGTTCTGCAAGCTTTACAGGAAGTATAGTACTGGCATTTGCTCAGCTTCTCAGGAGGCCCCAGGAAGCTTACATTCATGGCAGAACATGAAGGGGGAGCAGGCATCTCACATGGTGAGAATGGGAGCAAGAGAGAGAGAGTGAGAGAGGGGAGGTGCCATACACTTTTAAACAACCATTTTTTGCAAGAATTCACTCACTATCATAAGGACACCACCAAGGGAATGGTGACAAACCATTTGAATTAGTCTGTTCTCACACTGCTATAAACAACTACCTGAGACTGGGTAATTTATGAATAAAAGCGGTTTAATTGACTCACAGCCACACAAGCTGTACAGGAGTCATTCTGGGAGGACTCAGGAAACACAATCATGGCAGAAAGTGAAGGGGAAGCAAGCACCATCCTCACATGGCAGAGCAGGAGGGAGACAGAGTGAGGAGGAGGTACCACACATCTTCAAACAAACAGATCTCGTGATAACTCTATCATGAGACCCCACTCAGGGAATGGTGCTAAACCATTATAAACCACCCCCATGATCTAATCACCTCCCACAAGGGCCCACCTCCAACATTGTGAATTACATTTCAGTATGAGAACTGGGTGGGGACAAGTATCCAGACTGTGTCAGAAAGGAAGCAAGAGAGAGACAGAGGAGGTACCAGGCTATTTTTTAACAATCAGCTCTCACAGGAACTGATAGAGTGAAAACTTACTCATGAGCATGAAGACTGCACTAAGTCATTAATGAGGAAACTGCCCCCATGACCCAAGCACTTCCAATTAAGCCTCGCCTTCAAAATTGGGTACCAAATTTTAACGTGGAGTTTCAGGGAACAAATATCCAAACTATAACATGCCTCTTTCTCCCTCTTTGCCTCTGTGACTTTCTCTATGCATATGTTGTTATGTTTAATGTTGTTCCATGATTTCTTAGGCTCTGTTCATTTTCTTCATTCTTTTTTCTGTTCCTCAAACTGCATAATTTCAACTGACCTATATTTATGTTTTGTTATTCTTTCTTCTGCCTGCTCAAATTTGCTATAGAACCCCTCCAGTGACTTTTTGATTTTCAGTTATTGTACTTTTGCTCATGCATCATTCTCTCAATTTTCTTTCTTTGTCTATGTTATCCTTTAGCTATTTAAGCATAGTTAAGACACTTGATGTAACTATTTGTCTAGTAATTCCGATGTCTGGGATTCCTGTCAATTAATTTTTTTCCCTTTGAGTTTGCCATGCTACCATTTCTTCTTGCATGCCTTATAATTCTTTGTTAAAAACTGGCATTCTGATTATTATATCTAGTACTTCTGAAATACAGATTATTTCCCTTCCCCGGAGCTTGCTGTTGGTTCTTGTTGTGGGTTGTAGTTATCTGTTTAGTGGCTTTAAAAACTAATTTTGTAATGTGTAGTCACTCAAGTCTGTCCCATTAGCTTGGTGGTCAGAATATTGTGTGGATTTTATAAAGACCAATTTGTTAAAGTACTGGTATGAGATTTACATGGTCTCCAATAGAAACTCGAAAAAACAAAACTTTAAAACTTTATATAAAAAGATAAGAATTCAGAAAATTACAGCATTATAAGGTTTTAACTAATTTAGTTATAATGTAAACTTTTTAGTTAAATATCCCATTTCCCTAATTTTTGTTTTTTGTGGAAATTTCAGTTTTAACACAACGATGTTAATTACTTTTAAAGATTCAGTGTTTACCAAAAAATTAACATAAAAGGCAATTTTAATTTTTCTAATTAATTGCTAGTCACCTCATGACATTTTCACAAACTTCTGTCTTCCTAATAGAATCCCTTTTTATTTAAGACAGCAGCATGACTGTTAGTTACGTGGTTAATATTTCAGCCTCCTTCTAACTGCAGGCAATCATGTGGTAGTATACTGGCCAAAGAAATACAGATAGAGTTGCTGTGGAAGACTTTCCTTTCTTGTTCACAAGAACAAAGCCCACTTAAACTTTCATCCCTTTCTCTTTCTTTCTTTTTTCCCAGACTCTAGACATGTGACCTGGAGATGCAGCATCCATCTTGTGACCATGAAGCAATAGGGATAAGGGTAAAAGTCTACACATTGCAGATTGCAGATAAAAACATGAAAAGATCCTGGCTGCCTGATGACACTACAGGTTAATAAAAAATACCTCAGAGATTCAAATCTAAACAAAATGCTAAGTCACATTCATCTACATTCACAATTAAAACAATTGAGTGATTTGGGTACAGATGATGAGGGAGAGGATGGAACTCATAAAATGTGGTTTTCTTATTTGAGTGGGCTGCTTGTTATGGCATTAAGGCACAGGCACCATATATTATTGTGTTTGATTATTTACTTACAACCTTCTATCCTATCAGGTAGTAAATGTGTTGGGGCAAGGGCCTTTTTCTGTGTTATTCACCATTGTTTCCCTTATATCCAGCACTATGAGGTTAAGCACCAAAAAAAGCTACTCAATAAATATTTGTTAAAAAATGGAAAAAAGATAATACATATAATTTAGGACACAGTTTATCATGGCTGTGATAATGGGAAGTGTGGAACTAACACTAATGTAATCATCCATCAGGTTCTTCCTACCTGCCCCACAGACAAAATCATTTTACTGAGACCACAGCATTGCAGTAAAGAAAGAGTTTAATTGATGCAAGACTGGCCATGCCATACGGAAGAGAGTTATTACTAAAATCAGTTGCCCTAAAAACTTGGAGGTTAGGGGTTTTCAAGGACAGTTTGGTGAGCAGGGGACTAGGAAATAGGTGCTGCTGATTGGTTGGAGAAGCCGTCACAGGAGAGTGGAACATGGTCCTTGTGTACTGAGTCCACCTCTGGGTGGGGGGTGGGGACCACAGGACTGGTTGATTCATGAGTCAAGAGTCCAGATGGAGTCAGTGGTGGTCAGAAGTGCAAAAGTCTGAAAAGAAATCTCAAAGGGCTAATCTTAAGTTCTACAATAGTGATGTTATCTACAGGGCTAATGAGGAAGTTACAAATCTCATGACCTCCAGAACAAAGGCTGATAATTGTTGAACTATACTTACATCTTAGCAGAAACCAGGCCCCTCTCAAAATTCGAACCTATGGAATTTCATAAATTTTATAAAGGTTGTTTAGTTTTGGGAAGGGCTATTATCATTCTTGCTTTAAGTCTAGCCTACAAAGTAAATTTCTCCCAAAGTTAGTTTGGCGTATGGTGGGAATGATCAAGGATAGCTTGGAGGTTAAAAGCAAGATGGAGTCAACTATGTCAGACTTCTCTTATTATCATAATTTTGCAAGGGCTGTTTCACTAGTAGTTAACACTATCTAAGTATATGCCATGTGCCATAAATTGTACTAAGAGCTTTACACACATTAATTAATTTATTTCAAAAACAAAAGATTAATAGATAGTATCGGCATTATATCCATTTTTAAGATAAGGAGATTGAGGCACGAAGTGCATTAACTTGCTTGAGATTATACAGCTTAAGTAGAAGAGCTTGGATTCTAATTCAGTTTGTCTGGTTTCAAAGCTTATGCACTTAACCATTATCCTCTACTATATATATATTATACACTATATATTATATACATATAGTATATATTATATATACTATATATTATATACTCTATATAGTATATACTATATATTATACTATATATACTAAATATACATATCTATGTGGATATATATACCCTCTACTATATTATAACACTGTGATAATGGGAAGTGTGGAGCTAACACTAACGTAATCACTCATCGGGTTCTTCCTACCTGCTGCGCAGACAAAATCATTTTACTCAGACCATAGCATTACAGTAAAGAAAGAGTTTAATTGATGCAAGACTGGCCACACCACACAGAGGAAGAGTTATATATGATTCATATATATATGAGTTAAAAGCCATATTCCAAACAGAATTGGAAGAAGGAAAGTTATGCACCTGGATTAGAATGTCTCCAGCAGAGCTGCACCGATTGTTAGGAAGCCTCACAAGATGAATGTATTCACCATAATCAAGCATCTAGCTGTCAGATATGCATGTCAAAAATTCAGATCCGCTCACGCTGTTGTTGTTAATTTAGCATAAGAAACTTGACTCACACTAATTTATAAATGACTAAACTACTAAAATCAGAATGCCTATTGACTCATTCGAAAAGAGAAAGTTAATTGAAGATGGAATAAACATCTATACCAGGAAAATGGTATTCAAAAACGGTTCTTAGAATAAAATAAGAATGAGGGAAATTCATAAAAATATTGGAATGTTTAAAGACTCTAGTATCTCATGTGTTGTACTTCACTAGTGATATATCTGCCAGGTAGACTTAACTGAGCACTCTCTCCCTTGGCCTGTGAATGGGCATGGCCTGTTTCTGTATCTCTCACCCTCTTGAGTCTTTCTGGTTGACCTACCCTGTCTTTAGATTTCAGTAAAGATTTCCTAACATGACTATCTTTTCCTGATAACATGTCTTCATTTATGTTTGAGTCTGAAAAGGGCGACCTGATTAGTTTCTCCAAGTTACTTCTCTCTTCCTGTCTCTTCCGACCTCCCTTTCACTTGTACTGTTTGCTGACTTTCATCTGCTTCTTTTTAGTCACAGTTCAAGAAACATGGAACCTCTATCTTGAGACTAAAACCTCCCCACTCTGTGCTTTTGTCCCCCACCCCTTCTTTTACTTTCAGTACTGTGACCACTGTTGGTGGTCTATCCTCTCTTCTGCACTTTCAACTTCGACTTTATCAACACATAAGATTGATCAAATATCTACCATTAAAGAAAAAAAGGCCACAATTCCATGTTCCCTTTAAAATAGAACAGGAAGCCCTCCTTCATTCCTATGTCTCTTTTAAGTACTGCCATGCCTCCTCCAACCCACAGCCAACCTGCTTTACAGATTGACTTCCATTCACTATTCTACTTCTTTACTTTTGTGACTCACCAATTCCCCACAATCTGGCTTTGGCTCCCACTGCTTCAATAAAAATACTTTGGCACACATCCTCAATGGCATCTCATTTGTCAAATTCAATGACCTTCTTTTTTGTTACATCTTTTTGACCTCATCAGGATTTGGCACCATTGAACACCTTTGTAAAGCTCTTATCTCTTTCTTTCATGACACTATTTCTCTTAGTTTTCTGTCTATGATTTCTTTCTGATCTACTTTTTGTGCTCTTTTTCCTTTTTCTTCCCCTTAAATGTATGTGTTCCCTCGGTCTTTGTCACTGGCCCATTGCTATTCATTGTCTATCATTCTACCTCCATGATTATTCCCATTTCTACAGCTTCAATTGCCAATTATATCTCTAACGTAGATTCTCATCGGGGCTCCATATGCTTATGTTCACCAAAGGACGTCTCTCAACGTTGACATTTTAAAACTGGAATTCAATATTTCCTTCAAAATCAGCCCCTTTCTCTTCTTGTTCTTGGTACTATTTGTCCAGCCAAATCAGAAATTTGAGAACCATTCCAAACTTTTCTTCTATTTCCCTACCCTTCATTACATTAGTGGCAACAGCCAATCCTATTAATTCTATTGCTATACTTCTTTGGTAGCTTTAACATTCTCTTTATTGATCATAAGCCAAGAGAGAAAAATTCTCTAGATTTTTCATTTATGTCTTATGATGTTTTCCCTCAATGTTGTTGTAAAACCTCATAAAAGAGGTTTTTATTATTTCATATTTGCTTTGCCCAGATACTTAATCTGTTGGCGGAAAAATCTCCTGTAACTTTGTTTGATGTGAATGAATATACCTCTTCTTAGGTGCTAGAGGAGCTTCTAGGAAGAGCCAGATACACCCCACTATAGTTATTTCTTACTAACATATAAACACAATTAATATAATGTTTAAGTATGGTTGCCAGGTACAATACATCCAATTAAATTTGAATTTCAGATAAAGAGCAAAGAATCTTTTAGTATAAGTATGTCCCATGCAATAATTGGGACATACTTATGTTAACAAAAACTCATGATCTATCCAAAATTCAAATTTAACTGGGCAGACTGTCCTAGTCAGAAATCAAAGGGCAAGCTTGGCTCAATCCATCACTAATGAGCTGTTACATGAATCACTAAATAAATTCCAATCACAGCAAATCCCCCTATACCTATATACTAGGACAGTAGTCAGAAATTTTTGCAAATGAGAAGACAGAAACTCGAGTTACATAATTAAGATTATAGATGTAGAAAATAGCTGGACTATTAAGGCAGGGTGCTTAACTCCAAACTAGTTCTCTTTCTACTATACCCTGCTCCTTATAGGTTAGCCCTATAATAGTGAAGAGGAGAAAATACGCTCGGGTATCTCTAGAGTGGTTACTTAGTACAGCTAGACTCCAATAAAAGATCAACACAACTTTAAAATTAAATTGCAACAGAAATTTATTGGTCATCTTAATAAAATCAGAACGGCTTTAATTATAAACATCTTGAGCCAAATTGTTGGAAATTGTATTAAAATGTTGATTAATTGAAGCATCAAAATTGGAGAAAATTAGTAAGGCAAATCATTTTTAAAATATCGTTGTGTTTCCCAGATTGAAAAGCTGGTTCCTTAGTAAGAACAGTATGTCGCTCCTGACACCATGTGGTCACTTTATGTACTACTTTAAACATTTTTGAAGACTAATGGTCCTGCCACAGGAAAAGTCCAATAAAATAAATGCATACTGTGAGATGCAAGATATCATTTATTGCCATTTATCTATTTAAAAATTGAAGATTATTATAGAAGTTACCAGTGGGTGATTATCAAGTTCTTCATATCTATACGTTAAGCCTTTATTCCCAGTTTTATTACTGGTGTCAGCATGTACTTTTAGAAAGATGTAATCAATTTTCAATTTCTTGACAATGAGCCAAGTGTTTTGTATGATCCCTTTTGAGCAAACTAACCAACATTATAGTATGGCAATTAAGAAAAACTAGTTTTAGCATCAGATGAACTTGGTTCCCCCCATCTTCTTCAACTCCTATGTACTGCTGAGGCCTCTTTTAGCCACTTATCCCAAAGCAGCATATATAGGACATCACTGCTAAAATCTTGGCCACTAGCTGACGTTCCCAAGGCTGGGCATTATCAATGCTTCCTCAACCACAGCTAATGCCTTGAAACCTTCTTTGTGCCAGTGGACCCGCTGTTCTTGAACTACACATCTGATGGAAGCTATGCTTTATTACCCACAAAAGCTGGAAGGATGTTCTTGTTCTTTTTTATACAACAATGTCTCATGTACATCAAAGCACTGCCTTGCTCCCCAGTGTCTAACAGAACTTTAAAGGAAATTGGTTCCTGGAAGTCAGTCACCAACATGTTTAAATTCCAGCAGTAAATACCACTTAGTCTTAAGCTGGTGTATCTTCCACACTTTTCACATGTAGTCTAGGTTTCAAACTTTATTCTGTTGTTGCAGCAATTACACAAATATTCTACAGATACAAGAAGACATGACCGTATATTTCCTGAGGATCTTATCAAAATGTTAGGTCAGTGACAAGTGTAATATTATGAGGATAAATTTAATGTTCCAGTTATTTGACCTTGTTTCTATCAGGTCTGAGCCGTGTCTGCAAATATTTTATTCAGCTTTAGAGGTTCAGAAAGTGCACAGATACAGCTCAGCTGAACATGGCTGACAAACCTTGAGCCAGACAACCATTAGGGAGAAGGGGGTGGATATAAATGTTTTATTGTGTATGCATCTTTTCACTGACAAGAGGAAGTTTTGGGGATTATACATAATTTTAAATAAAATTATACTTTTAAATTAACATTTTCATCTGAATTAAATCTGAATTTATCACTCATATTTCAGATATATATCTTTTTGTTAGATCTTTAAAAAACTTTACATAAACGTATTACATATGCTTTTCTTATAAAAAGTGGGCTATTCTGAGTGCTTTCTTGATTGATTAATGTCATAAAGACTATTCATATAAGTGAGCTTTTATAAGTTCTAGGAAACCTAGTCAATCAATGACAAGAGTAGCTCAAATGCACTATAACCATGAGTCATGATATTGATGTAAATGCTATATATGAAACAGTCAGCACTAGGTTGAGTTAAATTTTTATATTTGAAAAATATTTGCTGCAAAGATTACTTTGAATTATGTTAGAGTCCAGAAAGAAATTCAAATTAAGTTTGTTTTTTCCTTTTTATCTGAAAGACAGTGCTATGTGTTAGAGAATTACAAAAAGAAAGGTAAGTAAATGAAAGATTGTTAGAAAACTTGAATCTTTTAAGCATGAAAGTACATGCCTGATAAAGTAAGGTAAGGGAAAAATATTAATAGTAAACTTCAAGTGGAGAAAGCTGGCAAATACCACTCTCACCAGGTGATATTACATAACAAGTGATATCATGTATCCCCTGATAATATATAATGAGGAAGGAATTTCACCTTATGACATTCTCTCCAAAAATGAAAAGCCCCAGTATAAGCATGAGAAAAATAGTAGATAAACCCAAATTGGGAGACAGTGTACAAGTGCCTGACCAGTATTTTCGAAGCTACCAAGGTCATTAAAGATAAGAAAAGGCTGAGAAACTGTCATAGAACAGAAGACATAGCATGCCATGACAACTAAATGCAGTGTGGTCCCTGGGTTGGCTCCTGGAACAGAAAGAGGTTATTAAGGGGAAAGCCAGTGAAATTCAAATAAATCTGGATTTAATTGCTAACATTTTTAATTGTTTAAAAAATGCATTTCTGAACCCATAAGAGTGGACAACAAGCTTGAGGTTGATTTTTCAATTGTGGTGATAATTGTACTTAATTATTTACACCCTTTAGTAAACTATCAAAACCCTGCAGAGAATTGTGGCAATGCTACTCAAATCAAAGGACTTTTTAAAGTTAGATATTTAGGTCTTCTCTACTGTATGCACTTTTACTCCTCTACAATTGTCTATTTACATGAATGCTGGAATATGGACATTGTTACATATTCCAGAATTCCTGGAAAGCAATAACAGATTTCAGCTTAGTATAACTGTCTGAATAGTATAGCATTAATCTAAGACATGAAGGGGGGTGGGCAGGGTTTAGTAAGAAAAATAATGGATTTCAGTTCTGAATGTGATGAGTTTTAGGGACCTCTGGTGGCAGCTACAGGTGTAGACTGGAGTTCAAGGGAGAGAGCTGTCAGTTATACAGATGACATAGATTTGAGAGTCATTAGCCAATCGTAAGAATCCCCCAGGGATAGGGAAGACAGAAGACAGAAGTATTCCTTTCAATCTACTTGTTTTTCTCATCAGTGTCATGAGCACACAATCAAGAAACTCAACTAAATGGGAATTGGTTGACATCACTTTTCCAGCCCATGTGTCTACAATAATTGCAACCTTAAAGCAGCACTTTGCATAATGTTAATACGAAATGTTGATGGAAAATGCAAGCAGTCATACAGACTACCAACTTTTCAGCAAGCTGAAGATATTCCAATCTAAATTTTGTCTCACTCTTTGACTACAGTGTTCAATTTGACATCTGATGTTGTGGGTGGAGTTAAAAGGTGAAAAACCAACCACAGATTCATGCAGGCCTTGAAATCAACATGAGAGGGTCAAAATGGGAGAAAGGCTCCTGGCATCTATATCTGGAAGAAATCTTGCTAGTTTTACCATTTGTTAATTACAAAATTACAAATTGTTACAGTTCTACGTGAAATAGACTCTTATGCTTCAACCCATCCTGAAGAAGAAAGAAGAGGCTTAATGTCACAGGTTTTCGTCCACATAGATTTTCTAGGCCTTTCCTATAAATCATTTCAGATTTTTATGTGGGCCTGGAGGCTTTGCACAGAACTTGATAGTGCATGTTTTTAAAGTCCAGATGCGGGTTTTGGTGTTTGCATTCCACTCATTTCAATGATCTCATTTTGTTTATATCCACCAGGGGTTCCTGTAAGAGCTCTTTGAGGTGGCTCTGCACTGTCCAGCTTAGAGGTCAGAGTGATCAGTCAATTGCTAGGAGATTGGACTCTTGCCGTAAGTGTTAGGTCGGGAATTGCTGTAATTTCTCACCAGGTGGAATTTCCCAAAGGTGAACTTGATATCAGAAAATGCAAGAGATACAAAGATGTAAAGAAAAGGCAGCATCCCTCAAAAAGATTTATCCTGATGAGAGGACAGAACTAAAAGGGAATTTTGTTGCAGATTAGCACTTCTTAACTCCTTTGGCTTGGGCTTTCAAATTCAATAACCATTTCAGAAAGATTGAAAAGAACATCTAGCCTGTAATCTCAGCACTTTGGGAGGCCAAGGCAGGAGGGCCACTTGAACCCAGAAGTTCAAGACCAGCCTGGGCAACATAATGAGACCCTGTCTCTATGAGAGATTTTTAAAAAATAGCCTGGCATGGTTGCAGACACCTGTAGTCCCAGCTTATCAGGATGCTGAAGTGGGAGAATTGCTTGAGCCTAGGAGTTTGAGGCTGCGGTGAGCTATGATTGTGCCACTGCATTTCAGCCTGGGTGATTAAGACCCTGTCTCCAAAAGAAAGAAATGAAAAGAAAAGAAAAAGGAAAAGGAAACACAGAAAGAAAAAGAAAAGAGCATGCACCTACAAAAATGTTTCCTTGGGCATTTGAGAAAGAGTGAGCTACGAAAATGAAATATTTTAGGAGAGGTCTAATATGGTGAAACAAACTCACTTGGAAAACAATTCAGGCAGCAATGTTAAGCCAAAAGGAAAGAAAGAATGGTCTTTGACAGCAAAACTGGTCTCAAGAAGCTTACTGCAGTTCCTGCCTGAAGCCAATCACCATTCTACAACTCCTGCCTGTGGTCCAGAATCTTCCACTTTCTAGATCACACTTTCTCTCTGTCCCCATAGTGATGCTTCTGTTGTTTTTTCCGTATAGAATGACAAATAACTATTTGTATGATTGGTTCTTACATTAAACTGTGAATTCCTTTTATCCTGGCAATTACATTCCTGGAGAATTTACAACTCCTCACAATTACCATAGGAGATGGCTAAAACTATTTCTTTCACTTATTTGTTTGCATATTTTCTTCCCCTTACCTCACTAAACTGTAGGCAACACAGTGCCGAGATCACATCTATTTGGTTCGCTGCTGTATTCCCAGGGACTAAAATAGTGTCTAGCAGGGAGTAAGTAAACATCACTTAAATGGATACATGATCAGGAGAATCATTAACCCAATTTCTTGCAAGATCATATGGCACATATGCAGCAAAGAAAGATTTGAACCCAGTTTTGTCTGACACCAAAGGTCAGTTGTGCTCAACCTCTGTATCAATTAATGACTGAAACCCTCTCAAAATCCCAAAGCCATTAACTGATCAATCAAACAATCAATGTTCATCAAGCTTACTTGATACGTAGGCAGAGAAAAAGTTGTAACTGTCACAGCACACATTGCTGTGACTACCATATTTTCAGCATGGTCTTCAGATCTCTAGACCTGAAATGCCCAGAGTATTTAGGGCATACTCTTAATAGTCAATATTTATTGAGTGCTTAATAAGTACCAGAATTATTTTAAGAGTTTGAGATATTTTCTGGTGCAATGCTTACACTATGCTTTTTGAGTGAGGTAAATACTATTATTATTATTATAGATGATGCAACGAAACACAGAGAGTTTAAGTAATTGCACTACTTCTCATACTGAGAGGGGTACAGCTAAGATCTGAACCCAGACAATCTGTCTTCCAATTATGCTCTTAACTATGATATACTGCCTTTCTAAGAATTTGAAGTTTTGAGGGGGTCAGGGAGAGTAGTTAGTTTCATCTTTGCAAAGTCTACTTTTTATTTTCAGTGCCTGAAACAATCCTGGTAATATTAGGTGCTCATTAAGTATTTATAGAATGGATGGATGAATGAATATGACTAGCTATTGTCTTATACGAAGATCACAAACTTAAGAAGATGGAACTCAGTGGAAACGTGGGAAGTCCTGAGCTTTGAACCATACCCCAGGATAGTGAGAACTTAAGGGGAGCACGTAAGAAGAGGGAAGACTCTGCAGACATGGAAAGGGTGAGAGAGGCTCCTGAAAAGGCAAAACAAGTAAATAAATGAGGTCAAAAGGACTACCACAATCTCCAGATTTACTAATAATGTCCCTTTCAGTGAACTTATATAATTTCCTCTAAGACCAGCTTGGTGGCAAAAACATCGCTAGGGAATCCACCTGGCTCTGTTTCTTCAGCTTTTGACAGATGCCACGGCTGACACATGAGGACCATGGATCTCTTCATGTACACCTTTGTGACAACTTTCCATTATTTCCAAAAGTATGGGGACCACATAATTTACTGTACAAATGTGGACATCTGGTCACTCCACTAAAAATCATCTTTCGAGTGTCTATAAGTCACCATGTTAGGCAACTATAGCAATAGGCCAGGCTTGAGAACATGCATAACTACAATTTGGCTTTTCATTTCAGAGAAGAAAGAAAGGGATGGTTTTAGAAAATATTAGGACAAAAAATCATCAACAGATCTTGATAACTGACAGGATATAAGGTAAGAGAAAACAGAGTCAATGAGTTGGACTAACTCAAAACAATGATGGTTAAATATTATAAAAATTCAATAGAGGGAGTTGTCAGGGGGGAAGGATAATGGTGAGAAAAGATGATGAATTCAGTTTTCAAGATATTGGATTTTTGGAGATAAAATGACATCCAGATGGAAATACCTAAATACGACTTTAAAATATTGTAGATGTGGTTTTTAAGTCCTCTTATTGGAGGTGATTTGTGAAAACTTGAGAGAATTTATTTAAACCTTATTTATGGATTCTGATGTTCTTTGCATTAGGGGAGAAATTGAGAGTAGAAAGAAGAATGACGAGGTTTACGCTCTCCTGAGGAAGGACCCTCAAGAGAGGACCTTATGAACACAATTAGCTACTGAAAAAGACTTGGAAAAAATTATGGCACAATGAAGAAAATAATCTTCAAGGCTCAGTGGAAGAAAAAGAAGAGAGGAGGTCTCAGAGAGGTAATTCATGAAGTGAGCATCAAAGCATGGAATAACTAATTGTGTTAAAGACAAATGTGCCAGCATGGAGCTAAATTCGGAGAAAAAAAAAGTAATGTCAAAAAGAATGTGGCGGACAGGCATGGTGACTCACATCTGTAATCCCAGCACTTTGGGAGGCCGAGGTAGGAGGATTGCCTGATATCAGGAGTTTGAGACCAGCCTGACCAACATGGAGAAACCCACTCATGGTGGTGCATGCCTGTAGTCCCAGCTACTCAGGAGGCTGAGGCAGGAGAATCGCTTCAACCCAGGAGGCGGAGGTTGCAGTGAGCCAAGATGGGGCCACTGCAATTCCAGCCTGCGTGACAGAGCAAGACTGTCTCACAAAAAAAAAAAAAAAGAAAGAAAGAAAGAATGTGGCAATCAATTTTACCTGGGAGGAGGGAGGAGTAAGGGAGGCTCTGGTGATGCATCTCGAAGAAGAGGGTAATTAAAATTGTATTCAGAATTGCATTCAGAGGACCTTTCTATTTTATTAATTGCCATATCCCTGGTTGTGAATATCACATAATTATATAAATTGAATCTTTTTCTTTATGTGTTGACCTGGAAATATGACCATGATTTTAAATGACAAAAGCAACAGACAGAGTATGCCAGGAACTATTGGCAGATCTTTTAAAAATAAATTAGGGGCTTTGTAAGCCATTTGCTATGTTACAATTTTTTGTTCATTTGTGAAGATATGAGCTTGCTAGACAGTCACTGAAAGTGTTTGATATATAGCAAGATATGGGACACTCTATTTCCACATGGTAATTCATATGTAATGTAACAAGGGTAATGAAACCAAACATGGGAACTTCTCTGGCCTTTACCTCTGTTGTGAATGAAGTCATGAGTCATTCTTACATGCAATGCTCCTTTATACTAACGTCTACCAGAGACTGGAGGGAAATCTGCTTAGTGTCTCCCATGAGAAAGTTTGTGATTGGCTAACATCACCATCAATTATCTGGGAATAAAGGGGGATACAGTCACTTCAAGAGAGAGAAACAAGTCGGACCCATATGTTTGATTATCAAAAACTGTTTTCTTCTTTATCTCCTGGAGTTGAGGGTTGGGGATAAGGGATGGTCTTCAAATCACTGATTATTATTATGAGACTCTGATTCTAAAACATTTATGAAGGACAAAACATCCAAGAAAAGTCAAGGACTTCTTGCAGAAAGGGGCTATAGTGGGGGGATTTTCTCTATTAGACATCATGTTTATATAAAGCAATAATAACTAGGACAGTGCAACACTGGCACAAAAACAAGAAAATTGACAAAAAATGAAATAGAGTTTAGAAACAGACCGACATCTATAGAATTTTGATATATGCAGAGGTAACATGGCAGACTCTGAGAAAATGAAGGCCCTAATAAATAATACTGGAAAAACATATTCATGTAGAAAAAGATTATTTTTAAAAAATATTTTCTCATTTTAAACATAATATATGAATTATTCTATAAAAAAGATGCGACATATAAAACTAAAATTTTATTCAGCTACTACCTTCAGTGCTAACACAGATGCCCTTTTTCCTTGGACAATAATAACAACTAATACTTATTTAGTTTGAAATAAAAATTTTGCTGAGATACCATGAGACTAAAAGTACCACATTTCAAAGGAGATGCTGGACCACATGCAAAATGTGTAAGCAAGACACCAAGAAACCTAACACCAAGTTAAGTGACTCTTATCCCTTTACTCAACAATGGTATAAAAATATTAAGAGTTAGAATGAGAAGGTTTCTTTAGAGAAATCTACATATTGATTCTGAAGAAAGAGTGCTGAAGGATCTTGTTCTCTGAAACTGAAAAAAGGGGGTTTTTTGAAGCTCAGTATGTGTCTCATGTAATGCAGTGGACAGGGGTCTGAGTCACACTAAGAAAATCTAATGGCCAGGGCTGCCTGGCTGCTTTGACAATGTGTAAAAGAGAGGTGATGACTTTGGGGCCACACAGCATTTACAGACTGTTCTGGGGCAAGAAATGGGCATTTCTCAAAGAACAAATATGGGACACACATAAGACAGAGCTGATCAGAGCAATTATCTTACTTTCTATCAGGACGAACAGACCTCAACATTTTATTTTTATCTTACATTCCATATTTTATGTAGTATTTTATATCTTATTGAGTTATCTAAATGAATTATCTTATTGGTGCTAATGGTCTGTCATTACTCTCTTTGGTTATCTACAGATATAGTCATTGGTGAACGGAAAGAGAGAAATGTGAACATGTTTTTATTATGATGAAGATGTAGAAAGTTTTCTTTTTCCAGGTTGGCAAGTTCTAAATATCAAATCTGTGTTTTAATATTACATTAATATTTTCCTATTTTATTTTGTATTATTTACTGGGGTATGGGGAGGATAGGAAATAATTATTTGCAAAGTTTCTGGCATCAGCCAGAATATGTATACATGCATTCAAAATCCTCATTTTTACTCCATAAATTAAGTATCATTAACAATTTAGTTGATATAACCTGTTGGTTTGCTGTACCTGAACCAATATTTTTTACTTTTACTAAAACAAAGAAAAAAATGGAAAAAAATTTAAAGGAAATTTAGCGTATCAATTGTATTTTTCAAAAGATTCTCTCATGAGATTTATCTGATTTTTGAGTTTTCCTAGTACATTTTAAATATGACTTAATTAACCAAAAAGAATGTATTTAGACACAGAGACCACATTTAATGAGTAAAATAGATGTTACTATGGTTCAGAAAAACAAATTAATTGGCCTGGATCAAGGTTTCCTAGAAACTTATCTTCTAGAGTTCAAGATTGGAATCAAATTTGTTCAAAAGACTAATTCAGCTGGCATGTAAACACATACCCTCATCGATTCTAGAGAAGAGACAAATACACATTGTTGCAGATACTTTCAGCTGCCTGCCCAATAGTCATGTTTTTCTTCCTTATATAACCCTAGGGAGAATGCCTTGATGATAAACTAAATTTCCCAGCCTTCTTGCATACCTGAAATTTAAATGAATTCAAACCTCATTGAGTGGGGCTTCCAGGAAGGTCACGTTGTCCTCTTCTACTACCCTACTTCTAAGCTGGAGCTCAAGCAGAAATCTAGGTCAATGAGGGAAGGTGACAGTGGAAACACATACCACATGGATTAGTCAGCTTGGGCTGCCAAAACAAAATACTGTAGACTGAGTGGCATAAACAACAGGAATTTATTTCTCACAGTACAGGAGACCAGGAAGTTCAAGATTAAGGTACCAGCCAATTCAGTTTCCTGGTGAAGGCCCCCTTCCTAGCTTGTAGATGGCTGCCCTCTCTTTAGGTCCTCTCTACAGCCTTTGCTGGGTTCCTGCATGTGGAGAAAGAATGCAAGCTCTCTATTGTCTTTTCTTATGGGGCACTAAGTCCATCATGAGGTCCTTACCCTCTAACCTCATCTAACTCTAATTGCCTCCCAAAGGTGCCATCTCCAAATACCATCACTTTGGGGGTTGGGGGGTCAATATACAAGTTTGTGGGGGACACAGATATTTAGTCCATAACACTAAGATTGCCAGCACAGAAAGATAGAAGGAATATGGGGCCCTGGTGACTTTGGAGCTGCCATGTCAGCCTCAGAACACCTGACTCTTGATTTCTACTACTAGAGAGAAAAATAAACTTTTGTTATGTATATGCCACTGTTATTTCCAGTCTCTGACATAGCAACTGAATGCAAATCCTAACTGACAGAGACAAACATGCTATGTAATAAAGAAAAAGGTATTTTGTGGCAGATGTCACAAATTGTATATAAATACATGCACAAACACACACATTACATTCAATAATGTAATGTACACACATAATATGTATACATAATATGTAATAATGTAATGTACACACATATACATAGATACACACATACACATGCCATATAATATATATGGTATTCCTCACACACACACATATATATTTATATACATATATACAAATTATTTTGTATGTCCCCTGAAATTGTTAGGATGGACAAACTTGACCTAGTCACCCAATTGTAATTGCTGTGGAATATTTGCTGTGCTGAAGTGACAAGTGCTATTCCAATTTTTCGGCCATGCCACTAGTAATGCTCATTTTAAAAACATATAAATAAAATGATTTTATTTTTCATGTGTTCAGCCTTAGGAAGGAAATCATTTAAATTTGGTCAGTGGAAAAATGCAGATTGCCATTTTTATTTACTTTTTAAAATAAGTGAACTAGGGATTTCAAATTATAATTTCCACAGGAGTAGAACCTAAGGGAAAAAACAGTGTTTAAAACAAGGGATAATAATTTGCCACATCTTTGGATGGTCACACTTTATTTTGAAAGGGTGATATTAGAATTACTTTCCATTCTTTCTCCATTTGTCAGGCTATATTTTACTTGGATTATATCAGTAGAATTATATTTTTAGTTAAAACTCTTTCAAAGCAAATTGCATTTAATTAGAAAATAAGTGAAGGAAGCATGTCACACTTAGTGATTTGAGGCCACTTCAGTCATCAGAATGTGAAAATCATTTCTCCAGATGGCAGCTTCCTGCTTAGCTGAGACCATGATAACCACAGTAGATTTTTTTTTTTTTTTTTGAGACGGAGTCTCGCTCTGTCGCCCAGGCCGGACTGCGGACTGCAGTGGCGCAATCTCGGCTCACTGCAAGCTCCGCTTCCCGGGTTCACGCCATTCTCCTGCCTCAGCCTCCCGAGTAGCTGGGACTACAGGCGCCCGCCACCGCGCCCGGCTAATTTTTTGTATTTTTAGTAGAGGCGGGGTTTCACCTTGTTAGCCAGGATGGTCTCGATCTCCTGACCTCATGATCCACCCGCCTCGGCCTCCCAAAGTGCTGGGATTACAGGCGTGAGCCACCGCGCCCGGCCCACAGTAGATTTTTTTTGAAAATCATATTTACTTATATGTGTGTAATTAATTTTTAATTGCATGAATTATTGACAAAAATAAAGTCAAACACCAAGGAATTATATTTATAAAGAAAAAGGCATCAGTGATCTCCTTTGGGAAGCATTTTTCAAGGCAAAATATCATGGTGTTGACCTTCACCTTTTTTAGGTTGACAAGTGGTGATTAACTACATAAAAGCATAGTTCCATGTAATGCAATTTGAAAATGTAGCAGGGCTTAAAGGCCGGTGGAAATAATGTATCAAGACTTCTAAGTTTTAGCAAACAATTTTCTTATGTTAATAGGCAATAGATATTTTCTATGTGTGTAAGAGAAATAAAGAAGAATGTACTGGCAGTTTTAAAAAGTATTGCTTTAGATTTAGCCTTTTAAAATAACCACTAACTGCCAAGAATTATGCTGGGTGCTCAGATTACAAGGTTGGGTGAAACAGGAAGTGATTTCTGCCCTCAAAGAAACAAGATAGACAATCACCTAGTCATATATTTATATAGTTCTATCACTTTTTGAAACAAAATGCAGGCAGTTGTGAGAGCATATCTTAGACAGATCCAATGTATTATTATTATTTTATTTATTTATTCATTTTTTTGAGATGGAGTCTCGCTCCTGTTGCCCAGGCTGGAGTGCAATGGTGCGATCTCGGCTCACTGCAACCTCCACCTCCCATGTTCAAGCAATTCTCCTGCCTCAGCCTCCAGAGTAGCTGGGATTTCAGGCAACCGCCACCACGCCCAGCTAATTTTTGTATTTTTAGTAGAGACAGGGTTTTGCCATGTTGGCCAGGCTGGTCTTGAACTCCTGATCTCACATGATCCACCAGCCTCGGCCTCCCAAAGTGCTGGGATTACAGGCCTGAGCCACCGCACTGGGCCAAGAGATCCAATGTATTCTAAGGGATCAAAGGAGACTTCATTTTAGGTGTAACATTGAAATAAAATCTCAAGTGTGACTAGGGATTAACTGGGCAAAAGTGGGAAAGAACTAAGAGGAGGCCTATGTGGCTGTATGTCAAAAAGCAAAGGGGAAAAAAGGCCCAAGATTATTCTAGAGAGATCATATACGGCATTTAGCTTGGGTTAGGGTCTTTATTCTAGGAATACAAGAAAATCTCCAGCATTTTAAGCAGAAATGTGAAATAATTGGATTTACATTTTAAATGATTACCCTAGCTGTGGTATAGACCCTACCCACTACAAAGCATTGAATGGAAGAGGCCAAATGCAGACCTAGTGAAATCATAAAGAAAAACATTGATGGATTTCCTTGTGAATAAAAGAAAATTGGCCAGGCGCGGTGGCTCACACCTGTAATCCCGGCACTTTGGGAGGCTGAGGCGGGTGGATCGCCTGAAGTCAGGAGTTCGAGACCAGCCTGGCCAACATAGTGAAACCCCATCTCTACTAAAAATATAAAAAATTAACTAGGCATGGTGGCAGGTGCCTGTAATCCCAGCTACTAGGGAGTCTGAGGCAGGAGAATTGCTTGAACCCAGGAGGCGGAGGCTGCAGTGAGCCGAGATCATGCCATTGCACTTCAGCCTCGGCAACAAGAGTGAAACTCTGCCTCAAAAAAAAAAGGAAAAGAAAATTAATCCCAAACATTATATTTTATTCAGACACTCCTCCTGTCTCCCTAGGTATAGAAATAAAGCTTCATATAGTGTACACAAAAACAGTATAATCAAAGGAACTAGAGGAAAACAGTCTTTAAAGAATGATAATAAGACCTCACAACAGACTTCTTGTCAGCAAAGTAGATGTGTGAAGAAAATAGAATATTTTTAAACTACTGAATCAAAATACTGATCAATGTTGAATTCTATGGGAACTATGATTCAAAAGTGAATGTAAACTAAAGGTCATTTCTAACATACTATGAGAGTTTTTATACTTGCATATACTTACTGAAAGAACTAAAGAATGTATATTTCAGCAAGAAGGAATTAAGCTAGAAGAAAGGGGCTGAATGTAAGAAGCAATGATAAGTAAAGAAACTGAGAAAGATATTAACAGATCTGAACAATGTAAACATAGTATTATGGATGATAAAAGAAAAACTTCAGCTGAATTAAATTTAAAGGAGTTTACTTGAGCAATGAACAGGCAGCCACCAGAATCACAGCAGATTCACAGAGACCCCAACGGTGCCTCACGGTCAGAACAAATTTATAGACAAAAAAGGTAAAGTGACATACAGGAATTGGAAGTGAGGTACAGAAACAGTGAGATTGGTTACAGCTCGGTATTTGCCTTATTTGAACGCAGTTTGAACATTCAGCAGTCTATAAGTGGTTGAAGTATAGCCGCTGAGACTGGCCAACACTCAGCTATTGTTACAGGTGCTACTTACTACAAAGTTAGGTTTTCGGTTTTGTTTGACTATTAAGCTAGGTTACAGTTCATCCACAAGGACTCAAATATAGAAGTACAGAGTCCTTCTCTGGCCATGTTTAGTTTGCTTTAACAGGGATTTAAAAACAAAGTAAAGTACAACTAAAGACAATAGTAATATTTTTAAGACAGAGAAGGGTGGTCATATTTGTGGAATTTAAGATCCTTTTTTATAAAGGATGAATGCAGAACTATAGACAAAATTAAGATATATTGACAGTGGTTATGATTTGAATTACTCCCCTTCAAAATTCAGGTGTTGTCAATGTGATAGTATTAAGAGGTGAGGCCTTTAAGAGGTGATTAGGCCATGAGAGCTCCTCCTCCATTAATGGGATTAAGGCCATTTTAAAAGAGGCTTTAGGCAGCAGTCTTTGGCTAGCTTGTCCTTCTTCCTTCTGCCATATTGAGAAAACTGTAGCAAAAGGCCCTTACCAGACAAAACCTGCTGGCACCTTAATCTCGGACTTCCCAGCCTCCAGAACTGTGAGAAATAAATTTCTGTTCTTTATAAATTACTCATTCTCAGAAATTTTATTATAGCAACACAAAATGGACTAAGACAATATTTAAGTGAAGTCTGTATGTTAGAAATGTAAGGATTATCACAAAATAGTAGAAATAACATGGATAATATCCCAAATGAATTTAAGGCAAAGAGAAGAAAAAATCAAAACTTGGCAAATCCAAAAGAAAGTAGAAAATAAGACCAAAAAAAAGCAAAAAAAAAAGTGTAAATAGGAAACTTAATACGAGACCAAAAAGTAATCAAGAATCACAAAGAATATAAATAGAAGATTATATACAGATTACTTAAAAAGCTCTCACGATTTCTCCAACACTTCAACCTCAACCCACATAATGGATTTATCATTGTAATGGCTGGTTTGAGCAGGAGGCCTGGCTCAACTTTGTGGAGCTGGTATTTCATTTTTCAGAGAGTGAATTTAGAAAGCCTTGGATATGCTTCTGGTTAAAAGGCTTCCATACTTCAGTGGCAAAAAGTGAAATGTATATTTTTTGCTTATAGTTTAGATTTTAATGGGATTATGTCAATTTTTTATAATTTTCTGTAGACTAAATCACACCCTAAAACATATGGGCATAATTTCACAATTTCTTCTCCTTAGTGAAATCTCTTTGCAGAACAGATATAATTGACCTAATATTTCAGAGAGTCTCTAAATATATAAGAATGGAGTCAGCATACAAGATTTTCAAATCCCCTGAGGAGGGGAGAAGTGGCTCTTATATCAGGTGGATGGACATGCAGAGATCATTAGTGGTTTCATGGTACCTTTTTGTTTAGTAACTGTACTTCCTATTTATCTGCAATCTTATCACTGAGAAAGTTTATAAAGCTTCAAAGTACCTGCTCATTTATATTGCCCTATTCTCTATAAGAGGTCCTAAATTCTCTTCTGATTCACATGATATGATAGTGTCTTCTGGGTCAGATGAAATCAATCTTGCTACTCGGTCCCTAGCTATTTTCACCAGGTTTTGGTACATGATCTGAAAGAATGTTTATAATGTCTGAAGGTAAGATAGGTCAGGTGTCCCTGAGACTCCAGTTAAATGGTAACAACTTGGCCAATCACATTGTTTCTTCTCATTAGGGTAAAGTTAATAGATAAAGTAGGATGAGGAGAAGAAAGAGCAGTTGTCTTTCCAAACAATGCTTAGCCATTGTTCTGGTACTCATTATGGCTGTTGTACATCTCAGTCTTGCATGGTCTGAGTGCAATGTAACATTCCTGTACATGCTACCCTATGGGGAGAATTCCTAACATAAACCTACTAAAGGTAATTTGTGTGTAATTTTTCCTTGCGACCCTAAGGATCCTGAAAATTCCAATCAGGAAAACATATCTAGGGAAGGGATATGAGTCAGGGAAATTCCAGCCTTGAATATTGTAAACCAAGACTGGAGCATATTTTAGAATGCCAGATTGATATGGTTTGGCTCTGTGTTCCCACCCAAATCTCACCTTGAATTGCAATACTCCCCACCTGTCAAGGGCAGACCCAGATGGAGATAATTGAATCATGGGGGCAGTTTCCCCCATGTTGTTCTCATGATAGTGAGTTCTCATGAGATCTAATGGTTTTATAAGGTGCTTTCCCCTTCACTCGGCTCTCATTCTCTCTTCAGCTGCCCTGTGAACAGGTGCCTTCTGCCATGATCATAAGTTTCCAAGTCCTCTCCAGCCACGTGAAACTGTGAGTCAATTAAACCTCTTTTCTTTTACCCAGTCTTGGGGAGTTCTTTAAAGCAATGTGAGAACAGACTACTACACAGGTGTTGGAGCAGGTGTCTCTAGGTCTCTAAGATCAGAACAAGGCTTGCAGCAAGATGGTCTTAACTTGGAACAAAAAACCTAATTTCTTTCCTCTGCCTGCAACCAGAGGGAGATACCTCATAATGGGATTGTTTCAGGGACAAGTAGCCTTTGGGAGTAAAGAGCCAGTGCAGAATATGCCCAAAATATTCCTTTAGAGGTGGCTTTCTCTAAGTTTTAGAGAAGCATTATTTTGCCTCTTTTCATAGCACTGACGCAGAGTTACTAAATGTATTTTTTCTCAAGTTGTTAGAAATGAGTCATAAAATAAATGACTTGTGTTTGACTTTCAAGTGTTTCTAGCACCAAGCATTAGCAGTAAATGAAATCCTTCTAATATTTTCTATGGGTGGAAATGTGTCAGATTCCCATGGCTTTTAGGTTAAACTAGAGTCAATTTAAATTTAGTATGTTTCATCACATATAAAGCAAGTTTACTCAGCAACTATCAAGCATGTGTCAAGGTGTTATCTGAAAGTCAGAAAATTCACTTTGTGCTTCATAAATAAGTACAGGTGAATTACTTCCCTCCTCTATCTCTTTAAAACAAATGTATTTTGTTGAATGCCTTGGGCATTCAGCCCAGAATGACAGAACACAGAATGTTTTAATTGAAAAAAAAAAAAAAAACCTAAGAGATCAGCTAGTGTAATCCATTAATTTTACAAAGGAGGAAAGCAAGGCACAGAGGTAGGTTTCTCTCTTGGGGATCACACAAAAAGCTAGTAGCCTAAATACTGGTCTCATGACACCCATTCCCATGGTCTTTGAACCATAAAATTATTCTGCTGTCAGTAGCATTAAATGTTTCCTCTCCACCGATGCTGAGGATGTAAATTCCCCACAAAAACGGAATTGATGTGATCTTTTTCCTGCTTCAGGAATGTTTTCCAGGTTTGTTCTCCCACTTACCCCTTCATGTCTCATTCCTTTCTATGGATATCTGAAAATTTGTCCAGTTGCCTGGCTATAGGGTACAGTCTATTTCCCAGTCCCTGCGGAAGGAGGACCTATTGGATGGGCTGCCCTGGCTTTGCATTAGGTCTCTCCCTACAGGCTTCTTCTCCCTTGGGCTCTCCCATTTCAGCCTTATTTATTTCAGCTCTGAAACAGGTGATGTTGCACCACTGTACCAGATCCTGCTCACTCTCAGGACCTTGAATTTTGAGACTGTTCCTAGATTCAGCTCAGCCTAATATCCTGGGATAATCAGGGAAGTCTTACTTATGTCCATATCAGTACTTGATGAGCCATCTGAAGCCTGTGTTCTTTCTTCAGTAGAATAGTACTACTTAAATAATCTTTAAAATATTTAGAATACGAAGAATTTTGAAAAGAAACAAAGCCATCCATACTCTTCTATTTTGAGACAGAGTGTTGGTCACCCAGGCTGGACTGCAGTGGTGTAATCACGGCTCACTGCAGCCTCAACCTCCGGGGCACAAGTGATTCTCCCATCATGGCCTCCAGAGTAGTTAGAACTATAGGTGCATGCCACCACACCCAAATGATTTTTTTGTATTGTTTTAGAGACAGGGTCTTGCCATTTTGCCCAGGCTGGTCTTGAAATCCAGGACTTAAGCGATCGACCCACCTTTGCCAGAGTGCAAAGGTAATCCCTTTGCACTTACTGTATTTCAAGACCTTGGCTAGGTTTGCAAGATAAAGCAGGAAAAAGTAAAGAAAAGGCCCTAAATTGTGAAATTTACAGTCTGAAGAACCAGACTGTAAATGGGCGATTATAATACAGGATAATGGAAGAGAAGGGAAGAGAGTGTGCTGTAAAACCAGGGCATCAAACTTGGGTACTCAAGGAAGCCTATCTCAATGAAATAATATCTTAGCTGAGGCCTGAAGGACGTAAAAGATTTAATCAGATAAAACAGTGAAGTGGGGAAGTGCTTCAGGTAGAGGGTACAGCTTTGGCAAGGCTCTAAGGTGTAAGAGAATAGTCTGTGTGAAGAAATAAAAGAAGTTCAGTATGTCTGAAGTATAGAATGGAGGGCAGTTAATGGAAACAGTTTGAGTGAGTATTCTGGTGTGAGATCTTGCAGAGCCTTATAAACCACAGAGGAGAGTTGGGGCTTAGTTCCAGGAGTGATGGTGTGCTTTTATAGGGTGTTAAGCACTGGGGTGACATGATCCAATTTGCCTCAAAAGAATCAGTTTGGCTACAATGTGATGGGTGGATGGGATGGAGACAAATCCAGAAGCAGAAATGCCATTTTATGGATGTTTGAATAATTGAGGCAAGAGATAATTTTGATCTAGAAAAGAGTCAAGCCTGCAATGATAGAGAGAAAAAGACATATTCAATAAATTTTTAGAAGGTAAAATAAATTTAATTCTACAATTCCTTCTGGAGGCTTCTTGTTTCTCTTTCTTTTATCAATAATTCTCTCCTCCATGCCACGCTGCCTTTCACATGGCTGGAAACTTCAGCTCTCAGCTTCATGTCATCTTCTCAGAGAGGACTTTCCTGACCACCCTATTTAAAATGTCTCCGTCCTCACTCTCTCAGAGTACTGATTTTATTCCTTCATAAAAGAATCAAAACGTGACTATTTTATTTATTTGCAATGATATAATTAGTGTCTGCTTTCCTTGCTAGACAATAAGCTTCATGAATTCAGGTACCATGTTTATTTTTTTCCATATGGAATACCCAGGGTCTGACTAGTTTCTGGCATACAGCAGGTGCTGAATAAATTTGCTGAACATGAATGTGGGCGGCAGATTGAAGATTCAAGGACGCCCAGATGTCTGGTTTGAATACCATTAACTGAGAGAGAGAACTCTACAAAAGGAACAGGTTTGGAGGGATATAAGATATGCTCAGTTTTGGACATGTTGATTTTGAGGTGCTGTGAGATTTCATAGCAGAAATGTCTATCAGGAAACTGAAAACAGATCTGGGGTTTAGGAAGGAGATCTAAACTGGAGATACATCGCCAGAAATAGCTATATTTCAGAGCTTTGCTCAATATTTATATGTTTTTTGCAGTAGAGAATCATACATAACTTGATTTTTCCAACTTAAATGTATATCTTGAAGCTTTCCATGTTCTTTAATATTCTTTTACATTATTTTCATGATTGAATAATGTTCCATTGGGCAATTGTCTCATAGTTATTTAACTAATTGTCTTTCATTGGATATTTAGATTGCTAACAGCTTTTGTCATTGAGTGTAATCTGTAATGGACAGTCTTCAGCTAAGACATGGTTCTCACTAGTGAGTAATTCTTGAAAAGTGTTTTCTAGAAGTGGAATGGCTAAATAAATGAACATACAAAATTTTATGGTTTCATACTGTAGCAGGATAATATTTTCGATGTATAGATTTATCCTTCTACTTAAAATCCACTTATTTGCCTTCCTTCCTTGCCTGCTTCACACTTCATTCAAGCTACTTGGCTATGGCACCCAAAGAAATAATGTGTTTGTATCTGAAAACAAAGAAAAAAAAGGAATGCTAGCTTTTTTTGTTAAAAGCCTGAAGCCTTAGGGAGACAAATGATTCTTGGCAAAGGGGAAGGAGAAGAGATGGAGGGGAATTTCACCACTTCATTACAATTAGAACTTGGTATAGAAATAAGTTGAATATATATATATATATACGCATATATATATACACACATATATATATGCGTATATATACGCATATATACGCATACATATACACATATATACGCATATATATATGCATATATATGCATATATATACGCATATATGTGCATATATATACACACATATATATATCTTGAACCCTACTCTTGCAGACTGATATTGATACTCTTATTAGTGCCTATTGCCAAATTATGAGAATATTTTTAGTCCATAAATTTAGAAGACTTTGTACCCAAAGACCTAGGTTATATTTTAGAATTAGTTTGTATTTTTAAAAATTAAAATCTGAATCAAAATTTAAAAATCTAATAACATTAATTATTTTATTCATTTTAAAATAAATCACAAGTCTAATAACAATCAAATTTTATTTGATAGTTCACAGATTCTCTAATGTGATGTATTCTCAAACATTTCAAATATCTTAAGTAACAACAAAAAAATCACAATAATTATTTCAATTTTTCTCAGAAGCTGAAAAGTATTAATAACATGGATTTGGTATGCTTTTTCTTTATCTCTATGTTTATTTTACACCTCCTCAGGATTATATAAATATTTATCCCCATATATTGTCCACCAGTAGTTCCATGCAACTTGGAACAAACTGAATTGAGACATAGAATTTGAGGAAATCCTCCCTCATCACCTAATAAGATGAAGTATTTCTTAGAGACTTACAGTAATCAAACTTTTGAAATCCATGCATTTTCTTACAAATAACTACTTCATATTTTTTTAAATCAGCTTTATTGAGGTATAATTTACAAAAAAACAAAATGTGCCCATTTCAAGTGTCAAATTTGATTGTTTTCACAAATATATACAGTATATATAAAGTATATATTATATGTATATATAGTAAATACATATTATATGTAGTAATATATACTGTATATATAGTAGATACATACTGTGTATATAGTAAATATATATACTATATTTCACAAATATCTATATACAAAAATATATATATACACACCACTTACAGTCATGACTGTAAAACATATTCATCATCTTGAAAGGTTTTCTTGTGCCTCCTTAAAGTCAATCTCTTTCCTTTGTCCTGCCTGCTAGAAGTCAGTAATCTGCTTCTGTCACTACAAACCTGTGCCTTTTCTAGAATTTCATAGAAATGAAATCATACAGAATACAGTCATATGTGTTTAGCTTTATTCCCTTGCTTAATGCTCTTTAGATTTATCTAACTTGCACATATCAGCAGTTTGTCTTTATATTGATCGGTAGTATTTCACTGAATGGATATACCACGATTTTTAAATTGATCCTTCAGTTAATGGGCATTTGAGTTGCTTCCAGTTTTCTTTTTTACTATTATGAATAATGTCGCTATGGTCACTGAACTATAAGCCTTTGTATCAACATACAGAATGTTTTTATTTATCCTGAGTAAATACATGGGATTATAGTTTCTTCTTGTGTGGTAAGTGTATATTTCACTGTAAAAAAATACCAAACTATTTCCTATGTGGCGGTATCATTTTGTATTCCTACTGTCAATGTTGGAGAGTTCCAATTGCATCCTTACCAACAGTTGGTCTTTGTCCAAAATTTGTACTGATTGTATGATGCTGCTATCTGGTGTCTTCATTTTTGAAAATTACATATCAATATTTCAAACATACTGGCAGTAACAGTACTGCTTAGGAAATACAAGTACCAGGGTGTTGGATCAAAGTCCCTTACTCCCTTACATTCAATAAGAACATTCCTCAAGATACACCACTACAGTATCAGTACAGAATAGAGTTATATGAAGCAATTTGCAGGAGTTCTGACATAGCTGCAGAAGTAATTCCCACTGAATAAAGTGATTTAATTAGAATTAGGGAGCTCTGTTTGTTCCTTCACTTAGGTTTGAGGTGTCTGAGTTCAAATATAAGTCAGTGAATTTTTCTCCATTGTACTCCATCCTATAATTTCTTAATTAATAAGACCAGCTAGTGATAATCTCTTGTCTTAGAGCATTTTTCTTCTCCATTTGTCAAGTTATTGTGTAGATTTCTGTAATCTGTATATTTGTGTGGTCTACTTCTGCTAGAAATAAAAGAAGACAGAAGCTCAGCTGTAGTGTGCCGTCTGTCTGAAAATGTTCATGTTTATAGACAGATGCTATACACCATAAGATACCCAGACCTCTCCAAAAGCTAAAGTAAGACCTCCAAAGTCAAATTCTGGATGGAGGTTGCATTTTTAGGCCCTTTAAGCTCATCTTCTTGGGCCATGGTTTGCTGTGGCTATGAAAAGGGATACTTATATGCAAGAATATTATTCAATATTTTAATGAGGAAAGTGTTTTATGTATGTATGTGTATGTGCACTTGTGAATGCTTAAATAGGCATTAGTTAAAAGAAAAAAAAAGTATTCTTTGTATTTGAATTGAGAGATCCAAGGCTTAATTCTCACTGTCAGGGCAGGCATGAGTTCAATAAAAATTTTCAAAGTTCTCTCCACCCCTTGGACTCTCAGAACTCCAAAGGCTACAGTTATAAAATAAAGGAGAGTCCTGGTACCAGTAACAATTTCCTTCAAACTTAGTGTGTTCCTGCGAAGTTTGAAGCCCAGGGAGTTTAAAAATCATTCACAGTTTTTCATTAACTTTGACTTTAAAAAACACTAGAGATGTAGTTTTACAAGTATTGTACCTATTAACGTTAACGTAAGTGCAAATGAATCATTGAGATCAGTAGAACCTGGAATCAGGGTGGGAGTGAGATGGGGCTCAGGAACATCCTGCCTTGTGCCCCAGAACATCACAGCCACCATCACAAACAGTTGGAATGAAGCTGTGACACCAGCTGCCTAGTTTTGAAGTGATAAAGAAAGTTTTTGAATTCACTGTGGTAAAACTTAGGCTTTCGTGCTAAATCCTCCTCTCCTCCTGCTTGTTTCCCTTTTTAGGAAGCTTGTGGCTGGCCACCTGGTGTTCTGAATCATTAATTCATGGGATACATTCTGTCAGGAATAACGTGTAACAGGCAGCCTGGCAACTGCCATCCAAACCCTTCCAGCTCCCCATTCACTTTAATTCATTTCAGTAATTATTTATTGTACACATACTATCACGCCCAGCCTGGTGCTAGGCAATGGGGCTTTCAAATGAACTAGAGCATATAATTCTTACCCCGGAGATTTAAAAAATTTATTGGATGCTGCATTTATTTAGAAACAGTAGATGAACTATTGCATGAAACAGAAAAATTACAAAATTTTTTTGTGCATCAAAGCATTATGAGAATAACAAAATGGGGAAGAATTAGCTTCAGTTCTTGAGGACCTGCCAAGCGACAGGTGCTGTACAGATATAGACACTGGGTGCCTTTCATGTGTCATTTCATTTAATTCTCAAAGCTAAGTTAGGAGAAAGGTATGAAAACTCCTACATTACACGTGAGAAAAATTGAGGTCTGGGGAAAGACTGGTTTCCTAATATTTCTCACTGCAATGAAAGATGATTGAGTGGGTTAGAGAAACCACCAGGACCTCCAGGGAAGAACAAAGTGTCAGGTGTCTGGGGCATGAATAGGAGCATCAAGAAAAATCAAAGATATTAAAAGTCAGATGAGAAGGGTCCCAGAAAACCAGAAGATAAAAAGGCCACAGATCTATAATCTGAAATCCATATTAAATTATTAAAAAGACCTATCCTATAGGAATTGAGGGAACATGGTGTCAATGAGCACACAGAAAATCACCAATAAGAAGGCTTTACTGGGAAGGCAGTTCTGGAACAAAGTTCTGGTTGTTCATGATTTCCAGGTGGTAGAAACCCATCTTGCAGTCAGAAATCAAGCAACTGAGAGTGGCGGAGTCAGGGGTGGAATTTCTGGGAAGAAGAAAGTTAACTGTCTGATAGACCACATTTTTCCAATTTGACATATCTATAATAACTTCCTTTAATTTATAATTTTTGAAGAAGCCTTGAAAAAAGTCATGTCCATTATGTTTCTCAATTATAATAATTATCTTAAATTAACTGATATGCTCTTTAGGCTATCAAATCTAAATATTTTGTGCTTTCAGTTTGTGAAGGCATTCTGGGCCTAAGAACTGTTGTTGTTTTAATATATTGGCTATCAGACGAGAAAATCAGAAGCACAAACATTTAGCTCTACAGAGAACAGAATAATGAGAAATCTGTTACCTGCTTAAATCCTCTAGGTGACGCACTTGAAATTTCATGTTTTTTCTCTTAAATATAATTTTCCTTATGTAGCTGAATTCATTTCAAACATCAGCTTCAATCTAGCAAAGGTCTCAGTCAAAAAGAGATGTCTCTCCAATTAAGGTTATTATATTCTACTTGGAAACTAGGACCAGTGGCACAGGTGGTATTAAAAGTTTCTGAGTAACGACTGCAAGTACTTCAAAGTACTGTTGTGTCTGCCAGGGTCACCGGAGTGCTGAGTGTACTAGGTCATTGTGTAGGAAGCCAAAATGGATTCAAGTGCATTGTTAATTGACTTTAACAATGCAGCTGCTTTCAAAAGGGATAACAATTAGCTGGGGACAAAAAGAACCACAGACAACTTTAATATACATTTGAAAATATTATAGCCTTTTATGACTACTGCTTTTTCCTAGAAAAAAGGAAACATTAATACTTTTTTATTTGAGATTCCTGTTTATTTGGAAATAATCACAACATGTTATTTAATTCGAGGAGGCAATCGTAAAGCAATTGATATTGACAAAGAAGGCAAAAATTTGAACTACCTCTAATTCTGTATTTTGCAGAAAATTTATATAATTCTGTATTTTAGTATATCCTTATATATTCGTTGCAGTAAAATTGGCTCCTTCCCCTAACCAAAATTCTACGTTCACCCTGATGATTGAGAAAATGTCTAAATCAGCAATCCTTAAACTGAAAGCTAAACATTAATCACCCAGAGAGCTAGTTTAAAATGCTGATATTCAGCCAGCTCAGTGGCTCACACCTGTAATTACAGCACTTTGGAAGGCCGAGGTGGGCAGATCACGAGGTCAAGAGATTGAGACCATCCTGGCCAACATGGTGAAACACCGTCTCTACTTAAAATACAAAAATTAGCTGGATGTGGTGGTGTGTGCCTGTAGTCCCAGGAACAGGAGGCTGAAGCAGGAGAATCGCTTGAACCTGGGAGGTGGAGTTTGCAGTGAGCCAAGATGGCACCACTGCACTCCAGCCTGGCAACAGAGTGAGACCCCATCTCAAAAAAAAAAATAGGCTGATTCTGACAGTCATTCTGATGCAGGTAGGCCACGAAATACACATTAAAAGTTAAATAAATGCCAATATAGACTTGAATTAGTAGCGAAAATACTTGTGTCTTACTAAAAGCAATATCAATCTTTCTAGCCCCTTGATGGGATGTGATATGAAGTGGTAGCAGTAGCTGTGTGTTTAAACCCAAACTTAGTTTCCATTGACTTTATCATCTACTGGTTTAATGATTCAGGAGATCTTTATTTCACCTTTAAAATAAAGTTGCATTGTCCATAAAGTGAAAGAAAGAGAATCTATGTTGTGAAAGTAAATGAAATAATATCCATAAATAACTTAATGCCTGCCACACAAATGTTACTCCATACATTCTTGATTTCTCTTTTGTCTTGATTTTGTTATTTGACCAAGTTATTTTGCTTCTACTTTTATCCACTGAGTTCTCACAGGAAGAATCCTAAAAGAAATACTATGGGACATCCATCTTTCCAAACATTCTGTGACACTCTTACTGCTCTCCAGAGAGAGTCAGCACATCTGAGCATATACCGTAACCAGGTGAGCTGGGTTGTTTCTTACCAACTCAGCACCAGCAGCACTATGCCCTTCCAAGACTGAGAACTACATTTCCCAAAATCCCATTCCCTCTATGGTTCTGGCTTAGAGGCTGCTAAAGAGAGGAACTGCGACTAGAGGGCCAAAGTGAAGAGGCAACCCTATTCCCAGAAGGTGTGGTGGAGAAGCTTTCCATGGACAACTCTGTGGGTTCCTGGTTTTGGATCATGGTGACAGGGAGCAGCAGCTGCTCAGACTCCTGGGTGAGCTCCAGCTTCTCTGCCCACTCCAGTGCTTCAGGCTAAAGTCATCAGGGACTGTTTCCCAATCCTCCAGCTGCAGCCTGCCAAACATCCACTTCCCTAGTGACTTCTACATTTGTGTAAGCCTTCATCCCTCTGTTAATTTTCTTATTCCATTGATACTTATGGTGATTCTGGCTTTCCAATCAAACATTGACTGATGTGCTGGAGAAGCAGCCCCCAACCTTTTTGGCACCAGGAATTGTGGAAGACAATTTTTCCACGGAGCTGGGGTAGGGGGATGGTTTTGGGATGAAACTATTCCACCTCAGATCATCAGGCATTAGTTAGATTCTCATAAGGAGTGCACAGCCTAGATCCCTCACATGCACAGTTTACACTAGGGTTTGTGCTCCTATGAGAATCTAATGCTGCTGCTCATCTGACAGGAGGTGGAGCTCAGGCACTAATGCTTGCTGCCCGCCACTCACCTCCTGATGTGTGGCCTGATTCCTAACAGGCTATTGACTGGTACTGGTCCAGCCTTGAGAGTTGGGGACCCCTGCAGTGGAGTACCCTGGCACTTACATTATATCTCCTGGCTAATGTGTTTTCTAGCAAATACTTATTTGATATAGGGTACCCCAACCCACATTCCAATTCTCTTGAAGTATCCCCAGGAGAATACATCTGCTTTCAAGCAGTCTGGTTTTATTTCACCTTTAATATGCTGGTATTCATTATTATGCTTCATAAAAATTGAGCATCAAATGTGTCAGGATAATGACCTCAGGGCCACACTAAAAGTGCAGTCTAGGTTAAAACAACCTTCAAGGCCTCTTCAATCCTAAAATTGTAAGTGGAAATGTTTAAAAAACAACTGTCATTGTCATTTAAACTAGCTACTGGGCATTTGATTCTAACATTTCAATCATTATTTGCAATTTTATCATCTCATCAGTTTCTTATATTTGGCAAATAGTATAGAACTTTTTTTTTTTTTTCAAATACTGGCTCTAAAGTAAAACCTAAAATACACCAAACTTTGCTTCTCAGATAATGAATCTATTGTCTTTCAAAAACTTCCTAAAGTCAGGCAAACTAAGACATCTTCCTATCCACCAATGGAATGATTAGTTTTATCCCTTATCAATGCTAGATCTGACTGCCAGATATATCGCTCATTTCACACCGTAAAATGCTGTATTTTGTCAAAGATGATTATGATATGACCTATGATCAAATTAGGTAAAATTTATCTGTGGAGTAACAACAATCATAGACACAAGACTGATCATTCTTGTTCATGCTATTCTGCTTTTAGTATTTTCTTATTTGCTTTGTTCTCACTTTAGCCTAGTAGAGACCTAATGTATAGAATACCTATTATGATCCAGAAACATTTCAAGATGATAGGCACATGTTAATCATTCACATTAGGCATCATTATCTTCATGTATGGGGTGGGCTAAGTGAGGCTAAGAAAAGTTAATGAATTTGCCCAAGGTATGTAGCTAGAACGCAGAAGAGATGATTATTCAATCCCTGATTTGTTTGATTCTGAAATGAGTGTAATCCCTACTCTTCCAGCCTACTTTACATTATGTCTTATTATTTTCTAAGAAAAAATACTCCAGAAAGAAGCATTGCTTGTGATCCAGCAAGCTGAACAAAGAATAAAATTGAGTGTTCAGTTGTTGCTCTTTTATCTCTTTAGGAGACTTTATTGAAAATGAAGTCCTATGTACCAGGACCCCTTCCTTCCCACGCATCTTGCACAGTGGAATCACAATAATTATTTTTTCTGCCAATCTGTAGAAAGTTTGAGCATTGCATGCCAGGAGGCACTCTTTGTAAGTGAAGCATTAGCTGATTCCTGATGCCTTATGGGATATTCTTCAATATTTCAGCTAGAACATACTCATTTCAGGGTTCCTCTACTGGTCCTTTTTTAAAATAAAATATTAATTAAATAAAATATCATTAAAAGCTCTCTGTATATTGCAAAGTTTATCTTTCTTTTTTTATTTATTATTATTATACTTTAAGTTTTAGGGTACATGTGCACAATGTGCAGGTTAGTTACATATGAATACATGTGCCATGCTGGTGCGCTGCACCCACTAACTCGTCATTTAGCATTAGGTATATCTCCCAATGCTATTCCTCCCCCCTCCCCCCACCCCACAACAGTCCCCAGAGTGTGATGTTCCCCTTCCTGTGTCCATGTGTTCTCATTGTTCAATTCCCACCTATGAGTGAGAATATGCGGTGTTTGCTTTTTTGTTCTTGCGATAGTTTACTGAGAATGATGATTTCCAATTTCATCCATGTCCCTACAAAGGACATGAACTCATCATTTTTTATGGCTGCATCAAAGTTTATCTTTCGCTGTGGTCAGAATAATAGCGAACAGACAGCTGCAATTCAGTATCCGTGAATGAGTACATTTGTAGTGACAGTCTTATGACCAACAGGGAAGGCTAAACACTCCCTATGTCACCAGACCTATTCCCCCTAGGTAGAAGTGCCTGAGGAGGAGGGCTGGTATGGGGTAAGCCAACCACCACAGTGCTTCTGGGTAGAGATTCAGTATGAGAAGCAATACTTAAGAACCCTTGTCTCTATTGAAATGCCCTTTTATGTCTGGATTTCCTCATTTGGGGATTATGATCTCAGCTCCATTTATGGAGGGTTTCCCAGCACATATCATTCAGTAAAATAGGTTTGGGACTACCTCATACTGGTAGACATGGAAGGCCTCAGGGTGGACAACTTCATTTGGTTGTGCTATGCTTCTCTCCTCCTGACCGGCACAACTTCAAGTGCTAAGACAGTGGATGAGACTTGGGTAAAGGGCCCTAAGAGCTCAGAGTTTACTCTAGGTCAAAACGTTCCACTGGATATTTTACTTGGGTATTAATGGGAATTACAGAGCTAAAAGAAAGAATTCAGGTAAACAGAAAATATAATATCTCAGCTGTGAATATTCCCAACATACAATAGCAACTAAATGCATTTGAAAAGTTTTAAGGAAGCCTCCTTACCTTTGTTTAATACTGTTTTCCAAATTTGAGCACTGAATATTATGATTTATACTTTCTTGGGTAAATTGTGCTGCTTGGGACATAAAGTTTGGAAAAACCTTACTTGGGTATTAGACTAGACGGGCAACAGGAGGTCGCAAGACCCATGCCAGGACCAGGAGTGCCACATAGGAATCTAGGTCCAAAGTCCTGTCTCACACACACACACACACACACACACACACACACACACACACATACGCAGTTTGTACTCTGCCTTTTTCCCAGGAACCCAAGGTACAGACTGCCTAGATGCCAGAAGGCCATAGCACACCGCACATAGCATATAGCACATCTATATAGATATAGAAAAGACACATCTTTTAGCCTCTGGTTTTGTTTTGAAGATAAATCAATTCTAACTGAATTGCATGTATTTTATGCTTTCAATCCTGTCATTTGCTATCTTTTGTTACATTCAGTAACATCTTGACAAAACATTGATTTGTTTTGTTAGCTTTCTTGTCTCCTGCAATATTAGTCTGGAAAAAAATTTGAGGGGGCAGGGGCTAGAGTAATTTCTCCTGGAATAGTCACCCATCTCAGGCATGCAGCAGTTGGCCAATTGCCCTTCATTGCGTGAATTGTTCATTCTGAGTGTACCTGATTGATCCTTTCTGACAATTGGTGAGATAGCTTCCTTAGACTGAGAACGTTCTATTATAGGTAAGGACAAATAAATGATTAAAAATCATATACAGATATTAGAAGCTGGGTTAGGCCTTTAACAAAGTTTTTATTTTTTAATGGAGGTGGCTATTAATTAAGCACTATGTATTTAAGTGTAAGTCTTACTTGTAAATATGTAACTGTAGTTATTTAAATGTGCAAATTAGTTTTATTTGTTTTACGGAAAGTAAATAATGTGTCAACATTTTCATGTGAGTGCAGGTCAAGTTATATTCTTTATATATTGGAATATATAGTGAAGTTTATTTTCTTGTATAAAGAGAAAAAAATGGTAAAAGAATATCGATGACCCTGAGGTGAAATACCTTCAAAACAGAGAAAAATGTGTTCTCTAAAAGTTTAGCTAATAAAACACATATATAAAGGTCTGACATCTTAGTGGCTGAGGAAATGAACAGTACTCATGTCTCTCAGTACTGGACCCATGTTGGATGTCATAACCAAAGCAAACTGCAGTCTAATCAGACACAGGAAACAGTTGATACTAGATTAATCACAATCAGTTGTTATTTCCAGACAGAAGCAACATCAATTTGGTTGTGTGCTGTTTTGTATATGAATATACACTATATATTGCCATGCAGGGAAGATGAAGTCTTGAAGAGAAGAAGCAAAAGACATTCTCTCTTCAGGGAAAGTCTTGGTTGGTGAAGCCAAGCACTGTGCTCTTGACAGGCTCTCCCTGGAGTGGGGAACCTAAAGTGAGTACTTTAGGTTGCCTCAGCTCTGAGAGACTTAAGATGACCTAAATCCCTATGTTCTGTTTCTGTACTGACCAGGCAAAACTGATTTTACGCTGGCTGCCCATACAGCTTACTTATTGTGAGAGTACACATACCTGGGGGTAGGAACATTCCTGTTGGTTTACAATGAGCTGTTTTTCTAGTGTCAAATCATCTTTGGATATTAAAAAAAAATCCAGTCTCTATATTTGCAAAGTTGAGAATCCTTGTTTTTCAGATGTAGTGAATCCAATCTAGGTATTCTCCTTAAAACCACCTAAATGAATAGAAGCTTTCCAAAGCTGCCATCTGTTTTGCCAAATAATCTTTTCCAACCTACTAAACATTGTACATTTCATCTTCCAGACAAGTTGACCACAATAATACTCATTGTAAAATAATTTTCTTTTAATGATTAATGTATTAATCATTGTTGTTAGTTCTGACCATCTCCTTTTTCATAGGTAATATTATCCTATATTAGTAAAATCCTTTACTCTCACAATATTCCCCTTTACAGAAAATTAATTATAAGTCAAATTCCCCAAATTACTTTATTCCCAAGATTTCTCCTTTCTTGCTTTGTAATTTCCTCAAGTAATTATTATAAATTGTCATGCCAAATAATTATGCATATATGTATATAGGAAGATAAATATTTTGCTAATTCTTTCACTATTAAAGTAAAATAGACATTTTTGGTTGCTTGGAACTGAGTAATGAGAGGAAGGAAATAAAATGAACCCAGTACACGATCAAAAGTACAAAATTGGGCTAGATGATATCCATAGCTTCCCTATTCAGCTTAAAATGTATCAGTCTAACAAAGAATATCACACAAATGTAGAAAAACAGTGAGCGATATTAAGAAGTGGTGTAGAGATGGGAGTAGACCCCTGCCAATATCATTGTCATTATCTAAAACTCTTCAAATAAAACAGCATAAATGAATAAATAAATAGCTTTACTGGATTGCAAATAAACGTATCCCTCAATTAATCCTGCCTCCACACACACCATCAATTTCAATACCATTCCCTTCATACTCAACTTTTAGCACAGGAAGGCCTATCAAGGGAAATCTTATTTATAAGACCATAAAGTAAGGGAATGCTAGAGGGACGGAGAGAATGGGGTAGGTCAGGGAGATTTTTAGGAAGCAGACTAGATAGGATGAAGAATTGGATGCTGGGGAAAAGGTAAAGAGAGCAGTTTAGAATAACTTCCAGGGTACTTAGTGCCTTGTGTGGTTAACAGAATGTCATGAGGAAGACAGGACAATACGCAGATCGGGGGGAAATGATTGTTTAATTCTCAGATAGCTTTATTGAGATGTAATTCACATACTGTGCAATTCATCCATTGAAGGTTTATAAATCAATGATTTTTAGTGTATTCAAAGATACGTGCAACTATCACCATAGTTAATTTTAGAATATTTTTGTCAAGAAGAGAAAAGAAACTGCAAATCCTTCAGTTCTCACCCTTTCCCCCACTCCATATCCCTGTTTCTTTCTCTACCAGCCACAAACACCCAAGCAACCACTAATATACTCTGTCTCCATAGATTCTGGGCTTTTATATGAATGGAATATATATATATATATATATATATATATATATATATATATATAAAAAATATATATATTTCATTGAGTTTCAGATGTTAAACTAACCTTGTATCTCCAAGATAAATTCCACTTGGTCATGATGTATAATTAGTTTTATATGTTGCTAGATTTTGTTTACTACCATTCTGTTGAGAATTTTGTGTCCATATTAATAAGATATATTGGTCTATAGTTCGTTTTTTCTCTAATGATATCTTCGTATGATTTGGTACCAGGATAATACTGAAACAAAATCAGTATTATACTCAGTATAACAGGCCTCATAAAATGAGTTGGGAAGTGCTCTTCTTTGAATTTGTAGTAAAATTAAATTATGAAGACATCGCAGTCTGGGATTTTCTTTGTGGATTGTCGGTTTGTTTTGTTTTGATTTGTTTTGTTAATACAACGTTTTCACTTGTTATGGGCTAATCAGATTGTCTATTTCTACTTGAATCAGTTTTGGTAGTTTGTGTCTTTCTAGGAATTTGACCATTTCATCTAAGTTATGTAACTTGTTGGAATACAAATTATTTATGGTATTCCTTTATACTCCTTTTTGCTTTTGTGAGGTTGATAATAATGTCCCCTCTTTCATTTCTGATTCTAGTAATTTGAGTCTTCTCTATTTTTTTTTATTAAACTAGCTAAAAGTTTCTCTGTTTTTTTGCTCTTTTCAAAAACCAAGTTTTGGCATAATTAATTTTCTCTTATTGTCCTATTTTCTTAAGTTGAACTTAATTTTATTAAATTGAATTCTAATCTTTATTCATTCCTTACTTTTGATTGCTTTAGCTTTACTTTGCTCTTCTTTTTCCAGTGTCTTAAGGTAGAAGTCAGGTTATTCATTTGAGATCTTTCTTTATTTTTTATGTAGGTGTTTACAGCTATAACCTTCCTTCTAAACACGGTTTCATCTGCATCCCTTAGTTTTGATATGCTATGTCTTTATTTTCATTCATCTCAACATATTTTCTGATTTCTGTCTGGATTTTGTTTGACTTGTTGATGATTTAAGAGCGTCTTGTTTAATTTTTACATATTTGTTTCTTTCCTAATTTTTTCCCTGTAATTGATTTCTTATTTCATCCCATTACAGCTGAAGGAAATATTTTGTATTTTTTATTCTTTTTAAAATTTATTAAGGTTTGTTTTATGGCCTCACATATGGCCTATTCTGGAAAATGGCCCATGTGTACTTGAGAAGAATAATACATTCTATTTCTGTTGGGTAGAGTGTTCTATAGATGCCTGTTAGGTCTAGTTGGACTACAGTATTGCACAAGCCTTCTGTTTCCTTGTTGCTTATTTGTCTGGTTCTTCTATTTATTACTGAAATTCTTCATAGCTTCATATTTTTTGCTAGATATTGGACATTTCCATCTTCTATTGTTAAATTGTGTCTTCACTTAAGTCAAAGATTGTTTCATGTATTTTAGTGCTCCTTTATTAGGCTTATATATTTTTATAATTGTTATCTCTTCCTGATGAATTGACCCTTTTATTACCTCTCTTTATCTCAAGAGACATGTTTGTTATAATCTGCAATTAGTATAGCTGCTTCAGGCTTCCTGTGGTTGCTTTTTGCACGATATATCTTTTTCCATCCTTTTACTTCAATCAATTTGTATCTTTGAATATTATGTGTTTCTCTTACAGGTAATATATAGTTGGATCATGCTTTTTTATCTCGTTTGATAATCTCTGGTTTTTATTGGATTGTTTAATCATCATTTACTGTTATTATTGATATAATTGGTTTTATAGCTGCCATTTTATTTCTTGCTTTCTTTGTCACATGTCTTTTTTGCTCCTCTAGTCCTCCTTTACTGCTTTCCTTTGCAATGAGTGAATATTTTCTAATGTAGCATTATAATTTCATCAATTTTTTTTTCACCATTTTGAGTTTGTTTTTCCTGGTGGTCTCTCTAGGGCTTACCATAGATAGCTTCAGATTTATATTTGCTAAGTTTCAATAATATATAAAGTGCTGCTTCTATATAGCTCTACTCCATTTCCCCCCTTTTGTGGTACTATTGTTATACATATTACATGTACTAATGTTACAAATACAACAATACCTTGATATATTTACTGCTTAACCATCTGTCATTGTTTCTTTAATCCATTACAGCTTTGCTCCCGCCCACTTCCTTTATGCTCTTGTTGGCAAATACATTACATATTTATTGTATTTCTATTTATTACAGTCCCAACAATATATTTGCACATATCATTTTATAAAATTGCTTTTTAAAATCAGTTAAGAAAGGGAAAAATGAATTTACAGTGTCTGTTATAATTGTATAATTACCTTTACTGGTGCTCATGTTTGTTCCTGTGAATTCTAATTACTGTTTAGGGTAATTTACTTTCAGCCTGAAGGATTTCCTGTAGTATTTCTTGTAAGATGGCTCTGGTAGCAACCATTTTCTTGTTTTTATTTATCTGGGAAATTCTTTATTTTTATTTTATTTTTGATTGATAGCTTTGCTAGCACAGGAATCTTGGTTGACTTCTTGTTTTCTTTGAGCATTTTGTATATGTCATCCCACTACATTCTGACCTTCATTGTTTTTGCTGAAAGGCCAACTGTTAATCTTATTAGGTTTCCCTTGTACATGATGTATTTTTCTCTTGCTGCGTTCAAGATATCCTCATTGTCTTTGATTTTCAGTATTTTTACTGATGTGTCTGTTTGCTGGTTTCTTTGCACTTGTTCTACTTGGAGTTTGTTGAGTTTCCTCTATGTATAGGATATTGTTTTTCAACAAATTTGGGGATTTTTCAGCAATTGTTTCTTTGAATTATTTTGTCTTTTTCTTGTCTTCTTTTGGAACTCCCATTGCAAATATATGGTGTGCTTAATTGTGTCCCACCTTTCTCTGAGGCTGGTTTTTTTTTTCCTGTCTGTTCTTTGGCTTATATAATCTCTATCAACTTATCTTCGAGTTTACTAATTCTTTCTTCTGACAGCTCAAATCTATTGGGTCTCCACTACATTTTTTATTTTAGCTATTGCACTTTTCAATTCCAGAGTTTCCATTTGTCTTGTGTGTGTGTGTGTGTGTGTGTGTGTGTGTGTGTGTACACAGACACAAATGTTAATATTGGTGTGTAGATAGATATAGATTCTATCTTTGTATTAGTATTTTTTATTTGATGCAACATTGTCATCATACCTTCATTTATTTCTTTAATCATGCTTTCCTTTAGGTCTATGAATATATTTATAATGGCTACTTTAAAATCTTTTTCTGATTCATCTGACATCTCATTACTCTCGCGGGCAGTTTCTATTACCTTATTTTTTATTTTTATTTTTTATTCTGTTGCTTTATTTTTTATGGTAGAGTATATATCATATTTTCAAAATTCTTCATAGCTTCATATTTTTTGCTAGATATTGGGCATATTGTAGGAGTTCTAGGTACTCTCTTCCATGGTTTGTTATTGTTAATTGCTTAGTTATTTGTTTAGTGACTGGTTGGATTATTTTAACAAAGTACACTCCCACCCCCCACACACAGTGTTAAGCTTCTGATGTTGTTCCTCAACTAGACACAGCTTTGAGCCAACCTGGGATAACAGTGTATTTGTTGGGCCTCTCTTCTAATTCTTCCCCTTGCTCCACTGCTGGCAATTGCTTTATTATTTACAATACCCTGAGCATACATTTCTTTACAAACTAACCTAATTAAATTATAACTCCTTTGAAGAAATGGCTTCCAATGTCAGTGTTTGATGTTTATTCTGAACCCAGGAGAGCTCCTCTCAGCTGTCCTATTCCCTTATTATTTCCTGCAAACTAGCTGGCCTACAGCCTAGGCTGTATCTTCATTAGATTCACAGAGCTCATCCTAATTGCCTTTCAGCACAATCTACACTAATCTTGAGAGTGTCCTTAGGTTTAAATTTCTCCACTGCTCTGTTGCAGATGAAGTCACTATTTTACTGCCTGCTTCTCCTCCCAGGAAAAAATTTCTTAACCAGAGCTCTGAAGTGGCGAGTAGGGACAACAGCAATTTTCTTTCTGAGTAAAACCCTCATTTGAGGAGAGCACTCAGTGAAAAAGGGAACAATAGGCTAATGTCTTCTTGGCTTGACCCTCTGGCATGGAGGGACTACAACACAAGCCAGGGGAAAGGGTACTAATGCCCCAGGATTCTCAGCATGCCACACCCAAGGTAGACCCTCCAATCTTGAGTAGGGGTTGGGCAGAAAAATAAAGCCTCACCTTTCAACCACACTCACCAGGACTAGCCTCAGCACCAGGCAGCCAGGGGCAGGACAAGAAATGCCAAAGCCTTGTTCTTCCCAGGAGGAAAAAAAAAAAGGCAAAACAAAATAAAAAAGCAGGGAGATGGGGAAGAGTAGAGCTGTTTTGGTGCAAATATTACAGACTCTCGCTTTTCTTGCTGAAATTTTATAGATTTTCTTGAATATTTGTTTTCATTTGCTGTTTTGCTCTATGTTATTTCTAAAGGCTTTTGGTGTTTTCTTTTTTAACATGATTTTCACCAGTTTTCATCAGGGAGCAGGTCAGCAGAGCTCCTCATGCTGTCATGTGAGAGTAAGTGATTTAATTTTGAATATGCAAGTTGGGATTTATCTGGGTGAAGAGTTCTCACAGGCAGAAAGATGCACAGAACTGAGAGTCAAGGAACAGACCTAAACTGGTTATGAAGATTTGGAAGTCAACCTAGGGACAGAAGTAATGAGAGAAGACTAACAGAAATAGAAGAGGGTAAAGATCAGAACTTAAAAGAACATTAACATTTAAGCAAAGGAATCTGGGAAGAACTGGTTAGAGAAGTAAGTTAGAGTACACTTCAGAAAGAGTGTTTTATATGGAAGAAAAGACTTGGTGTAGAATTTTCAAGAGAAAATGATTGGAGTGTCAGAATCATGTAGAATAAAATAAGAGCTAAACAACTTTTAAAGATTTCCAGATGAAAAAACGTTACATTTCACTTTTTTAAAATTAAATATTTTGAAGATGTAAAAAAATTACAATATTGACACATGTCATTGGATTTGACAATTAGAAAGACACTGATGAATTTTGCCAGAGTGGTTGGGGTGTCCTGTGGGTGGTGAAGACAGATTGCAGTGGGTAGATATGTAAGGAAATGGAGTTGGAGAATGGAAATTGTTAGGGGTTGGGAGTGGGGTTTATGTCGTAATCCTACCACTTAACTCTGACTCCCCAAGATTCTGGGAAGTGCTGGACATACACAAAGAACAGGAAGCCTGATGGAGATCATGGTTTATGCTTCACTCAGGGATCCCTGGAAATAGCTAGATTGGAAAACACAGTGCATCTCTGACCCCTCCATAAAACCAGATCCACGAGAACTTGTCTCACCCAATACATAAATACATCTCTGACCCCACATAAAACCAGATGCACAAGAACTTGTCTGACCCAATTTATCCCATCCGTGGTGAGCTGAGGAGCTGGAACAGAGAGGGCACACACCTGGGTGGGTTTACCAGAGGGAGACCTTGCCTGAGAACCATTGTGAGAAAGGTAATGGAGTTAACATCTTCTTTCAGGGCCATAGTAATTACATGAACAGTCAATATGGACCAAAACAAACCAAATTTAGTACTTCACTGTGGAGCAAAGTAAATACTAAAACACAGGTGTCAGCCAAGAGTCAGAAAATTCAAACAAGTGGACATAATAGAAGGTCCAAGCCTGGAGAGGATGAGTAGAGATTTAGGTAACTGGTACCTATGGAATCACAAGATGTTTGGCCTCAGTTTTCTCAAGAGAGAAGTGGGGTTGTATACTCCTTACTCCTTGTATATTCCTTGTATATTATTCTTGTTGGGAATAAGCAAGAGGGAGAGTTCAGAGGTGGGCTGACTCCTTGAGGAGAGTGGAGAAAGTTAATGCCTGTGAACTTGAACACATGCAGTCTGGAGTTTGGCATGATGAGCTGAGCCTTGTTCTGTGTTCCCTGGTGCCACTGACGGGATAGAATTTTAGGTTGTACAGGACATTCCTTATCTAGAATAATGATTCTTATATTTCATAGTCACCTTTCTTTTCCTACTATCCTGTTTTAAAAGAGGTTGTCACTTATGTGTTTGCAGAATATGGTCTGTCCATGGGGAAATTTTCAAGTCTAATAAATTGAATAAAGGCAATGTGATTGATATTTTATAGGGCTCTTCAAATTCAAGGCTGCCCTTTATTTTAAAAGTATGCTTCTTTCTTTGGGGAAAACAAAATGCCTGTTCTTTAATAAAACTAGGATACTGGGTAATTATTTTTATTTTTTGCCTTTACTTAGCAATAATAAAAGTGGACAAGCATAGATTTGTTCCTCTGTTTAATGAGTTCTTCTGGTCTGTAAAATCCCAAAGTCGGATCATCAGCAGTCGAGTATATTTTCATACACAGTATGCTATCCACTATGAGCATAATTGAAGCAAATGAAGGAGGATAAAATAATTATTTAGCCATTGGAATACTAGGCCCAAATAATAAAGAGAATTAACATAAGGTAAGCCTCCTTCTCACAGGCACACACACATCAATGTTCAGACCAGGGGGTGGTAAGCGATCCATAATAACAATATCTCATTGTGGAACTCTGCAGGGTAACTCTCAAATAACTGCATGGCAGAGACCATAGCTTATAATGTCATAGTCTATGTTGCCAAGGCAACAACACAGCCAGCAACAGAGGCTGACATTTTGAAATGTGCATGTGATTTTATTATTTACAAGTTATAGGGAGGAGAGCAGAGCCACTGTGGTGGCTTAGAAACATCTGTCCTAATACTGCCCACATATTTCTGAAAATAGTGCGATATCATAAGTAACCACACATGTAAAGAGCCATGTGCAGACTCAGCCATTCTTTCATCTATTTATTCCTTCATTTATTGAACAAGCATTTACCTACTAAGCACCTAGTATGTGCCTTATTCTGGGAATCCAAGAGTGAACAATATAGACATAGTCTTTGCTGTTTTTGCTACATGTCTATTATGATATAAAGAAAACTTAATGGAAATCAGTGTATTGGGTCTTAATCTGAGGAGGAAAAGTAATACTCAAATAGAGAACAGGTTGCGCTGCTCTCATCCCTATATCCCGTCATGAATATTTGGATGGTAACAATTATGTTGCTCTTTGTTTTCACATTCTTTCCTCAAATGGCGATTCTAATGGGTTTTTATCCCTCAAGATATTTTGAGAAAAGTAAGTTTCTTACTAAATAATTTTGAAAAATGCAAAAGATAGAGTTTATCTTACTCCTACCAATTCACAGGAACAGTTCTTGATATGATGTTTCCGTAGAACCGTATTACGCAGTATTGGTGTTCCAAGGAATGTATTTTGGGGAAAGTTATCTTAGTATCCTTTATAAATTGAAATAGTGGTGACGACACTGGCAATGCATACATTAGCTGCGGCATTTGAAAGGCTATAAGCAACATACATACCATGGCATCCATGGCAGAGAGAGGACTGCATTCATAATTTATGAATCCCAAAGATATTATTCAACCTTTTATAACAGCTTCTTGTCAGGAATAAGCAGCAGGATTCCTACAATTAGAAAACATTTCTCACAATATGCCTCAGTGATATATCACTTATGCACCTTCCTGATGAGCTTGAATTTAGTAATCGAAAAGCCATCCCTACTAGCTATGCTTAGGAATATTTAAATAAGTGAAGGCAACATCCTGTTTTAATGCAGCTATTTATTGAAGCATAAGTGCAATCCAAAAATGCAGGAGGATAGCAACTGTACAGGTTTGCAAAAGGACAAGGGTGATGAGGCTCGATTGCTGATAGAGCCACCTCAGGTAAGTTGTCTGACAAAGCCACCTCAGTTATGTTGGCTGATAGCAGGTGATGTCTGTTCCACGCCATCCCTAGCTGCAGATTTGGTGAGCAACACCAGAGTGCTTGCACAGCACTGGGGCTCATGACTCATTGACTTATTGCTTTTGAAATAAAATTTCTCTCCCTTGAAGTCAGCTGAGGACATTGCAATTCTTCTGTCTGCTTTTGCTATCAATTTTATTCAGCTGGCACTGCCCCATTGCTACCTGGTAATACAATTTAATGTGTGAGGGGAAGAGAAATCATAGTTCTTACTTCCTACAGAGGGCGAGAAGATTAAAAGATCCGTGCAGAGCCCCTGCTGTGGAGAGACTGCAAAGGTGTTATTAGATGGAGACAGTGCATAATTCTTATGCCCCTTGCAGCATCAGTGAGCAAATTGTATTTGCAGGCAGGTGCTTCTGAATACCAAAATTGCCATGACTATGTGTGGAGGACAAAGTCTGCGTGATGGTTTGGCTTGAAGCCTGTCTCTGAGACAGCTTGGTGCAGGCACAGATGTCCCAAGTAGTAATGCGACAGAGCAGCCCTCATGCTGAGAAACACTGTATTGTCTGCCTCTTCTCAGCACCCTCTGCATATGTTCTTGTATTTTTATATCCATTTCACTCTCACACTTCACTGATCTTTTAAATTTGTAAATTAACAAAAGAGATGACTCTGTTTCAAATGAAACTAAACTGAGCTACCTACTAAAAAAAGCCAGAGGGCTGCTATCTAAAGGGTGCATATGTGGGAAGAAGACCACCAGTTTATCCTGGCTTTGGTTGAAATGCCAACCGGAGATTTTTTTAAATGCACATGAATTTTTTTTTTCTCTGATGTTAGAAAATCACTGAAGTCAAACAGGAGAAAGCAAAAAACAAAAAATTTTGGACTTGTAACTCTGTTTTGAAGTGAGGCATTTCCAAACACTTTCAGACATTTTAAGACCTTCCTTCTTTGCTGATCCAGACCAGACTCTGATATATGCTTAGGTGATATGTAAAAATGTGCAAGACTGGATACACCTGGGCTTGAAACAAAGCCTTTCAATGTAAAAGCAATATATGACTACTAACCTCTCTAAACTTTGATTTCCTCAAGTATATAATGGGAATAATAGTGGATCATATTTCATAAGAATGTTGTAAAGATCAAGCAATATATGTCAATGCTTACATAGAATGTGGCACGTAGTATGTGCTTATTACGTAATATACATTATTATTTTCTCTTAAAGTAAATAATCTGTTGGGAACTTAAAAAGAGGAAGTACTGGACTTACTCTCATGTATGTGTCTATGTACTTGTGTGCTTATATCTGTGTATTTTGTTTTATAATTGAAAGTAAAGGTGCTTAAGTACATTACCCATCTGTACTTGATTGGGCTAGAATTCTACTCCTCTGTGCTATTATAAATGATTTAGAAAAATGTGAATTTGGTTTCCACTAATGTCTTTAAGTCACTAAAGTAGTGTAGAGAATAGTGAGGAAATCTGGACATGTAATTCTATTTTTGTTACCAAGTTACTTTGAAGTGAGAATAGTCTAAACAAAACAGACTTTTAAAGAGATACCAGAAAGTACAAGTAACCCAGAACCTCATTGTGCAGAGTCACTCATGTTTATTCATTCATGCATTCATTCACTAAATAAATATTAATAACACATCTACAGCATGCCTGTGAGAGTTGTGAGGTACAGAAAACAAATTACTAAGGGGTAAGATATACTTACCTTAAGGAAATTGCAGTCTTTGAGGAGAGACAAATAAGTAAAGAAACACTATAACATCAATGCAATATAAAAGGAATTATAATATGAACAAATTAGGCTATTTGATTTGCAGAGCAGTTTTTTAGCATCTCTCACCTTTTCATAAAAACTGGAAGTCTTAATTCATATATGTAACAACAGTCCTTGAAATTCTTAGATAATTTTAAGTTATGTTTTTAATTTTGCTTTAGACATATTCTCTCTGTTGAGAATGTCCAATGTGGAGCTTTTTTAAAGTTATATTAGTTATATTAACTTTTCATATTTTTTGTTTTAGAACAGTTTGCCATTTAGTTTATAAAATGCCATCACACACATAGAACAGGACACATAAAATTTAAAAGTAGAATAATCACAACCCAAATAAAAGTAGTTTTCATCAAATGTTCATTTTCTGTATGGTATTAGGTAAAAGGAAATTTAATACTTTAATTACCTAAGATAAAAAAAAAGATTTGGAGCTATCAGCCTCAAATGTAGCTATATTTGAAAAAAATAAGTTATCTTTTCAAATCTTTTCTTTCTTCTTAATTTTTCTTTCTCTTGCTTGCTTGCTTACTTTTTTTTCTTCCTTCCTCCTTCCCTGTTCCTTTTTTCCTTTATTTCCTCATGCATTTTTTTTTTCAAACTTGCTGGACTAATCAGATTTATCAAAATAGCCTAGTATTTCTGACTTCTGAAACAACTAATATTCATACATAAAAACTTGACCGAAACTTAGAATTTTCACTCATTTCTTTTTCTTTAACTGAGCTTTAAAACTTAAAAATCTATACACATACTTTTGAGCAGAAGCTGTTTTCCTAAATCCTGTGCAGATAAAAGTGCCACACTTCAGTGGAAGGATCATCGGCACTTGGCTCTACTACCAAAACAGCATCTTCATGGTGAAGTCTTTTTATTTCTTGAGAATCCTATAATTATTGGTAAAATGAGGGGGGATATATGGGCTATTTGCCTATTTTTTAGTAGCAGAATTATTTTTTCAAATTCAACCTTACAAGTAATACCGTTACATAAAACAGTTAAAAATATAACTGGTCTAGCATGTTCTCACTCATAAGTGGGAGCTGAGCAATGAGAACACATGAACACATGGAGGGGAACATCACACACTGGGGCCTGTCAGGGGGTGGGGGGCAAGGGGAGGGAGAGCACTAGGACAAATACCTAATGCATGTGGGGCTTAAAACCTAGATGATGGGTTGATAGGTGCAGCAAACCACCATGGCACATGTATACCCAGGTAACAAACCTGCACATTCTGCACATGCATCCCAGAACTTAAGTAAAATTTATATATATATAAATATATATATATATATATATTTATATATCTGGTCTAACCAAGTAAGGAGATGAGCGGGCAAGCCCCTGGCCCAACTGAGGAGCTCAAGGAATCCAAAGATTGTCCTTGAAAATCTTTGAACTAGGAAATCCCTAAGGTTCCTTCTACTGCTAACAGCTTATGACTATAAGTGCTAAATAATTCACACTGAATTACACTTCTCTAAATAAATGGATGCCTTTCATTTTCACGGATGAAGTAACTGAGATTCTCTTTATGCTTGTGACATTTACTTCCTTTTTAAAAAATTGACAAAACAGTAACCTAGAATTAATCTCCCTGAAAATTACCCATGACCAGAAAGAAATTTAGGCATAAAATATATTATTACTAGACTAACAGATGAGGGCTATTGAAACAATAATAATATTTTCACATACTATTCATGAAAAAAGACCTGTCTACAGTGATCTAACTTAGTAACTCTTAAACTACTTGATTATGTTATTAGGTTGGTGCAAAAGCAATTGCAGTTTTTGCCACTGAAAGTAATGTCAAAAACTGCAATTACTTTTGCACCAACTTAATATTTCTCTTTATGTAACCTCTATTGACCTAAAATGCAGTTGATTTTACTCTTGTTAATTTTTTCTAGCTATGTATGATTACTTAATATCTATAAACCATAAAGGATATGTATAACATTAGAACTTTAATAAATCAATATTTGGTTTTAGCATTACTTATTCCAAAGAAGCTTCATACATTTATTTTAAACTAATATTCTCTACTATTACTATTAGTCACTTTGCAAACATTTTATTAATCTACTCACATTAAAGATGAAGAGGATTCCATTTAAAGTCTATAATAGAATATATATTTTCCTTTGTACATCTCACCCTTGACAACAATCAGAGCTGATTCTTTGAGCAGTAGCAGCTCATGACATTTCAGGAATTAAGAATGGGAAATGAATAACATATGTGATTTGTGTTTCATGGAGAAGGTCCTACCCTAATATTATCAGATGAAAAATGTGAGATAATCTAGGAAGAGTTTCATCTTCTGGTTATTTTTGTTACATTTGCAGATGGAGTTTTCTCTTTGCCAATCGTATTTTCAAGAATTCTAAGTGCCTGTCCCACACTAACCTGTAGCTGAGATGGTGGAGAGAGTTGAGAGCTGGTGGGGTGGGGAATCTTTGGAAGTGTTCTTCTGAATGGGAGGCATGTTATGTCATGCTGCTGCCTTCTTTTTATTAAAGAAATGATAGCTATTATAATACTTGATGGACATTTATATCTATTGTGGGCCTTATCTTCCTGGCAAAGTGATTCATTTAGGTAAAGAAGCTTCCTCCACCTCAGATTTGTCTCATATTTCCATATATCAACACTTTTTTAAGCCAGATGAAAAACCCTACAACTTTGTGATTCTTAGATTTAGGTTGGAAATCTCATTCTATTTTCACACTCATTTGTTCTCTGTATTGAATACAGTGAACAAATTTTATCCTGTATCCCAGGAGCAGCCTGAAGACACTGTGAGATCTGTGGTCTGTTTCATATAAATGAGAAGAAATTATTTTCGGCAGCCATGTTTTCTCATCTAGACGGTTAAGACATACAAATAATAACCAATAATATTCAACTCACCTGCAGCATCTTATTCTTTTCAATATCTGGAGTACTGTGTTAAGAAGTTCAGAGGCTGCTTCCAAGATCAACAGGGAGGAATGCCAATAAGAATGTGTGCCATAAGTACAGAAGAGAATGGAGACATTTGCAATAAAGTTGTCATACTTGCATAATTAAGAAATATTGTTTAACATGTTAATTTATTTCATTATCTGGGAGTGCAATATGGAACTATTTTATCTGACTCAAAGTTCATCAGGATTGCAGTTTTGCTCAAAATTTACCATTATTAGGATTATATTCTAATTCTACTGTAGTTTGCTTAAGTGTTGATCTCTGACTTGTTTTCCAAATAATGGTCATTTTTTCATGGTTCAATCAGTTGGCATTTGAGCACATTTTTATGCATTTTAAACAGCCCAGAGCCATTTTTTTTAGAAAAGTTCTAGCATTTTAGATGCCATATCTTTGGCACTGATGAAGAGTTAACAGATGAAGTAGCCCCCAGAGAATGCCTCCGTAATTTGTGTAACTCTACTATTAAGTACGTTGTTCATTACATTATCCAATGTGCCATCTATAAAAAAAAAAAACATGGTGATACAGTTTCCAATTTTTGATACAAAACTCCATCTATAATTATAACAAAAATGACCAGGAGATGAAACTTCTTACCGTTTTTCATCTGATAATATTGGGGCAGGACCTCCTTAATGAAATGGAAATCTCACGTTATTCATTCCATCCTTAATACCTGAAATGTAATGAGCTGCCACTGCTCAAAAATCCAGAAAGCATTTACTTCTGATTAGTCAGTTTGCTCTCAACAACTGAATACTGAGATGTGTATGTTTTCATTGTCACTCCAACTGCTAAGAAACTCAGAGATAAAGGTTTCATGCAATTGCTCTACTAAGGCAGCAGGACGTGGGGATTTGATACAAATATCTTTTCATTTACAAAGTGGTTTTGCTTTTTTATTGTGTTTAATGCTTTTTGGTTTATTACACTAATTCCATTATCATTAAATGTCTGCAATACGTTTTTGAATGAATTTTAAGATAACAGAAATATGTATGTATGTATACACCATTAAACAAAATTTATGGGAAGGCATTATTTTAGACCAGCCTCTTGTCCTAGGCCCCAGCAGACCAGACCAAACCAAAATGGAGCCACTCATGCTAAATGTCACATAATCAAACTGAAACTTTAAGGAAGCAGTCAAATCCCCAAACAAGCCAGTTTTTCCTTAAAACAGATTTCAACAATCAGTAAGAACCCAGTCTACCTGAGATAATGAGGAAGTCCCTTCTGCTCTAACCTTTACAAGGAAAGAGCCCTGTAGTAGCCTGATATTAACCAATCTATTCTTTTTGTTGTTCTTTTTTCTTGTTTCTACCTTACAAAAACCATCTGTTTTGTCATACACAGGGGAACACTCATTCTATCTTATGGAATGAGGTGTTGTCCAATTCTAGACTCACACACAAAAGGCAATTAGATGTTTAAACTAAACTTATTGTAATTTTGTCTGTTGACAACCTTTTTTATTCACACTTTCTTCTTTCCAATTTTCCATTCTACTTAGGCTTTGTGTTTGCCTGAGACTCACTACAACCTCCCTACCTTCACCATCCACCCCCTGCCAGAAAGCAGAATCTGAGACAAGTGCTTTTGTGCAGGTAGTCTATTGAGCTAGCAGGACAAGAGAACAGGAAGGAAGGATTAGAGAGAGTGAAACAGAGAAGGAGAGAAAGCCAATTCACTGTTAATATGCTATGCTGATCTCCGTAGTGGACAACTGGAACTCAATACGGCCAAGGCCTTCTGAGGTGTCTTAGAGAAATGTGCCTCAAAATGTCTACTTCAGGGAGATAAGGGACCAGATTTCTTCCACCATGAGTCAAAATGGGCAAAATGGGCTACATGCAGTGTTAATAAGCACTCAAATCCACCCCACGCTACTGCATCCAAGAATCCCCAGGCCGAAAACGAGAGATATATAGTGCTGTCAGGTTACATCTGTGAGAATTCGTTGCTGCAGCAGTGCCCAGAAATAAAGATTGAGCCAAGAGGATTAGATGCAAGGCACAAGAGATATCCTATACAAGTTTGAACTTGGTGGGAAACCCTCGGCAGCATTGCCTGGTTTTTTCCTTTTCACCAAGGTGTCACCTGACACCACTGTATGTTACAAATTTGCCATACGCCTTCCTCAGTGGAAAGAGACCAGTGCCAAACCATTTTATTTACTCAGCAGATCTCCTTTTCTTGGAGGAATTTATTTAATGGAAAGTAGTAGCAATATAATCAAGGAGTCCAGAACAATGTCTCAGAGGCAGAGACTTAGAATTGCCTCAGTGGTTTTATCGAGACTTCCTGGGTAGTGAAATGACCCCTTTTCTGACCCTACATCTGTCAGACAAACATTGGGTCTGTGTGGTGGGAATTACAGCTTGTAATAGACTTTGAAATCATAGGAGCTGCCAATTAAGTAGGAAGGAGAATACAAAATCTAGGTTTCTTCTGCTTGTCCTCAACTCCTTCCTAACTCCCAATCTCCAATAAGTGCTTCCTTCCTCCATCTGGAATGTTCCTACCAGATATTAGGAAACAGCAGGAGGGCATCTTTACTCTCTTTCTCACAGTTCCCAAAGAAGGGCCCAATATCCCCATTGGTAAATAGATTTTAGATCTATTGTCACTCATGAGATTATTTTACTGGCTCCTTCATAGAATGTGGAATCATATATAACAGCTGTTTCTTCCCCCGGTGGGGCAAACTGATAGGTGCTACAAGATGGGAGGGTGAAGGTCACTTCCTAGGCAGTAGACTTCAGTGTTAGAGGCAGAGTCCTCATGTTGCTGATCTGGCACCAACGGACTGGCTCTCTGATTTCTAGAAAATTTACTTAACCTCTCTAGGCCTCAGTTCCCCTGATCAGTGAAACGTAGACAGTGATGTAAGTCATATAGGGATGTTGTGAGTATTAAATGAGGTAGTACATAAAAATTGCTTAATATAGTCCCTGGCATAGAGAAAGTGAATAATAGTGCTGGCCAGCAGTATACTACTATAGTGGGAGAATAAAGAAGATAGAGCCAGATATCCAAGGATCAGGGAATAATAGAAATTAAAATGCAAGGGACGCTGTGACCAAGAGGCAAATAAAGAAATAAGGGAAATCACAAAATCTTATATAACTTTTACCCGCAGCCATGCCCATTCACAAGGCCTATTTCCCCCTCTTAATGGTAATACCAACTCTCTAACTTGGTGCCCGTAACTAAAACATCTCAGCAACCTTAGAAGAATTTCTTTCATGAATTTGCTCCTTTTTCTGACCTGCTTTAGTTCTTCCAGCTGCCATTTTAACACAGATGGACCAACTGGTGGTGTTCTAGCAAGGGCAGTGCCAAACAGATATTGTCATACACACTTGTTAAAGCAAATCAAAGCTCTGATCTCTGCAAGAGCACAGGAGAAATGGTTTACCAAATAGGATTGAGAAATCAAGAGGAAAAATATTACATTGATCTCAATAATTAAAAGCCATTAGGTAAATACCCACTGACCAGAGACTTTTCACTTCATCTGCTTAAAATTAATTCGCAATTATGTGTTGGATAACCTTAGTCTCTGGGTCCATAAAATGTATCATTTTTACTTTGAAAAGCTATTTTAAAATATTTTTATATTATTATTGAAGCCAAACCCAAAGTAGATGAGGTCATCCCCTGTGCAATTGTCAGTGTTTGAGAATATTTGCTAAACCAATGGAAAGGCATGGAATTGCAGAAGATGAGGTCCTAAACTATTGTGAATGTCTACCTATTTTAATATTGCATTTGTTTGTTAGCTTTCTTTTCATAGTTAATTCTCTAATCTGTGGGTGAGGAACCATATTGTTATAAATGTTAAGGAGCAAATATTATTGTCTTAATCATATTATTTGATATAATATTGATACTAATATTTTCTATTTTTGATTTAAAATTGCACTCTATTATAATTTACCAAGCATACAAACAAAAGAACTGAAAGTCTTCTTTGAAAATTTTGGACAATTTCCTATATTTTCCATATTACTGGTCATTCTCTTTCCATATGGGATTGACCCAGCATGGCCACCTCTGCCTCCCTTCCTGGAATTGAGCTTTACATCTCCTCAGGTACTATTGAGTTGAAGATTCCAGAAGTCAGTATTATTTGGCAACTTTTTTATTTGTTTGTTTTTGGAGACAGGCTCTTGCTCTGTCACCCAGGTTGGAGTGCAGTGGTGTGATCATCGCTTGCTGCAATCTCATCTCCTAGGCTCAAGTCATCTTCCTGCCTCAACCTCTTGCATAGCTGGTACAAAAGGTGTATGCCACTATGCCTATTTTTTTTAAATTTTTAGTAGAGATAAAAATAAATTTTGCTATGTTGCCCAAACTGGTCTCAAACTGCTGAGCTCAAGAGATCCTCCTCGCTTGGCCTCCCAAAGTGCTAGGATTCCAGGTGTTAGCCACCACACCAAGTCTATTTGGAAAATTTTAAGATCAAGTGGATATAAATGAGACTTAGGAGAAAAATAAACTTAATTAGAAGGGGTGCCTCATTGTGATAAGCCTGTGTTAGGGTGAGTTAGACATAGTCTCTCCAAAGTAGCTACATTATTTGATAAACTGAAGTGTTTTCCACATGGAGTGATGTGTGCCACAGGTAGTCCAGCAATGAAAGGCGTTGAACCATTGAAGAAGAAAGCTATGCCTTTTAAATTATTTTTCAGTTCTTCTGATTATGTCAGTGAGATAGCCTTACGTTAGTGAAAATTGTCTTTTCTTTCTAATGCTTGCTAATTTTCTCTTTTAATACATAAGGAACAGGACTCAGGCTTATTGCTTTTTGTAGATAATACATCAAGAACATCAATCACAGCAATAATAATTGCTAATAGAGTTTAGAGCTTATCACATGCCAGGTGCAGTTCTAAGAACATCACATATGCAATCCCATTTTAAAAACTTTTTAGAGAGGTTTAATATATAAAAGATGTTTTGTACATACACACAAAAAAGTGTACAATTCATATCTTTACAGTAATAAATTTTTAAAACCTTATCCACCCTTTTAATCAGCACTCATATCAAAAAACAGAAGGTTGCAAGCACCCCTCTGTGATCCTTCCAATTCCTACCTACCCAAGGATAATAGTATCCTGACTTCTAACAACACAGATTAATTTTGCCAATTTACTCTATAAATGGACATATTGGGTACACTCTTCTTTTGATCAACATTATATTTGTGAGAAACCCATATTATTTTGTATAATTATGGTCTTTTTTATTGCTGAGTAGTATTTTATTATATAAAGATAGCACCATATATTTATCCATTCCATTATTGATGAGGATTTGGATAGTTTCCAATTTGGGGCTATTACAAGTAATGCTGCTGTGACTGTTCATGCACATCTCTTTTGATGAACACCTTTCTATGGTGTATATGCCGATGAGTGTAATTGTTGGGCTTAACAATTAATTTATGCGTCAACTTGACTGGGCTAAGTGATGCCCAGGTAGATGGTAAAAACACTCTTTCTAGGTGTGTCTGTAAAGCTCTTCCAGGAGAGATTGGCATTAGAATCAGTAGACTAAGTGAAGAAGATTATCCTCACCAATGCAGGTGGGTATCCTCTAATCTGTTAATGGCCTAAACAGAACAAAAAGGTGGAGGAAGGGCAAATTTGTTCTATGCTTGAGCTGAACATCATTTTCTCCTGCCCTCAGACATGGACACTCTTGGTTCTTGAGCCTTTGGATTCAGAGCTAGACTTACACCATTGGACACAGTTCTCAGGCCTTCAAACTCAGACTGGGACCTACACCATCAGTTCTCCTGGATCAGGCCTTTGGATTTGCACTGGAACAACCCCATTGGCTTTCCTGGGTCTCCAGCTTGGAGATGGCAGACTGTGAGACTTCTCGGCCTCCATAATCACATAAGCCAATCCTTCATAATAAATATATTTTAATATATCCATCTATATCTATATCTACACCTATCCATTTGTTCTGTTTCTCTGGAGAACCCTGACTAATATATTGGGTGATAGGTTCGTACATGATCAACTTTAGTAGAAGAGTTTTCTAAAGTGGTTATACCAATTTACATTTCCACTCATAGTTTATAAGCATTCTAGTTGCTCCATATCCTCCTTGATACTTGGTATTTTCCAGGTTTTTTCATTTAATAATTCCTGAAGAGCTGAAGAAACATGCAACATACTCTAGGCTGAGATTCCAAGAATGACTTCTGTAGTCACACTGGAAAACTGGATTGCCTAGGGAACTGTGTCTGTCTTGTGATCCATGTCAGAAAAATTGCTTCCCTTTTCCTATTTCTTTTTTCAGCTTTTTAAAAATTGTGAACTACAATATAGCATACACACACACACACGTGTGTGTGTGTGTGTGTATGGTATATAGTTATATGGTATATAGTTTAATAAATAATTTCAAAGTAAATGCCATGCAGCAGCATCTAGGGTAAAAAAGAGCAATTGCCTTCAGCCCCAGAAAATACTGTCTATCCTTCTGATTTCAACTTTCTACCTCCAAGGGATAACCACCATTCTGACTTTTGTGATGACAGTTCTGTAACAATTTCCTTATTTTTCTTAAAAGTTTTACCACATATCTATAAACATGTTAGTTTATTTTCTTTTTTGTTTTTGAGGAAAATCATGTTGCTGTTTATTTCAGGCTTCTTTGTGAAGTTCTTACATGCTACACGTAGTGTAGTCCATTTGTGTTTATTGCTATATGGTATTCCATTATATAAATATACTAAAAATTATTTATTCACTCTACTATTGAAGTACATTTTGGTGGTTGCCCATTGTAAGCCATCATAAACAAGCTGCTATGAAAATTCATAAGTGTTCTGTGCACATGTGGATTGGTTTATAGTATATGCCTGGGGTACTGAGTAGTCATAGCATTACATATGAGCCAATCCCTCACCTTTAACAGATAATACCTAAATGTTTTTGGAAGCGCTTACACTAATTTACACTGTCCCTGACAATTTACCAGAATAAACAGTTTACATGTTGTTCCAAATTCTTACCCACATTTGCTATTATCAGACTTTGATTATGCAATCTGGACATTGTGTATTAGTTTCTGACTGTTTATCTCCATAATGATTAAAGAAGTTGAACGCCTTTTTATGTTTATTAGCTCTTTGAATTTCTTCCTTTGTAAAAGACCTGTTCTTATCTTCTGCCTATTTTTCTATGGGGTAGTTTGTCTTACTGATTTGATTTTCAGAAATACTCTATATAGCCTGGATATTAATTCTTTGTAATGCATTCATATTACAAACATATCATCTTCCTTGATAGGTGTTTTAATTTTCTTTTCCCTGATGGCTCATGAAGCTAAGCACCTCTTCATAAGTTTACTGACCTTTTGGACGTTCTCTTTTGAGAAGGGCTCAAGTCTTTTTGGCCAGTTTTCCATTGGATTGTCAAACTTGCAAGTGATTATTTATTTGTGGGAGTTTTAAAATATGTTATGAGTACTAGTCCTTTGTCAGATAAGTGTATCATGAATATTTTTCTCTGTGTGTGGCTTTTAGACTTTATTAGCAGTGTCTTTTAATAACCAGAAATTCTTAATTTTAATATAATTACATTTAAATTTAAAAATATCTACTTAGTACTTTTTGTTTTCTGACTAAGAAACCTTTTCCTATGACAAGGTCATGAAGATAGATGGTCTTCTGTCAGCTTTGTTTCCCTTTCACATTTACATCATTAATTCACCTGGAATTGAATTTTTATGTATAGTGTACAGTAGGGGTCAAGATACATGTTATTTTCCAAATAGATATCCAACTGATGAAGCACTATTGAATGAGATCATTTCTTTACCACTACACTGTACTGCCATTTTCATTATATCTCAGGTAAATGAATATATGTGAGTTTGTTTCTGGAACTGCATTTTATTGCATTTATCAGTTTGTCTATCATTGCTCCAATATACCAATGTCTTATTGATATAGCATTACAGTAGTCAGTGAAAAGCTCCCAAATCTGTTCAGCTTCTTCAAAATTGCCTTGGCTAGTTTCCAAAAATTAAATTGCCTTGCCTTCCCATATAAACTTTAAAATTTGATTGTCGATTTTATCAAAAGAAGAAACCAGGCTGGGAAAGGTGGCTTATGCCTGTAATCCCAGCACTTTGGGAGGCTGAGGCGTGGATCACCTGAGGTCGGGAGTTCGAGACCAGCCTGACCACCATGGAGAAACCCTGTCTCTACTGAAAATACAAAATTAGCCGGGCTAATGCCTGTAATCCCAGCTACTCGGGAGGCTGAGGCAGGAGAATAGCGTGAACCCGGGAGGCGGAGGTTGTGGTCAGCTGAGATCACACCATTGCACTCCAGCCTGGGCAGCAAGAGTGAAACTCTGTCTCAAAAAATAAATTAATAAATACAAGAAAAGAAAAAACCTGTGGCGATTTCAGCTTAAAAAAAATAGAATCTGTAGATCAATTTGAGAAGAATTGACATCTTTATCTCATTTAATTTTCACTAAAATTCTCTGAATTATGAATTTGTTATCTACACTTTATTGATGAGATAACTAAAGAAAACAACAGTAAAGAAACATATCTTATATCATCTCAATAATTAGTACTCACTTCTGGATCCTTATCCAGAGTGTACAGGGCAGGATGCAGCTAAAGTACAATTGACAATGTTTTGCTTTCATATTTAATTTTACGATTACTTTCTATTTATAGCTTACTTATTGCAGATATATAGTAATGGTAACTTTATATTTGAAATTAAAAATGAGACTATCTAACAAACATTGTAACAAGTAGTTTAAATCCTAGGCAGATTGTAGAAATAGCGTGTATGAAAGTTTGACTGTGTTTGAGGAAACTCTAACCAATTAAAAGTGTTTGCTTAGTGATCACTAAATTAATATTAATGTTGTTTGGAACAATAACTAGTTAAAAGTATCTAGTTAACGTCATTGACATTGATGTAGGTAGTTTCTTTGGTTTTACTCCTGCTAACTGGATGACATGTAACTTTAAAACCTATATTGCAGGCCGGGCATGGTGGCTCACGCCTGTAATCCCAGCACTTTGGGAGGCCAAGGCGGGTGGATCACAAGGTCAGGAGATCTTGACCATCCTGGCTAACACGGTGAAACCCCATCTCTACTAAAAAATACAAAATTTAGCCGGGCGTGGTGGCGGGCGCCTGTAGTCCCAGCTACTCGGGAGGCTGAGGCAGGAGAATGGCATGAACCCGGGAGGCAGAGCTTGCAGTGGAGCCGATATCGCGCCACTGCACTCCAGCCTGAGCAAGAGTGTGAGACTCCGTCTCAAAAAAATAAAAACCTATATTCCAAACTATTTAGGAAATAAGAAGTGAAACTAGGACACAGCTCCTTTCCAAACTGTTTAGAATGGATGTCATCAATCAAAAACCTATTTTCAATTACTCTCATTCTGGTAATAATACTAACTTTTGAAAGGCAAGATTAACCTGGGACCCACAATAACATTATTTTGCCTGGGAAACGAGACATTTAGTTACAAGGGAACTGAGCATATAATCCTAAAGTTTTCTCCAAGGTATAAAATTCTATTATTCTATGAAATCAAAGAGCTATAAAAGGTTATTGAACACTGCGAAAAAAAAAAGTTATCCTATACTCCTTAATTGGCAAGAATGAAACAGGGACCATTCCATGGTAGCTGTGAGTTTCACATGAATAGTCTACAAATAGCTACTGAGCTGCTTGCTATTGTGTGTATACCATTGAGCCAAACACACACAGCTTCTGTCTATACAAAGCTTGCAGTTTAAGGAACTAGTCTTCATGGAATATTGCAATGAGAAGCAAGTCCTAAAATTTGTTAAAACGCTTAGAAAATGATTTAACCCTCTCATGCCTCATGTTCTAGTTTTTAAAAAGGGGGCAACATAGAACACTAATTTTTTTCCCTAGGATCAAACATAGCTTGTATTGGCAGTTGGTATCAAATTTTACAGATTAGTAGGTTTACAATTAGAACATACAAAGGAGGTTTTTTTCTTTTTCTTTTTTTTTTGAAGAGGGAGGAGAGTTCATACCTGTATGGATAGAACTATGCTTAATGTATTAAGATATATAGTAACAATTTGCGTGTACCATTAAGGATAAATTTCAAAGTACTCCTAATGTAGTAACTCCACTAGTGGATCTTTTAAACTTGTATGTAACTGATATTATCTTGGAAAATAAATATAGTTACCTGGTGCCTAATATATGCAATGTTATCATTTATGAAATGAAGAAGAAATTGGGGTAAACATCCTATGTGGTCATCAAAAGAGGTTTGTGCTTTTACAATTTTTTTTCACAGAAGTTATGCATAGGTAACAATTTTGTATTGCCTAATCTTAATTTTATATTGACCTTTATATCAGAGCAAACGTTTCCTTTGGTTTCTAATGAAGTCATTTATTAAATAATAATATATTAATTCTAATTTTATCTGAAATTATTTCTTATGTCTAGTTTCACAAATTTATTTCTGTTTTATTTTCTTTTTGGTGTTTATTTGAGCCTTTTGTTGTCTACCTATTGCTCTATTCTGTTGTTATATTGATATGTATTTAGAGGGGAAAAAGCTCTCTTTGAAGAGTTCTCAGCAGTGTTAGACCTGTTTTTTAACTTCCTGAGGCAACTTATACAATTGTAAAGAGCCTCATCTTACTTTCACTGTTCCAGTTATGTGCATTATCAGATCAGATAAAATATTGAAGTCAGAGTAAATTTAAGGTAGCAATGATGACTCTTACCTGAATCCAAAGTATCTTCTTTAAGGAAGGAGAAAAACAAAGTGTTGATTATTAAATAATCAAGTATATTTCTCCCTTAATGTGAAATGTAAGTAAAATTCCCTGTAAGCTTTACCAGAAGCCTAGTTAGCACTTGAAGATTGTAATTATACAAAAGTGTAACCAAGACGTTTTAAGAAATTATTAATGTAGTATTAATGTAGTTATAGTATTCCTATTATAGTAGCCAGTAGGAGACAATTTTTCCAAATGAGATTTTCAATGTAAAAATCCTTTTCAGAATCACTCCCAGTTCTATCATGTTGATCTCCTAATACCATGATGTCAACTAAGACTATGTTTGGTTCAGAAAATCTGTGCACATATTAGCATCAGGGCTTGTATGTATTAAAATATCTGAGGCCAGCCTTGTCAGAAAGCTTGATATCAAGGTGGAACACATTTTTGTTATAAGAATTAACTATCTCAAAAGGTGACACTTAGAAGCTTTGAAGACAAATGCCTCGAAATGATACAGACAATCTTGTCTCTATCCAAATTACTTTGTTGGAAGGCGGATTAAGAAAAGAGGCTAAAATCTCCTTTTCTAAAAGTCAGGTATTTTGTATTCATAAGAGGTAATTGAACACCAAGGAAGTAGCCAGAAGGAAAGAAAAAAAATCACCAGGATAAAGGGAACATTCAACTAGTCACCTCCCTTTTTTTTTTTTTTTTTTTTTTTTTGTCTTGTTTATGCTTTCAATGCCCAGAAGAGACACAGATCACAAAAAGTTGGAGGTAATTCTGGTGGAAAAAGAACTGAATCTCAAGATAAGTGAGTTGCTTATAATAGCACATAATTTTGAAATGTTTGTCTCCTGACATAGTCAAATTGTAACCCAGTTTACCAAGAAACACTATAGATTATTTATACTCAGTTAGTTTTTGAATAACAACAAGTAATGAATGTGAAATCAGAAGACTGAAGGTAAAGTTAGTATCCTGATTTTTTTTTTAAGAAAGAATATTATGGGAACCAAGTGTAGGTTTTATATGTCAGATTTCAGAAAAGGAATGGGCTACACATTATTAGATTAGCAAATGATGACCGTCTTCTTTGTTTAGACTGCCATAACAAAAATGTTATCGACTAGGTAGCTTATAAGCAACTTTTTTTTATTTCTCAGTTCTGAAGGCTGAGAAGTCCAAGATGAAGGCACCAGCGATTCCTGGGCTGGTAAAGGTCACTTCTTGGTTCACATAAGGCAGTGTCACTGAGTTCACATTGGAGAAGGGAGCCCTCTGAGAGTCTGTTTTGTAAGTGCAGTGATCCCATTCATGAAGGCAGAGCCCTCATGACTAATCACTTCCCAAAGGCCCCACTTCCAAATGCCCTAACATTAGGGATTAGATTTTATTTTATTTTATTTTATTTTGAGACGGGGTCTCACTCTGTCGCCCAGGCTGGGGTACAGTGACGCGATCTCAGCTCACTGCAAGCTCCGCCTCCCGGGTTCACGCCATTGTCCTGCCTCAGCCTCCCGAGTAGCTGGGACCACAGGCGCCTGCCACCACACCCGGCTAATTTTTTGTATTTTTAGTAGAGACGGGGTTTCACCATGTTAGGATGGTCTCAATCTCCTGACCCTGTGATCCGCCCGCCTCGGCCTCCCAAAGTGCTGAGATTACAGGCGTGAGCCACCACCCCCGGCCAGGAATTAGGTTTTAACATATGAATTTTGAGAAGACACAAACATTCAGTCTATAGCCATGATCCTAAGAGCAAACATACTCATTTTTCTTTTACATGTGTTTACTAATCTGGCAGAGGGGGAAAATACTGTGATACTCTTCATCTTATTTTCAATATGGCCATTTATTTCTTATCCAGGCAGAAATAAGTTATTCCAATCTTCAGTCCATGGCAATATAGTTGTATAGTAGATTCTGTAGAGTTCTTGATCAATATGTTATTTAACAAATCTAATTCTAACATATACTTCCATAACTTGCTCAATATAATCAAAGAATATTTCACAACAATGTTTTAACTTTGGTTTTCACAGTAAGAGATGTATGAAAAACCAAATTACTTAATTCTCAATTAGTATTTTTCTTAGCGTTTCCTCCAAATAATTTCGTTGATGTTCCCTCTGGGACATATGAGGGTCTTAGTGGCCAGATTTGGCAGGTAAGACATTCTGAGTTTCTCTCTCTTTTTACCTCCAAAGGATTGGGGAAGCATCTCAGTTTGCCCTAAAATTAAACTCAACAATCACAGCTTGAGCTTTTCATTTAGCTAATTAGTACTTATTCTTTCAATTGTATTGTCACCCATATGGGAGAAGGACAGCAGATTGCCTGTCTCCTGTCTGTTTCTTTTGATTTTCCTATTAAGCTATTGATAAAAGAAAAACTTCAGACAAATTAAATTTAAAGGAGTTTCATTGAGCAATGAACAGGCAGCCACCAGAATCACAGCAGATTCACAGAGACTCCAGGGGTGTCTCGTGGTCAGAACAAATTTATAGACAATAAAAGGTAAAGTGATGGCCAGGTGCGGTGGCTCACTCCTGTAATCCCAGCACTTTGGGAGGCGGAGGCGGGCAGATCACGAGGTCAGGAGATCGAGACCATCCTGGCTAACATGGTGAAACCCCGTCTCTACTAAAAAATACAAAGAATTAGCCAGGCATGGTGGCGGACGCTTGTAGTCCCAGCTGCTTGGGAGGCTGAGGCAGGAGAATGGCGTGAACCTGGGAGGCGGAGCTTGCAGTGAGCTGAGATCCAGCCACTGCACTCCAGTCTGGGCTACAGAGGGAGACTCCATCTCAGAAAAAAAAAAAAAAAATTAAAGTGACGTACAGGAATCGGAAGTGAAATACAGAAACAGTGAGATTGGTTACAGCTTGGCATTTGCCTTATTTGAAAGCAGTTTGAACATTCAGCAGTCTATGAGTGGCTGAAGTGTGGCCACTGGGATTGGCCAACACTCAGCTCTTGTTATAGGTGCATGCTACTAAGTTAGGTTTTCAATTTTGTCTGACTATTAAGCTAGGTTCCAGTTCATCCACAAGGACTCAAATATAGAAGTAGGGAGTCCTTCTCAGGCCATATTTAGTTTGCTTTAACACTATAAAACATAATGGTTTTTTCTTTTTTTTTTTTTCTGGTTTCTTGTCACTATTCCATATAATCAAGAGAAATTGTGAGGCAAGGAGTAGGAGGAGTAAAGCAATCTCTTACAGAAAAGGCCTCAATTTTCCTTTGTAGATATGTCTGAGCATGCAGGGCTCACGTATACAAAACAACATGTAAGTTTAAAAAATTTCAGGGCAATAAAAGCTAGCAAGCAAATCCATTGCCTGAGAGTCACTGATGACCAAAGCCCTATCTATAGATCCCTAGAAATGTGTATACAAATATGAATTAAAACAATAGCTAAGTAGATTCTCCTCAAGATGCTCAGTAGGAAAAGTGTACCTTTTGAAATATTAAAACTGTTTTAGGTAGTTTTTGTTGTCATTTTTGTTATATTGTTAACAAATAAATTCTTAGCTCTATAGGTGTGGTTATTTGACTATATAGCTACATGTATCTATCAGTGGATGTCCTGGCAGGAGAAAAAAGGTTCACACTGATAGTATTTTGAAGAAAATATAATAAAGAATTCTCTACAAAGGAGAGGGGAGAAGTAAGGAAACCAGTGAAAGGGGTAGAGTAGAGATGCAGTCATGGCTATGAACAGGGGAAAGGGGTTACCACCTCTAAGCCTAAAGGAGCAAAGAGAGAAAGCGCACCAGAGCCAAGTGAGTGTAAGAAGGGGCATGATGGTCTTCCATGTAGGATGGGAGCAGAAATACCCTGGCCTCTTTGTTCCTGCCCTCCAATTTCCTACCATCACCTGGGACAGAGAAAAGGAGAGGTTGCATGGGGCCGGGAGGTGGGGTTGTGGCACAAAACAAGAAGAAATAAACTTATTTAATTTAAAAAAAATCACAAATGGAGTATTATTATTCCACACTGTACAATTCCATGTTACTTCATTAGCCTTTTATTTTTCAGTCCAAGTCTATGACCCATTGTTGGAGATGAAGATGATGTAAATTTTAAGTTCATAGAACATAGAAAGCACTAAATAAATGTCTATTGAATGAATACATGAACAAGTGAATGAGAAATTTGGTTGATTATCTATATGGAATTTCTCAGGCTCAGATTAATAAATGTCTTAGTTCTATTTTTATGATATAATAATTTTTATATTTCCAAAGCTATTCTTCAAACATTCACTTTTTATTCCACTGACCCATTCTAATTCTAAATCTTATCAATCTATTTTTCTAAATTCACTGAGATACATGAGCCTCATATTTTCTGCTCTCGATCCAGAGTCCAAAATTTACATCAGCAAGGTGTGCCTCAGTAGAGGCAAAAGGAATCCAGTCCCCAGTCCTTGAACCCTAAAATAGGAGGATGAAATGGTATTAATGGTTCTGCCTGATTCCTAAATCAAGCATTATACATTATGTCTTCTCTCTCTTCTATTCCATCAAGGGACCAAAAACTTTAAATTAGAAAACAACCTTATGTCAAGGTAAAGACAGTTATTTTCTTTGCTTGAAATATAGTTAAATGTAAGGGCAAGAGAGAATTTTAATGCAGTGAGGACAAAAGTGGCCTTATTTAATAGATTCTAAGCTGCTTCTTAGGCTGTTCTGCAAATAGCAGCATTTCAGAACAATAATAATATATTGATTAAGTGCTTTAAGTAAGTTCTTTCTGGCCTACTGTTTGAACCTTGCAGTTATTGACCATTTTTAATGATAATAATAATATCAATAAAAATAACAGCCACCATCTATTAGGTACCTGTTATGCACAATCCTCATTTGCATTCTCCAACTCAATTCTGCAAACAATTTTACAAAGCTGAAATGAGAGTTTAACATTTAACTGATCAGATAACCTTGCCCAAAGCCTCACAGAGAGGGCAGTGGACACATCATGAGTAAGTGGCAGAGGTAGTTGGAGCCCAGTTTTTCTGAGCAAAACCTTTGCTTTTAAACAATACAGTGACAACCCTCTTTTGACTCCCATTTGAATTAATATACTTTTGGCTGACATTGGAAAAGCTCATGTCTCCTACTTGGATCTGCAGGGTGCTATTAAACTGCCTCTGAGAAAAGAAAGACAGAAATTTTATTTCTACCATGTGTGGTATAGGGGAGGAAAGTTTAGGTGACTTTAATGAGAGTGACTATGATGAGATAAGAAAGATAAAAAACATGTACAGTGAGAAGAGTGAGTTTTTGAAGGAAAAATGGTGCCAGTTGACTAAAGGAGAGTGCATTGTCATTCTGCTCCATGTTCTCTTTCCACTCATACATATTTTCCAAATGGAGCCACAGACATTCAACTTGACCTATGACTGCCCTTTAAATAGGCAGCTCTCCCAGACAACTCTCAGAGGCAGCCTTCACCAGAAAGCAGGGGCAGCAGCACTGACTGGTCCGCTAATTCCTCTCGACCTTGGCTGCTGCTTCCTGCTAACTACCATGACACTGGACTCTCAATTTCCATGTTAGTTTTTGATCTCCAGTCTGGTGGTCTACTAGGCTTTCCTTCTCTGCCTTAGTGGAGTGAGCCTCCCTCTTATTCTTTGGCCCCTGCCTCATCTTTGAATGCCATCACTGGCCATGGCTTTGAGGGCAAAGACTCTCTAAATCAAGTCTTGATCCATTTCCAACCCACCCCCCAGTATACCTGGCCAGAGAAGAAAAGTTAAGCCTAAATTTTTTACAAAAGAAAAAATAACCTTTACAGAATTAGACGATTAAGTATGGCAATTTCTACCTACTCTTATCAAGTAGTTTAATATTTATTTTGTGCATTTACTTCTATAATAAGTAATTCATTCCCTAAGTTTCTATCTAGGGTTCTGTCTTACATGTATAAGACAGAAAGACATTTATAGAGGGCTCTGTGCTAAAAACGCTTTTTTGAAATCAATTTTCAATGCTGCTTAAAAATGGTTTTTAAATGTTTTTAATATAAGCAAAGTGAAGCGGATCTTGAAAGAAAATCTAATCTGCATACTCATTATTCAGAAAATAAACAGATGCGGGATTTGCAATAGAGGCAGGATAGTACAATGGTTAAACATATGGGCTCTACAGGCAAATCTCTTAGGCTCAAATCTTAACTAATACCTATTAGCAGTACAAACTTAGACAAATTTCTTAACCTTTCTCTGCCTCAGTTTTCTTATCTATAAAATTGGAATTATTATGATAGCAACTGATACACAGGGTTTTATGATAATTGAATGATAAGGTAGTAAAACACGAGAAGTACTTAGAATAGTGCCTGGCATAGAAAGTGCTTGATAAATGGCAACTATTACAATAGCTAGCAAGTAGCTCCATGATCAACGCAATTCACAGACTTTATCAGCAACTCACTATCTTCCTCCTTAAACAGCCTTGGCCTGGAATGTAGAAGTTCCTTCTGTCTCTGGCAATATATTCTCTCACTAGAAATAAGCTCCCCTGACCAAATGGCAATTGGTTAAATTCTGACTGTTGGCATCTCACACATATTAATATTTCTAAGCTCTAGTATAAATCCCCTCCCACACAACTCCCCCCTCCCACACAATATGTCACACAAAAGAAGAGGACAGTAAGAACAGAAATCTCATCACTGTTATTATTCCCCATGCATGATTTGAAATGTACTACTGTTTGTCTGGTAACTGCAATAACTCCCAAGAAACCTCATTCTGTCACCAGAGTTACAGGCTTCAAGGATTTGCCTGTGCCATTTGTCAAGCTTTGCAACCTTCACTTTATTCTTTCAGTGTTCTAAAGAAAGGTCATCCCAAAGACTATACTGGTAACTTATTTTCCTCTCTTCTGCACTCTCCTTTATGGCTCCCTTTCTGTTTAGGATAAGAGGCAAGAATCAGAGACAGGATTCATTCAAAACCCATTTCATGCCCTGCCCGCTCTCAGTATCAGGAGAATTTAATATTTGAGTTTACCTTTGGGGACAGACAGATTCAATATCCTGACTCCATCACTTATTAGTTGTGTGATGCAAGACAAATTTCTTGGTATCTCTGATATCAAGTAAATAAGTGTTATTGTGAGATTAGATTAAATGAGATGATCCATTTAATTGCATATAGTAACCTTTCAATAGTGGTATCAATTATTACTGTACTTCCCAAACTCTAACATCTGATGTATTATTCCATGTTTCCTCTCTGAAACCATGTCCAGATCTTGATGCTTTATATCCGTCTATCCTCCTTTCCCCTCCCTCTCCAAAATCATATTCTCTAAATTATCTCCTCTGAATCCTTATTCGCCACCTGATCAAAACACTTCTGGTTCAGTGATCTTCCATATTCCTTTCAAAACAGTTATTTTCATTCCTCTGTTTAATTATCTGCAGCATCCCACAATAGAAGCCATTACCATTCCACTTTTCCTAATGTATGAGGGTAAAGCTTAGATAATTCCCCTCACTTTCTATTAAGGGCACTTTTCTGAAACCCTAGAGCACTCGGGAGGAGAGCGCATAGAGCCACTGGTGATACTGATACTGGGACCGATTGGAAACTGGCTGCGGTTGCCTCAAGGATGTGCCTGGCACACCCGCTGTCTCCTAAGTCACTGCAAAGCCTGAGGATTCAGAAGCTGAAAGGAATCATTGGTGCCAGTGCAGAGGGGTAGAATCTAGACTCATCCTCTGGATTAGGTGGCAAACACAGAATAATGCTCAAAGTAAGGACTTTAGAATTAAGCCAAATATAAGGTCAGGTTCCAGTAACACTACTTTCTACCTGTGTGATCTTTAGCAAGTTATTTTAACTTTTCTGATTTTTGTTTTACAGATTGAAAAACATAAGGGTAAATAAAGCTGTATCTACCACATATATATGTGTGTGTATATGCGTATAAATATTCATTCATCTCCTTCTTTACAGCCATAAGGCTTCCTTAAGCTACTGTTATATCCTCCCTGGAATAATAAAATGCTCTTAACTGGTCATCCTGTTCTGCTTTGCATCTCTCTACTCCATCATCCACAAAGCTGTCAAACTGTTTTTTAAATCATGTAGATTCAACTGTGTAACTCTTCTATTAAAAACAACTTTTCATTGCATTTAGGAAAAAAAACTCCAACTTTTAACAAGTAGTTGGATCAGGCCCCTGTCTACTTCTCTCTCTTCATATCATATCACTTCTCTCCACTCTCCATTGAAATTTCAGCCATACTAGTCTTCTGGCAGTGCCTCAAGTGCACATATTTCTTCCCTACTCAAAGGCCTTTGCACATGCAAAGCCTGGAGGGCTCCTTGTCTATTTATTTGCCTATTATCTCATTCTATTTCTTCAGATCTCAGCAGTAGATCCTCAGAGAGGCTATTCTACACATTTCAGCTAAATTTCATTTCCCTTTTATATTCTCCATTAGAGAATATAACTGTGAATTTTCCATTAGAGAGCTTATCCGTATTTGCATTTCTATATTTATGTTTATGTCTCAATTTAATATTCAACTGGTCCCTAAGCACAATGAACACAGGAGTCATGCCTCTTTTGTTTATTCCTTAACACCAGATGTCTAACTCTGTGTTGGACACATGGTAGACACTTCATGAATATTGGCAGAATCATTGCTGAGTGGATATGACAAATATAGGCAGGAGGCTCTTTCTACTCTTGCCATAGCATACTTTGCACCGTCAGCAGCAGCAGCAAGAATCTTCACAACAGCAGTAGCTATGATTTATCTAATGGCTGCTGTGTGCTGGGCCCTGAGCTAAACTTTTTCTATTCTCATTTAATTCTATCATCCTAACATACTTAGCAGAAAAGGGTAAAAGAAGCATACCCAAGGTCATACAGCTTTGGTGGAGCTCAAAATTTAATACAAATCTAACTGATTTAAAATCTATGACCATGGCTTGGAACAGTGGCTCATGCCTATGATCCCAGCACTTTGGGAGACTTGAGGCGGAAGTATTGCCTGAGCCCAGGAGTTTGAGACCAGCTGAGGCAACATGGCAAAACACCATCTCTACAAAAATGCAAAATCAGCTGGGTGTGGTGGTGCATGCCTGTAGTCCTAGTTACTCGAGAAGCTGAGCTGGGAGGATTGTTTGTGCCCAGTAGGCCAAGGCTGCAGTGAGCTGCACTCCATTGTGCCACTGCACTCCATCCAGCCTGGGCAACAGAACAAGACCCTCTCCAAAAAAAGAAAACAACGACAACAACAACAACAACAAAAAACCTATGACCTTGCCATAAAAAGAGAGAATTGAGCAGATTGCAATTTATCCAGAAAAATGGATTGGGGCTTTTCTTTTTTTTTTTTTTTCAGTGGTGATTTTATTTTGCCAGGCCTGTCCCTTAACAGCACTCTAGAAGGAGAATGACAGCAAAGAAAAGCTAAAAATTAATTTTCAAAATCTCCTTCAAAAGATATATTCCAGTGCTTAAACTTTTCAAATGACCAGGAAATCAGGCTTGAATCTAAATTGCCTTCTCCCAGTGTTAACTGGAGATGAATAATACATTGCCTGTGTTGTAATAGAAGCATAATGTTTCTTTTAGTCTGTTTCAAAGGTAAGAGGTAGAGAACTAGAAAGTAACATTTCTTGGACATCAGTGACTTCTACATTGATTCTGAAAAGGTCATTTTCCCTGTCACTCCAAGTGGCTACCTCATCACCAAGTGCCCTTTTAAACTAGTAAATAAAGACAATGAGTCTATCTTAATTTATACATAAAAAAGAAGCATTGAACTATAATAGGATTCTATGTATGACTTCCCACAGCAGAAGTATTCTATCACCTTAAATGATCATAGGTAATGTGTCCTAGTTATTTAATCTTTTTGGACTTGAATCAGAGACCACTGATTTCAATAGACTTGTTTAAAACAACTACAACAACAATAATAAAAGACGCTGACAAAACTGGTCATGCATGAATGTCGTCACAGGGAGATATGGATTCTTAAAAATAATTCCAGGACTTTGTATGGGCAATATATCTAGACCACAGAGAAGAAAATCTACCTTTTTCTAGCTAGCCTTTTAGATGTCATCTTAGTTACCCCAGGGTAATAGATAGCCAACTGTATCAATATTAAACTGACTTTGAATAACAAGGTCCTCAGTACCCAGAAATTTTCTTTACAATTCTTATTCAGCTTCTATGTGATTGTCTGCAAACATTATGAATAAATTTCTAGTTTTATGCTTGTGGTATTGTATACATCTGTTCCTATTCAACCCTATACCTATACCTCTAACCAAGAAAAAAGTTCATTATTTTGATGTAACTATTATGACCTATTTCCTTAGCTCGGAGTACAAATATGGTCACTATATTAGTCTGCTTAGGCTGCCATAACAAAATATCATAGACTGAATGGCTTAAGTAACAGAAATGTATTTGTTCAGAATTATCCAGGCTAGAAGTCCAAAATAAAGGTTTTGGCCAATTCAGTTTCTGGTAAGGGCCTTTTTCCTCGCTTGCAGATTGCCACTTTTTTGTTGTATCCTCACTTGGTAGAGAAAGGGAGGGAGATATTAAGAAAATGAGAGAGAGAGAGCAGAGAGAATGCTTTAATGTCTAGTCTCTTCTTTCAAGGACATTAATCATATCAGATCAGGGTCCCACCCTTATGATCTCATTTAACCATAATTACTTCCTTAGAGTAATACTCCCATGAAGTCAGGTGAGATACCAACTCTCATTCCATAACAGTCACATGTATTTTATTTTTAAATTAATTAATCCAGTACCTCTATAATCAAATAGGGCTTGTTGCAAAAAGGTCAGTTCTGCTTTCCAACACTAGGCATAGAAAAATTAAAAATCAGATGGTTTCTTAGTAGAACCCAGCTTTCTGCCTACCTTGCTTCAATCTCTGCCACAATGATGGAGTTGAACACTGGTTCTGCAGAGTCCTATGCTTCAGTGATTCCCTAATTGGTCTCAGTTCTGAACAGATTGCAGTGGCAACCATGTTCTGGATCACAAGGTGACCGTTCAACCAGTGGAACATTGAACTGAATGCAGCTCTTGCCATGAACACTTGAGTCCAGGCATTGAGCCTAGGTTACTAGGCTCTTAAATTTCCCCCTCTTGAGTGTTGACTTTTCTTTTGGGACCTTGATTTCCTTTCCAGCTATTAAAGGTGAGTGAGACCATCTCCATCTATCAGAGCAGTGCTTAAACTTTGAAGGAAAAGTGTCCTTTGTCCTTATGCACATTTGTTTATTTCTGCCCTAGCAATCAGAGCCACATTTCCAGAGCTATTATTCACAAGCACATACTTTCCCAAGCCCATAAATATCCTGTAATATCATTTCCATGGGACAATGGGTGCCCAGTACTTTTACACCTGCAAAACTGGAAAGGGTCATTAGAATAATTCTTCTGAAGAAAGAATTAGATAGACAAAGAAGTGACCATTAAATGCACCTTCATTCTTCACTCACCATCTTTATTTGCATTTTCATCTGTAAATCCTCAGAACAATCAAAAGAATCTTACTTAGGACCCAAACAACTGAGAAAGTTAGGGATTTGGGAATTATAAATATTCATAGTTTATTTTGTTCAGCCAATTAATGTTTCCTCTAATCTTGAAAGAAATAGAAATCATAGGAGAATGTAGGCAATGACACATAAAAAAGTGGGCAAATAGAAGTAATAGACAGATTTAGTGTAACCTACTTGAAAAAGAGGATGAAGACATCAGGATGATGTCCCCTAAAAATGTCCTCAGATGATATGAAGGAGTTTTGTGCATAGTCAGGCTCCATGGGAGAACAGGTAAATATGCTACACATAAACTATTATGCATGGCTGTGTATATTCAGGAATATGGATGAGTTGAAGGTGCTCTGAATAGCCAGCATATCAAGAAGGAATTTGCCAAGGTTAGGAACATGGGCCTTTTATTCTGAATACACTAAAATTAGAATTAAACTTGTCTCCTGGCTCCCAAAGAGGAAGCTCTGGTTTTCAGAGCAGGAAATACTTTCTAAGTAGTACTATTGGAAGCATAGATTCTTAGATATACTTAAAAATAGAGATTAAGATTTTTTATTATGTTTTCTACAATAATCAATGACCTTAGGGATACTCTGTGATTGGCCTCAATAGTATTACTTTGTATTCACACAATGGTCTTGTTTTAAATTTGCACCCAAGCACTCTTGTCCATGTTTCTTTAGCTAAGGAGACTAGTTAGATAAAATATTATGAAAAAACTAGCCTCATGTGGTTAGTAATAAGAATGAGGCTAAGCCCTCCAGATTCCCCTTTGTATTAGTCCATTCTTGTACTGCTATAAAAAAAACTGAGACTGGGTAATTTATAAAGAAAAGAGGTCTAATTGGCTCACAGTGCCACAGACTTTATAGAAAGCATGGCAGCATTTCCTTGGTTTCTGAGGAGGTCTCAGGAAACTTACAATTATGGTAGAAGGTGAAAGGGGATCTGGCACTTCCCATGGCCAAAAACAGGAAGAAAAGAGAGAGATGCTAAACAACTAAAGAAACATCTCGTAAGAACTCACTGTTACCATGACATGACAGCACCAAAAGGGATGTTAAACCATGAGAAACCACCCCCATGATCCAATCACCTCCCACGAGGTTCCACCTACAGCATTGGGGATTACATTTCAACATGAGATTTGGGTGGAGACACAGATCCAAACCATATCATTATGCACCCAGACCCTCCCAAATCTCATGTCCTTTTTACATTTCAAAATACAGTCATGCCTTCCCAAAAGTCTCCCAAAGACTTAACTCATTCCAGCATTAAAAGTCCACAGTCCAAATTCTCATCTGAGACAAAGCAAGTCCCTTTCACCTATGAGCCTATAAAATCAAAAACATGTTAGTTACTCCCAAGATGCAATGGGGGTACAGGAATTGGGTAAATACTCTCATTAGAAAAGGGATAATTCAGCCAAACGAAAGGGGCTATTGGCACCATTGGAAGTCTGAAACTGAGAAATGCAGTCATTAAACCTTAAAGTTCCAAATTAATCTCTTTTGACACTATGTCCTACATCCATGGCATGCTGGTGCAAGATGAGGGTTCCCAAAGCTTGGGCAGCTCTGCCCCTGTGACTTTGCAGGGTTCAGCCTCCACAACTGCTCTCATGGGCTGATGTTGAGGGCCTAAAGCTCCTCCAGGTTCAGGGTGCAAGCTGCCGGTGGATCTACTATTCTGGGGTCTGGAGGATGGTGACCCACTTCTCACAGCTCCACTAGGCACTGCCCCAGTGGGGCCACCATGTAGTGGCTTCAACCCCACATTTCCCCTCTGCACTGCCCTAGTAGAGGTCTCCATGAGGGCTCCACCCCTGCAGCAAACTTCTGCCTGGACATCCAGGCATTTCCATACATCTTCTGAAATCTAGGCAGAGGCTTCCAAGCCTCAAGTCTTGCCCTCTGTACACCCACAGTCTTAACACTATGTGGAAGCCACCAAGGCTTATGGCTTGCACCCTCTGAAGATGTGGCCTGAGCTATACATGGGCCTGTTGGAGCTACAGCTGGAGCTGGAGCAGCTGGGATGCAGGGAGAAGTGTCTCAACGCTGTGCAGGGCAGTAGGGCCCTGGGCCTAGCCCACAAAACCATTCTTCCCTCCAAGGCCTCTGGGCCTGTGATGGGAGGGGCTGCCACAAAGGTCTCTGAAATGTCTTGGAGGTCTTTTCCCCATTGTCTTGGCTATCAGCATTTGCCCTACTTTCAGTTGTGCAGATTTTTGCAGCTGGCTAGAGGTGCTCCCCTGAAAATGGGGTTTTCTTTTCTACCACATGGCCAGGCTGCAAATCTTCCAAACTTTTACACTGTGCTTTCCTTTTAAATGTAAGTTCCAGTTTTAGATAATTTATTTGCTCATGCCTATGAGCATAGGTTGTTAGAAGCAGGCAGGCTGCATCTTGAACACTTTGCTACTTAGAAATTTCTTCTGCCAGATACCCTAAATCACCACCCTCAAGTTCAGAGTTCCACAGGGGCACAATGCAGCCATTCTCTTTGCTTCTGCATAACAAAAGTTACTTTTGCTCCAGTTCCCAATAAGTTCCTCATCTCCATCTGAGACCTCCTCATCCTGGACTTCATTGTCCATATCACTATCAGCATTTTTGACACAACCATTTAACATGTCTCTAGGAAGTTCCAAACTTTCCCTCATCTTCCTGTCTTCTTCTGAGCCCTCTATACTCTTCCAACCTCTGCCCGTTACCCAGCTCCAAAGCTGCTTTCATGTTTTCAGGTATCTTGATAGCAATGGCACAATCCTCAGTACCAATTTTCTGAATTAGTTCATTCTTGCAGTATTATAAAGAAATAACTGAGACTTGGTAATTTATTAAGAAAAGAGATTTAATTTGCTCATGGTTCTGCAGGCTGTTCATAGCATGGCAGCATCTCCTCAGTTTCTGAAGAGGCCTCAGGAAACTTACAATCATGGAAGAAGGCAAAAGGGTAGCTGGAACTTCACATGGTCAAGAGCAGGAGGAAGAGAGAGAGAGGGAGGTGCTACACACTTAAAAAAAACATATCTTGTGAGAACTCACTGTTGGCATGACAGCACCAAGGGGGATGGTGCTAAGCCATGAGAAATTGCCCCCATGATCCAATCAGCTCCCACCAATCCCCACTAGCATTGGTGGTTACATTTCAACATGAGATTTGGATGGGATTTGGATACAGATGCAAAATATATCACCCTTCATTTTGGCTGCCCTTTATAAAGGGCTGTCAGAGACTACTGTCAGCCTTTTCAGAGATTGCCTTAGTTAAAGAGAATTGCTTCACCCAAGATCATATGTTTCCTAGAGGGATCCACACTTAGTGATTGATAGACACAGGAATATAAAGGCCCATCTACTTAGGCCCCAAGTGCAACATCCCTGATGAGCTATTTTAGCTCCAACCTTCCCATGGAACTGGTTTAGGCTGTCATCCAGCCTATATCACAGTGTGACTTTTCCCTCTGCCCATTCTTGATACCTTCCTCTTTCTCCCAATGAAGCTGATTATGGCAGATGTGGTAGCTGACTCTCAATACCCATTATAGGCATTGTACTTAGTAATATAATTTCAAATTTTAGATGGAAATATTTCAGTTCAAGTAAAATAACTTATTTATAAACTTCCTCACAAGTTGAGACAACCAAGGAACTATTTTGGCTAAAGAAATATAAGAAAAGTATTTTTAAAAGATGAGATTTACTTTTTTCCACCCTTTCTTCTCAATATTGGTTGGAATGAAGACATGATGGATGGAGATTGAGCAACTCTCTTGGCGCATGAGGCAATATGATAGGTATGGCAGAGAAGCAAAATAGAAGCCTAGGTGCCTGATACTTGTGAAACTACAGTACTAGCCCAAGCTATCTACTTTTTATATGATTATTTTTGTATAAAAAGAAATAAACTTTCATTATTTAGTGTCTGGGGAGTTTTGCTTTCATTTACAGTTGAATCATAATTAAAATAATATACAAGAGATTCAGGGAAAAATAATCAACAAAAGATATAAATAAAGACAATTCCTGAAATAAAACTGAACAATTCCCAGAAAAAACAAGACATGTTTATCTGACATAGAGAGCAACCTGTTCAGATAAGAGCATAAAATCTGTTTCCAGGAAAAACACTTGGAATTAATAACTCATCTCTTATGTTTGACTGTCAAAAAAATTATACTGAGAGGCATTTAAAGAACTATTAGAAAACATTAAAAAATAATTAGATGTTCGAAGAAAACTAAGTGAAAAGCAAACAAGTAACATGAGGGCTTCTGTAAACTACAGAGAAAATACACAACAATTTTTAAAAGCCATAGCATTCTTCCTGGTTCAGCATGAACAATATTTATGTAGTCAAAATAGTGAAAATATTGAGTAATCTTTTAACTAAAATTGAGATATACTGAGAGGATGTGAAGGATCAGGAAGGAGAAGAGGAATTGTGAGTTAAATCCTTACATACCATGTGAAAAGAAAAATATTAGACAAATTAAATTTGACTGACTTTATTTGAGCCAAGAGCAATTCCTAGATAGGTCAGCACTCAGGAACAGAAGAGGTTCAGAGAGCACCACTCAGCAGCATGAGCAGGAAAACGTGAAACAAAGTAGAGGAATCACCTAATTGGCTACAGCTAGGTGCCTGCCTTATTTGGGCATGCTGTGATGAGGTATTTGTCTTACATGGTATAGTCTGATGGGAGGTCCCTGGTTGCACAACTGGTTGACTTGTTGGATGTTTGAGATTTGCTGAATCTCATTTTGTTGTTGTTTTATTTTTTAAGTCAGTTACAAGAAATATTTCCAAGTTAATTCTGGTATGCTTACACACAAATTCTGGGTTCAGAAACTCCAGGTTAATGCCCACCTGCTTATTTTGCCTTGACAACCGTAATAGAAAATATTCATTAATAAGGGTAGAAAATGAAATATATGCATATTGTTTAAAATCATGCAGAAAAATACTTAGAAAACAGCTGAATGAGTTAAAAACACTTGTCTGTAAGGATCAGGACAAAGGGATAAAGTAAATATCATTTTTATATATTTTAATACTATTTACATTTAATTTCTTTCAAATATTTTTGTATGTAATACTTTTATTAAAACAACATTTTATTTTTAAAAATCAAGGAACAAAATTGAAAAGCATTCAGAGAAGGCCCAAATAAATGTAAGAACTGGATAGCAAGAAAAACTGAAGCAAAAGCCTGAGCAACTGAGAGTGCTTTAAATAGCTTTGCAATGTCATTGCTTACAACACAATATGTATAAAACCTAAGCTATGACAATTACAATTATTGCCCATATTCTAAAATTTCCCCAGAGAACATTAGTTTTCTGCCAATTCACATAAGCCGAATATCCTAAACTTTCATTTTCAGAATTAATGCTCTACCCAGAAGGAAAGATCTATGCAACATTCATTCCTAGACTTTGCCATATTGTGAGCTGCTTGAAACTTCAAAAGACATTTAAAAATCCAGATTGCCAAGGGAAGGATTTTTCAATATCTGTTAATTACCACAAACGTCATATTAAACTGCTATACAATAAAAAAAACCTTCAGCCATTTTTAAGACAACTTAAAGACTTTGTAGGGCTTAAAAATATTCCTTTAGAATCTTTTTTTGATTAATTTTTTTTCTTTGTTTCTGACCATATGTTACCTAGGTTAAAATATCTATCTCAGAATTATACCTCAGTAGTGATCTTGAGGAGTCCCTGTATGATGTTATTCATATAATCTGTGCTTGATGGCTAAGGTGGCATTTTTACTAAGTTTTGTCTAACATGTTACCTGCTTTATTATGCAAGATTCTTCTATTTTTCGCCTTGTTTATCCATCACACATATCTCAACTGTAACTGATATTACAAGCCATACAAATGTTTAAAGATGTTTTTGCTAGTTGAGCTAGCCAAAGATTATTCAGATTTGTTTTCTAAATCAAGAAATTCTGTGTCAAAAACTGAACTATTTTAAATATTTTAAATGATGTAGTTATGACCACTGTTCTCCTTTATATAGCTATTCTTCCTCACTTGTAAAAAAACAATGGATTCATTTTTTTCAAAAAAAAAATGGAGAGGGCTGACATGCAGCTCCCACTTGGACAGACATAACAACATGAAGACACACACTGTGGACTTTTTCTCCAGGAACCACTGCAGGAGCATATGAGGAAAGCTAAAAGAAATCACAGATCCTTTGAAAGAAGTGGCAGGCCACTGCAAATTCCACAAGACAGGTGAAAAACTCTGGTGCTCTCTTGAAAGTGCCACCTCCTAGCTGGAGGTCTACCAACTAGGAAATTACAGCATCTCATGACAGAACAACCCTGCTCTAAGGAAGGAGAAAACAAAAGCTAATTCCATTGCCTGCAACATCCTGGCTAACCAGTGGTCCTGAGTCTGTCCATGTGACAACTTCACTGCTCCCATAACCAGCGTTCAAGAAAGCCAGCACCCTAAACTTATCTACAACCAATGACTTTCACTGAGTCTACTTCACTCTCCTGAAATCTCCCACAGAGCAGGTGCTGGTATTCATGGGTGTGGGACCTGAAGATGGATCACATCATAGGACTCGTTGCAGACATTCTCCAGCACCATCCCAGAGCCTGGGAGCCCCTGTGGGTGGCGAGACCCAGAAGAGCAATAACAATCACTGCAGTCTGGCTTGCAGGAAGCCCCATCTCTAGGGAAAGGGGGAGGGCATCACATCAAGGGATCGCCTCATAGGACAAAAGAATAAACAGCAGCCCTTGAGATTCAGATTTTTTCACTGAAATAGCCTACCAAAATGAGAAGGAATCAGAAAAGTAATTCTGGCAATATGAAAAAAAAAAGGTTATATAACATCTCCAAAGGACTACAGTAGCTCCACAGCAATGGATCTAAGCCAAAAAGAAATTTCTGAGTTGCCAGATAAAGAATTCAGAAGGTTGATTATTAAGCTACTCAAGGAGATACCAGTGAGAACCAACTTAAACAAATTAAAAAACAAAACAATGTAGGATATAGATGAAAAATGCTACAGAGAAAGAGATATCATAATGAAAAATCAATCACAAATTCTGGAAATGAAAGAATGTCTTAAATACAAAACATGCTGGAAAGTTTCAACAATGGACTAGAAGAAAGAACTGCAGAGCTTGAAAACAAGGCTTCTGAATTAACCCAATCAAACAAAGACAAAGGAAAAAGAACCAGAAAAAATGAACAAAGCCTCCAAGAAATCTGGGATTATGTTAAACAGCCAAACCTAAGAATAACTAGTGTTCCTAAAGAAGAAGAGAAACCTCAAAGTTAGGAAAACATATTTGAAGAAATAATCAAGGAAAACTTCCCTGGCCTCACTAGAGATCTAGACATCCAAAAAAAGGAAGCTCACAGAACACCTCGGAAATTCATCACAAAATTATCATCACCCAGGAACAGAGTCATCAGGTTATCTAAAGTCAAGACAAAGGAAAGAATCTTAAGAGCTGTGAGGCAAAAGCATCGGTTAGCCTGTAAAGGAAAATCTATCAGATTAACAGCAGATTTCTCACCAGAAATTCTACAAGCCAGAAAGGATTGGTGTCCAATCTTTAGCCTCCTAAAAATAATTGCCAGTCAAGAATTTTGTATCCAGCAAAACTAAGCTTCATAAATGAAGGAAAGATAAAGTTTTGTTCAGATAAACAAATGCTGAGAGAATTCACCACTACTAAGCCAGCACTACAAGAAATACTAAAAAGTGTTCTAAATCTTAAATAAAAACCTTGAAATATATGAAAATAAAATCTCCTTAAAGCATAAATCTCACAGGGATTATAAAATGATAACACAATGAAAAAACCCAATGTATTCAGGCAATGACTAGCATGATGAATAAAACAGCACCTTGCATCTCAATACTAACATTGAATGTAAATGGCCTAAATGCTCCACTTAAACAATACAGAATGGCAGAATGGATTAAAAAAAAAAATCCACCAACCAAGTGTCTGCTGTCTTCAAGAGACTCACCTAATGCATAATGACTCACATAAACTTAAGGTGAAAGGGTGGAAAAAGATATTCCATGCAAATGGAAACCAAAAGAAAGCAGGAGTAGCTATTCTTACATCAGACAAAACAGATTTTAAAGCAACAACAGTTAAAAAAAAAGACAAAGAAGGACATTATATATGCACCATATCTGGGAGCTCCAAAATTTATAAAACAACTATTACTAGAACTAAGAAATGAGATAGATGGCAACACAATAATAGTGGGGGACTTCAATACTACACTGACAGCACTAGACATGTCATCAAGACAGAAAGTCAACAAAGAAAAAAATAAACAGCTATACTCTAGAACAAATTGACTTAAAAGATATTTACAGGACATTCTACCCAACAACTGCAAAATATGCATTCTTTTCATTAGCATATGGAACATTCTCCAAAACAGACAAATATGATACGCTACAAAGCGAGTCTCAATACATTTAAGAAAAATCAAAATCAAAATTTTACCCTCTCAGACCATAGTGGAATAAAATTGGAAATTAACTCCCAAGGGAACCCTGAATACTATGGAAATTAAATAATCTGCTCCTGAATGATCACTGGGTGGACAATGAAATCAAGATAGAAATTTAAAAATTCCTTGAACTGAATGATAATAGTGACACAACTTATCAAAACCTCTGGGATACAGCAAAAGCAGTGTTAAGAGGAAAGTTCATAGCATTAAATGCCTACATCAAAAAGTCTCAAAGAGTTCAAAAAGAGAAAATCTAAGTAACTGTAGAAACAAGAACAAATCAAACCTAAACCAAGCAGAAGAAATGAAATAAAAAAGATTGAAGAACTAAATGAAATTGAAAAAAAATACAAATGATAAGTGAAATAAAAAGCTGGTTCTTTGAAAAGAAAAGCAAAATTGTTAGACCATTAGTGATGATTAACCAACAAAAGAAGAGAGAAGATCCAAATAAGCTCAGTTAGAAATAAAATGGGTGATATTATAACAGATACCACAAAAATACAAAAGATCATTCAAGGCTACTGTGAACACCTTCATTCACACAAACTGGAAAACCTAGAGGATTTGGATGAATGCCTGGAAACATACAACCCTCCTAGATTAAATCAGGAAAAAATAGAAACTCTGAATAGACCATTAAAAAGTAGCAAGGTTGAAACAGTAATTTAAAAAAAATGTCAACAACAAAAACATGCAAGACCAGATAGATTCACAACTGAATGCTCTCAGGCATTCAAAGAAGAATTGGCACCAATACTATTAAAACTATTCTAAAAGATAGAGAAAGAGGGAATCCTCCTTAAATCACTCTGTGAAGCCAGTATTATTCTAATGCCAAAGCCAGGAAAGGACATAACAAAAAAGGGAAACTACAGACCAATATCCCTGATGAACATAGATGCAAAAATTCTAAACAAAATAATAGCTTACTGAATCCAACAGCATATCAAAAGATAATCCCCTATGATCAAGTGGGTTTCATTTCAGGGATGCAGAGATGATTTAACATACACAAGTCAATAAATGTGATACATCAGATACACAGAATTAAAAATAAATTCATACAATCGTCTCAATAGTTGAAGAAAAAACATTTGACAAAATCCAGCACTTCATGATTAAAACCCTCAGCAAAGGCGACATAGAAGGGACATACCACAAGTTAATAAAAGCTATCTATGACAGACTCACAGCCAACATTATACTGAATGAAGAAAAGTTGAAAGCATTCCCCTTGAGATCTGGAACAAAAGAAGGATGCCCACTTTCACCACTTCTATTCAACATACTATCGGAAGTCCTAGCCAGAGCAACCAGAAAAGATAAATAAAGGGCATCCAAATTGGTAAAGAGGAAGTCAAGCTGTCACTGTTCACTGATGATATGATTGTATACCTAGAAAACCCTAAAGACTCATCCAAAAAGCTCCTAGATCTGATAAATGAATTCAGTAGTTTCCGGATACAAAATCAATGTATACACATCAATAGCACTGCTATACACCAATAATGACCAAGCTGAGAATCAAATAATCAAATCAAAAACTCAATTCCTTTTACAACAACTGCAAAAATATAAAAATACTTAGGAATATACCTAACCAAGGAGGTGAAAGGTTTCTACAAGGAAAACACTGCTGAAAGAAATCATAGACAACACAAACAAACGGAAACACATCCCATGCTCATGTATGAGTAGAATCAACATTGTGAAAATGACCATGCTGCCAAAAGCAATCTACAAATTCAATGCAATTTCCATCAAAAGACCATCAACATTTTTCACAGAACTAGAAAAACCAATCCTAAAATTCACATGAAACAACAACAAAAAAGAGACCACATAGCCATAGCAAGACTAAGCAAAAAGAACAAATATGGAGGCATCACATTATCTGACATCAAACTATACTACAAGGCTTTATTTACCAAAACAGCATGGTACTGGTATAAAAATAGGCATGTAGACCAAAGGACCAGAATAAAGAACCCAGAAATAAAGCAAAATACTTAGAGCCAACTCATCTTCAACAAAGCAAACAAAAAGATGAAATGTTTTTGATATGTGAGCCATTCAGATGGTTCACTGAAACATTCAGTGTCATAACAAGAGTCATTCAAAATGCAACCTCACATGAGAAGCTGATGACTGATCTTCAACAAAGCAAACAAAACATAAAAACATAAAATGGGGAAAAGACACCCTATTCAACAAATGCTGTGGAGATAATTGGCAAGCCACATGTAGAAGAATGAATCTGGATCCTAATCTCTCACTTTATACAAAAATCAACTCAAGATGAATCAAAGGCTTAAATCTAAGACCTGAAACCATAAAAATAATAGAGGATAACATCAAAAAAACTCTTTTAGACATTGGCTTAGGCAAAGAGTTCATGACCAAAAATCCAAAAGTAAATGCAACAAAAACACAGATAAATAGATGGGACTTAATTCAACTAAAAAGCTTCTGCACAGCAAAAGAAACAATCAGCAGAGTAAACAGACAATCCACAGAGTAGGAGAAAATTATTGCAAACTATGCATCCAACAAAGAACTAATATCCAGAATCCACAAGGAAATCAAACAAATTAGCAAGAAAAAAACAAATAATCCCATCAAAAAGTGGACTAAGGACATGAATGGACAATTCTCAATAGAAGATATACAAATGGCCATCGAGCATATGAAAAAATGCTCAACATCACTAATTATCAGGGAAATACAAATGAAAACCACAATGAGATACCACATTACTCCTGCAAGAATGGCTATAATTTAAAAATAAAAAAATATATATATTGGCAGGTATGTTGTAAAAAGGGAGCACCTTTACGCTGCTGGTAGGAATGTAAACTAGTACAACCACTATGAAAAACAATATGGATATTCCTTAAAGAACTAAAAGTAGAAGTACTGTTTGATCCAGTAATCTCACTATTGGGTATTTACCCAGAGGGAAAGAAGTCATTATATGAAAATGACACTTGCACACACGTTTATAGCAGCACAATTCGCAACTGCAAAAATATAGAACCAGCCATTATGAATATTAGAAGAGCAATACCACGTGTTTGAAGTATGCCCCTTACCAAGGATCCCAATGAACCAAACCAACTAAAATTAAATGCATCAAAGAATGAGCCATATGAGGAATCTACCCATTTTAACCAAGTAGCCTGCTAATTAATTTTTTGCAACCATAATACCCAACATATTTTTCCATGTGTAATAAGAAGCATTGGCAACTGCACATATTTTTCTTTCCTGTTCAGCCAGTCGGTAGCAATACTATTATATAGTATTCCATGACTGGGTTAAATTAAAACAAAGAATGAGAACAAGTGGGTCTAGAGGTCTGACACTATAAAAGGGACCACAGTACAATTTCAACAACAGTTGCATTAGGGATGTTGCTAAAGTTACTCACTAGGTGGACTAAAGGATCTCTTAGGTCATGTAAAGATTTGGGTTCGGCATGACAAATCTCACACTTTGTCAAGTTATATCCAGAAGCTACTGACTCTGAAATTTTAATTATAGCATTATCCTGCCAAGTGAAGGAGGTAGACATAAGCAAGGGCAAAAATAAGAAGGGAAGAATCCTCATTATGATGAGGAATATTGTTCCAACATCTTGGGTAAAGCTGTCCACAGTGTGATGTCATCAGCTTCTCATGAGAGTTTGCATTTTGAATGACTCTGATTATGACATTGAATGTTTCAGTGAACTATCCAAATGGCTCACGTATCAAGCACAAGGTTTGTCCCTTGAAATTTACATCAGATTGTCCAGTCTCAGCATATAGGGCTTCAGAAACTGAAGTCTTATTCTTAGTTGAAGAGTTGCCACCAGATATCCATGGAAACTAAAAGAATTCAGGATCCAGTCCAGTCTACAGGTAGATAATATTATCTTCAGGTAGATAATGAAAACTCAAAAACAATGAACAGGGATACAATCTAATAACAGATACACTATAGTTTTTCTTCTGAGACATAATTTTTCTCTCTATAGTCACTCCCATTTCTACCAATGATAATTAGAGTAAGACTAATTTGGTCTCATTAAACTTTGGCTGATTATTTTCATAAGTGCAGCAAGAATAGCAATTAACCATATGGGCTCCTTTTAAGTTTGCTTTGCTGGCACTTTTTATAAAGAATCTCAGATTGGACTTTTAAAATAGTCTCAAGGCTATGGGTTCAAACCAAGGCAGACATCAGACTTCACCTCCAGTACATACAGATTTAGGTAAATTTCACTCTTATTTAGGTCTCTAAAATATCTTGAGATTCTTGGGTCTGCCAGGAGGTGACATTTTTTTTCTCACTCACTATAAGGCTTGGAACCTCTGAAGCTAGGCATACTATGTACATTCTCAATGATCACATTCCAGTCAAAATCTTGGTAATATAACAGTATTTCCAATTATATCCTGTTATAAAGACAGGACATTCTTATTGAACTTGTACAAATGATATTATTGCCATAAAAATAAGAATATTTACAAAAGTTTCCAAATTTTGGAAGGATCAGGTAGGGAGAAAAAAATGTTTCCATTTTTGTTCATGAAAGCATACTTACCAAATTGCTTATAACCTATAGATGGCTTAAAAGAAAAACATAGTTTCTTTAAATCTGGAAAGCAAACAAACTAAAAGAAGCAGCAAATTCTGGAAATAAAAATTCATAAAACATTATCTTCATCAGTTTGTTTTGTGTCATGCAATTAATTTTTATTCGCTTGATTTTGGAATAGTAGTTTCATAAAGTCATCACTTTCATTAGAGTTCTGGAAATTCTTACCCAGTCCAATGGTATAATCTCAAAGTTATAAGAAACCTGTACTTGTTAAGAGTCCTTCCCATGAGTCCTCTTAATGCTGAAGCACTTTCGTATTATAGTTGCTTGCAAATGCTTTCAGAAAACACTTAGCTGTCTGTGGATGATAAGACAAAATGGTCACGGCTAAAAGTATGATGAGAATTCATGATAATAATGATACAAATAACAAAGAAATTTTGTTATTTCTGTGGCATACAACATTTTAACATAACCAAAGTAATGACTGATAACATATCAGCTTTCTAAAAATTTCCCATAGTTCCTGGAACATATATTAATAATATATTGATACAAATATAACTCAAAGTTAAACATCATTTCTTATTTGAAAATGCTTTCCATATAATTTAACATACAAAATAAATGTAATTACATTCATACATATTTTCAGATGTCTCAGGGGCTCTCTGAAATGTCCAAAGTTAGTTCAAGGTCAAAAAGACTTACTTATAACCTGATTTTAGGAATTTTGTCAAAAATGTCAAAAGGTTTAAAACACTTAATTTAACAAGATTATCAGATATTGTGAAACAGTTTAAGACAAATATAGAAAAGTTACATATTTGCCAACAAAAATTTAGCTGTTTTAATACTGAGAAGTTTCTATTTTCTTAAGTAATCAAAAGACTATGACAACATGAAACACAATAAATTATCTTGATAAAACATAAAGTCTTTGTTTCCTAGGCCAATTACCTAAAGGGAAAAAACACTTTACACTCTCAAATCAATAACCCCAAGAAAACTGTCATTTTAACACAGAGAAAAACCAACTTCTAGTTTCGTACCAGTGTACTTTTGGTTTTAAGGCTCATTTTTAAAACCCTTATAACAAATCCATTCAATGATTGAAAATTCATGAAATGGTTTCTTTCCTCTTCCTCTCCCTCTCACTCTCCCCCTACTTTCTCTATCAATTCAATTTTATCTGTATCACTTCTTTTTTCCTTCACTCATTGTGAAACAAACTTTAAATAACCTCCAAAATAGACAGATTACTCTTTTCCTCAAAAATGACCAAAAAAAGTTCTCATGCCTTTCAGTAACTTTTCTTACCAAATACACATCTTTCTTTCTTTGTACACTCTGCATACAGAGTTGCCTCCCTCATTATTTCTAATAACTTTAACTACATATATTAATTAGAATTATTTTAATTCTTAGAAATCTTAATTTCTGATGAAAACTAATAGGCATTGTGTTTTACATTAGCATTTTATAGATGAACACTATGTCATAATATGATATTTGTTTTAATTTTGAGACAGGGTCTCACTCTGTCACCCAGGCTGGAGTGTGGTGGCATCATCACAGTTCACCGCAGCCTCAACCTCCCAGGCTCAAGCTGTCTTCTCAGCTTAGCCTCCAGAGTGGTTGGGACTACAGGCACATGCCACCACAAGGAGCTGATTTTCTTTCTTTTTTTTTTTTTTTGTAGAATTGGGATTTTGCCATGCTGCTCAAGCTGATCATGAACTTCTGGGCTCAAGCAATCTGCCTACCTCAGCCTCCCATGCCTCACGGTGGCATGAGCCACCACGCCTGGCCAATTTTTTATGTTCATTACCAAAGCCAAATATATTTGAGTATAGAGATTCTCTATATTACATAAAAATAAGATGCCAAAATATATATTTAAATTTATGTTTAGCAATTAATTTTTCAGTATTTTACTTAGAAATGACTAATTTTATGAATATTTATTTAATTTAACATAAATTTAAGATTTCAAAAAGATTTTTGAAAATATAAAAAGTTTATTTATAAACATTTATTCCATTTACATTCACCAAATTTTCTCATTCTTAACAAGTATGCTTGAATAGCTCATTAAACAAAGCTAGCCATTGAAGGAGTTCAGGAAACGCCACCCCAAATATGTCAGTTTGGTATATTGATTACTTCGAGCTGAAGGCACTTAAAAAACAGCAAAATGCAAGGAGAGGCTTTCTGTGAATCCCCCTCATCTGCCTGAAGACAGATCTTCTAAAAAGAACTTGATTGTCATCAATCCTCTCCCTGGGGAGTTTCATCAGCCAGGGAAGATTAACTCTTATCACAGGAGAGGTCAGATACCACACCCAGACAGACTGTCAAAAACCATCACCTCTTCTTCAAAGACCATTCATCTTTCCCCAGAATCATTAACAATAAGGATCTCTCTCTCTTTATCCCCTGATCATTTTACCGATTTCAGCAGAGTGGCTGAGTTATGGAACACCTGTTTTATCCTTGATTGACCTACCTGATTATTGCTTTATGTGATTGTTAGCTGGGTTGCTTATTGTACTCTTTGCCTTCCTTTTTAGATTTTTAGATTTCTCTGAACTGGGGTAAATAGAGTGGACTGGTTTGGGGCCCTGTAATGTTGAAGGACCAGCGAGTGTTCCTCTGGCCCATCAACCTTTGATGAATTAAACCTTTGTGTCAACCTCATCACTGTCAATTTTATTTATCCCATTTTTAATGGCCATCTAAAAATTTTGGACCCTAAATTTGCATTTCCAAAAAAGATGGCTCTTAGATGAAACAAGATAGAAAACTGACATCTCAAAATCACAGAACTTAGATTTTAGACCTAAATACCATTATTTGCCAAAACAAAGAAGGGTGTAGGTAGAAAGCCCAGTGAAAACAAAAATGATAAAAAGTGAAGTTTAGACCAATGCTTTCTCCCATAATAAGCATTTCTAGTGATTTTTCTTTGTATATGTATATTTGTTACAAGAGTTTCAAAATAACCAGCTAAATTCCAGAAAGGTGGCTTTTCAACTTAGTTTCTGTTCCTTAACTAGATTAAGTATAGAGCGCAGCCCATTAATGAATAGGGCAGACAAAGCATTTTCTATGCCTGGACTCAGAATGGACAGCACTGAAGAAGAAGCAAACTGCTTAATCTGAGGGCCTAACTTTTATTAACATTTCATCTAGCTTTCCTTTTGCCTGTAAGGTAAGATAGTAAATAAATGAAAAGGCTGGCAGATTTAGTGTTCATTATCAATGAGTTGCTTAAGCTTTTTATTTGCTTTTCATAAGGAGTTTTTTAAAGAAAAAAAATGACAAGCTTTTAGAAACTTCTACACATTAATCAGTATTCTTGGGTGGGTCTAATTTGGGAGACCTTTTTTTTTTTTTTTTTTTTTTTTTAAAGACAGAGTCTCACTCTGTTGCCCAGGCTGGAATGCAGTGGTGCGATCTTGGCTTACTGCAACCTTCACCTCCTGGGTTCAAGTGATTCTTCTGCCTCAGCCTCCCAAGTAGTTGGGATTACAGGCACCTGCCACCATGCCTGGCTAATTTTTGTATTTTTAGTAGAGACGGGGTTTCACCATGTTGGCCAGGCTGGTCTCGAACTACTGACCTCAAGTGATCCACCCACCTCAGCCTCCCAAAGTGCTGGGATTACAGGTGTGAGCCACTGAGCCTGGCTAGGAGCACTCATTTTTAAGCGTGCTTCTCAAGGACACTTGAGAAGATGGTACAACACTGTTCATCTGAACATTCCAAATAAGACCATCATAATTTTAAATTATCTTTAGGATGCCATTTTTGTAAGTATTTGCACCTTCCAGGGCCTAATACTTATACATGTAACGTCAGGTACAGCCAGAAGTTGGAATACTTGGTGTTTTAGAAATTAAGAAACCCTATACAGTGGAATACTATGCAGCCATGAAAAGGCATGAATGAATGGCATTTGCAGTGACCTGGATGAGATTGGAGACTATTATTCTAAGTGAAGGAACTCAGGAATGGAAAACCAAACATCATATGTTCTCACTGATAGGTGGGATCTAGCTATGAGGACACAAAGGCATAAGAACGATACAATGAAATTTGGGGACTTGGGGGGAAGAGTGAGAGAGGGGTGAGGGATAAAGGACTACAAATGTGGTGCAATATATACTGCTTGGGTGATGGGTGCACCAAAATTTCACAAATCACCACTAAAGAATTTACTTATGTAGCCAAATACCACCTGTACCCCAATATCTTATGGAAAAAAATTAGACTAGAAAAATAAATAAATAAATTTATAATTTAAGAAGGAAAAAAAAAGCATACCATTTTTACATTGATTTTGAGTCTCTTGGAGCCAAGATAAAAGCTTAAGGAGGAAAACATCATTAGGTTAAGTTGTGTAATACTTTCACAAGTTTCCTTCATTGCACAGACATCTTCTCGAGGATGACAGATAACCTAGTGTTAAAACTAACCCATTCCATAATCCAGCTCATCCCAGGATGGCAATCTTATTTTTAGGTAGTATACACTCTAAGCAGCTTTTAGGTGCCCGATCCATGCCCACCAGTTAAATTGTGGCTTTGGTGCTGAAATTGCTCTTGATCAACTTAGTGAACTATTTTCCCCTACCTATGCATGCAAGAAGTAACAAAGAAGAATAAGCCCAAATTCCTGAGCATTTCTGAAAGCGAGAGCTGTACACCTCATGAAGTAACAGCCACCGACTGCAACCACGGTCAGATACCTGAAAAACCATAGCTCTTTCCAGTGACTCAGTCACACAAAACTCCAAAGGGTCATGTGCTCTCTCATAGCACAAACTAACCTTGGATTCAAAAGCCAAAATGATCAATGGCTCAATGCAAAAAGAGCAGAGTCCAGCTTTTGGGGTTCCATGAGGAAGACGAAGGACCTTAAAAGGGGACAGTGGTGCCTCTCACATTCCTCGAGGAGCCTCAGGAATCATATGCAGTGTTCTTTGGGTCTAGTCATGGTCACCAAAAACTGACAAAACACAAAATTACCACATCTTTAAAGATCTAATTGGCTTTTATTTGTGATTCTAGCACTGAGCAACATCTTGCTCTATAAAACAGAATGAGTGTTTCGATGAGCTGAGCAGAAGAGTTTGGCTTTATAGACAGAAAAGGCTGAAGAAATGAGAACCTGGGAACAAAAAACAGATTGGTCATTTCAAACTTACTTTACTCATAGGGTTAAAATAGAGGAAACTCGCTAGTTACATTGACCGCAGTTGACTGGAATCTCCTGTTTGGATTTTGTTTTATTTTGTTTGTTTTGAAAACTGGCCCATTTCAAAGTTCATTTTGATCACATGGCACTTAGCACAGGTAGTCTAGTCTGCTGGTGTCTAATGCAGGAGGGTAGTTCAAAACAATAGTCTCCCATAAAATTTGTATAACACCTGAAAATCACTAAGTAGAGTGGATTTGAAGTGTTCTCATCACAGAAACTGATACATATGTGAGGTAATACATATGTGATTAGTTTAATTTAGGCATTCCACATGTAAAGATATTTCAAAATGTCATATTGCATACTATAAATATTTGTCATTTTCCATTTGTCAAATAAAATATAAATTAATTTGATAAATTAATTTTCAAAAAACAACTATTTTATTTTGCTTACAATTTTGTGATCATAAATTCAGGAAGGGTTCAGCTGGACAGTTTTTGCTTGGAATCCCTCACACAGGGTCGGTCATGGTGGCTCACGTCTGTAATCCCAGCACTTGGGAGGCCAAGGCGGGTGGATCACCTGAGGTCAGGAGTTTGAAACCAGCCTGGCCAACATGGTGAAACCCCATCTCTACTAAAAATATAAAAATTAGCTGGGTGTGGTGGCATGCACCTGTAAGCCCAGCTACTTGGGGGGCTGAGGCAGGAGAATCACTTAAACCTGGGAGGTGAAGGTTGCAACGAGCAGAGATCGTGCTATTGCACTCCAGCCTGGGAGACAAGAGTGAGACTCTGTCTCAATTAAAAAAAAAAAATCTCTTATACAATTGATCCTGGCTGATATGGTTTGGCTGTGTCCCCACCCAAATCTCACCTTGCATTGTAATAATCCCCATGTATCAAGAGCAGGGCCAGGTGGAGATAATTGAATCATGGAGGCAGTGTCTCCCATACTGTTCTCGTGGTAGTTTATAAGTCTCATGAGATCTGATGGTTTTATAAATGGGAGGTCCCCTGCACTAACTCTCTTGTCTGCCACCATGTAAGATATGCCTTTGCTTCTCTTTTGCCTTCCGCCATGATTGTGAGGCCTCCCCAGAAGTGTGGAACTATGAGTCCATTAAACCTCTATCCTTTATAAATTACCCAGTCTCGAGTATGTCTTTATTAGCAGTGTGAGAACAGACTAATACACTGGCCAACTGCATAACTGGGGCTACATTTATATAAAGGATCCATGGAATGAAAGTCCCAGATGGTTCACTCCTGCGGCAAACAGTTGATGGAGGGTGTTTGCTGGGAGATCATCTGGGATGTCCACTGAGCATCTCCACATACCCACTCCAGTATATTGCTTTCAGAGTAGTCAGAGTTACATGTAGGCTCAGGGCTCAAGATATTCCAGTAAACAAGATGGCAACTGCGTTGCCATTTTTGACCTAGCCTTGGAAGTCACTCAGTGCCACTTCTGCTGCATTCTCTTGGTTATTAATGAGAAACAGTCTCACTCTAATTCAAGGAAAATAGGATCCAACCTCTTGGTCCAACATCTTGGTCAAGTCAAAAAACCTGTAACTATTTTTTTTTAATTATTTATTGAATAGGTCTTTATTTGTCACTGCCATGTGCCAGATATTGCACTAGGGACTGAGCATTTGTGAGTGGACAAAATATTCAAACAAAATGTAGAGCAAAAGTGAAAGTTCTCTTTAAACTCAGCTCCCTCTCAAGTCTCCTATAAGGGAAACTCCTTTTTCTTATTTTTTTAAAAAAATTATTTGGATAAGAGTACCTAACATGAGATTTACCTTCTTAACACATTCTTAAATATACAATACAGTGTTGTTAACTATAGAGACACTGTTGTGCAGCAGATCTCTTGAACTTATTTATCTTACCTAAGTGAGATTATGTCCCTTGAGTAGCAGTTCTCCCATTTTCTCCTCTCTCCAGGCCCTGTCAACTACCATTCTGCTCCCTACTTCTGTGAGTTTGATTATTTTAGATACCTCTTACTAATGAAATAATGAAGTATTTGTCCTTCTGTGACTGGCTTATTTCACCCAGCAGAATGTCCAGATTCTTTCATTATGTCTCATATTACAGTATTCCTTCTTTTGTTAAGGCTGATTAATAGTCCATTGCAGGGTGTGGTGGCACACACTTACAGTCCCAGCTACTCAGAAGGCTGAAGTGGGAGGATTGCTTGAGCCCAAGACTTCAAGGCTGCTGTGAGCCATGATCATACCACTGCACTCCAACCTGGGTGACTGTATTAGTCCATTTTTACACTGCTATAAATAACTAGCTGAGGCTGGGTCATTTATTTAAAAAAAAAAGAGATTTAATTGACTCACAGTACTGCATGGCTGGGGAGGCCTCAGGAAACTTACAATCATGGTGGAAGGCAAAGGAGAAGCAAGGCATGTCTTAACATGGTGGCAGGAGAGAGAGAGCAAAGGGGGAAGTGCCAAACTTTTAAACAATCAGATCTCATGACAACTCACTCACTATAACGAAAACAACATGGGGGAACCACCCCCATGATCCAATTACCTCCCACCAGATCCTTCCCTCAACGCATGGGGATTACAATTTGAGATGGGATTCAGATGGGGACAGAGAGCCAAACCATATCAGTGACAGAGCAAAACCCTGTCTCAAAAAAGACAAAAATAGTCTGTTGTATGTATAGACCACATTTTCCTTGTCCATCCACCCATTCATGAACATTTAGGATGTTTCCAAATTTTGGCTATTGTGAATAGTGCTACAATGAACATTGGTAATAACATTGCTAATATCTCTTTGAGATCCTGATTCCAATTTTTGGATAATTACCCAGAAGTGGAATTGCTGGATCATATGTGTGATTATTAGTTTTAGATAGCCATAGCAAGTATAAATTGTGATGTCAAGTTGTTATAATCCAAGATCATATTGTTATTTTTGAGGCTTCCTAATTGAATTAGCATTTTTGAGCTCCTATGCTTTTTAAAAGTTTACTAAAGTTAGCCCCACTCAAAGTATTATGTTTGAAGTTGTCTTCTATTCCTGAGTGTTTTCTCCTCTTTGACAAGTATATCATATTAATCTTTTAACAAACGTATTGATTTTGCCAAGCAGATTTCACAATAGAGTTTCTAACCATCTCTTGCCACATTTATTAAAATAGTTTTCCACATATAGTTGTTATATTCCTTCATCTTTCCTTCCTTCCATTTCCACCACCACTCTTTCTTCCTTTCTTATCCAATATGCTTTGGCTTTTTGGTCCCACACTCTGCTAGGTACTGAGGGCATTGAGATGAATAAACCATATTCCTTGCTCTACAGTAGCTCACATTTTGATGAGGGAGATGAGAACTAAAAATGACAAATAGTGTGGTAAATGTGATTGCAGAGACATGTGCAGAGGATATGGGAGTGCTGAAGCAAGACTAAAGCTCCTCAACATCTAAGTTATTCAAGAGAGAACAGTAAAATTTCACATTCAATTTATTTTTAAGAGTGGGAGAGAAGAAATTGAAGATCTGAGATACATAACTATAATACTCAAACATATCTGGATCATACATTTCCAAATATAAATGATTTTATAAAGGACATGTCTTGAAAATAGGATTCTTTTAAAAATAATATTACCCACATTCATACAAACATCTTTTCAGATGTTTTCTTAGGCATTTTCATAGGCATTTATTTGAAATCAACATATATCTCACATCATCAAACCACTGGAGGTCAGCTTCTTTGGGGGTAGCTGATAGCAGAAAAACCCCTTGAGATAATCAGAAGTGCTAACCCACTCCAGTAATTGGATTCTCACAACTCAATTAAAAGAGAAATAGCAAGTACATCTGATCATGATATTTTAAATATTTATGAGAACAAAAGGCCTATAATAGTGTCTTTCACTATTAATTTATAGCTAGATGGAAGGAGAATTAGTTTGGACTCTTTTTACTTTCATTATAATTTCTATGATAAAATGTGCCAACTATTTCCCCTTTGGTTTAGCTTGAGAATCAAACCAATGCTTGTATCTCTATTTATTTTAAGGTAGTTTCTTCTAATCTTGCCCCAAGAGAACTTGGCTGCTCACTGCTGTTGAGAGAGGACAGAGGAAGTAGAACTTTTCAGTTTATAGAAGACATCAGCACATTCTACTCAGGAGAATGCCAAGTATTTAAAGTGGTTCAGTCAAACAAGTAGGCTAAGTTTGGGAGATATTTAAGGGAACTTTAGGTGGGTAAATGAGCTGCAAGACATGTAATACATAGAAACAATTGCTTGTAGAAGAAAACACTGGGACTTCTGTGGTACTTTTTGGAGGACAGAAGAGGTAAGGGAAATGTTCCTTCTCCAAGCTAGCTTATACTACATTGGGAAAAAACTTGAAAGTGGATAAATTAATCATATATTCCTCTGTCTTTGAATTCCCAGCATCTAACATAGTGCCTGACCAGAGTATGTGCTGAATAAAATTTACTAAATGTGTGAAGCAATAAATGTGCAGACTGCAACATCATAAAAAGTCACCAACTATAACTAGGCAAAGGGTGGACAAATCAAGTTGCCTTGCATTTGAACTTTGCAATTTCATTTTTCTTGGTATTGCTCAGACAGTGTCTGAACATGATTATCATCCTAATCATAAATCTTGAAGAAATGCATGCAATATCCTCATGTGTTATGACTATGAGGAATATGTAAGATCTTAATAGATGCATAAAAATAGAAATGAGGACTATGCTGGGTTAAGAAAATTTGGTAATGAGTTACACAGTCTGCCCTCATAGTGAAGGGCAGATAGAGTAATACTTTGATGATCCACTTAATTATTTCTAAATTACTTTTGATAGAAGGATGACATAGTTTAGTAGATATGACTTTGACATTGATTCTGCATGGTGACAGACTCTTCCATTACATATTTTATAGTTCATTATCGTGTTTTTTCCCAATAGTTAGCCTTCATTTCTATCACTGCTTAAAGTTACTTTGTCTTGATTTTTAAAAGGAAGGGCTTTTTTCTTGCAGGTTAAGACATACGTTACTACGTTCAACTTCTCATAAGATCAAAGAAAGAAAGAATTTATACCATATAAAAGAGCTCTGGCTCTGGCTCACTGAACTAAACACTCCACATTGCTGTTTGATTCTCCTTTTAGCAAAGCATCCGTTCTAGTTAATTTTTGCAACAGCCATTGCCAGATAACCAAATTCCCTTTTCCAAGGAACACTGAAATTAAAACGTTAATAAGGACTTAGAGAATTAGCCTTAGCTTGCTTGTACATTTTATAAAATGAGAATGCTGTTTGGGGAACTGCCATGTTGATGATATTTGCCATGAACCTGTTCTTCAATTTTCCTGCAGTGTATTTTCCTTTTCTTAGTCTTTTATTCTAAAACTCACTATCCATTAAAAAATGATTGGATTGTCCTTTCTGGAACATTTTCTTCCTTTTGGTTAGAGGCTTTTCTTGGTCCTTGGTGTTTCTTTGTTTTTGTTTTAAACCAAAGGCATTTATTCATAGCTTTTGTTTTAGCTATGATAGCAAAATGGGAGAACTATATGGAATGAAAGACTTTAGGTTTAAGTTCTTCATTTATCAATTGATTTATGTATACCTTCCTTCTATAAATATCACCCGAACCCTGTGAATTGGGGTGTGCTTACTGCCTTTTGTTTTTTAATTTATGAATATTGCTTCTACTTTATTTATACTGGAGGGCTATGTTACATAGGTTTCAGATTATATAGAGTCCTTAAACCCTTATAATGAGAAAGGTACTATACTGAAACTGGTAAGTAGTGTAAATTAAATCTAGTACTACCTCAAAGAGTCTACTGAGATAAAATGAAAGTACATCACACTTGGATGCTTTCATAGTTATCACAAAAGCCAACTCAAGCTGATGATTTGTTGACTCAAGTCACCAAGAAGCTCAAAATTTAGAAGAACTTCTGCACAGCTTAACCTTGACTATCACTCTATTTCCTTGTGATTCTTTAGACTCTTCTGTGTGTCAGCTTTGTTCTCAGGCCAACTTACCTTGTGGTTACAAGCAGAAACAGGGACTACGTGCTTCCTTTGCCCTCAACTGTGGTCAACATTTTGAACTTTATTTTGATTGGACTATTTCTGAGACCATTGTGGCTAAGGAAGTCCCATATTTGATTTGGCTTAGGACTTTTTCCTTCCTTTGTGGCATGGGGAAAATGATTAGACTTATTGATTAGTGCCTTTGAGCAGAGGATAGAGTCAATCTCCTCCAAACCGCAAAGTTGCTAAATAAAAGAGGAAGGCAGTTACCTCAAGGGAAATCCAAGTGCTGCTACAAAAAAGAATGAAGGGAAATTGATTTTGGTAAGGCAACCAATGACTATGTGACTGAGTCTCCATAGATAGTGTTGGTTCTCCACTCATTCCCACTTAATGTTCAAACTCAGCACTTTAATAGGACAGTAGACAGATTGAAAAAAAAACAGCCTTAATTTTTTCACATCGCTGGCAGTATGATTCTGTAGGTCATCCCATCAAAAAGTAGAGGTTATACCCCCATCCTTTGAATCTGAGCTAGAATGGCAATTTGATTTAACATCATAAAAATGTGTTGAAAATGACTGTGTGCCAGTTTTAAACCTGTCCCCCAAGAAGCTTTGTGTCCTCCACTCACTCTCCTGGACTCCTGCTGCCATCCTGCTACCTAGCCTGATCTAGTTAGCTGGAGGATGAGGGGCCACAAGAAGAAAATACAAGTTGTCTCATCGCAGGTCATTCTAGACCACTCAATGACCGAGCTTTTGACCACAGACAAACAGATAAGCCCAGTCAAGACTAGGAGTGTCTGAAAGGGAGGCGAAAGCAAGGGTTATATATACCCTATAGGACCGCTGCTTTATCATCATTCTGAAATCCAACAAACTCTTAAAAGCAAAAGGATTTCTATTAATTTATAGGAAACTCATTTCACAGCAAAACAAAATCTGAATTTATGTAAAGCTATTTGCACTCTTCATTTATCCTAACTTTTTGTGTGAATACACATATGTTTTGCTGAAAAAGATATTAATGTGTTTGGCCATAGGATGCTGCCCCAGATTCCACTGAGGATTTTACAAAATTCATTGTGTATGCAAAGTGTTAGCTTTCTAAATTACACACACACACACACACGCACACACACACACTCCCAAACCAAGCCAAAGCAAATACAAAAAAACAAACCGAAAACAACCTACCCAAATCTTGATGTATATCTGACTCAAAAATTTGGAAACCTGAAAATCCATTTTGCACAGAAAAATTTTTAGCCATTTTTTTTCTTTTTGCCTTTGTCCATCCTACTCACAAAACAGCTTCCCTAATCTTTTCACAGTGGTTTTTTTGTTTCTGTGTTTTGTTTTTGTTTGTTTGTTTTTCTTTTCCCTCCCTCCTCCTCCAAAGTCCCTCTCTTTTAGCCTGTCAGTGTCTAGTTTCAGCCTCCTTCCCACTCTGGGATTTGCCTTCCCCCACCTCTTTCCTTGTATAGTACTACTTAAACCTTTTTCAGCTCCCTAGTTTGCACTTTTAAATATCACCAGGCTCAGTAAATTGAAATACACTCCTTTGCATTTGCCTCTTTAGAAGGGAAGTGAAGGTTAGAAATCAAGGATTAAATTATGACTAAAGTTCTCCATTTTTACATAGACAAATAAAGATAATAATATATTACTGGTTCTTTGATAGGAGTGTAATAATTAGATGAGGCCAAGGTATAAAGAAAATAGTGGGGAAGGATGGGGAGGGGGCCATCAAGGAAGAGGCTTATAAAGAAAACCATAGCCTAGTAGAGTGGACTCCTACGTACGTGCTACCTGGACTTACAAATAGCTAGGGGAGTAAAATTCAGAACTAGCTCGTCTAAGTAGAGGAGGAAGCTTGAAAAAAGGGAAATTTTGATACAGCTGGGAAAATTATTTCAAAATCCTATAGTTTATGAGAATGGAGTCTATGTTAGCAGATCAGGAAGAGGTAGGCATAGGCCAGTCATAAACTTTCTCTTAAAGAACAAGCTACTCTCAAAAATGTAGAGGACAGCTAATGGGGATGAAATCAGGAGGAATTTCTAAAACATGAAAAGTAGATGAGATGTGACTGAAGAAATATGAAGCCACTACAAGGAAGCTACCAAAACAGACAGAGGGGTAAATCCAACAGAAAATCTTTGCTATGAAAATGAGTACGATTTGGCAAAAGCCAACTATGAAAAGACATCTCATGGAAGAGAGAAAGAGAGACTAAACGGAGACCTTATGCCCAAGAAATAGTTAACAGAGTAATCAGAATGGATCCTGGTTTTACATTTGAAGATATGTAAAATTAATTTCCATGGAAAGTTAAGGGAGGACATCACATTATAAAATAAGAAATAGCACAGATGGTAATGAAAATGAAGAAAAGTAAATAGTGAAGAAGTTAAAAACAACATAATGGAAACAGCTGAAAAGCAAAAACTAAAAAATAATAATATAACACATATTGGATCATTTATTATGTGTCAGATACTGTTCTAAGTGATTTGCATATTTTATTTAATTCTTTTTCATACTAGCCAAATAAGCAGTAATATTATCATCCCTATTTTACAGATATGGAAATTGAACTACAGCTCCTTTATAAAACTTATTCAGAGCCACATGGCTAGTAAGTGGCAGACACTGGACTTGACCCAAGACAACTGACTCCAAGCACACTTACTAAACCACTGTTCTACAGACAGAAGATTCAACCTAGAAATCTCTTAAATGCAACACAAGTAGGTAAAATAATAACAATAAAAAAAGGTATGAAGAAATGAAGAGGAATAGACATAGAAGTTCTAGCATCTAAGAGAAATTCTACCTGGAAAGCTTAACAATAACAAAAGGAAGCAATATTTAAATGCATGACTGGGCCAAGCATGGTGGCTCACACCAGTAATCCCAGCACTTTGGGAGACTCAGGTGGGAGGGTTGCTTGAGGCCTGGAGTGGGAGACCAGCTTGGGTAACATAGTGAGACCTTGTCTTTGCAAAAGTAAGTAAATAAATGATAATTGAGAGTTTCTTAGCTTGGAAGAAAGATGTTTCTTCTTTAAAAGAGCCACTGAGTGCTAAACAAGACAAATTTAAGCAATGAAAATTAGATATAGGATTTTAACAAGGGGATTTCCATGATTATATTTTTTATCAAGATCAATCTATGGGTAATGTTATGTGTGAATTAGCAGTTTAAGATTACAGGCAAGGTACTAACTAGCAATAAATGCAACAGTCCAGACAAGAGATGAAGTGAACCTACACTAAGGAAGCAAAAAGAAGGAAGAAGTAGCAACCAGAGTCAGAAAACCAATGCTGAGACTAATAATAATGGTGAAATACTAAAGTCAAATCACATACCATAAAGTCTAACAACATTAAAAAAAGAAACCCTAATGAAGTATAGCCATTACCTATGACACTTGTTAATGTCAGGCCTCCAATAACATAACACATAACACAATAACAGATAACATAATAGCATGGCAGAGTTGAACTATAAAAGTCCCTCAAAAATATGAATCAAAATATGAAATATTCTTACCTGACATGGCTATGAAAAATTATAGCAGTATATCTCAGGGTTTATTTTAAACAGCACCAGTTTTACAAGATGTTTAATGAAAAATAGAAGATCCATAATCTTGTAAGTTTGGGAAAACCTTAAAAACATCTCTTGCCCTTGGAGCTTAAAATCATATATTAGCAAATCAAAGGGTCTCAGAAGCCCTACAGTAATGAAACCTGCTGAATTTTCAAAGTGAGGAATCCTTTCTTCCAGAATTATTTAGTTATATATCTCATGAAACTAATATTTATATATAGATGATATATTTGGGGACATACTGCTCTTGAGACATATGTTTATGCATGTATAGGAATCTGACTTAATTATTCCTCTGATGTACGTTTGAAAGTATAAAATATAGATATAAGGTATTATGCTTTTCTAACATGTCTATTTTATAGAAAAGGGAAAGGTGCAGATGAGAGTGGAAAAGTCAAGTAGAAAGATAGTTTAAGCACTGAATAATATTACTTAAAAAATTAGTAGTAATAATAATTACATGGAAAATCTAAACTAAAATATTTATCCCTTTTAATATTAAAGAAAGCAAAATACAGTAATTGCTTAAACCACTATCTATATAGGTAGATGAACAGATCACTCATTTCCACTTTCTGAGCTCCTTTTTGACCTCCTTTTTAAGGAGAAAATGCTGTTATACCAAGTAAGCCCAAAACTTCACTGCCACAGTAGAAGTTGTTTTGATGCTCACATCTATCTCTTATATGCATCTGGTGGTTCTCCTCTATATTGTGATTCAGCAACTCTGGCTACTTCCATATTGTGGTTTCAAGGTCATTTTAGCATCATATAGAGATAGAAGATGGTATGAAGAGTACAAGGGCAGAAATATCAGACACATAACTACTTCGGCCTGGAAGTTAATGTACATCATTTCCACACATGTTGCACTGGCTAGAACTGGAAAGGTTGTTGAACAGAGATTCAAGGAGTGCATTCATAGTTAAGATTGTTTTGTCTTCTTGATATACTGATGCTTTTATACTTATTGTTTCATTCTATCCCTGGTAATATTCTTTGTCCTGAAGCTCGCTTTAATATAACCATTTCAGCTTCCTTCTGATTAATGTTTGCAGGATATATCTTTTCCTTATAACTTACCTGTGTCTTTACATTTAGATCTCACTGATATTACCTCTTGCTTGGATGATTATTATTAGCTATTTGATGACACTAGACAAGCTCATTTCCATCTATTCCCCAGAAGGATCTTTTCAAAATTTGAATATGATATTATTCTCCTGCTTGAAAACCATCCTTAGCACTTTGCTATTTTCAGAATTAAGTCCACACACCTTATCCTTACTTAGAAGACCAAAGATGATCTGTCCTCTACTAACATTTCTACTATCGTTATTTGACATTCCTCATCTCACACTTCATACTGAAGACATAATAAACGTTTTTCAGTTCCAATAATTCACTTCTGAATTGTCAGAAGTTCATCTTCATCCTGCCTTATTCTTCTAATGGCCAGTTTCTTTCTATATTTGTATCACTTGGATATTACATCATGTAGGAGCCTACTTTGACCCTTCCAATTCAGAATTCGGTTCTCTTCCTGTAGGTTCCCATTGTATTATCTATTTCCCTTGTTACAACACTTATGAAATGGTGTTATACTTACCTGTTAAACTGGCATGTTCCTCACCAGACCATAAGCTCCCTGAAAGTTGGGATGTATCCATTCAGTTCATTGTTGCACCTCCAGCACCCAGCATAGAACTAGTTGATAATTAATGGCTATTGAGTGAATGGCTGAATTACTTAAAATTGTTAATGACCTTAACACAGGCATTCAGTGCAGTGATGATCTCATAAACTGGGTTTTGTCTCTAGAAATGGATGTAATAAAAAGACAAGGAAAGAGTTTAAGACATTGAAACATTTCTTGAGATCATGGTAGAATGGTATCAGGAATGGTTCTGTTCCCTAAAAGGTCATGTGAAGAGGTGAGCAGCAAGCAGTCATTTAAATGAGCAAATGGAAGGGTACTCAGGAAATATAGAGCAGATATCAAAAATGCCAAGCCAAAAAGGGCTAAATTTAATAAAAACACATCAATCAAGAGTGAATGTGGAAGAAAAGCATTGGGCAAGAGTTGGGAAAGGAGATAGCAGAAGAGTGCACAGAAGGCTACCTGTTATTGATTTTGCCTCATGTGAAATACCTCTCTCTGGAGACTTACTGTTAAGGAACTGGTAGCAAACCCACATATCTGCAAAAGCTAAGTAGTAGGAGAACTGAGCCAGATATAAGTTAAGGGTGAGAACTATGAAAATCTGGATACTTTATGTCCCATCTACAGAGTGCAAAACCTACTAAGCTCTAGTTAATTGTTAACATACAAAAGTGAGGTCCACGTTTCAGGATTTTTCATATAATTCAAGAGAAACCAGAAATCCAAATAGCTTTCTCAAATCTTCCAAATTTCCAAATTTGATAAATACCTAAATAAATTGTAACAACTCAATGCACCAATAAAACCATGTATTTAGATCAGATTCAACCCATAGCTGTCAACTTGTGTTTTTTACTTAATTAAATTAACATGGACCCTAACAGCAATAGTAGATTAAAAAGAAAATGAAGGTACAAGATTAGGGCCAGTGAATGCAGTCTTGTTTCTAGTAAGTTTAATTATAAAGGAAATCTGTGGCCTAAAGACAACAGGGCCTTTATGCAACCAACAGACCCAAATCCTTCTACCAATGTCCAATATTCTCCCCATATTGTGCTTTCTAAAGGTGTCATAAAGTTTATATACAAAATATTAGACATGAAATGTTTCCATATTTCTTATTTTGAGATATCAGTGCCCAGATTACTTTAAATCCTAATGTTGTAAGCGTTTCGGGAGAATCTGAATAGCATACCTTTGTACACTCCTCACCCTGCCATGCATAGCAAGATGCCAGGTGAAGGTAAGTCAGAGAAAACTATCTTCAGGTTCTTCTTAAGGTAAAACAGAACGCTTAGATTTTGATATAAACCCTTAATGCAGAGATTGCAAATTAGGTGTTTGGAACCTGAATCCACTCCAACAGCTGAATCCAATCCAACAGCTTTTTATCATGAACAACTGCATATAGAAAAGTACATGAAATAAAGAGGGTTACCTCCGATAATTTAGCTCAAAGAGAACACCCTTGTAAACACATCCGGGTCAAGAAATAGTGCCAGGTCTCAGAAGCCTCCCCTTTAGTCTTCTCAGAATCACTACTCTTTTCTTCCCTTACAAAGGCAACCTACCTCTTGACATTTATGGTAACTGCATTCTTGCTTTTCTTTATTGTTTTGCTAACATCTCCAAATACTTTGGTATAGTTTGCCTCTTAACTAACTAAATATCAATGAAATTATGTAATAGAACTGCACATTGTGTATTTTTTAGTGGCTAGCTTCTTTTCTTGAGTTTTATTGTTGTGTTTTTAATATTCATATTTATTAATTTTATCCTGAAGGTACACATGGTGTTGGATCAGAAACAGATGATTTACTTAAGAGCAAATAATGACCATGCGGTCCTCTGGATCCCAATTCTTACCCTTGGCACAACACAGTGAAAGCCAGGTCAGATGTCCTAGGCGTACAAACTTTGAAGTCTGTATCACAGATGAGAAACAAGAGAAAAAAATAATTTAGTGTGTTTACATACAGAAGCAAGAGAAAACTATCTTTTCCACCCCTCCCCAAAAGATAGAAAAAAAAAATCTTTGCTCCTTGGATGCAATAATTTTGGGTTCTCTAAATGTTTCAAATATAAATACATTTCTTCAAAGCCAAATGCAGTGAGTAGGTCTAAATTACCTAGTCTATTACTACGGGAAACAAATGTTCCCAATAATTTTTTTTTTCTCTGACTCATTAAGGGTTTAAAATACATTGAATTTTGAATAACAAATTGTGATATCTGACTTTCATTAATGTCTAAATTCACTTAAGACAAAACTCAGGTAGAACAGTTAGGGGATACTGCCCCTTTTGGGAAAGGCACTTGCTCTTAACTTCGGTAATCTTCCCCATCCCTATTGTCTGTATTCAGCCACTTTATTTAAGTAACATGCCTACTTGGCCACTGTAAGCATTCTTATTAAATGGAAACCTTTCTAATTTAATGCTTTTTTTTGTTCCTAGAATCTTGTTCATTAACAAGATCTTCATTCTCTAAATTATGGTCACCTTCATTCTTAGCACCAGTATGGGGTATAGGACCATATTCCTCATGCTATCCCTATTCAATGACTGATCCTCCCTCCAGCCTATTCCAAAAATGTCTTTCTTACTTCTCTAGGACCCAGCCTCTCATAATAATAACTCCACTAATAATCCCTTAATAGTCCACTAATCAGCCCTTATTATTATTACTGAAGAAAAAGAAACTGGAACACATCCTCAGTAATTATTACAAGAGGCTGGTTGTTAAAAGTCCCAGCACTACCCTTGATTTACATGGTAAATTTACTTCTCAGAATTTTTCTTATTTTTCAACTAGTTAACTTAGTGTAGTAACGATTGCTCCTCTCACATGAAACGGAGTATAAGTAAACAGGAAAATGTGAGACATTAAAATTAGAGTAAGACCAAAATCATTATGTAGATTTCTAGATAACATTTTACAACTGTGAATTGTTTTATCAGCATATATTGAGGAACTACTGTTGCCTATGTGTCGCACTATTTCATGCCCACATATAGCTTCAAAGAAATAGAAAGAATATGTTGGTTCTCAAGGAGCTTAAATTTTATCTGGAGAGATCACATAGAAAGCACTATAAAATATACATGAAATACTTTTCTATATCTAAAATAACAGCATAAAAGAAAGCATATTATGCTACTAGAAAGCCAGTTAGAAAGGTAACGATAAGTTGAGGACGTTGAACAAGAAAGGCTTTTGAAAAAGGTTCTTGGGTCAATTTTCAGGAAAGTTTTAGACATAGACTTATGAGAGAGGGGGAAAGTATTCCAGCAAGTGGCAATTTTTGCAGAGCTTTTATTTTCAAGTGCTCAATTGGTTCATCTCTATTTTTTGTCAGCAGACTTTTAAAGGGGATTTTGTGGTGTTGGTTGGAATTGATATATTTTTAATGCTCAAGAATATGTAGACAGTCAAGTATTATTATAGGTAATCATCTCGAGTCTTCAGTTCAGTCTTGACATCTTCCCTCTCAACAGAAATACTGCACTTTCTGCAGGAGGTAAGGTGTTCAGCATGTAGATGCTGACCTTAAGGAGTTTATGATTGATTACCTTAGAGATTTAGGCACCTAAGTGAGAAGTTAAACCACATGCAGTGGCTACCTAGCCATTCCAGAAATGTCGTAAAGCAGTGGATGATAAATATCAAAAACACCAGTACTGACAAGTCCCAGCAAAGTTCACAGGAGGTGTAATCCTTGGAAGAAAAAGGCTTCAGGGAAAAAAAAAAAGTAACTTAAAATCAGTTCAGCCTGGGAATCACAGAGGTCCTCTAATCCAACTAGATGAATCCCTTCTATGAAATCACTAATAAATGGCTCTCCTTTTTTTTTTTAATCCTCACCAGTACCAGAGAATTTGCTTTCATGAGACATCAATTTAAAAGTTTTAGAAATAATGTCCTTCCTTATACAAAGTCTCAAATCAGCCTCCTTCTTAAATTTAATAGTGCTATCCAGAGCTTCTCAGATCAGTGCTTTGGCATCCTCCAGCACTCCAGTGTGTCACAGGTGTGCTGACTTATTTATTTCCTTAGCCCTCCAAGCTGTCCTGCAGAGACTGAAGTACCCACAGCCCCAGAACTATGGCCATGAGAAACCTCCTGTGTTTATCACATTGCCATAAATAGTATCACCTCTTATGTGTACTCTGCTGTAAAAAAGATTGTGAAGCATTGCTCAGTATAATGTGTTGGCAAAGAGATCAAGTCTCTGGAATCACACAGACCCAAGTTAGAACCTTAGCTCTGCCCGATATTAGTTTTCAGGCCTTGGAAAAGAAACTACATCTTTTCAAGCCTCAATTTCTACATTGCAAAATGGGTGCAATAATACTGCCTCCCTTGTGAAGTTGGTGTAAAAATTAAAGATGATAACATAATAGCACTAACAAAAAAGTATTATTGTTATTTGTTCTGCTTTTACCCTTTTAAATATACTATAGAATTCTTCTTCTATTTTTAGAAACTTCAGAATATTTGAAGCTAGTTTATTGTTTCCTCTCAGTATTCTCCTATGGCTAAATAGCCTAAGTTCCTAAGTTTTTCCTCGTCAACATAAATTCAAGTTCCTTCTACATCTTAGTTTCTCTCTTTATTTCTTTTTGCATATGTAGTACTAAGAACTGGATGCATCCCTGTAGATTTGGCTTGACAAACTAGTCCTTGAAGTGTGGATGGAATAGGGCAGTGGAGGAAAGATATTCATGCTGGAGAACCGTGTAGTAAGCAAAGGAGAAGTCATAATACATCTGTCATGTTTATCAACAAATGGGCCTCACTGGCTACAAATATAATCATATGGGGGAAAAAGAATTTTAAAGAGGGAGCATTGTGAACTCCTGTAATCATGTGACTATAGATTCTATCCAATGTAATGAAATACCAACATAATTGTCATTAAAGGAGATAGATCTCTCTTTTGAAAGCAAGCAACCACAGTATTTATGTGAGCTACAAGCACAATGTCATAATACATACTATAATCCCTAATCCCTTTTTTCTTTTTTTCTTTTTTTTTTTTTTGAGACGGAGTCTTGCTTTGTCGCCAGGCTGGAGTGGTGCAGTGGCACGATCTCTGCTCACTGCAACCTCCGCCTCCGGCTTCAAGCGATTCCCCTGCCTCAGCCTCCTGAGTAGCTGGGAGTACAGGCACGCGCCACCACGCCCGGCTAATTTTTTCTATTTTAGTAGAGACGGGGTTTCACCATGTTGGCCAGGATGGTCTCGATTTTCTGACCTCGTGATCTGCCCGCCTCGGCCTCCCAAATTGCTGGCATTACTGGCGTGAGCCATCGTGCCCAGCCCATCCATACTATAATCCTTTTTTGCTCCCCTAGAATTGTCCCAACAGGATGCTGGAAAACTGGAGATTATCTGCAAGCTACACATACCCTGGGCTTTCAGTGGCTGTTGGCTATTGCAGTCCACTCTGGTTGAAAGAGGCTGGTGACACAGTTACCTTGTCCTATCCTAAGAGTCACAACTCAGAAGATTCAACCTTCAGATTTCCTTTATTCCTGAGCCCTTTTATTCTGGCCTTCTGGTCTTTCTTCCATTCATTCCATATAGCATAACGCTTAGAATCTGTTGGTGTTCATCCCCCCCCCCCCACCTCTGCTAAGTATTAGTTGTGTGACATTGGGCAAATTATTCTACTTTGTAACTCAGTTTTGCCTTCTGTTAAAATGAGGATTTTTTTTTACAGTACTTTAACAATAAATTGTGACCATTAAATGAGATAATGTATCTATAGTGCTTAGAAGAGAGCCTGGCAATAATAAGCGCTATTTATGTTAACTGTTATTTTGAGTCATTATTATTCATACATTCAACGAATACCACTGTGCTAAATACAGGGGATGTGTTGGTACATCGGACAATCTCTTACCCCTTATGGTCATATTTCTTCTGATTTTGTGAGACACGCAATGACTTTCGAATCTGACTCCTGGATGCAATTTCAGAAGCTGCTGTTGGTAACTGTGGATGAGGCACTTACCCTCTCTGAGCCTGTTTCCACATCTGTAAAATGAGGATTAATAAAATCTACTTGGAAGATTTGTTTTGACTATTAAAAAGACAAAATATGCAAATTATCTGGCACATTTGAAGTCGAATATACTTTCCTTTTCACAGTCTTGTGGCCACACCTGAGGCTAGGGAACTCCACTCTAGGCTTAGAAAACAGTGCTGTCTTCTTAAGTGCTGGGGAGGAGTAAGAGGGTATGGCGGGAACTCATCTGCAGGAAGGGTAAAACCCAGAAGGCGTGGGAGGAGACAGAGACAGGAGGGATGCAGGGACCGCCCCTGGCCTACAACTCCCGGGATGCTCCGGGAGCGCCCCGCCCCGCCCCACCCCGCCCGCCGTGGCGGGCGCTGCCCACCCGGCGGAGCCGAGCGGCGTGCAGAGGCTACAAGTGCCGTAGCTGGTGATTGGGGGACTTTCTCCGGGAACCGTGCCGGGAGAGCGCGCGGTGCTGGAGCCGCACCGGGTGGCCGAAGCAGAAGGTGAGTGGCGGGGAGTGGGATGGGGTGGAGGCTTTGAATGCAAGGGTGAGAGCCCTGGAGCCTAGCAGAGCTGGAGCGCATATCCCCGCTCTCTCTCCTTCGTCTCCGAGTACTAGGCGGACACATCCGTACCTCGAATGCCTCAGTGGGCGCAGAGTTCACCAGAAATGGATAGCCGGATTCCTCGGCGCCTGCTGGGGGCACCGCTGCCAGGTGCTTGGGGCTCGCTCTCCCGGCTTTGCTCGCACAGGGCGCATCCAGAGGTCGCCTCCCCGAGATCAGCCTTGCCTGTGTCAGTTTAAAGCAAATATTAATGCTTTTAATTGATGACAGATGGACGAGGGAAAGTGCGTGTCCCCTCGCTTTAAGGTGCAATGTCGTTAACTGGGCTTTTAAGCAGATCAGAGGAAAAAGAGGGAGAGGACGGAAGAAAAGAGTCTTTAGCTGGTCCCCTGGGATTATCCATTCTCCACTGAGAATGGAAACCCCGGATTAGGGAGCTGCAAAGGAAATCGACTGTGCTGCTAGCATACCTCCGGTAGAACAAGCGAACAAGCGGGAGTAGCTTTTCTTTAAAGAGAGGTAGAGGCGGCCGTAGGGAATTAAGTGGGGATTTCTCTCTTCTTTTGTTATAAACTGAAAGTCTCAAAGAACCCTGCTGATTTTATCCAAGGTAGGCTAGTGTGATGAGTTAATGGTACCAAAGGTTAATCAGAGCCCCTAATGCCTGAGAAAACTGGAAGAAGAGTTATCGGTAATTGATGAAGCCTGTTACCATCACTTCATTCATTGAGGGATCCTTTAGTGGGGGTTTGTTCTAGTTTAGTAGTGATTCTTTTGCCCTGTTGTTTTTTGCTGTTTTCACTGTAGAGAAACTCCGATAACAGGAGAAAAACGTTTTCTGTTTTGCTTTTTTTGTTTTGTTTTAAACAAACTCTTAGGTGTAGCAGAAAACATGTCAATTCCCTCTCCCATATTTTGAGTTGCCAGGTTGACCTTAGGTGACCCTTGCCTGTGTTTCTGTTACCAGCTTTGGAGCTGTGGATTTTGAATTATAAGAAGCCTCAAGCCGTTGGGTTAAATCAATTATCACCCTGGATTTGGAAGCAAAATAAAAGGAGCCTTTGGTTAAAATCTCTAATGATAGTGGAAAGTGAATTTTTATTCCTTAGAAACATGGCAGAGGCAGAGAAAAGCCGATGGTTTTCTGCTCAAACCAAAGTTCTCTCCCAGAAATGCCCCTTGCTGCAGTCGGGGGTGAGGAGTGACATGTTTATAAAATTACAGAGGTAACCTTGGAAATAGCTTCTCACCTATTTGTCTCCACAGAACTCTTACTCTGTGGGTTTATAGTTTGTCTTTTATTATCAGTTCACTTCTAGATTGGGTTTGTAAAACTATCCAGATGGTCAATTTCTTGTGCATTGTGTGATAGCAAAGCATGCAGAGAGGGAGGAACACAGACCCAGGGAACGGGAGTAGCAGATCCTGCAGCTGGAGCAGGCAGGTGTGTGTGTGGAGGAGTGGGTTGGCCCATTGTATTTTGCAGGGATTGCCGTAAGGTCTGTTGCCTGTATGCTTTGGGGTCCAGAACATGCTTCCCCCATGGAGCAGTGAGGGAATAGGGCTAAGTGGAAGCACAGTGAATAAGCAGCATATGGTCTTGTAAATACAGGGCTGTGTCACTAGGGTCATTGGATGTATGAGGTGTAAGCTTAGCAGAGGTGGCTGATTAAGCTGGCCTTTTTCATCTACTTCAGAGCTATGGAATCAAAATGCTGAGTTCCTGCCCAGCTGATAGGGGTGTATAGTCATTCACTGATGGTGATGCTCCAAAGCTAATCTGTATTAGAATTTGCTCTGAACTAGGGAGAGTGTAAACACTTACAATCTTACTGAATTAACAAGTCTATGCTTCCCCAAGTCCTCCAGAAAATCGGCAGCTCTGCTAAAAAGGGCTCTTGCCTTTCTCATTTGTCTTTTTACAGGAAACTTGCCTTCTCGTTTGAGGGATCCTTTTGCAGGAATGCGCGAGTCCTTGAATAAATTTGGCTTGGTGACGGCAGTATTCTTTCTCAGTAGACACTGCCACTTCCTCCACGCACCTTTCTACCCTGACTTAAGTTTCTCAGTGTTAATCACTATGACAAGTGAGAGCATTTGTCCCTTCCACACTTTCCTGCCACTAGGTATCCCCTCCCTTCTTTTGCCTGTTTGAGGTGGAAAAGGGGCTAAACAGGTGCAGCTGTGAAGGAAATGGGGACCCCAGGAGCAACACTCCTGGAAGTACAACCTTAGCTTCTGTTGGGTTCTTATCTAACTCTGTTGCTATTGGCAGACTTTCCGGAAGCTGCTGGGGGATGTCTGACTAGCTCTCATGGAGCTCCACTACCTTGCTAAGAAGAGCAACCAGGCAGACCTCTGTGATGCCAGGGACTGGAGTTCAAGAGGGCTGCCTGGTGACCAGGCAGATACAGCAGCCACAAGAGCTGCTCTCTGCTGTCAGAAACAGTGTGCATCCACCCCAAGAGCAACCGAGATGGAAGGGTCTAAACTTAGTTCTTCTCCAGCATCCCCCTCCTCCTCTCTGCAAAACAGTACTCTTCAGCCAGATGCCTTTCCACCAGGACTTCTCCACTCAGGGAACAACCAAATAACAGCGGAACGGAAAGTCTGTAACTGCTGCAGCCAGGAATTAGAAACTTCTTTTACCTATGTGGACAAAAACATCAACTTGGAGCAGCGGAACCGGAGCTCGCCATCAGCAAAAGGGCATAATCACCCTGGGGAGCTTGGCTGGGAAAATCCAAATGAGTGGTCCCAAGAGGCTGCCATATCTTTGATATCTGAAGAGGAGGATGATACAAGTTCAGAAGCCACGTCTTCAGGGAAGTCTATAGACTATGGTTTCATCAGCGCCATCTTGTTCTTGGTCACTGGGATCCTGCTCGTGATCATCTCTTACATCGTCCCACGGGAAGTGACTGTGGACCCCAACACTGTGGCAGCCCGGGAGATGGAGCGCCTGGAGAAGGAGAGTGCGAGGCTGGGGGCTCACCTGGACCGCTGTGTGATTGCGGGGCTCTGCCTCCTCACGCTGGGGGGCGTCATCCTGTCCTGCTTGTTAATGATGTCCATGTGGAAGGGGGAGCTCTATCGTCGAAACAGATTTGCCTCTTCCAAAGAGTCTGCAAAACTCTATGGTTCTTTCAACTTCAGGATGAAAACCAGCACGAATGAAAACACTCTGGAACTGTCCTTGGTAGAGGAAGATGCGCTTGCTGTACAGAGTTAATTCTGGTTGTGAATATCTTGAGAGTCTGCCTTGGCATTTTATAATATGAAAAAAGTTAATTTATAAAAATTCACAGTGCAATTTATTTGCCTGGCAAGAAAAGTTTATTTCACAAACCAACAGCCAGTAAGTGTTTTTGTTCTCTATGTGTCTTCTATTTAGAAGAAAAGCCATGTAAGATGTATAAGAAACCACAACCAGCCACACCTATCCTTCTGAAGAGCTGAAGGCTAATTAATCTGTAATGGCCAAGAACTTCTACTTCGATAGAAAAATATTTCTAATGACCCAGTCTACAAATTATTTCTTTTACACAAATATATGATGTTATTCTTTGGACACTAGGTGGTCCTACACACAGTAGGATCAATTGCTAATCTACTTTGTGAAAAAGAACTAAGCACTAATCAATAATAAGGCTTACATCTAATTCTCAAAGGTGCTTATCCATTTTCTTGCTAAATTATCCTTCTTGTAATTTGGCTAAACACTAAAACATGGAATTTTTAGTTTGAATATTTTGAAGTTTGAGGATGTTGGGCTTTCCTTATTGTAAAAAATGTTATGTTTGAAATTATTCCTGTTTTCAAAAATGGTAATTAAGTCATTAGGATAAACTTTCTAATAAAAAAAAATTATGTAAATCATTGTAAGACCAATGTGAATTTAAACCACAGTGTTGGTGCCAGATATTAGCCAGGGTCACAGGCTCTTTTTTAAAATGAAGTCAAATTAGTTACTGATATAAGTTTTATATTTTGTGATTTTGCCATCATACTGGTTATCTGTGCTCTTGAAGTCTGCTGGTTCTCACACCAGCAGCAAGAGGCAAGGCATGAGACATTTTAAATATATTTCCAGACATCTAAACATCTAGACAGGCCTGAGTCATGATTGGCTCTGGTGTGCTTCCAGGTAACATCTTGTTATTGCTGTTTGGGGAAAACCACCAATAGAATTGCAGCTAGACTTTTGGGGACTGTGCCTCGCAGGCTGTATCACTTGCTGTAGGCCAAGCAACGAGCACTTCCCTCATGGTAGCAACAGTCCTTAAGCCCAAAGCCAAAAAAAAATAAAATGGAAAGAGAGATTCAATACACTGATTTAATGGGGACTGTAGTCATCGTCAGAACTCACCTCCCACTCACAGTGGTCTAGATGTCATTCAGCAACTGTGAACTCTTGCCTCATGCAGCACAAACTCTTCTCTAAGAGCAGCATGATGAGCAAGGTGCTCACTTTGCAAGACACACACTGGGTGTTCACAGTGACAGACCGCCTCATTATGGTGACGGTTCAGAAAAGGGATGGGAAATGCAGCCTCAGAAATACCTTACATTTTGCAACTCTGCCTGGAGGTTTTTCCAACCTGTGCTCTAAGAGTTGTTGTAACTTCCATGATTGTGTTACCAGGATCAGGGGGTCATTCTTAAAAAGAGGACAGGAGCTGGGAATTGGTATGAGACAGCAGGAATGAGGAAGTAAGAAAGTGATTTCTTTGCAGATTTTTAAAGGCTATTTCAAATGTCTGAAGTTTGTGGTGTTGTGGACAACTGTGGAATACATGGGTGACTTTGGCAAAATGTGTGAATCAGGATATTTATGTGGATGAGCTCTCATGGGTGTCAGATTGATTTGATGAGTGAGGTATGCTGCATATGACTTAAGGGTTGAACTGAAATACAAAAAGGGAGGCTCAGAAGATAGTAAAAAGAGAGGATGGGCATATGAAAGAATTATTAAGTAAAAATGAGAAATTATATGGCCATCAGAGGAAGCTAGATGTAGTTAATTGCCTTATGTTATAGAGCAATACTGATTACTGAAAAGAAAGAATTGAGATGACATAAACATGATTTTTGCTTTCTGTTGCTGTATTTTTGTGCTTTTTGAACAAACTTTGTTTTACTGTGACTCTCATTTCATGATTTTTGTTGAGGCTGCCTTACCAGTGGTATAAGTTTTATATTCTGAAGGTTTCTAAGTCCAGCTCTAGCCTGCTTAAGGATCCACTTTGGATGATGTTGAAACAAGAAGGAAACGATCTGCTGAGTGAGTAGGTCTGAGCTGTGTGTTAAAAAAAGAAGGCATTAAAAAAAAGAAGGCATTAAAGAAAAAACTAATGTTTATTCATAGAAGCTAAATGAGATCAACTGAGTTTTTATTTATTGGTGAAACAGGATTAATTAGCCAAATGGCAGACTAAACTGAATTAATGTGGAATCAATTTTCAGTTTATGAAGGAAGAGGAGTTTGGGAATCAAGTGTTAGGAGGTCTTTTCACTTGATAATAAAGCTTTTCATGTGGAAGCATTTAATGAATCTTGCAGGGCTACCAAATAATATAGATTTGATCTAGAGGTAACATTTTGAAAAATGCCATTTTGGAAAAAAAATATTCAACGGGGGAGAAAAAGACCTAACACATCAAAATACATTTCCTTTCTTTTCCCTAGAATGCTATAATTTCCTTTAAAATTTAAAATCGAAATGTGGTAAGTAAATGCACACTTCAACATTATTTAAATCTGCTAACATATAGAGCACCTCTCTTTTAAGGTTCTACTTATCTGAGGGCAAACCATTACACATTACATGATTTTGAAAATCATCTGAATGACTTCTTTTGGGCTGTGGTGACATTATTCAGATACTTGCCTTAATCGACTTTTCCCTGGGTATTTGGTTTATGTAGCCCTTATCCATCCTGCCTGAATTCAATATGAAGATTACTTGAATTTAAAATGATGGTAACACAGGCAAAGAAAAGCCATGTGCTTTATTTCCTGTTTTTCCCAATCTGACAAAGAGTGTTTTTGGCTCTAGAGGTACTTTGGCAAGACCAGGTGATGCATTCTATAGACATTGGGCATACAATACCTATAGTTTTGGTCTTGCATCCTTCATGGAGATTTGTGACCTTCCGTCTGTCTCTTCAATATGGTGCTGGTTGTTACCTGTGAAAGTTTTTATTGCTAGTCCTAGAGAAGAAAAACATATTTCAGTGGTTCTAGGTCTTTAGCTTATTTACATGGTTTTAGAAATCTAAACTCAAGAGTCATCTTCCTAGTCTCAATGAGAAGACAGCTCGTCTTTCAGCAGTGTGGCCCAATGGGGTGAGTTACAGAAAGAAAGCTGTCTTTCTCCTTTATTACTGGGATCTACACGCTGCTGGTGGATGATTTAAGGCTCCTAATATCTTTATAAGCCAGTTCTTTTTAGGGCACCTTAAACTGTTAGTGGTAGAGTTTGCAAAGAGTTTTCTTTGCAGCGCTGTGTGTCCTTCCCACCCATTGGGAGCTCTTAAAGCAGATCACATAATAAGATGTACTGGCCCCTCATATAAAGAACAGCTTTTCGTCATGCTCCCCACTGTGTAGGTGATTTATAGTTTACAGGAAGACAAGACTGCTTGGAACCATGAAGTTCTTGGAGGCCATGGTTGCTTTTACCCACATGACTGCTATAACCCTTGATTCTGTTCTATCAAGTTACTTGCCTTGATATCATCACATGCTTTGCTGTCTGCTTAAAATATGAGTTCATCCCCCTCATACTTATTTGTTTTAGGGACCCAATTGGACCAGTGCTGGCACATGCCCTTCAAGGTACAATTTCTGAAAAGAGACTGCGCTGCCAAACTTATGTGTGCCTTTACCTCAGTCCCCCCAGTATAAGGGGTGACTTAATCTTGATAAATGAGTGACTGAGCACCATGCTAGTTAAATATTGAGAATTAAAAGCCTGAACCCAATGGCTCTATTTTTTTTTACCACCTTCTGACAAGCAAAAATTCTAGGCAGGAGCATGTGAACATTTTGGTCTTCATCTTTCACGTGTGCAATGATAGGTGTATGCAAAATTTTACTTGGATTAATTGTCAAGTTAAAAAAGTGTTCTATATGTATATCTCTTAGGAGAAGGTTTTTCAACCTGAAGGTCAGATTTCATTGCAGCAATTAATGCCATCAAAAAAACGTGGTCTGACAAAAAAGATTCACAACCTTTGCCAGTGGTTCACCTATTACAGCAAGATGTAATACTATCAATACTTACTGTTCTCTGTAATGGGTTTAACCTTTCCCAGAATTGGACATAAAGAATGACTACGATGAGAAGATTATAATGAAGTCTTACTGGCTTTTCCTAGTCTAAAAAGAGTACTTAAGAAAGAGAATTAACATATCATTTCCTTTTGGCTGATTTTTAGCTATATCTGTTTTTGGTTCATAATATTCTATATTATCATCTCACAAATTTTATAAGTCTTGGGAAATAATTTGCCTGCCTAGTGAATTGACACTGTAAAAAGCAAGACGTTATTTTAAACACATAAAACTAATTTCAAGAATCTGTGGCTTACACTCAAGAGTGTACTCGTGGTTTATGTTTGTGTGCAGATTTATGTGCACTCAAGTCTATGTGCATTTGGACTATATTTTATAGTTATACAGCTTTAATATCCAAAGTTATTGTTAGAATAATTTTATTATAGGAATTTGGCATGCCTTACTATTGACATTAAGAAGAAGAGAAGTCTTTCACAAGTCATGAATGAAGAATTTGGAATCAGCCTCAGAATGAGATGCCATAATTATTATAAACCTGTTTTGGTTGTTCAGCCTCCCACAAATATTTATTAATTTGTTTTTTAACCTCTCAATTTCAGGCTCATGAGAGTGTGAGATATTTGGAAATTATTTTACCGTGAATTGTTATTTTATTTCAGGGGACTATGGGGAGTATATTCCTTTGTTTCAAATTTGGGTAACTCTCCTGTGTTTCAGGAACAGCTCTCCCTATTTTTTCACTGCCATCTTCAGGCTTCCTAGCCAGGCTCCAAACAAATGTCATATAAGAAAGAAAGATTAATTATTACATATTGTGTATTGAGAGTTTGTACCCTGTGGTTCTCATCGTGCTGTTAATTTTACTTTTCTTGCCAAACAAAAATAATTTGACATTGATTATGTGCTTTTTGATATTTTCAAGGGCAATTATTAAGGTTATGAGCTCTTTCTTAGGGCACTTGATGCCTTATATGTTAATAGCAAGTGTGTCATATCATTTTAAAATAAAACTATTCAAAGGCTTTATTGTGTTTATTAAGCTTAATTTAAATTGGAATCTGTAATGCTGATTTGGTCTTTTAAAATTATATTTGAAATTATTTGTCCAAAAAAATTAAAATGAATATTTACCCCTAATTTAGGTTTGTCATTCTTCTTGCTACCATTTCACTATATAATGTAGACTGTGCCTTATTTTTTGTTGTTTTATAGGAAATAGTCCAAGTTATTTGGGTTTCTCTAAATTACTCAGTATTAGAGTACACATTTTATGATATGGAAAAATACATGAATAAATATTTTTTAAAAACACTTATCTGAGTGTCTAGAAAGCTTTTAGGTGAGAAACAAGTATCAAATTAACTTATGCACCTGCTTTTAATCTAATTTTGATCTCCATTTTCATTTGAAGAATGTATCACAATTTATATTATTAACTGGAATTTTATCCTTATTATATATAAGTGCTGTCAAGGTCAAAAACTCTAAAGAGACATTTGGAAGTGAGGCCCCATATCTTGCTCCATCTATTTTGAATAAAAATTGGATCAAGATTCTTATCTACATCCTTTATAGGAAGAAAGTCTACTTCTTTCGATATCTGTTTTTTTCTAGAAGTTCTTTTGGCTTTTGTTAACCACCTCTGATCATTCGGAATAAGCTAAGTGATGCTGTTACATTTCCACAGTCTCTCGCTATATGACCCTTGCAGGTCAGCAGTCAAGGGGACCCAGTCTGATGCAGCCACCTTTTTACATGTCCCTGGTTGCCAAGCTAGAGGGGAAAAGAGTCTGAAAGGTCTCAAAGAGACACTGCACCAGGTCAACATGTATTTAGTCAGGACTAGTCATATAGTCCCACTTAAGCCAGGAAATGCAGTTCCATCATGAGCCCTGAAATGAGGAGAATTGGGACTGTTTGGCAAATGACACTAATGACTACCAGAATTTCTAAGGTCTTTGTTTTGTTCAAGCAGAGTATGTATCAATGAACATAAATATTCTCATCTTCTCTAATGATCACTTGATCAATTTAATATTAATACATTTATACTGGGGGCCAAAAATGCTAAAGGTCTCCAGAGAAGGCAAATTTAGTAGATCTTTATTAAATGCTTAAAAAAAAATTGTCACAATTATACTTTAATATATTACCTATATGATTTTATTGTATTATTTAATCATAAAAAAGGAGATTAAGCCAACATTTGTCCTTTCAACTCATGGACAGGAGGAAGTGCTTACTTTCTTGGGTTCTTACTATGTATTATTTAATTTATACCTCACCTCATTTAATTCTCACAGCATCTCTGCAAGGCAAGTGTTATCTGCATTTTACAAATGAAAAACTAAAGCTGGAGAATGTCAAATAACTGGCCAAAGTTATATAACTAATAAGCGGTAGGAAAAGAATTAAAATCTGGGACTCCTTCACTAAAATTATATATTAAGTTTAGAAGGAATATGACCCTTATAAAAACATCAATTTATACTGGCTGTTTTATTTTGCGCTTATTATTTTATAAACTAAAGAAAATAGCAGGCTTGTGATCTGAGAAATAAGGAACCCTTCCTATAAAGAAATCATATCACTATTTTGCTTTTAGGTAATATAGTGATTTATCAAAATATATGTCAAAACTATCAACTCACAGCCATCCTACTTCTTACCCCTAATGAGACTCAAGTAAGCTTATGCTGACACTTTTCCTTGGAATTGAAAAGAAAATGTAGTTACTCTTTCTATGTGCACAACAGTGAACATAGAGTTTATGTAGTCTCCAGTAAGGGATCCAGGGACGGAGAGAAAGTCACATTTGAGTGCTTACTATGTGCCAGGCATTCTGCGTTCATGTGCAGTATCTTGCATAATCTCCACAACACGTCGAATAATAAAGGCTTCAGAACCATGGAGACAGATGATCTGAAGTTTGAATGCCTGCTCCTCTACTCTTGTAATGACATCTGATCCAAGTTTCTCCATCTGTAAAATGAGAATAATACTGTTTGCCTTGCAAGACTCTGATAGAACGTAAATAAGAAAAGTTAGAGAAAAATGAAAACAAATCCTTTTCTGGTATACCATCATAACAGCTACCATTATCTTGAGTGAGGTTCTTTGTAACTACAGAATATGAGTTTTTGTAGGTACTTGGGATCCTATATGTTCATGTTGATTATCGGCTGATGAAAAACTGAATTGGGCCCAATTGTCAGATGATTACTGATCATCATGATAAAACATAATATTTTTTTACTTATGCTCCTTTCTCCTCCTCATCCTCCTTTTCCTTCTTAATTTCCTCTTCCTCCTTTTCCCCACTCCCTCTTTCTCTCCTCCCTTCCTTCATCATCATCATCATCATCATCATCATCATCATCATGTGGAAACTGCTTATTTGTATGTCTCTTGCTTCCACCATCATAAATACATCCCTCCAAGAAAGAAATTTACATCTCCCTTCATGAACGGAAAAACAATTTGGAAAACAGTCTTTTGTTTAATTGTGGAGTATGGTATGTAAATATCTTGTACTACAATCTTCTAGACCTTGAATAGTCATAACTCCAATCAGCATGCCATGTGGCAAAATATTAATATTTAATTACCTTTTGTTTTAAGACAGAATCTCACTCTGTTGCCCAGGCTGGAGTGCACTGGCGTGATCTTGGCTCACTGCAACCTCAGCCTCTTGGGTTCAAACAATTTTCCTGCCTCAGCCTCCCCAGTAGCTGGGATTACAGGCACCTGCCACTGCACTTGGCTAATTTTTGTATTTTTAGTAGAGACAGAGTTTCACCATGTTAGCCAGGCTGGTCTCAACCTCCTTACCTCAAGTGATCTGCCTGCCTCGGCTGCCCGAAGTGTTGGGATTACAGGTGTGAGCCATGGTGCCCAGCGTAATTATCTTTTAAACAAAATAGCTTTTACCATACCAAAACCCAACAAAATCCTGTCATTTGGTTGAATTGTTTTTAACATTCATAGAGCTAAAACTTAAAAGATTCTATCAATAAGCACTCTGACAAGAGACTGTTCTTCATTGCCATTTATCCAGACCACAGAGTTCATGTGTTTATATTTATCTTTGAATTTTATTGAACCTTGTTCACATTCTGCCAAATTAGCAAAAGTAACTGTTCTGGAATACAAATGACATTAAGAACAGTTGCTAAAAATTGAACTTATTTTCTCCTGATACTGAAATGGCATAATCAGTGATGCCCCCTGCTGCTGAGTGGATCCATAGGAGGGAAACCAGGGTACCAGAGCCGGAAGAGGGTAGAACCCCCAGCCTTCGGCCACACCTTATACAAATGATGAGCTCAGGAAAGAATTTCTTGATTGCGAACAGAATATAAGGGGGCTAGGAGAGACAGAGGCTGACCCTAAACAGTAAAATATGAAGCTGAAAGAGACTTTGAGTGATAAAAGTTCAGTAGTGATGCTGCCTTATGTCAAAGAGCATTATAAGGTCAAAGCTGTTTTTTATAATCTCAAAAGAGCATCGTTGAGCTGAAAAAGAGAAGCCATGGGTCAGGAAACAAAGAAACAACTCAGGCTGGAGGCAGGAAAATTTTAATATGGTTATTGGCACACGGAACTGATGGGAGCAAGTAACACAAAAGCCTAAGTTTGTAAGGGAAATACATTGCCAAAGAACCCATGAGCCTTAGACTGTTTGAGCCTTAATAAACAACATTTGAGTCCCCAAACTTGTAGCAGTAGGAAACAGGCTAGAAAATGTGCTAGAACAGCCCCCAAAGAGGGCATGTTTCAGAATACTTATTTTAGATGTGGCCATAGATAAAAGGAAGAAACTCCTAGGGCCTTGAATGAGGGGCCTTGGAAACAATGGACAAGTGATTCCTTCCAGAAAGAAGGACAGGGCATATCCAAGGAATTTACCCCACCCACAGGGCAGAAATACAGCACAATGCCTGACTGACAGAGTTTCAGCATTCTGATGAACCAATGATTATGTCAGATTGTTTCTTATGGTTATCATGTCCTTGTTCCATTAGTATATGTTTTATGTGAGGTGTAACATATCTTCTGTTTATAGTTTGCCAGATCACAACATCTGGCAACTTTATGAGAATACTATGTACATTTTGGAGGTCTTGGATTTGGAGCTGGAGGCATGTTCTGGATGGGTCCTTTAGTCTTCCTCCTTGGGAGTTGAGTCTTTGTGTGTAAGAAAGGATAGACTAGCCAAGTGTTGTGGCTCACACCTGTAATCACAACACTTTGGGAGGCTGAGGCAGGAGGATCACTTAAGGCCAGGAGTTGGAGACCTGCCTGGGCAACAAAGTGAGACCTGGTCTCTACAGAAAAAAAAAAAAAAAAAAAAATTAAAGGAAGGGAGAGACTATGGCACATCTGCCAAAGATCCATGCCCATTTACTTTGTGTAGAGTTTTTGCTAGAGAACAGCAGCCTAAACAAGGGTTGCATTTCCCAGTTCTCTTTCCACTTAGGTAGGTCCAAATGGCTAATTTGCACCAAAGGAATGTGAGCAAAGTGACGTGAGTTACCTCCTGGCTCTAGTGGTTAAGAAACCAACATGCCTTTATGCACTTAACTTCTCAATCTGGTGGCTGGATGAAGCTGCCTAAGAACTTACAGAAGCCACACTGAAGGCATAAATCCTCCAGCAGCCTGGTTTGGGGGGCTGTCTGCTTCACTATTATTGAGAACCTTAGGCTGTTAAAGGCTCTGTCATCTTCCAAGATTACTCTGGTTGTTAATATCTAGCTGGCAGACAGAAAAAGGGACAGCATTGGAGATTTTGTGGAAGGTTTTCAGTCCAGTTGGTTAGCATTTGGTATTATTGCCACATCCAGCTGCAAGGGAGGCTGGGAAATGTAGTCCAGCAGTATATCTGGGAGAAAGAAGAAATGGGTTTGAACAGCTAGCCAGTCTGTTCCACAAGGTATGACCTGCTTATAGTTAATTTCCTATTTAATGTTTGCTTTTCTACTATTTTCTTCATTTCTACATATCAAAATCTCCCTCTAGTTCACTATGAGCTTTGCCTTCTTTTTTCCTCAAGTGAATTAGGTTAAGTATCTCATGGTAAAATCTTAGTTTAGATCACATTTCGTGTATAAGTCATATATGGCTGCATAATACATTACCCCAAAGTGTAGCTTAAAAAATTAAACTTTTATTATCACACAGTTTTCTGTTGGTCAGGAATTTGGGACCAGCTTAGCTGGGTGGTTTTGGCTCAGGGTTCTCTCATAAGGTTTCAGTCACGCTGTTGGCTAGGGTTACGGGCATTTTAAGGCTTGCCTGCGACTGAGGATTCTATTCCAAAATTACTCACTCACATGGCTGACAAGTTTGTGCTGGCTGTTGGCAGGAGGTCTTGATTTGATTCCTTACTACTTGGACCTCTCCATAGAGCTTCTTGAGTTTCCTCCAAACAAGGCTGCTGGGTCCCCTGAGGAGAGGGACCCAAGACAGAAAGAAAGCTGCAAAGGATTTTATGGCCCAGTTTTGGACGTCAAACACTGTCACTTCCACCTCATCCTATACATTAAAATAGTCACTAACTCCAGCCCACAGTCCAGGATAGTGAAACTAGGCTCTACCGTTTTAGGGGAGGAGCGTCAAGAAGGAATGCGTACATATTTTAAAACCTTCACTCTCAGTATTTTGATTTTTCTAAATCCTTCTATTTTCTTTAGTGTTGCTAATATAGTACCTCTTTACTTAATTAGTATTTTAATTATATGTCTATTTTAATTCCTATTTTAGGAATGTTAACTGTATCTTTTTTTAGGATATATTGATGAGAGTGTTGAATTTGATCTTTAAAAAATCAGAGCTGACTTTGAGCCTTGCAGAGAAAAATCAGGCTCTCAAGCTAAATGGAAGGAAACAAGTCTGTGGGTGTGTGCTCCAGTGAATAATAACTGACCTGAGTGCAGAGCTGAGCACTGCACTTCCAAATTTAGTATGTATATCATGATTTCGAGGAAAACTTCCAGTTCTAGTCTCTTCCTCTCCTTTTCAGTGCCAAATTTGCCCAATTCTCAATCAAAATACCCATAGTTGTCTAATGTAGTGGAGAATCATTACTATATCATATTAATAAGTAACTTACTTATTGATGCTTATGTAGTTAATAATAAAAGCTAACACTATTGAGTGCTTATAATGTGCCAGGCCCCAGTTCTCATATTTACTCATCGAATCCCCATGACAATCCTGTGAGGTAGGTCCTTTTATTATCCTTATGTTATACATGAGCAAAGTTAGACTTATCATAGAAATTATTAGCTTCCCCAAGGTCACACAGCTCATAAGTGGCAGAATTGGGATTCAAATCACTTAATACACTTGCTTGAGGTTAAAGTTACCAAGTGGTGTAGCTGAGCCTTCCCACCCAGATCTAACACAAAAATTCATGCTCTTTTCATCTATAATAAATAGGCTGCCATTTACTTCTGTAGTTCTTTTCACCCAAACTGTTTGCCCTTCCCTCCACCAAGGCCAACCTCATGGATGATTAGTCACATTATCATTGATCTCTCCCTTCTTTAAATGGCTGTAGCACTTTGTATGTATTCCACAAGTTGCTCAGTATAGGCTGCCTTAATTGATCACTAATTGTTTCAAGCATTGGTCATTTCTTTCCAACTAGACTTTAAAACTCTAGGAGAATAAGGACCCTCTCTTATCTCCACAGAACCCAGATCAATACTAACTCATACTAGTCACTTGTTGGTTTTTCCTGACTTGCAAAGATGGGAACATCCCATCATGCCACATACAAGTCAGTTGGGCCCCAATGCCAACACAGCCTCTTACCTTGGTTTCCAGTATAGGAAAATAACCCCAGGAAGAAAAAACTCTCTAAAGGAAAATGACAAGTCAATTAAAGTTAGAAAACATGACCCAAAGGAAAACATAAAAGAACAATGAATTCCACCTGGACAGCCAAATGCTAAGGTATGTCTTAATAAAAATGTACTAGTTTACAGTAGCTAATATACACTCAATAATTAGTATATAATAGTTAATAGAAATATTCACTCTAACCAGGAATCAAAAATTCATATTAAAATATTAAACTATGTTAAAATATGGTAGTTTTTTTACCATAAAAATGGAAATTATGTTTCTTTTTTTTAAAGCAACATTTAATGTTGCTATGAAAGATGATACCTCATACGTTACTTTTCGGAGCATCAGTTAATACATTTCTTACTGGAACATAACTTAACAGTATGTATCTGGAGTCTTCAAGGTATCCTTTCTCCCAGCATCCTGCTTCAAGGAAATTTAGAATAGAAATATTCAAAAAGATGGATAAAAGTTTATAAAGACAGTTATCACTGAATTAGCTAAAAAAAGGAAATACCAAAAAAACCTCATATCTCAACAACAGGGAGATTGCTCATGGTGTAGGCCCATAAACTGGATTGCTGTACAACCACTAAACATAATTTGCAAAGATTCTTAAGAATCTGGAGAAATGTTTATAAAGTAACATTAAGTGAAGTAGCTGATGATGCAGCAGCGCTTTCTCTCAAATATAGCATCATCCCAATTATGTGCTATATATGTGATTTATATATACATAAGACCAGACAGAAACATATTGAAATATAAACAGTGTTATCTCTGCAGTAAAATTATTGATAATTTTTTTGTATTTTGTTATATATTCCAAATTTGTCTTTCCTTTTTTCTAAATATGCTTTAAATTTTTTAGCAAACATTTATGTAACACTATACATCAGCACTGAGTCAAGGAATTTACAAATATTAACTCATTTAATTTAATCTTCCTAAGTTCCCTATGAGGTAGGTAGTTTTGTTACCTCCATTTTATTGATGATGACATTGAAGTGTAGAGAGGTTAAAATATTTCCCCAAGGTCACACAGCTAGTATATGGTGTTAAGTCCATATACTTAACTATGCTATGACAGTGAAAAACTTTGAAATGAGGAAACAAAATAAAATAATGCCTAATTAGAGAAAATAGTAAAGTATGAATTAATTATCTTGACCTCCCCAGGTTAATATAAGAGGATAAGAAAGCAACCTGAAGAACTCAGTTATCCATCAGGAAGACTATTCTGATGTCAGGATTGTTACACTGGAGTGAGTGACAAGGGACGATGTGGGACCTTCTCAGTGAGACCAGAAAAATGGGATTGATTCTCCTCTGAACAGCTCATGTCTTCATGTGGAGGGTAGGGGTAGGAAGGAGGCTCTCAAAGTCCCTTCCAGGCCTAGGATTCAGTGATTCATGAAATCATGAAGCAAGGTGGGAGGACCCAGTTTGTCCTTTACTTACATTTATGCTCTCATCTTTTAAAGGAGCCACAAAAATGAGACTGCTTCCTGTAAATATAATATGTTAATATTTTTTTCTACAACTGAGACATAATCCAAGTACTTTCTAAGAAGAGAGAGAGTCTGCTGTTCTCTTACCTTTCTTCTCAGACTTGAATAAGCCGACTGAGGAAAATAGAGTAGAAAGAAGAACCTGTCAGCATATTGTCAGGTAAGTATAGGAATTACACCACATAAATAGCTACCATGAATAATTTATGTGGAAGCTAGATGGCATTATTTGTGCTGAACTGTACTTCATCCATTTTCCTTCCTTTTCTTTTGGGGTTTTTATGAGTTTAGGTTTTGTGTCATTATATACATCAGAGGAAAAATAAATATCTGTTTAACAATAAAAACATTCAAATTTGTTAAAAGGCCTATAAGATTCTGGGAAGTTTTTGTTGTTGTTGACCTCTATCCAGTTGCAGTAGAAGAACAATTTAGTATAATAATTGCTATTTTTTCTCACTGTACTAAACCATACCAGTTTTTTAAAAGGAATCATTTTATCTTATAACAGTGGACCCACTCTGTAGCTTTTTACTCACAAATTGAACTTCCTCTTTCTCCTCCTCTCTGTATTTGGTCATATTCACAAAGGCTGTCCATGAGCCACTTGGTAGGTGGGAACATTTCTGACAAGATCTATTGATCTATGGAGAAAGTCCAATGAAACAAGGACTAAGTAAGTAATGAAAAATTTTACCTAGGAAACAGCAATAAAAAGCTAAGATATGATGTGATAAAACTCCATAAAAGATATTTGTAGGGCACTGTAATACCAGGTTTAAAAAAAAAAAAAGATGCTAGAAGGGAAATTGGAAACTGGCCCCAAAAAGTGTTAATAGATAACAAATAAGCACTTCTTGTGAGACTGTTGAAGGGAAAACTCATAAAACTCAGAAAGGAATTCACACATATCTTAAGATTGAATCTCTACGGGGACAAAATGATCATTGTGCACCTGTTTTAGAAAGGCAGTGAATTAAAAAAATATATATATTGCTCCTCTTTGGCTTACAGAAAGTAGTAGAGAGAGAAGCCCAGGCTAGGAATATAATCTGTGTGTGGTAAAGGGAAAAAGTGGAATGACAAATGTCTCTGCCAAAGTACACGGTCCCTTTATTTAGTAAAATAATAATAATAAATAAAGAGAAAGCTGTGGCCTAGTTTGGGGTCAGAGAGAGAGAGTGGAAAGTACAACCCACTACTCTATATGAGAAATAATGAAGAATTTGAGGGTCGGGCACAGGCAACTAGGGAGAAAAGAGGACAGCAGAGAGAAAAGAACAGAGGCAGAGGGCTCAAGAAGGTGGCTGTGGGTGGAGGCTTAAGAAGGAAAAGTGCGCTTGCTGAGAAATTCTCAGTTGCAAAGATGGTTGAAGGACTTTGAAGATCTATGATGTGACTTTTTTTGTGTGTGTGTAAGATAGAGTCTTGTTCTGTCACCCAGGCTGGAGTGCAGTAGTGCAATCTTGGTTCACTGCAACCTCCGCTTCCCAGTTCAAGCAATTCTCGTCCCTCAGCCTCCTGAGTAGCTGGGAATACAGGCACAACACACACCATGCCCAGATTTTTTTTTTTTTTTTAGTAGTAGTAGTAACCTACTACTACTAAAAATAGTGTTTCACCATGTTGGCCAGGCTGGTCTTGAACTCACGACCTCAAGTGATCCACCCACCTCGGCCTCCCAAAGTGCTAGGATTATAGGCGTGAGCCTCCATGCCCTGCCTCACGTGACATTTTTAATATTAAGCTGTTCCCTCTTCCAAATTGTTCTGTATATTTTCTCTCAATATCTTCAAACCTTGCATACAAGTCAGTCATACGTAACAGCCTCAGGTCAAAGGGTCCATGGGAAATTTAAGGATAAGACATGGAAAAGAAGGCATGCCCCTTGGAATTACCCTTCTACTGAGGTCTACTTGGCAAAGGTGACAGCAGTTGAGGGAGATGGTTGTTCTAGAATTCCATGATCCTTAGGGAAACAGGTGAAGGTTTGAGCCAGACCTGAGAGCAGCAGGTAGGAGCTGATGGTAGCAGAAAAGCGGACCCTCATATGCACTGGCTCACTTTCAGTTTTTCCCAGACCTACCAGAGGAAGGTGGGAATTGAAGAGAGTTGTGCTATGACAGGGGAGGGAAACGCGGGTGTGAAAGTCTACAACACTTGGGTTACAGGAGGAGCTGGTGGTATTGCTGTCAGAGACAACACCTATGTATGTCATGATTATATAAATTGAATTTTTCTGTAGATAATGCAAGAGCTACTCATTTTTTTAAAATGAAAGTAGCATAATCAGATTTTAATGTTAGAAAGAACACTCAGATGATAGGATCGAGAAGAGATTGGAAAAGTAGGTGAGGATAGTTGGGAAGATTAGGAAGGGTCCAGAGATAAATAATAAATTAGGATGTCGAAGAGAGAAACCAAGAGGAGGCAATAAATTAGTCATTTCAAAGATCAAATCAATAAAGTTGATGGTTAATTTGAATGGGGTGGAGCAGTGAAGGAAATTGCTTGAATTATTAGTCACTAGCCAAGGTATGGAAAGCTTAGGAAAAAGCACAAGATTTAATGGGAAGGATATGTTGAGTTTGAGGTCTGTGGGGAACACTTAAGTGAAGATGGCTAATGGTCAGTGGAAGTATGGGTCTGGAGAACTGGAGTAAGGCTGGGCTTATTTATGATATAAAGCTTTGTGACAATATTCTCTCAGCCCAAAATTGGGATCCAGAGTTTTTCCGATTTCCAATGGCCAGTGAATTTATTTTCATGAAATTTTTACAAATACATGTGGAAGCGTATCATTTGATTTCAACTAATCTTCTTTGAGTAAAAGAATAAAGCCACTTGAAATCAAAATGTCCCTGAAAAAAAACGGTATATGGTCACTATATTTATACCTCATCTGTTTCAAAAAGAATTGATGTAATTGAGATGTTAGACCAAAGCTTAATAATAAAAAATATTAATTAGAAATTGATAAGAAAGAGAAGAAAATATAAGTAACTAGATCCCTGAAATTAGTCAATAACCCCAATACAAGTTTAAGTTAACTTGAGATTTCTGTTAAAATTAAGAAGGGGTGAAGAATATTTGATCAAAGTTACAAAGTATTTGATAAAAATGAAGGTCAGTATTAATTTAGGGAGAGAAACACTTCTTGACACAAAATTCTATGGAGAATTTGTCACACAGATCTGTATATAAAGGACACTGAGCAACAGTGAAAAATGGTTTTACCAAAGCTACAGAAATGTTCTCAAAATGGATCCTTCCTATATTGACCCTATTTAAAAGCTAAAGACATAATATTGAGTCCAAAGGGAAGATACTTTTTTTCAGAAAACTAAGATACCACGGCTCAAGTAGGTTGCTTTTTGATGATAATTAAAGGAATGGGGCCAGAAATCTTTTGAGGATTGGATAGTGAACATGTTTTGCTAATGCTCACATCTTAAATATTTTGAAGCAAGCTTCTGACAAAATTGCTGAATCTCTACTCTTTTGTTGTTGAATTCTCTGATGAGTGTTTAGGTTTTTGACATTCTGTGTATAGATGAAAGGAAATTTCAAATTCTTCAGGTTTCAGACTGTGATGGTTAATATTGAGTGTCAACTTGACCGGATTGAAGGATGCAAAGTATTATTCCAGGATGCGTCTGTGAGGGTGTTGCCAAAGGAGATTAACATTTGAGTCAGTGGACTGGGAGTGGTAGACCTACCCTCAATCTGGGTGGGTACCGTGTAATCAGCTGCCAATGCAGCTATAATAAAGCAGGCAGGAGAAGATGGAAGAGCAGACTTGCTGAGTATTCCGGCCTTCATCTTTCTCCTGTGCTAGACTCTTCCTGCCCTCAAACATCACACTCCAACTTCTTCAGCTTTTGGACTTTTGGACTTACACCAGTGGTTTGCCACGGGGCTTTTGGGCCTTTGGCCACAGACTGAAAGCTGCGCTGGCGGCTTCCCTACTTCTGAGGTTTTGGGACTCGGACTGATCACCACTGGCTTCCTTGCACCTCAACTTGCAGACAGCCTACTGTGAGACTTTACCTTGCGATTGTGTGAGTCCATTTTCCTTAATAAACTCCCTTTCATATATACATGTATCCTATTTGTTCTTCCCACTAGAGAACCCTGACTAATGCAAAGACCTATGGGAGAAGAGTTGAGGCTCTATTGTGAAAGTTTTGGAGGCACATTTTATGGTGGCCCACGTGGAAGACCTTACCATGTTTCCATGAATGAGGGCCTCTACAAATTTTGTAAAGGTCCTTCTAACTTGGAAAATTACTTTGAATCTATTTAATCCCTTACAGAATTTTACCACTGAAGGTTAAAGAATATAATTTTGGCTTGGAAACTTCAATAATTTGTCATCCCAGCCAAAAAAGCAAACTCTTTATTGCCTCTACAAAGAACATTCCCATGAACCCATAAGATCCAAATGAAATAACTCAATACTTCAGCTCTCTTTTGATTAGTTAAAAAGAGAGAGACAGAGAGAGAAAGAAAGAAGAAAGGAAGGAAGGAAGGAAGGAAGGAAAGGAGAAATAACCCCCAAATTAATAATATAATAATAAAGTTATCCCTCATTGCTGCTTTCACTGGACACCTTCAAATATGATCTCTTTTAAAATCCTGCTGGATGAGGTCATTTAACCATACCTATTTAAATATTAGGGAATACCAGTAAATGCAAGTATTTTCATTGTTAATTAGATTATGCTAATGCTACTGAAAATAATCTGCCGATATACTTTTTGCTTTTTCCAAAGCTCTGATATGAACAAAACAGTTTGGTTCTTACACACTTTTTTTTTCACATTTAGAGAGAAAGCCTCCCCCAATAAGAAAAATTTGTCAAAATGCTTATGAGCACTTTAGATTTAGATAAGGATACATCATTCCATTTATTGTATGTAAGTATAATAATTTAGGACAATATGTACAGTCAATCTGTTTAAAAATTGTCTCTATAAATTGTTAAGTATGTGATAAATCTTGAGCTGTTATTAACGTTAAAAGTAACTAAAGATGGCCAGGTGCAGTAGCTCACACCTGTACTCCCAGCACTTTGGGAGGCTGGGAGGGTGGATCACTTGAGGTCAGGAGTTTGAGACCAGCCTGGCCATCATGGTGAAACCCCATCTCTACTAAACATACAAAAAATTAGCCGGGTGTGGTACCACGTGCCTGTAATCCCAAGCTACTTGGGAGGCTAAGGCAGGAGAATTACTTGAACCCAGGAGATGGAGGTTGCAGTGAGCTGAGATTACATCACTGTACTCCAGCCTGGGTAACAGAGTGAGACTCCATCTAAAAAAAAAAAAAAAAAAGTAGTTCCAAACTGCTAAGACCTTAGTTAGGTTGTGTTGCCTATGGGGTCCCCAAGCTCATCACCATCCCTTAAAGTCCAGGATGATGGAAGCCTCTCAGAATCTTGACTAAAAATTCCAGTATCACTGACAGTGAGAGCAGAGAGTACTCTAAGTAAGGCAGGTTTGTCAGACCTGAACCTCTTTTCTCAGAATTGTCTAAATTCTGATCACCAGTTCAAACCTGGAACTCAGTGCCAAGGTCTTTAGTGTAGAAACAGCAAATGTGCACCTATGCACCTATTTCTTACACCTATTTCCAACCACAAGTTAATCAAGCACAGAGAATGTGTTGAAGTTGTGTGCCTGAAAATGATAACCACATTGACTTGATAGGCTGAAAACGGAAGGGGAAGAGACTAGAAGGCCCAGACACATCAGAGCCCTAAAAATGTGATATAGCGAGTGGATGAAGACTGATAAACTCAGCTTCATTGAGTTCTTATGGATTTTCTGCAGCTGGATAATGAGGCAGAGAGTTCATATCTGGCGAAACTGGGACTAATCTTATTCCTTAAGTTGCCTACGAGAGTAAAGAATGTTTTTAAAGACCAGATACAAGCATTTTTAGCAGCCAGCAAATTGTAAGTGGAGATAAGACAGAGTGGATGAGCTGGAAGAAGAGCTATCCTTCCTTGAATAGCAGTTCAAGCTCATATTCCCTCTGTCACCATTCAGACATGACCTCCGCCAGCTGAGCCTAATGCACAACCGCAGCATAAAGAAATACTGTCTCTTAGAATGGCATGCAGCAGGAAGAGGCAGGGCCTTTTGTCTCAAACCAACTTGTGCATACAGAGGAATAAGGTATTATCCTCATCTTAAACTCAAAGCACTCTCTATTTCAGAACAGGAAAAAAATGTACATGGCATCCAGGAATTTACTCTTTTATTTAATCTCATTCTCCTGCTTATCAGTTATTACCAGAACTTTATTCTCACCTTTTTAACCCTTCCTTTCCCTTTATCCCTCTAGGAAAGACACATTTTTAATCATTGACAAATGTTTGAGGTTTTTGTTTGTTTTAGTTTTAGTGTTTGTTTGTTTAGTCCTGACTATAGAACATGTCCAGCCTGTTGAAATTCTATCAAAGCTCTAAGGCTTACAGATGCCACCTGCACTGTTAACTTAGTCTTTCTTCTCCCATTGCTTGCAGTTGGTATGCCATTGCTGTAAATTAGACTGAATCTGCCATTGAGACATCCTCTCCTTTATCTTGTTTGTGTTGTGGAGATAAGAGATAAATTGAATGCCCCAAGTGAAATGCTATCAAGTTTTCCCTCTATGTGTAGAAATGGCAGTTTCTGAAGGCTCACTTATTCTCAGAACTTCCACCCTCTAGAGTTGATACAAAAGGAAAAAAAGGAGGTAAAAATCCATGTTTACTAATTGTTTTCCCACTGGGAGGCTTTTCACTAACTCTTTTACTTTCTTTTCCAAAATACTGTTATGTCAAGCTGTGTGCATGAAAGAATGATTAAATAATCAGAAACCTGTAATATTAAAAGTTGGAAGAATTTTTGTTTAATCCTGAGACTATGCAAATTGTCAGTAAGCCTATACCAGGCTGAGGAATAACTCTGGAGATTGTTATAATTTCTCAAATCAAGAATGCTTTTAATTCAGATATGGAATTTCACTAATTAAAATAAGAATACCAGTAAAATAATTAGATCTTTTACTAGAGAGGTGCCTTGCACATCTGCTTTGTGCTAAGTGCTGACATATGTTTACTTATTACTCTAAACACCATAATGAAGGGCAGACATTCTTACCCAAGGTATAAATTAATACTTCTTGGTGGTATTCATGGTCATTCCCAAATAATCTAAACCACAGATACTAAATTCAAATGCCAAGCGTCAATTGTTTCTTTTATGTTATTTATAATATCTCCAAAATTGGTGAATATTACAGTTGAATTGTATTTTAAACATACGAGTACTATGCAAACTATTTCATGCCTAGGTTTGTGTTTATATGGCTAAATCTCAGGAAAAGATTTTTAGTGCTTTAGAGGCACAGTTAACATTTTTCAGAATTACTTAAAATTCATTCATCTCTTTGCCTTTACCTCCTTGGGTTCTGTTTTCCCTTGTGTCTGACTCACAACATCTACTTTATGTGGGATGGTCTAAGGCATAATAGATGGGAATGTTACAATGGGGAAAAGGGTTGGTTTCCTGAACTTATCAATGGGAAGAGAGGAAAGGTTTAATTGGGATTCAGCCAGATGCATGGGATAATTCATTCCATGAAATATGGATTAGATGAACATAAAGAAATATGGGAATGACTGTGGAAAGGTAAAATAAAAGAAAACAATTTGGAGGAAATTTATTCTTATGTGTGCTTTCATTTATTTAATAATTTTTATTGATTGCTAAATTCTAGAGATTTTGCTAAGCAATGGAATATAAAGGTAAACAAAGCAAAACTAGAAGCTACCTGTCCTCAAGGAGTTTTTTGTTTTGTTTTGTTTTGTTTTTAAATATGAGGAGGTCTCACTTCATTGCCCGGCCTGGCCTCAAACTTCTGGTCTCAAGCAATTCTCCCGCTTCTCCCACCTCAGCCTCCTGAGTAGCAGAGATTATAAGTGCATACCACTATGCCTTCTATTAAATTTGGATCTAGTAGAGGAGACAGGTATGAATCAAATAATTACATAAGAGTACCATTCGAATTAATGATAGGTACAAGAAAGGAAAAAGATGGGGAGATATGAGAATGTATCATGGGGAAAAAGTATATATAAGGAAATGATGTTGGAGCTGAGACCTGAAGCTTGACTGGTGACAAGATAAATGCTGTTGGTCATTGAATTTTGACACATTCAAGGTAGGTTCTACCCATGGGGCTGAGTTCAAAATCCCTGAATACTTACGACAGATAAACAAAGGAACTGAAAACAGGAACACATTAAGAAATTACACAAAATGAGGAGCTGACATTAAGTCCTAAGCCTGCATATTACTAACTGTGCTTTGAGGATTTTCAGCTTATTCATGAGAATCAGCTATTTGTCCTTAAGAGAAGGCATGAAATAATTCAGAGTATTTTCTTTAGGTCACAGGAAACCCAGCATGTTGGAAGCTGGAATCCATCATGTCAAAGTGTATTATATATTTGTATTATTTGAATCTCTGAAATGTTAGTTAGGTGCAATTGGAGAAATGGAGATGATAGTCTATGCCAAGTTTATTTGTGGGCAAAGAGGCTTTCATTCATGAAGCACAGTTGTTTCTGCCTCAAAATCTTATTGAAGATGATGTCTATCCTGTCAACTTTGGCCTCTGGTGTTAATAGCAGGAAGAATGAAACACTATTAAATTATTTCTAAACTTCGCTGGATTGAATTCTGATCAGCTCAGAAGTGTAAGAGGGATTGCATTAGGTGGAGAAAGAGTCTTTAAGGGTCTTTATTCCAAAACCTTACAGGAGGGCTCCAAGCCCTGTGGCGGGTCTGTTTTGTGTTGTGACTTGATAGCAAATCACAGTGTTTGACGAATTTTTTTGGAACAGAGAGCTATTTGTATATTTTTTGTAATAAACCCTTGAAATATATTTCATAAGGGAATTGCCTAGCTTTTTGAAAGATTGGTTGATGTTATAAATGTCCTCACGCAAGGACTAAAGAGAGAAGAAAAAACTCAGTTATACCACCCAGAAGAGCATTAAAGCTGCATTTTATTTGGACAGATAGGAGAATAGGAAGAGGGTAACATATTTTTGCCTGTGGCTTCTCTGAACAAAGACCTTGGATATGAGACTATCCATCTCCAGCCTCAGATGATTTTCCTGAACACGAATAAGAGGCTCAGTTTAGAGCCTGTTAAAATATCCTCTCTAATAAGATGGAAACTGCATCTTTGTTTCAGACATGGCCTAGGTACAGAACTGTACCTATGGCTGTCATTTGTAAGGATAAAATAAACAATTTTCATAGATCATTATTAATAAAAGTTTACATGTATTGTAGACTTACTGTGTTTCATCCTCTGTGCAGATCTCTTTATATTGATATTTAATGTTTATAATAACACTATGAGGTAGGTTCTATTTATATGTTGGGGAAACCAAGGTGTAAAGAGATTAGAAAACCTAATGTAAGATCAAGTAAGTGGATAATCCTGGATAGAGCCCACGTTCCTGACTCCTGAAACCATGCTTCTAACCACTATAGTGTACCGCTTTTCATCCCCAGAGTCTAATATTTAGTTTCAGTTATACTGGTGATGTTTAGTGGATTGATGGAGGAACGAATTGATGAACGAATAGAAACCAAAATAAGGTAAATAAATTCAATTAGTTTAATAGATTCTCTTGCAAGGGAAAAATAGAGGGAAATTTAGTAAAAGTAATAAAATTTAACACACACACACACACACACACACTCCAAAACCACTTAAAAAGAACCCCGTACAAGAGGAGAACACTGCAATTAGAGGAGGCCCTTTTAACTGACAGAGTCAGCCAGCAATGACCCAATCCCAGAGCAAACAAATCATCTCTTTTCCCTTCTGCCTGGCAGATTGGCTTCAGTGTTGAACCAGTAAAAGCTTGGGGTTGTAGCACTCACAGGTTCACTATAGATCATGGTGTAGGGTTACATCGCTGTACCCTCTCCAGGTAATGACACCCTTGGCTAAGGCTCACATCAGACACCAGCTATCAGGCATGACATTGCTACAGCCAGACTACAAAGTGACATGAGAGAATTTTGAAAAAGGGCAAGGGGATAATTGCATCTCTTCCAAGGAGAGCTTCCTGAAGCTCTCCTTGGCAGTCATCCAAGTAAAGCTGAGTTAATGTTGCAGTCAGAGCAAGAACAAGCCACAAGCATTTGCTGCCTCTCACACTCCTGCCAATAGATGCATTCTGTTAAAACTGCACTCAGAACAGGCTTGCTAATAATCGTCAAGCTCTGCTACTGGCAACTCATCTCTTCAGATCGTTTCTGTGCCCAGCACAGCCTCTGTGACCGCGCATTGCTACCCTGGTGCACTTGGCTTTTCAACCCAGATCACCAGTCCCAAGAGACTGGCTGACCCTTGTTCTGCTTCACCTAAGCTGCTGGAAGTTCCACTTGCAATCAAGCAAAAAGGCCTTCAGACCTATTATATGGTCTGTTTGTCAAAGTGCTCTGAATGTCATAGTGGAAGTCTCTCTCTCTCTCTCTCCCTCTCTCTCTCCCTCTCTCTCTCTCTCTCTCTCTCTCCCAGTCTGCAGAACAGTGGCGCAATCCTGCCTCACAGCAACCTCCAACTCCCAGCTTCAAGCGATTCTCTTACCTAAGCCTCCTGAGTAGCTACAACTACAGGCATGTGCCACCACACCTGGCTAATTTTTTGTATTTTTAGTAGAGATGGGTTTCACCATGTTGGCCAGGCTGGTCTTCAACTCCTGACCTCAAGTAATCCACCTGACTCATAGTGGAAGCCTTCTAAGCCATGCTTTACATCATGCATATTAGACGACTGAACTGTGTGAAACTCTTCCTATTACAGGTCAAAATATATAGTGGTTTAACCCAGCACGTTTATCTTACCCATTTTTGTACAAAGCATATACCATGAAATTTAAATCTCATTCCACCTCATTCTCTCAGTTCTCCTCCATAGAAGCATCTGTCTTTAACAATTTATGTAAACTTCCAAATATTTTCATGGATATGCTTACACAGATTTGTTTCTAAGCATATATATTTCTTACACCAATGAGACCACATCTGTGTACATACAGTGCCATTCTTCTTTGCCTTGCTTGTTTTTACTCAGTTTATATCAAGGATCTTTTCTTCTCAGCCATTAGAGAGCTACCCCATTCATTTTGCATATTCACTTTATGGACATATCATTATTTAATCAGTCCCTTTTAAGTTGTTTCAAAAGTTTTGCTATTACAAACATTGCTGCAATACATACCTTTCTATATTTACCTTTTTATTACATCAAATATATTCATAGAATAAATTACTAGAAATATAATTGATGAATAATAGGTATATGCATTTTACGTTTTGATAGATACTGTCAAATTGCCTTCCAAAGACATTGGAATTTACCCTTCCACCAATAGCAGATGAAACAGTTCACTTTTCTTAATACTTAATCCACCCTCACAACTGTTACAGATAATTGTGTTTTTTAAAAAATAAACAAGGCAGTACAGATTAGAATTGTAGCTTATCTTACCCCTCTTCGATCTCATACCCCTTTTTACTTCCATTGAGATTATAGCCATATTAAATTTATTATTCCCACAATTTTTAATACTGTTACTTCTAATACATGGATTTTATGGATGCATTTTACATATGTTATGAATGCTTTATACATTTACTTTAAATAAACACTATATATATTATTTGGACACATGTCTTTAAGCATTATATAAATCATGTAGTATGGTATCGTCATTTGGCAGCTGGATTTCTTAAAAATCACGTTTTATTCCTGGAATTTACCCTTTATCTATATAGCTTTGATTTAGTTTATATTTTTCACTGATATATAGTACGCAGTACCCATTGTAAATGGTGGAATATGCTACCATTTATTTTTCTAACATCCCATTGATGGGAATTTATATTGTTTTATACATTTTTTAAAATATTTTACTGTTATAAACAATATGATAATGAACATTTTGTTCTTCTTTGGTCTGATAATTTCTCTGATAGGTCCAAGGGTGTGAGTATCTTCAGGTTTGCTAAATGATACCACTTTGATCTCATTTATTCTCCCATCAGCTGTGCATTAGCACTGTCATTACTCAGCATCCTCCACAGTACTTAATATTGTCCAACTAAAAAGGTTTGCTAATCTGATAGGGGCAAATTATATTTCTTATTGTCTCAATTTGCTTTTCCTCCATTACTAACGTGATTGCACATCTTTTTATACATTTCTTGGCCATTTGTACTTCCTGTTTTGTGAATTGGCTTTACATGTATCTATCCTTCACCCAACTGAGGTCAAGAGAGTTAAGCCTCCTGGTCATCTCTGTGCTTGGTAGGGTTTTTCTAATGTATTCCTTCACAGAGGATATAAATTTTAGGGATCTTTGGTATATGCCAGAGTTTCAGTTCATATGCTTGCTTACTAGTTTTCAGCATTCCCTTTGTTTCTGCTTTATATTTTAAAATGTATTTGTTCTGTTTTGTTTTATTTTGTGGTTTTATTTATTTATTTTTGTAAAGGGATTTTTAGGATCATTTCTCCAAGCTATTTCTGGAACTGGAAGTCTGTTAAATTTACTTGTAGGTTATTATAAAATTCTTATAGAATTCATTAAACGATAGAGCCTAGTTACTTATGTCTCTAAGAAAGCATCTGCATAACTGTCTGAAAGGTGTTCTGCCTTTGAAAATTCAATTTTTAAATTCTCAAGTGACAAAAGAATTTAACATTTCTCTTGATAGCACAGGAGAAAAAGCACACAATCCAACTGAAGAGTGAAAGATGCAGACTTCAGGACATCAAAGCTTCAGTGAGAAACATAATAGTATAGATTTGAGGGTAAGCTACAACGTGTTTGCTAAGGGGACATTTCTCCTGATTTGATTTGAAAGGGCAAGCAGGGAGGTGAAGAAGACTTCATTGAAGAAGTCATAGGGAAATTTAGCACATAAATGCATTATTAATTATGGTGTCATTAAGCTCATTTTCTCTAAAGCAATTATATAAATTTTAAAAGTACATCTATGGTACTTCTTGGAGGCATTAAAAGCAATGTATTGTTTAAAAAAAACACAGAAGAGAGGCAATTTATATCAGCAAACATGTAAATTGACTTTGTTAAGGTTCTTTCTCAGATAAAAGTGACTAATTAACTTACTCTATTATATAAGCTTGTGAATATCTCTAAAAAACAGCAAAGAATAAATATTCACAATAGTATAATATTTAAAAATCAAGCATCATTTATTTTAAGAACAGTCTGTGTGGAGATAAATATTGATGTATACAATTGGATGGAATATAAGAATACAAAGAGTGTTATTTCTTTTAAGAAGATTTTATTAACTAGGGTTACATATTTGTTATCATTAAATTATCCACATTGAAGATGATCCTAATTATTTAGCCTCCATCTACTACCTACTAGATAAGATGGTCCTAATCTAGCATTACTGTTCTTATTGCAAACAGTAAGAAATACCTGGATGAGGTGTTTTAGACCCCAAATTGGGGCTTAAAGGCTTAGCTTGTAGACCTCAAATTAGGAACTGTAAGAACAGGATATATTCTAATCCTTTTCCATTAATAGTATCTTATTTCTCCTTTGGGTATAGTCCCCTAGCTCCTGAGGAAACAAAAATGATTAATGGAATTACTGTGGTCTGTGATCAGTGAAGATGTCTATTGAGAAAAATAATCAGGATTGGCACCACAACATCAGAAGTTATGCTATTACCAGGTAAGTAAACCCTTTCCCTGGTTCAACTTCATTCTTGCAGTTCCTGCAATGTGTATGGACTCAGTCATTATGAATACAGCAAGAAAATGGCAGATCTATCCTTATAAGGATACATTTCCTTCCTTCCTTCCTTCCTTCCTTCCTTCCTCCCCTTCCCTCCCCTCCTGCCCTCCCCTCCCCTCCCTCCCTCCCTCCCTCCCTTCTTTCTTTCTCTTTCTTTCTTTCTCTTTCTTTCTTTCTTTCCTTCCTTCTTTCTTTCTTTCTTTCTTTCTTTCTTTCTTTCTTTCTTTCTTTCTCTTTCTTTCTTCCTTCCTTCCTTCCTTCCTTCCTTCCTTCCTTCCTTCCTTTCTCTTTCTTTCTTTCTTTCTTTCTTTCTTTCTTTCTTTCTTTCTTTCTTTTCTTTACAGTGGTTTGCTCTGTTCCTCTAAATTTGCGGATATGCATCTTAGGTTATAAAGGAGTGAACAGGTTGATTTGACCTAAGGTGAGCTAAAATTGAGGAGCGTAAGAGACAGTGGTGTTAACTATACCAAGAATACACTTACTGGAACAGATTCAGAATTTTAGTACCTTCTATTTTTAAGTTAGAAAGGGAAACATAATATAATTTTCCATGTGCTGTTTACTGAAGAAGACAGGTTGGCGTCCAAAAATTCTGTAGAATCAGATACTTTGTATCACATATTAAAAGAGTTCTCTACTTTATACACATAGTAAAACCTAACTTCTGTTTCATCAGATGGATTTATACTATTTCTGGAATGCTGCCTTTCATTTACTTTGAGGTGGATAAAACCTAATCGTTTGAAATTTTAATGATAGAATTAAATAACTATGAAAGTTCAGAAACAAATTCATTCCAAATAAACTCTCTCATTTTCAGTTGTACTTTATTTTCTTATTACCCAGTATTTTGTTGTTGATGCTTGCATGTGATTAAAATATACTTCCTTGATTCTGGGAATGGCAAACGTAAAATAAGAAGAAAAAGTACTCCCCATTCCCCCCATTCCTATATTTCTTAATTCCTGATAATATGCTTTTTCTTCTCTATTTTCTCTTTGTCTTTGCCTATACTGTCTCATTTAAACCTTAAGTTAATTTTAATATGGCAATAAATTTACATTGTTATTAATATCCAATGTCTACTCTGAACTTTGTTCTACTCTGACTCTTAACAGTACGTTTTTGCATGTATCTCCTATTTTAAACAGATGTATTTGACATTTAGTTGCTAATTAAACCAATCATTATCAGAATTCACAATCATTTCTTAAACATCATTAAAAAAGCAATTTGTGAGGTATAAAATGTAAAGGTGAGATTGATTTGGATGAGTTATTTTAATACAAAAATCTCAGACTTAGGTCCTGGAGAAATAAAAATCAGTGATGCCAAATAAGCATTTTCTTACAGCGTAAAATGTCCTCTTTAAGCTTAAATTTTGAAAGGCATTACATAGTTTTAAGTGGGACTTCTAGCCTTATTTTCACATGCTATATGTGTAGGTTATATTAGTTTTCTATGCTGTATGACAAATTATCACAAACCTAGCAGCTGAAAGCGATATACATTTATTATCTCAGTTTCTGTGGTTCAGGCATCCAGGCACAGTTTAACTGTGTCCTCAAATCAGGATCTCAGAGGCTGCAATCAAGGTATCAACCAGGCTGCTTTCTCATTTGGATTACTGACTGGAGGAATCTGCTTCAAGCCTCACTCAGGTAGTTAGCAGAATTCAATCCCTTGGGATGGTCAGACTAAAGGCAGGCCTTGACTGCAGTGTTCCTGGAGACAGCCTGCAGTTTCTTGCTATGTAATCACTGTCATGGTAAATTTTATGTGTCAACTTAACTGGATCACAGGGAGCCCAGATATTTTGGCTAAACATTATTTCTGGGTGTGTCCATGAGGGTGTTTCTGTATGAGACTTGCATTTGAATCAGTGGACTGAGAAGGCAGATAGCCCTCCCAAATAGGAGTGGGCATCACCCAATTCATTGCGGGCCTGAATAGAACAAAAAGGCAGAGGAAAGAAGAGATTGCCCCCTCTGCCTTACTCCTAAGCTGGGACATCCATCTTTTTCTGCCCTCAGACTGAGGCTTACACTGTCAGCTCACCTGGTTTAGGCCCTTGGACTTGGACTGAACTATATCATGCACTTTCCTGTGTCTTCAGCTTGAGATGGTGGATTGTGGAACTTAGCCTCCATAACACATGAGCAAATTTCTCATAATAAATCTCTGTCTACCTACCTAGCTACCTAGCTACCTAGCTACCTAGCTACCTACCTACCTACCTACCTATCCATCCTATTGGCTCTGTTTCTTTGGAGAACCCTGAGTAATACAGCCACTAACTTCATAAAGTTGGCAAGAAGAGTCTTTAGAATAGTCTGCTAGCAAGGCAGAATCCTACATAATGTAACATAATCACCCAGTGACATCCTATCATGTTTGCCATATTTTATTGACTAGAAGCTAGAAGTCATAGCTTCTGCCCACTGTCAAGTGGAAGGGATCACACAAGGACACCAAGACCAGGAGTCCAGGATCATGATAGGCAGCACCCTTAGGCCTGTCTACCATATAGGTAAATGTAAAATATGTGTTTATTATTTTTATCTTGAATATATTTTAACATTTATTTAAAAATCTATTAACAGTATAAAATGAGAATAAGAACTACATATGGAATTTTAGCATTTGTTGAAATAAAATACATGTCAACAAAAACACAAAGGGGAGTAGGAGATACAATTAATTTTGTCTTTGGTTTCTTAACATTGCTTACATGGTGGAATAAGATTGCCTGATAGTAGATTATGATAATTTAAAGATGTGTATTATATTCTGTGGAGAAGAGGTTCCCAATGTATAAGCTTCAGAACTTGTTAAGATAAGCAAATTCTCAGCTCCTACCTCCTACTTTTTGAATCAGAAACTCTAAGGTTGGGCCTAGCAGTATGTGATTTAACAAACACTCCAGGTAATTTTTATGCATTCTGAAGTTTGAGATCCACTATAAAGTAATAAAGTGAGGTACAGCTAATAACATCAGTAGAAGGGGTAAAGTAGATACAAAATACACTTGATTCACACAAATAAATGCAATAAAAGAGGAGTAGAGGAACAAAGAGCAGATGAAACACATAAAAAATTCCAAGATGATAAACTCACATATCAATTTAAAGCAATACAAAACAGAGTAGACATGTCTGAATATGGAAGTGCTGATAAAGACTTGGAATAAGCTCCTAAATGGAGATGAAAAGGACAAACATTAAAGCAGCCAGAGTAAATCTGATAGCTGGAATAGGCAAACTGGATCTTTAGTAAGTACAATTGGTGTCCTTGAAGTATGAAACTCAACAAATGAAACAGAAAATATTGAAAGATAAAATAAGGAAATTATTTCAAATAAGAAACACCTAAAGTTGCCATCCAAAGGGCACATAGCCTCCTTTTTTTGTTTTTTAGGAAAATTTCATTCCAAACATTTAAAACAGCATGGCAAGATATTTTTATGGCAAATGCTCAACACCACGACATATCATGAGGCTGTTTATTCTTAGACATCCAGGCATAATAAGAAAAATACCTACTGGGGGAAATATCAGGCTGGCATCAAATTTCAGTATACAAACATTCAATGCCAAAAGATAATGAAGCTATGTTCACTAAATTCTGAATGTGAGAACTCATAATCTAAGAATATTATATTCAGCCAAGATATTCTTCCCATGGCATTCTTAAACATGAAAGGATTAAAGAAATAAAATGCCTGTTAATTCATTCTCGAAAGACTACTTGATCAAAAACTCCAGCAAATTAAGAGATGAATCAAAATGTTCAAAAGATTGTTTCAGAAATGAAGAAGCTTAGAAAAATGAACACAAACTGAAATATATGAGGAATTGAAGAGAGAAGGATGTGACAAAAGTATGGCTGTGTGTTCCCAAAAGGCAAACTGAGGTTGGAAAGTAACAAATTTTTAGTGACACTAATGTCTCCTCCTTTTAGCTGCTCACTTATAGGATTTTCATTGTAAGTGCAAGAGAAAAAAGGGCCAGTGAACTGGTTATACTGACAAGAAAGACATTTCTAAGACAGATAAGAAATTAAGCAAATTTCTAAGGAGGAGATGTATTTAGAGAAAGGAAGAGATGTAGATGCTTACAAAAGTGTAAGAACAGTTGTAGTGGGAATAAAGAGTGAACAAGTTGAAGAATATGAGGTTGTTGGCAGAGACTGATGTATTTGAAATGACAGAAATTGTTATATAAGAATCCAGAGAAAAATCAGTTTGAAGTTACAATAAGGTCGGTTGAAATCATGCAATTAGGTTGTTAGTTTACAGGTACACAGTTGGGATGAAAGGAGGTTTAACATGTTGAGATTAACTTGTTAGATCATACATGTGGACAGTGAAGCATACTTGCTGCAGTGACAGCAAGTTTTTGAACATGAGATGCCATGTCATTGACCTTTGACCAAGGACTACATTTATAATTTTCTGTCCTTTCCTTTTTTCATTCAATAAATATTTCCTGAGAGCTTATTCTGTGCTAGACACTCGTCACAGCCTTTAGGTGAATAATGCATTTACTCTCAACAGCCGTATGAAGTAAGAACTGTTGTCATCCCTTGTAAAGAACTTTTGTTATCTTAGAGATGAGAAAAGCAAAGCACTGAGAGGTTAAGAAATTTAAACAAGGCCACTGAGCTGGCAAGTAGTGGAACCAGGATTCAAACCCAGAGAGTTCAGCTTCAGATCCAGTGCTCTTTACCACTGCATCTTTAATATTGTCTCATCCTTTTCATCATTTAGAAGTGATGGGCTAGCTGTGTTTTCATATAAGGTAAGGGTTGTCATTCATTCATTCATTCATTCATTCATTCAACAACATTAATTGATTGCCCAGGCACTGTTGTCATGTTCACGACCATAGTCCCCAGCATCCATGCAGCTTCCTCTTTCTCTTTAATAAAGTTTCCTAATGGCATCTGGTAAGGCAAGTTCCCTGCATTCCTCTTCCTTAGCAACATTGTCCTAGCTCTTTTCACATGTTAGAATAATTTCGTATGTTCTCCAAAATCCTCTTGTAATTCTGATTGGCAGTATATCATCTATAGAGATGAATTTAGGGGAAATTTATTGTTTCCTAAGATCAAAGTATTTTATTCCCTTTAGTCTAGGTAGGTTTGTTTGGATTTTTTGTCATTGTTAATAGAAAAATTTGGGGTTTTTTGTTTCTTTATTTTGATTCTGAACATTTCTTGTTATATTTAGCTCGTTTATGTTTTTTGTTGCTGTTATAAAGCAGAGCTTTCCTCCCATTAAATTTTCTAACCAGTTACTGTCAGTATAACATACAGCTATTGATTTTTACATATAAATTTGTAACCAATGTCCATCTTGGATTCTTTTATAGTATCTAGCAGTTTGAGGTATACTATCTTGTGTTTTCTAAATATATAATCTTGACATTATTTGGATCCAAGGCAAAAAAGAATGTGCAACAGAGCCAGGATTCAAATTCCTTCTCCTGATCCAAGTTCAATGGCATTTCTACTGTGCTACAAAGTGTATTTATAGCTATGTGGAATGAGATGCACAATGTATAATATGGTCTAAGAAATACTGGACCTCGGCCTCTCCCTAAAAATATCTTCTCTTCCTTGAAGCTTATCATGGAGCCCAAAATATTTTAACCCGAAAGAATCTTTTTTGTTGGGGAGGTTGTGCAAACAGCTTAATTGTCAGAAGCAATTCTGTTAGAGTTCATATACCATAAGGAATAATATTGTAAGGTATCTGTCCCCAAAGTGGATTATTTTTTGCTAGACTCTAAAGTCCATGAACGCGTTACCGGTGGAAGGTATCCAGGTTACTGGTGGTGAATCCATACGGGTCGGTAGCAATCTCAATTTGCCTCCTCAGAAGAAAGAATTTGACTAAGGGTCATAGGGCAGAAAAAGAGATGAAAGCAAGTTTGAGAGCAGGAGTGGAAGTTTATTTAAAAGGCTTTAGAACAGGAAAGAGACAAATGGAAAATACGCTTGGAAGAGACCCAAGCAGGCACCAAGGTCAAGTGCAGTGTTTAACTTTGATCCAAGGACTTTATAGGCAGCCCCCTTCCCAAGATTCTCCCCTTAGGGAGGGCTGCCCACATGCGCAGTGCCCTCCTTACCCTTGGGAGTTGAGTATGCGCAGTGTGTTCAGGCAGTTGTACGCATGCCCATTTGAGATTTTCCTTCTTTTTCAGAACACCCCAGAACATCATATTCTGCCATTTTGTCTCTTAATGTGTATGCCCAGGAAGTTTCTTCTCCCTGGTGTCTGCGTTCAATTAACGCTTTAGTGTAACAGCTGTGGACTGTCAGGAAATGGCCCCTCCCTGGTGCCGACTCCCAATTTATCACTTTTAGAGAGACAATGTCATAACTGCCAAACCATCACCCAACATTCCTAGTGGGTAGGGAAGAGCCCTCTCCTGCTCCATTCATGCCTAACTACCTGGAACAAAGGGAGGAATCACTGCTCTCACTTATGAGTTCCTTGATGCAACAAGTAGTTTCTGTAAATGTGTTTGCTCAATTGAAGTGAGTTAGAATATGGAGAAAACTAATCCATAAGATGTTAATAGGTGTTATCTAAAATGAATTTCCATAATTAAATATGTTTGAGCAATGCTGGGTGAAACAATGTTTACACAAGTCACTTTACTGTGGAATGTTCAGAGGCTTTATGCATCTGTGTAGGTATCTATTTTGATTCTCAGAGTGAGACCTGGATTTTCAAAGTTTTCAAACTTGTTTTGCCATGAAGCCTTTTCATTTCCCTTGGAGCAGTTTAGGATTTTGAAAATGCTGCTGAAAAGGATCATGAGTTAACAGATACCAGTAGTAATTAGCGAACAGAGAGCTAGGATCAGAGTCCTGTGAGGTGTGGCACAGGCTGGAAACCTGAGCAGAGGAGAGGTCATGAAAGGAGAAGCAGGGAGACTTTGAAGACAGACTACCTACTTTTCAGCTCTAGACCAAGACATCATCTTGCAAGGCCAGAGAATATAGGTATCTGTGGTTACTAATCTGACATCATTTTTCTAATAATGTCTGGAGAGCAGTCAAGGTACTCCAAGTGTGTCTTCAGATCATGGGCACATGTGATGTAGCCCCACATTGAGAAGTGTGCTTCTCATTCCTCTTGAAAACCAGCACAAGACAAGATTGCCCTCTCTCACCACTCCTATTCAACACAGTATTGGAAGTTCTGGCCAGGGAATAAGGTAAGAGAAAGAAATAAAGGGCATCCAAATAGGAAGAGAGGAAGTGAAACTATATTTGTTTGCAGATGACATGATCCTATATCTAGACCACTCCATTGTCTCAGCCCAAAAGCTTCTTAAGCTGATAGGCAACTTCAGCAAAGTCTCAGGATATAAAATCAATGTGAAAAAATTGCTAGCATCACTGTACACCAACAACAGTCAAGGCAAGAGCCAAATCATGTATGAACTCCCATTCACAATTTCCACAAAAAGAATAAAATACCTAGGAATACAGATAACAAGAGAAGTGTGACCTCTTCAAGGAGAACTACAAACCACTGCTCAAGGAAATCAGAGATGACACAAACAAATGGAAAAATATTCCATGCTCATGGATAGGAAGAATTAATATCTTGAAAATGGCCATACTGCCCAAAGCAATTTAGAGATTCAGTGCTATTCCTGTTAAAATACCATTGACATTCTTCACAGAATTAGAAAAAAAAACAACAACTATTTTAAAATTCACATGGAACCAAAAAAGAGCCCAAATAGCCAAGGCAATTCTAAGCAAAAAGAACAAAACTGGAGGTGTCACACTACCTGACTTCAAGTGATACTAGAGGGTTACAGTAACCAAAACAACATATTCTCTGTATTTTCGCTATATTCTCATACAAAACACATCTGGCACCACGTGTATGGTACAAGAACAGACACACAGCCCAGTGGAACAGAATGGAGAACCAGAAATAAGACCTCAAACCTACAACCATCTGATCTTTGACAAACTTGACAAAAATAAGCAATGGGGAAAGGATTGTCTATTTAATAAATGGTGCTGGGAGAACTGGCTAGCCACATGAGAAAAACTGAAACTGGAACCCTTTCTTATACCATATACAAAAATCAACTCAAGATGGATTAAAGACTTAAACGTAAAACCCAAAACTATATAAAAAGAAAAAACCTATTAAAAAAAAAAAAAACCCTAGAAGAAAACCTATGGCAATACCATACCATATAGGTAGGGGCAAAGATTTCATGATGAAGATACCAAAAGTAATTGCAACAAAGTCAAAAATTGACAAATGGGATCTAATTAAAATAAAGAGCTTCTCCACAGCAAAAGAAACTATCAACAGAGTAAACAGACAACCTACACAATGTGAGAAAATTTTTACAATCTATCCATGTGACAAACGTCTAATATCCAGCAGCTACCAGGAATGTAAACAAATTTACAAGAAAAAAAAACAACAACCCCATTTAAAAGTGGGCAAAGGACATAAATAGACACTTCTAAAAAGAAGACATATATGTGGCCAACAAACATATGAAATAAAGCTCAACATCACTGACTATTGGAGAAATGCCAATCAAAACCACAGTGAGATACCGTCTCATGCCAGTCAGAATGGCTATTACTAAAAAGTCAATAAACAACAGGTGCTTAGTGAGGTAGTGGAGAAAAAGCAACACTTTTACACAGATGGTGGGAGTGTAAATTAGTTCAACCATTGTGGAAGACAGTGTGGCGATTCCTCAAAGACCTAGAGGCAGAAATACCATTCAACCCAGCAATCCCATTACTGGTTATATACCCAAAGGAATATACATTCTTCTACTATAAAGACAGATGCATGCATATGTTCATTGCAGCACTATTCACAATAACAAAGACTTGGAATCAACCTAAATACCCATCAATGATAAACTGGATAAAGAAAATATGGTACATATACATCATTGAATACTATGCAGCCATAAAAAGGAATGAGATCATGTCCTTTGCAGGGACGTGGATGGAGCTGGAGGCCATTATCCTTAGCAAACTAACGTAGGAACAGAAAACCAAATACTGCATGTTCTCACTTATAAGTGGGAGCTAAATAATGAGGACACATGAACACAGGGGGGAAACAACAGACACTGGGGTCTGTTGGAGGGCAGGGGGTGGGAGGTGGGAGAGGATCAGGAAGAATAGCTAATGGATGCTGTGCTTAACACCTGGGTGATGGGATGATCTGTGCAGCAAACCACCATGGCACACGTTTACCTATGTAACAAACCTGCACATGTACCCCTGAACTTAAAAGTTGCCAATTTAAAAAAAAGAGAGAGAGAGAGAGAGAGAAGTGTGCTTCTGCTGCTGGAGATCATAGAGCAAGTAGGCTGGCCACATGCAGGATCAAGTGGTACATACTTCTCTGTGATACTCTTACCCTTAGCTTTATCATTTTAACTCCCACATTTCACCTTTACCCTGACTCCTCCATCTAGTTTATCTGCTTTTTTTTCTGTATTCTTGTCAGCTCTGTAAATCCTTCATTAGCTAGAAAGGAACATTGTATAGAAAACTCTTATTTGTTTCACTATATGCTCACACAAAACACTTCTGGCACCAGATGTGTGGGTTCCACACACACACACACAGGCCAATTCCCTGACATCAGCTGGGTGTCCCAAAATTTGACTCAATTTGGACACTATCTAACTAGAGATAGCATCAGATCCCAACAGGTTGAGGGCTCAGTCCCACAAGACTGTGTCCACTTCAGGCACCAATCACAAGTCCAGGCTGTGACATGTGCTCCTGACTGTGTGGCTATCAATTCAAGATTCCCCTGACCTCGTACTGAGACTCAATAATTTGCTAGAATGGCTCATAGAACTCAAGACAATTTACTTACTAGATTGGCAGTTTATTATAGAAAGATATAAATCAGGAACAACCAGATGGAAGAGAGGTATAGGGCAAGGCATGAGGAAAGGGACGTGGGACTTCTATGCCCTCTCCAGACTTGCCACCTTCCCATCACCTCCAGGTGCTCAACAGCCTGGATGCTCTCTGAACCTTGTCCTTTTGAGATTTCATTGTGAAGGCACAATTGATTAAATCATTGACCATTAGTTATGGTCTCAACCTCCAGACCCTCTCCACTCCCCAGTGGTGAAAGTTCCAACCCTCTGATCACATGGTTTGTTCCCCTGGCAACCAGCCCCCATCCTGAGGCTATTTAGGAGTCCCTAGCCACCAGTCATCTTATAAGCACATAAAAGACACCACTTTGGAAATTCCAAGGGTTTTAGGAGCTCTGTGTCAGTAACTAGATGAAGACCAAATATATATTTTTATTATAAATTATAATATCACAGGCATAAATAAACAAATACCATTGCCAGGAGGTACTAGTACTTAATCTCTACCTTTGTGAAGCTCATAATTTATTGAGATGCCAAAACCTAAGCAGACAATCACAGCTCAGTGTGAGAGGTTCTGTGATGGTGCACATACAAGATATAAAAGGGGTGTCTGCATTGCCTAGGGAAAACCAAGATGCTTCATGCTTTTGAGACAAGTCAATAGTTCATGTAATTTCAAATGCTGAGTGATTCTACAACCATTTATCTCTCTGGATGGGAAATGCAACTGGAACTCTTTCAGTCAAAATAGCCTCCCCTCTTAAATGATTTTCCTTGGGACAACATTGAAATGTTGCAGACATGGCAAGCAGGAATCTCATCAAGTTTGGAGTTGAAGCAGGACGAGCCGCAGACAAAACTCCTCAGACAGGGAGTTAAAGAAGGAAGAGGTTTATTCAGCTGGGGGCATCAGCAAGACTCCTGTCTCAAGAGCCAAGCTCCCCGAGTGAGCAATTCCTGTCCCTTTTAAGGGCTCACAACTCTAAGGGGGTGCGTGTGAGAGGGTCCTGATTCAGCAAACAGCGGGTACATGACTGGGGACTGTATGCACCGGTAATTAGATCAGAACACAACAAGATAGGGATTTTCACAGTGCATTTTAATACAATGTCTGTAATCTATAGATAACATAACTGATTAGGTCAGGGGTCGATCTTTAACTACCAGGCCCAGGGTGCGGCGCTGGGCTGTCTGCCTGTGGATTTCATTTCTGCCTTTTAGTTTTTACTTCTTCTTTCTTTGGAGGCAGAAATTGGGCATAAGACGATATGAGGGGTGTCTCCTCCCTTAGAGTGACAAAGGATGTCAATATGGAATTAAAATGGACCTTAGATATTCCACTATGATTTTACACAACTTAGCAACTACTTACATATATGTACGTTTATTAAGTGCTTTAATATACACCAGAGTCAGCAAATTACAACCCGTGGGACAAATCCAGCCCAGCACCTGTTTCTGTATGACCAGGAGCTAAAAATGACTTTTACATATGTAAATGCTTAGGGGAAAAATCAAGAGAAAAAATAGCTTTTTTTGAAATATAAAATATGTATAAAATTAAAATGCTAGTGTTCATAAGTAAAGTTTTATTGGACACTGACACACTTGTTCATGTATTGTCTATGGCTGCTTTTGCCCTCCAACAGCAGAGTTAAGTAGTTACAACAGAGACCATAATTACCAGCAAGGCCTGCATATTTACTCTGGCCTTTCATGGAAAAAGTTTGCTAACCACTGAGAATTACCACTGTTTGATCTGCACAGGAACCTATGGGGAAATTAGGAGAGTGGTCCCCCCAACTAAACAGAGGAAGAAAGAGGCTGAAGAGTTTAAGTTTACCTTGCTTGTGAGTGCTTATCCTAGAAAACTAAATGCAGATCTTATGACTTCAAATGGAATATCTTTCCATTATAGTAAACATACGTTTAGGCCCTTTTGCTCTAAATGTGGTTACTATCATAAAGGAAAATAAAAAATCTCAGGTCCCCCAAATTTCTTATGCAAAATGGAAGATTAAGCTGGGAGGCTGAGTCATGCAACACCCTTTTTCCAATGAATAGCTGTTAGCAACATTATCCATCAGCCAGATTCCCAGGGAAGTGTAGAAGGCCTCAGACATCTACAAAGGGTTCCTCCACAGATCACTCATAAGTAAATTCTTTGCTGTACTCCCATAAACAAGGGCATGCCAATTGTAACTTTAGGTCTACAATCTAAGTCTAGCTCCTAAAACTAAAGCCTGTTCATTTCCACCCTGATAATGTCAATTACAAGCTTTTCTTCCCAGGTGTAAAACAAAGACAAGACTTAAGTCCTCCACCTTGCCCAGAGACATCTGCATAATTGACTTTTCCTTTCACTCCCTTTTGTCTTCAAATATTCACCTTCTCTTACGTAAAATGTAGATTTACTATGCACTAATGTGTCTCATAGGAATGTAACTATTCACTTTACCACCCTACCTGCCCTTCTTCATACCTGCCTTTCCCCCTTTAAGGAAATGTATAAATACTAAACCTCCTAAAAATCTCTTAGTAAAAACAGCCACAGAAGTGCCTGTGTCTTGTGTTTTTCCCGGAGGCACCCTTAAGCTAGCTTAATAAACCTTGATGATTGAGACTTTTTTCTCAGTTACTCATTTTGGTTGTTACCATTATTATTTGAAATTTTGTCTTGTTTTGTTTTGGTTATTTTGAGTAGGGAAAATTCTGGTCATTTCTGGTCATTAGTCCAATTATCTGGCCTAAAAATACTCGATCTGAATCTGAAGTGACGTCAGATCGACACCAAAACCCACACTCAGAATTTGCCACCCGGCAAGCTCTTGTAGTTGATGCTGTGAGCCCTGAATATAGGATAACAGTAAAATCATAAAGTGTAAAATAAGAGGAAATGTTGCACACCTCCCAGGGCGCAGGTGCACTAAACATTGCCCACCTCCTTCTTTTATTCTCTTGCTTCAGCTAAGAAAATAGGATTGAGTACCTTGGTTGCCATTTTTTAAATCCCTAGGTAAAAACTGTCTAAATAAAGATTTTCATGTGGGCTGCAGTTCACATCTTCCCCCACATTTTCAAACATTCTTTCTCCCCTTGGAAAGCTACTCAGCAGAGTGCCCCTGGAGGGAGGTGAGAGGCTGTGGAGGAGAGGGGGAGGATGGGACACTATTGAGAGAAAAATAAAACTTTGTGCAAAAATAAACTGAGCTGGCTGAGCCTATTGATATTATAAATTGATTTTTAAAAATCACCAGTTAGACAAAATTCTCTAGAAGATTTTCCTGGGTTTCTGCTATCATAAGAGCCAAGAAAATCTAAAATACGACAAACCATAGACAAGTCTGCCAGGTAACTTTACAATGCTATAAAAACAAGAAAGCTATATATTTTTCCTCTTACCTCCTTTCAAGCATTCCATCATTATAGATATGGAATTGAAAGATTTTTAGTTCTAGAACACTTTGCATATATTTTAAAGTGATGCTATTTTTTTCTAATCAATAAAATCAAATTCTTCCACCTTTTTTCTGTTTAATTTCTGGTAAGGCCTTTTTCTGTTGTTGTAATACAGTATTTCACAAAGTTGTTTTGCTGCAAGAAGGAGAAGAAGCAGCTTTCAAATTATACAAAAGAGAGAGTTGAGCTAAATAAATTCAGTGGGAATATTGTCAGTGTACTTTCTTAAGAGAAAAGGCCACAAATTCGACTTATATTACCATTTTATCACCAAATTTTGAATTTATTTACGTACAGTAAACAACATCAGGTTTTTTGCTTTTGTTTCAACTGAGAAAAACCACCTCCTGGATTAATTGAGGCTTAGCCTGTAACAAGAGACATAGATCATTTAACATTTTCTGCTTAAAGTATGTTCATTATGTTCTTGCTGATCTGTTTCAAGGCTGTTGCAATGCATAAAACTATCGACTATATAAAGCAACAAGCAAGGAGGAAATGCCACTTGTGCTGAATGCAAAAAAATCGTCTTCAAGTTGTTTTCAGTTACAACATCTCTATTGATTTACGGCTTTCCTGATTGAAATGTTACACTCGGTCATTAATAATAGTAACTCATATTTGCATGATGCCTTCTGGTTTCTAACCCACTTCCACTTTATGCCTTCATTTGATTCACACGGAAGTCTCTAAAATCAGAAGGCTTGTTGTGTCTGTTTTATAGTGAAAAATCCAGGCTTTCTCAGAGAGCCAAAGCAGCTTGCTCAGGTGTATATAGATGGTAAGTAGCTGAGCAAGAGAGCTCAGGACTTTGAATCCAGAACACTTTCTACTATAGTTACTGCCTTAGCAAATACTTAACAGTTAACATATGTGACATCACAGAATGGGCAGGAAAAAGAATAGTATAAATAGGATAGAATAAGAATAGTTTCACAGAAGAAATGAGGCAACTTTTCAGAGTCACACAGCTAGTAGTAGTGCTACTTATGTCTTAGATTCGCTGTCAGAATCTAATGTAGCCACAGTGTTGAGAACTATGCTTCGTATAAAACAGGAATCTAATAAATGAAAGATAGTGTGGTAATAGCTATCATAGCATGGATCACATTGCATTAAAAATGAATTTTGTTTTAAATTGCTTATCCAAATAGGTAATACATGCATAAGGCACAAAATTATTTATGTGCTGTGAAATTGTTTTTTGTTTTTACTTTTAGTTTCGGGGGTACATGTGAAGATTCATTGTATAAGTAAACTCATGTCACAGGCGTTCGTTGTACAGATTATCTTATTACCCAGGTACTAAGCCTCGTACCCAATAGTTATTTTTTTTCTGCTCCTCTCCCTCCTCCCACCCTCAACCCGACCCCAGTGTCTGTTGCTCCCTTCTTTGTGTTTGTGATTTCTCATTATTCAGGTCCCACTTAGAAGGGAGAACATGCAGTATTTAGTTTTCTGTTCCTGCATTAGTTTGCTAAGGATAATAGCCTGTAACTCCATCCATGTTCCCACAAAAGACATGATCTCATTCGTTTTTATGGCTGCATAGTATTTCATGGTATATTTGTACCATATTTTCTTTATCCAATCTGTCAATGATGGGCATTTAGGTTGATTCCATGTGTTTGCTATTGTGAATAAGGGCACAAAATTCTAGTAGGCCAAAGCGATCTACTGAGAAAGGTAAGTCTCTTGCTCCTGTCTCCCAATCTCCCAATTCCTGCTCCACAGACATTAACTGTTATCCATTAGTAAGGTATCCTTGTTTCCCAAGTAGTTTCCACATGTCCTCTTCTTCAAAATGTTAGCTATAACTAATGTTCTTATTTGTTTCCTAAAGTTAAATTTGTATATTTTTGATTAGGTCATATTACATGAGCTGAAGCATAATATAAACATCATTCTACATCTTGTAATTTTTTTACTTAAAAATAGGGTAAACATATAATTTACATTTCAGTTGGGCTGATCTGAGGGAGGAAAATGAAGCAATTAGCAATTATGCCAGGTGTAAACCATGGCTGTCCCAAATAAACCTCTATAGCTTCTTACTTGATGATCTATTTTTAAATAGCATTTCATATCAGTACATAAAGTTTATTAATTTAAAAGTGTTTTACTATGTAATGCTTTATACATACAAAAGAATTGTGACATGTGTGTGAATTTAAAGCATAAACCTAAACCACTCAACCTAAGAATTTGAATCTTACTTTTATATTAAAATCACCTACGTGTTCATGCCCATTCCCATCCCTTTTCTCTCCTCTGCAAAGATTAGCAGCCACCTGAATTTCATGTTCATGATGTCACTGATTTTTTTAAAGTAGTTTTCTCACATAGGTAGGTATACCTAAACAATATATTGTATAATTTTGCTTTTTTGTATTATAAAAATATCAGACAGTACGAAGTCTTCAGCAACATGCTTTAAAAAAAATTCAATTTTATAAGATATTATCTATATTGTTTCACATAGCTGTAATTCATTGACTTTCACTGATGGGCAATTTTCACTGTTTATTAAGTATTTAGGAATTTATGTATTCATTCTTCTTTTGATGATATTTGGGTCATTTCCAGCTTTTCTTCCAATACAAACAATGACACTGTGAACTATTTTGCACATAGTTTTAGGTGCACATGTGCAAGTTTCTTCAAATCATAGACAAGAACTTATTGGTTTTTAGGGTAGACACATGTTCAGCTTTATAAAACAGTGCCAAATTAGTTACCAGAGATTTTAATAACATTTTACCCCCTTCCCAGCAGCGAGAGCCTTCTGATCTGTACAGCAAGATCAGTGATCACAGATCACTGTAACAGATGTAATAATAATGGGAAAGTTTCAAATATTGTGAAAATTGCAAAAATGTGACACAGAAACATGAAGTGAGCACACGGTGGTGGAAAAATGGCACCAACAGACTTACTTGACACAAGGTTTACCACAAACCTTCAATTTGTGAAAAATGTAGTATCTGTGAAGCACTATAAAGCAAAGTGCAATGAAACGAGGTATGCCTGTAAATCACCCTTTCTGGTATTCACGAACTTGTACAGCTCCTGTTCTTTGAATCTAGGTTAACTTAGTTAACTCACTTTTGACCATAGAACGGGACAGAAGTGATGCTGCATGTCTTTGAAGGTTAGGTCATTAGAAGCCTAGTAGCTTCCAGCTGGGTGTCTCATATACTTTATATGTGGGTCAACGATTATGGGTGAAGCATGACTACCCTGAGATGATCATGCTGTGAGAAACCCCATGTTAGCCACTGTTGGGAAAAAGCTGAGTGTTGGGAAGAAAGCTGAGGCAGGGCTTGCATGTCTGACATAATGTCCTCTGGAATGTGTCTAGACTTGCTGGCTGTTTGCTTCTAGTCTTCCTAGGCTCCTAGATGGATTGTAGTTCCATTATGTCAAGTAGCAGAACATGTACCTTATAAATGCTAAACCATCACAGCTGTAGATCATGCACCTGCCCTTTTGACCCCCACATTCTCACCACCTGTTTCTCTGTTGGATTACCAATAAATAGTGTGGGCTCCCAGAGCTCGGGGCCTTCACAGCCTCCACGATTGCGATGGCCCCCGGTCCCACTTCTCTCTCTCAAATTGTCTTTTTCTCAATCCTTTGACTCCGCCGGACTTCGTTGCCCCCATGACCTGGTGTTGGGTCTGATCACCCCAAAAACCACAAGGAGAAGCTACCTGAAGAGAGAGGCTCCCAGTCCCCAAGCTAGCCAAGTCACCCTAGCTAAAGCACCAGATATGGAAAAGAAAAAGCCCTCTTGGACTTCCAGACCAGTCAAAACTTCAGCCTTATTCATCTTCTGACATAAAATCACATGAGGAATCCTATGAGAAAATCACTCACCCAAGCCCAGTCAACCCACAAGAACTACAACAGATAGCAATTGCTGTTTTGAACTACTTAGTTTTGGAGTGATTTATTACACTGCAATAAATGATTAAAACAACTCTTCCCTCTTTGCTTATAAAATGGCCTGATGAGAGTAACGATAAAGTAACCCACACACCCCAAGGGTCTGAACTGTCCTACCACTTTTTCCTAACAGTAAAGCCAAGGGAGACATATGGTCTGCCTCCTAAAATACAGCACACGACAGTTTTACCTAATTCTACAGAAGCGTTATCACAAATTTTCCAGAATGCACCATGAGACTGTATTGCCCAGTGCCCCCACTTTCTTCCTTCAGTCAATCCCACATTTTATCTTGTGTTACTTTCAGTATCTATTCTAGGATTCAGATTCTGAATTAATTAAGGATTGCATTTGGCTGCATGTAAAGGAATCTTAAAAAGTTTAGTCAAATGAGGAGTAATTGTTATTTATTTATTTATCAAAAAGTCAAAGATATGCAGTTGGGGGCAGAGATAACTAATTATGGCCCCCAATTTTCTTGCCTTCTTTCTTTGTAATAACATTCATTATTTTTAACTGAACACATGTCTACCTTACAGTTAAGTATGACTGTATGACTAATTTCTGGCTGAAAGATGTAAATGGAAATGCCCTATGTGACTTCAGAAAGTATTTTTAAAGGAAAACATTATATCCTTCTTTTGTCCTTTCTTGGTCATGAATTAAATTGTAGATATAATGGCTAGATTATGTGACTATACAACAAAATTCAAGGAGTCTGAGTGCCTAATGACAGGAGTTGCCCTGCCAGTCCTGGACTGTTCATTCCTAGACTTCATTAACATAAAAGAGAAATCAGCTTTTATTTTGTTATTTCACTATTATTTTGATTTTATTTTTCCCAAAGCTGAAATTAATTCTATCTAATATGGGAGTACAGGGCTGATGCAGAAGCTCCATCAATGGGCCAGGATGCTCTGTCCCTTGATGCATGGCTTGCATCCTTATAGTCACTTCATTGTATCACCATGACCCTTGCTCCCCTGGCTTTCATTCCAGGAAAAAAGAACAGAAACAGGTGTAATGCCTATATCAACAAGGTAAAGCTTTCTAGAATCTGTGGGATAGTTCAGTTATCTCATATTGGCCAAGTTTTGATATTTTGACACCCCAAATGAAATGAACTTTCTGTAGTAAGATGCGTGAAGAAAGAGAGATGAAGGAGACCAGTAACAGGGTCTGCCACAACAGTGTGTCAGGAGTAGTGCTCTGAATGTTCTGAACTGTGCACAAACATAGTTTCTGCACTAAATGGACTGTTTCTGCACTAAAAGGCCCCAATCATACATCCTAGGTGGAGGTATACAATTATGATCCATTCACAAACATTTATTAAGCTTAGTAGAGAGGTGGGACTGGATACATCAATAAAGTAGTCCCATAGACCATGGTTAAAATTGGGGCCATCTCAAGAAAGAGCACACATATTGAAAAGAATGGTGGGCTGAAAATGAAACCTGGTGGAAAGGTAATGAAAAGAAGATAAGCACAGGGGGAGAGATTCCTAAACAGAGCAACAGAGATCAGTTAAAGAGATAGTAAAAACCAGAGTAGTTTATGAAAATCATGATAGAAAAATTCAGGTATTATATGTAGCATGAAATTCAGCAGGTGAGTACAGGGCTGAAAGATGCTCCTAATATTTACCAGTTTGGAGATTATGTGCTACTTTTTGAAATGGTCTCAATAAAGTAGAGAGTACCAAAATCATTTTACAGGGAATTGAGAACTGAAGGGAAAATAAGAAAGTGGATGTGAGTGGTAGACTCACATATATTGCTTTGAGTAAATGCTATTCAAAACATTCCTCCTCTACTGAATTTTTATTATATCATGTCTTATTGTATTGTATTATACTGTACTGTATTGAAGTTGTATTGACCTGCAGCTACAGAGATCTAAGGACACCCTTACCCCAGACTGGTGACACTGTTCCTACTGGTCTCAGAGGGGTGAGTATGACTTAGTGTCTTTCTGTCAATACTAAGAAACAATTTCAGAGTCAGACTACCTTTGATAGAAAATGAATTTTAATATTTTAATATTTAGAATCTACACATTTAATCTCATCAACAAATTATGCTTGGGTTTTAAATAATGCATGAACCAGATCCAAAGGACAAATGTTCTAAGTGATATTCTATCTGGAGCACATGAAAATGTTACCAAGTTGATTTGATATGCAAGTCATTGAGAAATCATGTTAATCCAATGAAGAAGAAATCAGGTTAGACCCAAAGGAAATAAAGGAACAAGAAGAAACTTCATCCCATGCACTTTATACATATTACGTCCTCATCAGTACCCTAAGAAGTTTTTATTTTGTGATTGAGAAAAGACTAAGATTTAAGGTGATCAGTAGTTCACTCAGGAGTCCATACATAATAAGTAGCAGAGCCAGGGTATGAACCCACAATTTTATGACATTCAGGTCAGTATATTTTCACCTACATGATCCTGCCTTCTAAAGTAACACTTTAAAGAAAATAAGCAGAAGGCCAAAGGGGCTTTTAATAAATTGCTGGTGTTCCTTTTCTATTTTATAAAGTTAAACGTTTGTCTTTTGAGGAATAGTTTGAAACAATCTGACCAAAAGGCATCTATAGTGGAGCATAATATTACATTTATAGAAAGAAATTGGCCTAAGCTGCAATAAGGCCATCTACAAATCTATGTCCCTGTTTGTAATGAAAGTGATATCAAGGTAAATTTATCATTTCTTTTAGAAAAGTAACCCAAGATTCTACTCATACAGCCCACTAGTGTGACCTACCTGCACAACAAACTGTGTATATGGTAAATAGAGGTGTGGTGAAAGTTTTTCAAGGCTTAAAATTCCAAGATTATTTAATTGTCAAGTACTTAAAACAATGAAAACATTTGTCCAGCATCTAGATCTCTTTTTTTTTGAGACAGCGTCTTCCCTAGATCTCTTTTAATAGCTACTCAGATAATTCTGCTCATCAACTTGCTATTTTTCTTAGTTTGAATGTTTCACATGTGTATGTGTGCATATTGTGCATTTCCCTGGAATCGAAAACTATAGCTTCTATGATACCAACAGGAAGGAGAAATACTGTTCTAAGAGTGGCATGTAGACTAATAACATCTAATTATCACTAGAGTTGTCATATCTACTAATTTATATAGGATCATCAGAGAACAACCTATGACATTAATTCTAAGAATCATGCAATTTATTATTTTAAAAATAACTTACAATTCACATTTCAAGTAAAAAAGAAAGATCTTTTAAAAAGAAAGCCCCGTGTAATTTCAGTTAAGAAAATTTCTATAACAAGTAGACCTCAAATATAAAATGGCTCAAATACAACAGAAAGTACTTTCTTATGTTAACAGTCAATGGTGATGCTAGGTTGGTGGTGAAGATAATGGTGAGCTAGGGGTCTTTTCATGCAGTTTTTTTAGAGACAAACAGTGCCAAAAGTCCAGCTGAGGTTAGAAACTAGGGATTTTTCAATGATGTCAAACTAGAAAGTTGTTTAAAAGCAGAAAATGCTTGGATTAATCCAAAGCTAGGACTTCATATTTTGCAACAACAGAAAAAAAAAAGAAGGCGAGTGATTTGAGAGTTGTCAAGTGAGCAATTCAAGTAATAAGCCATGGGGTATGTAGGCAAGAAAATAAAGTTAGAAGAGAGTATATAATTTGGGAGAAAATGAAATTGAATCTTTATATGTTTGAAGAGTAGGTGTACAGGGAGGAGGAAAATGAGTAAGCTTGATGTGTGGCTGGAGAGTGAGATATTGGATATTAAGGAGTGGGCAATATATAAAGATAAAGATGCCATATGACTCAGCAATTCCACTTCTAAGTATATCTCCAAGAGAAAGAAAAGCCTATGTCCACATACAAACTTGTACGTGAATGTTTACAGAGGGATTATTCATAACATTTAAAAGGTGGAAATAGCCCAAATGTCCATTGATGGACAAGAGGTTAAACAAAATGTAGTATGTCTATACAATAGAATATTATTTAGCCATAAAGAGGAATGAAGGACTGATACATTCTACAACATGCAGGAACCTTCAAAACATTACGCTAAGTGAAAGAAGCAAGTCACAAAAACTGTATACTAAATGATTCTACTCATATAAAAGTCCAGAATAGAGAAACTGTAGATACAGAAAGTAGATTATTAGATGCTCAGGGCTGAGGAGTGGGGAAATGGGGGGATAGAAGGATGAGAGCTAAAGGATATGGTCTTGCTTCTTAAAGTGATGAAAATTCTCCAAAATGGTTGTGGTGATGGTTTCACATATCTGAGAATATATTAAAATCCATTGAATTATACAATTAAATAGGTGAATTTTATGGTAAGTGAATTGTTTCTCCATAAAGCTGCTAATAAAATTGGCAATGACTGGGTCCATCATGAAGACGCAGAAGTGGGCTGCTAAAATAGAATGGAAACGAAAGTCAGAACTTGAAAACTAGGATATTGAATGAGACAGCTACATGGACATTGACGGAGAATGATGATGGAATTAGAGATAGATTTACAAAGTCAGATTAGGGTCCTTAGTGAATGCGGAAGAGTCATTAGGGTATCAACAGGTAACAGTGATAAGCAGAAAGTGGCAGTTAACTATGCCATTGAACTACAAGTATTGATGTTTGTTGTGTCTTTTTTAAAATTTTAAAATATATACATTTTAGACAGGTTAATTAGAAATAATAGGAATGCCTAGTGCCATACACAGGCCTGAATGTGATAATAAGCAGCTTCCACTTGAGAAGGCTGCAGAGTCTCAAGTGTCCCCGGTTGAATTGATGCGAGGATGAACCTAAGGCATTTTGTGAATAATTTCGGCTCCTTAAGGAGGTTCTTTTTTTCTTTCTTTAAATTTTTCTTTTCTTCTTTCTTTTTGAATAACAAGAAAAAGTTACAGAGGATATTAAAAAACTTAGCAGAAAGGAAAACGATGCAAATATGAGTTGAAGTAGTGGGGAGGAGGAGAAGAGCACTGAACATAATAGAGATGACGATTTAGCGAAGAAAAATAATTAACGTAACTTGTATTTTGAACAGTGTCAAAGAATGACATGAATGAGAGGTATATTAGGGTTCTTCACAGGGACAGAACCAATAGGCTAAATAGGTAAACAGATAGATAGACTGATGAAAGGGGGGTTTATTAGGTTAATTGGCTCACTTGATTATGGAAGCTTAGAAGTTTCATGATAGGTCTTCTGCAAGGTGAAAAAATAGGGAAACCACTAGAGGGACTCTCACTCCAAGGATGAAGGCCTGAGAACCCACGGGGACCACTGGAGTCCACAGGCTGGGGAACCTGGAGTTCTGATGTCTAAGGGCGGGAAAAGTGTGTCCGAGCTCCGAGAGAGAGTGTGAATTCATCTTTCCTCTGCCTTTTTATCTATTCAGGCCTCCTGCTAACTGGATGGTGTCCACCTACATTGCGGGCAGATCTTCCTCACTCAGGCTTCTGACTCACATGCCAATGTCCTCCAGGAACACACTCACAGACACACCCAGAAATAATGCTTTACCAGCTCTCTTGATATCCCTTAATCCAGTCAGGTTGACACCTAAAATTAACCATCACGAGAAGAGTGAAGGGATTCACTGGTTTGTAAATAGCTTGGAATTCTGAATGAACAAATGCGATGATGCTTGATGTTGTGGAACAGCTAAACCAGAGCCACATTTCAGCAACTGGCTTATACCTGTGAGGACTTCCAGTGAGAACACAAAATGTGCCACACACTGGGCCATTCACCGTGGTATGAACAATCCCTTTCTAGGATAAGAGTTCTGTATTCAACAAATTCCCTTGTTTTTACAAGAAAATAAATGCTGAATATTCATAGCCTGAAATGAGGTAATAAGTGATAATAAACAAATCTGGAAGATATTTTCAAAATGTTAAATTAAGGTCTTCTTTACAAAAGTAGATCTTAAGTATATAGTTTGTTCAGTTTGACAAATGAGTGTACTTATGTAAACTACATTGTTATCAAGACATGCAACATTTCCAACACCCCTAAAAATTTCCCTCCTACCCCTTTCCAGTAACTCCTCTCCCTCATTCCCTAGAAGCCACCACTCATCTGATTTTTATTCTCATAGATTATTTTGGCTTATTCTAACTTCTTATAAACTGAATCATAAATTATGTACTACTTTGTTTCTCTCTTACTCAACATCGTGTTTTTGAAATCTATTCATGTTATGTGTATCAGTAGTCCATTTATTTTAATGGCTTTTCCACTGCATGAGGATATCACAGTTTATTTAACTATTGTTCTCCTGTTGATAGATACCTTGGGTTGTTCCAGTTTGGGGTTACTATGAAAAAAATAGCTGTACACATTCTAGAACAAAGCTTCTATAGTTGTTTTTAAATTCTCTTAGGTAAATACTTCAGAGTATAATTGCTGGGTCATAGGGTACATACATATTTAACTTTTTAGGAAACTGCCATACTATTTTCCAAAGTGGTTGTACCATTTTACACTCCCACCAACTATATGTGGAAGTTCCAGATGCTCCACATTCTCTAAAATGCTTGACATTGTCCATCTTTTTTCAATGTGTTTTGATTTTCATTTTCCTGAGGATTGATGATCTTGAGTGCTTTTTAAAGTGCATATTAGCCATTCATATATCATATTTTGTGAAGTATTTGCATTTTTTTTAGACAATTAAATGCCTTATTGTTGAGTTGTAGGAATTCCTTCTTATGTATTCTAGGTGTGAGCCTTTACATATATATACATATATATATATATTTGAAAATATTTGTCTATGTATAATTGTAGCTTTTCCTTATAGGCCCATGATCAATTTCAAATTAATTTTTGAATATGTCATAATGCAGAAGCTGAAGTGCCCTTTTTTTGGATATCCAGTTCCTCTGGCACCATTTTTGAGATTTTCCTCCCCTCATTGAATTGCTTTGATGACTCTGTTGAAAATTATTTTATCATATATATGTGAGTCTATTTCTAGATTCTATATTTTAATCCGTCTTTATTATTTTACCAATGCCACACTGTCTTGAGTACTGCAACTTTGTAACACATCTTGAAATCAAGTGCTTCTTTGTTAAACAATTTTTTGTCTATTCTAGGTCCTTTGCATTTCCAAATACATTTTAGAAACAGCTTTTTTATAGTCTTAAAAAGCTCACATGGGATGAAGAGAATTTGATTATATTGAACATGTGTACACACACACGTATATAAATGGGGAGAGAATGGACAGCTAAACAACTTTGAATCTTCCAATTAACAAATATGCTGTTTCTTTCTATTTACTTCGGTCTTTTAAAATTTCACTCAGCACTGTTTTGTAGTTTTCAGTAAAGCAATACTGTGTATCTTTTGTTTAGTATTTTATGGCTCCAATACTACTGTAAATGGTATTTTTAAACTTTTAATTTCCAACTGTTCACTGCCCAAGACATTTTAAAGGAAGTATTGGTGTGTCTTAGAACTGCATGTACAGGAATTGAGAATGGGAGGGGAGTGGAGGCAACTGAAAGAAAAGGATGAAACACTAAGTCCAAGGCTGTATGTCTAGGGATCAGAAAACGCTGCTGTTAAATTCTGAAAAAAATAAGTTGACTTAGGAGAAAAAATGGTGGGCTTTTTTTTTTCCATACTTCCCTTCCTGTTTTATGTGGTGTAGATTCTCAGGAAGAGCTATAGATCCTTTTGTGAAAACTGAGAAAAATCTCTCTTATAGGAAATAATGATTAAACTTAAATTCTTCCACAGAACAATAATCAAACATTAAGAAATTATTAAGACATGGTATGGCTAAGAACATTTTTTTTAAATATCAGACAAAACTGACCTGGTTGTTTCATTCACTCAGAACACAAGGCTAGCTACCTCTGTTAAGAATATTGGCAATGCTGACAGGCTTAGCATAAGACAGAAAATTATTAGCAGAGTCTGACAGATGCCATGTCCTATTTTGAGTGTGTATTCATGCTCTCTATCACCTAATCCTCCCAGTAATTTAGTGTGTCCTACGGAAGAAATTTTTATTTGAAAACTCAGTGCCATCCTTATCCTAAATAACTAGAGCTGCATTAAATGCTTTGGCAGGCAGAAATGAGCATAGAGATTTTATGCTCCTGAGTGTGATGAGTAATTTTTGCTAAATATAGATCACTATGTTAAATTGATATGCTGAGTTTCCAAGTATTGAGAACATGTATTCTATTGATTATAAGATTGTACATTTTCCCAGAAATTTCTAATCATCTTTTTTGATAACTCCACTTTCTACAATCTTAATGGCCCTTCACTGTGTCCTTTTTTTGGGGGGGATGGGGGGCGGTGGTGGATAACGACATGAAATAGCAATTTACTCAACTTCCTAAATCTGGGTAGAAAAGCAGGAAATATAGGGTTAACATATAAATTCTAAGACACACAAAAAAGGTTTATAAAAGGCAAATTTAAGAGATGAATGAAAAAGATATGAAAATAAAAAAGAATAAAGAAAGCAGGGTAAGGTGTTTTTAGAGTGAGGAGAAATTTGTATGTTGTAAAATCCCACCATTAATTAGGGTCAAAACACCAAGCATGTTTATGCTGGATGAGCAAAGAACTTTATAAGAACACATGGTGGCAGGGCGCGGTGGCTCACGCCTGTAATCCCAGCACTTTGGGAGCCGAGGCGGGCGGATCACAAGGTCAAGAGATCGAGACCATCCTGGCCAACATGGTGAAACCCCGTCTCTACTAAAAATAGAAAAATTAGCCAGGCGTGGTGGCGGGTGCCTGTAGTCCCAGCTACTCGGGAGGCTGAGGAAGAAGAATTGCTTGAACCTGGGAGGCGGAGCTTGCAGTGAGCTGAGATCGCTCCACTGCATTCCAACCTGGTGACAGAGTGAGCCTCCGTCACAAAAAAAAAAAAAAAAAGGAAGTCTGCATACATTTAAAGCTAAAGCGTATAGTTTTACATTCTGGAGATGCACAATAAAAGGTGAATAAATATATAAATGAGTAATTTAATTAACCATATAAAAGAACTTTATCTGAACAGGGGAAACGGCAATTTCTATGAAATATTAGTATCCAAAGGTGCAAGAAAAGATAATACAATGGTGTAGACAGTTGTCTTGATTGTGTCGACGAGAGGCAGTTGGTCTGTGAGGGACCGTGCCAGGGTCTGCATAACAAATTGCTACTGTTTAAATGCAGCCCTGCCAAGGAGTGCTCCAGAGTCTTCTGCAAGCCACAGCCAGAGTGATTGCCAGAGAATCAGAGAGCATCCTAGGTGGATTTAGACACATAGGCTGGCCACAGCCCAGCCTGCCAGCTTGACTCCCCAGCCCCACTCTATTGATCAGCATGGGGAGACTTGATTTTTATAGGCTTTTATTTGACCTTGAAAAGTTAAGTTACAGAAAGACTAGCAGGCTCATGCCAACCCTGAAATGTTTTCCTTTTTAGTCAAAAGGCAATGCCCACAAAGGCTTTTATTCAGGCAGTTGAAGGCACAAGTGAAGGAGAAAATTGTTTTTGAAAGACCGCTGGGACTCTTTGAAAACCTAGTTACTTTGGAAGTATTCGTGGGGTCCAGTATAGCATTAGGAGCATAGAAGGATAAGGTAAGTCCAAGCAGTTCTAACTTATTTGTCCACTAATGTTCACTGACCACACTCTGTTTCTGCAAATTATGTTTGAGATGTTTCCCCAGCCAGGCTGTGAGCTCCTTACAAGCTAAGAAAATGACTTCCATTTTTATATCCATTGCATGTAGCATGGTGTCTGGCACATAGAAGTTGTTCAACCAAAGTTTCTGGAATTGAATAGAATGGAATGGGATGAAATGAAATGGAAAGGGAAGAAAATGAATGATATTTAGGAAATTCCAATTAATGTTTACCTCTCTTCTTGAGAGGTAAAATAGGGAAATATCTATAATATTCTATCGCATAGACAAAGCATAGTTTTATAGGAACATCTTTTGAAAAATGCTTTGAATTTTTTAGATTAAATATTCTGATAGGCAAAATGTACCCCAAAGATATCCTTGCCCTAATTCCTGGAACTTATGAATAAATTACATGGCAAAGGAACTTTGCAGATGTGATGAACATTCCAAAAAGATTATGCTGGATTATCTCTTATACACTGGGAAAATCTAAACACATGAGCCAGAGAGATCAGAGAACTTTCTAATTTTCTTTGGCTGAAGTCAGAGATTCAAAGTATAAGAGGGACTTGACCAATCATTGCTGGAGAGGGCCACATGAAGAGCATGATTAAAGAATACAGGCAGCCTCTAGGAGCAAAGACCAGCCCCTAGCTGACAGCCAGCAGGGAAGGAATCTCAATCCTACAACCACAAGGAACTGAATTAAGCCAATAACATGAAGGAGCCCAAGAGTAGTTTTTTCCCTTTGCCTTCAGTAAGGAATGCAGCTCTGTTAACAAGTTGATTTTAGCCCATTGAAACATGTATCAGATTTTGGACCCAAAAAACTATGAGAAAATAAAGAAGTCTCATTTGCAGTTGCTAAAATTTTAGTAATTTGATATAGCAGCAAGAGAAAGTTAATACAATGATACAGTGACTTTATAATTCTCGCACTTCTAAATAATCTGACTTCAAAGTTAAATTACCGTTTATTTAGTATAATTAGCAAAATAAGTGGATTGCCATATTTTGCCTCCTGTTTTGCTTAGAAAAACACATGGCTTCTTAACGCATTTATTCATTCAACAAGTATTTGTTGAGAGTCTGTATGTATAAGAGACTGAAGAATGGCCTGTGAATTATAACATCAATATAGGTTACACTGATGACTTTAGGTGGAGAATTAATTGGAGCTGATTAGATCATTTGGTACTCAACTAGTTTATCTATACAAAAGGAAAATTTTACTAACACTAATCATATATGTGACCCAGGACTAGCCTTCCTGAATATAGTTATACCTTGCTAAATTGAATGAATAGCAATAAATCAGTGTTTTCCAGTGTGCTATGGCATACTGGTTCCACAGGGTATATTAGTAAATGTTGGGTTGGAATTGGAGAGGGAGGGGAAAAGGTTCTATGATCAGGAGAGGACTTTTATAGACTCCTGCCACCCCTCCTACTTATCTATCAATATCTTCTCCCTTAAACTCTACCTTCCTACCAGTTACCATAAATGAAATATTCATGCTGATATCTAAAGACTTCTTGATATCTAAAGCTGATGTCTATAGCCTCACTTGTTCTCATAGGAAAAATGCTCTTACAAGTTCCCCCTCTCTCCTACATTATCAATTCTTTACACTCTTCCGGATCATTCTTGTAGCCATACAAGCATATGCTATTTATTCCACTTTAAAAGGGAAAACAACTTCTCTTGGCCCACTTTTCTCCCACTTTTTAAAAAAGCCCCATTTGCAGCAAAACTCCTTAAAAGAGCTGCTATACTAATTATTTCCAATTATCCCTTTCTTCTAATTCTCTCCCAAACACATTTCATCGGGAGTTGACACCACCACTTTTCTAAAATTGCACTCATCTAGGTTCCTAGTGACTCTGCATTGCTAACTCCAGTGTTTAATCTCAGTCCTCACCTTACTTGACCTGTCAGGAGCATGTGACATAGTTGTCACTCCCATCTCCTTGATATACATTCATTATTTGTATGCCAGGCCACCACATTCCCCTGACTTACTTCCTATCTTATTGGATACTTCCCAGTCTCCTTTGCTGGACTATTACCTTCTTCCCAGGCTCTTTGATGTTGGAGGCTCCAAGGCTTACTCTTTGGTCCATTTCTATTTCTATGGACACAATTTTGGTTGGTGATCTCTTCAATTTTCATGTCTTTCAATATAATTGATATGTTGATTGCTTCCAAAGTTGTATCTCCAGTTCAGACCTCCCTCCTGAGCTTCTGGCTCATATCAAACTGCTTTCCCAGCACCTCTACTTATATATCTATGAAAGATAGCAAAAACAAAACTGAATTTCTGATCTTTTCTCCTCAAAAAACTAGCTTCACCACAGCTCCCCACATCTCAGTTGATGGCAAATCTATCTTTTCCGTTCCTCAGAACAAAAGCCTGAAAGATATCCTGTACACTTCTCCTTCCATCATATTCCACATCTAATCTGCAAGTTCTCTTGACTCTATGTCCAAAAATCTTGCCACTTGTCATCATCTGTACTGTTGTCCTCCTAATCAAGATTAGTTATCTCTCATGTGGATTACTGCAATGGACCCCTAGTGGATTCCTGTTTTCTGTCTTTGCAATTATATAGTTTGTTCTCCACACAGCAGCTGGAGTGATCTTTTTATAACTCAAATCATTATTTCTGTGCTCAAAACTTTACAGAAGCTCCCAATTTGACTCTGAGAAAAATCCAAAAGCCTTAAGTGGCCCATCAAGATCTTCATAAAATATCCTCTCTCCTCTCCTATCTTGGATGATCCTTCTTGCTCATTTTGCTTCAGCCACAATGGCCCCCTGGTTTTTCAACATTGGACTTGTTCTTGCCTTAGTATTGGTTATTTTCTTCCCCTGAAATGCTATTCCCCCAATTGCCTATTTGTATAATTCACTTCCCTTTTCATTCAGATGTCATCTTCTCAATGAGGCCTCTCTGGACCATGCTCTGTAATATTGAATGAAACTTGTTCCTACCCCTGCACCAGCCCCCCTAATTCACCTAATATCCTCTAGGTTTTTTTGGCATTTATCATTTCCTATCATATTTTTGAATTTTTTTTTTAATTGTTTATTTTTCACCTCAACCCTCCAGCATGTAAGCCCTACAAGGACATGGTCGTTTGTCTATTTTGGCACTGATATATCAGTACCTCGGACAGAGCTTGACTTATAGTAGAACTTAATGAATAGTTGTTGAATGAATGAATAAAATGTATGTTCAAAACTAATAGAGTTTGTTTACTGATGAATCCCTCAGATGCTTTAATATACTGATAAGATTCGTGAATCTCCCAAACAGGTGCAATGTTTTTACACTTATTTGATCACCAAACTCATTTGTTACACCGTACCTATTAACGTCTTATAAAACTGGCATTCCACAATTTCAAAAATGCTATATCAAATCATTCTTTAGTTTCTTCTATCTACAAAATGTATCATTTCACCAGGAAATATTTTGCAATCTTAAATTGCTTGTAGGGCGTTGTTAGTGCTATTTGACAATTGATTTACTATACTTTAAAAGAGGTCATGTGCTTTCCAAGTGACACATAAACTCATCAGGCAGAATTTTGCAGTAGATGAATTTTACCTTACCTGGACTCATTTATATGCTTTCCTCCTGCTTTCAATGCATTCTACAACATTCCCATTAGGTATAGAGGTTTTAGACTGGTTAGAGACCTTAGAGATGATGATATATAGTCTTACCATTTTAAGAATGAAGAAAACTAAGCAGAAAAGGGATTTTACCCCGGGTCTCACTAGTTGAGCCACAAGAAGCAGGCCCAATCAATATGGCCCGAAATGTCCATAATAAATCTGATAGTATATTGTGTATTACAATCCTTATTTACCCAGGTGCATTCTTCACCTAAGTTCTCACATGGTATACAAAAATTCTTTTCTGATCCCTTCCTTCATAAATATCCAACAATCTCACCCTGATTATGGCAATAATTACATATTAGTACTTCCTACAAAATGTTACATTATCCTTTGAGTAATTTATAGCACCTTAGATGTGAAAAATAAATCTCAAATTTCTGCAATAACACATATCCTGATTAATTAATATAATCTTTGCCCCTATAACATGTTTAAAGACATATTGCTTTCATTTTAGAAATAAAAACAGAAAGCTTCTCTTGACCCTACTTTCCTCTCATCTTTTCTTTCATTTCATTTTCAGCTAATCTCCTTGAGCAAGTTCCTATATTCTCTACATCTCCTTGATTCTAGCAGAAACTACATACCTGTCTTAGGATAGCTGAGTATTTTCACCATTTACATCTCAAGATGCATATACTTTCTATTAGTCTAATTTTCTAAACATTTAAGAGAACATAGCTGAGTATGTTCTTATCCCCAATGCCCAAAGAAATAATTTAAAAGAATATTAGGGGGAAGAAAACTAAAAAGAATGAGTAGTTGTGTTTCCTGTGGTGTATTTACCCATTCATTTGTTTAAGAAGTGGTTTTGAGCCCCTATTTTCCTTTTAGGGGTTCTGAGACACAGAGATGAACAAGGCATCTCTTATTAGGAATTATAACTTTCAGTGGAGAGAAACACAAAGATAAACAAATAGCAAGAAAAGTTTTGGTAGTGCTAAGAGCTATCATAAAGACAAAACAAGATGACATTCTTGAAAGATTTGAGGAACTATCTGGATTAGGCAACCAGAGAAGGTTAAGGAAGTGTCTTTAATGAGCGATCCAAATGGCAAGGTGGGGCAAGTCTTCTAAAGAGGTGAGGGAAAAACATTCCAGGGGAGATGGCTCGAAGTGGGCCTAAACATGGTGTCTTGAACTAAGAGAAGAAAGGAGAGTTTGGCTGTAGCTTGTGAATGAAGCAGAACACAGTGAGAAATGCCCAGGCTGGTTGGCAGAGGCCAGACTGTGCAGGGCCTAGAGGCTGAAGAAAAGAGGTTGTGTTTTATTCTAAGAGGATTGGGAAGCCATCAGAGAGTCCTAAGCAGGTAAATTATATGGTCTGATATCTTCCTTAAATAAGTCAAATCACTCTAGCTTCTGCATGGAGACTGACGCAGAAGCTAATAAATAAAGGAGATGGGAGGAAGCTTCAGCCATTGGAGTCTGCCCAGTGCACCCCAAAATATACCATGAAAGTGCACTTTCTCTCTGTACCTAAGATTTCCCTGGATATGCATAGTGAGGTGCTTTAGTCTAGGTATAAGCAATTTTAACTTGTTCTGCTTTTGCCTAAAATATCAATAAACTCATTTTAATAAATGAACTTGCTTATAATGAACATAATAATGAATCACTTTTTATTTCTGAAAGAAGGAAAAAATTTAATCATCTCTTAATTTTGTATATGTTGTTCTTTATGTACTTTAATTACCACCATTATCATCACTGGCATCATCCCACAGACTCAAAAATGATCATGGATACATCTGTATGGCACCATCTGTATCTAGCCATACAAAATCCAACTTGATTTCATAACATTTATGTAATAGCTATGATGTTCTGCACTCTGGGAGGTTCTGTTGATACTCAATTAAATAAGGGGACTGTCACTGTTCACACAAAATAAAGAGTTCAGTCATGAAGACAAGCCTATAAACCAGTAACTGGAATAGAATATGTGTTTTGGGAAACATGATGATGAAATAAATAGATTTACATGAAGTGCAGGAGGAGGGGGAAGATTGGGAAGGATTATTGAGAAAATAGGATAATTGAACTCTGCCAGCCTAAGTGGAGGTTTGGCAGCAAACAAGGGTGGAGACAGAGGAATCTTTACTAGAAGCAATCATCAAGCAAATAATGAAGACCTCGAAAGTACAGGGTGTGTGAAGGAAACAGCAAAGTTGGACTGTGGGGCTCAAACTCAGGATCATGCCTCATCATGTTAAAGAAATTTAACCAAACTGTTGCAAATATAAGTTCACAGTCAAATGAAGTTTCACCATGTCTAAGGCAGGAGCACCTTCGTTTACTTTAGAAAACAGTTCATCTATAATTGCTTTAAAAATTGAATTTAATAATTCCCTGGAAGAAACATTTTTAAACTACATCATCTTTTTCTTGCCATGTGAGGAGTAAATTTCACATTAAGTCCCCCCTTTAATGTGCCTTCTTTTTATTTATTAATATTTCATCTTGGTTTTGGTGTTGAATGTACCATCTTTCTGGTTTTATGTTTTCATTTTTTCAATACGCTGAAAATAAATTTAGGGCTTCTGTAGGCTATTCAGAGCATTGAAGTTAATTGTAACTCCCTTCTATTTGGACTTGTTTCCGTGAAAGCCATTTATAGTTGATTGCCTCAGCAATCTTTGTCACAGGAAGAATTAATTTCTTTGAAAGGTTATGGTTTGAAAGACTCAAAATGATTGCTGCCTTGCCTATTTTAGTGAAACATATTCATATATATATATATGCACACACACACACATACACACGAAAAATAGATTTCATAAGTTGTTAGATTTACAAACTTGGTCAGCCACTGAAGGTTACTCTGGTATGTGAATTTATTTGAATTTTCTGATTTTGCCAAGGACATTATGAACATTTTGTGAAATAATTGAAATTATTGTTAACTCAGACTGAACCTAAATTAATGTTCTGCTTCAGAATTTAACAAATGCATATATAACATCACATGGCAGTGAATCTGTGCAATTTAAATCACCCCTTAATCAGTTTTGCTAAAAACAGAATCCAGAATAAAAAACACCACCACACATCTCATCTGCCTCACAGGATTCTCACTCACATGGAGCTCCCTCTAAGGGTCAAATGAGCTCACTGCAGCACAGACTGTACCCAGCCCAGGAAAGAGATGCGTGTGTGCTCAGCCCTGTAAGGAACACTCTACCTGCACCTCTGTTATCCTCACAAGATCATGAGGTAGGTCAGTCCTAACACTTTTCTCATTTAAGTGGTAAGAGCACTGAGGAGTAAACAAAGGACCTGATCTTCCACAGCTAGCATATGCAGCCATCAGGGTTTAGACCTAGGGCTCTATAATTCTTAACCTCTACATCAATGTGCTCTTAGCCATGATAGTAATATGAAGATGAATGATTTTAGTGTAGATAAAAACAACACTATAAGTATCAGCAATAAATAAAGCATCCCCTTTTAAAAAAAAAATACAGCTTAGTGGGAGCAAAGGTTTCTGGGAGATAGATGCAAATTAGCATCATACATATTGTGTCAGGTACTATACAGGCATTTTAACTTACTTTAGCTCTTTAGTCCTCAAAACGATCAACAAGGTAAGCATTATTACCCTGTTACTGAAATAGAAGCCTGAAGGTAGAGAGTAAATGAACTTGTTCAAGATCACACAGCCAAAACTGAAATCCTTGAAATTTAAACCGAAATCCCACTGATTCCTAAGCCTACGCTCTTTCCATTAAAAATCGGGTGAGTTTTTGGTGGCAAAGTTTTGGTCAGTGTTCAGTCTTAACATTCCTGTCTTCAAGTTGTTCACCATAGCAAGCCACTTTAGAGCAACAGGAAGGTCACTTGTATATGAAAGATCCAGGGTTAGTTGCTTACAAGAATTCATTTGTGGTAGGCAGAATAATAAAATAGTGCTCCTCACACCCTGCAAAGATGTCTGTGTTCTAATCCCCAAACCTGTAAATATATTACTTTAAAAGGCAAAAGGGACTTTGCAGATGTGATTAACTTAAGGATCTTGCTATGGGAAGATTATTCTGGATTAACCAGATGGGCCCAATATAATCACAAAGGTACACTACAACTCCAAATTGATCATAGTCTTAAATGTAAGATCTAAAACCACAAAATATCTAGAAAAATGCAGAGAATAAAACATTTTTGACCTTGGATTAGGCAAAGATTTCTTGTGTTCAACACCAAAATCATGACCCATAAAACAACAAAATGTTACACACTGTACATCAAAGAATCTCAAAATAATTATGCTGAGTGAAAGATGGGCCAAGTGGGCAAAAAGGAGTGCATGCTTCCATTTGTATAAACTTCTAGGAAGCATAAACTGATATAAGGTAAATAAAAGCAGATCAATGGTTCTTTGTGGATCAGGGAAGGGGCAAGGAGAAACAGAAAGGAAGAATTGCAAAGAAATCTGAATGTCCCTTTTACTTACTGGGATACAGCGGTGAACAAGATAAATTTGCTTTCATAAAAAGTCTTTGTTTTCATGGAATTTATATTCTGTATGAAGGAAATCGTAAACCACATAATTTAGAAAAGTTGTAATTGCTATGAAGAAAATAAAACAGTCTGATATGTCACAAAGTGACTGGAGTGAGGATGGTTAGTTGAGACTGGGGAGGAGAAAATAGAAAAGATCTCTCTAAGGAGATGGCTTTCAACCCAAATCCCGAGTGAGAAAATCCTGAAGCAGAGCATTCCACATCGATGGAACAGCAAAGACAAAATTCCTAAGAATGGAAAGTATTTAGAGAATCCACGGTCAGAAAGATGACTAGTGTCGCTAGAGCAAAGAAAGGGAGGAAGAAAAGAAGTAGGGTAGTTGTAATTATTAATTTCTAGTATAAATCTATGCTAGTGTGTCCCAGCTGGAATTTGATAAGATTCTAGTGAGACAGAGTGTCTTTCTTGGTAGAGAGGAGAGATGGGGTTTGGGGAGCATGTCTGTCTCATTAGCTGCACAAAGGCTGCAAATGTCTTGGATACAGAGGTTGGGGACAATGTTTGATTCACCACTGTATCTCCAGCACATTACTCATAGGAGACATTCAATTAATGCTGATTAAATTAGTGAATTTGAAAATCATCTCAGAAGTGGGTATTTAAATTTTATATCTTGGCCAGGCACGGTGGCTCACGCCTGTAATCCCAGCACTTTGGGAGGTCGAGGCGGGCGGATCATTTGAAATCAGGAGTTTGAAAACAGCCTGGCCAACATGGTAAAACCACATCTCTACTAAAAGTACGAAAATTAGCCAAGCGTGGTGGTGGATGCCTGTAATCCCAGCTACTCCAGAGGCTGAGGCAGGAGAATCACTTGAGCCCAGGAGGCAGAGGTTGCAGTGAGCAGAGATCGTGTCATTGCACTCCAGCCTGGGCGACAGAGCAAGACTCCGTCTTGAACTAAACAAACAAACAAACAAACAAACTAATAAATAAATAAATAAATAAATAAATAGTTATATCTTAATTTGGGGGCAGTATTCCTCATTTTACTTATTTGACAACTTTATATTGATCGTCTTTTTTATGGTAGAATACCGAGCTGAGCACTAAAGAGACAAAGATGAGACTGTCCTACTTTCAGAGAGCTTATAGACTACCTAATTTGTTTGAATTTACATTATGTTTGCAGCTTTAAAATATTTCTACAATGGCTATGGGGACTATTAGATCAATTATTCATAAAGCATAAGAAGTTATACTGATATGAGAAAGGCACGCCAGTGAATAACAAAAGGTGGCATCTCATAATAGGTTTTATACTATGTCTTTTCCAAATCAGAATTGATTGTAGACTATTATTTAACCATTTCCCACAATACTGTCCACTTAAGAGTTCTCATTGCTGTGCTCACAGAACAATGTTTAGTTCTAACTGTAGTTGGGCTGACAACCATCTGACAAGCTAGGAGGATTTTTAAAAATCAAAATTGATACAGAATGTGATTATTTTATTTTAAAATAAATTTGGATATCTATAAATACTTTTTTTTTTTACAAAATTTGGGGACAGCTGGTCTGCCCACCCTTGTGGAGTGATTTTGAAATTCACTTTAACCCTTGTCTGTTTGTGGAAGTCAGATAATTAAGAACATTGTATTTGTTAAAAATTAGCTAAAGTTCCAAAGAGGTTGTTTACATGAACAACATTTCAAGATGATGACATAATTATCATGAGAATAAAGAAAAATGTAGAAACTCAATTAGTAGTAATTTGTGCACATGATTTTTTAAAAATATACTTTAAATAGCCTTTTCAGTGGAAGATTATACTACCTTCCAACAAATCGAAACAGTGTTTACACATATAAAGTGGTATAACCTGTTTAGAGGAAAATTTTGCAATATGGATCAAAAGTCATAAAAAATACATGCCATTTTTTTCTAAAAATTCTACTTTGAGAGGATGCTTCTCAAATTTATCCACCAAAGAAACTTTGATGATACAAGTAAATCTGATTTTCCCCACCCCCCACTAGCCTCTCCACTCTCAAAGTAGCCTGCCAATGGCTTGAAATTTCTTTGAAATTCCAGTTTGGATATTTAAACTGTATGCATATTTTGCATTCTACTCTGTTAGAAAACCATATATTAAATATAAAAACAATAAGTTTATGGCTTCCTGTGAAATAAAAACATCTGAAAAACTGTATCCTCCATTTGATTAGAACCAGAATAAGAAAACAATTAAGAAAATGTGCAAAGATGTGCCACAAAGAACGGTGAGGGTGGTGCTCTCTAAAATTGAAATAAATACTAAACAATGCAGAGCTGCCAAAATAGAAGATCGATCCAATAAAGTATTATATTGTGGAAGACTACAATGATATTAAACACTTTTGTGAGAATGTATATTTAACAAAATTAATTTTAAAAATATTAACAAAATAGGTAGTTAATCATGATAATGCATCTAAATAACAAGTAAACAACATAAAGATCTGGTCCCATTTTTGTAAATGTTTGTGTGTTTATGCGTCTCCCCAATTTAATCTCCACCAGAATATGTCAATTGAACCTATATCAAGAGAATCAGAGTAAAAAGTATTTCAAAGTAAATGTCTTCTAAAAACTGCTCTACTCTAATTGAGTTTACTCTCAAAATATGCATTAATGATTTATGTAATTTTTATCGGAACACTGCATATGTGACTACAAGGATACAAATATATATATATGTGTATATATACGTATATATACGTATATATATATACACACACAAAATGTTATTAACTAGCTATCTAACTTTGTAGTATGACATAATGGGTACATTTCATTCATTATCTCTTTATTGCTTTTTTTCTGATTGTTTTAAAAATGAGCACATTTAAACTATGTGAATATAAATTGCATGTGTAAATAAGAATAGAAACTACAATTTTCATATCGATACCATGTTTCAAATTTCATACATATTAAATGTTGATTGCCTCAATGTTGTTTTAAAGGTTCATAAGAATATAAAGAAACATCAGGTGACTTATACATATACCAACATTTCAGCTTCAAATCTTTACACAGAGCACCTCTCACAGTTCAGGACTCAGGTCCCACCCACATTTCTCTCTCTCTGTTAGTGTTGTCAAAAATCCTAGTGTATCACAGCTGTTCTGTTTCTAGCAGGTGTTATCACTAATTAGCTCTTCAAAACTAAACACAAGAGGAGTCTGCGCTCTTCCCCAAGTACTATCAGCCAGCTGCTGGCTTTCTGCTGTTGTGAACAGAGGTTTGCAGGCATTTTCATTCATGTACCACTGTAGGTAATAAAACTCTGAGCACACTCCAATGTATATATATTTATTTAAAGTATATCCATATGCTGTATCAATATACTATATTAATACACTGCATATTTTTCTAACTGGTACCACTCTTTCATCTATTCACAGTACAGCAGCCAGGGGGTCCTTTTAAAACCTAAGTCAGGGCCGGGCGCGGTGGCTCACGCCTGTAATCCCAGCACTTTGGGAGGCCGAGGCGGGCGGATCACGAGGTCAGGAGATCGAGACCATCCCGGCTAAAATGGTGAAACCCCGTCTCTACTAAAAATACAAAAAATTAGCCGGGCGTAGTGGCGGGCGCCTGTAGTCCCAGCTACTCGGGAGGCTGAGGCGGGAGAATGGCGTGAACCCGGGAGGCGGAGCTTGCAGTGAGCCGAGATCCCGCCACTGCACTCCAGCCTGGGTGACAGAGCGAGACTCCGTCTCAAAAAAAAAAAAAAAAAAAAAAAAAAAAAAAAAACCTAAGTCAGATCATATCACTAGAAACCGCCAATGGTTCCCCATCTCACTGAGAACAAAACCCTAAGTCCTTAAAATGCCCCTGAAGGTCTTATACAACCAGTTCACCACCTCTCATTCTTCCTCCCTTACGCCACTCAAGGCACACTTACCTCCTGCTATTCCTTAAGCATATTTCCAAGGCATATTTCCCACTCAGGGCCCTGTTCCCTCTACCTAGAGTCCTTTTCCTCCAAATCCCCACATGACCATTCCCTCGCCCCTTCTAGTCCCTGTTCCAATGGCATCTCTCCAGTAAAGCCACCTTAATCATTCTGTTTAAAATTGCAACTCACTCTCCCATCCCCAGCATTCCCTATCTGCCTGTCACCCTTTGTTTCTCTCTGGAGCATTTATGAGCTCTAATATACTACATAACTGACATTTTTCAGGTTATCTGACTCTCCCACTAAGATATCAACTCCATGTGAACAGAGATTTTTGTCCTTTTGGTCTCTGCTGTATCCCCAGTACCAAGAAAGGAAACTTCCATATGGTAGATGTTCAATTACTGTTTTCTGAATAAATATATTAAGATTTGAATTGATAGTAGTTGATCATTTCATAGGTTTTAAAATTCATCTATTGAAATGATTACATATATTTTATTGGGCCTATTGAGGGAATATAATATTTTAATTCCTTTTCTTGTGTTAAATTTTTAATTTGATTTTTTTGAGTAACTCCTTTATTATTTTATGCTTGTTAAAATTTAGCATGCTTGTAATTATTTAGGATACTTATTTGCATTAAATATAAGTAACGTTGATATGTAATTTTCTTTTTTGTGCTCATTTTGTCAGATTTTGTCAAGATCATGCAAATTTTATATGAATGATTGATAAGAGATTTAATATTTCCCATGTTCTGGAGCTATACTTTCCCCATGATTTTTGGCTTATAGTTCATAATGAGGCAAATTTTATAATTTCATTTATTTAGAAAAACATTCATTTTCATTGAGTTTTAAAATTTATCAAGGTAGAAATATGTATAATATGCTCTGAAATATTTCAGTGTTCCCTCTCTCTGTTTATATATATTCTGATTATTAATTTTATAAACTTTTATGTTCCATTTTTTATTGAATATATTTTACATGTATTTTTTGTTTTTTTTTAATTCTTAAAGAGACTCCCCTTTGATGTTTTAAACCAATGTTACTGTTTTGCTGTTTACTTACTAAATAATTTCTCATTTTATTTTTAATAGTTCTCTTTGATGATTTTCTCCTGCATGCTTTTTACCTAATTTTTCTAAACTTCTTGAGTTAAATACTCATTTAATAGATGAATATGCTGTTTTGTTTAATAATGAAATAACATAAAGTTGTAAATTTTCCTCTCACTGTAACATTGGGTGCATTGAATAACTTTGATGTACAGTCCTCTAATTTTAAAATTTCTAATCTATAATTTTAACATTAATTTTCTCTGTGACTCAGAGTCAGAACAGAGAACAGACACTTTAATATCTCATTTGCCCCTTTAGCACCATTTCTAAACAGGTTACCTCTTTTGTAGGTGATGAAAGAGTTTTTGAATTCGTTAATTATTTAATAGTTTTAATGTACTGAAATTTTAAAATCAATTTCTAATATTTCATTTTATTAGGAATATATCCTATGTAACTTTTTACATCATGGAACATATTGCATATTTTGATTTACTGTGTAGTGATGTTTGAAGGCAAAGCATGTTCTCTGTTCATGGAGTAAAAGTTTGAAATGTATTTGGAAGTTTGCTCTTAGTAATTACTATATTTAAGCATTCTACATTGCAGTTTTTTGTCAAAAGCTACAGAGCTGTATAAAATTTACCTTGTAGAATGTGTTTCTGTCTATATTACCTGCTTTTTTATTTTCTTTTTTTAATCAATTTTTATACTATGTCATTTGCCATATAAACATGTTTAGTGATTTATTATCTTTCTTATGAATTACAATTTCTTCAAAGTAAACTTGTATTCTATGGCTTAATGAATATCTTTCACTTCAAATTCTATATTGTCTGCTATTAAAATTGTCACCAGGGTTACTTGTCTCATAAATATTTGCAAACCTGTTTATTTTTAAGCTATCTATATAATTTAATTTTTGTTTTATGTCTTCTTAGCAGCATTTGGTTAGACTTTTTTAATTTAAAAAAGTTTAGCCCCATTTATTATATATATCTTTGCCTGTATATGTTTTTTGTATTTTTATTATACTTTATGCTTTCTCACTTATTTCCAGTGATATAGAAAGTGTGCATTCGCTTTTTAATGTACTAGTGATTTTCTTTACATATAAAAGTCATTCAAACTACATTCCTCTCATTATTACATGACATAAACACAACTTGTCAGACAACTTGTCTGACTATAAAATGATTGTATTATAGGCCTTTCTTCTCCAGTTTTTTTTAAATGATGATTCACTGTTTCCCAAAATTTCCCATTGCAGAACTGTTTAAAGGCAACTCATTTTTTTTTCTTTTTCCGCTTCTATTTTAGGCTCAGGAGCCACAAGTGCAAGTTTGTTACCTGAGTATATCGTGTAATGCTGAAGTTTGGGGTATGAATGATCCCCTGGCCCTGGCAGTGAGTCATCGTACCTAGCAGTGTTTTAGCCCTCGCCTCCCTCCTCCCACTAGTAGCCTCCAGCATCTAGTGTTGCCATCTTTGTGTCCATAAGTACCTGATATTTAGCTTAAATAAAGATATTTGTTATATGATATAAATCACTAAACATGTTTATATGCCAAATGGCATAACATAAAAATTGATATTTAAAAAAGAAAATTAAAAAGCAGGTAATATAGATAGAAACACATTCTACAAAGGAAATTTTATACAGCTCTGTAGCTTTTGACAAAAAAGAAAAGATACAATATAGAATGCTTAAATATCGGAGTTGTGTTTATGTTGTGTTTATGTCATGTAATAATGAGAAAAATGTAATTTGAATGATTTTTCAATATGTAAAGGAAATCACTAGTAAATTAAAAATAGAATGGAAACATGGATGGCCTCCAGCTCCATCCACGTTGCTGCAAAGGACATGATTTTGATCTTTGTTAAGGCTGCATGGTATTCCATGGTATATATATTCCACATTTTCTTTATCCAGTTTATTATTGATGGGCACCTGGGTTGAGTCCATGTGTTTGCTATTGTGAATAGTGTTGCAATGAACATGCAAGTTCATGTGTCTTTTTGGTAGAATGATTTGTTTCCTTTGGATATTCATAGAGTAATGGGATTATTGGTTCAACTGGTAGTTCTGAGTTCTTTAAGAAATCTTCAAACTGCTTTCCACAGTAACTGCACTAATGTACATTTCCACCAACAGTGTATAAGCGTTCCCTTTTCTTTGCTGCCTCGCCAACATCTGAGACAACTCATTTTCTATCTTTGTCAGTCACCTGTTCCTCCCTTGTCACTTGAAGAATTTTTTCTTTATTCTTAGATTTTAACTTTTGTGCCAGAGGGTATCTATATCTCCTTTCTTGGTAATTTTGCCGAGAATTTCATCTAACTATCCTAGTATTTTGAACTCCATACAATTGTATTCCACTGTGACAGATTAATTCTTCTATTTCAGTTATTCTATTATTGTCTTCTATTTCAGTTATTCAGTTATTGTCCTCCTCTAGAATATCTATACATTTTTACCTTGTTATTTCTCTTTTAGACCAGATTAGTCTTATGTCAATTTTAGTATCAACTTGACTGGATTAAGGAATACCTAGAAGCCTGGTAAAGAATTATTTTGGGGTGTCTGTGAGGGTGTTTCTAGAGAAGATTAGCATGTGAGTCTGAGGGGACCAGGTAGGAAAGAACTGCCCTCAGTGTGGGAAGGTGTCGTTAATCTGCTGGGGGTCTGGAGGGAACAAAAACAGAGAAAAGGTGAATGTGTTGATCTGTCTGCTGCAGCTGGGATACACTCTTTTTCTCCTGTCCCTATGCAACAACTCCAGGCTCCCTGGCCTTTAAATTCCAAGACTTACACCAGTGGCCCCCTGGGTTCTCAGGCCTTTGGCCTTGGACTGTTACCCCATCAGCTTCCCTGGCTCTGAGGCCTTCTGACTTGGACTGAGTTTGATGTTTTCAGCATTGCAGGGTCTCCAGCTTGCAGATGGCTTGTCCTGCAACTTCTCAGCCTCCATAATTGTGTGAGCCAATCCTAACAAATCTCCTCTCATATATCATGTATATCCTATTGACTCTGTCTCTTTGGAGAACCCTGACTAATACAAATTTTAACATGGTATATGTATGCCCTTAATAGCACCCATAGATTTTCCCCATAGCTGCTATCACAGTTTTAATGTGTATTTTGTGAATATTTATTAAGTGCCTATCTCCTTTACAGTGTGTGAGTGCAATTATATAGCTGAATCCATGTATCATGTGTTCACCACTGTATTCCAACAGCCCAGCACATCATAGGTGATAAAAAATATGTATTGAATGAATGCATCTTTCTGGTCTTGCACATAGCCATTTTATTTTTTTACCCAATTAATTCATCTCTTTTCTTTGTCAAGTTTTGCCACTGTAAGTTTAAGGCCATTAGAATTTTTTCTTAACCAGTCTCCTTTTCTATCTCATTATTTTATAATTGTATATAATTCAATTTTTCTATCATCTCAGTCTATTCTTGTCTCAGTTTTCAGCCCATTTCCTATGGCCTTATCTTCTTATATGCTATTTCAGTTGCTAAATTTTTAGCCAAATTGCCAAAATCTGTTAAGGATCCATAAAAGACAGTGGTTCCCAAATAGATGTTCAAATCTAGAGTCACCAGGGAAACTAAAACCAATGAACCAACCAACAAAAGTTCATGTATTTGTGGACTCCAATAACATCGTCAATAACTCTGGAATAGATCCTAGGGGGACATATTTTTTTCTGTGTGCAGAATCCCAGGTCTCATTACAGGAAAGTAAATATAAAACTACAATTCCTAGCATGCACTGTTACCAGAGCTCTTCATGTCTCTACACCTGACCAGAGAGAACACTACCTCCAGGAAGCAATGTCCCACAAGCTTCACCCCTCACTCCATCCCCAGTTTCTTTTCTGTTACATTCTAAGGGCTACAGATTCTTCTGGGATTTTGGCAATAGATTCCTGGTTTTAGTTGACAGGCTTGTTATGAGTTTTCATCTTGTATTAAATACAACACACACACACACACGCACACACATATATAGCATGGTAGTATGGGAGGCTAAATGAATCAAGGTGTACCAGGAAGCAATTACTTTGAACCATAATCCTGATCATGTGATAATGCTTAGCATGGAGTGTCAAAACTGGATCAGGATGAGAATGGCTTTTACTCAGGGAGCAGCCTGATATGCGTACTCAGAGCTCGAGCAGTATGAGGAGGACATCCACAAGGAGGCCCATCTGCCATGGTGTGCCAGTGCTAGAGCAGCATGGGAAGGGCTTCACTTGGTGAAGCTTTATTCATGTGAATAAAACATGAAACTATGAGTCAACAGACATAAATTCATACATGAATCAACTGACATTTTGATAAGGAATGAGATATTTACATAGTTTCAAGATAGAGAGCTTAGTTTTCAAGCCTACAATTTATAATTCAGGCTGGAAAACACTGATTTAAACAATGGGGAAACCATGTGCAGCGTATCCCTAAAGAGTTGGCATTGGATTGATAATATTTTCTGGTTAAGCTCATACCTGATTTTTCAGTGTCTTATTACGCCCTGGTTCTCAAACTTAAGCATGCATCAGAATCACCTGGAGGACTTCTTAAAACACACATTGCAAGCCCCATCCCTCAGAGCTTCTGATTGAGTAATCTGGGGGTGGGTATCCTGGAATTTGCAATTTGCAATTTTGATGTCCAAAAAGTTCCCAGGTGATGCTGATGGTCCAGACCACACAATGACAACGAGTCTTACATTACCAAGCTTCCCTCTGCCTCCAGATATATCTCTATATCTATATCTATAGATATAGATATGCAACTCTCCCATCCCCCAACATAGTCTCACCCATACCCTAGACTTGGGCCATACTAGAATTCTGGGCACATTTCTTATAATGGCATGCCTTTTCCTACTTTCATAACTTTATTCATTATAGTCTCTCTGTTAGTAATGTCTTCTCCTGACAGCCTCAAGAATGGCCCTAGGAGACCTCCCTCTTACATGGGCTGGTGCCAGGCAGTGACTGAGCACAACAGGACACTAAGGCAGATCCATGCCTAGAGGTTTTGACTCAAGGACTCCCCAGTGGCCTTGCCAAACTTCTAGACTGCAAGGTGGCCTGGGACAATTCCACCAAGCTTCCTTTCTTCTCTCCTTCACAAGGTCACATTTAAGTCACAATATTATGGCTCTTCTGCCTTCTCATATCTCCTTTACCACAAACAATGCTTGCTCTCAAACCAAAATTGCTGAGAAGAAAAGGTTGTAGAGGTTAGATCAGTTAAGAAGGAACTGAGGTGGCACCTGTGCTAACACCTAGGGATGAAGTAGGGCTATAAGTAGAAGACAGGGAGAGTGTTTTGGAATAAAAGTAACAGTCTGCTTGGAATAGAGAGTAAAATTCTCTCTTTGGGTTCTTTATGGAATATCCTTTTAATTCACAATGCATGGGAGGCTTTGGAAAGAGAGAGACCAGGAGTGGAACCTCCAGCTGGCCACTTAATAACTCTACAACTTCAGGTAAATCACTTAAGCTCTTCACTCAGTTTCTTATATGTAGAAATGAGGATGAAAAGGATTGTGGTATATTAGAGTCACTAGCTCAACTTCCAGCATAGAGTAGGTTTTAAACAAATGTTAATTCTCCCTTGCCCTTGAATAGTTGATATTCTGAAAGGTAAAAACAAATAAGAGGAATGTAAAGAACATGGCTGTGCTTTGGTCAAGGATAGGCCAAGGTAGGATGTTTACATTGTACATGACTCAATGATTTTAGAGCGCAGGCATATAACTCCGCTTGTTATCACAGCCATGTAGCCATAACATGGGAAGGCTCATCATTTGGCTCTAAGCCACTATTGTCTGTAAAAGGTATAATTGCCCTGCTAACACTGTACAGGCATGCTTGCACCCAGAGAAGGAGAGAGAGAGACAGTCAGAGCTGTGTGTCTTTGCAGATGGACAGTGGGGAGCCAGAACACAGCTCCGCTCGCTCATACCCAGAGAGAGAAAGAGTTAAGCTGCTGACCCTGACGGCAAGAGAGAGCCAACCGTGCAGCTGTGTGTGGGAGTAGCCAGCTCAAGCAGCTGAGACAAGGCGAACAGTGTAGAAGAACTAGTGTGAGTAAGCTGCTGATGAGAGAGCTGCTGAATAAAACTGCATTTCACCTGCCTACGGCCCCCTAAGTGTTCTTTCAGCTATCTGCTCATCTACCCACTCCCTTCAGACCTCAGCATGAGCTGGAACCTAACCCTGGCCATAACAGTTGGCTTAGTTGTGAACCTGACAAGGAAGAAAATGGGTTTAAAGATACCAGAACTCACATGCAGTTCCATATAGTAGACAGTGGCAAGCATGACTTGCCCTGAGATTCTGGCACAGTTCATCAGTGATACCACAATCTCCTGCTCTCATCACATGTTAAGATAAGAATCTGGCAGTCTAATCATGGTCCCTATAGTTCTCTAGTGATTGAAAGGTAAAGCAGACAATGCTAAGCATTGAAACACTGCAGAAAAAACATGTAAGAATATACTAAACGCATCCTTTACTAAAACATAATTAGAGCTAACATTTGTTAAGCTTTTGCTGCATGCCAGTCAGTGTGCTAGGCACCTTATGATGCAATCTCATTAACTCTTCTCAGTAACTCTGGGAAGTAATCCTGTTATTATCCCCATCTTACAGATGAAAACCTGAGACCCAGAGCAATTATGTAATTTTCCTAAAGTCACTTACAGTAAGTGGTAAATCTGAGATATGACCCTGAGAGTGTGATTAGATTCATAATCATAATATTGTATTGTCAAGAAACATCAAATTAAAAAGCAGTTTGTTTTATTGTTTAACAGCTTTATTGAAATATGATTGATATACAAAGAACTACGTATATTTAATATGTTCAATTTGAAGAGTTTGGACAATCCAAACACAATATACCATCACCACATCAAGGAAATAGACATGTCCAACACCTCACAAATTTTCCTTATTTCCCTTTGTTTTTTTGTTTTGGGGAGTATTTTTGTTTGATTTTGTTTTGTTTTGGCAGTAAAAACACTTAATATGAGATTCATCCTCTTAAATTTTGAAGTGTGCAATACTGTATTGTTAACTATAGGCACTACTCTGTACAGCAGACGCCTAGAGCTTATTCACCTAGCATAAATGAAACTTTATGCCACTGAACAACAATTCCCCATTTCTCTTACTCCCCTGCCCCTGGCAACCACTACTGTATTCTCTGTTTCTAAGAGTTTGACTATATTAGATACCTCATGTAAGTAGAATCAAGCAGTATTTGTCTTTCACAAATACTACTTATTTCACTTAGCATAATGTCCCCTAGGTTTATTGATGTTGTCACAAACAGCAGGATACCCTTCTTTTTTAAGGCTTAGTAATATTTATTGTACGTGTATGCTACATTTCTCGTTCTATTCATTTGTTGATAGAGACTTAGATTGTTTCCATATCTTGGTTACTGTGAATAATGGTGCAATGAACATGGGAGTGCAGATATGTCTTGGAGATAATAATTGTATTTCCTTTGGATATATACACAGAAGTGGGATTGCTGAGTCATAAGTTAGCTCCATTTTTACATTTTTGTGGAACATCCATACTGTTTTTCATAGCTGCTGCAAAATTTTACATTCTCACGAACAGTGTACAAGGATTCCAATTTCTCCACATCATCACCAATGCTTTTTATGTTTTTTTATAGTAGCCATCCTAACAGGTGTGACATGATATCTATCTTATTGTAGTTTTGATTTGCATTTTTAAATAATTAATGATGTTGAGCATTTTCCTTAGTATACCTGTGGTCCATTTGTTTGCCTTCTTTGGAGAAATGTCTGTTCAAGTCTTTTGTCTATTTTTTAATCATGTTATTTGGGTTGGTTTTTTTTTTTTTTTTTTTTTTTGCTATTGAGTTGTAGAAGTTTCATGTGTATTTTAGAAATTAACCCCTTTTAGGTATATGGTTTGCAAATATTTTCTCCCATTCCATAGACTGCATTTTATTCTGTTAAATCTTTCCTTTCCTGACATGAACAGACACTTTTCAAAAGAAGGCATATATGCAGCCAAGAAGCATATGAAAAAATGCTAAACATTAACCATTAGAGAAATGCAAACCAATACCACAGTGAGATACCATCTTTCATCAGTCAGAATGCTATCATTTTAAAAGTCAAAAAAATAACAGATTCTGGTGAGGCTGCGGAGAAAAGGGTGGTAGTATAAGTTAGTTCAGCCGTTGCAAAAGGCAGTGTGGTGATTCCTCAAAGAGCTAAAAACAGAATTACCATTTGACCCAGAAATCCCATTATGGGATATATACCCAAAGGACTATAAATTGTTTAACCATAAAGACACACATGCATGTGTATGTTCGTTGCAGCACTATTCACAATACCAAAGACATGGAATCAACCTAAATGCCCATCAACAGTAGACTGGATTAAAAAAAAAAAAAAGGTGTTACATATACACCATGGAATACTATTCAGCCATAAAAAAGAATGAGATCATGTTCTTTGCAGCAACATGAGTGGAGCTGGAAGCCATTATCCTAAGCGACCTAACACAGGAACAGAAAACCAAATACTGCATGTTCTCACTTGTAAGTGGGAGCTAAACATTGGGTACTCATGGACACAAAGAAGAGAACAGACACAGTACCTACTTTAGGGTGGATGGTGGGAGGAGGGCGAGAACGGAAAAACTACCTATCCAAGTACTATGCTTCTTACCTAGATGATGAAACAATCTGTACATCAAAACCGATGACACACAGTTTACCTATATAACAAACCTGATGTGTACCCCTGAACCTAAAAGTTAAAACATCCTTTGCTGGTACAGAATTGTTTTACTTTGATATAATCCTACTTGTTTATTTTTCCTTTCACAGCCTGTGCTTTTGGTGTCATATCCAAGAAGTCATTTTTAAACCAACGACAAGAAGATTTTACCCTATGTTTCCTTCTAAGATTTTTAGAGTTTCTGTTCTTACAGTTAAGTCTTTAATTCATTTTGAGTTTATTTTTGTGTGCGATGTAAAGTAAGGCCCCAATTTCATTATTTTGCATGTGTATATCCAGTTTTCACAACCCAATTTTTTGAAGAAACTATCCTTTTTCCATCGTGTATTTTTGGCATTCTTAACAAAATCAGTTCACCATATATATGTGGGTTTATTTAAAAATGTGTACATCATAGGCTTTAAAACCACATTATGGCCTATTAAAGACATGAGAGATCATGTAAACTTTAAAACAACTGCTAAAATTTTGGCGTGTTTGGTTTTTTAGAATGTGATTTCCACCATGATTTGGCCAATCCAAGTAATTTGGAAGATTTCTTTGGAAAGGGTGGGGATAAGGGATTTTTTTTTTTTATAGTTTAAGTTCTAGGGTACATGTGCACAACATGCAGGTTTGTTACATAGGTGTACATGTGCCATGTTGGTTTGCTGCACCCATTAACTCATCATTTACATTAGGTATTTTTCCTAATGCTATCCCTCCCCCTACCCCCCACCCCCCGACAGGCCCCGGTGTGTGATGTTCCCCGCCCTGTGTCCAAGTGTTCTCATTGTTCAGTTCCCACCTATGAGTGAGAACATGCGGTGTTTGGTTTTCTGTCCTTGTGATTGTTTGCTCAGAATGATGGTTTCCAGCTTCATCCGTGTCCCTGCAAAGGACATGAACTTGGGATGAGGGATTAAGTAAAGAGTATGAGGTACATGAGAAGGTAATACTTCAAGGCGGGAAAAGGAATGGCTGTCCAAAGCCTCTAGATCACTGTCATTCTCTATCCATCTACTGCCCCTGTGACTTTTTTATTTTGTACTTTTATCTTAGTGTCTTGGATATCACCAAAAATTTCAAATATTATTTTACATGCATGTGCTTGCATACACACACACACACACACACACACACACACACACCCCTTGTAATTCTAGAAGCTAATGTTAAACATAGGAGTTGGCTTGTCTGTCAGATTACTAAAGAGCAGAAACACTTGGAAAAAATATGGATAATCCTGTTTAAAGCTACTTATGAATAATGGAATGTAATAAACATCAGCTTTAAATAGAAGGATAATTATATAGAGAGATTTTTAAGTAATTTTCAAAAAGTAATAGGTCCAAAATAACCTATTAAGGGTCAATGATTCCCACCACCTTCAATGTGCAATTCAATTCAATAAACATTTACTGTACATTGACATTATTAAACCAAACCTCCAAGACTTAAAAGAGGTGATGAGCTATTTGTGTAGATATGCAGGGAAGAGCATTCCAGGTATTATAGATACATCATAAGTTCAAAGACCCTATGAGGAAGCATGCCTAGTATGTTTGAGTGTGTGTCATAGGTATAAAATCAGAGTACATCCTCCCATTTTGGTTTAAAGAATGAAAACTTAATTGCTTTACCACAGTAATTTGAATTTTTATAAATTAAATGGAACCATAAAACCTAAAACGTAGTTATTAGAAATATTTTTAAAACAGATACGTGTTGAGCTAATTCTTCTAGAAAAAAATAGCAAATATTTGGGATGCAATGCAATGCAAAAGAAAGATGAGACTGTGCTTAGCTGTGCCTCTGGTGTGCTTAGTAGATCAATGGTGGCTCTCAGCACCTGCGGCCATTGGCTGCCAACACAGTCCTCTGCCTACAGCCACCTGTTAATTTAGGCAACAGGATTCAGAATTCTCTGAAGTGGCTGGGGCTCTGCTGTTTGGAATTTTGATAGCAAAAGAATCCTTCCAAGAAATCAGAGTTGCTGTACTCCACAGAACATGAACATCCTCAGGCCATCCTGAATGACATTTGCAGCAGGTGTCTAATTAGAAACTGTAAGTTCTCTTGTGAGCATCTCTAATGAGAGTATCTGTGATTGTTGATACAACACTCTCACTGAACTCCTTCTTCCAAATATGGAGCATTAGATTTGGTATAATACAACTCATGTGTGTTATGTATATACTTTTTTTTTCATAAGACTCCTGCAGCCACCTTGTAAGGTACATAAAAGATGTACGAGCTCCATTTTACTGTTAAGATTTCTGGCCAGGGCATCTACATCTGCTTGAGGAGGTTATTCATTACAGAAAGAGACACAACTAAGGAGTAAGAGAAGGCTGAGATCCATCCCACATTCTGTTCATCAAGCCTAGTGCCAGCTGGGCTACACCCACAAAGACAGGGGAGCCTTTTCCTAATTTGTATATAAGAACCATATGGGCTAGAGGTAGCCCTGTGTCTGAGACTTGGGATTAAATGACTTGCCCAAGATCCATCCAGGAATTAACAACTCCTTTTTCTCTCCTAATCACATTTCTCTGAATTAAATCTGCATTCCACTACAACACACTAAAACAGACTTCAAGGCGTTGTTAACACAGATAAATAACCTTCCTTCTCAGAACATTTTGCAAGCATCAAGTTCGTTGACTTCCATCACACTTTTAGGTCTTTTTCCAGTTTTATGTTGTCTTTTTCTTTATTAGACACCCTATAGAGTCTGCTAATCACAAGCTGACACAGATACTCAGTAAAGAAAAGGGTTTTACAAACCGTGGGACTAATTTGGGCTGTATAAATATGTTAATATCAATTACAGAAGTAGATGAAAAGAAAATTCGATGCTATCATGATTTTACTAAAAGTGATGTTTCTAAGTGATTTGACATGTAAAATTTGCCCTCATACATTATATCGGATGTTTATATCCTTGAATTTCAGTGATCACTAAGCAGATATTTTTCACTTTGAGATTTACAAATCTCTGAGGCCTCTCAAGGGTTAAAGCATGGAACAGGCATGTTAGAAAACTTTGCTGACAGTTTGACACTTGTACTCCCCTTTATTTTACACATAATCCTCAGACACCTGGAAGGTAAGACACCACCTCCTGCAGGTAACCTCCCTCCCTCCTTCAGTCTGAGTTTGATGCCTCCATCTATGTTCTGACAGTTCCTCTTGGAGGGCTTTTGCCATGCTGCTGCCTCTGATCATGTGTTTACTTTTCTGTCTTCTCCAATAAGTGATAACTCCTAGGGAACAGAGACTTTGTCTTTTTTGTTTTTGTATTCACAACATATAACACAAAGTAGATGGTCAATATATTTTTACTGAATGAATGAGTGGAAGATAAGATAATGGTAGATCTGTTCCTGTAGACCTAAATTTATAAATAAAGAGTGTACTTTTACACATCCTTCCCCAGAAATCTATAAAAGATATCACAAATCGATAAAAAGTTAGAAGACACACAAGTGCATGGACAGAGGCACTGCTTGAGACCGCTCTTAACCTGCATTGGGTTCTCAAGGTGAGCCTGCCTATCGCTACACTATAAAACAGGAAATAGGAAAGAGATGAAAGCATGGGATGAATAGGATGAAAAATGAGGGGAAATGTGTAGATAAACACATGCATAGGAACAATGAAAATATCTATAACCCTGTCCCCAGTCTAGTAAACTTGAAAGGAGGAAACCTAATAGAAAGCATAGGTTTCAGTCCCCTCTTGCATTCCTTGTTATTACTAACTCTCTTCTCTTCCAAGATATAAACAGGCAAGTTGACCTTTCCAAGCATCAAACTTCCCATGGATAAAACAATGAGACTTAACTAAAGTCTTTTCTAACCCTAATTTTCCATGAACTGTAAGAATTTTCACTGCTGTCAGTTCCTTATACTTCTGCCAATATTCCAGAAGGGGGCAGCATTTATTCACAGTAGGGGAACCAAGGAAAAGTTTTACTTCTGCTAGCCTTCAAAGCAATGAAGATTGGGAAGTTAGATGAAAGGGGCATTTGAACTCTTTCTTGAGTTTGGTATGAGTACAGAAGGATGTCAAGAGTTGGAAAGTTAGCAAAAATCCTGGTATCTACCCTGCCGTAAGGGCATTTAGCAAGGAGCCAGGCAAATAGCTCTGAGAAAGAGATTCATTCCCTCTGTTTACTTGCCATTGACCGCAGATGCTGAGTACAGTTTCTGGCATGTAGTAGGTGCTCAATAAATGAATGATTGACAAGAAGAGGTGAGTAATAAGGCCTCAGGGCTAGCCACAGGCATAAGTATGAAACAGGCAAATCTATCTTTGGAGCTTCTCTTTTTTTAGGGTTCATCCCTCCTTCTATGACCCTAATGCAGTTCTGTACATCTGTAGCTCTCTTATCTTTACACCCTTCTTCTTTACAATTATTGACTCATCCATTCATTTACTTAAATGTTTCAAACACTTGATACATATACCAGATTTTACTTTGATTCCTCTTCCCTGACAAAATACACCCTAGTTAACCTTATGCCTTTAGATACAACAGTTCCTAAGGGCAACTGTATTGAGAAGCAGAGTTAGGGCTGGGGTTGATCTTCATCTTAATATACTCAAGGAAATGTACGTTACAACAACAACAAAAAAGTGAATCTCTAATACTGGGCACATCAGGTAGTGAAGATGATAATTTGGGATAAGAGGATCTGTTCAGATCCCCTTAAATCCTATATGAACTTCCTTAAGGGTAGCCTTGATTGCTTTGTTCCAAAACTGAGCATTGGGAGGGACATAGGAACTTTAGAGATCACGTATTCCACCTGCTTCGTTTTGTACATGAGGAATGAAGCCTAGAGGGATTATTCCTTTCCCAAGGAAATACACTGCTGACTAGCTGCAGAGCAAGGTCTAGAATCAACTCTCCATGACCCCTTCCAGTGCTCTCTCTAGGGATCTGATACTCTTTTTCTTTTTCTTATTCTTCTGCTTCTTTTTTTTTTTTTAACAAAATTCCTACCCACTCACTGTTTATTACCTGAGTTTTTTAACAGGCTTTATTTTTAGAATAGTTTTAGATTCACAGAAAAAACGTGCTTACCAATAAGTTATTTCATGGATTGTCTTTTTGATATAGTATCTAAAAAGTCGTCATCAAATCTAAGTTGTGAGGTGGGGGGAGGGGGGAGGGATAGCATGAAGAGATATACCTAATGTTAAATGACCAGTTAATGGGTACAGCACACCAACATGGCACATGTATACATATGTAACAAACATGCATGTTGTGCACATGTACCTTAAAACTTAAAGTAAAATAAAAAAAATTTCTCTCCTAGTCTATGTTCTTAGTGTTTTACAGTTTTGTGTTTTACATATAGGTCTATGATCCATTTCGAATTAATTTTTGTGAAGGGTGTAAGATGTGTATCCAGATTCATTTGTTTGCATGTGGATGGCCAGCTCTCCAGAACCATTGGCTACCTTTGCTGCTGCATTTTTTTTTCCTTTCCTCCTTTGTCAAGATCAGCTCACCAAATTTGTGTTGGTTTATTTTGAGGCTTTTCTTTCTTTTTTTTTTTTTTTTTTTAGATGGAGTCTCACACCGTCGCCAGGGCTGGAGTGCAGTGGCTCAATCTCGGCTCACTGCAACCTCCGCCTCCCAGGTTCAAGCAATTCTCCTTGCCTCAGCCTTCCAAGCAGCTGGGATTACAGGTGCCCACCACCACACCTGGCTAATTTTTTGTATTTTTAGTAGAGATAGGGTTTCACTACGTTGGCCAGGCAGGTCTCAAACTCCTGACCTCATGATCCGCCCACCTCATCCTCCCAAAGTGCTGGGATTGCCAGCATGAGCCACCATGCCTGGCCTATTTCCCTATTCTTTTGCCAATACCAACCATATGATCTTGATTACTGTGCCTTTATAGTAAAGCTTAATGTTGGGTAGTGTTAACTGCCCAACTTTGTCTTCTTCAAAATGTTGTCGTTTATTATGGATTTTTTTACCACTCCATATTAACTTTAGAAACAATTTCTCAATATCCACAAAATCGCTTCTTGGGATTTTTATGGAGATTGCATTGAATCTATAGATCAATTTGGGGAGAAAAGACATCTTGACAATCTTGACATCTTGACAATACTGACTCTTTACATGAACATAAATTTCTCTGTTTATTTAGTTCTTTTTTGATTTCTTGCATCAGAGTTTTGCAGTTTTCCTCACATAGATTTTGTTTATATTTTGTTACAGTTTTGCCTAAGTATTTCATTTTGGGGTGTGCTATTTTAAATGATATTGTGCTTTTAATTTCAATTTACAGTTGTTCATTGCTGGTATATAGGAAAGCAATTGACCTTTGTATGTTATTCTTGTATACTACAATCTTTCTGTAATTGCTTGTTAGTTCCAGGAAGTTTCTTTTGTTAAATCAGATTTTGTTAAATCAGATGGACAATCATGCCATCTGTAAACAAAGGCAATTTATTTCTTCCTTCCCAATCTGTAAACCTTATTTCTTTTTCTTGCCTTATTGCATTAGCTAGGATTTTCAGTATGATGTTGAAAAGGAAGAGTGAACCAGGATTGCCTTCTTCCTGATCTCAGCAGGAAATCTCCCAGTTTATAACTATTGAGTATGGTGTTAGCAGTGGGGTTTTTACAGATGTTCTTTATCAAGTTGGAGAAATTCTCTATTCCTAGCTTGTAGAGAGTTGTTTTTTTTTTTTTTTTAAGTCATGAATGGGTGTTGGATTTTGTCAAATGCTTATTCTGCATTTATTGTGATTACGTATTTTTTTCTTTAGTCTGTTGATGCCATAGATTACATTAATTGATTTTCAAATGTTGACTCAACCTTGCACATCTGGAATAAATCCCACTTGGTCAAGGTGTATAATTCTCTTTACACATTGCTGGATTTGATTTGCTAGTTTGTTTTTAGAGTGATTACTAGATTCCTCAATGCATCTATTTCCTTTTTCTCCAAAATGAGAATAATAATCCTTGTTCCAGATACTCCTCAAAAAGCTCTGTATCACTAATCTGCAGGAATGATAAAAGCCCATTAGCTCAGGAGTTTAGCCTGATTTTGAGATTGGCTCTGCCATGCTCCAGCTGTGTAAACCTGGGCCAGTCATTTACCCTCCTGAGCACAGTCACTCACTTCTCATAAACACTAATGACATCCAAAAATGGCATTTTAAAGCAGCTTCTCAGAATTTCAACTACATCACGAATTCACTTCATTTTGATTAAGATGATTAAATGCCCCATGTATATGAAATACTTATTTTTCTCTCCTTTATTTTGCTATCTGATTGCACTTCTCAGTAAAGCAGTGTTGATCAACACTGGCCATGCACTCTGTGTTCTAGAAAACTTGAGCCATAATGTACCTTTAATATATCACCATTATTAGGAACACCATCACACTGTTTTCTTTTCATATTCTCTTTTAGTCGTTGGATGCTCATCAAGGCCATTCCTAGGGCACAATTTTATTTCGGTGAAATTGAATGTTAAAGTACACCAAGAGCAGCCCAGAGAAAGAAAATACATCCCAAAACAGCAATAGGCAATGTGACAATTAAAGGCTTTTCTGTAAGTGTAGAATAGCTTTCCCTTCTAAGTGTGGAATAACCCCTCTGCATTAGCATCTATCTGAGTGGTGCTAACATCCCCCCACTGAGTTTCTTATTAGAAGCTTCCTTTAGGGACTGTCCAGTCACATGGTCCCTTGACGTGGGTGCCCCACAATGAACACACACACACACACACACACACACACACACACACACCATTTATGGCCTAGAGCAGTTTATCCATTTCCCATACTTTAAAACCGTGGTTTTCTGAAGCTTCTCTTATGCAGATCCTTTCATAAAAGAAAGTCCTCTTTGTCACAAAATATAGGAATTACATAATCTCAGAGTAAATGGTCTTGCTTTCAATTGAATAAATTTAGCCATAAGAAAAAGTCTCTATGTTATGCTTATTATTTTCACTTTACCTCACACCAGTGAAATCTTGTCATAGACCTGTGTTTGGAAACCACTGGCAGAGGGACAGCTCAATTAATAAGCTATATAGAGAACTGGGAAAGGCTGACTCACCTCACTAAGGTGAGCAATGTTCTAGTATAGATAAACCCCAGAGAATACCCAATTCCAGAAGGACAGTTTAGGATCAACCTCAATATTTTAAGTGCTTAAGACCACTGTGCATCTAATAGGCATTGTACAGCAAAGCAGAAGGGAGTGTTGATTAAGTCACCCAGGCTTCCTTCTCCTCATTTTGCAGAGATCATCCTTAACAGTAGAACAGGAGGCCCAGTGTTTCATTACCTTTATGTCTATTATTTCAATATAATTGTTCCCCAAATATATCTGAGGTATTCTGGCCAATGTCATAGAACACCAAGTGTGAGATTAACTCCTGATAATGTTTACTTGTTTGCTTGTTTTGAGAACAGAACCCACCTCAGTTACTCTGTGGCCATGGCATAGAGTGTGACCTCTCAGTGTTTTAGGCATGGTCGAGAGTAGGACCACACACAGTCCCTGCCCTTGAGATCCTAACTTTTCAAGTTTACATACATACACATAGCACACATAGTGTTACAGACACTGGCATACAAAATGTTTAGTCCTATAATTTGGTTTTGATGTCTGCTTTAATTCCTTAGTAGGAAGGGAGGGAGAGAAGGAGGGAGGGAGAGAGGGAGGGAGGGAGGGAGGGAGGGAGGAAGGAAGGAAGGAAGGAAGGAAGGAAGGAAGGAAGGAAAAGAGGGAGGGGAGGGAAGGGTACAAGAGGGGAGGGGAGGGGAGGGAAAGCAATGATGGTAGTTCCCAGAAAGAAGGGCAATGCCTGGTCAAAGATTTATGGGAAGTGAGAGCCCTGATCTTGCCCAGCTCATCCGGGAATTATTCTTGCTGGAGGGTTATTTGTTAACTGCTGTCTGGTCAGCTTTTCCAGGGAGTCTAATCCTCACATTTACAGACACCAAAGCCAAGCCAAGATTGTTTTCCATGAATAGGGATTTATAGAATGAGGCTACTTTAGGCATTGTTTAGTATTTGGTGAACATTTTACTTCGTATTTAAGAACAGAGTCAGTACAGGAAAAAAAAAGTGGTAATATTACCATAGTTTGGAAAGCACTAATTTTAAAAATATTTTCTTCCTTTGCAGCATAGATATGGCCCTATGTGACAGAGGGTATGAAATGGTTAAACACTCAAACCTCTGAACTCCTACAGTCATGAAGGACTTCCACTGATGTTTCTGAGTAAATATGATAACCATGTTTCTGTGTAATAGAAGGCTACATTTTGGATAGGAAATAACAGTAACAACAATAGTAATGGCAGCTAGCATTTATTGAAATCTTCCTACATGCCATCCACTGTCCTAAGCATACCACAGGTGGTATTGCATTTAGTCCTCATGATATACCAGAGAATTAAATAACGTAATTATGTCCATTCTACAGCTGAGGAAACTGTTTCCTAGAGAGTTCAAGTAACTTATTTATAATTAAGCATATAGTAAAGATGGAAGCAGGGCTTGAACCCAAGCCTTATGCCTCACAGTGATTATATATTTCTATCCAGTCTAATAGTTAATTTTCTCACTAAATTTGGAAATGGATAAAGCACCCTTTCAGTTACTCTGAGCTTGAAAGTCAAACAGATTTTAATCTTGATTGTGTGACCTTATAAAAGTAACTGAATTTCTCTGAGCCTTAGTATTTTATTTTATTTGTAAAATGAAATGGAAATGATTATACCATTCTGAAAGATTACTGTGAAAGTGAGAGATAATACATAGCAGCCATTCCATACAGGGAAAGTATTGCCACAGCACAGGCAGGACACAGACTTTCGTGATTAAGGAGGAAAAAAAACCACATGAACAAGAGACACAGAGTCCAGGCACTCAGGGCAGGCACTCAGGGTAAAGGGTGATCAGTAGTAGGTCATCTTGAGAAAGATTGAAGAAAGTAATTTCCCTTTAAGCAACTCAGTTGATATAGTATACTTTGAAAAAACTTGCAAAATAAGAAGAGACTACGGGTAACATCATCACAAAACAAAACAAACGCAAATAAAGAGGATCAGTAGACCTCATACAAAGAAAAAAACAAACAAACAAATCCCCAAACATTATGAAAGATTACTTCTGAGCCATACCCAGCCAAATTAATTCACATAGTAAGAAGGAATTGGCTGGGGATGGTGGCTCATGTCTGCAATCCCAGCGTTTTGAAAGGATCTCTTGAGGCCAGGTGTATGAGACCAGCCTGGACAACATAATGAGACTCTGTCTCTACAAAAAATAAAAAATTATCCAGGTGTGGTGGCATGAGCCTGTGGTCCCAGCTACATAGGAGACTGAGGAGGGGAGGGTTGCTTGAGCCCAGGAGGTCAAGGCTGCAGTGAGCCATGATCATGCCACTGCCCTCAGCCTGGATGACAGAGCGAGACCCTGTCTCCAAAAACATAAAATAAAATAAATGTTTTAAAGGAGGAATTGAAGCTTATATCAGAACCCATTTGCCTGTCATATATAATTCAATAGCCACATAACTAGCATAAGTTAAAATTTATGCCAAACCATAGTTCTCATCCTGTGTTATGGAGGAGTCATCTGTGACTCCTTTGTCACAGAGCTCTGTTGAAGCTCTGGGTTAAAGAATCCTAGTAAAACCCTAGACCAAGTGGACATCCACTGACCATTGCAGTTAGGAATCCAGTGTGCAGTGTGGGAAAATGAGACAGATGATCTTCTAGAAGATCACCGTGGCCTGGTCTCCTTTCCCATTCTAATCCAGTTCCACAGCCTTTCTACTGTGGACACATTAAAGATCAAAGATGAAAAGGAAAACAAGAACTTTAGGGACAGTGGAAATGACAGCACCAGCAGCAAAAGTAAAATCTAAAGTAGGTGAAGACGGAATCTGCTGGACTAGCCGCAGAAATCTTCATGAGCATTTTGCTACCTTAAGTTAGATTCTTCCATTGTAGAGGTCCCTATCTTCACAACGTATAGTAATGAAAAGATAAAATGAACACAAATAAGGCCTGTTATTTACTAGTTTGTTTTGTGTACACAAATTGTGCATTCAAAAAGCTGAAACTGAATAAATTTTGTCAATTATATTTGCAGTTGTGAGATTTACTTAATTGCTGTCTATTAAAATGAGCAATTTTAACATCTTTGGAGAGCAGGGGTTTGGAGGGAATTACTGCATTCCCATCCTTTTGGGATAGATCCTTCAAAGACTGTGCTTTCATCTGCCAAATGTTACTACAGTATGTCTTTCAGAAACTGACTTTGAAGAGAGTTATTAGAAGACAAAAAATACGATTGTAATTATATTTCTCATTTTATGCCGCACCATGGTGTTTCAATTTGCTACCGCTATTTGCACACCTAGCAGGCACTCAGTGGATATTCATTAAATAATAGCAATAATTTGCTAATGAGTTTCAAATGGCATCTCATGAACATGCAGACCAAGTGCTTTGAGATCAAACAGATCTGATTAGCTCACTACCCTTTGAACAAGTTTTTTAACTTCTCTAAGCCTCAGATTTTTCATTTGCAATATAGAAATGTATAATTACCTCTTCCATTAGGTATTCATTTAGATTAAGAAAATAATTCATATAAAACTTTTGTCTCAGAACCATTTGCAGAGTAAGTGCTGGAAAATATTAGCTATTACCACTTTAATGCCTCATCTTAGGCAAATAATGTATACAGTTTATTGATCTACATCCTTGGCTATATAAGTTACATATGAAGACTTTTTGTGATACTGTCAAGCATTTTGTCATTGGAAAATGTCATACTTTTTGATGGAAATTTGTGAGATTCAACAAACAAGTGAATAAATTCTGTCTCAGAATTTGACTTGTCCATAGCTTCAGGGTAGATTATTCGGAGTAGGTGATAAAAGTGGATTTAACAGCAGAGGGCAGAGCACAGGCACCAGAAGGAAGAGAATAATTCACTCCTAAGAGTGAAAAAAGAGAAGACCCCATTTTCTGATGCTGAGCTTCCTATCATTTCTGATGGGCATCACTGAAAAAGTACAAATTTCACAGCTGGGTCATCTATATATCAGTTACAGGGGAAGAAAAGTATGCCCATGCTGCCCCTTCCCCCTTTTTTTAGTTCCTTAGAAAGGGAGGAAGATGGAAACAAGAGAAGCAGAAAACTTCACTATACACAAATTGGGAGAAGATCAAGGTGGGGTGTAGTGTGCTACAGTGGATAGGGCATGGGCTTTGTAATGGGCTAGATCTAAATTCAGTTTCCTGGCTCAGCTACTTGCTACCTAGGCTAAGGGTGGATCACGACTTACCTGCATATTGTGCCTCCCTGCTTCATTTTTGTTATGGTAATAAAAATTGTAACTATGACATAGAGTCATTGTGAAGATATAGTGAAATAAGAATGCTGGTAAAATGTCCAATCCATTTTCTGGTCTATATAAGGTCCTTGCAAAATACTTCTCACACACTCTATAGGCAAGGTAAGTACCCAAGTGCTTGCCAAAATGCTGCTTCTTACACCTCCTTACTAACTTCTTCTACGAATCTCCTTGGTGTTCGAAATTTGCATTGCATTAATTTAGCTAAACTGGAATTTCATTTCCCACATCCACCTTTTTTTCCTCATGTGATCAGTTCAAGCCCAGATGAAGAAGCAGAAGTAAAATCCCAGCTATCTACTTCTGGTACTGAGAAGATTGGTGCAGCACAAAGCACTGTTGCTGTTGCAGCTCATGCCAGCTGGTGCTGACCTCTTGGCTTCCTGGCTGGAGAGTGGAGCAGCCAGGCCCCCAACTCATCCAGATCCTGCTGCATCTTCTCTGACTCCTGGCCCAGCGTGTGGTTAGCTTCCTGACAAAGGGGCACCAGCTATTCCTGCAGAAAACTCTCATCATGAAAGTTGGAAACTTGAAGGCAAAGGGGAATGCTTGTGGGTTCTAGTTCATTTTTGAGGGCTCCAGCTCAAATTCAGCTTCCAGTTTGTCTTTGCTTCGCCCACTCCACAACTATGTTCTCTTCCCAGCCACCTGCCTGTGGGCATCATGTCCCAGCACCAAGTTCAGGAACTAAACTTCACATACACTGTTTCTCCTCTTCCATAGTTGTGTACGGTCAAATCCTTATAATAAATCTCTATAAACATTCATGTATATGTATGTGCATATAGGTATATGTGTATGTATGTATGCATGTATCTTGTTGGTTCCACTTCTCTGATAAGAACCTTGGCAATACAGCGAGCCTTCTCTTTCTGTGTCAGGAACTGTATACTGAGAGCTGAGGAGACAGATGAATAAGGTGCAGCTCCTACATTCACAAAAGTTCACAGTTCTTAAAGGAGAATTCAGCATCATTCTTCATATAAAAACTTATGAAGTTTCTATGGATTTGCCTATTATGGATATTTCATATAAATGAAATTATACAATATGTGACCTTTTGTATCTGGGTTTTTTTTCACTCAGCATGTTTTCAATGTTTGTCCACATCGCAGCATGTATCAGTACTATGTCACAGCATGTATCAGTATCATATCTTTTTATGGCTGAATACTATTCAACTTTACAGGCATATCACACTTGTTTATTCATCTATTGATAGACATTGGGTTGCTTACACCTTTTGGAACTAGATAGAGGTAGTGGTTGCACAACATTGTGAATGTACTAAATGCCATTGATTGTACACTTTAAAGTGGTCAATTTCACATGACACGAGTTTCACTTTAATTACTTGATGAGTGCAATGTATATTGTTCAGGTGATGGATAAGCTAAAAGCCCTGACTTCACCACTATACATTCTATGCATGTAACAAAATTGCACTTGTACCTCATAAATTTATACAAATAAAATGTTTAAAGGTTATGATGTTACAATGTTGGTTTCCTTTTGAAAGAATATATGTGCATCTATAAATGTTCAGAATGAAATTGAGGAGACTCTGCTGAAGTTTATAGATGCCAAACTGGCAAAAAGAACAGCTACGTGGTCATTAAAGTAGACATTTCCAGGGATAAGATTAGATGCTTTCCATATTTAACTGGAATCTGCTTCGTGTATTATTCTTTACTCTGCTATTTTGCTGCATGCCTGCCATTGATTGACTTCTTGACATGCACATAAAATCAATTAGCATTCAGCCTCTAAGGATAATTCAGTGAATAGGTTGCTGCTTTCACCATTTAGTCAACAGAGAAACATTTCTTTCCACACCACCCCGTACCTATTTAGGAAGGCATTTGGTAACACTTAGCTTGCACATGCCAACAATTAGATGTCAGTAGAATTTCTATGCTCAATCTTTTGTATACAAGGAATGTATTAGCTGACGTTTCCAGTCTTCTCACAATTTTCTGAACTCATCCGTTTTTGCCCTTTCATCATGGAGTGACTTTAGAGACATCAGTTAAAGGGCCTCCATGTCTTGCCTCCAATTATCCTTGAAAAGGGGACAGTATGAAAGTAGATACGGAGATTGAGTGTATGCCAGGCCACTTCCATTATCTGAAACTCTTTCATGGTTTAACTTTTTAAAGTAAATGTAACTTTTCCTTCAACTGCTAACTCAGCTTTCTTTTTTGTTGTTATTTTACTTCTTTCTTACTCCAAAGATCTGATGTGAATGTCCTTGTCTTACAGAATTTTCTGACCCTATCTCCCTTCACTATCCTTTTATATAATACTCCAGCCATACCGGCTTATGTGTAGCTCTTATGACAAATACAACTTATCTTCATCTCAGCACCTTTACAATTGCTGCTCCTCCTCCTTGGAACATTCTTCCTTCACAGAGTCATGTGGCTGCCTCATTTCATCATCCAAGTCTCAAATTATTTGGTAACTTCCTAGCTAAAGCAGCCCTCTCTGCCACACTCTACTGCATTTGCCCTCTTTATTTTTTACTGTGTTCCCTTCCTAGATTGTATAATCCTTGACAATAGGATTACTGCCTGTCTAGTTCACAGGTATTTTCCCACTGTTTTGAATAGGGCTGCAGCAGATTGGAGATGCAATATTAACATTTTGACTAACAGGCAATTATCATGCAAATAAGTATAAAATTGCAAATGTGATTCATGGTGGTACCATTCATTGTGACAGAAGATGCTGGAAAAGATCAAGCATGCATTTATTTATTTGTTTGTTTGTTTTTGTTGATTGGTTGGGGGTTTTTTGCAGGCTGGGGCAAATTATAAGCTCAGTTTTAACATTTTAATTTCAGAGTACTATTGATATTCTGAAAAGTGGTATCATATAGGTCATTTTGTAGATTAGACTGGACTTAAAAGTTGCAGGTCTGGTCTAGAATGCATTCATTAAGATATCTGCTTCTCATTGGTTATTAAATGTGGGCCTGTATAAGATCATCCAGAAATAGCAAAAAGAATAAGAAGAGAGGAATGCCAGTAAGGGGTGGTTAACACTGGAAAGAGAACAAAATGGGATTGGTTGGTGAAGGAAAAAGATAACCACTCACATGTGACACCCTGTAGAAGACAGGTTTCAAGAAGGAGAAAATTGTATCATGAGTGAGATGCTTCTGAGCCTGAAGTTAGATGTTGAGGACTGAAAAATATCCACTGAATTTCATCACCTGGAAATTTCTGTTAACCTTTGCTAGTGTTGTTTTACTGAAGTGATGAGCCAGAAGTCAGACTGGGCAGCAGATAGTGTGATCCTGACTATGACTTCATGCAACTCTTTACATACACATGCACAAAAATCGGTTTCTGCTTTATGTGACCTTAGACAAATCTCATACACCTCTCTGAATCTCAGCTTTATTATCTGGAATGTGAGCAGCTCACAGCTACATGGAAGGTCTCTTGTAAGAATTAAACTATAAGACATGAAAAAATGCCTGGAACATTATTTGAACATTCACTCAACGTATATTCCTCTCCCTCTCTCTTATTTCTCCCACTTGAGAGTTTTAAAAAAAATCTGTTGCCCAGAATCAACATATTGCTATAAACAAGGACTGCATGGGAAAAACAAATTAATTGTGTGATAAAGTACTATGTAAAAAGAGCAATTTCCATATATATATTGGAATGATGTTTATGTCTCCTATATCCATTTGGTGATATGCCTTACTACAACTGTAGAACACTGTGAATTTATGTCCTGTCTATATTTCCTCCTAACCTTGAGATTTTTACAATAGACTTTACTTCCCAACTAGATTATTTCCCTATCCCTTGGTTGCCTGTTTATTATGCTTCCTAAGAAACTATTTTGCATGTTTCATTATTGCATCACTCTCAGTAGACTTCATTCTTTCACTCATCAAGATTGCAGGGAGCTTGAATCCTTCAAATTGCCAATGAACATTTCCAGTTTATAATACTTATCAGTTCAGATCTGCTGAAGTCATTGCGAACTTCAGATCTTTGTTTTAGATTTCAACTCTATGGGAATGCTGAACACAAATGACCATATACTCACTGTTGCTTTCAGTTCCTTGTTTTGATCACATGTTCTGGGCACTTCAGGCACATGTTGAACCCTTCAGAAACCCACTGGCAGTTTTCTTTCACAAGCTCCCGGTTTAGGTGCTGCTCGTCTGACTGCAGATGACTTTCATCATACGGGGCAGGTTCCCAACAACTACCTTTTCCTTGTGGGAAGAAACCAAAGAGATCACATCCTTTCTCTTTGGAGCACCACCAGCCAGAAGGGAAGCAAATGTCCCAGGCCCGGCCAACATGGGACTGTGACTCTTCAGCAAGAAACAGAGACAAAAGAAACCGTTTAGATTCTTTCATAGCAGCAACAGAAGCAGCCTCCATGTCCTTTGTAAAGCAGTAGCTCTAGACCAGTCTGTTTGGACTAAAAGATTTTGGATTCTTCCCTCTTGGCATAGAAGTGTCTTGGTTTAAACCCAGCCTCCATGCCTGGTTCTCTATCCTCTCATTAACTTTGTGAGCTCCTGCTATCCTTGCAAAAAGAAGTCTTCACATGATGGAACCAAATATGAACCCAGCAACCATGCTTCATGGCTGAGCTGGCACTTTATTATTATTATTATTTTTTATTTTTTTTGAGATGAAGTCTTGCTCTGTCGCCCAGGCTGGAGTGCAATGGCACAATCTCAGCTCACTGCAACCTCCGCCTCCCGGGTTCAGCCATTCTCCTGCCTCAGCCTCCTGAGTAGCTGGGGCTACAGGCGCCTGCCACCATGCCCGGCTAATTTTTTATTTTTTATTTTTTTAGTAGAGACGGGGTTTCAGCGTGTTATCCAGGATAGTCTTGATCTCCTGACCTCGTGATCTGCCCGCCTCGGCCTCCCAAAGTGCTGGGATTACAGGCTTGAGCCACCGCTCACTTTCTGACAGAATTATTTGTTACTCTTGGCAGATTTCAGGGAGAGAAAAAAAAACAAAAAACCTGCCTTGCCAGAGCTTCTGTTGCCAATGACTATCACTCTGATGGCATTCTCCAGGGGAAGAGAACACTGGGGGACTAAAAAAAAACAAACAAAAAAAAACAGTATTGTAATTTAGATTGCCACTCCATTTAATAATGGGAAAATGGTATTACTTTAGTGATAAATTTTTTAAAGCCATATGTAAAATGTGAGCTGGATTCTGTTTATAGAAATGTATGGATGAACACATTAGACAAAGTTAGCCTTGCTGATTTACTCAAGACAGCTAAACTGATGAATTTCAATTAAGCCTGTTACAAACCTGGCTCTGACTTTTAAAATCATCTATTTTGACTCAAGACTGAGTAGCACTACATACATATGTGTGTAGTCCTACTCAGTCTTGAGTGTATATATACGTGTGTATATACATGTACGTATGTATATATATGTATTTATGTACTTCTCTAACCCATAAAAGACACAGACATATAAAAAAGTTGTTTATCCTTTGAGCACCAAACATCACATGAGTCCCTTTGAAATGTTAAAAATTGGAGCCATTGGTCTGTTATCTGCATAAGAGAAAAACAATACTGTGGCTTCTGGAGAAATGGAGAGGAGGGGGTGAAGTGGGAAGAACAACACCAACAGGAATGATAAACTGGGTTTTAATGACAAAGTCACTTTGCCAACTGCAATTCAGGTGCCGGGTAAGCTGATCTGACTTCATTAGGTGATTGCCAGCCTCCCAAAGCCATCATCAGCCTGGAAGAAAGCCATATGTGTTGGTCGCACAAATGGACATTGATTTTTCAATAAACTGGAATCCAAAGCCAACATCATTCCAGTGATATCTTTTCTCAGGAGAGAGGATTTCTCGCTCATGCCTGGCACCATGTCTTGGCTCTTATATTTCAAGAATTACATGGGTGAAGCAGAGTAGAAAACATCAGCTCACTTAAGTCATGTGATAAATGAGGCAATTAAGTCAATTAGATGCACAGTTACTGAGTTATATCTGTTTTGCTTTGTAAAATATCATTTTACATAGGATCATCTGTCTTACCATACTTGACAGCATTAGAATTCTGTGGGGCAGAAAAACTGTGGTTCGTTACTCTATGAAAACAGTGCCTCCTCTCCTAACTGAATAAAGTAACCTTGGCCTCTAAGTTGGAGGTGTGGTTCCTTAACCCTTTCTCTGTAAGAAGGCAGAACACATGTTGTATTTGGTATTTGTCCGCATTTCTTGATATATATAGCTTTCCTACTAGTCTTCATGTGACTGGGGGATTAGAACACAGAAGTTTAATTTTTTCCAATGCAGGACTTATCAGATGCATCTCTTTCTAGAGAGAGAAGTGAAGTTGTAGCAAATTTACAGTGTTCTGGGAAGAGTCACTTAAGTGACTTTGTAATGAAAAGATAAGTGGGCACCTTTGTCAAAAGGAAGAGTGCTTGGAGCTTTAGTAGCTTAATGCTGTTCACCATCACCCCCATTCCCTTGGCATACAGACTTGACACTAGAGAAGAGGTTTGTACATCTGCAGAGGAGTCAAGGAGCCCTCTAGGAAAAGAAACCATGATGAGACAGTTTGCTTTTAGATATTCAATGCCTTTAGAGCCTACAATAGATTGCAATGGTCCTATATAAGGTGTGTGGGCTGGTCAAGACTGCAGGAACAGTTAGGGGAAGCTAACCACAAATGAAGGTAATACTGGACTGGTGGCAAGGCTTGATTAGGAGATATCAAGAAATTGCCCATGAAGCAAATTATGTTTCCTTTGCTCCCCATAAATTTCATTTCCTTTGTTTTAAAGTAATGAACCAACATTTAAAAATAATATTTCTTTTATAAATATAGATTCCTTTGGCCAAGGCACATCCTCTGTAGTTTGCTCCAAAACCCACCATTCACATACGTACTCCTGCTCTCCCCACTTCATTTCTATTTTGAGTTCTTGACCTTTTGCCTAAATTGTTATAGGGGAGGGATACCAATATTGTGATGCCATGGGGCTGAGACTGGAAGCCCTTGCTCCCCTAGCTGCCTGGGAGTATGATTGGGAAACTTTAGCTGAACATGTGAGGAGGAGCCTTGGAACATCCTTGATTGGACTGAGCGTGAACATGAGTTGTGATCTCACACGCTCAAGGGCAGTATCTAAGAAAGCCTTCATTGTGGAAGAAAATAAGGATATTAAATGTGGATTTTCTGGTCGAATAATATATAAATCTTTAGTTTGAAAGATAATGTCAAATTGACTTCAGAAATGTAGAGCCAGGTTAAATACTGATGAATACTTCTTGAGAGCACCAGTTTGCATACCAGTCAGCATTGGCCATTATCGATCTCTTTAAGTTTTGCTAAACTGATGGAGAAAGATAGCTCATTTCTACTTCGATTTGAATTCACCTCAATACTAATGAACTTAAGCACATTTTGAAATGTATGCTAGTCATTTATATTTTCTTGAAGAATTTCATATTTATAACTTTTGTTCATTTTTCTTATTAGGTTATTTGTTTTTCCTTATTTAACCATAGAAACCCCTAGAGTAGGGGTTCCTAACCCCCAGGCTATGGACGGGTACCTGTACGTGGCCTGTTAGGAACCAGGCCACACAGCAGGAGGTGAGTGGTGGGTGAGCGAGCAAAGCTTCATCTGTATATACAGCCACTCCCCATCACTTGCATTACCACCTGACCTCTGCCTCCTGCAAGATCAGCAGTGGCTTTAGATTCTCATAGGAGTATGAAACCCTATTGTGAACAGCACATGCGAGGGATCTAGGTTGCACACTCTTTATGAGAATCTAATGGCTGATGATCTGTCACTGTCTCCCATCAGACCAAGATGGGACCATCTAGTTGCAGAAAAACAAGCTCATGGCTCCCACTGATTCTACATTATGGTGAGTTGTATAATTATTTCATTATATATTACAATGTAATACTAATGGAAATAAAGTGAACAACGAGCGTAATGTGCTTGAATCATCCCGAAAACATCCTCGACCCTGTCCGTGACAAAATTGCCTTCCACAAAACTGGTATCTGCTGTCAAAAAGGTTGGGGACTGCTGCAATAAAGGACTTAACTTTTTCTGTTGTGTTTGCCGCAAATTCTCCCAGTCTGCTGCTTGTTTTTTAACTTTGTTGATGGATCTTTCCTTGTGCAGAAATTATTAATTTTTATTTAGAGAAATTCATTCATTTTTAATGGCTTTTGGGTTTTATAGGTTTGTTGGCTTTTATAGGTTCCCTCCATTCCACATTGTCAAAATAATCTCTTGCACTTTTCTTTAATGTCAGTAGTTTTTTGTGATTGTATAATCACCTGGAAGTTATTTTATGTGAGGTAGAGATAAAATTTTTTAGCACAAATGGAGAGCAAATTACCTTACCACACCACCTTCCCATTATTTTAAAATTCAAATTAAATTTGAATTTAGGATCGAAATATTTAAACTTGAATTTAAATTTGAAATTCAAATATTGGAAATTAAATTAAAGTACAATTTTAAACTTGTATTTGTAATTAGCAGGTGTCTTTTTGCTTTTTGGTTTGTTTTGAGATTTCACAAACAACTTCCTTATGGGAGTGTTGATTACTCACCATCTTCCTTTCTGGATTCCTCAAAAATTAATAATAAACACTTAGAGTCTGATAAGGATAAAAATGTGCAGCATGAGCTTTGTACTGGCTGAGTAGTGTCCAGTAATCCCCTCAAAATATAGAACTTCCAGTATGTTGTATAAGAGGATGAGTTTGGTCTAGGGCCAAGGTGAAGTTTTCTATTTTTTTTTTTTCTACAAATGTTGGACTTAGAACCTGACTGAGTGAGATTTGCAAAGCAATTACTCACCCAGCTAAAGGAAGACAACATCATCTTCCAAAACTAAACCTAGTTTTCTTGTAATATTTGCCCCAATAATACTTCCCTCCAATAAAGAGCACAATTCTGTCTTTTTTAAGAAGTATAAAACAGGGCCGGCGCGGTGGGTCACGCCTGTAATCTCAGCACTTTGGGAGGCTGAGGCGGCTGGATCACGAGGTCAGGAGATCGAGACCATCCTGGCTAACACGGTGAAACCTGGTCTCTACTAAAAATACAAAAAAAAAATTAGCCGGGCGCGGTGGCAGGTGCCTGTAGTCCCAGCTACTGGGGAGGCTGAGGCAGGAGAATGGCGTGAACCCAGGAGGTGGAGCTTGCAGTGAGCCAAGATCACTCCACTGCACTCCAGCCTGGGCGACAGAGCGAGACTCTGTCTCAAAACAAAACAAAAAAAGAAGTATAAAACAAAACTTCCCAACTTACGCTCCCATTGTTTATCTTGCTTAATTTTTTTTAGGATATTCTTGCATTTTTTTGTTCAAAAGAATTTTAAAAGAAACTCATAACTTTCATTTTTAAAAAATACTGGGATTTTAATTAGGATTTTCTTTAATTTATACATTTATTTAAGTTTAATTAACACCTTTATTGAGTTTTCATATTTTAAAGCTTTTATTCAGGCTTTATTATATGTACATCAATAAAATTACATAATATCCCCTATAAAAACCTTACACATTCTTCTGCTTATTCGTGGATATATTTAATAATTTTATTGCTATTTAGTTGGATTATTTTCTCTTTCATTTTTTCTAATTAAAATTTTATTGTTAATAGAAAAGAGATTGAGTTTTGTATTTTGACATTGTATCAACCTGTTTTACTAAATATTGTTCCATTCCTTCTCTCAGACAATTCTATTGTATGCAAATAGTAAAAGTGTTAGTTTCTTGGTCTATATTTCTAACTTATTTTTCTTTTTGCCTCATTGCATTTGTTAGGACTCCCATTCCAGTTGTCATGATAGAATTAGGCACCCTTATTTTGATCAAGACTTTAATTAAAATACACTAATGTTCCCCTATTAAGTATTATGTTTGCTATTTGCTAAGTTTTTCCTTTTTCTTTTATTAAATTAAGGAAGAACTTACTTATTTTTAGCTTGACTTCATTAAAAATGGTGTTGAGGAAGTCCTAGCCAGAATAGTTAGTCAAGAGAAAGAAATAAAGGGCATCCAAATTAGAAAAGAGAAAGTCAAATTATTCCTGTTTGCAGATGACTGATCTTACATATAGAAAAACTTAAATATTCTACCAAAACTTATTAGAATGGGTAAATAAACAAATTCAGTAAAGTTGCAGGATACAGAATTAACATACAAAAATCAGTAGTGTTTCCATACACGAATAATAAAGTAACTGAAAAAGAAATCAAGAAGGTAATCTCATTTACAATAGCTATGAAAAAACAAACAAAATACCTGGGAATAAGTTTAATCAAGGAAGTGAAAAATCTCTACAAGAAAAACTACAAAACACTCATCAAAGAAATGGGAGAGTATACAAACAAATAGAAAGACATCCCATGCTCATTAATTGGAAGAATTAATATTGTTAAAATGACAATACTACCTAAAGTAATCTGCAGATTCAATGTAATCCCTATCAAAATACCAATGACATTCTTCACAGACATAGAAAAAACTCCTAAAATTTTCATGAAACCATAAAAGACCCTGAATAGACAAAGCAATCTTGAGCAAAAAGAACAAAGCTGGAGGTATTCCACACCTAGATCGTAAAATATACTACAAAGCTGTAGTAACCATAACAGCATGGTACTGGCATAAATGACTAAAACTAGAATGAATTTAGAACCCCCCGCCTCTCACCTATACAAAAATCAACTCAAAATGGATCAAAGATACAATATAAGACCCAAAATGATAAAAAAAAAAAACTATTAGAAAAACATAGGGTAAATGCTTCAAGATATTGGTCTGGGAAAAGCTTTTATGAATAAGACCTTAAAAGCACAGGCCACAAAAGCAAAAATAAACAAATGGGATTATATCAAACTAAAAAGCTTCTGCACAACAAAGGAAACAGTCAGCAGAGTGAAACAATAACCTACAGACTGGGAGTAAACTACTTATCTGACAGGGCATTAATATCCAGAATATGCAAAGAACTCAAACATCTCAAAAGGAAAAAAAAAATGGGCAAAAAATCTGAAGAGATATTTCTCAAAAGAAGACATATAAATGGGTTCAAATCCATGAAAAAATGTTCAAGATCACTAATCATCAGAGAAATGCAAATCAAAACCACAATGAGGTACCATCTCACCCCACTTAGGATGGCTATTATCAGAAAAACAAAAAATATCAAATGCTGGCAAGGATGCAAAGGAAAGAGAATTCCTCTACACTGTTGGTGGGAATATAAGCTAGTGCAGCCACTATAAGGACCAGTATGAAGGTTCCTCAAGAAACTACAATTGGGACTACCATATGATCCAGCAACCCCATTGTTGGTAATTTATCCAAAGCAAAGGAAATCATTAAATTGAAGAAACATCTGCAGCCCATGTTTATCACAGTCATATTCACAATATCCAAGATATGGAATCAATCTAAGTGTCCAACAACAGGTGAATGGATAAATAAAATGTGGTGTATATATACACAATGGAATACTATTCAGACATAAAAAAGAATGAAATTCTGTCACTTGCAGCAGCATGGATGGAACTGAGATACATCATGTTAAGTGAAATAAACCAGCAAACGAAAGTTAAACATTGCATGTTCTCACTATATATGGAAGCTTAAAAAGTTGATATCATAGAAGTAAAGAGTAGAATAGAGGATACCAGAGACTGGGAAGGGTAGAGGGAGAATATGATAAATGTTTAATCATAATAAATGAGAAATTACAAAGAAATAAATGTTTGAGATGATGGATAGACTAATTTATCCTGGTCTGATCACTATACATTACATGTATCGAAATATCACTATGTACCCCATGAATATGTACAATGTTTATTTGGCAATTTAAAACAATACAATTTTTAAAAGAATGGATTGATTCATGAGTAATACCATTTTGTAATAACATAATTGTATAATGGTCTCTAATTTGTTAATTTAGTAAATTATATTAATAAATTTCCGAATGCTACATCATTCTTACACTTCTAGAATAAAACTTGTTTGATCATTTACATTATTGTCTGAAAAAAATGCTAATTTTAACTTGTAAATATTTAACTTATTTGTAATTATGTTTATAAATGATACTGAACTATAGTTTCCTCTTATTTTTTCTTTTATTTTCTGTTTTTTAACAGGATTATGCAGCTCAATTGAATTAATTTTAAAGTTTTTCAACACTTTTAATGCTTCAGAAAGTTTAACAGAGTAATTATCTGTTCCTTAAAGGTTGAATAGAACTGGCTTATAAATCATTTTGAGCTGATGTCGTTTATAAGAATAGACCTTCAGTATGGTTATTTATATATTCCACTTTTACCTCTTTCTGAGTCATTTAAAGTAATTTATACCTTCTTAGATAATCCTGCATTTGTTTTTTATTATTATTTTTGGCAAGTTATTTTTACCATCTGTCAAAATTTCTTTAATTCCATCCTTAGCTATATCTTTTTTCTTGCTTCATTTTCTTCAGTCTTTTCTTTATTCCTTAATACACTTACTAAAGAAAACAAAGGCTAACTTCTCATTTTATTGATTAAATCTGCTATAGATTGTATTTCATTATTATTAATATCCACTTATTTCTTTATTGAGTCAAACTCCAATTTCAGCAGGAGTTGGTCCATAGTGTGTGCTTAACTGAAAGATTTTAAGAGCCACACTAGAGCACTATAAGAGTATTTATGGGATATTGTAAGTACTTGTAAGCTTTTAAGCAATCATTAAAATTAAGGAAAATAAGGTAATTTAATTACAAACTGCATAATCTCTAGGTGGATAGAGCTTTTGAAATCTTTTAGTCTAACTCTACCATTTTCTTCATTTATTTATTCATTCAAGTAATATTTTTGAGTGCCTACTATGTAGTGCATGCTGTGCTATATGCTGTGGATATAGCCATGAACCAAATAAACATGGTTGCTACCATCATAGGGCTTACAATATGGTGGAAGAGACAAACATTATAAACAGATAAATATAAATTAGTGGTTAATATTTTTGTTGTTCTATGTATTCAGAAGAAAGAAATTGGGTGCTATGAAAGAAAATAATTTAGATGAAGAAATCACAGAAAATCTCTTTGAAAAGTGACATTTAAGTTAAGAATGATGATAGATGTTAGGTAGGTAAAAAGTGAAGGCAGCATAGTGGGGGTGAAGAGAATAGCATATGCAAAAGCCTGGAGATGAGAATGATCCGGGATTGCTCAAAAATTAAAAGATAATGGATTGAAACTAAAGCAAATTAATCAGTGGAAAAGAAATATGGCTGATATATAGGCCAATACCTGAGCATAATGAACCTGTAGTTACAACCAGAAATTTTGTATTTGATTTTAAACAAAATGAGAAACCACTGAAAATTTTTAATCAGGGAGTAACACAATTGAATAAACAAAAAAATCTGCCTTTAGGGCAGAGTAAAGATTGAAGCAGAGCAAAGATGGACACAAAAATGTAGTTAAAAAGTATTGACATATATCATGCAGGAAGTAATGGTGGCTTGGACTAGAATGGTAGAGATGGCAAGATGTATTCTGATTTGAAGCATTTCCCAAGATCAAATCAACATGACTAGGTGATGACTTTTTTATTTTAATAAAATACACACAACATACAATTTACCATTTTAACTGGTTTAAGTGTAGAACTAAGTGGCATTTGGCATGTTTATAGTGTTACGTAGCCATTACTACTATTTCCAGAACATTTTCTTCACCCCAAAAGGAACTCATACTCATTAAGCAGTCACTTCCTATAATGGACTAAGCTGTGTCTTTCCCAGAATTCATATGTTGAAGTCCTAAGCCCCAGTACTTCTTTTCCTTGGAGTGGTCCAGAGACTAGCTTATATGGTCTATAGGAGGAGCTAATAGTAATTGTGAACTTCTTCTATTTAAGAGAACTTAATCCATCTTGAATTAATTTTTGTATAAGGTGTAAGGAAGGGATCCAGTTTCAGCTTTCCACATATGGCTAGCCAGTTTTCCCAGCACCATTTATTAAATAGGGAATCCTTTCCCCATTGCTTGTTTTTGTCAGGTTTGTCAAAGATCAGATGGTTGTAGATATGCAGCATTATTTCTGAGGGCTCTGTTCTGTTCCATTGATCTATATCTCTGTTTTGGTACCAGTACCATGCTGTTTTGGTTACTGTAGCCTTGTAGTATAGTTTGAAGTCAGGTAGCGTGATGCCTCCGGCTTTGTTCTTTTGGCTTAGGATTGACTTGGCGATGCGGGCTCTTTTTTGGTTCCATATGAACTTTAAAGTAGTTTTTTCCAATTCTGTGAAGAAAGTCATTGGTAGCTTAATGGGGATGGCATTGAATCTAGAAATTACCTTGGGCAGTATGGCCATTTTCACGATATTGATTCTTCCTACCCATGAGCATGGAATGCTCTTCCATTTGTTTGTATCCTCCTTTATTTCATTGAACAGTGGTTTGTAGTTCTCCTTGAAGAGGTCCTTCACATCCCTTGTAAGTTGGATTCCTAGGTATTTTATTCTCTTTCAAGCAATTGTGAATGGGAGTTCACTCATGATTTGGCTCTCTGTTTGTCTGTTATTGGTGTATAAGAATGCTTGTGATTTTTGCACTTTGATTTTGTATCCTGAGGCTTTGCTGAAGTTGCTTATCAGCTTAAGGAGATTTTGGGCTAAGACGATGGGGTTTTCTAGATATACAGTCATGACATCTGCAAACAGGGACAATTTGACTTCCTCTTTTCCTAATTGAATACCCTTTATTTCCTTCTCCCGCCTAATTGCCCTGGCCAGAACTTCCAACACTATGTTGAATAGGAGTGGTGAGAGAGGGCATCCTGTCTTGTGCCAGTTTTCAAAGGGAATGCTTCCAGGTTTTGCCCATTCAGTATGATATTGGCTGTGGGTTTGTCATAGATAGCTCTTATTATTTTGAGATACATCCCATCAGTACCTAATTTGTTGAGAGTTTTTAGCATGAAGGGTTGTTGAATTTTGTCAAAGGCCTTTTCTGCATCTATTGAGATAATCATGTGGTTTTTGTCTTTGGTTCTGTTTATATGCTGGATTACATTTATTGATTTGCATTTGTTGAACCAGCCTTGCATCTCAGGGATGAAGCCCACTTGATCATGGTGGATAAGCTTTTTGATGTGCTGCTGGATTCGGTTTGCCAGTATTTTATTGAGGATTTTTGCATCAATGTTCATCAAGGATATTGGTCTAAAATTCTCTTTTTTGGTTGTGTCTCTGCCAGGCTTTGGTATCAGGATGATGCTAGCCTCATAAAATGAGTTAGGGAGGATTCCCTCTTTTTCTATTGATTGGAATAGTTTCAGAAGGAATGGTATCAGCTCCTCCTTGTACCTCTGGTAGATCCTGGACTTTTTTTGGTTAGTAAGCTATTGATTATTGCCACAATTTCAGAGCCTGTTTTTGGTCTATTCAGAGATTCAACTTCTTCCTGGTTTAGTCTTGGGAGGGTGTATGTGTCGAGGAATTTATCCATTTCTTCTAGATTTTCTAGTTTATTTGTGCAGAGGTGTTTTTAGTATTCTCTGATGGTAGTTTGTAAAACCATAAAAATCCTAGAAGAAAACCTAGGCAATACCATTCAGGACATAGGCATGGGCAAGGACTTCATGTCTAAAACACCAAAAGCAATGGCAACAAAAGCCAAAATTGACAAATGGGATCTAATTAAACTCAAGAGCTTCTGCACAGCAAAAGAAACTACCATCAGAGTGAACAGACAACCTACAAAATGGGAGAAAATTTTCACAACCTACTCATCTGACAAAGGGCTAATATCCAGAATCTACAATGAACTCCAACAAATTTACAAGAAAAAACAAACAACCCCATCAAAAAGTGGGCGAAGGATATGAACAGACACTTCTCAAAAGAAGACATTTATGCAGCCAAAAGACACATGAAAAAATGCTCATCATCACTGGCCATCAGGGAAATGCAAATCAAAACCATAATGAGATACCATCTCACACCAGTTAGAATGACAATCATTAAAAAGTCAGGAAACAACAGGTGCTGGAGAGGATGTGGAGAAATAGGAACACTTTTACACTGTTGGTGGGACTGTAAACTAGTTCAGCCCTTGTGGAATTCAATGTGGAGATTCCTCAGGGATCTAGAACTAGAAATACCATTTGACCCAGCCATCCCATTACTGGGTATATACCCAAAGGATTATAAATCATGCTGCTGTAAAGACAGATGCACATGTAGGTTTATTGCAGCACTATTCACAATAGCAAAGACTTGGAACCAACCCAAATGTCCAACAACAATAGACTGGATTAAGAAAATGTGGCACATATACACCATGGAATACTATGCAGCCATAAAAAATGAAGAGTTCATGTCCTTTGTAGGGACATGGATGAAACTGGAAACCATCATTCTCAGCAAACTATCGCAAGGACAAAAAGCCAAACACCACATGTTCTCACTCATAGGTGGGAATTGAACAATGAGAACACATGGACGCAGGAAGGGGAACATCACACTCCGGGTACTGTTGTGGGGTGGGGGGAGGGGGGGAGGATGGCATTAGGAGATATACCTAATGCTAAATGATGAGTTAATGGGTGCAGCACACCAACATGGCACATGTATACATATGTAACAAACCTGCACATTGTGCATGTGTACCCTAAAACTTAAAGTATAATAATAATAAAATAAATAAATAAATATATAAATTTTAAAAAGCAATAAATCTTATAAAGCAATAAAGTCAGCTTTATAAGAAAAAAAAAAGAGAACCTAAGCAAATTGGGCATGACAATAATAATGGCAGTGGGAGCAAAGCGGGAGGATCACTTGAGGCCAGGATTTCGAGACCAGCCTGGCCAACATGGCGAGACCTTGTCTCTACTAAAAATACAAAAAAAAAAAAAATAGCTGGGTGCAGGGGTGGGTGCCTGTAATCTCAGCTACTTGAGAGGCTGAGGCAGGAGGATTGCCTGAACCCAGGAGGCAGAGGTTGCAGTGAGCTGAGATTGCACCACTGCACTCCACCCTGGGTGACAGAGTGAGACTCCATCTCAAAAACTAAAAATAAATAATAATAATGGCAGCGTAGGATTACTTTTTGTTTCCAGATTTCTAAATGAAGATATTCTAATACAAAACTAAATTATCAAAGCCAGTTTTCAAATTGTATATATTTTTATACAATTGGAATCCATTATTTTTGTTATCTGCACTTTTCACCTAATATCCTATAAGAATTTCTCCTGTGTGATTAAAAGTTATGAAAAGAGATAATCTGTTGAAAATATAAGTAAGTATTAATGCATTTGATGGTATAGTGTTTTGTTTTGGAAGGAAAATAGACAACACTGTTAAGTAGCATCCCCTCCAAGAGAAAGGCAGCATGAAAACTGGCCTCCTGCTTGAAATCTACACATGGCCATGGTCAAAGTACAATCTACCTGGATATCTCTCAAGTCTATGGTAAATTGGGATGTCACTACAAGTTAGTAATAGAAAAAAATAACAATAAATTGTCAAAACTTGGGTCACGCTTGCTGGTCACAGCTCATCTACAAGAATGTTTCCTTATATGCAAGTCTTATTTAAAAGGACCTAGGAAGACCTGGGCTGATCCAATCTCATGGCTCTAAAGGCAACTAGCCATATTCAGTCTATGGCTCAAGTAAAAGTAATATGCTGATCAGTACAGAAAGATGGATTTTGCAGTAAAAACACAGTCAGAATAACTGTCATTACTTGTCAGTTTCCCTCTTGCTGCGAGGTAATGGTGGAAACATAGCTGGAGTTTGAGGCATTTCTGGAAAACAGTCAAGTTTGAGGCATTTCTGGAAAAAAGTCATCTTTTCAGATTGTGCATGATTCATTTGTTTCAGAAAAAAAAAAAAACAACAGAATACTAAGGCCGTTTTGAAACTGACTTCAGCCCCAAATCAATTTCTTTCACATTAAATTTAAGCTATTGTATTTTCAAATCTTTTAAAGAATATTTTACTCTAACATACTTCTAGCTCACTGATACGTATAATACATTTTATATGTTAATGTTCCTCATTTGAAAATAATATATTTTATTTGAGAAGATTAATATTTTTATGTTTGTAGTCAGTATTAACACATTTGTTTAATTAATTACAATTTTACAAAAATCTAGATTTAAGTAACTAATTATTTGTAACCACTGAGTTGGAAAGTAGAGAAACTAGATTAGGTTCCTTTCTTTCTAGGCCAGACAACTCCTAGCCATGCCAGAAATTCTCTCCCAGAAACTGTATTCACGTCACAAATTTTATTTAAGTAAAATTCCTATCTCCTAGCCTAGGAAAGTGAGATGTTGGAGTCAAGAGATTTACGATGACGTATTTTACAGCTGAAGGTTAAACTGTAAGTGCCAATAGCTGGAAAGAATAATTGATCTTTGAATAATGTTTTGATTTACATTTTGGTGTCTGTGACCAACGTCCAGGCTAATTGAAACTTTTCCTCAACATCTATAAGACTTTCTAAGTCAAGCTCATAAACATTTATTGATTCTTTCATTCAGTTATTCAACAACTGTTTTGTGCCTGGTGCTGATGACTGCCAGAAGAAACAAGAAGTCATTATTTATTCATTCATTCATTCCATAAATATTCACTGGACTCCTACTATGCGTTAGGCATTGTTGCAGGTGAGATTTTCGTTGAGATAGGTCAATGAAAAAATGTAGACAAAATTCCAGCCCTCAAGGTGTTTACATTCTAGTTTGAGAAGGGGGAAGGAGAGAGTTAAATAAAATATAAATATAATATACATTACACATTTTACTAGAGGGTGAAAAATATTAATTGAAAATATAATAGGGCAGGGTGGTCAATGGAAGGATTGAAATTTTAGATAGGATTATGACAGCAGTCTTCACTGGGAAGTTTACATGTGAGAGAAGACTTAAAGGAGAGGAGGAAGTGAGCCGTGTGCATGCCTCCTAGGCAGAGGGAACAGCTTGTGTGAAGGCTTTGAGGGGGGACTGTGCCTGGTATGTTTGAGGCCCAGAAAGGAGGCCAGTGCATCAGAAATAAGGCAGCAAGAGGCAGAGTCATAGGAGATGAAGATAGAGAAGTAAGAGACAAGACCACGTAGGGTCCCATTGGAGGGATTTTTGGCTTTATTCCGAAGCAGATGGGCAGCTCTTAGGGGTGTTGGGTGGAGTAGTGACATAAGCTGATAAAGTCCCCAGAAGTGACCCTACAAAGGATTTTGCGGTCCTGCATATGTTCTGAGTTTACTGACTTGCCACATTCCATTTCTGCCAGCCAGTCCTGATATCTTTCCCCACTCCTTTACAATAAATACTCCCCTTGAATATCCTCCTCTTTCATTATTTCAAGTCTAAATTCCTCCACCTTTTACAAGAGTGTTTTACATGTATGTCCTTTTTAAAAGAGCCAGTTTATCAAATTCTCTGCCTATCCTTTTTGTTTTTCTTTCTTCTTCTAATTATTTTGCTCCTATATTATAACTAATATGAATAATATTATCTCATTATCTTAATTTTCTATACTAAACTATCTTCAATATTACATGGTCCTGCCTATTTCCAAATAAGTGGCATCCCCTGGAATGAGTATGTTTTAGTAACTGTGGATAGCACTGGCCTAGGCCTATGCCCTGTTTGTCTAAGTGTAAGCATACTCAGCATTTCCTAATGTATTTTTAATTGCTGTGTCACATCCTCTGAGTTTCTGTTTCACCTTTTCTAAATTTAAATTTTCCTGCCATTTAGCTCCCTGAAAGGCTAATAGAAAAGATTTATTTTTCTATTTAATTCCCTTGTGCTCTGAAAACAGAATAAAGTTGTGACCAGATTACTTTAAAAAGCCTGTAATATTGGGTAGAAACAAAAACAACATTCATTTGAGCACTTTGTGAGTCGCTGGGTACTCTAATGCGATTTTAAATTGTTTATTCGATGGACATAGATGGCAGTTAAGAGGGTTTCCTGTTACATTTTGCAGGAGTGTCCATTGTACCATGGCAGCTGATCAAGGCCAGTACTCCAACTTCAGTAGACAAGAAAGAGGGCTTCCCCTCCAAAGCTACCAGAATCACATCCACATTCTGAAAATTTTAAAGCAGATCTGGATTTTACTTTTAGTTTCAGGTCTCCCAGAAGAAGATACTGATATCAGGATTCAAGTTCAAATACAAGTACAAGCAATACCAAAAGGAAAGTGGGGAGATGACACCATAAACAAAAGGTAGTCAATGAAGGATATGCTGCTGAGCCAGCTGCCACAGTGGGCAACTGGAGCTTATTCCCACAGGGGAACTCTAGGAAACATATAAAACATATGTCTCAGAATGATCTCATCCAGGAGGCAAGGGATCTGGGGTATATATACACCAACTTCCATATTCATTGGTGAAGGCTAAGGGTATTAACTCCTCAGTAATTCTGATCTGCCACTTTTCACAACTGAGGGTTGGGGATTGGAAATGATAAATCCTTGGGCTCATCTGGCTGTTGAAAGTCAGGCAGAGCAAACTGAGATATTTGAGTGACATGGGTCAGGCACTGACAGTATCTGCTACACATTGGAATCCACCTCCCCTCCAGAGCTGCGTGTATTAACTCACAGATTGTCTGCAGCACAACTCTACGGAGGACAATTCACATAGAGGACAATGTGAGTGGTGCCATTCTGGAGTTGTACAGCTTGACCTTGCCCATCTGGGGCCCAGTTCAGTTCACACAACTACAAGTATTTTTGGTCCAAGTGACATGTTAATCTGTCAACTTCTCTTATAGATCAAGTCCCACAATTAGTTATAATCTACCGACAAGGCCTGACCTTAAGCACATGGTTCGATTATAGAAATTTCTGAATAGCTTCCATGGAGTAATACATGAGGCTGAATCTTCAGACTTACTGGCCTCTTTCTCTTTAGTATTATTACTTTTCACTAAATGATCTCATGAGTCAGACATATACAACCTATGACAATTAGTATAATGTTCCTGGAAGCAAGGTGATGGCTGATGGATTACAACATGCAAGACGAAAAGCCAAGGATATTTGTTTCCAGTATAATTCACTTTGTTTTTTGGATCACACTCTCTTTTCACCACTAATATTCAGAGATGCACACATATACACATACAAACACATCAATATTTAACAAACTTATGAAGCACCAACAATACCCTATGTTTAATGTTGGGTATATTTACATGAGTAAGTTGCAGTATCAGCCCCACAAAGCTCATGTATATGGGGAAAAAAGATATAAAAACACAATTATAGCACAATGTAAAAATTTCTGATAACATACTTGCTTGTGGAAACAATAGTCTCTAAGGATTGGTTCTTACCTAGTTTTGTCAACTCCAGGCATCAGTATTTAGCTGTAAAATTCAAGCTGAATTTACCTAGTCTAGGCATTCATATCTAACAAAATGTTTAACTTGGGACGTTATAAAAATAATAGGAAATTTTTAAAATGTTTGAACCCATTCATAAACATGAGAACTATATTTGCCATACCCAAACTTAAATCAAAGTATTAACAATAGGCTAAATACTATCCAGTAGGGTTGTGATAACAGTGTTCCACTATTCCTCACAGCAGAACTGGCCAGAGAAATGACAAAGACAATAATATCTGTTCTGATCTCAGCTGAATTCTTCTTCTAGGTCTGCAGATTTTCTGTATTTCCCACAGTACTTTCTTTTTGTCCCCTCTACTTTTCTCTGGCATTGGGTTATTCTGATGGCTTACTTTAGGTACATTTTAAGCATAGTCTTTATCACTCGATTGCTTTTGCACTTTTCTTCCTTCTAAAGCTCTCTCCAAAATACGTGCTCCTGTTTCTTGGCTCTCTCCCTCAGCTGACTACTCTCTGGCTATGCTCTCTGCTGGCCAGATTCCCTGCCATCGTGAGAGATGTTTACATTCAGCCCTAGGTGTCCTGAAGATTCACTTCCTAGTTAGAGCCTGGGCTCAAAATATTCCCCTCATTTCTTGGTGCCAATATGCTTCCAATGTAGACTGCTACACAGCAGCTTCTCACTGTAGGCCCTGTGTCTGAGATCATGTGACAATAAAGTCCGAAACTAGTATTTCCAGTAGGTACTGAGTACTCCAAGTGTGTAGTCATAATACAAGGCAGGTACTGACTACCACAGAAGAATCTTACCCTGGTAAGATCAACTTCCATGATCTGTGTGTGAGGATAACAGAGACAGCTCATAGGATTTTTAAATAGACTAGCTAATTCAGCAAGTGCTATATCTATGGAGTTAGCCATGCTATTACTTCCTTGGGCATTCTTTTCATGAAATACAGTGGATCCAATTTTCTTAGAATTTGAATCTATGTCCTTCAGAAGACTGAGGTTATGCTCTATTTACGTCTCTGCTACATAAGATAAATGAAGTTGAAAAGTTGTGTTTAATCATCTGGATCTTCATGTCAAAACTATCTGTGTTTGAACTATTCCAACTCTTTCACTCAAAAGCCAACATCTGGAATACCTGCTTTGTGACCCATGTTGTACTAAACCCATTCCCATCCTGCTCATTCTTTATGATCTTGTCCTGAGTGAAGAACTGGTCTTGCTAACCTGTTCTTGACACAGGATATAGCATCATTGTGAATGTAAAGTTATTTAATTTCTTTGAACATCAGAAGGACCCTTGTTGGTTGATCTCCTTCAGAGAGATCTGAGGGATAGGAGGAAAGTTAAATTCCATGGCTTTGTATATTTTAATCCTTTGACTTGAAATCACAAGGATACTAAATTCAGCTGGCACATTCCAATGACCCAAATGTCAAACTGGGCTCCATCCTGAGTGAGTTTCACACAGAACAAACAGCCCTTTATAGATTCAAGAGTGGCCCAGGCCGGGGACTGACAACCCCAGAAAGCAGCTGTGCTGGTCCCCACAACATAGTCCTAAGTAGGGAGACACACCAGACAATAAGAAAGATACTGAGACTGTGTCTCACAATGCCAGAAAAATAAAATCTAATCTTTCCCTGATTTCATCTACATGAAATCAAAATATTGTATTTCTGGAAACATCTGGATGATTGAGTAAATTTTTGTGCAGCTTCATCTGAATATTTGATAAAATTTAGACACAGCCTGAGGTTCCTAGACTCAAGCCATCCCCTACTGTTAGGAACAATTTTTTCTTCTTTTCCTCCCCATAAAAATGGGTTCACTCTTCTTTATTTAGTCTAACAGAAGGATCCATGTACTAGCACTGCCTTAGCTTTGCTTGGCTTCAGTTACACAAACTAACCACACTCAGTTGGACGGCAACTGCCGTAGCCGTGTGCCTGCCCGCTCCAAATTCATGAGTGGAGTTTTTCCACCCACAGTGTCAGGTACAAGATCTGAAATAAGGATTAAATTCTCTAGTACAAATAAGGGGAAAATTTAAATGAAATAATACTTGTGCTAAGCTTAAGTTATACCCAACTGCTCCCCATACAGAATAATACTAAAAGCAGGCAGGTTTTCAATTGATTAATCACTGTCATCCTGGCACTAGGCTAACTTCCTTACATATATTATCTCATTTAACACTTTACCTTTTATGGAAGGCAATATGGAATTCATCTATAGAGTAATTTATCAAATTCTTAACTGCTTGAATATATTTCTCTCTTACTTTTTTTCAATCATAGTTTGTTTTAATCTAGTTGAGCTGTTGGTCCTCCCCTCCATTTGTGGTCCCTGAGGGCTGTCAACTCCCTGTTGCCATGAAATACCAATTACATACTTCCAGACCACTAATCTCTCTCCACCCCACCAGCTTTCCTGCTCCTGACCACAGAGTGACAACATCAGCTGCACCATGCCACGGAAAACAGGACTCAACATTTTCGGAGAACCAACTCAGCTAAGAGAGCTTCCTGAGTTGTGAAAACCCTCTTAACACATCAATATTGCATGAACCTTAATGTCACCTGCTTTTCTTTTGGGCACAGGGGTCATTAGCCATGTGAACATCTTCAGTCCAACCACAAACAGAAACAGGACAGTTGCTTTTGCCCCAGGGGGCCTTCTAACCTTGGCAAGAGGGTGGTACAGCTCCATGGGCAATGTGGCAAAGTGAAAATCCTGTTGTCTTGCCACATAGAAAACCAAGATATTGTGGGAGCTTGAGCTAGTATTTAACTTTTTGGCTCTATTCTAAGCCAAATTGGAGGTGCCTTATAAAAACAGTTGGATAACTCCTAGTCAAACACTAAAGAAAATATTTCCAAGAGTGAGCACTGGCCATCACCAGTCCCTACCTATAGTTTAGGTGATGTATTTTGCAACTGCATTCAACCAAGTTTTGTATGAACCCTCATCAGGTCTCAGCGTTCTTCCCTGATTCAAAAACCACTGAGAGGACTAATGAAACTGTATTTTTCCAACTGTATACTCACTTTCAAAACATCATATCACTAAGCATAGGTATGATATTCTCAACTTCTTCTCTAGTGTGCCTTTTTATTATTAATGAGCACAATTGGTCATTCTTGGAACTTTGATTCGCTCTTATGGGGATTTTGGAGTTTAAAACAGAACATAAAGGTTTATAAATCAATTACTTTCTGATTATTTTCTTTTTTCTTTTTGTGGTTTCCTTCTTTTTCTTTAACCTAAAATTCATTGCTGGGTCCTAATATTACGGTGAACATGGGATGAAAATAGATTCTGGTAACATGTTACAAACCGCCAAATTCATCCATCTTTCATGTTTTTCTGTATCCTGACTTTCCACAAAGATGTCGTATATAACTATTTTCAAGGCTTCTTAATCTGTTTCTGAAGAGCCAGTTTTATTAAAGATCTTGTGGGGAGTTGAGAAGCAAGTAAAGAAAGTATCAAAATAAATCACTACTCTCTTCATTTGTTTTTATAATGGGGAAGTGACATCATATGGTGCATTAAGACTCAGCCACAACCACACAGCACTGCAGTATATGGGAGACTCAGTATCAAAATTCCATCGATGATCTAAAGCTCTCACATACTGTGATACACAACACATGATACTGGATTAAACTAAGACACTCCTTTCTTTCCAAAGACATTGCAGGGCAAATCATTCCCTAAGCAGGTGGTGCTTCTGACCCAATGCCTACTCAATGTTCTGAAGTAAAAATATTGAACACAGCACTAGAATTGGCTATTTGTTCATAGGGGAACTGAAACTGGAATAAATCATGTACACTTTTTATTATGAAATAAAGAAAGGACTTTTGACAGCAGATCAAATAATTTATCCAGATTCAGAGTGAACATTTTATTTATACTTCTACTATACTATGAATAGTTTTCCTGAGTACAGAAAAAAAATGAATATAAAGAAAAGGAATTAAGCCATTCATTGCCTTTTTTTTTTTTTTTTTTTTTTCACAGAATCTTACTCTGTCATCCAGGCTAGAGTGCAGTGGTGCAATCTCGGCTCACTGTAACCTCTGCCTCCCGAGTTCAAGTGATTCTCTTGCCTCAGCCTCCCCCATACCTGGGATTACAGGCATGCATCACCATGCCTGGCTAAGTTTTGTAGTTTTAGTAGAGATGGGGTTTCACCATCTTGACCAGGCTGGTCTCGAACTCCTGACCTTAGGTGATCCGCCCACCTCAGCCTCCCAAAGTGCTGGGATTACTGGCGTGAGCCACCATGCCTGGCCCCATGCACTACTTCTGAAGAATGCTGTATTCTCTCATTCTGGAGATGATTGTCACTTCCCTCTGATTTGTGACTGTCAATGATAAACTGACAATGGAAATAGTCAAGTATATAAACTTTCCTCTGCTTTCAAAAATCTTACTTAAAATCTTATTAAAATTTGAAAACAAAGCTAATATCTTATTGTTCTAATCAGAATCTGCTCAGAGTCACCAGTTATTTCCACTTACTACCAAGAATTGAAGGATATGATTTTCTTCTACTCCTTACAGCATATATGCAAATATCACCAGCCCAAATTTTCTCTGCATTTCAGCCCAGAATAGAAGGTGAAAGCTTTGGGCTCAGTAAATGTTTTAAATGACTAAAAGGGCCACTAATGATGACCTTTTCATTGTAACGTGCTCGGCAGGATAACTTGTGTGTGTCCTCCTTATATCCGCTCCTTCTTGAGCAGGCTGCAACCCCAGCCTCAGCGACTTTGGCAAAGTCTTAGGCAGAAAGAAAGAAAATAATGCTTTGAGGGTCAGGAAGTCAGGCAGAAAGGAGAAGTTACGTATTTGATAAACTGAAACATAACCTGAAAAACGAGAGAGATCTATAAGTCCCCTAAGTATTGCCTGCATATGCTCTAACAGCAACCTAAGAAAGTGGCAAGACTTCAAAGGGGGAATGGTTGAGTAGGGTGTGTAAGGAGCCAAGATCTCAGGCACCAAGATTCCCTGGTCATAAAAATCTTCTGTGCCCAAGTGCAGCACAGAAACAGCAGAACTTCAGACTAAATTACAATGTAAACTGGATTAATGTTGTAACTGCAGTTCAACTGTGGCAGACTACTGACCGATTATCTGAATAAGCTTCTCCAATGCTTTAGGACCAAGCAGAAACACAAAGTTCTGGAGGACGGGAAAAAACAGTCATACCAATGATGAAATTTGGAGTCTCAAGATTGACAAAAAAGTTTTTAATGTGATATTTTTTGTATAAATATGTTTATTTTGCTTTGATAAGAGTCAAACTTCCCCGATATATCAGGTGCTGTTAACATAACAAAAACCCAGTACCCAACTATGTATTCTTGAAAGTCAGAAAAACTGGTTTCTTTCCTTGCTTCTACCTTGGGTGTGTGCTTTGACCTTAAAATAAGTCACTGAAGTGTGCTCAGCTTCAGGTTCCTTATCCTTAAAATGGGAATAAGTGTAGCTGTCAGGCTTATCTCACAGGGCCAGTAGACACAGAATTACCAATAGTAGTAGTAGTACCAGAGTTAGAGCTGGTGCTATTGTTGCTGTTGTGGCTTATTTTGTTATGACATGTCATGAAAATGGTATAACTTCCCTAATAACATTAACCAATGACTATTATTAATACAATAACTGATAAACAACATAGTTTCTCTAGCTGGAAAAGGTAAATGTTGCAGATAATATAAATGTGCCTTTATATATTAACTTATGTTTTGATAAATGTATTAAGCCATAACTAGAAATCAGCTTTGAGGTTATATTTCTAAAAGAGGGATAATTATAAAAAGCTCTTTGAAAAATCACTTATTAAATTTATGAACATACTGAGGAGATGGCTGGTTGATTTTTTATCCTGTGAGTAATATTCAAATATGGGTAGTTTGCCTTTTAAAGGACATTCCAATAACCAAATTTTAGTGGCAAACTGATTTGAAATAGAGCATGGTATCTTAGCCAAGCAATATTTTTGCTTTAAGTCAGGGAAACAAGAGCTGTAGAACCAGGAAATGTGGAGGAGCATGGAAAATATTTAATCAAGAGTTATTCCACTACAGGAAAATCACTGGTGTCCATAAAATGAAGCAGATGACAGCATTGTTCTGCTTCTTAGTATTATGGGAGGAGGTACTAGGCGTTCAATTTCGTTCATTTAAAGAGGGGAAAGAACAGAGAGCAGAATGCTGAAATCTGGCAGGGGATGGGGCTGGGAGGGTGTAGGTAGGCAGTAGGGAGAGGTGTGGAATCTACATAACATTCCAAAGATGAATTAGAGCTAGGAATTCTACTTTTATAAACTATGCAGACAAAGGAGAAATGATGAATGAGACCATTAAAAAATATCTAAGGGATCTGAATTTTACCAGTCTATAATTTGCAAAACCTTGAAATTCCCTTTATCATAACTATATTATCATGGAAAATCCTGAAGTCAGTAAGTAGTTCCTACTACCCAACTAATAAGTTACCTATTACAACAATAATCCAGAAATCTATATTTAAATGTAGCAGTGAAACGCTTCCATTATCTTTGGAGTTTTTATTTCCTATTAGTGAAAAAGAGTGACTCATCAAAAATTACTCAGTAACTGATGATCATTCTAATTAAAATCTAAAGGTAGCATTTGTATTGTTTAATTCACATGCATTATCATATGACGGGAAAATACATCATTTTACTATAATATTCTATCTTGACCAAAAACACTTAACAATCTTATGTTCATTTTTTCTGCTTCCCTGAGATATTGGTCAGTCTTATGTGCCTACTCACAAAAGTGGAATAACCACTTGTTACACAACTGGGACTCATACTCAGCATACCAGGACAAGAGTCTGTTTTTAATCTAGATCAACGAGATTACAGCCACTGTGACCCTGGCCACTTCGAAAAGCACATAGATTCTTTTCATTGCACACACACACAAATCAATCTATGTTGGGAAATTAGACCTCTCCTTGCAACTATCATTCTGAGAAATAGGCATTGTTTCTGTGGGAGAGCAGGATGAACCTAACTATTTTAAATGGATGATGTAAGTAGCCCATTAAAGATGAACCAAGATTGTACTAGAAAATAAGTTTGAACAAAAATCATCAGAGTTAATGCTGCAAAATGGCCTGAGTTCATCTGCACTGAGAAGTGCCACTTGGGCTGAATTATTTATAATGCTAAATTTCCTCATGTGGTAAATGTAATGCAGTATTTGGGTAGGATTCTGTCTGGTCGGTTAGTTGCTTTTAAGCCACTGGGCCTTTAAAACCCCAATGCTCTTAAATCTGGGCCAAGAGATGGGATGTGACCACATTATGTCTTGTAAAGTCTGTATTAATCTCCTTTTTCTGTTGTCTAATCTCCCATCTCTCAATACTAAGATGATGAAGAGTAGATTAGGTAGTCACACTATAAAGCTATGCAGGGGTACATTAGCATGAGTCTTGTAGTAGATTACACGAGCAAAAGAAAGTCCGTTACATCCACTCCTTTGTCCATAAGCTGGGACAAAGCATTTTATTTGACTGCTGCCCTTAAAGGGGTCCAGGAAGCCCCCTGGTGGGGAACCAAAACTAATATTCAAACCATACTCCAGAGAATCATTACCAGTTCTTGTCCTTGACTTTGACGCTTTTAAATTCTTTTAGGAATTATTGCCAACACGTGCACTGTAATCACTCAACTCGTAGTTACTGTGGCTCCTAAGCAATGATTAGCTTTTAAGCAAACGAAGTCTATTAGATTAATCTTAGATAAACACCTATGTTGCCAGCTGATTATTGGATAACACACAGAATCTATTTCTGAAGGTGGTGGCTTTTTGGAAGACTATATCACCAGGCTCTCTCTTAAAATAGCTTTCAATTGGAGAGTTTGGATTCATTCAGTCCAAATAAATGAGACCTGTGCCTAAAAGTTCAGTTATTCTTATTATTTAAATGTTTCATTCTGTGGTGATTTTGTCTCCCTCCACAGTCTTCTATTCAACATCAAGGCAATAAAAACAAACTTTTAAAAAATTGTTTTGGCAATGTAAGTAAATCAAAATATTTACTTATTCCTTATGCATAGTCTAATTGAATGATATATTCTTAGCATTACCCCTGTCTTTCATATATTAACAGACATTTTGCATTATTGGTTTTGTGCTGCAAGCATATTGTTTTGAATCAAGTATCCTTTAGAACAACTTCTCCATCTCTTTGTACATGTCTGTATCAGCAGTTAAGTCAGACGCTCCAAAATAGTACTGTTATCTATTCAATAAAGAAGTATTAAGCCTTTGCTGTTCCTTAGACTCTGCAACCCTCTTCTCTCTTTCCATCTTGACTCCAGTCTGCACACTTAGACAACCACATTAGCAAGGACCAATCTTAACTTTAGGCATACTAACTTTAAGCATCTCCATTTACCATTCTTTGACTTGATATCTTTACCATTTTTGTTAGTCCAGCCATTACTTTCTTCATGCATATTTAGTGTCTGAGTTCTTAGGCTATTTATGTACTCAGAAATCTTTGGAAATAAAACCTTCCTTGCATTTTTTAGTTCTCTACTGTGCTCTCCTTGTTGTAGGCAAAGGGGTAGGGCCTCTGCTTCCTGCTACTCTTTCTCCCTGATGCCCATTTCTCTTATCCAGGATTCCAGATTATCATTTGCTCTCACACTCCCTATAACAAGGCTATTTTCCCAATTGAAATAACAATTCCCTCATTAGACAACTTCTTCACCCATCCCAGACTGCTGGACCAGTTACTGTCTGTTATATAATAATTCAGGTCGAAGTTATTCCTCTCTCCTGTAAATGAGTCTGTTTCTGGCACAGAACATGCACATACAGTAGGAGAGGCCAATTTCAAATGCTGTAACCTCTCAACTTGGCTTGTTCCACTGTAATTCACTATTCATAGTAAGTTATATCTAACATGCAGGAGAAAACAAGGATATCAAGGTATGTGACCATTGGCAAGAGAGATAATCGGTATAGTTTATCAAAAAAAAAAGCTTTAAGTTGGATCAAACCAGGTACAATTTTCACTTGATCTCCTTGTAATCTAGAGACAGCTTAAGTATGCAGACTGTGTTTGGTCAGGTATCTATATCCTTTTTCTAATTGAACTCCATTCAGGTGAGAAGTAATATTGTAGAGTCAAAATAGCGGAGACACAAACATTAGCGGATCTATGATCTAGACCTGGCTTTGCCACTTACTATTACCCTCACATTGAGCAGGTCTCTTAACATCCTCTACTTGTTTCTTCTAGGTTATATGGGGACAATAATATTAATTAGCAGATACCTGTAGGCCACTGAATCTTTAAGACTTGGCTTTGGTGAATTAGAAAAGCAAGGAAGAAATTCCTGGCCAGAGAAATCAGGCAAAAGAGAGAAATAAAAGGCATCCAATTAGAAAGAGATAAAGTTAAACGTTCCCTGTTTGCAGATAATATGATTCTATACCTAGAAAAACCCATGTTCTCTTCCCAAAAGCTCTTTGATCTGAAAAACAACTTTAACGAAGTCTTGAGATACAAAATCAATGTAATCAATGTACAAAAATCAGTAACATTCCTATGCACCAACAACATTCAAGCTGAAAACCAAATTAAGAACTCAATACTATGCACAATAGCCACAAAAAAGAATAAAATATTTAGAAATACAGCTAACCAGAGAGGTGAAATAGCTTCACAAAGAGAATTACAAAACACTGCTCAAAGAAATCAGAGATGACATAAACAAATGGAAAAATATTCCATGTTCATGGATAGGAAGAATCAATATTGTTGAAATGGCCAAACTGCCCAAAGGAATGTACAGCTTCAGTGCTATTCCTATGAAACTACCAATGACATTCTTCACAGAATTTGAAAAACCTATTTTATTTTATCTTTTCTTCAACTTTTAAGTTCTAGGGTACATGTGCAGGATGTGCAGTTTTGTTACATAGGTAAATGTGTGCCATGGTGGTTTGCTGCACAGATCAACCCATCACCCAGATATTAAGCCCAGCATCCACTAGCTATTCTTCCCAATGCTCTCCCTCCCTCTGCTCAACCTGAGAGGCCCCAGTGTGTGTTGTTTCCTCTGATGTGTCCACGTGTTCTCATTGTTCAGCTCCCACTTATAAGTGAGAACATGCAGTGTTTGGTTTTCTGTTCCTTTGTGAGTTTGCTGAAGATAATGGCTTCCAACTGCATCCATCTCCCTGCAAAGGACATGATCTCAGTCCTTTTTATGGCTGCATAGTATTCCATGTTGTATATGTACCACATTTTATTTATCCAGCCTATCACTGTTGGGCATCTGGGTTGATTTCCTGTCTTTGCTATTGTGAATAGTGCTGCAATGAACATATGCGTGCATGTATCTTTATAATAGAATGATTTATATTCCTGTGGATATATACCCAGTAATGGGAATCCTGGGTCAAATGTTATTTCTGCCTGTAGGTCTTTGAGGAATCACCACAGTCTTCCACAATGGTTAAATTAATTTACATTCTCACCAACAGTATAAAAGCGTTCATTTTTCTCCACAACCTAGCCAGCATCTGTTGTTTCTTGACTTTTTAGTAATCGCCATTCCGACTGGCATGAGATGGTGTTTCATTGTGGTTTTGATTTGCATTTCTCTAAATCAGTGATGTTGAGCTTTTTTCCATATGTTTGTTGACCGCATGAATGTCTTCTTTTGAGAAGTGTCTCTTCATGTCCTTTGCCCACTTTTTAATGTTGTTTTTCTTGTAAATTTGTTTAAGTTACTTGTAGACTCTGGATATTAGAGTCTTATATCCAGACCTTTAAGTATTAGACCTTTGTCAGATAGATAGATGGAAAAAAATTTCTCTTCCTCTGCAGGCTGTCTGTTCACTCTGATGACAGTTTCTTTTGCTGTGCAGAAGCTCTTTAGTTTAATTAGATCCCATTTGTCAATTTTTGCTTTTGTTGCTATTGCTTTCGGCAGAAAACCCTATTTTAAAATTCATATGGAACCGAAAAAGAGCTCGAATAGCCAAGGCAATCCTAAGCAAAGACAACAAACCTGGAGGCATCACATTACAACTTCAAACTATACTACAAGGCTACACCCCATGTGAATAGAGTTCCCCCATGTTCTACCTGTGGTAAACAGGGTGAGTCAGAGTACTGTGGGAACACAGAAGTAGGGCACCAACCAGGTCTGCAAGGATTGGAAAGACTTCCCAGGCCAGGTGATGCCCAAGCTGCTTTTCTTGAGATGCAACCAGATTCCCCAGAGCTTTTTATGCATAAATTGTGGGGTCAAAACAGAGAAATCTCACCTTCTAACTACAATAAGCTGGTCTCTAAGGAACCTCAAACCCTAATGGGGCACACAGGCCTTCCCTAATCTCATCACTGCTTACCACTATAGTACATAACTGGGCATCTATGGAGCCAGGCTGACCATGGTAATACATCCAGAAGAAAAACTCTAAGTCAAAAAACATTGATAAGCAGGGTAGTTCTACTAAACTCTTTGTGGAAAAACGAAGGGCATTATGTAACACAATACACAAGAAATCTTAAAAACCTCAATAAGAGCAACTCCCTTTCCTTAAAGTTCTCATGTCTGTAGTAGTTGCTGCCTTTCCTGTTCTCTGTCTCCTTGTTTAATGTCTGTCTTTCAACGAATGTCTCGATCTCTGTCTCTGTTTGTTCCCTCACTGCCTATCTGTTTGTTTTCTCTCTAGGTGTCCCTACCTCTCTATCATGTGTCTCTCACTATTTCTGTCTTATGTGTGTGTTTGTATGTGTGTGTGTTTTTCCATCTCTCTTTGTCTCTCTCTTTCCCTCTATCTCCACCACCTCCTCAACTTTTCCACCTGCTTATTTCTTCATCCTGACTGTGGAAGGCTCTATCTCCCAAATCCTTTGTTCTCCCAATGGGTCTATCCATCTTTTTTAGCGTATAAGGTAATCTTCAGCTGCTTTCATTTTCCATCTCTATCTTTCACCCCACTGTAAAAAGAAGGACTGTTATCTCTGAAATCCACATTTCGTAGAAAATCAGAGATGGAAAATTGTAAATGCTTATAGTTGTATCATCCTTTTTCACCAGTCTCATCTGTTATTATTTCCTTCCTTTCACTCTCCTTATAAGGAATAGAGAATTTCTTGCAATTTCACAAACTCCTTCCTCCTTAGAAGGTCCTTTCCAGCTTGTCTAACGTATGACTTCCTCCTGTTCCCTGGCTAATTCCCATTCTTCTTTTAAACACTAAGTGTCACCTACCCAGAAAGGAGGCTGCCCCGTTCATTGTGGAATCAGACATTGATTTAGTGCTTCCAGAGCCTTCTGTGCTTACCCTTACAGCATTCATCACACAGATTAGGAATTGTTAATAGGGTTTAATGTCTTCTCCGTAAGACATGGTTTCATAGACATATGAACCCATGTACTTTCAGTGCCTGGTTCAAGCTGCTGCTCCATAAACATCTACTTAATGAAAATTGAAATTCTAAGGGATAAGAGTGATCCATGCCAATTTCCATTTTCTTTGAAAGATTCCAATCTTAAATTGCAAACAAAAAGACCAATGTGCCATTACTGATAAGCCTCTCCATCTTTCTCAGATGACCTCAGCAAAGATAGAAAAAAAAAAAAAAAAAAAAAAAGAGCTGCAAGGGAGAGGAAAAAGATAAAAGACCAGGTTCAGTGGCAAAAATCACAAAGCAATTCTTGCAAATCATAAACTAAAAACATCTTGGCTGCATAAAGCTGCTTTTAAAGCAGAGTCGTATAATTTAAAAAGATCATTTGTACAAGGGATGCCATAATTTTGGCCAACAGTTCTCTTACCACTGATTTAAGAATCTTGGAATAGGTAATTCCAAGGAAAAGGCTTAAAGTAAATGAAAATATATTCAAATTATAATCAAATGAAAATGCTACAGAGGAGATGGTTAGGTGGAATTTTTTTCAGGTCCCTAAATTTAACCATATGAGATTATTTTACAAGTATCATCCTAGTCAATCTCTGGGAATGGATTTGCTTTTTAATACTAAACCACATTTCATCACATGGATGGATCCTAACCTCCCTTATTTAGTTATTTCCCTTGATCACAGATAATTTTCCATGTTATATATACAGCATATACATAACATGATGGTAACTTTTTCAGACTTGGCAAACTGGAGCTACAAATATACAAAATAAGCAACGGTTAAAATCTGTTCTCTTCTCCCAGTGAACTGAGTTACCTGCATGAAATACTCTCTGTGGGGATATTACGGCTAACTGTTTCACAATGAAGTATAACAAAAAGATGAAAAAGGGGCAGGTTTATGATGTGTGAATGATGTGTTTAAGTCATTTTATAGACAAGCTCTCTGTAAGGCAGAACTATCTAACTGTAGGTTTAAACAGTATCACGTTAGGTATTGTTTAAATCTTATTTACCTGGACAATATTATTGATGTGTTAATTACCCAAATGCATACAGAGTTTCTCTAAGTGTCAGGGACTGGGTAAGGTTTCTGCTATGGAGTTGAGGGTGTGAGTGAAGTTTTGGGAAGGTTGAATACCAAGAAGAAAAATAAGACTTGGCATCTAGCCCAGAGAAGCAGACAGTTAAATAAAGGAGAGAGACTTGTAAACTTGCAATTCAGCAAAGAGGAAAACAATGGCCCATCTGGGCCCATTCAATGGAAGGAATCTTAACCATCAAGTTTAAGATAGGCCTGCCAAGGATGCAAAAGCTGAGCTAGAATATTGGAAATGAGTAGGGAGTAGTAGAGAAACTAGCTAGAATGGTAAGATTTAGGAGAAAGAATTGCCAGTCTTTGATGACTGGTGAATGAGTGGGGTGGGAGAGAGATAACATCTAGATTTCTGCTTTGGAAAACAAGTAGGTCCTGGTGTGCTGCAAGTTGTGTTCTTTGGAAGCAGATGCCAAAACAAAGACTGGCATGACAAGTATTTATTAGAGATCAAATTCTGTAGAAGGAAGGCAGAGGAAGCGGGGTTAGGTGGAAGGAGAAGATGAATTGCAATGCAGGCCTGATGCCTTGGTCAATGTCTCAGGAGCTCTGGGTAGCATACGGCTCATCAAAGTTGTCCTGAAGGGAGCTGAAATGGCTGGGGCTTTGTGCTCTCACTGTACTGAGTAATTGGATGTAGACCAGTCCAGGAACGGCATGGTCTTAGGTGAGATGGCTCTCTGAAGCTGTGGAGAAACCTGTGGGAGCTGACAACTGAGGCTGCTTGCTGACAACATTCCCAGCTACTGGATACAAGTCCTCCTTGAGGGGTATCTGGGCAACACAGGTTGGAGCAGGAAGTGGTTTGAGTGAATATAGAGTTCTATCTTGGACATATTAAGACTGAAAGACATTTAGCCAGAGACAACCTGTAACCAATTAGTTGTATAAGAAGTCTTTGAGTGCTGGAGAAGAGTTTCGTCCAGAGACATAGATCTTGGAATTACCAATATTCGAGACTAAATTGAAGCAATGGGAAGCTAGGCAAGCTCACCCAGGCATGTAAAAATGGCAGAAAAGGACCAAGACTGGAAGCCAGGAGAACACCAGCTTTTCTGAAACAACCAGAAAGAAAGGATATTGACAAGGTTTAAGAGAGAATGAGAATCCAAGGAGGATCATTTCATAGGAAACAAAGAAGGAAAATCCTTCTAGGAGGAGACATTGGACAGGAGTCAGCACTTGCCTTAGAAAACTTCAGTAAGACAAGGACCCAAGTGTCCAGTGCATATGTGTGTCTGTATGTGTGTGTGTGTTAGTGGGCTATCTATAAAGGCCACACCTCAGGATCAAACCACATCTTACCTCAGCATCTCTATCTCCCTCTGCCATCTTGTCCTTATCTTTAGTTTTGAAGGAGAAATGGTCTTTTCTCCATATTAAATGTTAAATTACTTGTTGGTTTATCACATTTAACTCCTTTCTTTATATATTTTTCTTCAGTTGGCTATTTCTACCAAGTCTCCATATTTTCTGCCTTATTGTGACAGATCTGCCCTATAGTGGCAGGTGGAAGCCGTGGTAAAAGTAAGTTTAGCTTGATGCCATCTTCTAGCTATCATCGGATTTCTCTATTTTCTTTCATTGATTACTTTTCTTGTATCAGGGGTATATTTCTATTATTTTTATTTCCTCTCCATTCAATCCTCACCACTGAAATGTTTATTCTCTTGAAGACTGTTAATGATAACTACCTATGTTTTTCTAATCTTTGTATTCAAGTTATTAGGTAGTAATCATAATTTTGGCTTTACAGTTGAGGCTCAGAGAGATTATTTGATTTGCCAGAGATTACAACATTACGAAGAGGCTCAACCAGGATTCAGATTGGCATTTGCTTGGCTGCAAAGCTTTCCTAGAACAGCCCACTGCCTTTCTCACATTCAGGACTATTGATAAATTCAGAGATCTTTTTTCCTCATAATCCTTGTCATCAGCTGCATTTGATATTTTGGCTTTCCTCTTTGTGGAAGACATCTGTTTTTACCAGTCTGGAATTATTTTCTTCTAAATTGGGTAAGAGTATCCCAGTTTTCTCTTTAGAGACCCACTCATTTCTCTCATTTCTAATGTGTCTATCTCAGCACATTAGGGCTGGTCTCAGTCACTCCCAGATCTAGAGGTAAGCACATGACATAAAAGAAAGCAAATATAATAAGGCCAAAAATCCTGTGTATATGCCAATGTTCCTGATTATTTTAGGTACCCCATTCCTACATAACCCTTATACTTCTAGGTGGAAAGACTGATGTACCAGTTTGAAACATGGACTTGCTGAAACTAACAACTACTTGTATGATTTGCTGAAATCCCTGTCCTCTTTCCACTGTACCACGATGATCCAGTGTTTGGCTTAAGCTCATAATTCCAATACAGGCCTTAAGCTCATAATTTGTATGGCCAGCAGCCACCAGGAATGAGTCACAAGCTGGTCAGCTTGTTCTCTGCGATGATTTGGGGTCTTCTCATTTTCCTTCTGCCTTGTTCTCATTCTCTATGTGGTCTTAGTGTCTACCAGACTCTTGTTCCTTCAAATTTTAATTTATGCTGACTTCCACTTCTAAAAGTGATAGACCTTGGACTTCTCGAAATATATATATGTAATTAATATATATATATATATATATATATATATATATATATATATATATTTTTTTTTTTTTTTTTTGAGACGGTGTCTCACTCTGTCACCCAGGCTACAGTGCAGTGGCACGATCTCAGCTCACTGCAACCTCCACCTCCCTGGTTCAAGCTATTCTCCTGCCTCAGCCTCCTGAGTGGCTGAGATTACAGGCACACATCAACATGCGCAGCTAATTTTTGTATTTTTAGTACAGATGGGGTTTCACCATGTTGACCAGACTGGTCTCCAACTCCTGACCTCCTTTGCCTCACAAAGTGCTGGGATTACAGGGGTGAGCCACCGCGCCCGGTCCAAAAATATTTTTTATTGTCTATTTCTTGGTTTAGTTGGGGTTTGGGGTTGTTTTCATATTTTTACTTCCAACTAATTCTTCCCATTTCTGGTTGCTTCAGAGCACTTACAAACCCAAGATCCAGCATCCAGGAACCCAAACATAGCACTAATCCATTTGGCCAATACCCAAACTTGTTATGCTGGTGCTTCAGAAGAGGAGGATCAGACAATTTTCTGAATTCACATTTACCTCTCCTGCTTGTAAGCAAGAGTCTCAGGGATGAGGACCAGGTCTGGTTAACTTTTGGTTCTCTCAGTCCCTGAATAACACCATGGTAGTTATTGAGAACATCTTGCTATATTAAGCTGGTTGGACCCCATATGGCTTAGGATTAGAATCTTAGAATTTCAGTTTTTAACTGTGCCAAGAATTCTCCCTCTAACCTGGAATGACTCAATATTTCCCTTACATATAAATTAGGGATGCTGATTGGAATTGTCTCAAAAGACTAATATTTTCATACCAAAAAGTGAATATTATAAAATGCACTTTATGACTATTACATAATAGAGAAAACCACAAAGAAAAGAGGTTTACATTTGTTATGATTTCTCAGCTTAATTTCAAATTTTATCTTTTTTATAAAAATGGCTTCTGGAAAAAATTTTTACCAGAATTTGGAAGTTTTCATTCAAGTTCAATATGAGAAAATCCTAGAACAGTAGAGAATCATATGATATTGGACAAGATCTAATTTTCCAAAGAAGGAAGCAGAATTTCTTTTGCACGTTTCTAGTCTTTTTCTACTTTTTTAGGTGGTAGTTTCTTCTTTATTTTGTTACCTACATGGCAAAAATAGAGAACAAAATGTGTGACCACAGGAATTCTAAGCTGAATTTATGATCGTGAGAGAGGTATGCTTAGGCATCACTGAGGGATGTACTTTGGTCTCTTCGGGACAATGAAGTCATCCTAAGAGTGGTTATGTCTTGTCTTAATGAAATCATAGGAAGATTTCTATCTGAAACTACCACAGGTAGAACAATACATTTGTGAAATGATAGTTTTCTTCAGTGTATGAGGTTACATATAGTGAAGAGTAACTCTATGTGGAAGAAGATATTGAAGTTCGAATGGACTATTAAATAAACCCCCTGGTTTTCCCTCTTGAATCTAAATCAATTGAGATGGGCAAAGGAGTGAGCCAGATGAAGATCAAAGTAGGACTCCCAGGGAACATGTGACAACAATGAGCTTCCCGATTATGAGCCCTGAACTAAGCAAACTTATTCACCCACTCACTGTGGGGGAAGAAAAGCAAGTTTACAACCTTTACCACTAAGATTTCCATATGGTCCACTAGAGCAGATTCTCTGCAGGCAGGCAAATCCCAAAGACCAAGGGGAGAAGAAGGAGCTACACTTGCCAGATTCTCCTTCGAAACTCACCAATCTTGAAATTAGTCTGCCTCTCCTGGGGACGAAAGTAAACCGCTGAGAGGGGAAAATTCCTTTTGAATGAAAAGAGGAGTGAGGAATAAGAGCACTTCTGGCCCCTATCAGCACCACCAAATGATGTGTGCCTGGCACACTCATGAGTGTGGGATTATAGGCATGAGCCACTGTGCCCAGCCTTTTTAAACTTTCCTATAGAAATATCTTTTCCAAAATCCTGGATGCTCAAAATGATATTATCTCAATAATGATACTTTCCCTAGAATATATTGTTTGATGTGCTATATTGTTCTACAATGTTTCAGTTCTTAAGAACCTTTCTGTTAAATATGATGGTAACCTTGTTTACTATCCAATTTATCATAATTTATATTTCTGATACTTATAATAACCAGCTGTGGCAGGAAAGACCTGCAGAAGATTTTCTTAGATGTTGATGCCTATGAAGAAGACTGAGAAAGAATGGCCAAGGGTGGGAATTGAGCCAAGAAGAAATTCTCCTGGAATCCAGCAGCTTGGGGGAGTAAAAGAGAATTTCCATGGAGGTGCATTTTCTAAGAACTATATTAAAAATTTTTTGCCATCAATGATTTTGGCTTTGCAAGGTCACTTTCTAAGTGTTTCTTTTTAAACGTACCACAGATCATTAAAAATTTGTCTTTTAACTTTCTTCTTTTTTTTTTAATTTTTTTATTTTACAGAGACATGGTCTGGCTATGTTGCCTAGGCTGATCATGAACTCCTGGGCTCAAGCTATTCTCCAAACCTGGCCTCCCAAAGTCCTGGGATTCCAGCAGAGAAGATTCAAGAAGATTCCAGAAGTGGTCAAGACATTGATGTTAAACAGTTAAGTAAAATAAGGACTGAAATACATATTTGCCTCTGGCAAGTAAGAAGTTACTGCATGCCTCAATGAAAGTAGTTTTAGCAGAATGGTGGACTGAAAGCCATTTATAATGGGTTCAGGAGTAACTCATCTGTGGAAATGGAAACTGCTATTATGAAATGTAGCTTTCCACTTCTAAAGATTTACTTATGAATATAAGGAAAAAGAAAGTACAAGATTTTACAAGATATGTTAGGTCAAAGGAAAATCGATGTTCTTTCATAAAAAAATGACTACCAATCTAATAAACATACTGAAAACCTATAGTAATTAGTACATTACTGATGTATTTCTACATAATGCTATCATACGATAAATTACAACTAATTTCTGTGGTTCCTGTAATTAGACCATACAGTATACGATGGAACTAAATGTGATGAAAAACAATATATACAAGAGAGTTCTGCATGCACCAGGAACTTTATCAAAGGCATCCTGGAGGGAGTAGGGCTTGGCCATTCCTTAAAATTAGGTGGAATATAAAAAAAAAAACACTTGGTAAAAAGGACAAAGATTTTTCAGGATGGCAAGAAGGAATAAAGGTATTGATTCAGGCATAATAATTAGAATGCAATTTTTATTTTTGAAAAATTCTTCCCATTGCCTTTTCCTCTTTCAGAGGCCCCAAACCATTGCTCAGCTTCAACCCTGGTCTTCTCCTTCTTCTTGAAAAGACTCCCAACCCTAGAATTATTAGTCAAACTAGACATGGGTCAGGGTGGAGAAAATAAAACAGATTGAAGTGGTTTATGTGTTTTTTCCCTTTCTTTACCTAAGAACATATTTATAATATATCACAGGCAGTGATTACTATGTATAAGATACTAAATAAAGCACTTTTTCCATATTAACTAATTTCTATAATTTAATCCTCAGTATAACCCTATATGAAAAGTATTTCTATTTTGCATTTTACAAATAGGAAAACTAAGACACAGACAAGGTAAGTAAGTTACCCAAGGTTATCCAGCTAGTAAGTAGCAGACCTAAGATTTAAAACTAGGCAGTCTGGTGCCTGGGCCTAAGCTCTCAAATGCTTTTCCTCTGCTGCCTTTATCCTTTTTTCCATCTTTATTGTTATTTTCCACTAAGTAAAAGTAATGCAAGCTCAAGATCTAAGAAAATAAAAAATAAATAAATAAAATCAAAAGTATGCTGTCTTATAATGAAAACAATGGTCCCAAACCCCTCTACCTTCAACCACTGTTTGCTTTTTAATATTTTTTATTTATGTAAGTATGTTTTAATGTAAATTGTATAAGCAATACATCTTTATATTATATATGCACATATTCTGAAAGGTAAATACAAACACGACAAAATTCCCACCTACCCAATGGTACAGACATTTTAGAAAATTGACAAATAAATAGCAAAAGCCTCCATGCTTCCCACCTATCCCAAAGCTAATCATCAATCCCAATTTGTGTAATTCATCTTCAGAAAAAGGATATTTGCACATAACCAAAATAGATGTATCTATTGTTATACTTCTTTAAAAAAGCACAACAGAGTAAATGAATCATCTTTATGCACTGTGCTGTGCTTTGCTTTTTTCTTATATAATGATAATTATTTAATTTTTATACAACAATAATTATTTATTATTTAAACAATCTCTAAAGAGTAGATGTTTCACATATAATGATATATGTACAAAAGATGAATTAAGACACATCCAAAGCCATGTGGTTTTGGGCTAATTCCTTGTTACATAAACTTTTTTACTTAATATAAATACAAGTACATCCTGTGAACTAGGAAGTATGGGAGATAAAAAAGAGTACAAAATGTGGTCCCTGTCATTAGTAGCTTATTGTGAAGATCCAAGAAGATGTCAAGTAAAGGCAAGTGTGTCACTGCCACCCTCTGCCCTGTTCTTTGGTCAGGGCCTCCAGCGCTTTGTTCTGCAGCTGCAATCTTAGGCCCATCATCCCACTGTGCTCTGAAGAATATAACTTTTTTGGAAGAAATTCCTGTCTTCAATGCTTCAGGCCAGTTAAGAGTCTCAAGTGGACAGAATATCAAATACTTGATTGATGGCCAGCATCCCTAAATGAGAGTTATTTCCACTCTGGTGTCTGGTCATGTATCCCTGGAATGACAGACAAGTGGGCTGTCCTGAAAGAGTATTCCTGGGCCTTTTGAAATGTCACCTTCTTCTGAATGCTTTCATCCACAAGTCCATCAAAGATACAAACTTCGTTTACATCAACATCTTCAAGAGTGTATTCTAAGTTAGGAGTCGGGAACACAAGGCTTTCCAGAGGAAATAAACTAAAAGAAGTCTTCTTTTATGTCTAGCAAGTCGCTAGAAAATTCATCTTCGCTCTTCACACAGGGCACTGTCTACTGTGAATCCAGTGAGGCAGATCCAAAATGGCCTATTAGATTTCATCTGAACCATACAACCTTCATATCTGTCCAGCCAGTCTACTCAATTCCTTCTTTGACATGGGGTGGGTCATACTCAAATTGATACACAGCCTTTGTCCTGAGTGTTTGTCTTCCAAAAGAATCTCTTTGCTTAGAGATCTCAGAAAATATTTGCTGTGTTAGGGGCAGATTCCTGGATTTTCTGCACAATTGGCTTTTCTTCTTTCTTTTTCTTGCTTTCTTTTGCCTTCTTTACTGCAACTATCTTTTCCCAGTGTCTCTGTTTTCTCTGGATATTTTTCTTATGATACCCAGAAAACCAAATTGTTTGAGAATGAGCACCATCCTGCACTCTGGTGGTCAGGGTCTCTCCCTCCTGGCATTTGCATTCTGCATCAATCTGCAGAAACTGAAAGCTCTCAGATATTTTAGGTATTCAGATATTTCAGATATTCCAGGTGACTGTGTTCTAAGCACTCCCTTCTAATTCCCAGTCCATGTGCCTAGTCCACTTATCCCATCATGCACTTTGCTTTTTTCAATTGAAAATGTATCTTCAGTATTTTTCCGTGTCAGGACACACACATCTACTTCCCTTTCTTTTAAAGGTTGCATGATATATAGTAAGATTACACTATAATTTACTTAACCAATATTTGTATATATTGATGGATACTTTTAATGTTTCCATTTGTTTTAATTTTCCTGTTGTTGCATTTTTCTTAGATTTGTTGTGAAATTGAAAGAGTTAATGCGAGTAAAAAATGTTTTTTCTTTCTAGCAAAAATCCAATTATAAAAATCTAACAAAAACAACTGTTCATAGAAGTCAAGACCTAAATATGAAGAAGACTGAAATGTGGCATGATTTTAAGTAGTTAGTAGAGTGTCAGCAAATATATTGACTTTTGCACTAGGATTTTTTTTTTTTTTAGCGACACATGGTCGTAACACTGGGTGTATAAGGAAGTCATTGTAATCTCAACGTACTCTCCAGCTCACCAGTGAACAGTTCTGTGTATAACAATGGGGAGAGGAAATGGGTGAACAGACTGATGCAATGCATACACATATATCAAAAAAAAATAACTCTTCTCCTTTTAGCTTTACTTCTCATTACTGCTGTTTCTCCTTGTCAACTGGGGGTCCACATATTCTCTAGGCACCACCAGGAAGATAAGCTGACAGTGCCCCAACCACACACATACACACACACACCTCAAAGCTCCCTTCCATATATTCTGAGCTATAGCTGCCTCTACTCCTCTGCCTCATCCTTCATCTTGCTCTCATCCTCTTTCTAATTTCCAGATATTTTTTAAAATCTCATTTTGTCTTCCAGCCTCCTATCTTTCCTAGGCATTCATTCCATCTTGTGTTTCTTTACTGTAATTTTCATAGAAAAATAGCCTAAACTGGAAACCACAGAGAAGATATTTTTAAAGAGATTAGTGATTGTTAATTACAGTTATAGCCTAAAGACTATATTCAGATGAAAGAGAGGAAAAACACAGGAAATTCTGAGAATAACTGATGAATCAGTTCCTAAAGAGGGCAGTAAAGTTGGATTCAGCATGTAAACAAAGTTCTTTAGCAAGGAAAAAAAGATTCATTCATTTCAAAATTCTTTACTGAAGTTCTACTATATTCCAGCAATGTCATAACCACTGCAAAGTATAGTGGTACTTTTTTTTAATCCCATTTTTATGGATCTTGCATTTTAGTTGGTGGAGTCAAACAAAATGAATATACAGAATGTTAGATGGTAGTAAGCGCTATGGAGAAGATTAAGACATAAAAGGGAGATACAGAACGGTGTAGAGTATCAAGCAATTTTAAATAAAGTGATTAGAATGCCTCAGTGAGCGAGGTGTGGTGGCTCACGCCTGTAATCCCAACACTTTGCGAGGCCGAGGTGGGCAGATCACCTGAGGTCAGGAGTTTGAGACCAGCCTGGCTAATATGGTGAAAACCTGTCTCTACTAAAAATACAAAAATTAGCTGGGTGTGGTGGCAGGTGCCTATAATCCCAGCTACTCAGGAGGCTGAGGCAGGAGAATCTCTTGAACCTGGGAGTCAGAGGTTGCAGTGAGCTGAGATCATGCCATTGCACTCCAGCCTGGGGGACAAGAGCAAGCCTTCATCTAAAAAATAAATAAATAAATAAATAAAAAGAATGCCTCAATGAGAATAAAACATTCAAGCAACAATCCAAAGTAAGTAAAAGAAAAGCCAGGCAAATTTCATGGAGAAGACTGTTCCAGGCAAAGGGAAGAACAAATTCAAAGGCCCAAGGCCAAACAAGGCCAACATAGTCAAGGGACAACAAGGAGATGGACAACTGAGGAGAATAGTGGGCTGTGAGGTCAAAGAGGCAATGGGGAACCCAATGGTATGGAGTTTTATAGGCCATTGCAAATACTTTGGCTTTTGCTTGGCATGAAATGAGAACACAATAGATAGTTTGGGACAGAAAATGTAATCTGATTTACATTTTTAGCAGAATAACTCCAGATACTGTGTTGAGAATAGATTGCAGGTGCACAATGTTGGAGGGAGAAAGAGGATAAATTAGGAGGTTATTGAAATAATCCAAACAAGAAATGATAATGACTTGGCTGGCATGGATAACTCCAAAGTGTGTAGCCTAAAGAGCTGGAGGGATGTGAGTTGCCATTACCTGGCATGGGGAAGATGATGGGACAACAGATTTTGGTAAGGAAGATCAGTGAAGTTTGAAAAGCTTATTGGATACCCAGTAGAGATGTTTCATAGGTAATAAGAAGTATGAGTGTGGTTCAAGAGTTCAGGTTAGGCTGGAGATATAAAAAGCATGCAGCTGATAAATATTGACTCATTTTCCCTTATACAGAAAAGAAGGATGGATACTACTGTGGGAAGTTTTATAATGTAGGGAAGGGAAACTGTTAATATCTGATGGCCTCTATTTTGTCTATGAAAGCCGAGGCAAAATAATCTACTCAAAGAGAAAAGGTTGAGGCTGTTAACCCGCATTTAGTGAAAAAAATTGCCAAGCAACATTGAAGGCTCCACTGGACTTGAAAACCCTAAGCCACAGCCACCTGGCTACTGAACAGTGCAGAAGTAAGACTGTGTAACTACCAACTAAAACTACCACAAACTTAGGGTTTTCAGGGAGATAAAGGACGTTAGGATTAGACAGTGCAGGGTTAGATACCTGGTGCTACTGGCTGCTTGTCTGGTGTCAGATATCAGGTTGGTGAAAAGTAATTGCGGTTTTTGCCTTTGAAAGTAATGGCAAAACTGCAATTACTTTTGCACCGACCTAATAAGATACTTAACCTTTGAAATCTCAATTTTGGCATTTGTAAAGTAAAAATAACAAAATCTACCTTGCAGAGTTTTTGTCACTATTACTAAACATAAACATAAGTTTTCCAGAGCATCACAAACAATAAATAAGAGTTATTGTTACTTCTCATATTACTGTCTTTCCTACTTTTTATTTGCCATCTAGTTTTCCCTCATCTCTTTTCAATTCTGCTGGCATTTATTGAATACTTATTGAATGTCATGTAAAGCTGAGTGCTTTATAAGCATTTTTGCATCTGAGTCTCAAAGCAATTCTCTAAGCTAAGTACTATTATTATCCCATTTTTGAAGATGCAGATACTGAAATTTAGAGACTTAAGCAACATGCTCAAGATGAGACTTCTAGGAACATAATTGCTCTTTGAAAGCAGAAACAAGTTCCCAATTTCTGCTGCAGGGTCTAGTTCATTACTATTCAGACAACAGACAACCAGGTTGTACTGGATGAAAGAATGGATGAAATCCTCATTTGGAATCTCAGAAGATGTAAAGAACCCACGTAAAAGTCCATAGGAGAGTTAGAAAATGACTATTTTTAAGTAGCTTAATATAAATACTCTTTTGCTTTATTTTTTATTTTGAACTTGTAGATCAGTGTATTGTTTAGCGGTTCCTGTGTAAGAAATCACCCCGAAACGTAGTAACTTAAGACCAAAACTGCTTGTTATAGTTTGTATTTCCTGAGGGTTCTAAATAAAGATCAGAAGTCTAACTGGACTAAAATTAAGATATCCACAGGACTGTATTCCTTCTCGTGGCTTTAGAGGGGAATCTACTTCCTTGCCTTCTCTAGATTCTAGAGGCCACTTACATTCTTTATCTCATGACTCCTCCCTCCATCTTGAAAGCCAGCCATATACTATTTTCAAATCTCTCTATGACAGCTACCCTGGCTTCCATTACCCCATCTTCTCTGACTCTGAGTCTCCTGTCTCCCTTGTGATTATAATAAACGCACCAAGATGATCCAGGATAATCCTCCCATCTTAAAATGCTTAGTCATATCTTCAAAGTCCCTTTTGCCATGTAAAATAACATATTCACAGGTCCTGAGGATTAGGATATGGACATCTTTGCGGGGTAGTGAAGCTAATTTTGCCTCGCACAGACAGCTTCTCTTACCTACCTGGCAGTTGGCAGATTGTCAGCCCAGATGCCTCAATTTTCCTCCATGTGATCTCTCTTTTCCCCTGCAGGCTTGCTCATGCTCATAAAAACATAGTGGTCTCAGGCCTTTAGCTCAGAAAGAGGCCAGGCTCCAATGCACAAGCAGTTTCCACATTTGCTTATGTCCTTTTGACCAAAACAAGTCACATGGCCACCCCAGACTCAACAGGTAGAAAAATATACCCCACCTCTTTATGGGAGGATTTGTGACATCACATTGTAAGAACCTGGATGCAAAAAAACGGGAAGAACCTGTGGCTATTTTTCAATTTACCAAAATTAACATAATATGTGAGTGAGAACGTCTAAGGCCTTCCCTCTTTGATTGGAATAACTGAGGTCTTTGCATGGCTATTTCCCTTGCCTAGAATGCTCAAAATGCATTATCTTTTCCTGGCCAAATTGTTTACCCCTTTCTTATTATAGCTTAGATATGTATACCTCCAGGAAAATTCTTCTAACCCCAAACCCCATAGTGTTCCTGGTGCTTTATTTTAGTGTTCTCATTATACTAAGTACTTACCCCTAATATAGCACTTAGCGCTCTATATTGAAATCACCTGTTTATCTTCTTGCCTTTCATCCTAGACCATAAGCTTCTTTTGGGCAAAAAAATGGCTCTTAGTTTTTCACACTTTCTCTGTGACTTAGCAATGTATCCTGTATATAGTAGGTTAAAAAGGTTGTATTGAATACATGTATTAAGAAATATTCTATAAACTCTGATTATAGAGTTTCATTTACTCGTTTATCCCTCAATTGCTACTAATGTTTTTTTAAAAATAGATTTCTTTACTTAGTGAATCTTTAATCCCATACTTTTTTTTTCCTACTTTAAAACCTAGCCTTTCATTGATCAGCTAAACAAGAAAGGAAGGAATTTCTAGTACTAAACATTAGTCATAGAAAAAGTTTTCCTTGGAATAAAAAGCTAAATTGTGATTTTGGTACCTCGATAATACAAATTGGTTGTGTGACATTTACAAAATCCACAAATTGCTGCCAAGGATGCTGATTTGCCAAACTAGACATCTCTAAGGCTGTCTTCATCTGGGTGGCCAGTCAAAATTAGGAGCTCAGGGATAACTTGACTGATATTTCTTCAAACTAAAACCAAAATAAAAGCTGAGGTATTTTGGGATGTTTCCAGGAAGGTCTTAAGAGGCTGCCTGATTGCTGTTAATACATAAGGCAGAAGGCAAAGATTTCCAAAATTACATGACTCAAGGGCTAAGACTCCAGAACTGCAGACACAACATGAGTAAGCAGACCACTCCAAATTGCCAGTGGAATTAAGGAATTAAAAAGGAGATGGTGAGTTACAAGAAACAGAGCTTGTTTGGGGAATGGATACTTGGTGTGCCTGTAACCAAGAAAGCCAGCTATAATACAAGCTAAAATGAAATGTACAGATGTTTAATATAATGAAATAACCAAGGAGGAACCCACCCCTGTGTTATTCTCCAATGTAATATGTAATGTTCTATAGAACATACTTGGAATATGGGTGGTTGCCCTGGCCATTTTTTAGCTCAGGTAATGATATTTTTATAACCTGAGTTATGAAGGACAAAAATATATAAAGACAGCATTGAAGTCCAAAGACAATCAAGTTAGCTAATGTTTAAATATCTTGAGAGTGTTTCTATGCCAATGTTAAAACTGTCACTGTTAATGCCTGAATATTTTGCAGAATCTCAGTTCATTAAACTGTAAAACAGATCACAGTTTAACAACAATAACAACAAATTCTAGGCTTTTTGAGAAAGATTCTGAATTCCAAGTCTGTAAGCAGAATATACAATAAAAGGCATATTCTTGTCTATTTGGAACTTATTCATGAACTCACCCATGCAAATTGGCTACAGCCTATACATTGTCACTAATTTTGAAATCTTGCATTTAAAACTCAAAGACACAATTCATTTAATCTTGGTGACAACACTGAGAGGTGGGCATTATTATTATTATACTCATTTTTCAAATGCAAACTTGGCACAAAACATTTAGCTAATTGTCTAAGGTTATATAATTATTGTATAACATACTTGAATCTAAGCAGGTGATTCCTAAACCTATTCCCTCAACCCAAGCACTACACTGACTTTCTTAAAATATACCATGTCACTTGTCCTAAAGTGTATATTTAGCATGGATACACATGGAGAATTTTGAAACATCCTAATACAGTCATTTCAATTTAACAAATATTTCTTGAGCCCATGTTAAGTATGAAGTTCTTTATTAGACTCTTTCCAAAAAAAAAAAAAAACTTCGTGAACAATATATATCAAGTGGTTTACTGGTTTTATAATTTCTCTTAAAATAATTTTATAATTGTCTCATTAACTAATAGAGGCAAGCATAAATCTGAGCCCACAAACTTAGACATGTAGGAAATAATACTTATTCATTACAATTCAACCTATTTAAATCATTGCCATAGCTTCCCTGTGTTCACCTAGCAAGAAACCCTTTCTGCTGTGTTGTTCTCCTCCTCCAGCATTGTCAGGGGCTCAGTCTTACATCATACCAGATTCCTGGGGATGGGGATAAATTAATCCCTTGGTTATCTCTTAGAATGTCTGAATGTCCATTTCCACAACTTGTGTGGCTCCTGTAAGTCTGATTCCTCTGTTGTGTCTGTGCTCCATGTTTTGGGTAAGGGAATGACAGGCAAGGCTGGGAGCCCTCAGACCCAGAACCATTTTCCTTTGATGCCCCATTTTTGCCATGTTTCTTGGACATGATCTTGTCATGTCTCTAGTACATGATCATGAAATGGGTCAAGCTTCTCCTCTGATCACAGATTTCTGATCACTGACCCCAGATTTCTCTAGCACAACCAAAATTTCTTCTTTCTGCTAGATCTCAATACCAATACATGCAACTAGTATATTGCATGATGCTGAGGTTTAGGGTGTGACTGATCCCATCACCCAGGCACTGAGCATAGTATCCAAAAGTTTTTCAGCACTTGCCCCACTCCTTCCTTCCCATATTGTGGAGTTTCCAGTGTCAATTTTACTCATCTTTGTGTCCACGTGTACCCAATGCTTAGCTCCCACTTATAAGTGAGAACATTTAGTATTTGGTTTTCTGTTCCTATACTAATTTGATTAGGATAATGACCTCCAGCTGAATCTATGTTGCTGCAAAGGTCATGATTTCATTCATTTTTGTGGCGTGTAGTATTCCATGGTGTATATGCACCACATTTTTTTATCCAATCTACCATTGATGGGCACCTAGGTTGATTCCAAGTCTTTGCTATTGTGAAAATAGTACTCTGATGAATAAGTGAGTGCATGTGTCTCTTTGGTAGAATGATTTATTTTCCTTTGGATATATACCCAATAATCAGATTGTTGGGTCGAATGGTAGTCCTGTTTTAAATTCTTTGAGAAATATCAAAACTGCTTTCCACAATGGCTGAACTAATTTACACTCTCACTAATAATATGTAAGCATGCCCTTTTTTCTGCAGCCTCACCAGCATCTATTATTTTTTGACTATTTAATAGTAGCCATTCTGACTGGTGTGAGGTTTTACCTCATGGTGGTTTTGACTTACATTTCTCTAATGATTAGTGATTTACAGCATTTTTTTCATATGTTTGTTGGCCACTGTATGTCTTCTTTTGAAAAGTGTCTGTTCATGTTCTCTGCGCACGTTTTAACAGGGTTGTTTGTTTTTGTTTGTTGATTTGTTTAAGTTCTTTATAAAGTCTAGATATTAGACCTTTGTCAGATGCATAGTTTGCAAATGTTTTCTCTCATTCTGCAGGGTGTCTGCTTTGTCTGTTGACAGTTTCTTTTGCAGTGCAGAAGCGCTTTTGTTTAATTAGGTCCCATGTGTCAATTTTTGGTTTCGGTGCAATTGCTTTTGAGGTCTTAGCCATCAGTTCTGTGCCAAGACCAATGTCCAGAATGGAGTTTTCTTCTAAGAATTTATAGTTTGAAGTCTTACATTTAAATATTTAAATATTTAATCCATCTTGAGTTAATTTTTGCATCTGGTAAAAAGTAGAGGTCTTATTTCATTCCTCTGCATGTGGCTGACCAGTTATCCTAACAGCATTTATTGAACAGGGAATCATTTTCCCATTGCTTGTTTTTGTCGACCTTGTCAAGGATCGACAAGGCTGTAGGTTTGCGGTTTTATTTCTGGCTTCTCTATTCTGTTCCATTGGTTTATGTGTCTGTTTTTATACCAATACGGTACTGTTTCGGTTACTGTAGTCTTATGTTACAGTTCGAAGTCAGAAAATGTGATGCCTTCAGCTTTGTTCTTTTTGCTTGAGATTGCTTTGTCTACTTAGGCTCTTTTTTTGGTTCTATCTGAACTTTAGAATAGTTTTTTCTTATTCTGTGAAAAATGTCATTGGTAGTTTGATAGGAATAGCATTGAATCTGTAGATTGCTTTGGGCAATATGGCCATTTTAACAACATTGATTTTTCTAATCCATGAGCATGGAATATTTTTCCAGTTGTTTATGTCATCTCTGATTTCTTTCAGCAGTGTTTTATAGTTCTCCTTGTAGAGATCTTTTGACTCCTTGGTTAAAGGTATTCCTAGGTTGTTTTTTTTTTCTTTTGTCTATTGTGAATGGGATATGCATTCTTGCTTTCGTTTTCTTTTTCTTTTAGAGATGCGTTCTTGCCATGTTGCTGGTCTCCAAATCCTGGCCTCAAGTGATTCTCCCACCTGAGCCTCCCAAAGTGCTGGAATTACAGGCATGAGTCACTGCACCTGGCCTCATAAACTCTTTGAAATGGAGTGTAGATGTTTACAAAAGGCCCCTTAGTTCAAAAAGCTTCTGCCTTACACTTTCCAAAAATATGTGTGGCAAAAAATTGCTAAAGATCAGCTCTGTCCTTGAAAATCAGGAAGGAATAAATATATCTATACAAATTAGTATTTCAACGAATTACCCTGGCCTCAAGTTATAAGTGAAATAATGAGATTGCAGAGTTTAGCTCAGCCTAACACTCCTTTAGTCTAAGTCAATGGTTCTCAAAGTGTTATCCTTGGACCAGCAGCATCAGCATCACCTGAGAACTTCAAATACAACTTCTTGGCATACATCCCAGATGCACTGAATCAGAAGTTCTTCAGTTGGGTACAGCAATCTGTGTTTTTAAAAAGCTTTCCAAATGATTTTGATGCACACTAAGTTTGAAGACCACTGGGTTAGGCTATGTATTTCTCTAGCGTGGACTGTATACTCTTGAAATTAGCTATTTATTTGTCTCCTCCATTAGACTGCAAATTTCATAACAGCAGGAGCCATGCCAGTCTTTTACATTGTTATATTCCCATTGCTTAATATTGACGGTAGGGGTAAGGGGTATATAGTGAGTGCTCATAAATGTTTGTTGAGTACACCAATAAATGAATGAGTTAAGAGATGTTTTATTTTTCTATGGGATTATCATTCTAATTTTACCAGATTATCATTCAGAGCGCAGTCGTGAACTTGTAACAATTCCTACAATGAATTTAATAACTTTTCATGATATAATAGGCCTTTGAGCCTACTTTTCTTAGAAGAGCTGAAAACAGATGTGCCTTGCAATATTCCTGAGTGTGACTGTTTAACTAAATTCATGAGTTCATTCATTCACTAAATATTTATTGAATAGCTACCTATTTTTAGGTCTTCTGCTAGTAGTTTTGGGAGCTAGATTGATAGTAAAGTGTATTTGTGGCTCTCAAACGAGTATTCATCTCAGTAGTTAATTAATTCTAAACCTATTACACAAATTTGTTGAACACTATGCATTATTGGAGAATGAACTGATAAAGCCATATGTGTCTTCTGAATAAAGTCGAAAGTGTGCAGACAATTGCAGTTTACCAGCTTTGTCGATTGTTTTCTAGGACCATTCAAGCAATTAACAGATGTATCACACAAATAATTGAACACATATATTTTCTCTCTTTTTTTTTTTTTTTTTGAGATGGAGTCTCGCTCTGTGGTGGAGTGCAGTGACACAGTCTCGGCTGACTGCAACCTCCGCCTCCCAACTTCAAGCAATTCTCCTGTCTCAGCCTCCTGAGTAGCTGGGATTACAGGCATGCACCACCACGTCCAGTTAATTTTTTGTATTTTCATAGAAACAGGGTTTCACCGTGTTGCCCAGGCTGGTCTCAAACTCCTGATCTAAGGCAATCCACCCGCGTCAGCCTCCCAAAGTGCTAGAATTACAGGCATGAGCCACGGCGCCTGGCCTGAACACATATATTTTCCTAAATCTGTTTTTGTATTTCTAACTATTTACAGATCATGTTCATTTGAACGATACATGGATCCTTCAGCTAATGATGATTACTAATCATTACATTTACTAACACTTACTGATCCTTCACTGTGCCAGGCGTGTCAAATACAAAATATTAATTATTAATATATTACACTGATATTATTCCCTGAGAGCAGTTCAGTGCTCCCCTCAAAAGACCTAGGAAGCTAAGAGATCACATGAAAAATAAAGATGGAATAAAGTTTATGAAGCCCCTTAATGATGAGCTCTTTTCCAACTTAAGATGAAGGAGAAGGCTTCCATGACAGCTAGCAAGAAAGATTATTGGATTGGGCTATAGATTAATAGATTTAGTTGTTACTTGGCTTTCAAATTAACTATCCAGACCAAGGCGGCCTGAGAACCTACCTGTCCCACAAGTCTGCTCACTGTAGTCCAAAGGTCTTGGGGTGAGATATACTTCTGTTGAAGAGTACAACAGAAGACAGTCCCATGCAGAATTATGGGCAAAGCTGTATTGTGGGTGAGTTAACATGGTGGGAGCCCTTACAGTGTGACCTCAAGAGTATAGTAGCACATGGACTGCACAGCAGGAGAGAGGAATGCACACAGTGCAAAATGAGAAGCAGCACTGTCACAGTGCTAACAGGACAGGATTTGGGCCGTGGCAGTGGCATGCTGTCCCTGAAAGTCATCATTAAACATATACGCTTACAGGAAAAATGAGAATGAACTGTATCAGTAAGGCATGTATTTTGTATTTTTTGTTATTTTTCTTTGTATTTTTCCTAAAAGATGTCTGTAATGAGTATATATTGTTATTACAACCAGAAAACACAATATGTTGGTTTTGAATAGCACTCAGATTTCCAGGCAATCAATCTACCTGCCAACTTCAAAAGGACAAATAGCTACTTACCTTCTCTATTATACTGTAAGCTGATCTTCTAAAATCATTCTTAAAGTAGAGAATTAAGAAAATAACAAAGCAGCCCAAACTATAGCATCATGATCCCACAAATAACCAGGCTTTGATTGTTTTCTAATTTGGAAGGAAAAAGTCATGAAGTAACAATTGGGCAGGGAGAAAAAGTTGAAAGCAAAAGTTATTTTCAGTATCACTTTATATCATCTAAAAAGTGATTTATAAATGGCTAAAGTGATGACATCATTCTTGAATAGGTATGGGCTAAGAGTTGTTAATAGCATCCCTGGAAGCCAATCAAAGCCTGTTGTTTTGGAAATAATTATTAATCTCACTGTTTACATAAGTGTTTCTTGGCCCTGATGCTAACTGATGAAAGTCAGGGGTCATTATCCCAAGATACCAACTAGGCCAAAATGACAATATTTTTCTGAACCAATGCACAGTTGTGAGAGACTGACTTAACTGTGCATAGGTTGACTATATAAAAGATATTACTGTGATTTTTTTTCCAAAAAAAAATTTGCTAATCTCATATATTTAATGCCCTGAGCCTGAAATAAGTAAATATCCAAGGTTCTTCCACAGATCAATTTTGAGAAAAAGAAATGGATGAAGAGAATAACTTTAGATTGAAAAAAGGCTGATATAGAATATTTTAAACATATAATCAAAATAAATATACTGAGTAGAGACATACATTTAAATGATGAAGCTAAAATAAAAATTTAAGAAGTGATTACTATAGGCCAGGCACAGTTGCTCATGCCTGTAATCCCAGCACTTTGGGAGGCCGAGGCAGGCAGGTCACTTGAGGTCAGGAGTTCAAGACCAGCCTGGCCAACATGGTGAAACCCTGTCTCTACTAAAAACACAAAAATTTGCCTGTAATCCCAGCTACTCAGGAGGCTGAGGCAGGAGAATCGCTTGAACCCTGGAGTTGGAGTTTAGAGAGAGCCGAGATCACACTACTGCACTCCAGCCTGGGCGATAGAGCAAGACTCCGGACTCCGTCTCACCAAAAAAAAAAAAAAAAAAAAAAAAAGTGATTACTATAAAAGAGTAAAAGAATAGTAGTTACTTTTGAGAGTATGGAGGGGGTTACGAATGAGACAGGGGACATAGAAGAAGTATCTAGGCTAACTGACAAAGTACTACTTCTTTCCCTGCGTGGTGATATCAAAGATGTTTGCCTGATAATAATTTATTAAGCCTTAAAAGTTAAATTAAAATTATTTTAAATTAGTGCATACATACCCACAAAAACCCCACATGCATTTGGTATTAAATCCAATACATTAAAAATTCTAAGAGTGGTTCTCTGCTGAAGACAATATCTCTCTCCCTTCCCTATTCCCGATCGAGGAAACTTCGGAAATTTCCTGTAATACGTAGGGACCAAAATGAGTCATCAAAAGTACTGTGGGTGCATTTTTAATTGTCATTATGACTGGAGGGGCATTAGTAACATTATATGGGGTCAGATTTATAAACATCCTATAGCATAAGAAGAGCCCTATATGATAGGAAAATTATCCCACCCAAAAGGTGGAGTGTCACCCATGTAAAATTAACTAATCAATGATAATCACCTAATGTCCTGTGATGCCACATTTATTTATTTCATTATACTCATGTCTGCCCTTTCAGAAGGGAACACCATGTGTACACATGTATATGAACACACAGACATATACATGCATATATGTAATGTGTGTGTGTGTATAAAGAACTAGTCTATCAATTTCTAGGTTGAACAACTCATTTCACAGTTCACCAAATTGTAGTTTGATTGCATGTGGTTAAGCTCATGAGCCTTAGAGTCAAACAGTCTGGAAGCAAAACCTTGAGCAAGATACTTAATCCTTCTAAAATTCAGTTTACTCATATATAAACTGAAAATAATAGTATTAGCTACATGTACCAGGTAACTATTGCTAAGTAACCAACTACCTTATAATTTAGAGTTTAAACCCAAAACCATTTATTATTCCTTGCAATCTGAGATGGGCTGGGCTTGGCTGATCTCAGTAAGGGCTCACTCAGGCTTCTGCGATTACCCAGAAGAGAAGCTGGGGCTTGATAGTTTAGGATGACCTTGCTTGGGATATCTTGGCTCCTTTCCACATATGTCTCATATCTCTCCAGGAGACTGATGGCCTGTTCACTGGTGGTGGCAGAGATCCCAGCAACAGAAGGGAAATGTGCAAGCACTTTTTCAAGTCTCCACTTGCATCAGTTTGCTATTGTTCCATTTGCCATGCAAGTCACATGGTCACGCCTCAGTCAATGTTAAAAGAAATTACTAAAGGGTGTGGATGCAAGAGTGTGTGAAAAAATGGGACTATTAATGCGATCAGCCCACCACACCGCATCACAGACCTGTGTGAAAATTACACATGCCAATAAGTGTAAAATACATAATACAGTGCCTAGCACACAGTAAGTGCTCAATAATTGTTAGTAATTATCAGGAGTAAGAGGCTACACATAATATTTCAAGCTTCCTACCTAGTGTAGCTGAATATGTTATGGAATTATAGTTGTGTCTGAATTCAAGACTACTTATTCCCGATAAACTTTTTTTTTTTTTTTTAATGCTAGAGACTTTGGAAATTTCACCAAGTTACTGAAAATTTGTTACTTAGATCTGGATTGACTTAGTTTGAATCTATTGAAAAACTGCAAAACAAGTAATAAGAAAAACAACATGAAGATTATGAGAATATTTTCCTAGAATCTTAACAACAAAATAGAGTGTTAGTAAAAAATGAAATAACAAAAGAACATTTTTTAAGCATGAAGCTTATTTCTCTTCAATAAAGTTGAATAGACAACCTTAAAAACTTTGAAATTGAACCCCTAGAGGTGGAAAAGTATGTACAAATTTCTAAGCAGAGTTCTTCGCAGGGTTACAAAAGCAAATTCTCATTTTTAATTAATAATTGTGAAATGACATGATATTACTGGACTTTGAATTTAGCTTGGAAAAGCTTTAGGCAAACAAACATTTTCACTGACCCTTCAGAATCTGCACTGGCCCTTCCCACAGTTCTACTTTCACACCCAAGTATGAAATGTGAAGACATGCACGTAGAAGTGCAGTCAGCATTTGGCTGCATTAGCTGAATGTGTCTGCAAAGAGAGGTTGGTAATACCAGGAAACTAGAAACACACAATCAGCCTATCTGTTAGGAGAACACCAAAAAATTTTCTTCCCACCAATTATTTTACCAACTTTGCTTTCCACCCAGAAATATACAAGCGGTAAAATAGATCACATTTTCAGTGTTTTGGCTAAAGACTTGTCATTAATTGTTTCTTACCCTGAAATATTGGATCCTTACTGCTGCTATGGCAAATTACCACAAATTTAGTGGCTTAAGACAACACAAATTCATTCTTTTACATTTCTAGAGGTCAGAAGTACTAAAGTAAAGGTGTCAGTAGTCCTGCCCTCCTCTTTCCTTCTGTAGGCTCTAGAAGAGAATTTATTTCCTTGACTCTCAGCTGTTCCATACCATCTGTATTCCTTGGCTTGTGGCCCTTTTCTTTTCAAAGCCAGCAACATGGTATCTTCAAATCTCTTTAATTGTCTCTGTCTCTCTCTGCTTCTGAGATCACATTTCCTTTGATTCTGACCTTTCTGCCTGCCTTATAAAGATCCTTATGATTATACTGGGCCCACTCAGATAATCCGGGATAATCTCCCCATCTCAAGATACTTCATCACTTCAGCAAAGTCCTTTTTCAATGTAAAATAACATACTTATAGGTTCCAGAGATTAGGAAGTGGGCATTTTTGAGTACCATTATTCTGCCTACCACACCTGGTCAAAAAGGAGATTGCATATTTTAAAAAATTATATAATAAATATGTATTTCTTAACTGTCAGCTACAAAGAGCTGACATTTCAAATGGGAAAAGTGCTATTTGGCCTTTCTGATTTATAAGCTTATTGTGAAGATTAAAATAATATGGAACAATCTTTGCATTCTGCATGCATCTGGAATATAGACTAACCCTCAAATTAGAGAATATAATGCTTGAACTTTCGCTTGTCAAGAATAGCAGGAGTAATGAGAAGTTTGATCTGCATTTTATCAAAGCCCTAATCCTATCTATATTTTAATTCCAAGGAACCTCTTGCTTAATAGTATCCAAGAGAGAAAGGAGTGCTTACTAGGGTAGAGAGCTACTGGAAGCTGGGTTTGACTTGACCGATCATGGTCAACACATAGTAGCTGAGACAAACTTTCCTTTCCTTTCATTTTCATTCTTTGAGGAGGGGTGAACCCATTCCCTGGTGTTATGGCCAGTAAAGAGATCTGGATGCCCAGAATCAAAGCACTTTCACTTCTTTTACTCGGCCACTTCCTCAGGATGGAGAGCAGAATGTGCTATATAAGGCGTGATTCCTGAGTACACTCAGGCAATGTCGATCCTAGGCAAAGTGATCTCCAATGGTTGTGTCCAGAAACTTGATGGGGAATCAGACCCCTTTTATGCTGGCTGTTGGGTTCTTCACAGACTAACATACTGAACCTCAGGTAGGCCTGATCTTCCAAAATGCTACAGCCTTAGTTTTTAGATCTTTGGGGTCTTTTGTTCCTCAGGGAAAGTCATTCCCAAGGAGAGTTGAATTAAAGCTGATTCCAAATGGAGAACATAGATATGGCAGCTGCTTCAAATACAGAGTATAATGCTCACTCTTTTCCTTCTGCTAAGTGCCATCTTTCTCTGATCTTAATGTTAGCTTTACTTAAAAACTTGTCATTGATGGTTGGTCGGGACCACCCTAATACTAACAGAGCTCCCCAGTTGTGAATCTGAGGGAGAACAAACTAAGGGAACAGAATTGCTTCCTTCTCTGCCAACTCTCTGGGCTCCTCATACAGGCTAGCCCACTCCCACTAATTCCTTATACTGATGGGAGGCTTAAAGAATAAGATGGAAGATCTCCTTGCAACTTTTTGTTACTGCAGCATTCTATTCAGCATATATTCACTTACTCAAATAGGTACTAAAGCCTTTCCCAAGGAGACCTTGCAACTCTACAGAGTGGGGAGGAGCTACTTTTCCTGATTGAGAATATAAAGTAATTAAATGTCTACCGGACTTTCTGGTTTAAAGATAATGTATATGAAAGGACTCCATAGATTTTAAAGGGCTGCTTAAAAACAAATTGTAGTAAATTTTATCTTTTATCAAGGAATGAAGGAAAGGACATCACAAAAATTAGCCACTCTGTCCATTTGAAGAACTTAGAGTAGTCTCTGATCCTCAGTGGGCTTACAGTCTAATTGCAAAGATGAGATTAAGTGTCATTAAAGTATTCAAGAACAATGCAAGACAACATTCAATCAGAAGAGAGAGACCAACAGAAATCCAAAGTAGTAAAAAAATTAGTCAAGGTTGCAGGCTGGAATAGTCAGAGAAATCTTCATGAAAAGGGACGTAAGCTGAGATTTTTGGTTTTAATGAATAGATGTCAGCTAAACAGAAAGTCTATTTGCAAACCTTCTAAGTGAGGAGAGATATGATATTAAAAATAAACCCAGTGTTGGCGAGGTGAATGAGAATTGTCTTGTCTGGTCTAAAGGTGTGTTTAAAAGAATAGTAAGAAATTAAATTTGAAGACCTTTTCTATAACATCTAAAAAATTAGCAAAGCATTGTGAGATGATTTAAGAGATGCTGGATCCTACTTCAGGCTTCTGAACAGAGGAGAAACCCAAGGAAAACATTGCCTTGAGAAGCACATAACTCTATGGTATGCAGAAAGGATCGGAGGAAGAAAAGACCAGAGGCAGCAGTCTCAGATAGGACATAATTTCAGTCTCTCTGGTGGAAAGCCTGGGAGAACATCAGTAACAGGAAAAAAAAAATGCGCTAAGACCAGCCATACTGTTGAGGAAGAAGCAATTGTTTTGGAGTTTTGTTGTTGTTGTTTAAATTGAGTTGACATTGAAAAGATGAGGAGAGAAATTTGAGGGAGGAGCCAAGGGTTACTTTTTTAACAGATACAGGAGAGATTTAGGGAGAGGCCACTTGAGTAGGGAAGGCAGAGAACTTGATTTGACCATGATACATTTGAAATTGTGGCAGCATGGGACTGGAAAGCTATAGAATCGGGACTGGAGGTGAATATGAATGCATATACAAGGCCAGCTACAATGTTACGTGACAATAAGAAGGAAGAGAATATTCTTGATAGCCCTCCATGCCAGCGTGTAAGACTCACTTTGGGAAGGACAGAAAACTCTCAGATCACCTCTACTGCTCAGACTGTGATGCTGACTTCTTCACTCTGAAGTGCAATTCATCTGGAGGCTCCTTGGTGCTGTGAATACATTACTGTGCAGATTCATTTGCATTACCCAGATTCTGGGGCCTGAATCTAGGCCACCTGCAATGTTAAGTTGAGGAAACTTTCCCCACATGCCTAAATGTTAAGTTGAGGAAACTCTTTCCCCACATGCCTAAAGAGGAGCAGTGGTCTCGGTTTTCTTAGAGTGAAGAGTCCCCTGAAAATCAGCCACATTGCCAGAGTAAAGGAGGGAAATGGAGAGCCCATCCATGAACAAAGGAAAAGGTTTGGAAAGAGTGGAATATCTTTCCAACTGGTGTGGGTAGCCTTATTCTGCAGGATGTCTCAGAAAGTTACAACAGGCCCACAGGACAGCTGTCTTTCCAAAATGATTCATGGATTTTGAGCTAATGTACAGTGTTGGGAGAGAGGAGGAGTAATTTATAGGGGGAAATAGGAGTAGCATTTGGTTGAACATATAAGCTAAATAATGTTAAAGCATGCCCAGCAACTCCCTCTACAAGTGCCAAAACATGATTTTTCTCTTCTTGCTTTTAAGCTTATTTCATCAGCTGGTATTCTATAAATGCCATTTTTTGGGGATGGAGGTGGGGAGGAGAGTTTTTTATTGTGGCTTCTCCAGTTATTCTGTTTCAGTTGCAATTCTCCCACCAGAATGTTAAGTCATATGGCCATAAAAACACTCCAGGTGACTGCTTTGTGTTCTGTGCCCATGCTCTTCCTCTTCTCTTGATGCCCATGGGAAATGTCAGTGAGTAGCCTCAGTTTGCCGGTAACTTTTGTCATCTTCTACGTGGTAAATTGCTTTTCTCTCTTTGGCTTGTATTCACTTCCTTTAGAGAAAGATACTTTTCTTCAAGATTTCTGCAAAGTAATTTTCCTGTTGAAACCAAATAAAATAAAATACCAAACATTTGCCCTATCCAAATAATGCTTGATTGCTTAAAAATGCATATATTAGAAAATTTATGCCTCATGACATGGCAAGCAAAAGAGGTTTAGTTGCCCCAAATCTTTACACAAGGGTGGTCACCACTGAAACAAGGCAAGGAACATGGCTAAGATCCATTAGAGAGCATTTGGAAATCAGTATTGATGCTGACAATTCCACAAGCATGCTCACTGGGGAGCCAGCTAAATCTTCCAGAGAGAGAGAACATAGTAAGATGGATAAGAACAAAGACTGGAAGATAAACAAAACTGGTTCCAATCCCAGCTCTAGCACTCACTGCTTATATGGTGTTGAGAACCTTATCCAATATCTCAGAGTCTCAATTTCCTTACCTGTGAAAAAGGATAATGTTATATTCATTGTGGATTCTCATAAGGAATACATGAGATCAAATCTTAAGTTCATAATTACTAGCTTATAAGTGTCAGTTATTCATTACCAACCAACCTAAATGAAAAGACAGCTGAGATTCAGGTAGAAAAAGAAAGGAGTGATGCTTAGCCTAATCAGAGAGGGAAGAGATAGCAGCACAAATTTTTTATTTGCTTGACAAATTTCTCCTGAGCCAGTGATGGTTCTTGCCCTTCAAAACTTAGTATTATCACAATTGAGTAATGATGGCTCATAAAGAAATGTAAAAATCCTATAAAATCCTATTGTTTCTTGGGGAAAGAACAAGTATAAAATGGTGGGGGAAAAAGTCAGCGATTATTACAGTAATCCTCTGAGTGATAAAAACCACTTTGCACAGAGATGACAGATTTTTCACAGAAACAACCAAGGCTTGAGGTTTTTATTTCATGCAAGTCATAAATGTGTGATTTTTTTATTACTCTGAAAGAAGAGGATTGCTGCCTAATGGGACCATTATTTGAACACTCTTCTTCCCAGTACGGAATCATTAACTTTGTAAACTCTGAGCCCACGGTGTTCTGAACTAGAATGAACCAATCTTAAATTTTACTCATGCAAACTAGAAGAACATGTTCTACTTAATGTTCATCAGAGAATCATTTTAGAACTGAGAGTGATCCTGGTCCAACTCTCATTTTGTCAATAAGGAAATTAAGGTTCAGAGACTCCCACATTAGGTTACTGACTTACTCAGAAACCACATAGTAAGAAAATGACACAGCCAAGAGGCAAACCTAGGCCTTTTCCATGAAGTCCAAAATGACTAATCTAACATATTAACATGTTAATCTAACAATGAGCAATAAATGTTCATTGAATGAGTGAATGAATCCTAACTCCCAAATTTGTTCATTTTCTACTTCATGTGACTTTCACTTATTTCTTTCTTTCTTAGGTAATTTTTATTTAATCATGGTCCTTGAAATGGTAGTTAGAGGTTTATTTAAATAAACTAATTTTCTATAAATTTCTCATCATCTTTTAAAATTTATAACATCATTGCATTTTCTAATGATAAATATATGCATTGTCATTGGTAAACATGGAAAAATTCAAGAAAATAGAGTACAAATTATTAATTATTTTTGTTATTGTTATCTGTGATAAGAAAACAAGAGCTATCCACTTAGCAAATTTTTAAGTATGCACCACAGTGTTGTTACCTCTTCTTTCTTAAAGATAGCATTTTTTCTGTCCTATCATACACTCTAGTTACTGTCCATCCTTTTTCCTTTCCCCTATACTTAATCTTCCTGAAAAAATTCATTCACATGTCCTGTATCATCTACAGCTTGAAGCCTGTCACAGCCTCTCCAATATTCTCTAGGCTGGGATAACGTCCTTCCTGTGCATTCTTATAGCATCACTGAGTTATTCTGTAACTATTAATCTCTACTGTGGCCTTCTGTTCACTCACCTGCCTCCCAGTTGAAATGGTAAGCCTCCCATGAGGGTAGGAACAAAATCTTACCTGGGTTGAAGCTCTAATGTCAATTGGGCACAATGCCTGACTTATAGTAAGAGCTCAATAAATTTCTGATAAAAAACAGCTTGGAATGGATATGTTATTAATTAATTTAATCTAACTATCTACACCCCCAGTGGCTTGTATTGGTCAAAACAAAAGTAGAAACATTTCTATTTGATGTTTTCTAACATCTGAGATTGATTTACAAAAATAGAGGAATAAGGAAAAGAAGGGGCACCAGAAGCAATCGCAACAAAAGCAAAAGTTGACAAATGGGAACCTAAGAGCCTCTGTACAGCAAAAGAAACTATTCACAGAGTAAACAGACAACCTACAGAACGGGCAGAAGTGTTTGCAAACTATGCATCCGACAAAGGTCTAATATCCGGCATCTTTAAGCAACTTAAACCAATTTACAAGGAAAAGAAGATAAATTAGAAGTAAGTTTCATAGCTTCTTCCCATTAGTCTCAAACCAAATACAAGTCTCTACCTAAATATGCTGAGTGTTTTGAGTGTGCTTTTGACACCAAGTGGAAAGCAAATGGGAGAGTTATTCTAACCATGCTTCAAAAATTCTCGGAAAGCTAAAGGAGGGTAAAGTTCTACAATCCTGTTTTTCCCAGGTGACCTAACAGAATCAAATCACATTCAAACTGGCAATACCCTTTCGGGCTTGGAGGCTGTGTTCCTTCACACTCCACTACCTGCAGCACCCATGACCTCACCAACACCACTTCAGGACACTTTTTATTAAGCATCTGTGTTAGATTGCTAGAGCTGCCATAGCAAAGTACCTCACGTCCTGGAATAACCTGGTAGTCTTGTTCAATACTATTCATGATAACAACAATGGAAAAAAAAATCTATTCCCAGCCCATGCCACTCTCCATGTAGTGTTCTTCCCATGTCCAAGTGGCTTTTCTTCAGGACTTTAATTTCTTCCCACATTCTAAAGATGTGCACATGAAGTGAATTTCCATGTCTATTTGGTCCCGGTATGAGTGAGTGTAGGTGTATGTGACTGAGTGAGTGTGCCCCACAATGAAACAGGGTCTTGTCCAGGGCTGGTTCCTGCCTTGTGTCCTGAACTGCTGGGGTAGACTCATGACTCCTGTGACATGGAACTGATGTGGGCATTTAGTGCTATAAATTTCCCTCTTAACACTGCTTTAGCTGTGTCCTAGAGATTCTGGTACATTGTCTCTTTTTTCTCATTAGTTTCAAAGAACTTTTTGATTTCTGCCTTAATTTCATTATTTACCCAGTAAATAACTCACTATTAGTAAATACCCACTATTTCCATGTAGTCCTCCAGTTTTGAGTGAATTTCTTAATCCTGAGTTCTAATTTGATTGCACTGTGGTCTGAGAGACTCTTTGTTATGATTTCCTTGCATTTGCTGAGGTGTGTTTTACTTCCAATGACATGGTCGATTTTAGAATAAGTGCTATGTAGTGCTGAGAAGAATGTATATTCTGTTGATTTGGGATGGAGAGTTCTGTACATGTCTATTAGGTCCACTTGGTCCATAGCTGAGTTCAAGTCCTGAATATCCTTGTGAATTTTCTGTCTCGTCGATCTGTCTAATATTGACATTGGGGTGTTAAAGTCTCCCACTATTATTGTGTGGGAGTCTAAGTCTCTTTGTAGATCTCTAATAACTTGTTTTATGAATCTGGGTGCTCTTGTATTGGGTGCCTATATATTTAGGATAGTTAGATCTTCTAGTTGCATTGATCCTTTTATGTAATGCCCTTCTTTGTCATTTTGATCTTTGTTGGTTTAAAGTCTGTTATCTCAGAGACTAGGATTGTAACCCCTGCTTTTTTTTTGCTTTCCATTTGTTTGGTAAATATTCCCCCATTCCTTTATTTTGAGCCTATGCATGTCTTTGCATGTGAGATGGATATCCTGAATACAGCACATTGATGGGTCTTGATTATTTATCCAATTTGCCAGTCTGTGTATTTTGATTGGAGCATTTAGCCCATTTACATTTAAGGTTAATATTGTTATGTCTGAATTTGATCCTGTAATCAAGATGCTCGCTGGTTATTTTGCACATTAGTTGAAGCAGTTTCTTCATAGTGTCATTGGTTTTTATATTTTGGTGTGTTTTTGCAGTGGCTGGTACCAGTTTTTCATTTCCATATTTAGTGCTTCTTTCAGGAGCTCTTGTAAGGCAGGCCTGGTGGTGACAAAATCCCTCAGCATTTTCTTGTCTGGAAAGGATTTTATTTCTCCTTTGCTTATAAAGCTTTGTTTGACCAGATATAAAATTCTGGGTTGAAAATTATTTTATTTAAGAATGTTGAATGTTGGCCCCCACTCTCTTCTGACTGGTAGGGTTTCTGCAGAGATATCCACTCTCAGTCTGATGGGCTTCCCTTTGTAGGTAACCTGACCTTTCTCGCTGGCTGCCCTTAATAATTTTTCCCTCATTTCAACCTTGGAGAATCTGACAATTATGTGTCTTGGGGTTGCTCTTGTCTATGAGTATCTTAGTGGTGTTCTCTGTATTTGTTGAATTTGGATGTTGGCCTTTCTTACTAGGTTGGGGAACTTCTCCTGGATAATATCCTGAAGTGTGTTTTCCAACTTGGTTCCATTCTCCCTGTCACTTTCAGGTATACCAATCAATCATAGGCTTGGTCTTTTCACATAGTCCCATATTTCTTGAAGTCTTTGTTTTTTCCTTTTCATTCTTTTTTCTCTAATCTTGTCTTGACACCTTATTTTGGTAAGTTGATCTTCAATCTCTGATATCCTTTCTTGCACTTGATTGATTTGGCTATTGATACTTGTGTATGCTTTATGAAGTTCTCGTGCTGTGTTTTTCAGCTCCATCAGGTCAATTATGTTCTCCTCTAAACTGGTTATTCTAGTTAGCACATCAGAATGGACAGGCAATCTACAGAATGGGAAAAAATTTTTGCAATCTATCCATCTGACAAAGGTCTAATATCCAGAGTGTACAAGAAACTTAAACAAACTTACAAGAAAAAAACAAACAACACCATTAAAAAGTGGGCAAAGGATATTAACAGACACTTTTCAAAAGAAGACATTTATGTGGCCAACAAACATATGAAAAAAAAATCTCACCATCACTGGTCATTAGAGAAATGCAAATCAAAACCACAGTGAGATACCATCTCATGCCAGATAGAATGGCAATCATTAAAAAGTCAGGAAATAACAGATGCTGGCGAGGATGTGGAGAACTAAAAATGTTTTTATACCTTTGGTGGAAGTATAAATTAGTTCAACCATTATGGCAGACAGTGTGGCAATTTCTCAAGGATCTAGAACCAGAAATACCATTTGACCCAGCCATCTCATTTCTGGGTATATACCCAAAGGATTATAAATCATTCTACTATAAAGACACATGTACATGTATGTTTATTGCAGCACTATTTACAATAGCAAAGACTTGGAACCAAACCAAATGCTCATCAATGATAGACTGGATAAAGAAAATGTGGCATGTATACACCATAAAATACTATGCAGCCATAAAAAAGGATGAGTTCATGTCCTTTGCAGGGACATAGATGAAGCTGCACTAACCCCAGGTAGATAGTATCAAAATTGAATTCAATTACAGGACACTTAGTTGGTGTCTGCAGAGAACTGAGTTTTTGCAGGACGAGAACCTAAACATTTGGTTCCTGAAGTGTTCTAGGTTGAGTGCAAATACAGACAAATGTTTTTTCTATACATTCAAAAAGGTGATAAATTAGTTTGAGATAACTCTATAGCCTCTAACCAGATTATTGCAACTTAGGTCAACTTCCATTATAGACCAGACTATCAACTAATGTACCAAGGTAAGTGATGATCCTGAGCATAACTCAGGGAGTCAAACTGCAAGCCATTCTGAGTCTTTATTTGTAAAGTTGCTTTGACTATTTTATTTTATTTTTTATTTTTGAGACAGTGTTTTGGTCTGTTACCCAGGCTGGAATGCAGTGGCACCACTTCAGTTAATTGCAACCTTCACCACCCAGTCTTAAGCGATCCTCCTGCCTCATCAGCCTCGTGAGTAGCTGGGATTACAGGCATGCACCACCATACCCAGCTAATGTTTTTGTATTTTTAGAAGAGACGAGGTTTCACCATATTGCCCAGGCTGGTCTCAAACTCCTGACCTCAAGTCAAACATCCGCCTCAGCTTCCCAAACTGCTGGGATTAAAGGTGTGAGCCATCATGCATGGACAATTTGACTCTTAATAAGCCCCAATAATCAGCATCATTCCCCTCACTATGGGTCTCAGTGAAAATTCTGGTCTCTCATTTAGGATATTTTTTCTTAACCCTCTTGAAGTATTCCTTTAGTGACCACATTGCAAAAGGTTCCTCCCCTTTGAGTATGAGAAGTCTTCTCAATGTACTTTCTTGAGTACAGAAGCAGAAATAAGAGTAATGGTTAAACTCTATTGAGTGCTTACTGTATAACAGGCACTGTGCTAGGAATTTTAATTTGTTATCTCATTTTTTTCTTTACAACAACCATAGGCGGTCATGATTAGCATTATCCCTACTTTACAGGTGACTTACTTAAAGCACACAGCTCAACTATGGTGAAGCAAGAATTTGGATTCCTTCTGTATTGTTCTAAATCCCATGTTTCTATGTCATACTATCTCCCACATCACTATAGATCATTTCCCAGATGGCATAGATGCCCACAGGAGCTGGATACCATATGACAGAGCCCTTTGTCTATAGCTTGCTTTATTCAAGGGACCATCTGGAAGTGTGGGAGGAGGGAGGTCAATCTGAAAGATTCCTCACTCTAGTTGTAAACTATAGTAGTTTTGCAACCTTGTTCTCTCTAAAAACCCAAGTAATAACGGAGAAAGAAAATGGAATTTGCACATTGATTGTACTGATTTGTTGAGTGGTAAACATTTTGAATTATTTTTACACACTTAAAGGGAAAATGATAGTATTAACAAAAGAGAACAAGAGAATTTGCATATTAAAGATTTTTTTATGTCTCCACAAAATGACTTCTAGCCAATCCAAAATTACCTAATCTTCTTTAGTAATGACCATTAAGAAATCATTTATGGATTTCTTGTGAGTGTTCAGAGATACTAATGGGCTTTAGAATGATTTGGGAATCTTCCTGAGGTCAAAGGAAGAAAATGAAGTATGAAGTGTTGATAAAATGTATGAGGTGGCTAATGGGCAGGTTGTATATATAGATAGACAGATAGGGTCTAGCAAGAAAACATTGAATTTTTATAGCATACATTTCAACAAATGGAAATCTCACTGCCATAGCCTCTTATCTTCACTTACGAGCCAGGAAGAACGATAACGTTGTGTGTAGCCATCTTCCATATCAGATTGTCAATGATTTTCCAGTCCTCAGGTCACTGGCCCAGACCACCTCCACAGCCATCACACCCTCAGCTGCTGAAATCTTATGAAAAGCAGTGGAGAAATAATGCACATTTGATGAGGCACCAATAAACGACTTGCTCTTACACAGCGTAAACGGCTAATTTAAACATGATTGTTACATGGCAAACATTAATACTGCAACCAGCCCATCTAGGAATCAGGTATCTCTCTAGGCTTTTGTTACATATGTAAGCCAACAAAATGATATTAAATCTAATGAAATTAAGAGGTGCATAATATCATAAAATTCTGAATTGTAAGAGGGACATTCAGAGCAGAATTTTATGACTTTATTTTGAATCATACAATAGCATTCTGGATTTTTTCCAATATAGAGACAAACAGAATCATGTTTTATAGAAAATAAATGTATTAGAAATAATGTAATAATGTAAATAATGTAGAAAATAGTTGTAATACAAACAATAGAATAGTGGACAAGTTATCATTTTAAAAGAAATTTGTCTTGAGTCATCAGTGAATCTAACTAAGAAGCCTGAATGAGATGTTGAATTATTGTTTAATAGAAATAATCCCAATTCTGGCTCTCAGTAAACCAGGTCTTAAGGTCAAGTCAATTGTCTACATTATTGAGTGATTCAATTATACACTGATTATGTATTTGGAGTATACATAAAGTTTATATGAAGTTTGCTTGACCTACTATGTACCCCTTACATACTGTTCCTGTATTTAAGGAATGTATTTGTTTGAGAAAAGACATAATTGATATTTTCCAAATATAATTTTTTTAGGCATATCAGACTCCATCCCTATAGTAACATTAAGCTTGCTTGCAGGTTAATATTGGGTAGAGAGACTTAAAAATAACTAGATTTTATCAAGAGCAAGACAACAACAAGAATTATTTTGCATAGTGGGCAACAGTGTAGGCACATTGGGGATATTAAATGATATATATTTGATAAAGTATACTCTGCAAACATTTTGACTGCTATACCTTATCTTTAAACCTTAAACTATGATCCTATGTTTAATCTAAAGAATTCACATCTGCAATACATAATTTTGTGTTTTGTTTGGAAAAGAAAATCTAGAACGGTCCAAGATAATTTTTAGTACCAAGAAGGGAAGAGCAAAGCTACTTGTGAACTGGAAAGCAATAGACGCAAACACTTTCAAGGGAATACTGGAAAGAAATATGTTAGTATTTAACTGTGATCTCATCGCATGACTATATAGAATGTTTACCTCATCACATTTTGATTTGTTCTTTATGGTATGAACATAGGAAAAGTTTTTCAAAAAAATGCAGAATTGAAAAACTTGGAACCTTGCTTTCATGTTCCATTCCTACCCTTTCACATGTGTGGTTTGTGTTGTGGTTAACAGTTTAAAATCTGTGTGTTCCCTCTTCCACATGATTAACAAATATGCAAGATAAGCTTTAGGGGTCTAGGTCAAAGTCTCCCACCACTTGCTGCCCTGTGAGAAACACACATCCAAATTCTTATCTTTCCTCACCTCTCACCCTCCACCTCTCTCCCTCCAGAGTTTTCATTAACAAGACAGAACATTCTGTGGGAAAACTCTGCAGAAAATCTAAATGTTTTCAAATATACTAAATAGGTTAATTTAAGTAAGTATGGCTCTCTCTCTGTCTTCCTACATTTAGCTAATACATTATCTCTATCTTTTTCTGGTACTTTAAAATATAATAAAATAATCTGAAAGATGGCATTTGAGGGGTAATGAAATAAGAAGGAACAGTGAATAATTTCATTCAGCACGTTATAGACACACAGTTCCTATACAGTTAAGGAATAATAAAGGTTTACATACCTTTATCTTTACTATGGTCTTTAACTCCACAGAAAAGGAAAACGTAGATATGGCTGACCAATCCAAATATACTCAATGCCTATTAATTACATGTTCAGTAGATAGGTGTTATGAGAAAAATGAAAGATATAAAATAGAGTGTCCTACTGTTGAAATGTTTAAAATTTAGCTGAAGAGACTATGTATACCTTAAATAAGATATGTATAGTTAGGAATATATTTGCATATCTATTTTGACATGTCAGAGGACAGCATTCTGGAATCCACAAATTTTCTTTAAGGAAGAAGTAATCACTTTCTCTTGAGGTGTTCTACAGACAACTGGGCCTTCAGTTACAGATACAATTTTTATACTTAAGGAAGAGAGGAATAATATAAGCAAAGGTATTAATGTGAGAAAACCTTTAGAAGCTTCTGGAAAAAGTGTGAGTAGTTCACAAGGATCACCCAAATTCTTTAACAGTAGGTTATTGCATTCATTATTCTGCTACCTTTCTATCTGACTGGCCAAGGCCAGGTTAACACTTTAAAGCTCTTAATGAATAGATTATGATGTTGTTCCCTTACATACACAGACAATATTTAAAATAAAGGCAAGAGAATCTATAAAAGGAGGTCAAAATTCTGATTTGTTTTATTTTGGAATAATACAATTCATTGGGTAGGGTGCTGTTGGTTCTCCTACTTTGCTGATGAACTAAAGTAAATTGTCAAGACTATGCATATCCTGGCACTGGGAAATCTGACTATGGCTGGAAGAATTAACTTTGAAGAATCTTATTATGTCTCCCAAAGTTTTCAGATAAGAATAAGATTAGACACAGTTTCTCAAAGTCACCACTATAGGTATTTTGATTCCAATAATTCTTTGCTTTAGGGGGAGTGCCCTGTGTAGGGTGTTGAGCAGTATTACTGGCCTTTACCTACAGGACAGCAATAGCAGTTGTAAAAATCAAAAATGTCTCCAGACATGGCCAAATGTCCCATGAGAGAAAAATCCAGGGGACATTCTGGCTCTTTGAGAACCACTGGGTTAGAGGAAAGCATCAAAACTAGTAAATTAACAGGAAAGTCCATCAACTTTCCCCTGAAAATTAGAAATACATTTTCAAACTCTATTTGCACTTGCAACTGATCAATTAGGAGTGAAAGATACTTAAAATATGTATTAATATATTAAGGCTAGTGTTGGCCTAAGATGAGTAAATAAACAACTAATTATATACAAGTGTAAATATTAACACAAATCAGGAAACCATTAAAGGCTATTCACAGCCAACATAGAAACACTGTTATCTGCACCTAAGAGAAATACTGGAGACCAGCAATGAAGCCCGTTAGAAAGTTCTTAGTTTCTGGGAGAAGCCATTTCAAGACTACTAGCTTCCTTGAGCTTCAAAAGCCAACAAAAGCCAGCAGAACTAGTGCCCACTTGGAAAAGGGTTTGTTTGTTTTGCTTATCTGGAGCCAAAGACAACACTCTTAATAGTTTTGAAGACCTAAATGTTTCACAGCATTTAGAAAGGACCTAATTTGTAGACAGAAGTGTCTATCTATAAATGAGCACATATCCTCCTCACAGGGCCTTGACATACAGTCAAAACTAATTTAAAAGCATTTACACTTAACTATTTCTAAACAAGGAGTAGAGGACCAATAAAATTGTGAGTTGGTTAGTTTTTTTTCTCTGTGAAGGTAGAAAGCAGAATATTTGTAAAAGGAGAGGTTGGCAAAATAAAACCACACCACCATAGTTTTTCTGCCACTATTTTGAGAAAATTTATGATTTCTGATTCTAAACTTTAAGCAATTTGAATGTACATACCATATTACTTTAATCTTTGTATTCTTAGCACATAAAATATGCCTGGTGTACAGTAAGTATTTAATATATGTTTGTGAAGTGAATCAATAAGAGGAAAGAAAGGGGAAAAGAATTTTAATTTGACATTCTGAAATATGTAGCATAAAGTTGATTATGAAAGAAATTTAAGTCTCTTATTACTGTTTTTATTCAGATAGATTCCCATCCTCTCATTTCAAAATTTTATCCTTTAAGATAATCAAATTTACATTATACCAAACTATAAAATACTAAGATAACTTCACAGAATTCCCAAAATAAGTCATGGGGTAGAGGCCATTATTCCTCTTTTACAGAAAGCATATAACATAATGAGTTCAGAAAGGTTAAGTGATGCCCAAAGCCACAAATAGTGGAGCAGGAACTCAACACAAGCTTCAATTCTAAAGCCACCCTAAGTATACAGTATCTCAAGTGATGTCAGTGGAGGATAACATTTAGTTTGTTGCAGTGTTTTAATTGCATATAGTGGTTAAAAAACATGCATTGGTGTCAGCCTCCTATCCCCACAAATTACCAGTTGTGGGATCTTGAGCAAGCTATTTCAACTCTTTGAATCTGTCTCTTCATCTGAGGAACTGAGCTGACAACATCTACCCTATAGGCTTGGTAAGATAATATAGAGGGAGTTTCACCCATGTTCCATCAGTAGTGGTCATTGTCATGCATCATTGTCAATGTGATGGAATCTATGGGTGCTGTTATGTGAAGTTCTGAGGGTACCTAGACTGTTTATGGCAACATCAGCACTTCCGGGTTTTGAAAACTTATTCTCGTTTTGCCCTTTTATAAACTTTCACCTCTTAAAATTTGAATTCAAAATTTGAGTAGATTACGTGTTAAGATATATGTGAAATCCTGGGTTTGGAAGAGCAGAATTTGGTTGTGGAATGTAAGAGAAAGCATTCTAGTGAAAAAAATTCGCTAGGAAGATTTTTCTACATATGTAAATTTTAAAAGGCAATATGCATCTCCATCATGACCAGAAATAAGGAGTGCTTGAGTGCTTATTTTGTGCCTGGCTCTGTTGTAAATGCTTTGTGCGTATTCACTTTCAAAATTGACACCCACACACTTGAGGTAGGTTTTATTATTACCATCCTCATTTTACACAGATGGGGTGACAAGCACTAAGAAATTAAATAACTCAACCAAGTTCACCCAACTAGTAACAAAGATGATTTGAATGCAGAGCTACCTCCAGAATCCATGCTTGTGACTACAGTACAAGCTACACCTCAGCAGAGATGTCATGTTGCTAATCACCCACACGTCCACATGGATACAGCAAAGCACTTCTGTACTTTTCCCATCAAGTCTCCCATCATAGAACCCTGTGTAACAGACGCAGCTGATACCCTGCTTCATACTTCCTGGCTGTCTAGTTCACTTACAGCTACAGTAAAATTCACACAAAAAAATGGGCAACTTCCCACCTGGGCCTCTCTAGACCTTGCCCGAGGGCGTTTTCAGGGAGGGGGACCTGGAAGAAGGACCTACCAAAGACAGGCACAACCTAGAACTGCAGGAGACTTAAAAGCTCTCAGGTCAAACTTTAATTAATACAAAACAGGAATTGATAAATAAATACTCAGCCTCAGCCTCCCCAACCCATTCACTTTCTTGGAGAGTCCTCGGTGGAATTGAGTCTAGTGAGCCCACAGCAATAACTTGTTCATTTAAGCACCATGTATTGGCTCTTCACACTTCCCTGTTTCACTTCCCAAGTTCCTCCCTGTGTTTTCTGTGATCACCTCTTAAACAGACTACCTGTATCCAAGGCTTAGTCTTGGGGTCTACTTTGAGGCAACTCAAATCAAAACAAATTCAGCTGGGCATCTGGAAATTTCCTGCTATCTCAAATCTCATAGTTTCCTTGATGCCAACTCTACCTACATCTGATCACCAAGGACCAGGCATCATGGGAGCAGCAGGAGTGGCATGAGAAAAGGCTTCAGGAGACTTTAGATCCTCTGGATTCCTCAAACTGAAAGATAAACACTTCCTCTTACTGACATTGATCATTCTCACAATATCACTTCTATGTCATGATGCTAGTTTCTTTCTCTTTACTCTTACTAAGAACCTATCAAGGAGGCAAAGTAGGGATGTGAAAGGGGTGGGAAGAGAAGTAAACACTGTCCCCTCAGACAAGGATTCCAAAAATTGAAAAAGGATTAATAATCATATCATGAATGTGCTGTCATTAGGAAGCCAAATGTCCTTACTAAGCGATATCTTTCCGAGACTTCTGATTCACTAGAAAGAATATACACAAACCTGGAAACATACAGACCTGAGTTTAAATGCCAGCTTCACCACAAAGGATATGATCTGGAGCAAATCAACTTCTTGGGGCCTGATTTTTCATACATGTATAATGATGTGGGAATATCCGCCTTCTAAAATTGTTAAAGGCTTAAATGAGATCATGCATCTGAAAGTTGCTGACAGGTGTTTAATAAATATCTTTCCATCCCTACCCATATCCCATTACAACCCTCCACCCCACGGAGAAATAGCCATGGGCAATTTTCCTAACTCTACTCAATCTTACACGTGCAGAGATATCTGCTGATCTGTTGTATTAACCTCCTGGAAATTCTACATATTTATGGTCAAAAAATTTTACTCAATGATTATCTCTTTTTTGCCCATTATCTGCCAGATTCTTCAAGTTAACTAAGGTAAAGTAAAGAACTCAGAGAAAATGTAGATGAAAATAAACATCAGATTTTGAAACTATTGTATAACATACATGCATTAACATGGCCAGATATATGGAAAGTCAATTTAAGACAAACAGTGATAGCTGTACCAATGATAATAGCAAGGTAAATAAATAATTACCCCTACCTCTATGACAAATAGACTATTTTCCAACAAACTAATGCAAGAGAAGGAGGAGGAAGAAGAGGAAGAGGAGGTGGAAAAGAGGAAGAAAAAGAAGAGGCAGCAGTAGCAGCAAAAAGCATAGGCCATCTTTTGTCTCTGATTCCAACATAGACTCTCCTCCTTTTACATTTCTCCCACAAAGAGTTATGTGGTTCATACATTATATGAATCTTCGAAATACACAGACATTTAAAAGATTCAGCTGAAGATCTTACACATAAATGACTTTTTTACGTTTTGAACAACAGCAAAATGGTGTAGCTTCAAATTACAGAAGCATGCATATATGTAAATAACTGCTCTCCTGGGACATGAGGGCTGGACTCTGAGGCCTCCTTACTCTAGGCTTCAACTCTTTCAGAGCAGGAGCTATGCTTAAGCTCCTACTGGAAAGCTGGAGCTAGGATGAAAAATGTACTATTTGTTCCACCACTGCTCACCCACATACAGAGAGAAAAAGCACAAAGAGCTGTGGCCAGGGGTCTCCCAGCACCTGGCTTGCTGCACAGCCTGTCACATATGTCACAGTGGCCCATGCACTTCTTTGGTGACTGGAAATTGTGGAAAGTGGACAGGCTTCAGCCCTCTCACAGAGTCACACAACCGAAGCAACACCTGCATTTGCATGTGGAATTCACAGAAGATTCAGAACCGTCTGCAGGACATTTTCATGCCTTCCAACTTTCAGTAACTGAACTTCTTACTCTGCTTATTCTTGGACTTTTAAAAATTATTACTCAAAACTCCTAGTTGCTGTTTCTAGTTTCTATTCCTGGAAAGCAGTATTTTATTTTCTAATACTTATTTTGCCATTTGGATATAAAAACATAAATATCTGAATTTGAATACTTACCCTACCACTTAATAACTATATAAGCTCTCTGTATCTCAATTTCCTCACCTATAGGCTTGATGATATTTATGCAATAAAATTTTTCTCAAGATTAAATGAAAGTATAAAACTGTGCTATAAACTTCTATGTCTCATACAAATATAGAATAATAATTCTCCTTCTTAGAGATCAACACTTTTAGAAAGGAGACTACAGTTTACCAGGTTCTTGGATGGGGCCTGGGGTGTCTCATGCATTATCACCCTAACAAGTACTGGGCAATGATGCTGACAATGATGGTTCACTCTTGTGGGTCACATTTTGCTAACTGGGTGAAGCATTATGTCTGTTTTGTCCCATTAAGCCATTTAAAAATCAAAGCAGTACACAAGGTCACTGAATCATCCTTCTCTAGTTTAATAAAACATACTAAACATAAGTAACTCCTCTCAGAGCTGAGAAAGTAAATGGCATTTCAATTCATTTTCTGTGTCATCTTCTTCAACTAATATGTAGTGTTTTCAGTGCGTCAGTCCCTACAGACTGCACAGTGGTGGGAAAGATTTACCAAGCAACAACAAACAGCACAGAACCAAACCTTTACGGAAGTACTCCAGTGTACTGATAACCAGCCACAGAGCTACTTTCATATAGTACACAAACCAATACATTCAAGCTGAAACAGAAGAACCTTTATGATTGTCTATCATGTGGTTCCTTAGGTCACAGATGATAAAACTGAGAACCAGAGGAATAAGATTGTAGCAAAACTGATTTTCCATTTACAGTGAAGTTTGAGTTCCAAAACCAGCCTCAAGCAAAGACCTAACAAGGAAATTATACTCATCAAAATATACACAACCTAGGAACTGGTCAGAATCCCCACCAACAAAACCCTTTTTGCCCATTGCTACTGCTCCAAAATATTTCAGCACTAGAATCCATTCCATATATCATTTAAAATGTAGGCCTTACTTTCAAAATATAGCCTCTGGAGTTGATAAAAGAATCATGGAGTATATCAAAGGCAATAGGCATAAAAGGCTTTAAGTTGCTGTGAGAGAGGCAGTGAGGGAGAATGGGGTGCCTGAATCAGCTACTTCTGTCAATTTTAAAATACAGAGGACAAAAGCTTGTTGTGGGATGCAGTTTCTTCTTCATCTTTCTTCAAGGCAGTAAAGATAGGGATGAATCATTCATTCTTTTACCTGCACTATAAATCTTAGCATCACGACCCATGCTGGTGCTTCCAGGACACAAGCTGGGAGAATGGGGGTGGGGAAAAGAAAGGTCTCAGGAAAACTGCTTGAGGTATAGCGGGGTTCAACACTGGTAAACTTTTCTTGAAATTAGGGGAGTCCCAAGGCTGAATTCTCAAGTAGGTAAAATTTTTATTTTATATTTTTTCCTCCTCTTTCCAAGACCTTCTCTGAGGACTTGATTCCCCCACTTTCTCTCCCCCACATCTCCCTAGGGCTCCTTATATTCCATTCATTCCATTTTTATGGGGTCTGGGTTCTTCCTGTTAGATCAGCTGTAGGAAGATTAAATTTCTGCTAAATTATAATACCCCTCAGCTATATCTTCTTTTGAAATGATGACTCCCTATAAAACCAAGAAGCCTTCAAAAGCCAACCAAATGAGGTTTGAATGGAGGAATCTTAGACAGGCTGACAAATGGACAGGAGGTCCCCTTTAGACAGTGTGGGGTAGTGGGGCTTCCTACACCCCAGAATCAAAAGCATCTGCAATAGCAGCTGCTTCTGTGTGAGGTTCCAAATTTGTAGGATTTACTTTAAAACAAAAAGGTTATCAGTAGCATTAACACTGAGTTCATCAAAACTAGAGGAGATCCTGAAGAGCAACCCATAGGCCGTAGTACTACTTATGCTCCAAATTAATTAAGCTTCATGAAACCAAAGGACCAAACTAAGGAAAAGAGTAAACCTCACCCACATTGGCTCCTTCTACTTCAGGGCCTTTGCATCTGCTTGCGTTTGCATGAAATTCTTTTCGCAATGATACTCCTCAGTTCCTAATTTTGCCTCACTAACCCCTACTTATCTTTCAGTGATCAGGTGACATGTGACATCACGGAAGAGTTCCAAGATGCCGAGAATAGATCATCTCCTCTTCCACTCTAAATTGCTCTGCTCTACCACTATATATAAATATATAGTCAGTATATATAAATATAGTCACTATACTGACTATAAATATATAGTCAGTATATATAATATAGTCACTATATATAAATATATATAGTCAGATGACATTAACCAACTCCAGGTATCTTTATTTATAATAATCATCTAAGGGGGATCATTCACTCAGAATTTTACAAGAACAATACCATCTGTTGGCAACAATAGTGCTACATCATAGAGCAACAACTATGTGAAACTTAAATCAACTTAAGCACAAATCTACATAACAAATCAAAGTTCCAAGCATCAGCTTAGCAACAAACTTGGAAGCTAGTTCACTTCTAAGGTGGTATGTGTTGGTGTGTCTTCTTATGTTGGCATGAAAATCACTGTACGGTAAAGATCTTGTTAAGTGGAAACAGAAACGGAAGTGTTTTCCAAGAACATATATCTGCCATAATGCCAGATCAAATAATAAAATAATTCTTGCCCTATTTTATATATCAGAATTGCCTATTTAAAAAAATCTCTCCCAACCTTTCCACTAAATACTTATAAAATTTTTGGACAAAAATCATCTAATAAAATAAAATGAGTGCATGATGTCAGTTAAATGTTCAACTGGGATTCTACAATGCAGATTGTAGCTAAGCATTGTATTCCGCCTGATTTAATGTCATCTTATGGAATAAAGTTACTTTTACTGTTCTTTATTTGTTTACTTTGACATCAAAAGGAAACTGCAACAAATACGTAGGAAGTACCTGTGTGGAATGGTATGGTGTGCTGCCCAGATTCCCCTTCAGAAATGAGGAATTTATTTCCCCAGCTGCTGGCAGTACTGCCAGAGCACGGCCCTCTGCCATGAGCACTCTTGGAAGATCATCTCAGCTGAAGAAACACGCTTTGCCTAAGATCATGTCTACTTTCAAAAGAAGCTCCTATCCAGGCCAGGCGCAGTGGCTCAGGCCTGTAATCCCAGTACTTTGGGAGGCCAGGGCAGGCGGATCACGAGGTCAAGAGATTGAGACCATCCTGGCCAACATGGTGAAACCCCGTCTCTACTAAAAATACAAAAATTAGCTGGGTGTGGTGGCACGTGCCTGTAGTCCCAGCTATTCAGGAGGCTGAGGCAGGAGAATCACTTGAACCTGGAAGGCGGAGGTTGCAGTGAGCAGTGAGATCACGCCAAAAAAAAAAAAAAAAAAAAAAAGCTCCCATGCAATCCCAATCATTGCAGGTATATAAAAGCCCAGAAACCTTACCCCAACTCTAAAGTGTCATCCCACATCCAGAGCTCCCCACGGGACATGCTGAGGTCTTCAGCATGATAAACCTTCTTATGCTGGTATGAACATCACGTTTCAACTTCTCTCTCTACAGAATTCTGTTTTCTTCTTCTCCCTTCCACCGGTATTGATCTCCAGGATGCTTCCTAATAAATGTCTTGCACATTAATCTCCATCTCAAAATCTCCTACTGGGGAATGCCACCTACAACAGCCTGGAAGTAAAAACCCTAAACAGTTACAGTTGAGTAGTTGTCAATAGAGAAGTGGCTGAAAAGTAAGGGCCTGTTAACTGGAACCTCAGCTGCTTCTTCCTGTCCAAGGGCTTTGGTTTATGTGGTTGGAAGGTTGAGGTGAGTGAATTTCTATGAGGGAAATTTCCTAGGAGGCCACTTTCTAGTATACAAATGTGTCTTGTTTAATAATGGTCTGAGTGCTAACCATTCCCTAGGTGAAGGCTTTGCTACCAGGAGATATGTGGCCTCTAGGCCTTTGAGCCTATGGCTGTCCCTTCCAAGCCATCCTTGGAATTGGTCTTTGCCCTCTCTGTAGCTTCCGTCCCTCTGGGCTGTTCAGCGTCTCCTGGGATAGAAAGGGTAGGAACTGATGATTTATTAAGCCAGTTTACTTTTCTATGTATCCCCTCTAACAAACTGAGAATGGAAAAGAATGACACTTTCAGTTTATTTCCCCTCTCATTCAAGAGAGTCCAGAATATTGACCTTTCAGTATTGTATGCTTTGGTCTCATATTATTTTAATAATGCAGTTTTTATTAGTATGGTGCAGGTCTCAGAACATTCTATTCATACAATTCTATACTTGAAATAAAAATATAAATTTAATTACATTATACTACTAACACCTATTTGATTATTGTATTTTGTTTGTTTTTTTGTTCATTCATTTATTCATTTTACTTGACATATATTTATTCAGGCTCTTCTATGAATCACATGCTTTAATATTCCTGTGAAGTAAATGTAACACTCAATGCCCACCTGCTGGCCCCTCACCCCAATGCAGTGCTCCTGCTAAAGTCAATTTTATTTTTGAGTCCTAACTTTGAGTTTCTCACAAAACCCCCCACAGCTACACAACTCATCTATTATCAGGATCTATGTGAATTCTACTAAAACATTGCAGATGGTTTAGTAGCATTCACATGTTACATAAGTTTGATTTCTCCTCCCTCTTCCTACAGGAATTTTCACAGTCGAATATTCTAGGTCATTCTTTCTGGAATCTGTAAACCTATTCCTCCTTTCATCTTGCTTTCTTGTCTTTGCGAGTCTTGTTTCTATTCCCTTTTAGCCTCTCACCACTATTAGAACATTTCCTTGAGAAAATTATTCTTAAAATTAAGCTAAAAAATATCAAATCCCCTTGATATGCACTCAGGGGTATTGGAACTAAGGGATATAAGAAGAAAATATTGATTTAAGATTAATGAAAATGGGAATGACTTTAGTTTGGGCTAAAGCATAAAAAAGAAGAAAAGGGAAAGAAAGGGCAGCAGTATTGCAATATGTTGAACTGAAATTGTTGCATAAATATTTTTCATTCACAACTTTTTATTGATTTTTAAACTGACAGTCTATAACATTGCATAATAGCTTATTTAATCTTTTTTATTAAAAATTGTCTTATTAAAGATTATTTCAGTTCATTTATATTTAAAAAAATACCCCATACAAAAAAAAAAAAAAACCTTATGAAAATGGTACTTCTCCCAATATTCTCAAAAATTGAGTATTATGTGTCAGGTTCCTAAATGCTCCACATACAATAATACAAGGAAATTTTTACTCTTATTACCCCATTGGAAGATGAAGTAAACTGAGACTAAGAAAAATGAGGTAATGTGCTCAAAGTTTCAGTCAAGGGATTTGAATTCAGGTAATCTACCTTGTAGTTTATACTCCTCATTAGGACATGATACTGTCCCATTTGATGTAAGGTCTAGAGCCCTGGGGAATGTGTCTAGCCAAGATGAAAAGCCAATCAGAGTTTGTGGGTTTGGACTTTGAAAGTGAATTCAGACCTCTTGGCATTTGCATTCTCTTTGTGGTGGACAAAATGCAAACTTCTATTTGAAAAAAGGGAAACAACGTGGTCTAAATGGCTTCAAGGTTTTTGAACATCAAACAGTTTTTACCAAAGAACAGTAAAATCACTGAAGTGTATCCAAATAAAAAAATACGTGGATTTGACAGCAATCTGATTCACAAAATACCCAGAGCCATTTCGTGATTATCATAGTTCCAAGTTAAATAGAAAGCTCTGTGTTGTATTCTTCTCTCCCATTAATTGATTCCTGATTGGATATTCCTGATCTTCTAAGAGCATGCCAGTGGGCACACATGGGGAGCTTCATCATTCAGGAAATGATGTTGGTGGGACCCAGAGGTTTGGCAGGGTGAGTGGCTTGGGGGCAGCCCTGGCTGGAGCTGCCTCCTCTCATATGGTCCAAGTCAGTAGCACCAACTGAAAGTAGGCACTTTCAGTATGGAAATTTCACAATGGTTGAATTTTTTTTCCCCAGTCCTTCAAAGTCTGTGGTTGAAGAAGTGGGCAAGTAATTTGTGCCTGCAACTTGGTAGTGTAGGCAGCTAGGATCAAAGTAAGGGAAATTGTACAAATTGTCCATTTGAATATGAAAGAAGTAAAGAAAACCCAGCCAACTCAATCAAATACTGCTTTTTTTCTTTGAATTCTTTATTTTTATAATTCAGAAGTTTATGTTTTTCAATGGCTGGGTAGCAAAGTGGCAGAAGTGGCAAGATTTTGAGATTGCTACTAGAAAACCTGACTTAGAAAGCAGAAGACTGGACTTTTTATTATTTTAATGCCAATGAGGCATAATTCAAATAATCATGTCAAGCAAATTTAGGCTTTAATGACTTACAGAACACTGAGTTAGGGAATAGTTCTTCTTCAACTTGAAGAAGAAACTAGAGCCAGGATGCAGCTGGAGCATAAAAACCTCACAAAACACATTTCTTATCTTAAAACGAGAGAGCTGAACCACCTTCTCTAATGCTCTTTCCCATTCTAACATTCCTTGACCCTATTTTATACTAAATGCATGTGTGGAGCTGGATAGGTCACTTTAGCTTTAGTCTAAAGGCTTTTGATAATGCATCATAGAGTCCACCAGTTCTTAGATTGACTCCTGTTAAAGCTCTGATCTTGTAGAACATTCCAGAGCCCAACACTGAAAGTGAGATAAACTAGATTTGACCCAGATCTGACATTGGTTAGCTACATGCAATTGGCAAGCAACTAGTTTCATTTCTTAATCTGGAAAATGAGACTAATACTTTCCCTTTAATATTTGGTTATCAAATAATCACCATTTGTTATTCTTATGACCCTTCATAAAATTATGTTAAATATTATTTTAATTATTTTAATATTTCTTGAAGTAGAATAATGTTAAGTAGGTTTTAATATCTTTAACATCAAGGAATCTATGAAATATAGACAGCATCCTTAATACCATTTTTTTTTAACATAGAAATAATGTGAGATTAAAGAATCCAAGAATCAGTGCCTGATATAGTTTGGCTGTGTCCCCACCTAAATCTCATCTTGAATTGTAGCTCCCATAATCCCCAAATGTCGTGGAAGGGGCCCATTGGGAGGTGATTGAATCATGGGGGTGGTTACCTCCATGCTGTTCTCATGTTAGTGAATGAGTTCTCAGGAGATCTGATGGTTTTATAAGGGACTCTCCTCCTTTTGCTCGGCACTTTTCTCTCCTACCGCCCTGTGAAGAAGGATGTGTTTGATTCCCCTTCAGCTGTGATTGTAAGTTTCCTGAGGCTTTCCAAGCCATGCAGAACTGTGAGTCAATTCAACCTCTTTTCTTTATAAATTACCCAGTCGTTGGTATTTCTTCATAGCAGTGTGAGAACAGACTAATACAGTGCCTTAAAAAATACATATAAGTCATGAACAAGTATTTGAAGATATACCTTCTGGTGATAGATGACATATCAGTTAATTGACAGAAAAATTTAGTCACACTATTTACCTGGCATTGTTAATTAATTGGAAAGGAGATGAAACCAAAGACGTTGCTGAGGAAGAATTAAAAATCGGCAACAACACATATAAAAGTCCTCACTTAACCAAATTCTGTCACCAGCTCTTATTTGTGTATTGAATCTCATTCCAGCAAGAGCACTATCTATTAATTTGAAACACCATTATGTTTTCTATGAGCACAACTGTATCCTAGAAAACTAAAAAATACCCCAAGGTTCTATAATATGAAATACTAACTATAATTTACTTGTGATGAATAATTAGTATGTTGGAGAGGTCAGAAACACTTTATTCCCAGATATTTTACATGACTTGTTTGTATCTTCTTGTACCCTAGCTTAGGAAAGTTAGTGATTCAGATTTATTGTTCTTAATGTCTCCTATAAAGTCTTTATCTAAGTTTATTTAAACTCCTAAATCTTTGGAAATGGAAATGGGAAATTTCACCTACTGCAGATATACACCCTATACTTTAATCCATGGATCTCAGATACATTTCTAACATGACCAAATTCTCATTTACTTCATGTTTAAATGAAAATACTCCATATTTACATGCTTTAAAACTCCAGAAATTGAGGCAAATATTGACTGCTCTGGATAATAGTTGTTCAGAGACTAAATGATTCATATAATCCCACATAGAATGTAGTATATTTTGAGGACAGGATCAGGTTTTTCACATTTTATCCAGTCCTTTCCACTCTCTGAGCACCATTCATCCAAAATTTCCCCAGCACAAATGTATCATACCTTGAGCTCTGTAAATGAGGCAGAGTGAATAACTGAATTGGTATTTTAATTTCCACTTCAAATATGTTGGAAACATTCATGTGAGTTTTGTCTTTGCTCAAAACCCTCTAGTGGCCTCTCATACAACTTATTCAGAGGAGAAGCCAAAGCCTGTGATCCTTTAAGCCCCCTCCTGTTTAGCCTTTCTCCCCTACCTGCTGTCCTCTGCTCTTTTCATGGCCCACTCCATTGCTAACCCAGACACACTTCTACTTCAAGTCCTTTCCAACTGCTGGTTCCCCAGCCTGGACACTTTTTTTCTAAGGCATTCCTGTGGCTGTTCTGTTTCCTTGACTCTTTAAGTTCTACCCAAATGTCACATTCTCAACTAGGCCTTTTCTCTCCACTTTTTCAAGAATTTTACCCATTTTCCCACATTCTCTTTTTGATACTTAATCACTACTTGATCTATTATACAAGCTATTTTATTTATTATCTTTCTACTGACTGTACCCTCCAACTAGAATGTAAGATTCATGAGGGCATAGATTCATGTTTCTATTTTTTCACAACATATTTAGCACTTAATAAATATTTATTGAATGAACAGATGCATTTCTGGAGGTCCATAATTATAATTTAAAAAGAGCATTTACACAAACTGGCACTAAATAGGTAGAGTCAGCACCCTTATCTCCCCCCATCTCGGGGAAGGATGATCTCAGTCCTTCTCAATATTAATTTCAGTAAGTTTTCTCTTTTACCTGCTAAATTCACATTTGTGCTCCTTCGATAATCTTCATCAGAATCAACTTGAATCTTTGTTGAAAATGCAGGTTCCTAGGTCCTAGTTCAGGTCAAAATCTTTGGGTAGGGGATGGGACATTTGTAACCTATATTTTTAATGATCTTTTCAGGTGGTACTTAATGCACACTAAAGGGCGACAGCCACTGACAGAAATATTTTTGGCCCGTTTATTTTCTTACTATCTTTCTTCTTCTGTTCTGAGCTCTGTGTTAGGGTATACCCTAGCCAATGTCAGTCTATGTAGTAGGGACCATATCCACATGGTTCTTCTTAAATTATGCTGAGTACAAGGACACACATGCTTAAGCAATTGCTTGAAGGATTTTAATGGAAGGGATGAGCAGAATGACAATAATCATTGCAATGAGGTTTATTTTGACCCTCACATTCTTCCTTTTTACTAAATAGGGTTTAGGAACTAAATTACTTTCAAGTCTGTTTGTTGTTGCAATGATAAAGGCATTTTCCTGCTTTTCATAAACATCTATCATGTCCAAGCTTCTGAATTTTTTTTTCTTGCTCTGTCACCCAGGCTGGAGTGCAGTGGCATGATCTTGGCTTGCTCCAACCTCTGCCTCCTGGGTTCAAGCTATTCTCATGCCTCAGCCTCCCCAGTAGCTGAGATTACAGGCACCAGCCACCAAGCCCAGCTAATTTTTATATTTTTAGTAGAAATGGGGTTTCACCATGTTGCCCAGGCTGGTATCCAATTCCTGACCTCAAGTGATCCACCCTTCCTGGGCCTCCAAAGTGCTGGGATTACAGGTGTGAGCCACCACACCCAGCCCTGAATATTTTAAGAATAGTTTAACTTAAACACGTTAAACTTAAACAAGGTAAACAGTTGGACTCAGGTTCAGCTGCTTCTCTCCTGAAAGAACTTATTTTAGATGAAATTTCCAGTTAATATTCAGAAATCAAATAAATCTTACCAATACATCTTACCTCATTCAATCCTTTGAAATCTATAGAGAAACTTCAGCCTTGCTTATGTGCATTCTCAGAAGGATTTATCTGTATAACTCTTTGTCTCCAATGATCAAAGAGGGAAACCATAAACTTTGCAAGACCTTTTATAAAACCTAGCTTCAAACTGACTCAAGGTTTTTACAGTGAATATGGGGTTTTACAAGGCAAGAGGGAAATAAAATTTGTTTATTTTTTTATTTGTTTGTTTACCTAAGCAGCATACACATTTTTCATACAATTTGGGTTTGGCATTACCCACAATGCATCTGGCCAAACACTTTTTTTCCTTAATTTTTATAACCAGAGAAATTTTCAGAGAAATTTAATCCACATGTTTCTGATTCATTCCATATCCAGTAATGTTTCAGTGAAGGATGTTTGATTCCAAGACCTCTGGAAAAGATTCTTTATCTACAGTTTCTAAGATGGCAGGTAAGTGAGTGTAAATAATGGGCTCACTCAAGGTGGGAGATCAGGCACTACAAGACTGACACAAAACGCAATGAGCCAAACAGCCCTAAGGGACAAGTTTCCTCAAGGTTCTGGGAAGTTGAAGTAGCCTATTTTGACCTCAAATTCCAAGTGTGGTTAAACCAGTATTAGTTTACCAGCAGGAGCAATTCTATTTGCATAGAAACTCTACTCCAAAGGCTTGAGTGTTCAATATTTATTGCATATTTAATATGTGCCAGGTATTATTGCCACAGTCCACGGGGAAACGAGAGATGAATACTCTCTCTTACTGATCTGAGTACTGACCTCAAAGAACTTCTAATTTAGTAGGTGGGAATAAGATCCAGTGAGTCAATACCAATGTTCTTCTTAAACCTGTAAGACAGACTGTCTAGTTCTTTTTTTTTCTTTTTTTCTTTTTTTTTTTTTTTTGACAGAGTCTTGCTCTGTCACCAGGCTGGAGTGCAATGGCACAATCTCGGCTCACTGCTGCCTCCGTCTCCCAGGTTCAAGCGATTCTCCTGCCTCAGCCTCTCGAATAGCCGGGACTACAGGCACGCACCACCATGCCCAGCTAATTTTTGTATTTTTAGTAGCGATGGAGTTTCCCCATGTTGGTCAGGCTGGTCTCGAAATCATGACCTTGTGATCCACCCGCCTCGGCCTCCCAAAGTGCTGGGATTACAGGTGTGAGCCACTGCGCCTGGCCGTTTAGTTCTCTACATAGCCTACATCAGCAACCTCACTCAAATCCTAATACACAAAAATACATGCATAGACACATGTGCACACATACACATACACACAGGATTGTAATCTTAGATCTCGATAGAACTAGAATATTTTATTCAATTTAACCAAAATCTATCTTTTCATCACACATAGCATACAAAGCATTTTAAACATGATACATGTTAAGTGAATAAAGTAATATAATGCAATCCATTTTCTTGCTTGTTTTACAGATTTGCAGAACTTAAAAGAATACTGTAAGATTGGGATTGATGCCACCTGAAAGTGAAGAGCCAAACTGAAAACGTCATAAGTGTCTTAAGAAGTTCGACTTTAAACTAAATTCAAGGCCATTTATGGACAGAATACCATGGTGGGTGGTGTCATCACTATATGTGATACAGCAAGAGCTTCTACAATATAATTAGTGATTATTGCATTCAATTTAATCAAAGAATAGTTTACCATAACACCAACAGGCCATCATTTTATAGTTATCAGGTGGACCAGAGACCAGAATCTAATTGCGCAGATTCTCTTAATAAAATGTTAGTCTATATGTTTGTTTATTGGCTGGTTGGTCTAAAGTGGTTGGTTTATTCATTTTAGACATTCTAATTTTTGACTCCTCGATGTATATATTGTGCATTTTACGCCAATGCACTTTCAAATGAAACTGTTGAATTTCCTCTGCAGATTAGTTAGATTATATTTTTCAAAGGGGACCTCAACAATGATACACATTCTGCATGCTCTCCTGTCATGTGACCTTGTCCAATTCTGAACATCAAAAGCTGGAGTGTATTTCTTCACTTCCTTGAATCTGGGAGGCCCTGTGATTATTTTGACCAATAAAGCACAGGGTTGAAGTGTGATCACATGCAAGAAATGTGATTACCCCAAGATTACTGCACTGTGAGAAGCCCAAGCCAAGTGGAAAGGCTCTGGACGGTGAGTTGCCATGCAGGCAGAGGCAGGCCAAGGAAAACCATAGCACCTGACAGTGAATGAAAGTCATCTTGGAGTATATCCTCCAGTCCCACTGCCTCAGCTGACACCATAGGGATAAAAGACAAACCACCCAGTCAAGCTATTCCTGAGTTCCTTACCTCCAAAACCATGAGTACAATAAAATGGATGATTTAAGCATCACGTTTTGGGGTGGCTTGTTATGACACAATAGATGACTGAAACAAAGACTTCTAGGGAGCTTTCTGCACTCTTTCCAAACCTGTACTCAAATGTGAAAAGGAAAACTTAAGAGTTACAGAAGTCAAGGTCAGCATACTGAAGAAGTTTGAAATCTAGTGAGTGCCACAACGTGTAAGACTATATAGGGAGATGATCAACAAAGAAACAAATAAGAACAAGTCATAAAATATTAACGGTAATAAACAGAATCCCCAGAAACTTTGGGGATGAAAGAGATAATCAGTGCTCTGACTTGAGTACAACCATCAGATAAGGCTTCTCATAAGTAAATTGCATCTTTAAATAGAGGTGGGTTAGCATTGTCAGAAAGAGGGTAGACGTTTCTTGAGGAAAATAGTATGAGTGAAAGATAAAAAGAGGAAAGATAAAGAAGGAAGGGGAAAAATAGAAGAAAGGAAGAAAAAAGGATCAAGAAAAATAAAAGGGAGATTAAGAGGAACCATCATAAAACTGGTTTGGCTGGAATGAGGAGCAAATTGGGATTGGAAAAGTGTATTTTAGACAAAAAACCCATTGTATTCGAGGTAGATGAATAAACACAAATACTTACACAAATATATATATACACACAGTGAGTTCTAGCCTAAGGAGCTAAAAAAACCACACAAAAGCTTGTCCTAAATCTTAAGGCATCATACCCCTAATTTGGATATGAGTTTGATTTCACAAAGCAAAAACATAAAATAAATAATTAGATGTCACACTGTTTTACCCAAACAACCACATTTGCGTATATCACCAGTGAGGGTGCCAGCTGCACCAAATGTCACCAGTTAGCAATCAGCCTTGGGAAACCTTGCCCCACTTTACAAGGTTCCTAGAACTGGCTATACACAGGAATCTAAGAAGCAAGTAGCATATTTAGTAGGCTTTCTTGTCCTGCTGATGCCTTCAAATAACAGTTATTTATGCTGCTATTGAAGACTTGGGAAATATTGAGTAGTGTCACTGGACTTATTAATATTTGGCTGCACAATGAACCTTAGACATCATCTTAGTTCAACTGCCTTTTGCAAGTGAAAAATTGTGGTACTCAGATTCGGCCTGTTTAGGGGCAGAATCATAACTTGAACTCAGACTTCTGCAAGTCAGTTTAACACCCTTCCTCAAAATAAATCTTGATATTCACCCTGAGGATTCTGTCAACATATCTAGGAGGAAGTATAGGATAGTGAAAAAGAACATCAGAGTGGGGTCCAAAGACCTGGGTTCAATTCTTATAATCCCTATGAGATATTAAGGAAGTAAGTTTCTTTCTTTCTCTAAGTATCAGCGCTCTCTTTGAAAAATGGATATTCATTTGTTCAGTCATAGGCCAGATACTGTTCTAGGAATTTATGATACATAATGAACAAAACTATAATCAATGGTCTTATAGAGCTTACATAAACATAACAAACAATAATAAAACAAAGTAACATGATCTGGATTACCCTGGCTGCTGTGTTGAAAACTGATTTTAAAGGGTTAAGAGGCCAGTGTAATCCCAGCACTTTGGGACGCCAAGGCTGGTGGATCACGAGGTCAGGAGATCGAGACCATCCTGGCTAACACGGTGAAACCTCGTCTCTACTAAAAATACAAAAAAAAATTAGCCGGACGTGGTGGCGGGCGCCTGTAGTCCCAGCTACTCGGGAGGCTGAGGCAGGAGAATGGCGTGAACCCAGGAGGCGGAGCTTGCAGTGAGCCGAGATCGCGCCACTGCATTCCAGCCTGGGCGACAGAGGAAGACTCCGTCTCAAAAAAAAAAAAAAAAATGGTTAAGAGCTGCTGTAGGAAAACAAGTTAGAGGCTATTGCAATTATACAGTAGCAGGTGAGTGTGGGCTAGACTTGAGTGAAAAAAATAGAGGAAGTGGAAGAAAGTAGTTAAATTCTGGATGTATTTTTACTACAAATCCAACAACATTTTCTGATGGATTATAACATGGGGAGTAAAGAGAAGGGTCAAAGGGACTTGAAAATTAGGGACCTGAGCAACTGGAAAGATGCAATTATCATCAACTGAGATGAGAAACGTTCTGGGTGGAAGAGGTGTGGGAATAATGTCTGGAGACTATTTATAGGCATTTCAAAATTAGAATATCTACAAGGTAGCCTAGCAGAGATGTTGAGTGGAAAACTGTATATTCAAGTCCAGAGTTTTGACTGGCTGAAGATGTTAGTATGGGAATTTTCAGCATATAGATAGCACAGTCTACTTGGTTGCTGCAATTGCATTGGGTAGCACATCCAGAGGGAGAGGTAAGTCTGTTAAAATAACATTTTTAAGGAGTAAAAACCACCTGATTTTGTTCCATTCTGAAATCAAAAATCTTGCTTGAAAGAATGAAGGATACTCTGTCAGTTATCTAATTGTAATAACCGCAAGGATCCTTCATTTTTAGACTTAAAGATAACAACAAAAAGTAAATAAATGTAAATGGCTAAAAGCACATTATATACTGAATGCTATATGCATTTTACTAAAATGTTGATTCAGGCATAGATTTCAAAATTAATTTCAAATTATTTACAGTGTATTTCTTATGTCAGTTTCTAGTTCCTCCTTACAAAGCTTATAAAAACTTTTATCCAGTTATGCCTTAAAAAGTAGGCAATAACCATATTTCTTCCTCTGTTTTCCAGTTTCTGATAATATACTTCTTTATGTCTCCAATCTTCTTTTCCTACTAATCTCTACTGGTAAATGTCTTAGCCATATCAGTCTCCTTACAAGTCAGAGATTTCCGAGTTTTTGTCTGGGCATTGAAGTCAAATTTATTCTTACATAGTAAGTCACAGGATTACTGAAGAGCTTTCTTTTTTTTTTAGAGACCTCTGCAAAATGCTGATGACCTGACTGCTACTAAAACTCTATTCTGCATTTCTATTATCTTGGCGCTCTAAGTTTTTTGTTTTTTCTCTGCTTTTGACCAATTATTTGATTATTGGGGGTGGGGGTTGTTGTTGTTTGTTTGTTTGTTTCCTGCCTCCTTCCACAAAGATTTTAAGGATGGTTTCAATCATGTATCCAATTTGAAAGGCTATCATAAATATATGTCGTACAGCAGAGCTTTCCAGTGGTATGCCATGAATGCTTTTCTGGTACACAAACATGCTGACCTCTTGGCTTTCAGGGAAGCAAAGTATAGTTGGGTGGCCCAACTCTGGATTGATTCCCTCCAGCCATAAGCAGTCATTTCTGTTTTCCTCGGCATATGCTATCGTTTGAATGTGTCTCCTCCAAAATTCATGTATTGACACTTAATAGTAAATGTGGTAGTATTAAGAGGTGGGACCTTTAAGAGGTGACTTGGGTCATTAGGGCTCCTCCTTCATGAATGAGATTAAGTCCCGGAGAAAAGAGGCTTCAGGCAGAATTAAGCTACTCCTGCCCTTCTGCCCTCCACCATGTGAGGATGCAATATTCTTCCCCCTGGAGGAGTCAGTGATAAGGCGCCATCTTGGAAGCAGAGAGAAGCTCTCACCAGACACCAAACCTGCTCCTGTCAGCACCTTGATTTTGAACTTCCCAGCCTCCATAACTGTGAGAAAATAAATTTCTTTTTTTTTATAAATTACCTAGTCTCAAGTATATTTTGTTGTAGTAGTGCAAAGAGACTAAGCCTGCCATGTAAGTACGAGCATTTTCTTTGTTTCTGAATTAATGAAATTTAGAAAGGTAGTACCTTAATAAACTTTCTGTTTTAAGACATATTAGTTCTTGGGATCTAATGTACAGCATGGTGACTATAGTCAATAATACTGTATTTTTTACTTGAAATTTGCTAAGAAAGTAGATTATAAGTGTCCTCAGCATTGCCCTCCCTCCTACTCCCCACACAAACATACTCACAAAAGGTAACTATGTATGGTGATGGTGTGCTGATGAATTTGATTGTAGTAATCATTACACAATGTATATGTATATCAAATAATTACTTTATATAGCTTGAATAGATACAATTTTCTCATGTTAATTACACCTCAATAAAGCTGGCAGGAAAAAAGAAAAAGGATACTCTATAGTAAAAAGAAGAAAGAAAGGAAGGAAAGAAAAAAGGAAGGAAGGAAAGGATGGAGGGAGAGAGGGAGGAATAATCTAAAAAGTTGCTAGAAACAACAATACTCTTAGTGGCCAAAGCAAAAAAGGAGCCACATAAGATTTCTTTTTAAAAAAAGAATTGTTATCATGGAGAGGTCAACCTTTTCTCTAAGAAAACTAAAATAACTTTTCTATGGCTCACTTTTATGTAGTGAATAATGTCCTAACAATGCACCAACAATAGAGACAACGATTAATTTTGAATACGTATTTCTATGGTGTCTTTCAATATAGGATGAGGCACAATGCTGAAACACTGTTTACTCAAATTCGTTTTATAATGACTTACAACAATATAGCATTACTGCCCCACTCTTGGTAGTGTTCTTTAAAAAGAAATATTGAAATATATTGAAAGTCCTTTAGATATTTTTCCATAAATATTATCACAAATAACTTTTCTTTTTTAAATAAAAATTGATAATTGAAGAGTTCAAAGAACATTCCTCAGGAATGAATTCAGTACAAATATTTTGTGTTACATATTTAACAACCAACTATGCAGAAAGTAAGGTTAACATTTTCTTGTGAAGAATCTAATCAAGACACAAATCTGAATAAAAGGCCACCTCACTTGAATGGCCAAGAACTTACATGCAGTACCAACATTTTTCTTTTGCAACAGGCCTGGTTTTAAGCCACAGATGGATGAATGGCTAATCAAAACTTTAAACTTCTAGATCCTATATGGCATGCCATAAGAATTTCAGCTGTGAATTGCCATCATCTCTCAGAATAATATAAAGCCAATTATAATAATTCATTATAAGGATAATGTCTAATTTCAGAACAGTCTATGCTTGTGCTTTCTGAGATGAGTTTTCTGTATCCTGGGGTAAATAAATGTCTTATTTTGTACTGAACTATTGGATAGAAACCAAGTAAATATCACTTGACATCTTGCAGGATGAATGAGTTGAATATCAGAGTGTTGATCTTAAACCATCCTTTTTGACCATAACGTATAGCAAGACTAGCTGAATATGGTGGTTATTTCTAGAGTGTAATAATAAAATCCAATCCTCAGTAATTGCTCAAAATAACCAGCATAGTTGAATGTTTACAGCGTGACACATTCTGTTCTAATTGCTTTAAATATATTAACTCATTCAATCCTCACGACTCTTTGAGGTAAATACATTAGGATTCTCACTAAGGAAATTCAGATACTGGGAGATTATTTCATTTGCTTAAGATTACATAATTAGAAAGCAGGGAAGCTGAGATTCTAAACATGGCAGTCTGATCCTACAGTTTACATTTTCATTATCATTTTATACTTTCCAGTATACAGAAGAATTATCTTTCCGGTCTTATTACAAGGGAACAACAGCCCATCTCATTTAAGCCAGATCATATCCTTAACAAACAATTAGAAAGGCATAGAAACTAAAAAACTCATCATTAAAAATTGCAATTATTTCTGCCTTTTCTGTAGTCTATCCTGGTGTTTTCTGAAAACTAAAGTCTATCCTTGTGATTGGCCTTTGGCCTCCTTCTCCTTCTCCTTCTTCTCCACCTTCCCCTCCCCTTCCCCTCCCCCTCCCCCTCTCCCTCCTCCTTCTCCTTCTTCTTTTTTTATAAAAAATCATAACTTTCGAATTGGGATCCTTTCTAATGGGATCCTTTCTAATTGGGAACCTGTTTAGTCTTTTTTTCTGATAGGCAAAAACCTGCATAGCAGAGCTCTGTTAAATTGTCTCAGAGTGCAGAAACTACAGATAATTAAGGTTTAATCAAATTTCATGTTAAAAATTATACAAGCTATATTTTAAAAATGAATTCTGCAAGAAAGTTTTCAGTAAGCCCATGTGATGCTTTGAAAATATTATTCAATGGTTTGGGATTTTGAAGGTCCTTTTCACATTTGGGTAAAAAGACTGTCCATGAATTAACTGTCATTGACTGTCATTATCATATGACATTGTCGATGTCCTAACCGTCATTGACTCTTGCTGTCAATGAAGTCTTGGTGTTTCCTAAAAATTACACTGAGAATTGAAACACTTTAAGTAGAAAATTATTACTTAACAAGGTGTCTTATCAAAGTTGGTGGGGGAATTCTGTCACCTGCACAGTTGTTTCCATTCATTCTATCACAAAAGAGATAACAGCTGAGATGGAAGAGAAATCACTGATAAATGGCACTGTAAAATGATTTCCTGACATGCAGAAAAGAGTTTTGTTGACTGTTCAGAGACATTTAGAATAGGTCCATTTGTCTTTATGTGAAAACTGTTTCCTAATGGTAATGAAAGGATCATATTACAGTACAAAAACATTTTTTGAGAGCCTTTACAGTAAAGAATTACTGTGTTTGTCTTTCGTCAGAGTTCTTTTACTCCTGTTTGCTTTTCCTTTTTAACTCCTTTCTCCAGCTTTGCATGTTTATGTTAGGTTTTTATTCTGTGAGAGTGAAGAATGAATCATATAGGTAACTCTCATCTTCAAACAACAGAATGGCAAAGATAGAGGGGAAAAAGAGAAGTATCAGAAAAATTATCACAGAAGTTCACTTGCTATCATGAAAACTGAGACTAGACCCAGTCTCAGAGAAAAAAAGAACTGGAGAGCTGAAGATTTCACTTAAGTGATAGCAGTCTGATTTACCAGGACAGGAGACAACTAACTAAATAATAAATTACAAGTTTTATTTATTTCATATTAATTTTATATAATACCTGTTGCCTCTTTTTTTTACCTTATTTCAAGCATTTTATTCGGTCATAGGGATAAAATAATCCATGAAAATTGGACTCTGCCCTCAATTTGCTCACAATTTAGAGGGCAAGTATACTAAATAAACAATTGATATTAATTTCACAGTCATAGACTCAGTTATGCAAAACTGGAATTTCCAGGGCAGCAGTGGAAAGCTTAATCTAGCCTGTTTCAGACACTTCCAGTTTAAAACTTAGTTTCTTTGTTGTTCACGTGTCAGTTAATTCAGGGATTTCACTCCCCACTTGTCCTTCCCTTCTACTTGGGTGGTGTCTGATGTTGGAGGAGGCTCAGACACCACGGTATCCAGGAAGTTGGAGGTGGGAGGAGTGGGCACATGTCCAATCCATAGTAATCACCTGGCCTCCCTGGGCCCTGCTGAGGTTTAATGTGTCTAGCCTGTTCTTGGCCATTGGCCACTGAACTCACTGTTTCTGGAAGCTGATGAGACTTGGGGTGCTGTGTGGCATCCAGTAGCAAGGGCCACACAGTTTGTGTTCCACAAGACCTCTTCTGGGCAGCTTTTCTCCCTCCCCTTTTTTTCTCATGGTTATGGGAAAATGTTGAATATTCTCCCAGAGAGTTTGGAGGCTTGTCTCAGGTCATCTCTCCACCATTCCCTGCCTTTTTGCTTTGCTATTCCAACCTCTGTGTATCCTGGATGTGGGATCTCTAAAATGTGGGCAGTATTTCCTGTGGTGCTCCTACAAAGTAAGACACAAATCTTTGCTCCATAGGCCCCAGAAATCTATCTAGAGCTTCTATACCAATGTACACTTGGATCAAGGGAAACGTGAAGATCCCTAACCCTCTGCTCAACTTTCTATTTTCATCTCCCTTTCTCATGAAGTATCTATCTATCCTCAGCCTCTCTGCATGGTGGTAAAATCATTTTTAAATCAATAGGCATTCATTCACTTTTTGGTAAATTATATGAAAGCCTGACATCTCCAGGCTTTTCAAACTCAGAGCAGAACAATGATTTCTTGCTTTCTTTTCTCATTTCTGCAGAAGTGATCAATCCTGAGGACAACGTGTATAGAAAGCCCTCAAGGCTGAGACCATCAGAGTGAAAAAACATGGTAAAGCATCTAACTAGTATCTTGTTATACATCTGTAACTTGTCTGTTTCTCTGTTAAGTCTCCAGCTACGTTTGATAAATGATTTATCTTCCTCCCGCTAACACATGGTGGTTAGTTATATAAAGATCAAAATGACAACTTATAAATGTAAATTATAAATAGGGATTAAAAAGGGACTCTTTCTCTTCCCATTTTGGCTAAGCTACCCACTCACATTCCAAAGTGAGCTACTACCCTACCCAAGTAGGACTTGTAAAGAAGATGGCAGAGAAGACCTTGTGAACTACAGCTAATCATTAGCATCCAGCCTGTAAAATAGGTTGGGGAGTCTGAGACACATGAGTAGAAAATTGGAGTCCGTTTTTGGAGATAATTGTTAATGGGCTATGAGACCCACCAGGTATGGGATTAGTCCAGAGAGATTCAAGAACACATGCATAGCTTCATTTGTGAGGAGCTTAGGGGATATGGTACTATGGACTGACCCATACCGAGAGACTTAAAGGGCAAGAAAAGGCAGAGTAGAGAGTTAGGCTTTGGGAAATGAAGTGTATTATCCTGTGAACTACATGTGTACGTAAGGAAAGACAGAAAGCATGCCCTGACCTGGAATAGTCTTCAATGAATTTTGCACAGAAGAGCCACTTGGACAAGTGTTGGAAGACTCACACTGAGAGTTGGTGTGGAGGTGATGCATCATCTGTGCCATGGAACTGGAGGTGAGAGATGTGTAAGTGAAGGAGCAGCACCTGAAAACTCTGCAAGTGAGTGTCGGTTTAGCTTTAAACATCCAGCAATGCTGGGACCAATGTTAGCTCACAATAGTGCCAGTCTAGTAACACTTTTCCTGACCCTTAGCTCTTCTCCACATTCCAACCCTACCTTTTAGTACTGGGAAAGCCAAGAAGTGCCTAGTGAATGGAGTAGAAAAAGAGAAGTGCTGACAGGGTGACAATAGTCAATAATAATATATTGCATATTCTTAAATAGTTAAGTGTAAATTTCAAAGATCTCACCACAAAAAATAATAAGAAAGGTGATAGATATGTTAATTAGCTTGGCTTAATCATTCGACATTACATGCATATATCAAAAATTATATTGTAGGGGAAAGGACTCCTTTTCAATAAATGGTACTGGAATAACTGGCTAGCCATATGCAGAAGATTAAAATTAAATTAGATACCTTCCTTACACCATATACAAAAATCAACTCAAGGTGGATTAAAAGCTTAAATGTAAAACCCAAAACTGTAAATACCCTGGAAGACAACCTAGGCAGTACCATTCTGGACACAGGAACAGGCAAAGATTTCATGATGAAGATGCCAAAAGTAATAGCAACAAAAGCAAAAACACATTCTATCCTGACTCTCCCACTGAATGCAGCTAAAAAGCCAGGACAGGATACAGGGAGTAGCTGTTTGAGAACTGAAAAGTACAGAGTAGCAGGTGGATTGGGGGAAGATATCAGAATTCAAAGTGTCACCTAACTAGTGGTGAGTTTACAACTTCCCTTTCCTCTGCTATCACCCAGCTGGAACACAAAGCAGTCAAAAATCCAAAAATAGCATAGGCAGGCAAAGCAAGAGCTAGAGGAGCAGCCCTATTGTTCTGGCTCCAGCAGCGGGAAAGGGGTTCCCTAACACTCAGGACAGAGAAAATTTCCCCATGAGATTGGTAACAAGTCAAGGATATTCACTCTCATCACTCCTGTTCAACATCACACTGTTAAGTCCTAGCTGGTGCAATAAGGTAAGATGAAATAAAAGGCATACAGTTGTACACAAACACACAAAAAGGTCCATTTTACTCTAATTCAAAAAATAATATAAAGGGAAAGGGAAAGTTGTTGGGAAATTTCTTGTTCACTCCTTTGATTTTCTGGTAATAGGCAATAGCTTGCCAAGAACTTCTGGCCAGGCTGAATTGTCCTACCAGACATGCATTAAATTGTCTAGCCGAGATGTGTCTCTTAATCACACAAGCACATTACTGAAGGTGTTCTCCAAGAATTACAGAAGAACTTCCAAAAAATTTGTCAGAATAAGAACTGCCAAAAAAAAAAAAAAAAAAGAAGAAGAAGAAAAGAAAGGAAAAGGAAAAAAGGCTTAGAGAAGCCAGACTCTGTTATTCTTGGGAAGCTTCATTGCCAAACCAAACCCCGTCAATTTTAAGATAACATTTATATGGCATTGGGACGATTTCCTTTCATACTAAGGGAATGGGGCACTTACCTATTTCTGATTTAAATACATCAAACTGAATGTTATTTCTTTTGGAAAATAAAGATCTCAGTTTCACTTGTTCAATTCTGATTTCAAAGTTAACCTTACAATTTTAAAGACTGCAAAACTGAGCCTCTTTTTAAGTACACGATGATCACATGAATGGCAGAATTGGTAATACAATAAAAAACTCAGGGAAACTTATTCATTGATCATACATAGGGGTTGGTAAAAATATACTTGTATATAATTTCTTTATTGAAATAACACATAAGGTCTCAATGAAAATATAAATGCATATGTATATATTAATTTATTCTTAAAATAAAAACACTCAATACAAACACTCAAAACAACACTCAAAACACTCAAAAACCTAAAAAAAAGTACGTTATTCCTCAGAAAAATAAAGGAAAATAATAATAGGTTTTTAAAAATCAGGACTATTTGTTTTGTTTTTTTAATTTTACTTCAAGTTCTGGGATACATGTGCAGAACGTGCAGATTTGTTACATAAGTACACATGTGCCATGGTGGTTTGCTGCACCTATCAACCCGTCATCTAGGTTTTAAGACCCACATGCATTAGATATTTGTCCTAATGCTCACCCTCCCCTTGCCTCTTAAACCCCGACAGGCCCCAGCGTGTGATGTTCCCCTCCATGTGTCCATGTGTTCTCATTGTTCAACTCCCACTTATAAGTGAGAACATGAGGTGCTTGGTTTTCTGTTTCTGTGTTAGTTTGCTGAGAATGATGGTTTCCAGCTTCATCATGTCCCTGCAAAAGACATGAACTCATTCTTTTTAATGGCTGCATAGTGGTGTATTTGTGCCAAATTTTCTTTATCCAGCCTATCATTGATGGGCATTATGGGTTGGTTCCAAGTCTTTGCTTTTGTAAATAGTGCTGCAATAAACATATATGTGCATGTGTCTTTATAGTAGAATGATTTATAAACCTTCAGGTATATACCCAGTAATGGGATTGCTGGGTCAAATGGTATTTCCTTGAGGAATCACCACCCTGTCTTCCACAATGGTTGAACTAATTTACACTCCCACCAACAGTGTAAGAGTGTTCCTATTTCTCCACATCTTCTCCAGCACCTGTTGTTTCCTGACATTTTAATGATTGCCATTCTAAATGGAGTGAGATGGTATATGACCGCGGTTTTGATTTGCATTTCTCTAGTGACCAGTGATGATGAGCTTTTTTTCATATGTTTGTTGGCTGCATAAATGTCCTCTTTTGAGAAGTGTCTGTTCATATCCTTCACCCACTTTTTGCTGGGGTTGTTTGCTTATTTCTTGTAAATTTGTTTAAGTTCCTTGTAAATTCTGGATATTAGACCTTTGTCAGATGGATAGATTACAAAAATTTTCTGCCATTCTGTAGGTTGCCTGTTCAATATTGATGATAGTTTCTTTTGCTGAGCAGAAGGTCTTTAGTTTAATTAGATCCCATTTGTCAATTTTGGCTTTTGCTACAATTGCTTTTGGTGTTTTAGTCATGAAGTCTTTGCCCATGTGTATGTCCTGAATGGTATTCCCTAGGTTTTCTTCTAGGGTTTTTATGGTTTTAGGTCTTACATATAAGTCTTTAATCCATTTGAGTTAATTTTTATATAAGGCATAAGTAAGGGGTCCAGTTTCTGTTTTCTGCATATGGGTAGCCAGTTCTCACAGCACCATTTATTAAATAAGGAATCTTCTCCCCATTGCTTGTTTTTGTCAGATTTGTCGAAGATCAGATGGTTGTAGATGTATGGTGTTATTTCTGAGGCCTCTGTTCTGTTCCATTGGTCTATATATTTGTTTTGGTACCAGTACATGCTTTTTTGGTTACTGTAGCCTTGCAGTATAGTTTGAAGTCAGATAGCGTGATGCCTCCAGGTTTGCACTTTTTGCTTAGGATTGTTTTGGTTATACAGGCTCTTTTTTGGTTCCATATGAAATTTAAAGTAGTTTTTTCTAGTTCTGTGAAGAAAGTAAATGGTAGTTTGATGGGAATAGCATTGAATCTATAAATTACTTTGGGCAGTATGACCATTTTCACGATATTGATTCTTCCTATCCATAAGCATGGAATGTTTTTTCCTTTGTTTGTGTCCTCTCTTATTTCCTTGAGCAGTGGTTTGTAGTTCTCCTTGAAGAGGTCCTTCACATCCTTTGTAGGTTGTATTCCTAGGTATTTTTTCTCTTTGTAGCAATTGTGAATGGGAGTTCACTTGTGATTTGGTTCTCTGCATGTCTATTACTGGTGATAATAATGCTTGTGATTTTTGAATATTGATTTTGTATCCTGAGACTTTGCTGAAGTTGCTTATCAGCTTAAGGAGATTTTGGGCTGAGACAATGGTGTTTTCTAAATATACAATCATGTCATCTGCAAACAGAGACAATTTGATTTCCTCTCTTCCTGTCTGAATACCCTTTATTTCTTTGTCGTCTGATTGCCCTGGCCAGAACTTCCAATACTATGTTGAATAGGAGTGGTGAGATAGGGCATCCTTGTCTTGTGCCAGTTTTTAAAGGGAATGCTTCTAGCTTTTGCCCATTCAGTATGATATTGGCTATGGGTTTGTCTAAATAGCTGTTACTATTTTGAGATATGTTCCATCAATACCTAGTTTATTGAGAGTTTTTAGCATAAAAGGGTGTTGAATTTTATCGAAGGCCTTTTCTCCATCTATTGAGATGATCATGTGGTTTTTGTCATTGCTTCTGTTTATATGATGGATTACATTTATTGATTTGCATATGTTGAACCAGACTTGCATCCCAGGGATGAAGCTGACTTGATTGTGGTAGATAAGCTTTTTGATGTGCTGCCGGATTCAGTTTGCCAGTATTTTATTGAGGATTTTCGCATCAATGTTCATCAGCAATATTGGCCTGAAACTTTCTTTTTTTATTGTGGCTCTGCCAGGTTTTGGTATTAGGATGATGCTGGCCTCATAAAATGAGTTAGGGAAGAGTCCCTCTTTTTCTATCATTTGGAATAGTTTCAGAAGAAGGAATGGTACCAGCTCCTCTTTGTAACTCTGGTATAATTTAGCTGTGAATCCATCTGATCCTGGGCTTTTCTTGGTTGGTAGGCTATTAATTACTGCCTCAACTTTTCAGAACTTGTTATTGGTTTATTCAGGGATTCGACTTCTTCCTAGTTTAGTTTTGGGAGAGTGTATGTGTCCAGGAATTTATCCATTTCTTCTAGATTTTCTAGTTTATTTGTGTAGAGGTGTTTATAGTATTCTGTGATGGTAGTTTGAATTTCTGTAGTCAGTGGTGATGTTCCCTTTTTCACTTTTTATTGTGCCTATTTGATTCTTATCTCTTTTCTTCTTCATTAGTCTGGCTAGCCGTCTATCTAGTTTGTTAATCTTTTCAGAAAACCACCCACTGGATTGATTGATTTTTTGAAGGGTTTTTCATGTCTCTATCTCCTTCAGTTCTGCTCAGATCTTAGTTATTTCTTGTCTTCTGGTGGCTTTTGAATTTGTTTGCTCTTGCTTCTCTAGTTCTTTTAATTGTGGTGTTCGGGTGTCAATTTTAAATCTTTGATTCTTTCTCATGTGGGCATTTAGTGCTATAGATTTCCCTCTAAACACTGATTTAGCTGTGTCGCAGAGATCCTGGTACATTCTTTCTTCTCAATGGTTTCAAAGAACCTCTTTACTTCTGCCTTAATTTTGTTATTTACCCAGTAGTCATTCAGGAACAGGTTGTTCAGTTTCCATGTGCTTGTGCAGTTTTGAGTCAGTTTCTTAATCCTGAGTTTTAATTTGATTGCACTGTCATCTGAGAGACTGTTTCTTATGATTTCCATTCTTTTGCATTTGGTGAGGAATGTTTTACTTCCAATTATGTGGTCAATTTAGAATAAGTGCTATGTGGTGCTTAGAAGAATGTATATTCTGTTGATTTGGAGTGGAGAGTTCTGTAGATGTCTATTAGGTCTACTTGGTCCAGAGCTGAGTTCAAGTCCTGAATATCCTTGTTAATTTTCTGTCTCATTGATTTCTCTAATATTGACAGTGGGGTGTTAAAGTCTCTCACCATTATTGTGTGTGAGTCTAATCTCTTTGAAGGTCTCTAAGACATTGTTTTATGTATCTGGGTGCTCCTATATTGGGTGCATATATTCGGGATAGTTATCTCTTCTTGTTGCATTGATCCCTTTACCATTATATAACGCCCTTCTTTGTCTTTTTTGATGTTTGTTTGTTTAAAGTCTGTTTTCTCAGAGACTAGGATTGCAACCCCTGCATTTTTTTTGCTTTCTATTTGCTTGGTAAATATTCCTCCATCTCTTTGTTTTGAGCCTGTGTGTATCTTTGCATGTGAGATGGGTCTCCTGGATACAGCACACCAATGGGTCTTGGCTCTATCCAATTTTCCAGTCTGTGTCTTTGAATTGGGGCATTTAGCCTATTTACATTTAAGGTTAATATTGTTTTGTGTGAATTTGATCCTGTCATCATGTTGCTAGCTGGTTATCTTGCACATTAGTTGATGCAGTTTCTTCAGAGTGCTGTTGGTTTTTATGTTTTGGTGTGTTTTTGCAGTGGCTGGTAGCGGTGTTTCCTTTCCATATTTAGTGCTTCTTTCAGGAGCTCTTGTAAGGCAGGTCTGGTGGTGACAAAATCCCTCAGCATTTTCTTGTCTGGAAAGGATTTTACTTCTCCTTTGCTTATGAAGCTCAGTTTGGCTGGATATGAAATTCTGGGTTGAAAATTATTTTATTTAAGAATGTTGAATATTGGTCCCCACTCTCTTCTGGCTTGTAGGGTTTCTTCGGAGAGATCCACTGTCATTCTGATGCGCTTCCCCTTATAGGTAACCTGACCTTTCTCTCTGGCTGCCCTTAACATTTTTTTCTTCATTTCAACCTTGGAGAATCTGACAATTATGTGTCTTGGAGTAGCTCTTCTCAAGGAGTGTCTTAATGGTGCTGTATTTCTTGAATTTGAATGTTGGACCATCTTTCTAGGTTGGGGAAGTTCTCCTGGATAACATCCTGAAGTGTGTTTTCCAACTTGGTTCCATTCTCCCTGTCACTTTCAGGTTTACCAATCAATTGTAGGTTTGGCTTTTTCACATAGTCCCATGTTTCTTGGAGGCTTTGTTCATTCCTTTTCATTCTTTCTCTAATCTTGTCTTCATACCTTATTTCAGAAAGTTGATCTTCAATCTCTAATATCCTTTCTTCCACTTGATCGATTTGCCTATTGATACTTGTGTATGCTTCGTGATGTTCTCTTTTTATGTTTTTCAGCTCCATACAGTCATTTGTGTTCTTCTTTAAACTGTTTATTCTAGTTAGCAGTTCCTGGAACGTTTTATCATGGTTCTTAGCTTCCTCGCCTTGGGTTAGAACATGCTCCTTTAGCTCAGAGGAGTTTGTTATTACCCACCTTCTGAAGCCTACTTCTATCAATTCATCAAACTCATTCTCCATCCAGTTTTGTGCCCTTGCTAGAGAGGAGTTGTAATCATTTGGAGGAGAAGAGGTATTGTAGTTTTTGGAATTTTCAGTATTTTTGCTCTGGTTTTTCCTCATCTTCATGGATTTATCTGCCTTTGATCTTTGAGGCTGATGACCTTTGGATGGGGTTTTTGTATGGGGGTCTTTTTTGTTGATATGGACGTTATTTTTCTGTTTGTTAGTTTTTCTTCTAATAGTCAGGCTCCTCTTCTGCAGGTCTGCTGCAGTTTGCTGGAGGTCCACTTCAGACCCTGTTTGCCTCATATCACCAGTGGAGGTGACAGAACAGCGAAGATTGCTGCCTGCCTCTTGCTCTGGAAGCTTAGTCCTAGAGGGGCTCTGGCCTGATGCCAACTGGAGCACTTTTGTATGAGGTGTAGATCCCTGCTGGGAGATCTCTCCCAGTCAGGAGGCAAGGGGGTAGGGACCCACTTGAGGAGGCAGTTTGTCCCTTAGCAGAGCTCGAGCGCTATGCTGGGAGAATCCTCCTTGTCAAGATTCACTGTTCTCTTCAGAGCAGACAGACAGGAACGTTTAAGTCCACTGAAGCTGCGCCCACATCTGCCCCTGCCACCAGGTGCTCTGTCCCAGGGAAATAGGAGTTTTATCTGTAAGCCCTGACTGGGGCTTCTGCCTCTCTTTCAGAGATGCCCTGGCCAGTGAGGAGGAATCTAGAGATCCAGTCTGGCCACAGCTGCTTTGCCACGCTGTGGTGAATTACACCCAGTCCAAACTTCCTGGCCTCCTTGGCACTGTCAGGGGAAAACTGCCTACTCAAGCCTCAGTAATGGCAGACGCTCCTCCCCTCACCAAGCCCGATCATCCCAGGTCAACTTCAGATGGCTGTGCTGACAGCGAAAATTTCAAACCAGTGGTTCTTAGCTCGATGAGCTCCATGGGAGTGGGACTCACTGAGCGAGACAACTTGGCTCCCTGGCTTCAGCCGCCTTTCCAGGAGAGTGAACGGTTCTCTCTCCCTGGGGTTCCAGGCGCCCCTGGAGTACAGAAAAACAAACAAACAAAAAAACTCCTGCAGCTACTCTGTGTCTGCCCAATGCCCAAACAGCTGCCCAGTTTTGTGCTTGAAACCCAGGGCCCTGGTGGTGTAGGCACAGGAAGGAATCTCCTAGTCTGCGGATTGCAAAAACCGTGGGAAAAGTGTAGTATCTGGGTTGGATAGCACAGTCTCTCATGGCTTCCCTTGGCTGAAGGAGAGAGGTCCCTGGCTTCTTGTACTTCCTGGGTGAGGTGATGCCCCACCCTGCTTCTGCTCACCCTCCATGGACTGCACCCACTGCCTAACCAGTCCCAGTGAGATGAACTGGGTACCTCAGTTGGAAATGCGGAAATCCCCTGCCTTCTGTGTTGGTCTCACTGGGAGCTGTAGACTAGAGCTGTTCCTATTTGGCCATCTTGCCCTCCCCAGGACTATTTCTTAAAAGGCAGGTGGAAAACACCCACGCTTACAAAAGCAGGGCTTTTTAAAATGGCTTGGCTTTAAGAAGAAACGTCAATGAAAATATGGTGTTATCAGTTCAATGAGTGGACAACCTCATCCCACCAATGCGGTTCTTTCTCATAAACGTGTTTTAATCTCATTTCAATAACCATTAATGGTCCAGTTTTTAATCTACTGTTAAAACATTCCAGATCTCAACTTCCTCCTCTCCTTTGCTGATACAGACACAACAAAAGTAAACACACAGACAAATAAATAATCATGCATGACAGAATATTCAGACATCCCCTGTTTTGTTTTAACAACTAACCTATTTCAGGATGATGATGTCTGTAGACATGGCATTTATACTGATCAGGTATTTGGATACCTATTCAAGGCTCAGCAGTGGTATGTTTCTTAAAGTGTTTCCTTGCCTGGGTAGTTTGGAATAAACGGAAGTAGGTATTCATGTATATAAAGAATAGCGGGCAGATTGGGGAAAAATATGAGAATTCAAAATGTTACCTAACTAGTGGTGAGTTCACACCTATCGTGATATAAGCACACACATCAGACATGAATTTATTTGTAGTTGGAAATCTATCTTCCTATGAGTAGGAGAGATGGGCAAAGGAGGGGTTACTGCTCCCCTTTTGGTAGGAGGCTCCAGCATCTCCATGGCCATTTATACATTTTAGGGAAGAGGAAGCAATTAGTCCCAAATTATTGCAGCTGAACCCTCCTAATCTGAATTCACTGCCAGCATGCACACATTCAGCAATAGTCTTTTCCCCAAATACATGTCTTCCTTCTTGATCTCTGATCCATTCAGTTTTTTAGATTATCATGTAATTGATTAGATAAAAAATATATATAACAATAGTATATCTGGCAAAAATACTTAATAGAATTAGTTAACCAAATACAAAATTAACAGCAACTAGCCCAAGATGATTGTACATTTCATTTCTCTCCCCCACTGCCCTGATATTCTAAGTTTTGTGAAGTTGAAGACAGGGATGGGGAGACTCTTGCCCTTCGGGAGATTCACTTGTCTCCTTATTCTCAAACCCTTCTCATCTTTCTGTATGCCATATGAACCTAACATATTCTCCATTTGTTATACAGCGTCTTGTATGAAGTGCTGTATTTCTTTGACCATGAGAACAGCCCTGAAGCATAGCTCTCATTAACCCCCTTCCTCAAACAAATCAATTGAGCCTCAGGAAGGTTGTGTAACTGACCCTAGTGTGTCTAACCATTAGGAGCCCACTGGGGATTTAGGCCAAAATCTTGTGGTCTCACATTGAGTGAGGTCCAATGAACTCCTGTAGATGTAGTGACTATATGTCCTGGTTTGCTCTGAACAGTCCAGGATGGATGTCTGTTCCCTTTGCATCCTGCCAGACTTGATATTTTTCCCTGTCTTTCTTCACTTTCAAAAGCATCCCAGTTTGGACAATAAATGATGGGATGGCCGTGCCTTTGGAACACTGACTGATACCACAAAGGGGAAAGATGTGTTTTTTGGTTTCTTCCTTTCTCTCTTTCTCTGCAGCTTTGCTCTTGATTGATTTTCCTTTACATCTCAGACAGAACCTGCAGCCTCTCTTGGGGCATTCCTTCCAGGTTGGTCTTCTGAGAGCTTTTCTCTATTAGGATTGTATAATAAAACAGATATGCCCACCAAGAGACTCAATTGTAAGAGTGCTATTGTTTAAAAAAAAAAAAAAAAAACAGGAATTAGGAAGGAAACTTGGACTAACATTTACTGAATGCCCATAATGCGGTGAATGCTGTGCCAAGACTTTTACATAAATAAATTTCTCATTTTTCCAAAGAAAAACTGAGATTCAAAAAGATTAAGTAACCTTCCCAGGGTCTGAATAAGGATCCTAACCTTCATAGTGTGACTCACATGCTCACTTTCCCTCTCCAACATGCTGCCTCCTACTTAACTGCAAATATAATACATTCATGTGTTAATATAAAAATGTGACCAAGTGGATTAAGGTCTACATATTCCATATTTTAAAAATTTGTATTTTTCCAAGGCATTTTTGACCTATATACCGTTTTCTGTGTCACACAGCCATGCATTATTACATGGGCTTGTGGTAACCAGACATATTCATTTTTCCTTTTATTTCTTATAGAGTTACCAGTGATGTGTATGCCTGTGTGATCAGCTTCAGTAGTTTCGGTTTGGGATAGGGGCTCCTCAAGTGGCAGAGAAAATTCTGTCCATTGGTATATTGTTTTTGTTTTTTAATAAAGTTTGGCAGAACAAAATAAGGCTTCTCTGTAAAATATAACAATGCCAAGTTTACACAGCACTCACTTTTGAATTAACCTACAAAGTTTTGGGTTATTTAAAACCAGTTATTTAATGACTTCTCTCTGATAGACATTCTAGAGAGTCTACGGACTAAGAAGATTTTGGCTTGTATATACTAAGAGAACTGACAAAAAGCACTGAGCTGAAGCGAAGAAGTACAAGTCAGAAAGGCCACTGCTAAGAGAACAGATTTGAGTAACTTTTAAATGTTTTCACCAGCAAAAAAGGTGATGTTCGTGGATAATGCCTATGTTAATTAGCTTTATTTAGCCATTCCACAATGTATATGTACATCAAAACATCATGTTGTTTCAAGATCCCTTGGAAAGGAGAAAGTGTGAAATTACTCCAGAGACAAATGCCAGAGGCCACATGAGGAAGAGCACGGACTGTGGAAGCAGGCTGCCGAGTTTGAATGGCAGCTTGGATGCCCACTAGTTACCTGACCTTGGGCAACTTTACCTTTCTGTGCTTCACTTTCTTTCTGTACAAAAAGGGGGTGGTGAGAGCATCTACCTTGTGGGGTTCATGATCAATGTACAAATCCCCAGTTTTCAAAAAAAAATCATGTTTTATACCATAAATACATACAGTTTTTAGAAATAGCAAATAGTTTACAACAAACAAAAACAAGCCAGAAAGAGCATATTTCTGTCAATTACCTATGCTCGTTCACAAGCAGGCAGGGCTACTTTTCTTCACAGTTTGATGTCACCAACCTTCTGATTGTGGCCCCCTGTCTGGAAAAAAAGGGCATTTTTGTGTTCTTATACCATGTGTGAGAACACACCTCCCATGTGAATTTGGTGGTAGCCCTCAGTACAATCCCCTCCATTCTTCCCAGCCTTCCACATATACAAAGCTTCTGCTTTGTGGTCCCTGTGGCACTTTTGTGAATCTGGGGACACTCCAAGTGAATGACTCAGAATGTTTCAGCAGCCAAAACCAGGGCACTGAGCATCTCTGGCCCAGCTGCAGAAACAGCCTGCCATTAGCCAGGTTCTCCTGGAATCTATCCTTCGCCCCCAGATAAACAAAAAGGAAACATAAAGTTTTCACATCACAGCTTGCAACCAAGGGAAATTGTGAAGCAAAGTCTCCCTCTGCAACTCCTTCTGCAGCAGAATTCCAATCCCCTTGACACCAGGCTGGGACTAGAGCTCTGAAAGGAGTGTAAAGCAGCAGAAAGAACACTGTCCTGCAGACTGGGTGCTGGTCCTAGTTCTGCCACCAACTTGCTCCATGACCTTGGGCAAGCCACTGCAATTCTCAGATGTTCAGAAGCTTCACTGTCAAACAAGAGTGGACTCTATGCTTTCTGAGTTTCTTCTGGCTCAGGTATTGCAGGATTCTCTGAGTTCCTGATTAACTGGTTCTTACTAATGTATTACATTATTGTACATTGTAAACAAAAAGCCTCATCATTTATTCTGCCTGTCTCCCATGAGATAGAGAGCACTTTGGGGACAATGTCTGTACTGTCCATTTATGCCCTAAGACCAAGTATAATGTCTGACACATAATAGGTACTCAGGAAAGGGGGCCCAGCTATTTCTTGGCTAGCCAGCAGCTGTAACTGAAGGTCATTTAAGAAGGGAGGATGCTACAGCTGATTTTCAGCAGAAGAGTTACTGTAGAACAGGCCATACTCTGTATTGCATTTCAAATCTTATTTCAGTGGCACTGACTCTACCACTTTATGATCAGCTTTAATTCATCACATTAATATGTTTATCAGTATAATCCATATGTCTATTTGCTTTGTTTTATTTTCAATTTTCTCAACACAAAATGTGTGGGGGAAGGGAGAAAAAACTCCCCTTATGTTGTTAACATTTCAATTTGGAAGTGCTTTTCTTGCTGTGTCATTTAAACAGATCTCACCTTCCAAAAGTAAAAACTAGCCAGAGATGCTATTCTTCATACCCTAGCCCTTCTCTACTAGCTAGTACTGCAATGTATTAATTGGGTTCATTAATTAGTTAATTTGTTAATCAACGGACTTAATGGAAGAAATAATATTACAAAGAAAACATGAGAAAGCAAGAAAACCTGTTGAATCAATAACTTTGGTGGGTCACTAAATAATATTGTGTCCAAATTTCATTACCATTGCCCAGGCTTCTGACAAGTAAACTGTGGCAGTCAACGTGCCAGATTCCCCAAATTAAACATACTTCTTCATAATTAAATATCACAGCTTCATTGTTCCGATAACAAAATTGAAATATTTTCCACCACGATAACATCCTTAGCAGTTAATGTCATTGGAATAGAATGATGTTACCACATGATAATAGGCTCTCAATGCCAAAGTCAAGTTAGACTGTTTATTTTCAAAGCAGATCATTACATTGACTTTTTTTCCATTACCAAGTGATTGATGTAGCTTTAAAGGTGACCAACAAAAATTTCACAAAAAAATGATCTAACGATGGGGTTATGTGCTGAATGATTCAAATACCAAGGGAGATGCCACATATAGCAGCATAGAATCCATTTAAAAATTAACCTTTACCAAACCTTCAGCAGCAGTTTTGCTCTGCAAAATGAGAGCAGCTGCCAGAGGCTCCAAAAGTACCTCAAAACACAATAAAAGCTTGTGTTGACATAGTCCATTTGTCGATAACTATGGAATTCTGGAATAGAACACCTGCCAACAGAGGAACCTGGTGTACAACTAACAGACATGAGCCAACTTATCTTGACAAGCAGCCTGAAGAAAGGTGGCACTACAAATACCAGGCCCCACAAACCAAAGAAAAGCCTTCCCACACCCACACGCCTCCTAGACCACAGCTCTTTCAGCCACTTGGGGATAAAATCCTATCAGTGAGGTCATCTTCAAATACTAAAGACTAACAATGAATACCATTCTCTGAGACTCAAAGAAACTACAAAAGTCCTTTCAGCCAGAACATGCTCAGTGCAAATGATTGCATTATCACATTTTGTCTCTCTGCTTCAGAGGAAGGCAAAGGGAGAGGAGTACTCTCTCTAAAATAAAAATGCTAGGTGATTTAACTTGGAGTGGTTGACTTTCAGAATCAGATGTGGCATTGGAAAAACACACCAAGTTCTGTACACTACTCATTTTAACAAATATTTAATGAGTAAGGCATTGTGCTAAGGGCTGCTGGAGGTTGAAAAAGAAAACAAAACAAAACCCAAAAAAAGTCTACTTTACCCAAATCATACTGCCTGTTCACTGTTATTTATTTTCTCTGCATGAAGTCATTTGGGCTGGGAGAGTTCCAATTGAGCGTACTTTGTACAGTCAGTGCTTGCTGCTTGCATGAGATGTGTGCCATGCACAATATTTTTGATGTTGATGTTAATTGGTGTTGAATACAACTTATTTATAATTCTAAAGAATTATACATGTGTTATGGATGCCTGAGGCTTCAAGGGCCTAAGTTGCATGTTAAAGACTAAAAGGGGCTGGGCACGGTGGCTCACGCCTGTAATCTCAGCACTTTGGGAGACCAAGGCAGGCAGATCACCTGAGGTCAGGAGTTTGAGACCAGCCTGGCCAACATGGTGAGACCCTGTCTCTACTGAAAAAAAAACCCAAAAATTAGCTGGTTGTGGTGGCAGGCGCCTGTAATCCCAGCTACCTGGGAGGCTGAGGCTGGAGAATCACTTGAACCCAGCAGGCAGAGGCTGCAGTGAGCTGAGATAGTACCACTGCACTCCAGCCTGGGTGACAAGAGCAAAACTCCATCTCAAAAAAAAAAAGTAAATAAATAAAAGGGACAGATTTATCAACAGGACAATCCAGTAAGGTGACACTAACTAGTCACTGGCAAGTATAATAGCCAAAGTGTCTGACAAACAGTGTTAGTACAATCTTTAAATGATTGCCCATTTATGAGAATAAGCACAGTAATCCAGAGCCCCTTAAATATATTTCAAGATAGCATTTCTCAGTGTCACATGTTGCCCTAGGGAAGATCCTGTCCACTCAGGGCTAACCAAGGACTCTTCAGCCCTGATTGATATAGCTGTCCTACAAAATCCTTAGAAATGCTTTCATGCCAAGCTCCTGTCCAGTCCTCCAGCAGCTTCTGCTGTGATGTCCCCTACCTGAAGGAGATTATCCTGTCAATAAAGTTTCTAGCTCTAGGCATGCTTGATCTAGTTTGATTTTTCTGTAATGATCTGTTTGGATCTCTTGCTCCCATAGTCTTTGTTCTACTTTTTTAGCACCCTGTGCTTCTCTTCAGTAGCACTTATCCCACTTGTTATTGGTCTAATATCTGTCTTTCTCATTAGACATTAAGCAGTATGGCATAGTAGTTAACATCTGGCTTGTTCTCTACTGTATTCCCAAAATTTAGCACAGCCTTGGTGCATAGTAAGGGCTTAATTAATACTTGCTGACTTTCTTGATTCTCACATCCTAATCTTTACCCAGACTGGAACCTGTTCGTGGTCAGGGGGAACACTGAGTTCTAGCTTAAAACTCATGAAACTCTTAAGCAAGTCAAACTTGCTACCGAGGTCAACTTTACCTTGTGCTGCCTTGTAATAATGCAACATTTGACTTATTCCTCAGAAAAAAAAAAAAAGAAAAAAAAAGCCCTAACTCTGAACCCTAGTTTGCTGGTCTAAGGCTGTGACCATGGCTTGTTGCTATTGCCAGTCCTCTCTTGGTGAAGGTAAGTATTGCATGGGTACCTGCTGACAACCTTCCCTCATGGCCCATATTTCATAGTCTCCACCTCTGGACTCTGCCTATTGGTTAGATTTCTCAGATGCTTTTTCTTGGACTTATCTGATGCTGTTTGCATAGAAATCTTTCTGTTGCTTATCGTCATACTCTGACTCATTCGAAACCTAGTCTAGCTTTGGACAACCTTACTGCTAGAAGTACCATGCAGTTTGTATCGCATATATTTTTAAAAGCTTTATGTCACTTGTTAAAGATAATTAATATACTATTTTGATGTAAAAATTTTGGAATATCTTCATAATTTGTTGTAGAAATTAAGTAAAACACGTAATTCATTTAATTTAAAATAATTAAATAAATAAAGTAGCATCGAATTCTCTGTAGTCATCATTTATTCTTGAGACTTTTGGCAAGTTAAAAATATCCAGTCAACAAACTGCTTTCAAAAACAATATTTAATTAATAAGAAATTTAATAGGTAATAGAGTAACATGATGTTATACCTTGTATACGTTAAACATTTATTAGCTTCAACTTTGCTGTTATCTTTTCATATTTTTTAAGCCTCAAGTATTTTTATGGGCCCCTGAGAAGCTTATGGTCCCTAGGCAATATTCCTATAGTGTCAAAGGCAAAAAAATGCCTTGTCTTAAGAAATATTTTTATTCTCATGAACCAGTGTAAAGTTCCACAACCTGGCCTTTGCCAGTCTTCTAAGACTTGCAAATCTGAACTCTTTAACGGGCAGCTGTGTCATGGGCGATAAACAAAGCTCTTCCGTTGGGTTAGTGAAATCTCCATGCTATGTTGATTTCCCTATCATTGTTAAATACTGATAATTTTTATAAAGACTTAGGACCCTAGTCAGTGATCTTTTCAAAGAGATGTATCTGAGAGGCACTGTGACCCACCGAAGTTTCCTCAGCCACTCAGTAATGCAAGCCTTCATCAGGCTCAGGCAAAGCAGTGTCTCCTGCCTAATGCAGAGCCCAGGACAGACTTTCTCCTGGTAACCAGGCAGGCACTCAAGGACAAACATGCCATACCAACTGCAATTAGATGTGGGTCCCAAAATAGACACTCCTGGTTATAATATTAATTTACTTCAAATTACATATGCATCTCTAACGTATTACCAAATAATATGTTTCACAGATATTGGAGATGGGAAAACTTCATTAGATCATACAATTCTCTTTCTCTCTTTTTTTTTTCTGGCATCTAAATGATTTCTCCAGTACCCTATAATTAGTGGAATTGGTCATGACCAAACTGTCAACTATTCTGGAAGCACTTACTTAATCATGTTAGCAAGGGACAGGTAAAAATGTGATGTAATTGAGTCTGTATTTGCTATTTTTGGGAATTTATTTCTACCCACTGTATTGGCCCCACAAATAGAGGTTATTTCATGCTGTTTCAATAAGTAATATGCTGTTAATTCATCTTTCTAATCCACATAAGTCTGCTAAAGATCTGAACATGGTTAATTATTTTACATTGCTAGAAAATTTCTCCTACATTCCTCCAGGGAGCCAACTGCTCATTTATAGATACATCAGTGAAACGCACCTGGGTTGGTCCACCAAAGACTCAGTTCCTTTGGATAAAACCTGCTGGATTTCCATCTTCTTTGGTCAGATGATCGAGCAACAGGAGCAATGTGCTGAGTCTGAGAAGTGCAGCTGGATTAAAGGCCTGGGTCTGCTATTTACTGTTTGTGAGTCACTGGGAATTTTTCTTAATGTCTCTCTCTCTCTTCTTCACATCTTCATATAGAAAATCCTGCTGGGAGTAGGACCCGCCCATAAGGTAACTTGTAAAGATTAAATGAATTAGAGTAGTAAGCAGTCATAGAATAAATGTTCAATAAATGAAATGTGATTTGTTTGTGCCACAGAGGCCCAAATATTTGGTCAAACATTATTCTGGATCTTTTTGTGAGGATGTTTTGGATGAGATTAACACCTAAATCAATAGACTGAGAAAAGCAGATTGTGCTCCCTGATATGGGTGAGTCTCATCCAATCAATTAAAGCCTTGAATAGAACGAATAAAATCATCCTTCCCTGAGTAAGAGAGAATGCTTCCTGTCTAACAGCCTTCAAGTGGCAACATTGACTTTTCTGGTACCAAGCCTTCCAGTCTTTGGCCAGGAACTATACCATTTGCTCTCCTAGTTCTCAGGCTCTAGCCTTGGACTGAGATAAACCATCCACATTCGTGGATCTCTTGCTTGCCAATTTACTCTGCAGATCCTGGGACTTGGTCACCGCCATAATTGTGTGAGTCGATTTCTTATAATAAATCTCTTTATATACATGTGTATGTGTGTATATATAATTATATATGTGTATATATACATCTGTATGTTTGTGCATATCTATCTATCTACAGTCATATGCCACATAACAGCATTTCAGTCAATGACAGGCTGCATATATGATAGTAGCCTGATAAGATTATAATGGAGCTGAAAAATTCTTATCACCTAGTGATGTCATAGCCATCGTAACATCATAGAACAACACATTATTCAGGTATTTGTGATGATGCTGGTGTAAACAAACCTACTGTGCTGCCAGTCATATAAAAGTCTAGCACACACAATTATGTACAGTACATAATACTTGATAATGATAATAAACCACCATATTACTGGCTTATGTATTTACTATAATATTGTTTGTATTGCTGTTTTAGAGTGTGCTCCTTCTACTTGGTAAAAAATAAAGTTAACTGTAAAACAGCTTCGGGAAGCTCCTCAGAGGTATTCGAGAAGAAGGCAGTGTTACCATAGAAAACAACAGCTCCATGTGTGTTATTGTCCCTAAAGACCTTCCAGTGGGGCAAGATATGGAAGTGGGAGACAGTGATATTGATGATCCTGACCCTATGTGGGTCTAGGCTAATGTGTGTGTTTGTGTCTCAGCTTTTAACAAAAACGTTTAAAAGTAAAAATGAAAATAAAAACTTTTCAAAATAGGAAAAAGTTTATAAACTACAGATATAAAGAAAATAATCTTTATAACTGTGAAATGTTTGTGTTTTAAGCTATCACAAGTCAAAAGTTAAAAAATGTAAGTTTATAAAGTAAAAAAGTTACAGTAAGCTAATTTATTATTGAAAAACTGTTTTTGTAAATTTAATGTAGCCCAAGTATACAGTGTTTATAAAGTCAACAATTGTGTAGACTCACAACTCATTCACTGACTCAGCTAGAGCAACTTCCAGTCCTGCAAACTCCATTCTAAATGCCCTATACACGTGTATTATTTTTATCTTTTATATCATATTTTTACTGTACCAGTTCTATGTTTAGATATGTATAGATACACAAAATACCACTGTGTTACAATTGCCTGCAGTATTCAGTACAGTAACATGCTGTACAGCATAGAGGCAGTACACGTAGCCTAGAGGCAGCAGGCTATACCATATAGCCTAGATGTGTAGTAGGCTATACCATCTATGCTTGTGTAAGTATACTCCATGGTGTTTGCATGATGATGAAATCACCTAACAGCATATTTGTCAGAATGTATCCTCATTGTTAAGTAATATAAAATGTATGTGTGTGTCATATATATAATAGATATTGTATATATAATGTGTGTGTGACATTGTCACTTAATGACACATACATATACATAATATAATAAATATAATATATGAGGTGATATACATGTTATGTATATATAAATCTGGCTTGAAGATGGATGGGGCCACGTAGGAAGAAATGTGGGAAGCTTCTCGGATGCTGAGAAAAGTCCCTTACTGACGGCCAGGAAGGAAACAAGGACCACAATCATACAACCACAAGGACTGAATTCTCCCAGCAAGCTGAATGACCGACCTTCGATGTGAATTTCTCCTAGAACCTCTAGACCAAAGATCTACTTCTTTCTAAAAATTCTCACTAATATCCTAGGAGCATAAATTAATATTATCATCTTATAGGAGCAGAAACCAAGTTTCACAGTCATTAATCAATCACCCTTTCTAAGATCACAAAACTAGTAAGTACTAGAGCCAGGATTTGAACTAAAGTCTCCTTAAAGATATAGCTTGGGGGTGGATGCAGTGGCTCATGCCTGTAATCCCAGCATTTTGGGAGGCCAAGGTTGAGGGATCACCTGAGGTCAGGAGTTTGAGACCAGCCTGGCCAACATGGCGAAACCCTGTCTCTACTAAAAATATAAAAAAATTAGCTGGGCGTGGTGGCAGGCGCCTAAAATCCCAGCTATTTGGGAGGCTAAGGCAAGAGAATTGCTTGAACCCAGGAGATGAAAGTTGCAGTGAGCCAACACAGTGCCACTGCACTCCAGCCTGGGAGACAGAGTGAGACTCCGTCACAAAAATATATATATATTCCTGTTCTGTAGTAAAGAAGAAAATAAAGCTGAAGAAAATTACTTTTAGCTGAAGACAGGACAATATTTCATAAAGGAAATGTCATTTAAGCTGAGCCTAGAATATAAGTAGGATTTCACCAAATAAAACAATCCAAAGTGGTTTTGGGAGAAGTCTGAGAATTAATTTAGTTCAGATCATACCTGAGACTTAAATGCCCTCTACTTTTAGTCACTCTAAATTGATGCACGGCTTCTGCTTGGATGCCTCAGAGAGGTGATAGATGTTCCATTAGTAAACCTTGAAAAAACTTTCATTCCTGGATTATGTGGTTCTGTCATTTTAATATCCTTACTATTTCTTTTTTCCAAAATGAAGATACATAACCATAACACAGAAAGCAAGATTTTAGATATGAAAAATCTGATCCTAAAGAATATTGTCGGCCGGGCGTGGTGGCTCACACCTATAATCCCAGCATTTTGGGAGGTCAAGGCAGGTGGATCACCTGAGATCAGGAGTTCGAGACCAGCCTGGCCAACATGGTGAAACCCTGTCTCTATTAAAAATACAAAAATTAGCCAGGCTTGGTGGTGGGCGCCTGCAATCCCAGCTACTTGGGAGGCTGAGGCAGGAGAATCACTTGAACTCGGGAGGAGGTTGCAGCGAGCTGAGATTGTGCCACTGCACTCCAGCCTGGGCAACAAGAACAAAACTCTATCTCAAAAAAAAAAAAAAAAAAAAAGGATATTGTCAATTTTGGGAAGTGATCATAGCAGGATATTAGCAGGGTCAGACTTGCATTTTCAAAGATCTCTCCAGAAATGTGGAGGATGTGAGTGGGTTAAGGGAGGAGAAAGATGAGATGAGACTCTAAATGAGAGTATATCTATAAGTATGGAAAGCAAGAACAGACAGAAAGGAATATTGAGACATATGACTGGAAGTATCAGCAATTTATTGATAATAAAAAGGGATCAATCAAAAACGAGTCAAGTGTCTGGCTGGGGAGATAGGATGGATAGTGAAATGGAGATTCAAAAGGTTGAGCAAATTTTTAGAGCAAAGGTGTTTGGTTTGTTTCCATACCTAAGACATTCGAGGCATCCCTATGATCTGAGGATGAAATATTACTTCTAGTTACCGTAGAGGTGAGGTATGAAGAGAGACATTGGGGTGTCATCATTAAGGTGACAACTAAAGCCCTACAAATGGGCAGGCCTACCCACGGATAGAAGCTAAGGAAGGACAGCAGTGATTAAAGGATGGAACCCTAAGCAACACCAACACTAAGAGCGGGAAGAAGAAGGGAATTGGGAAAGGAAGGAGAAATTGTAGGAGAAGCAGGAAAAACACAAGGGGAAATTTATTGTATATATTTTTCCCCTGCTATGGTATGTATGCACAAGCATAAGTTAAGAAAAATTATTGAGAAATACTATTTTCTTATTTAATCACTCCCATATAATTAAAGACTGCCCATCCTCCTCAGTTTTAAAATAGTGTACAGTGAGTTCCTAGTTCACTGGGTTAGGAAAAAACAGAGACAATGTGTCAGCACTTATTCCTCTGTTTTCTGTGCCAATTCCCTCTTCAGTCTCCAGGCTGTCGCCCTCTTCTGTGAATGTCCATATCATGGGTATTTGAGCTGAAGCCCTGGCAGCTCCAGGCTGCCCCTGCACCATGTTTTTTCTCTTACATGAAGCCTCGATTAATCATCTTTTGCCTTCGAGTGAGAAACTCAGTTCTTGAAAATGAAGAAATTCAAGTTTCGATTTCAATTAACTTAGCTTGTGACTGCTGTATCAATGGTGAATCATGCCTCTTTGAGGAGTGAGATTAACAAAAATAAATGAAAGTAATGAGGGTGGCAGCCAGGGCAAAATCACCCTTTCATTACATTACTTTCTACCAAATAACTTTACAGTGTTCCTATCAGAAGGAAGAAAAAAAAGACTTCAGAAGAATTATAATTGGCAATCCTTCATTAGCAAAAATTAAATCAATCAAGAAAGGCCTCTGGTTCTTTGATTTGGGTCCAGCATATTCACTTTCCTCACTTCCAAAGCCTTGGTTTCATGTCTCCCCCAACCCCCTACTTAAATTTGCAGCACCATGACAACCATTATATATTTTACTTGTGCATCCATTTAGAATCTATTTTCCACCATGCAAAGTCCATGAATGTTGAAGGTTTTTTCCTACTTTATTCACAACTGAATTTCCAGTATGTAGAACAATTTTTGACACATAGTACATGTTCAATAAATAAATTACTTTTTTCACATCAACATCAAATTTATTTCTACTATATTATATGATGCCAACAAATAAGATATAAATTATTACTAAAAATAATAATAATATTAACAAACTTGAGAGATATGTAGTGAAAATACTCCTAGTAGTGTTCGTATGGAGCTACATAACCTTGAACAGTTAATTTCTCTGGACTTTATTCATCTATAAGACAGTGAAGCAAATTAACCCTTAAGATCCCTTATAGCTCCAGAATCTGAGGATTCTAAGTTTAGGGTAAACCAAGGAAATGAAAGAAGAGAATGGAAGGGTCAATATCTCAGAATGCTTTTAATAATGGAATGGTGGCCTCAAAGGGTAAAATGGGACAGAGGTAAAAGTGAAAACAGGGTGTGGGGAAGTAGAGAAAGTGGTCAGTCAACTCTGAAAAGCAGGGCAGAAATGAGAGAGTTCAAGAAGAGACAGTTCATGAAGTGTTTGTCTTAGGCAATCATTGTGCACTTCAGGATGAAAGATACAAGACCAGGGATGCATTTATCATCTCTTAAGAAGTTGTTGAGGAAGAAGTTCTGAGTTAATAACTGCAGGAAGGAGGAGAACTACCCAGGAACAAAGTTTTTGTTGGGACCCTGGTATTGCCACCCATCCCTGAGGAGCTTCGGTTTCATGGCTGACTCCAGGCTGCTGACAGTGTCTTTTCATTCTTGGCTATGATGGTAGAGAATGAGCTGATGAAGTGATTCAGATACATCCTTACACTTGAAAAATCCAAAGAAAATTCTTAGTGGCCCCTCCTAGAAAATCTCAGGGGATGGTTCATCTACTGCAGGCCTTTCCCCTCCTTCTTGCCTCTGCTCACCACCACAAATAAAAGAAAGTTTTTCTGAATACTTATTTTGTTTCACAAGGCCCCAATCTCAAACTAATCTGCAGTTAAAATGTAGACATTGGAGGGGATTTATCTTAGAGAAAGTTCAACTTTCTCAATAAGTACATACTTGCACAATATTCAAAATGACTTTAAGTAAATATTTGGTTTCATTTGCTCCATTCTTTTTTTTTCTTCCACTCAGGAAAGAATGCACCAAACACATTCACATCAATTTTCTTTCTTTTTTATTTTTTTAAGCAAATCACAAAGACCCAGCTTACCAGCTTTCCTTTTTTGTTTTGTTTTGTTTTGTTTGAGACAGAGTCCTACTCTCTCCCCCAGGCTGTACGGCAGTGGCGTGATCTCGGCTCACTGCAACATCCACCTCCCAGGTTCAAGCAATTATCCAGCCTCAGCCTCCTGAGTAGCTAGAACTACAGGCACACACCACCATGCCCAGCTAATTTTTTAAATTTTTAGTAGAGACGGGGTTTCACCATATTGGCCAGGCTGGTCTTGAACTCCTGACCTCAGGTGATCCGCCCGCTTCGGCCTCCCAGAGTGCTGGGATTACAGGCGTGAGCCACCGTGCCTGGCCACAGCTATACTTTTTTAAACCTAAGCTTAACATTACATATTTAAACAATTGTCAAAACGTATCAAGTTGCCAGCATTCATGCACAACTGGAAAACATTCTTAATTTATATTAAACCAAAAATGTATTACCATTATTTAATTAATATCTTTCACTACTAAATACTGAAAAAAAAATTGAAGTTATTTCTGTACAACAGGGGTCCCCAACTCTCGGGCCACTGACCTGTAGCAGTCTGTGGCCTGCAGGAACTGGGTCACACAGCAGGAGGTGAGCAGTGGGCAAGCCAGCAAAGCATCATCTGTATTTACAGCCATTCCCCATTGCTGGCAATATCTCCTGAGTTCCATCTCCTGTCAGATCAGTGCAGTATTAGATTCTCATAGGAACGTGGACCCTACTGTGAACTGCACATGTGAGGGATCTAGGCATCATGCTTCTTATGAGAAGCTAATGCCTGATGATCTGTCACTGTCTCCCATCACTCCCAAATGGGACTTCAGGAACACAAGCTCAGGGCTCCCCCTGATTCTACATTAAGATGAGTCGTATAATTATTTCATTATATATTACAGTGTAACAATAATAATCATAGAAATAAACTACACAATAAATGTAATGTGCTTGAATCATCCCAAAACCATCCCCAACCCCCACTCCAACCGTGGAGAAATTGTCTTCCATGAAACCGGCCCCTGGTGCCAAAAAGGTTGAAGCCTGTTGCTGTAGAAGATTCATCCTGTCAATGTTAACTTCACAGCAGGACAATACTAGGAGGCTCACATTTCAGATACAACGGGAAAGCAAATCCATGCTGGTGTTAGTATGCAATCTCATCCTACTACAAAATGGTAAAGTCTCACCTTGGAGTACGTTTAATAAAAAGGCAAAGTGCACACAGAGATTTCAACAATTTTAAAGACAAAAAAAGGTCCCAACGATAAACTCAAAAGTCTATGACAAATAGGGGCTCTGTTGAGCTGTTTGTAAATACTTTAGATTAGGTACAATTAAACTGAAAGTAGTGTTTGTTTGAAATCTTTAAAAAAAAGTTCCTGTTGGCCTGGTGCGGTGGCTCACGCCTGTAATCCCAGCACTTTGGGAGGCCGAGTTGGGCAGATCACGAGGTCAGGCGATCAAGACCATCCTAGCTAACACGGCGAAACCCTGTCTCTGCTAAAAATACGAAAAAATTAGCTGGGCTTGGTGGCATGCACCTGTAGTCTCAGCTACTCGGGAGGCTGAGGCAGGAGAATCACTTGAACCCGGGAGGCAGAGGTTGCAGTGAGCCGAGATAACACCACTGCACTCCAGCCTGGGCAACAGAGCGAGACTTTGTCTCAAAAAAAAAAAAACAAAAAAAAAAAAAACAGTTCCTGTTAATCCTCAAATGGCACTTGTTATTATTTAACATTTCTGTTAAATGCATGCATTGAATTACTTGTTACCCAAGCCAGAAGCTGCTTCTTACCTTTTATCGTTTAGGACTTTAACTAGCTGTCTTTTTCAACATCTATTCCTTCTTGACAATCCTCGACAATCCTCTTTGTAGTAATTTTCCTGCCAACCATTTTAGTAGAAGTTGATAGAGATTTAAAGTTACCCATCCCAGTACCACCAAATGAGGTGGAAGAGAATGAAGTGAGACCCCCATGACCTGAATGAAGTAAATCCAAAGAAGTCAAAAACTTCCACCAAAAACTTCCCTGAAGACATCACCTGGGTTACAGAATGTGAAGCCAAACTCACGGAACTGTCAAAATGACTTCCACCTCCTCTCCGCCAACTAATCTTTCTTTGCCATATTTTTCACAGATGTCCGCTTTTTAGCATCTGACAGCACTTCATAGGCCTTGGCTACTTGTTTGAATTTTCTCTCTGCTTCTTTATTCTCAGGATTTTTATCTGGGTGTTACTTCAGTGCCAGTTTTCGATATGCCTTTCTAATATCCTCAGTTGAGGCATGTCTCTGCAAGCCCAGAACTTCATAGTAATCCACCATGTTTTAACAGATTGTTGGAACAGGTCCCAGGACAGAGGCGACTGGCAGTGAGATACAGGGGAGGCGAAGTGGTGGCCCAGGTCTCCTCTAGGCTCCAGCACCGCTGTGCTGGTGGCAGCGGCCTGCTCCGCTCTTTAAAAACAAAATCCAACTGACAAAATAACATCACTAAAATTTCATTAAATAAAAAATCACTAACATCAAATATAATCAAATAAAAACATAACTATTCCTCTAGCATAGCTACCTACAAATGCAGTAGGGTTTCCTAATTAAAACCGAAAAGAAAATAAACTCACCAAATCCCACCGGAATTCATTGAATGCGGCTAAAAAGTTTTTAAATATAGAACAGTGAGCTTGCTTTGTGAATAAGTCTGTGCATTCTTTTACTTGTTTATTTAAATTATAACTGCTGTGTTTAAATATTACAAAGAAAATAAATATATCCTTTATTGAAAGAAGTGGAAACAATAATTTTAAATGACTTAATTAGCTCTACCAATCCATTCAGCTACTGCTTTTTAGTCTGTACTAGCAGGAAACCATGACTTCCTGAATTTGGAAATGATGCATAGCCCCCAATAAACTTACACAATAATGTGGCCCATTTTTTCTTCCAAACATAACAGCAACTGATCTTTATTCATTTTGTCTAAAGTAAAAATTTGCATATCATTTCAATTTTTTAAGCGATTTCTAGTAATATTTGAAGAGTATTCCAGGTATATCTTAGCAGGCAGGTGAGGAAGGCAGACCTACTGGTTTTATTTTCATGAGAATTTCAGGGGACTGATGGTAAGAGAAACATGTCTGGGCCTCTTGGGATTGAGGAGTGGCCCAGAAATCTGGGGATAATGACTCCTGCTTAGCTTCACAGGCATTATACTGTTTGAAGAGAAACTCATTCGAAGGGAAGAAGAGTCAAGACATTACATTGGGCTGGGCACGGTAGCTCACACCCATAATCCCAGTACTTTGGGAGGTCAAGGCAGGAGGATCACTTGAGGTCAGGAGTTCGAGACTAGCCTGGCCAACATGGCAAAAATCCATCTCTACTAAAAAAAAAAAAAAAAAAAATCAGCCGGGCGTAGTGGCGCACTCCTGTCTCAGCTACTCATGAGGCTGAGGCAGGAGAATTGCTTGAACTCGGGAGGCAGTACAGCCTGAGCAACAAAGCGAGACTCAAAAAAAAAAAAAAAAAAGGACATTACCTTGGTCCATTAGCTAAGTTCAGTGTTTATTTATAAAGGTAAATGGTTTTTAGTACAGTATAATGTGGTATCATTAAAATTGTAAGTCCAAGCTGCACAAAGAATGTGTGCCAAGGAAGGAGGAGAAGGTACAGCAATTACAATATTTATCAAATGGAAAAGCACATTACTAGAAGTACCGTGGACCACTTAGAACACACTGTGACTATAGCAAAGAAGTTATATTCTGAGGAAAAAATGAGTAATTTCTGCCCTACTGCTTCCCTTCACCCAAACGTTACCACCAATAGTGAGCCATGGTTTCTAACATTTCACAAGTGAGTTGACTCATTCTTCAAGTAACATGTTATACAAATAAAAGACCAATGAAGGGAAGCTCCTGCATTGGTTTTTTAGATAGCTGGTGAAACGTTAGTTCTGGATGTGTGAAAAGGGTGTTTCTGGAAGAGATTAACATTTGAATCAGTAGACGAAGTAAAGAAGATCTGCTCTCCATAATGTGGGCAGGCATCATCCCATCCTTGGAAGACCTAGATAGAACAAAAAGATGGAGGAAGGGTGAATTCTCTCTCTCTCTTCTTAAGCTGGAGCATTCATCCCCCTTCCTTAGACGTTGGAACTCCTGGTTCGCAAGACTTCAGATTCCAGGACTTACACCACTCCCCAACACTGAGTTCTTAGGCCTTTGGACTCAGACTGAATTATACCACCAGTTTTCCTGGTTGCCCAGCTTGCAGACAGCGTATCATTAGACTTTTGGGCCTCTATGATTGCATGAGCCAATTCCCATAATAAAAATATATGTGTATTTTGGGATATATAGGATACACACACACACACACACATATCCTGTTGGTTCTGTTTCTCTGGGGAACCCTGACTAATACAGCCTATCACAACAGTGTAGTTATAAATGTATGGAGTACAAGTGTGATTTTGTTACATGCATAGATAGTGCACCAGTAAAATAAGATTTAGAGTACCCATCACCCAAATAACATACATTGTACCTATTTGGTAATTTTTTATCATCCGTTTCACTCTTTCACCTTTCTGAGTGTCCATTTTCCATCATTCCACACTCTATGTTCATGTATCACAACAGTTTAAAGCTAAATTGGGAGCAGTAAGACTGGTCAAGATTGATTGGATTTGGGATATATTTTACAGATAGAATTGACAGAATTTGATGATAGATTGGGAATTCATAGAATGCAGGAAGTACTATCAGATGAGTAGATTTCTATGAGGAGACTAGAGGACAAGAATTTAGGAGTTAGCTAATTGCACATCCTATGTTTTAGAAGTTCAAATCAATATGTATATAGAGTGCATATATATATATATATGCACATTATATATAGTTTTTTACATTTACTCATATTAAATTACCATATTTGTATATCAAAAAATGGTTGTCAAAAATTTTATATGCTTAAACCAAATAAAAATAAATTCAAGAGTAATAAGCATATAAATGTTATTTAAAACCATAGCACTTAATCAGATTGTGTATCATGCTGGAGTAAATGGAGAAGAAGAGACACAAAAACTGAGCCCTGGGACACTTCAACCTTTACAGATCAGGAAGATAAAAAGGAAGCAGAAAAAGGGAACTAAGAAGAAGTAATGTCTGAGAAAAATTAGAAAATTTTGTCTTAGAAGACAATTGGAGGAAGTATTCCAAGGAGGAGGAATGAATCACATTTGATGAAAGCTTTTAATAGGTTAAGTAACCTGAAGACTCAGAAATGACCATACAAATGAAACCAATTAGCTTTACAAAAGGCAGTTCATTCATAATGTTGGAAAAAAAAGAAACATGTGTGCTCTAAAAAATAAATTCATTACTAACAATGTCAATTGGTAATTGGCATATGATTTCTCAAAGTTTAGGCTTCCTTTTTTTTTACAGTTTAGATATAGTATATTTCCCCACCACCCTAATAGGTTTAAATAAGTATCTTTGCAAGTTAAGTCTATTGCTTAAATAATGCAGAAATATAAAATAAAATTTTTTTTATTTTTATTTTTTGAGACAGAGTCTCTCTCTATCACCCAGGCTAGAGTACAGAGGCTCGACCTCAGCTCACTGCAAGCTCTACCTCCCAGGTTCACGCCATTCTCCTGCCTCATCCTCCCAAGTGGCTGGGACCACAGGCACCCACCACCATGCCTGGCTAATTTTTTGTATTTTTTTTAGTAGAGGCGGGGTTTCACCGTGTTAGCCAGGATGGTCTCGATCTCCTGACCTCATGATGTGCCCACCTCGGCCTCCCAAAGTGCTGGGATTACAGGCGTGAACCACCGCGCCCGGCCCAGAAACATAAAATCTTAAGTCAGCAGATGGATTAGACTTCAAGCACCCAGAAGCATGTTCTGGTGGGAAATATCTGTACCCAGGAAATTAATCTTTACCCAGTCTCAGAATAAATGCTCAAAAGAAAAGTATTGAAGCTTTTGTACCAGTCACTTGGAACCTGTTGTGAAGAGATATATTGGCAGAATTATGCACAAGTGGTCAGGTAAGCAGATTTTTTAAAAGAGAAAAAGAAGAAGGAAAATGCCAAAATTGATATGCCCAGCAAAATTTTCATTCTATGAAGTGATATGATGTATGGTTTCCTACTTTGTGTAACTGAATCTGTAAATATCTATATCTTTTATCATAACAAAAATGCCTTCACCCTCACACACATGCAAAGAAGAACATTACATCCTAGGACAAAGAATCAGAGATTAAAAAGAAAAAGATCATAAATATATATGCACCTAACAATATAGTCTCAAAATATAGAAAATAATTTTAAAATGATAGAAAAATTTGTAGCTGGAAATTTTAATCCAGTTCTCTCAGAAATTAATAGTTTAAAGCAACCAAAAATAAATAAATACATAAAAAATTCGAATAACATAATCAATTATTTTGAATTAATAGCTATATAGAGACATTTACACCCAACAACAAAAAAAGAGAGAAAGTATATTTAGCACATATGAAGCATTTGTAAAAACTAACTAGTACTAGAACAACTATGACACAAAAGAAGCCTCAACAAATACCAAGTAATTAATAGCATAAAGGTACTTTCTCTAACAATAATATGATAAAATTAAAAATTTATTATAATCAAATAGCTTTAAAAATAAAATATATATGGAATATGAAAATACACAACTAAGTACTCTTGGGACAAAGAAGCAATAATGTAGAAATTATAATATACTTCAAATTGAATGACAATGAAAACACTACCTACCAAATGTTGCATCACAGCTTATGTTAAAAGAGTATTTAGAGTTTTAAATCTACTTAAAAATAAGAAAGCTATAAAATAACTGAGTCAAAGACAGAGCCAGAAAACAATTACATAAAGCTTATTTTAAATAGTTAACAAAACTAAGTGGTAATTCTTTGAATAGACTAATAAAACAGAAAAGGCCCTAGTAATACTACTTTTAAAAACATGGAAAAAATTACTAGCAATAAGTTATAGATGTAATAGAGATTTTTAAGATAATAAAATATTATTAAAACTATATGTCAAGACATTTGAAAACCTAGCATAAATGGATATATTTCTGGGGAAAATATAATATGTCAAAATAAACCCAAGAAGAAATATAATACTTGACTAGATGAATCACCATTAAAGAACTGCATATGTGAATCAGGAACACCTCCTCCAAAAAATGACCAAACCTTGGTCCAACATGGTTTTGCTGTTGAGTGCTACCAAACTATAAAGAAGAGATAATCCCTTTTCACATACAAGTTGTTCCAGAATAATAGAAGAAAAGGGTAAGCAGCTCAACTTATTTTATAAAGCTAGTGTAACTTGAAATCCAAAAATAGATGAACAATAGAAGAATAGAAAATTATGAATATTTTTAAACATGCGCAAATCTGTATATAAATTATCAGATAACTGTATCTACTTGTAAAAAAATAATATATCATGATTTAGTATAGTATAGTCAAACAATCCAAGATTGTTCAATATTAGCAAACTTAATGAAATTCACAGCATTAATAAACTAAAAGGAAAAATCATAAAGTTATCTCAATAGATGAAGAAAATAATATTTGATAAAGGTCAATACATATTCATGAATAAATTCTCAGAAAACTAAGTGAAAGGAATTTCCTTGACTTGATAAATTTATCTACTAAAAACCCAAGGTTAACTACATTATCTTTTAAGAACTAGAACAAAATAAAAATTTCCATATCTCTGATAATACACATCTTAATGCAGGAAGAAAGAGAAGTATGGATTATGATGATTGCAAGGTGCAAGACATGTCAAGATGATATAGTAATGTACAGGAAAAAAAACTGAAACAACAAGCCATTGAAACTAATAAGAGTTAATCAAATTTATAAATATACTACCATATTACAGAAATCAAATAACTATAAGATGAGGGTAAATGAATAAAAAGTGGACAAGGTATTGGTGATATGGAATTGTTCAAGCACTTTTAACTATCAAAAAAGAAGAACTGAATAAACATACCACATTTAAATTTAATACAATACCAAGGTTTTTTTAAAAGTCCGTAGAAATTTTTAGGGGAACTTTGAAAACATTTTTAAGTTTATATGGAGGAATAAAATATCCAAATAGCTGTGACTCAATATCAAGTATTGAGACAAATTAGAAAGACAGAACAATAGAAGAGTAGAACTGGTTTGAAACAGACAAAAAGAAAAACTAATGGGGCAAAATAAATAGTCCAGAAATAAGACTATGTATTGATTATCTTTATATAGAATATAAAGCAGAAATTCAACTTTTTCCTCACTATATAGAGTGTTATAATATATTTCTCCAAAACATCTACAAAACAACTTGGACTTTTCTCACAAATTCACATTATGAGAATTTACTGGAATCCCTGATGGAGACGTATTGGAAAAATAAAAGATTTTCATGCCTACACCCAACTCAATATACTGGTTTCACTGGTTACAATGAAGTCTAGGAATATCTTAAATCCAGTGGTTTTGCTAACAGCACAGTGAAGCTAAGGATTCCCAAAGTTCAAACCAATATGCCTCTGAAAAGAACAATACAATATTTATAAGAAAATTTAAATAGAAACATGATGAGGAAAAAGAAGTAACTGACTTGAGGCTGTCAATATTAGTGAAGTGATCTTCCAAAATATTTTATAGAGGCAAAATAGTTTCTCCAACATTATAGGGACTACTGGAGTTCCTGATGGAGTTGTTCTTTCATGTTTAAGTAGTATGGGCTTTTTGAGAAGGAACATATTTTTTCTTACCTTTCCTGCTATATACAAAGAAAAACCTTTGACATTATGTAGAACAAACATAAAAGATTCTGAAAGATGGAGAGAAGATGGTAAGTCAGCCAGGAGCATTAAGACCCAAGGAACAATATGGTAGTGACTATCCTGGGTTTTTGTTTTGCCTCATTTATCCCAGGCTTTGAGCTGAAGAAGCTGGCAACCTCAAAAGACAATGACCACAGACAAAAACCAACAAAACAAAACAGTCTCCTGCTAAAGAACAGTCTCTAGCCAAAGAATAAGAAAATGGCAGTTTAGTAAGATAGAAAACTTTTGAAAAATAGCTGTGCTACTCTGGGTAAACACCACAGAAAAAAACAAACAAAAAACTATGACACCCATCCCTATACCCCATACCCGAGAGCAAAGGCCCAGTGGGGAGTCTAGACTTTCCCCATCAGTGGTTGCAATGAGGAGTCTCAACCCTGCCACCAGGGTTGTGGCAGGGAAAACTGAGGAGAGGGTTGGAACCTTTATCCCCACTAGGTGGTAACAAGGCTCTGCATTCCTCACAGTATCAGTGAAAACCACATAGGGACCCTGGACTGTTACCTCCACCCAGCAGAAATGAAGTACATCTCTCTCTCTCTCTCTCTCTCTCTAATGGAGTGGTGTCAGAAAAAAGCTATGACTCAAGGTTTTCATCACCTCCCAACAATAATGAGGTAAAGCCCCTGCTGTGGGATCAATGGATGCCTCATGGGGAGTGAATCCTCCCAACTTCGTCTAGTAGTAGAAAGAAGTGTCCCCTTCAGGTGACAATACAGACCAACAGGAAACCAGCTAAAAGAGATTGTTTAAATAAGATCTAGGTTTTCAGTACACAGTATTCAAAATGTCCAGGTTCAAATTCCAGAACTAGGAAGATTTCATACTGACTGAAAAAGGCAATCAAGTAATGCCAATATTAAAATAACAGAGATGGCAGAATTATCGGAAAAAAAGTTTTTAAGTAACCACCAAAAAAATGTTTCAACAGGCAATTACAAACATGCTTAAAACAAATTTTAAAAAATAGATTATGGTGTTAGGAAATAACTAAATAAAAAGAGAGAGAGAGAGAATCTGAGCAAAGAAATAGAGATACAAAGGACAGCCAAATGGAAATTGTAGAACTGAAAACTATAAAAATTAAAAATTTTAAAAATCAATGGATATATTCAGTAGTAGAATGGAAGTGACAGGGGAAAGAATCAGTGAACTGGATGATAGAACAATACAAAATTACTAAATTTGAGCAACAAAAAGAAATTTTAAAAGACCAGAAAAAAAACCTTCATGGACACGTGAAACTATAACAAAAAATATATAACATTCTTGTCATAGGAGTCCCAACGTCAGAGGAGAAAGAAGACATGAATAGAAAATTATTCAAAAGACTGGGCATGGTGACTCATGCCTGTAATCTCAGCTCTTTGGGAGGCCAAGGCAGGAGGATTCCTTGAGGCCAGGAGTTTGAGACCAGCCTGGGAAATAAGGGAGACCTCATCTCTACAAAAAATGAACAAAAGCTAGCTGAGTGTGATGGTGTGTGCCTGCAGGCCCAGGTACTCAGGAGGCTGAGATAGGAGGATTACTCAAGCCTAGGAAGTCAGACTGCAGTGAACCATGATCATGCCCCTGCACTCCAGCCTGGGCCACAAGGTAAGAACTTGTCTCAAAAAAAAAAAAAAAAAAAAAAAAGGAAGGAAGGAAGGAAAAGGAAAAAAATTACTCAAAAAAATAATGGCTGAGAAACACTCCAAATTTGGCAGAGTACACAAACCTACAGAGTCAAAAAGCTAAGTGAACCCCAAATATGATAAATCCAAAGAATCTATGCCAGGACATGTAATCAAATTTCTGTAAACTAATTTTTTCAAGAATTTTTTGAAAGCAATTTAAAAGAAACCACACTTTATGATGACTTATAATGTTTCAACTTATAATTTTTTTTCTTTACATTGGGTTTATAAGAACATAACTCCATCATAGATTGAAGAGCTCATCATGACTTACAATAGGGTTACAATTTCTACTGAATATGTATTGGTTTTGCACCATTGTAAAGTCGAAAAAAAGGTTAGTTATAAATCCAGGACCATCTGCTGTGTTGTCAGCATTGAATGCATTTTTGACTTACAATGGTTCATTAGGATGCAGCCCCACCATAAGTCAAGAAGAAACTGTGTAAGAGAAGAATTCAAATAATAGCAGATTTCTCATCAAAAGCCATGAGCACCAGAAGTAAGTGGAACATTTAACATGTATAGAAAAAAACTGTCAACCCAGAATCCTATATGCAGTCAAAATGTCCTTCAGGAATGAAGGAAAAATCAGACATTCTCAGATGAAAGAAATCCAAAGGAATTTTTCACCAGGTGACCTACCTTAAACAAATGGCTAAAAGAAGTACTTTAACAGAAAGAAAATATTTTTTTAAAAAAGGAAACTTGGAACATCAAAAAAGATGAAAGGCTATGGTAGAAAAAAATGTGGCTAAATACAATAGGCCTTTTCTTTCTTCTTGAGTTTTCTAAATTATGTTCAACAGTTGAAGCAAAAATTATAATATTGTATGTATGATGTGGTTCTAAATGTATGTAGAGGAAATATTTAAAATATTATAAATGGAGAAGAGTAAAGAAACATAAAGGGAAGGAAGGTTTCTATACTTCACTCTAACTGATCTAATAATTACACTAGTAACTGTTAACTTAGGTAAATATAATGTAATACCTAGAGCAACCACTAAGAAAAAAATACAAAGATACTCAAAAACAATAGTGATACATCTAAATGGAATTCTAAAAATTGCTTGAGTAACTCACAGGAAGGCAGGAAAAAGGAAACAGAGAGATGAAAAACAGAGAAAGTAAAGATAAAACAAAAGAGTGTTGTTTTCATACCCATTGGTGTGATATATGAGATGAGATATATTCAATGTCTTATACAAATCCTGGACCTACCTGACCTCTTAGGTCAGTTTCAAGTTCTGTGACATTGTGCTTCCAATGACTATGAAATGTAATAATGTCTGGCTGCTACTTAAAGGCAAGAATTTTGGCCAGCTCACTAAGACTAGTTTCACTCATCCCCATCTGCCTTCCCCACAGTTAGTACAGGGAAGAGAAAATTCGGCTAGATCAAGCTTTCTCTGCCTTTATAATACAATTCAATGTCCCTTGGACACATCCTGAATGGTGCACTGTCCTAGACTCACTCTGTAGTCTGGGGAGTGCCTGGAAAGCTGGAAATTATCTTTGTTTTCAAGTTATACAGGGATGAGGAGAGTGGACAAACATCAATTACAAGCAAAGTGCTAAATCTACCCTGGGAATTGCCTACATAAGTGAAAAATCAGATCAACTACCTAGAAAAACTCAGAGTTTTAAGAATACTGTTTCTAGAATCCAAATTCCCAAAATGGTTCATTACAGTAGTCTCATTTTTTTTTCAAAACCTTAAATGAAAAGTGCTGTTAGCACTGATATTTCAATATCATTGACAGAAAACATGAGTGGAATAACCCCTAGTGACATTTCTGTGGTTCTGTGAGATTTGCAGTGATGACAGGCATAAACGTTTGATTTTGTTGAGGAAGTTAGTAGATGGAATTTCGTGGGTTTACAAGAAGCACTTACTATGTATGTTATAACAAGATAAGAGTTCAGGATCCCTCTAAATCATAAGACCACATTCAGAATCATAATCTCAGCTTGAATGGTCTAGTAAGATTATCACACTACTATTCCTTGACTCCTCAAAACCATAGGCTGCTTACTCTCTTGGTCACCTATGATTTGGAGTATTTGATAACTGTATTTATACCACTTTTAGATTACTAACATCACTACAGTGGAACTTAAATTCTGTTCATCAAAGATGTGATACCAATTTTAAGTAAATATTTGTAATGGCAGATTGAAATTCACATTCTTCCCCTCCACAGGCCCAAAGTAAGGACAGAAGATTTGAAATTGGGTAATTAAATAGCATTTGAAAGTAACTTCTTATAATCAAGCATATCTATCATAAAACTTGATTCCCATTTAAAAAAGCCAAAGTCTTTTCTATTTTTCTATGGTTCAATTAAAATTCATTAAATTTAAGAAATATGGAAATCCTTCACAAATAAAAACATGAGGTGAGTAGAGATTGCAGGCAGACATTTTTGTCTATCTAGTTGAGTTTCCAGCCTCTTATTTCCCAGAACAATTTTTAAGTAGGACATAGAAATCAGAAAGGCGATATAATCTCAAAATTGGCTGTGATTCAGGGTTGTGTTATTGGTGTCTTCCAGGAAGCCAATTTTTTAAAAAATGAAAGAACACTGTTTTACAAATGGCAAGTCAAAAACATACAGGTTTATTTTAAGGAATTTCAGGTGTGTTTCTACACCCTACTTCTTCTTTGCCAATTTTTATCTATGAAGGAGGGTGGCAGAAATGTTAACTCTCTGGTGGGCTGAGGACAAAACATGAGCGTATATGTGCCCATGTAACTAACATACACAGATGCACAGCCCCCACCCCCTGCAAACATGCATTGCCTACTTAATTTCTTCTCTGTCTACTTCTCCAATACCATCTAAGAAAGGGGATGTGTGAATGGATTGAGAACCTCATTCATTATGGAAGAAATGTTCCATTCCTTGGTTCTGTTGGTCTTGGGAGAGAAGATATGTGTTAGGAGTAAAATGTGCATGACTTCATATTGTTCAGGACAGAATGGCATGGACAAGAGCTGTTTGTGTCCACTGAGGACAAGGCTCCCAGGAGTTTGGGGATAACAAATATTAGAGAGGAAAAGCAATTGTAATGGTCATTAATTATGATAGTTTATGTTCTTAGTTTATGGTAGTTTATTGTTCTTCTGGTAGTTTATGTTCTATGGTAGTTTATGTTCTCTCATAAATGTTTTTGAGAGATGCAATTAATGGGTGAGTTCCCTGTTCATACTCTGCTTATTTAACTCCTTGTCCTTGGGTTGGAGGAAAAGATTATATCCAAGATAATGGATGGTGAATTGGAAAATACGAGGGAATACTAAAGCTCCATAGAGTTTAGCTGTGTCAGAGAAATATTTTCATTTATAATTCAATATACTGTAGAAAAATGAAACTTTTTAGATATTTTTATTCACTGAAACCTTATCCATCCCTATCTTGGCATCTTGAATCCACATGAGTATTTTTATTCCAACTGGTTGAGAGGCAGAGATGAATTTTTGAATTTCTAGGTACACACGTTTATTTTTAGACTCTGTCATTAGAGATGACATGCTATTTTGTTTCCTGCCATAACTGATATTCAGAAAACATTCGGATATTTAGCTAACATGACCTCAAGAACTTCCATGGGTGTTCAGCTCAATATGTGGCAAAAATTCCCTTTTTAAACAGTCTTACCTATCTGTCAAATAAGTCTTACTTATCTGGAAGTATACAGTGCTTCTAGATGTTAGGTTCTATTCTGATGGAGATCCAGCATGGTTCATCACTTCTTTACTTTTTCCTTGTAATGTAATGGTTAATTTTTGATAACGAAAAATTCATTTATTCTGTAAGGTGTTGAGCAAAGGAAATTGAAAAACTAAAATTAAAAATGAACACAGATGTGAATGGGAGATTCCACGAAATTTAGAGTTTTCAGATTCATATTTTAAAGTGAGTGAATTTCAGCAGGTACCAGGGACCAGAAATATTGGCTTTTGTATGGGTTTTTAAAAAAGGAGAGGCGGCTGGGTGCGGTGGCTCACACTTATAATCCCAGCACTTTGGGAGGCTGAGGCGGGCAGATCGCAAGGTCAGGAGTTCGAGACCAGCTTGGCCAATATGGTGAAACCCTGTCTCTACTAAAAATACAAAAACTAGCCTGGCATGGTGCTGAGTGCCTGTAGTCCTAGCTACTCGGGAGGCTGAGGTAGGAGAATCGCTTGAACCCGGGAGGTGGAGGTTGCAGTGAACTGAGATCGCACCACTGCACTCCAGCCTGGGTGACAGAATGAGACTCCGACTCAAAATAAATAAATTAAATAAATAAATAAATAAATAAATAAATAAATAAATAAAGGAGGGGAGGGGAGAGGATGATTCATCTGGAGGTTATTTGTGTGTGTGTTGTTTAAAGTAAGGATTAAATTTTGTGGGTGTGTGTTGTTTAAAGTAAGGATTAAATTGTATTTTTCCACTTAGGTTGAGCCAACATAGCTCTGAGATGGATGTGTAGAATAGCTGTTATATATACCAACACTGAAGCCAAACTGTCTGGGTTGGAATCCATGCTTGGGAGTCTTCAAGTTATCCATCTCTCTGTACCTGTGCTTTAGATTTGTCAGCTGTAAAATGGTGCTAGGAATATTCATATGGTTCTTATGAGATCAAGTCAGTATGTATTTCAACATTTGAAACAGTGCTAGTACACACTAAATGTTCAGTAAGTGTTAATTGTCATTATTATTTTATAGGTCAACATTATTTTTTAAATAATCCACTGTTTCATGAACGATTTAAGTAACTAATCTATTCTTATCAGTTTTGAATCTGCACATAGGCATGATTTTGGAACCTCTATTCTACTCTAATAGTCTATTTGTCTCTTCTTGTGCCAGTACTAGAGTAATTTAATTGTCACATATTTGCTGTAAACCTTGTTATCTTAAGGTTTACTCTCATCTTTTCTCTTCTTTTCTAAATTGCTAGGGATATCCACAATTTTTATTTGAATTGCATTAAATTTACAGATCAGAATGGGAATAAATATTGTCTTCACCATGTTATTTTTTCATTCAGAGATGTGGTATAGCTTTCCATTCATTTAGATCTTTTTTGTGTGTTCTCCAATAGTGTGTTAAAATATTCCTCTGTAAAAGTCTTATTCATTTTTTAAGATTTAGTGCCATTATATATGGGATTATATTTTCTGTTTAATAATAACTGGTTTAAAAGACAGAGAAATTGTTACTTTTTAGGGTATAATGTACCCCTATTTTAAGTGAATCATGTGAGATTTATTATAAATATTTTTATTATTAGTTGTTAAATTTATTAGATGCTTTTTCTACATCTGTCAAGGTGATTGAATAATTGTTTCCCTTCATTCTGTTAAAATGGTGAGATTGATTTTCTAAAGTTAAATTTAATTTTGCAATTAGTTGATGTTACCCAGATATCTTGCTAATTTTTACTAGTTCTAATAATTTCCTGCTGATTCTTATGAATGTTCTATACAAATACTTCTATCAACTTCTTTTCTAATCCTCATACTTTTTTATTTTTGCATTGCGTGGTATGAATTGCAGTATTATATTCAATATTAAAATCAAAACTAAAAAATAATATATAAAAGGCTAATTTCACAGCATCCAGGGAAGGATCTTAAGTAAGATGTAAAAGCACAAATCCATAAAGGGGAAGTCTTATGGATTTGATTTTCTCTGATGACAGATCCAGAGATGATATTTCCATCTGGCAAAGAATACATAGGCTGTACAAGGGTCTCCTGCAAATCAGCAAGAAAAGATGGGAAACCCAATAGTAGAATTAGCAGAGAATATGACTATACAATCCACAGACAGGAAGCATAAGTACCTGATATACAAATGAAAAAGAACCTTATTAGCAATCAGAGAAATGCCAAACTAAAATAACGATGAAATAGTACTTCATACCCATAATTTTGGCCAAAATAAAATGTTGAGCAGTCTCGAATCATGAGTAAAACATATGGCAGTAAGAATCTTTGTGTGGATGCATATACTCATGCAGCCAAACAGAAGAGCAAATTGGAAATAATTACAAAAGTTGACTACTTGCTTACTGTGAGCCTAGTGATTATAATTCTGTTATATAACATCCCCTGCCAAGGAAACCTTTTATACTGGTAAAAATATATATGTAGCATGTTCACTGTAGCATTGTCCTAGTTAGAAACAAACTAATTAGCTATCAATAGGGAAATTGATGAAATACATGGAAATCAAGAAGAATGAACTTCTGCGACATATTGACATTGATAGATTTCAAAAACATAATGTTGAGTGAAACAAAGTAACAAGGTACATCAGATGAGACCATTTCTGTAAATGGAGAGCACATACCTATAACAATACTATTTATTGCTTATGAATGTATATATGCAAATAAATATATAAAAATGGCTCGGAAAAACTCCCATTAAATACACAAGAATAAATGTCTTTGGTGGGAAAATGGATTTGGAGATGGGGACATATAGAATAATAAAATCACATGAAGGAATCAAATGCAAAAGGGAAGTGGTACATGGGTCAATTCTGCTATAAAGTGAGAATTATGATCAATTTAATTCTATGAATGTTTAATTTTTAAAAACTGAGAGGGAGTAAGGGAAGGAGGAAGGAAAGAAAGGACAAATTTTTAAAAAAGAAAATGAATAGCTGTTCTGAAGAGTCAGAATTATGCCAAAAAATAAGAGGAATGAAAATACTAGCTCTAGCTCTCAAGCAGGGAATGATTTCTATGAAGTAAACTTAAAGTGCCTAATGGAACTATTCACGGAGGATCTAAAGAAAACTGGTAATAAATGTAAAATCAGCCCATACCTTTAGGGTGGAAAACATCTGACACCCCCAACCACCCTCCCATCCCCCAGTCTCACCACCCCTCATTACAGCCATCTTGCCAATCCTGAAAATATGGAATTCTTTTCTGCTTGAGGAAACCTTTTGAAACTCTTTCAGTTAGCTTTTTTAAATGGATAATGATAGACATAGTGCTGTATTTTAGGCAAGGATTCAAGTTTGGTGAATCACAGGGATTTTCTAATTTCAATCATCAGTAGCCTTGGTTAGTGGAATCTGCACTAGTGTGACTGATGTTTTCCCAGAAGGATGTTGTACCACCCTACTGAAGCTTCTCTGAGTCCTCTCTACTCACAAAAAGAAAATCTAGTTGACTGAATTATCTTATTTCCCTATAGTCAGCTCTCAGGGAAAAAATATTTATGCCGCTGTGGTTAAACCTCTGGAAAACAGACATATGTGCAGAGAAAAAAAAAAAGTAGTGAGTGAAAGTAGCTTTAGCTGGAGAGGGATAGGAAGAAGTTGAGCTGGCTTAGTCAAGAGTTATGAAGAGACTAGATGCAGAGACTCATGATAGCTTAGGACTTTCGTGCAGTCTTGAGAAATTAAGCATTTTCAAGCCAGCAGGTGTGGCAATCCCCCAGTGAGGGACATTCACGCTATCTTGTTTAGCCTTTGTGAGAGATGCAATGATGATCTCTAAACAAGCAGGTCCTGTCTGGTATGGTGTTTATACAGGGGTGCACCCATGAGGATGAAGAATCTGCATGTCTCTTTGGAGGTGGTGCAGAGCAAAATGAATCTGTCATTCACCGACATGTACTTCATGGTCCAGTTCCAATGCCCAGGCCTTAGAGACTCCAGGACTCTTATCCCCTTAACCTCACATGCACAGATACATATATACAAACACTCAAATGGAAAAAAATCAAGATTATGCAAGGTCTATCTAGGTCCAGTGTGTAGTCTGGATCTCAAGTGCCAGGTGTCCTATGGCTTAAAAGGAGAAGAAAGGACTGAGAAAGAAAGGACTTAAAATTTGAGAGAGCCTCCCAACCTAGCAATTTCCCAAGCTCTGCATTAACTCAGTGACTGTTCACAACCACAACAACACTGTGCAGTATGTATTATCATTATTATCCCATTATAACCAATGAGGACCTGAAGATCAGAGATAAAATGCCATGCTCATCATTGTGAAGCGAGAAGCCGCGGCCAGCACCTTCACCCATTTCTTTTCTGTCTTTACCAGTTGTGCTCTTCTCCCTGTAAAATGCCTGAAAGATTCAATGGAGCAGTGACACAAAAATAAAATCACTTCTCCATTAGAAGTAAATTGTAATTACTTCTTGAGATATCAAGTCCTCCTTTTTTGATGGACAATGGAATGATATAAGTGTCCTTAAGGCAGTAGTGATCCTTAATCGATATTGTACTCACTAATACAATGAGAAGATTGGCCTAGAAAATGTCTAAATTTTTTTATATCTAACTCATTTTTTGGTGTTCCCTTCCCAAAGGATACGCTCCTTTCCTACTGTCATCTAGGACATCTCATGCTGGGTGACTTCCCAGTACCAGCCTTTAGAGGGTGTCTTGTTCAGTAACAGACCTTGCTTTGTTTCAGAACCAAATAAAACAACTCCCCACTGCCTTTTCCTCCCCAGAAAATCTTCCCCAAACTGCCTGGTTTAATTTACTTGATGGTTTCTGAAATGTCTCCAACTATTGATTCTTTTGGGTAATAATGAAGACATTCTGGAAGTAATAAGAAGGCTTATTCATACTTAAGTGTGAATTAGTTCAGACAACAGGCTGTTCTCTTAAAACTCACATGAAATTGCTCTGTAAGGAGAAAGTAGGGGTGGCATTATTAGAAGGGAAGAGATACTATTTGAGAATACTGTGAAAGTGGAAGCCAGCATAACTGGTATCTTATGCAGCTGAAGAGCAATTTAAAGTGCTATCCCTCTAGAATTGCAATGGAAAGGATGTCAGGAGATGAAAAAATAGAGTGATAAACAGGTAGATGAGAGGTGCAAAGGCAAAAGGTACATTTTACCTCTACACCAACTCTACCTATCCAACCATCTAAGAACTTGAGATTCTCCATGCAGATGTTCAGTGAGACCCATTGCCTGCTTCTCAGGAGTCAGCAGCACTTTGCAGAGTCACGTCTGCAAACCAAAACACAATTCCCAGCCTCTTCCTGCCTAGTTAAGTGGGAATTCTCTGCACTCATAGTGTAAAGTAACTGTTTCAGAGAACTGTGGCTTCTTTGCTATCTCATGACAAAATGAAAGAAATTGAACTCAAATTGCAGCACATGTGAAGCAGGTAAGCTGTAAGAAAGAATTACTGATGACTAGATCTTCACTTCTGTGGTTCCATATCTCTAGTTTGTGTGGTTGGGTGGAGAGGTTTCTTTTTCATGTATTTTACTAGAAGCATATTATTAAAGGGAGTTTTCATATGACTGTGGATTCAGAGTTGAGTTTTTGTGTTGTGTGTGTGTGTAAATGAGAGACGGAGAGAGAGAAGAAAAATAAGAAAAAGACGCGGAGTAAGTGTTTCCCAACTTACTGAAGTCTTTGCAAATTCTTCCAGAGTCTTTGCAAGTGGGTAACAGTTTAATCCTTACCTTTTTCCTGCTCTGGTTATTAAGAAGTAACAGGAGATGGAAACCTATTTGAGTGTGGAGACTGTGCAGTGTTGTGTTCATTAGCATTCTCCTGTAAGTTTCTAATAAATGTGTGTGGTTACACAGAGATGATATAAGCAGTTTGTGGGGAGTGCTGCTCTGCACACATCGCAGCTGGCTCACTCCCAGCAGTGTACTATGCTACCTCTAAGAAGTATCGGGTTCCAAATAGGCTGAGGATTTTTAACCCTCGTGAGTTTGTTGGTACAAAGGAAAAGAACAAGACTTTGCCTCAGAATTTTTTGGTTTTGGTAGTGCTTGTACCCCAAACAGAGATCAAAGTGCCTTGTACATAGGATGATAGTGGTAAAAACAATATCCTAGGGACCTTTATATCAAAATTAAATAAATGAGTTCATTTTAGAGAAGTAGACAGAATGTTTGCAATATCTGGGGAGAAAATGCTACAAAACTCAGACCTTGATCATTGTGACAGCCAGAGGCAAACCCAACTACAATTTCCAGTTTGTTTATTTAAAAAAACAAAACAAAACAAAACAAACTTTTATTTTAGATTCAGAGGTATACGTGCAGGTTTGTTACATAGGTAAACTGCATGTCATGGGGGTTTGGTGTACAAATAATTTTGTCACCTAGTATACCATAGTTATTTTTTCTGATCCTCTCCCTCCTCCTAACCTTCACCCTCTGATAGGCCCCAGTGTCTGTTGTTCCCCTCTTTGTGTTCATGAGTTCTCATCATTTAGCTCCCACTTATAAGTGAGAACATGTGGTATTTGATTTTCTGTTCCTGCATTAGCTTGTTAAGGATAATGACCTCCAGCTCGATCCATGTTGCTGCAAAGGACATGATTTCATTCTTTCTTATGGCTACGTAGTATTCCATGGTGCATACGTACCACATTTTCATTATGCAGTCTACCATTGATGGACATTTAGGTCGATTCTATGTCTTTGTTATTGTGAATAGTGCTGCAATAAACATATGTGTGCATGTGTCTTTATGATGCAACAATTTATATTGCTTTGGTTATATAACCAGTAATGGGATTTCTGGGTCAAATGGTAGTTCTGTTTTTATCTCTTTGAGGAATCACCACACTGCTTTCTACAATGACTGAACTAATTCATACTCCCACCAACAGTGTATAAGTGTTCCTTTTTCTCTGTAATCTCACCAGCATCTGTTATTTTTTGACTTTTGAATGGTAGCCATTTTGACTTGTTTGAGATGGTATCTCATTGTGGTTTTGATTTGCATTTCTCTACTGATCAGATATTGAGCTTTCTTTTTATATGGTTTTTTGGCTACATGTATGTCTTACTTTGAAAAGTGTCTGTTCATGTCCTTTGCCCACATGTATGTCTTACTTTGAAAAGTGTCTGTTCATGTCTTTTGCCCACTTTTTAAGAAGGTTATTTGTTTTTTCTTGTAAATCTGTTTAAGTTTCTTATAGATGCTGGATATTAGGTCTTTGTCAGATGTATAGTTTGCAAATACTTTCTCTCATTATGTAGGATTTCTGTTTACTCTGTTGACAGTTTCTTTTGCTGTGCAGAAGCTCTTTAATTATATCCCATTTGTCAATTTTTACTTTTGTTGCAATTGCTTTTGGTGTCCTCCTCATGAAATCTTTGCCAGTTCCTGTATCCAGAATGGTATTGCCCAGGTTGTCTTCCAGGGTTTTTTATAGTTTTGGGTTTTACATTTAAGTCTTTAATCCACCTTTGTATATGGTGTAAGAAAGAGGTCCAATTTCGATCTTTTGCATATCACTAAAAAGCTATCCCAGGACCATTAATTAAATGGGGAATCCTTTCTCCATTGCTTGTCTTTGTCAGCTTGGTCAAAAATCAGTTGGCTATAGGTGTGAAGCCTTGTTTCTGGGCTCTCTATTCTGTTTCATTGGTTTATGTGGCTGTTTTTGTACCAATACCATGCTGTTTTGGTTACTGTAGCACTGAGTATAGTTTGAAGTCAGGTAGTGTGATACCTCCAGCTTTGTTCTTTTTGCTTGGCTATTCGGGCTCTATTTTGGTTCCATAAGCATTTTAAAAGTTTTTCTTCTAGTTCTGTAAAGAATGTCATTGTTAGTTTGATAGGAATAGCATTGGATCTATAAATTGCTTTGGGCAGTATGGCTGTTTTAATGATATTGATTCTTCTGATCCATGAGCATGGAATGTTTTTCCATGTTTGTGTCTTCTCTGATTTCTTTGAGCAGTGTTTTGTAATTCTCATTATAAAGATATTTCACCTCCCTGGTTAGGTGTATTCCTAGATATTTTATTCTTTTTGTAGCAATTGTGAATGGGATTGCCTTCCTGATTTGGCTCTTGGCTTGGCTGTTGGTGGTGTATAGGAAAGCTAGTGATTTTTGTACATTGATTTTGTGTCCTCAAACTTTGCTGACGTTGTTCATCAGCTGAAGGATCTTTTGGGCTGAAATTATAGGGTTTTCTAGATATACAGTCACACTGTCTGCAAACAGGAATAGTTTGACTTCCTCTTTTCCTATTTGGATGCCCTTTATTTCTTTCTCTTTCCTGATTACCCTGGCAGCACTTCCAATACTATGTTGAATTGGAGTGGTGAGAGAGGGCATCTTTGTCTTGTGCCAGTTTTCAAGGGGAATGCTTCCACCTTTTGGTCATTCAGTATGATGTTGGCTGTGGGCTTGTCCTAGATGGGTATTATTGTTTTGAGGTATGTTCCTTCAATACTTAGTTTATTGAGAGTTTTTAACATGAAGTTTTAACATGTTGAATTTTATCAAAAGCTTTTTCTGCATCTGTTAAGGTAATTATGTTGTTTTTGTCTTTAGTTCTGTTTATGTGATGAATCACATTTATTGATCTTCATGTTAAACCAACATTGCATCCCAGGAATAAAGCCTACTTGATCATGGTGGATTAGTTTTTTGATGTGCTGCTAGATTTAGTTTGCTATTATTTTATTGAAGATATTTACATCAATGTTGATCGAGGATATTGGCCTGAAGTTTTCTTTTTTGTTGTGTCTCTGCCAGGTTTTAATATCAGGATAATGCTGGCCTCATAGAATGAGATGGAGGAGTCCCTTCTCAATTTTTTGAAACAGTTTCAGTAGAAATGGCACCAGCTCTTCTTTGTACATATGGTAGAAGTCAGCTGTAAATTCATCTGGTCTTGGACTTTTTTTCCAATTTCCATTTCATATTCAAAGCAAACTAAATAGTTTGCCTTCTGTTTGTGGAGACCAAGTAACAGTTAGATTTTACTTCAGAAGCAAAGGTCCAGAATAGCTCTCCACATGTTTGTAACAGAGTTTGGATGCCTTATTACTAAGGCTTAGTCTGTGGCCTCTTTGGGATGCAATGCTTCATGTGTTTGCTGGAATGTAACAGCTCTGTCATGAGTCCTACTCTTTTCTCTTCTGCCTACTTTTTTGGAAATCCACACAGAAGCCGTGTTTGTTTGCCGAATCTGCAAATGAGGGGATTAGCAGGAAGCAGATAATTTGTGGAATGGGCAATAGAAGCAACTCACTCAATGAGATCCAAACAATCTTCCAGTCTCTGCTCCTGTGATATAATTTAGTAGGAATATTGGAGCTTGTGCAGAGCCAAACCTTTAGGAGGGGCTCTTCCAGGAAATCTGGGTCTCGTGCATAAGAATAAAACCTCAGGACACTCTGTCTTCATTGCTAAAAATCTCCTTTACTTTCATGCTTCACCACGGTGGTCTTCTTGGCCTCCTTTATGCCTCTTTTTTACCTCACTGTTGAGGAAGCAGCTCCTGTCATGCAATTATTACATTTATTGAATTGTAGATTACTATGAGATGTAAACTCTTCCAACTTCCACCAAATTCCAGTGAGTTGAACAATAGCTGTGATTCCTATAAAACAGAGAGGCGAGGCACATAATTAGTTAATTATGGAAAACAGAACCCAAGAACTTCTTATGGCCTCCAATTGGCATTGAAAAACTTTTAGTAAACATAGACTAAGCCCTCAGTATTTCAGAGTTAATGAAGTAAAGTAGCATTTCTGCTACTCATTCCAAGATGAAAATAACACCCTAGTAACAGCTGCAGATACAAAAATCCCAGACTTCCATGGAGCCTTAAGCTATGCTTATGAAAGCTTGGCTAAACTTGATGGAACAAAACTATTGCATCTTTATATTCAAAGAAGTATCTCATCTATAAACTTCCAGAAATATCAGTCCTAATTCACAACTAACAAAGTATCTGCAGAAATCTAGGCTTAGAGTCACACATTTGAATCACTCATGTATAATGAACAAACAAATAAATGCTTAGTGAGATCATATAACATATTCAGTAGTGTGGGCCAGGGGAAAAAAGAATCAGTGATGCATTATATGCCCTCACCTAGTTGGAAAGACATATAGAACTACTATAAAGGATACCGTACTTGTATAGAAGGAGCCATGGATACTATAAAGATCAACACTGTGGCAAGTTTCTCAGGAAAAGAGAAAGAAACTGAGCCAAGCCTTGAAGTGTACACAGAAGAAGAGCCTGTGTTATCAGTGAGAGGAAAAATAAAGGCAAGTACAGGCAAAACTGAATTGAATTCAATCATTATAAAATATGTACTGACCACCATTATGACCAAGCATCATGGGAGTATGAAGCAGGGAGAACAACGTATTCTTTTTTAATCCTAAGAGTTTGTCAGAGGAAGCCAATGGTCAATCCCTTCTTGATGACTTTCACATTTAAACATGCAACTCTTATTTAAGCTATGTGTTCTACTCCGCCATCTCGATATACAAAAAAAAGTGCATAGCTGAAACGCTGATTATTAGATTCAATGGAAAGAATAAAAAATTAATTCAAAATATTCAGAAAGATTTTGTTTTAAGTCTTCCATCTGAGACAACAGTCTCATTAGAATAAGATAAATATCCTGATTCTGGAGTAAGCAGTGAAATGTTACTAAATTTTGTACATGAATCTCTCCTATGTATAGGGAAAGTGGAAAAGAGCAAAAATAACTCACGATTTTTAAGCTGAGTTTTTAAGAAACCCAAGAGTCCATGGGCAGATTTCCCAGTTTCTGTAAATGTTTAAATAGAACTTAATTTTATAAATACAATCTAAATAACTTTTTTAATTATAGTAAAAATCCATTGATTGTATGCCAGATTTTGAAACACCAGAGTCCAGCAATCCTAAACATGCTGGACCAAATGTTATCCAAGGTAGAATTCTTTCATAGGACTTTTTTTTTCTCATGGAAAGAGCTTTTACTGAATGATTTGTTCTATAGAATCTTTATGTCATTCATTGTAGTAGCTAACATTTATGGCATGTTTAGTGAGTGCCAGATTCTTGAGCTAAGCATTTTACATGAGATGATTTAATGCTCACAACAAATCTATAAAATAGACACTAATAGTCCCATTTTGTGATGGGGTACATGAAGCTGAAGAGAAAACAGACAATGGCCTAAAGCAAATGGTGAAGCCAGGATTGGCACCTAGAGAGGCTAACAGTAGGGGTTAAGCCCTTATCCACTACCCCAGAACGCCCTAAAGATATCTACATGACAAAATTTAGCACAGACTAAATGAGTATGATACATTCTTGCAGTTAGTGGTAATAGTACAATGCTCTTTCTCCCTAACAGTCTACTTGTACCTAGATTGGCTAAAGAACTTTGGTATTTTTCACATAACAAATCACTTTTTATCCTCAGAGATGCTCAGCACTTTGCCTCTCATACATAATGCATGATTATGAAGAGAGTACAGGAATTATTTTAAGATGTAATTCTTCATTCTTTAGTTAAACATTATTAATATTCATGTTATTTATGCTCAAGGTTATTTTTTCCTCATTGCTAAAAACATGAGCCATTTTAAAATTATACCCAACTGCAAGTTCTCCAATAAGAAATATCATGATGTATTTACAAGGTGGAAATTATATTTTAAAAAATAAAATAACACTATGTCTTTTAGGCTGCCTAGGCTAATGAAAATACTTTGATTTTAGTCCAGCCAGGATATATCACTGGCAGCTCCAGAATTAGTTTACCTTTTTCCTCAGAAGCTTTAACTTATCACCTTCTGCAATCTACTGTCTGGGAAGTCAAGAATGCAAACTGCATTTCATATCCTTTACACCTCGAGTTTATCTCCCCCCATTTAGATGATGTGATATTCTGCCAAAATTGCAGGATTTAAATGCATTCAGCAGCCTTAGTTCAAGTAACTAATTTTCTCTAAGAAGTTTTTTTTCTTTTTCTTTTACATCAGACATCAGCAGGATATCACTGTATAAACATAAACTGTTAAAGACAGTTTTCAGATTTCAATGACATCATTTTTCTGCCCCACTTAGGAGGTTTTATTTATTTTTAAAAATCATTTTATTTTTATTCTAATAACCAATCACATGGTTTTAAGTGCCCAGTTCAGAGTCTAAAATGGACAATACTTATTAAAGATTTTATTCACATAAAACTAAATCTTTAAAGTATTTATTTGTCTATGAATAGAATTCCTTTGTGCCCTTACCTTGAAAAGGTGGTAAGAACATAGCTAAAAGTCCTGGTTTTCATTTACTTTGATCTCACAAACTTTCCAGAAACCAGAAACATCAAAATATGATCTTTCAATAATATTAACCTGTAGTAGAAAGAAATATGGTTTGAATAGACAAAAGGCCTGTCAAAGTGAAGCCATTGTAGGATTTGGAATTTGTCCCATAAAGACTGAACACAACTAAAAATTACATGAACCTAACTTTAGGGCTGGTGGTGGTGTTTTAACTTCAACATCAGGTCATCACACCAAGACCAATATCTATCAGATGCCCTAACCATTTCTTTCTTGTACTCTTCTCTCTCTCTTTTTTTTCCCCCTGTTGTCTGATTCCTCATCTGGCAGTTGATTTCAGATCTCTCCTTCTGCAAAGAATTCCCTTAGTACACGGTACTTACCTGAGGCAGCTGGCCCCACCATGTGTTTCCGATGCTTGGTAACAGACAGAGTACGGTCCTTTGATTCAAATGAGAAAGGTGCAAGCTTTCAGCAAAATGACTTTCCCTTCCAAACTCATTTCAAAGAAGTTTAAAAATAATATAATGTTAACAAGAAAATGTGTTTTAATGCACAGTGAGTAAGGAAACTCAGATTCAGTTAGGGTGGGATGAAACCCCATTGCCCTTTTCTCTATCTCTCCTCTCAACAAGGGGTCCCATTGTAGGTGCATTTATGACAAGTGGGAAGCAAAGCAGGTTAAATAAAGCTCCATCATCCTAGCCAGAAGATCAACTTTGGGAACATCAGGAAACTAGAAAGTGCTAGGAACAGGAAGGATCTTGGGAAAGTAACCCCATAAAATTATTTATGAACTCCTAGGCTTTTTCTCAAGTTGTATATGCATCGATTGGATCCTAAACAGCTTAACAAACACTATGAGAACTGAACTATGAGATAGGTTCTAGAATGGCCATTGGGTGGTGTGTACATTGGACAGATCAGAAAAGTACTTACAAAGGCTTTGAGAATGAAGCTTACATTGGAACTGCAATTCACAGAAGGCTGGACAGAACTTGTGAGCTAGATAAAATTGGGCCAATTGCCTGCTAAAACAAAAAATATCAACATTCTCCATAGGATTTAAACAAAACCAAGGGTTGCATAATGTAACATTCAAAATATCCAGCCTACAATCTAAAATTATTTGTCATATAAAGAACTAGTAAATCTCAATCTGTATGGAAAAAGACAACCAATAGACAGCAACACTGAAGTGACACAGATGTTGAAATTATCTTACAAAGACCTTATAATAAATAAAGGAGAGCACTCTAGGAATCAAAGAAAAGATTAAAATTCTCAACAACAAAAAAGGGAAGAAGATACTGGGAGAAAGATAACAGAGCCTCATTTTATAGTAATATGTCAAAAGATCTAATACTTGTGCCATTAGAATACCAAAGAAGAGAAAGAGTCCAGTGCTAAAATTTTTTTGAAGATATGATGGCTGTAACTTTGAAAATATGGTGAAACATGTAGATGTACAGATTCAAGAAGCCCAGGAATCCTAAACAAGAGAAACTCAAAGAAATCTATCATAATTAAACCGCTAAAAATTAAGACAAAAAATCTGAAAGTAATCAGAGTAGATGACATATTATTTATAAGAAAACACTTCAGATTAATTGGAAAACATGGAGGTCAGATGCAATTGAATACATTTTAAAGAACTACAACTGTTAACCCAGACTGCTCTACTGTACGCAGTGAAATAGCCTTCAGAAAAAAAAGGTGAAGAAAATGCTTTCCCAATAGAAGACAAATTAAGAGAATACATTATCAGCATATCCATTCTGAAATAATTGATAACAGATATTTCACTGACAGAAAGTAAAATGATAACAGAAGGAAATTTGGAACCATCAGTAATAAAGGAAGAGCAATAGAAATGATAAATATCTATGCAAACATATTATTATATGTGAATATATTATTTTTTCTTCTCATGTTCTTTACATTATTATTGTCATAAGCCTTCTCAAGTGGCTCCCAATGTGGTCCATCCTTACTGGTATTCATGCCCTTGTGTAAATCCCTTTCCTTGAGTGTGGACTAAACCTAATAACTTGATTCTAACAAACACAGCTTGAGCATCCCTAATCTGAAAACTCAAAATCTGAAATGGTCCAAAATTTGAAATTTTGAGTGCCAACATGATGCCACAAGTGGAAAATTCCACACCTGATGTGATGGGTTGCAGTCAAAACTTTGTTTCATGAGCAAAATTATTTCGTGTTTAGACTCGGGTGCCATCTCCATAATATCTCATTATGTATAGGCAAATATTCCAAAATCAAAAAGTATACTGAAATTTGAAACACTTCTGATCCCAAACAGTTCAGATAAGGGATGCTCAACTTGTAGAATATGGCAAAATGAAGAAATCTCACTTCCGTGATTAAGTTATCAAAGATTGTAATTCTGGGAGTGGTGGTGCATGCTTGCCATTCCAGATACTTGGGAGGCTAAGATGGGAGGATTGCTCGAGCCCAGTAATTTGAAACCAGCCTGAGCAACATAGCAAGACCTTGTCTCAAAAAAAAAATTTTAAAGGCTGGAGGCAATGGCTCATGCCTGTAATTCCATCGCTTTGAGAGGTGGAGGCAGGAGGAGCACTTGAGTCCAAGAGTTTGAGGCTGCAGTGATCTATGATTGCACAACTGCACTCCAGCCTGAGCAACCGAGCAAGACCTTGTCTCTATAATTAATTGAATTGAGATTCCCATTTTTTTCACCCAGCTGTGTCATTTTGTATTCTCACTCGCAATATGAGAGTTCCAGTTGCTCCACATCTTTGTCAGCACTTGAAATTGTCAGCATTTTAATTGTAGCCATTATCATAGATGTATATCTCATTTTAATTTTAAAACAAAGATACAAAGTATAGCTGCCCTGGAAAAGTTTGACAGTGTTTTATAAAGTTAAATACACACTTAGAATAAGGTCTAGAAATTCTACTCCTATTTGCTTTAGAGAAAGGAAACTTATATTCATACAAAAACCTGTACACAAATGTTTATAGCTGCTAAAATTGGAAACAACTGTGGTCCTTGAATAGGTGAATGGGTAAACAAATTGTGATACATTTATATAGTGGAATATTATTCAGCAATAAAAGGAATGAATTATTTATATATGCAATGACATGAATGAATCTTAAAGGTGTTAGTCTCGGTAAAAGAAGCCAGTCTCAAAAAGTTATATACTCTATGATTCAATTTTCTAAAATTTTTAATTATTATGGGTACCTACTAGTTATACATACTTAGGGAGTACTGGTGATATTTTGATACAGGCTTACAATGTGTAATGATCAAATCAAGATAATTGGGATATCCATCACCTCAAGACTTTATGACTTCTTTGTGTTAGGAATATTCCAATTCCACTCTTTTGGTTATTAAAAAAAATACAGAGAATTATTATTAGCTATAGTCACTTTAGTGTGCTACCAAATACTAGATCTTATTCATTCCATCTAAATGTGTTTTTGTACTCATTAACCACCCTATTTTATCGCTCTCTCCCTGCTACCTTTCTTAGCTTCTGGCAACCATCATTCCACTCTCTCCATAAGTTTAATTTCTTTTAGTTCCCATGTATGAATCAGAACATGCAATATTTGTCTTTCTGTACCCAATTCATTTCATTTAACATAATGTCCTCCAGTTCCATGCATGTTGTTGCAAATGATAGAATTTTATTCTTTTTTATGGCCAAATAGTACTCCATTGTGTACATGTACCACATTTTCTTTACCCATTCATCTGTTGGTGGACACTTAAGTTGCTTTCACATCCTGGCTATTGTGAATACTTCTGTAATAAACATGAAAGTGCAGTTATCTCTTTGATATACTGACTTCTTTTCTTTTAGACATATACCCAGCAGTAGGATCTCTAGATCTTATGGCAGTTCTATTTTTGGTTTTTTTGAGGAACCTCCATACTGTTCTTCATAGTAGCTGAGGCAATCTCAAAAGGATAAAACTATAGTGTCACAAAATAGATCAATGGTTACAAAAACTTAGGTGGGAAGAGGTTACAACTGGCTTGAGGAAGATTCTTGGGATGATAGAATGATTTTGTACTCTGGTTGCAGTGATAGCTTAGGAATCTATGCATGTGTTAAACTTCACAGACTTGCACACCAAAAGAAAGCCAACATTACTGTATATTAAGTTTCAAAATATGATTTTTAAGAATTGAGAATAAAATTATGGGCAGGCATAGTGGCTCATGCCTGTAATCTCAGCACTTTGGGAGGCTGAGGTGAACAGATCACTTGAGTCCAGGAGTTTGAGACTAGCCCAGGCAACATAGCAAGACCCACATCTCTACAAATAAAAAATTAGCCAGATGTGGTAGTACCTGCCTGTGGTCCCAGCTACTCAGGAGGCTGAGGTGGGAGGATCATCTGAGCCTCGGAGTTTGAGACTGAAGTAAGCCATGATCACACCACTGCACTCATCCTGGGAGACACAGTGATACTCTGTATCCAAATGAAAAAAAAAAAAGAATAAGCTCTTTCACCTCAAAAAGCTTATAGGCAGAAATATGTTGAAGAGTAATCAAAACACTGGTAATATGCTTTCTACCAAGTTGGTACTCAAAAACTAATGAAGGAGAAACATATCATACATGTATTTGACTCAAACAAAATTACTTATTCTCTCTCTGCTAAGAAATAGAGTTTTTATGCTGCTCTGCTTTGTACTAAGGATTTTTCTCCTCTGGCTTGGGAACATCAAGAACTCAAGCTCTGACAATGAGGGAATTTCTAGGGTAGTTTAGCTAAACTGGATTTTTGTCTCATCCAACTAGAATACCCACCACCAGCATAACTGTGCCCTGCTGCCTGTCTGCCCCTCCTCAAGTAAGAAGGTTCCTCTGTATTGGCCTGGAATAGATCCACATTCCACATTTTAGTTCAAAATCTCTAGGTGGAAGAATCAGGCTACTTTAAAAAGTTATGAATATTTTCCCTTGGCTTGAATTTCTCTCTCTCTCTCTTTTTCCTTTTTTGTTAGGTTACAACAAAGAAGTTGACCTAAGAAAGAGAAAGCCTAACTGCTTTTCCTGGGTTCTAAAAGCCCAACTAAACTTCTTCTCAAAAGGTTTTTTGTTTGGTTGGTTGGTTGGGTTTTTTCTATACATTATTTCAATTCTTTATCTACTGTTTATTCCTCTAACCTCTAAAATTCCTTCATCACTTCACCAAAAGAGCTCTTGCTAAGGTCACTAATTCATTCCATGTTACAAAATCTGTGGACATGTTCCAGTCCTCATCTACTGCCACATGCCTTAATCATGTCTTCTTTTGCAATACTTCTTACCCCAGTCACTTGGTTTTGCTTCTCCATCTCTGATCCTCTGTTTCCTCTGCAGGTTCATCCTCATCCACCCAACCATCACAGGGTTGGACTTCCACAAGCCTAGTTCACAGAAAATCTTTCTGTCTCACCCTCTATGCTTTTCTGAGAAAATAACATCCATGTCCATAGCTTCCATCACCATACATACAGCGCTATGGTCACCCTCCCAAATGCATGTCTCTAGCCAGAACTATTCTCTGAGCTTTACATCTTTATTTTCAATGTCCTATCCTACATCTCCATTTGGAAGTCTCAAACTCAGCATATCCAAACTCAGCCTATCCAAACTGATCATATACAAAAACTAGTGTATTGATCTATCCCCTAAAATGTGATTCTACTTCCGTTTCCCCTATCTCAATGAACTTTGCAGAACTAAGAGTTCTTTTGAACCTTCCTAACTTCACCATGCATACTCAGTCCTTCACAAAGTCCCACTAACCTCTAACACAAATCCATTAACTTCTCATCCTCTTATTTCTGGTCTACTCTAAGAATAACAATTTTTTACCTGGACTATGACAATAGCTTCCTAACCTATCTCCCCATGTTCATCTCTCTGGCCTTTCTCTAATCTGTTCTTTGCACGGCAGTTCATGTGATTTTTTTCAAAATGCAAATGTAATTATTTCCAATCCACCATTCCCAGCTACCTTCATCCCATCTAAATGATCCCAAGATTGCCAATAGACACAAACTGGTCTAGGTGACTGTGACTGCATTTCTATGTGGGAGGGAGGACAAAGGAAAGACTTACATGAACTAGTCTGAGAACATGTCTGATTGTGTGTCTCTATCATGTTCCAAAGCCCCTTAAAAACTTTCTAGGCTTGTTCACTATTTGAAATCATCTTTGCCTTTTCACAGGAAATGACATTTGTATGATAGAAATCTCATCACTTTCCATTCTTATTTTTATCTCTGTATGGTCCACAGAAGTCATGAACTACACAGGACTTTGCCTTTTGAGAACAGTATGGTAGAACAAGAAGAGCTCAGATTAAGGAGTCATACCAATGTGGACTGAAATCACAGGTCTGCAATTATTATTACTGTTTTAGCCTCAATTTATTTTAAAATGAAGACATCTCATAAATTTATTTTGAGAATTTGATGAGTTTAATGCAAAGAGTCTAGCATATCACCTGACATACAGCAAGTAGCCAATGAATGTTTTTTTTTTCTTTCTACCTATATGGGTGGTGCCAAAGTATTCTATGCCAAAGAAAACCCCAAGATCATTTGTAAATTTAGCCATAGTTTAAGTTTGTTTCACAGACACTTGGAAGTGAGTGTTGAGTGAAAATTTTATTTTATTGCTTCTTTTTAGCTAACATATAGGTAGCAATTCCTATCCATTAGGCTTCATGCTATGAATTTACATTCATTATTTAATCACTACAAATTCTCTATTATACGATCCCATTTTACAGCTAAACACTGCTAGAGCTTGAATTTTGAACACATGCCAACTGACTCCAGAGCTTGTAATTTTATCTATAGATTTTGATCTCTCTCATTGAGAGACCCAATCCAGAAAGTGCAGATGAGAAATGCTGCCTTTGATCATCTAAATTTCGTCAGGGGCCTATAGAACACTACTTCAGTTTGCTAAAATCCAGAGCCAGGGAACTTGACCATATGAACTTCTTTTCACATTACCTGGCAATTCTAAGTTTAGGGACCCAAAGTGTGCTTATTTTTTCCTGTTTGATATTGCCTAAATAATCTTTCTGAAATTATAGCATTTTATACCTCTTTCTAACAGTATTAAATACCATTACCCTAAAGGATTATTCATGCAGTGTTAAAGATTAGGAATTTGGCAAGAAGAAAGACTTTTAATTATGGTCTTTATAAAATCAAGGATAGTTTAGGGACTGGATTTTGACCGCATCATATAAGAAAGTATGTAAACCTCTATCTCTGACAAAACTGAATAGAGTTTCAAACAAACTATCTCTGAATGGAAAGTTTGAATCTTTGAGAATATTCAAAATATACAGGGACTGTGCACCCAGAATAGTTATGCAACATGATATGCACTAAGTTCATATACTGGGAAACATTTATTTTTCTCCAAGACTGAATAAGGGCTGAAATTTATCCTATAAGGGAGCTCTATGGCAGTACCCAAAGAAAAACACATGTTTGTCTGACATCCCACAAAGAAATCCACCTGAAATTATGAAAGATGTGTCTGGAACATTAGTTTACAAATCTGACTGCAGTTTATAGTATCAGTAAATGTTTGGATTCACGAATCAATATAAAAACCACAGGATATCCATAGTTAAATAGAGTCACTGCTTCGCTTTGTTGGTCCTCGCTAACCCTGGCCTGCAGTTCTGTGAAATCTAAGAATATGGGCGGAATCTACTAATGTTTTGTATAAGTATATCCTAGAGTAATCTGAAGGCAGTGATTTTGCTGGCTGACAAGTCTCAACTTTCCTTTAACCATATCATTTTATCATTTAAAATAGGGAGGATGTACTAAAATACACTTAATAAGCTTGTGCAATGCTGAATATATGGTAGGTCCTTAATGAAATTGAGTCAACTGACGAACATCTCTTGGAGGGCTAATGATGCTTTTAAGAGGGCAGAGTTTAGCTAATAAACTTCTCTGTTTCTCTGCTTTATATTTTCAAATGATCAGCTAACTTCCATATTTAAAACAACCTACAGCTAATATATCATCAAATCAATTTTTAAAAGACAAGAGCACAATTAAATGTCAAGATAGATGGACTCTGAAGAACAGAGCAATCATTTAAGAAGATAACAGTTATGCTGAAACTTTTCAATAAAACAAATACCTGTGTATATAACTTTGAAATAACTAGAGATTGTGAAGGGAATTAGATAGAGCTGCTGAATTCTTACACAATAAAGAGGCCCACTTTCATAAGATAAAACACTATAACCTTGCATTGTTGTGGCAGACATATCCTAAGGTGATCCCCAGTCAGTCCTTTCCCCTATAGGGTGGGAGGAAGCTGTGACTTGCTTCCCATGGACAGAATATGACAAACGCTCTCTTGATTTGGTTACTGTTATCTGTGAAAGTTAATAGAATGTTATCCTCATGATTTCATTACATTATTACATCAGGTTCCTCAGGCTGCTGAAACAAAGTTAACATAGATTTGGCCTCCTAAAACAATACAGATTTATTCTCTCACAGTTCTGGAGGCACAAAACCTGAAGTCAAAGTGCATATAGGCCCATGCTCTTCCTGAAGGGTCTAGGGAAAGAATCCTTCCTTGCTTCTTTCAGCTTTTGGTGGTTTCCAACAAAGCTTAGTGTTCCTTGGTTTGTACCAGCGTAACTCCAATCTCTGCCTCCATTGTCATATGGCCATCTTCCCTCTGTGTCTGTGTGTATCTGTTTTCTTTTATAAGGACATCAGTCACTGGATCAGGCCTATGTACTCCTGTGTAACCTCATCTTACCTTAACCAATTACATCTGCAAAGACCTTATTTCCAAATATAATCACATTGTGAGGTTCCAGGTGGACATGAATTTGGGGAGACAGTATTCAACCCAGGAGAGTTATATAAGGCTCTGTCTTAACAGACAGAGGGAGAGACTATCCCTTGTTAAGTTTGAAAAAGTAAATATCTTGACTTTAAGAAGGCTTGTGAGGGGACTAAACAGCAAGAAATTGCAGGCAACCTATAAGAGCTGAACACTGTCTGCTCCTGGATGACAGCTAAAAAAAAAAAAACCAGGGACCTCCATTCTACAACCACAAAAAGATGAATTCTGCCATTGACCTCAGCTTGGAAAAGACCAAGCTCCAGAAATAAATTCAGTTCACTGACACCTTGTGTACTAGTCTGTTCTCATGCTGCTAATAAAAACATGCCCAAGACTGGGTAATTTATAAAGGAAAGAGGTTTAATGACTCACAGTTCCACATCGCTGGGGAGGCCTCACAATCATGGTGGAATGAGGAGCAAAGTCACATCTTACATGGCAACAGGCAACAGAGCTTGTGTGGGAGAACTCCCATTTATAAAACCATCAGATCTCGTGAGACTTATTCACTACCACAGGAACAGTATGGGGAAACTGCCCCCATGATTCAATTATCTCCACCTGGCCCTGCCCTTGACATGTGGGGATTATTACAATTCAAGGTGAGATTTGGGTGGGGACATAGCCAAGCCATATCACTTTAATTGTACCCTTGTGAGACCCTGAATAGAGGACCCATCTAAACCATGGATGGGAGATAACAAAGGTATAATGTTTTAAGATACAAAATGAGTGGTAATTTGTTCTAAGTGGTAAAAAACTAATATAATTCGTATCGTGTTTTAAAAGTTTTATTCACTGTACTTCATTTATACTTTCCAAAGCCAAATCTGAAGGTGTTTCATCAGCTCTGAATTATATACACCACCAGCATTTCAGTTTACTCATATGGATTTTTGGGAACGACCTATAAAAGTTGAGTGTGTTTAGTAAAATCATTGAATTGTAGTACTCAGAAGAATCTCAGAGATTATATATTCCAATCCCTTCATTATACAAATAAAGAAACTGAGCCACAAATACAGAAACTGACTCTTTTGACCACAGAGGTAGCAAGTGGAAGAGGCAAACACAGGTCTCCTGGGATGCGGTCCAACATTTTTTCAATATTGCAGATCCTCACCAACACACTGGGATTTTCTGAGATCCTTAATGAAAAATTACAAAAAGGCTGAAAATAAATCACTGGCTTTTAGAAAATACATATATATAGCTTTAATAAATGTCAATAATCATAATTTCCATTAATTCACTCCTATAAATGTGCTGGTCACATTTTATTTACCAAATAAATATTTGATAAATAAAAAATTAATACCCTGTTTTCATATACAATCACCATTATAAAACATAAATGATCTGAAGGCAGTGCAGTCCTGTAGGCAAAAGCCATGGCTGTGAAGTGAGACCCACCTGACTTTGAATGCAAACACTAACATTTATTCACTTATAAACTTGGAAGATTTCCTAAAACTCTCGGCCTTCAGTTTCCTCCTCTGCAAAATGAAGGTCATAAAATTGAGCTCTCAGTGTTATATTTAGGTTCAAACAAAGTAATAGATGTTAAATGCCTTGCATTTACAGGGTGCTTAATAAATGTTAGTCTATTCCCATTTGCTGATGAATTTGTTTTTAAGTAGAGAACAGTTTTTCCACTATTCAGATGTTTCTCTGAATTATAACCTGTGTTAGGGGCATTTAATGCAAATATACATTTAGTTATATGTGAAGTGAAATTTCTTTGAAAACAAATTTCTTTTGCAAGGATTTACTATTCCTTGGTTCCATCTACTTATCCTTTATCCCCTCAACAAGCTGAGGAGAAAATAAAGGCCTAAAAAGTCTAGGGAAGAAAAAAAGAGTGTTTTACTAGGGCTGAATTTATTGACACATAAGAACCACACACACACACACACACACCCACACACACACATGCACACACACACACACACACACACACACACACCAGCAGCTCGAAGATTCTTAAATTAATCATTGATTAAGAGTTTACATAATTTAGAGGTAGTAATCCAAAACCTGTTTCAAATCAGATGAGAGCAGAAAAGTGAGGTGGAAGTAGTTACTGTTAAACTGAAATTCTTCTGATTGCACTATTTATCAGGTAGTATTTCAGATAATTAAATAGAGCTATGAGTAACATGAAAGATTATAGTTATGGTTCACTTTTGCATGGGTCTGCTGAGACTTAGCAATAAGGTTCAGGCGGAGTTGAAAAAATTCCAACATGGACCATACTGCATTAGGCAACAGCTGGTGAAGAAGGTTTAGTTTATAGGACCTGTCCTGACAGCTGGAGAAAAGTGATATGTGGTTCTTACTAAATGTCACATTAAAAATTAGCAGTAAAATAATTACAAGTTAATTAGAAATTTACCGTCTTGATTTCAAATCTTAAACAATCTTTCTTGGGGCCATTTTAAGGCCATTGTAAACTTCTTTAATCTCTGCTCAGCAAAATTTATTTTCTAGCAGGTGTGCCTTAAAGCTAAAAAGTAGACATGACTTAAAATCATTTCCATGAGTTTCAAGCATTTCCACATGTTTTAAAAAAATACTAATTTCAATGTTGCTTGAAACCAGGGAAAGGTCATGGGGAGAGGGAGCTGTGAAAACCTTAATCCTGCAAATCTCATGACACACGGCATGATGCAATGGGGTTTAAAGCCAGAAGGTTTGGGTTCAAGCCTCTGCTCTGCTAATTACTAACTAGGAGGTTTAGGGTAGAATGCATGCCCCCTTTCAAACTTTAGTTTCCACATCCAACTTGAAAATCATAGTACCTACCTTCCAAACTGTTAAGAAGTAGGTGATTTATATATAGTACCTAGGCCAACAGACGTATGCTTCCCAAATCATGCACTGAAGCACCCGAGGGCACTGCAGCCTGCTTACATGGGAGCCATGGGATATTTTAAAGTGTTGAGGAAAATATTGCAATACTTGAAACCTGTCAGCCACCGTGTGAACTACTAGCTCAAGGTAGTGTAGAGTTTCAACATTAGATCATACTACATTTCTTTCATTGATGTCATATCTCTGCTGAGCTAAGTTTTGGTGGTGGCTGGATAAAAAGCCAGTAAACATGAAAATCAGTTCGGAACAGGAAATGAAGATGGTGGGATCCAATATGATTCCAAGGTCTGAGAGGTGCGCAGTGTCCAAGAAACCCACACATCTCATTAGTGAGTAAATATCTGTGGTTAAGCCTGAAATAAAAATTATTATCTTTCTTTCAACGTATGTGTATTATTTTCAAACAGCTACTAAGTTAGTGTATAAATACATTTTAAGTTGTTTGGACCTAATCACTCAATCCATGGCACTGTTAGTTAGTTATTTCGGCTGAGGAATCCATTCAGAAAAATACTGAGATATTTAATGCCATAAATAAAAAAGGTTTGGGAACTTCTACAGAAAGCTACCCAATAAATGTTAGTTTCCTCTTAGACTTCAAGTTCTTTCTCATGATTGACCCCCTCCTCAAAATTTAGACAAATCTAGGTATGTTTTCACTGGCAATACTGACTACCACTCTCAGCCTTTGCAATTTGGTGGGGCCTTATAAGCTCTGGCCAGTAGGATTTGAAGGTTATGAACCCTCCATTCACTCTATTCTTCTACCAAGGTGTCTTACTGTTGTGAAGAGACAGTGAAACCACAGGACCCAAGTAGCATCAATGGTCAAGTTAATATATGGAAGAAACTTTCCTAGAGAGTCACCTGGGCCCACTGAGTTAAGCCAAAGAGATCTAGAGGTCTGTTTGCTGTGAAGTGTAGGCTTGTTCTACCTTGATTAATACTCAAACTTGTTTCTTTCTGTCTTCTCCACCACTCTCCTAAATATGGTTTTCTTACTCTTTTTATGTCCAGCTCTAAAAGATAGTTGGATAATAGCTGGTATCATAGAAAAGTTGACCTGAATAATAAAGGCTGAATGGTGGAAAGCTCAAAGAATAGTTAACAACATCAACGAAAACAGTCTGATCAATAATTATTAACAGCATCAACGAAAACATAGTGTGATTCTCCATATCACAAATTGGACAAGAACACATTCATTCAGTCAATGCCAAGCTGGGGTTTATATCTTAAGGGTTTAAAAGCAATTGCAAATGTTTTAACACTGTGATTTCATTTAGGCACAAGGATATATAAAATATGATAAAGCCACTTTTATATAAAATGTTGGAACTACAGATGTTCAATAACAAAATATTTTCTAATTCATGAAAATTTTGCCATACATCAAAAATAAGAAAGCAATACAAACATGCACACATTTCCATGGTGGGGAAATTTCTGACTGTGCTAGAGCAACTAGAGGAAATCATCTCTTCCAGTGGTTATAGAGTGAGACTACAACGAGGATGATTTTTAACAATAGATGTGCTTTAAAAGGGAAATTTTTAAAAATTCCTTCACACTTCAGATATTAGAAAGAAGATGAGGCTGACTGGAAGGAAGTCAGGAAAAGGAGAACTGCATTCATTAAGTACTCAATGTTAACTGAATACTGTAATGTGCGTTCTAGAAATGCTACCAGGTAACTGGAACTTGTTATGTGTTGAGCAAGTGGCATCTGTTGCCTATTATAAAGAGTAGAAATCCAAGCACTTCTGCCCACTGTGTCTTGGTATTGCAGTTGTCAAGCACTGGATGGAATACTACTTTCCTTCCACAGAGATGAGACACAGCAAGATCGGCTTCAGTAGTGGGTGTCAGTGTCCCATGGCCAGCTGGTCCCTCCTAGCAGCTGATGCAAAGCAATTGGCCTGATGCACCCCTCTTGTGCTATTGCAGAAGGAACTTGTCACCTCCCCACAGTGGACAGATATATACTTGTGGGGTTGGCGAGGTGCCATGACACACATGCTTAAGCAGAACAAAGGAATGCACATGAAGTCTGAAACAGGAAGGTTATTCCCCCACAAGATGACAAGACCAGCACAGGCTGTGAAAACTCTTTAACCCTTGGTAAAATAGTGTTCCAGGTCCAAGATCTGTTCTTATGAAGCAAGAAGGGGTTGAAAGACTGCCTTCAGGATGGTAGAGCATGATATTTTAGCAGAATGTATAACACAACTGAATACTTGAAGTAAAGAATACCTTTTAAAGAATGAAGCAGTGTGAGGTGGAGGCAGTGAGGAGGGGTATGGAGAAGGGGTATTATAGAATTAAGTTGGAATTAGATCATTGAATAGAGAAAACAATATAGAGTATTAGTCTTTGTTCACCAATATTTACCCAGTCTCAGCCTTTTGGTAGGTATTCATTATTTTAATTGAATGAATGAAAGAAGGAAAGATTTGCTTGTAAGCATGGGGAGCTATCATAATTTTAAATAAAGGGGCATTTAATGAACACATCCAGCAGCAGTGACAAAACCCTACTGTTGAAAGAGAACAATGTAGGTACTTTGCCTACAGTTAGAAGACTTTTGTAGTAAGACAGGTTAGGGGAGGTGAAAGTCTAAAAAACTAAAGGATGAGCACTGAAGATTGAGAGAAGCTGTTAAATAAATTTAGAAGGACCAACAAAATAATCCAGTGGTCAACTGGATGTAGAAGTGAGAGTTCAAGGATAAATATGAATTATCTAGCAGATTTGGGAGGGGAGAGTTGTTGAACAAATGGTGATGCCACTAATTGAGATAGAAAATGCAAAAGAAGACAAAAATAGGAGATAATGAGCTTGATGTTGAGCTTGTTTCATTTACATCTCAAGAGGATACACGTGGCAATGTTCAGGAGCTCCAGAGAAAGAGTAGGCTGTCAGCGAGTAGTGGGCATTGAGAGAAGAGCTAAAGACAAGAGAGTGAAAGAAATCACCCAAGGAGAAACTCTAGGATAAAATGAGAAGAGGCTTGCCAATATGTGGGAAGTACCAACACGCCATGTGGGAAGAAGAGAAAAAGCTAATGAAGGTGCTTGGAAAAAATATATATTGGAAGAGGGGGAAAGGGAACTAAGAGAATGATATGCTGCAATGAAAAAAAATTCAAAAGGGAAAGTCATTAGCAAGTTGTTAAACTGGATGGGAACTAAAAAGTACCCATTGGATTTGGCCTTTGGGTCATCACAAATCTCATGTAAATAGTAGGATCAGAAGGCAGATCACAGAAAAAAAGCCAGCTTTTTCTTTATTTAGGAGAGAAAGGAGAACAGTAGATACAAAAGGCAGATTATGGAAAAAAAAAAACTTAAAATCCTGACAAAAAGGAGAGATGATGTCAATCAACTTGGTATCAGCTTATCAGGTATGATTTGCCAAAGGTAAAAAGAACTTTCCACATGGCACCCATAGTTTATTATCTAAAATTCTTCCTGCTATACATTGCTATTTTAAGTCATAAAGTTTTTTTTCTTTTCAAGGATCTTCTTAATAAAATGCAATTACTCCTGAAAATAGTAATATCTTAAACTCTCCCTCTGAAGTGTTAGTTGACAAGGATTTAACAGAGAAAATGTTGTGTCTAATGAGACACCAAAGGCGTCTTGGTGTTTGGCAAGTAGGAAAGAGGAAAGGGCCTATTAAATGAGGACCTGTGAAGCCTCAAAGAAATAAGCCTCCAGGCGGGTGCAGTGACTCACACCTGTAATCCAAGCAATTTGGGAGGCCACAGTGGAAGGATCACTTGAGCCCAGGAGTTCAAGACCAGCCTGGGCAACATAGTGAGACCCTGTCTCTACAAAAAATAAAAAATTAGCCAGGCAGGTAGCACATGCCTGTAGTCCAGGTACTTGGGAGGCTGAGCTGGGAGGACCCCTTGTACCTGGGAAGTTGAGGCTGCCCTGAGCCGTGGTTGCATGACTGTGCTCCACCCTGGGTGACAGAGCAAGACTCTATCTCAAAAAAAAAAAACAAAACATATATATATACATATATGTATGTATATATACGTATATATATGCCTCCTATTTGATGATTTGGTTAGAATCATGTTTAGATTGTTTTTGTGTTGGCTGGCTCTGCCAAAATGTTATTAATTTTTTTATGAGAAAACAGGATAGTTAAGAAAATTTAAATATGTAGTAGAAGTGGACTTCTTAAAACACATAGTAACTGGTGATGTTACTGAGATGTTAACAGTTGCTGTTGCTACCTACAATATCAATAAAATCTTAAATTATTGCATTCACTTTGATTATATAAAACATGCTCTTCTGGCCCCAAGAAAGAGTATTTTGTTATATGCCTACTACTTTTCACAGCAAGGCAGATCCATGATGAGAATCTTCAACCTATTAACAGCTGCTTTCCAGGTCAATGAGTTAATCAAGCATTTACCAAGCACCTACTATGTATCTAGTATTTAACAGAATTGTGTTTGAAGTTAGAAAAAAGAAGAATCAGAGTAAGGTATTATTTTAATTAAAAAGTTTGTGGCATGTAAACATGCAAAAAGTAATTGTATTAAACAGAAATTATTTTCTTTCAAGTCTGCCATATGTTCATCTTATTAGAAACATAAATGCCACAGTAAGAATAAAAATTCTCTGGTAGCCAATACACTGAAAATCTTTTCTCCATCAGGGCAAATTCTCATGAATATTGACTAGGGAAAAGAAAGAAAAATGTAATAAACATAGCATCTGTTTTGCTTATGGTTTCTTTTTGTTTTTGTTGTTGTTGTTTTCTGAGATGGAGTCTCACTCTATTGCCCAGGCTAGAGTGCAGTGGCACAATCTCGGCTCACTGCCACCTCCACCTCCCAGGTTCAAGTGATTCTCTTGCCTCAGCCTCCCAAGTAGCTGGGATTACAGGCACCCGCCACCACACCCGGCTAATTTTTATATTTTTAGTTGAGATGGGGTTTCACCATGTTGGCCAGGCTGGTCCCAAACTCCTGACCTCAGGTGATCCGCCTGCCTCAGCCTCCCAAAATGCTGGGATTACAGACGTGAGCCACCACACCCAGCTGCTTATGTTTTGTTTTAAATCTGTCATTAGATCTAAATAATTTCATTTACCTTCACCATATTTGTGGCTACTACTAAATAATAGTTCCTTATTGTAGGTACTTCCAATTATTAACCAATTATAATATTACCTTATAAAAAGTTTAAAGAAAAATATTTTTTCACTTCAAAAGTACGTATATATTTATGTCCCTGATTTTTTTCTTTTTTTTTTATAATTATAAAATACCTGCATTATGCTATGAAACCAAAACGGCTCTTTAAAAGTCTATTTTTTTTTATTGCTTGCAGGCAGGGATTATATTTACTGATAGCTAGCAAATGTATTTGTTGGATATGGATAGATAAACTTTTATCTATTCTATCACATAATAAATTAGTTGGAGAATCTGATCAGTCTAGATCTACCACTAATTAAAAAAATAGGTTTTTAATTCAAATTTTACAATTCATTTCCAATTCCAAATTTTAACTTTAATATCTGGTACAAGAGAAGTAACTGGTGCATTGATTATTTAAAAGGTATGTCACACAATAAGAAAGTATCACAACACATGCAGTGTGGAGATCTGCACAACACATACAACTCACATGCAGCCTCTTGGAGATCAGCTCTTGGGTACAACTCACATGCAGTCTCTTGGGTACTGCCAAAGGAACTTGAATTGCTGCCATGTATTATACAATGTGGCAATGTCCAGCAAATTTAAGACTTTTGATTGCTCTTTGTCCCAGAAATGTTATTTCTAGGAAGTTATCCCAATGAAATAATCATGAATATAGGCAAGATATATTTACAAAGATAGTCATTACAGTAGTGTCCATTGAAAAATTAAGAATTTTGATATCTATCAATAGGGGATGATTCAATAAATTATGATGTTCTCACATGAGGAAATATTATGTGGTCATTAAAAAATAACAGAAAAAATGATGAAAATGTTCACAATAAATTGTTAAGTTAAAAATTCAGAGTTTAATATATATGGTATAACAAATTTTATTTTAAAAAATATAGCTTTAGAAATGGGTAGATATAGATAATGAGTAGAACAAAGACTTGAAGGAGCAGCTCATTCAGTTTTCATCCATCTGAAGTATGTAATTTCCTCCTGTGTTAACCTCCTAACTAGTCTTCATCTACTCTTGACAGATTGTTTGTATGTTTGTTGGTTTATTTGTCTGAGATAGGATCTCGCTCCATTGCCAAGGCTGGATGGAGGGAAGTGGCATAATCTCAGCTCACTGCAGCCTCAACCTCCTGGGCTCAAGCAATCCTCCCACCTCAGCCTCCTGAGTAGCTGGGGCTACAGGTGCCCACAATCACACCTGGCTTATTTTTGTATTTTTTGATAGAAGCAGGGTTGTGCCATGCTGGCCAGGCTGGTCTTGAACTCCTGTGTTCAAGTGATCCACCCACCTCAGCCTCCCAAAGTGCTGGGATTACAGGCATGAGCCACCATGCCCAGCCTACTCTTGACTTCTAAGGATCCTTCTTCACAAAAACAAGAAATGGGGAAAGGATTCCCTATTTAATAAATGGTGCTGGGAAAACTGGCTAGCCATATGTAGAAAGCGGAAACTGGATCCCTTCCTTACACCTTATACAAAAATTAATTCAAGATGGATTAAAGACTTACATGTTAGACCTAAAACCAGAAAAACCCTAGAAGAAAACCTAGGCAATACTATTCAGGACATAGGCATGGGCAAGGACTTCATGTCTAAAACATCAAAAGCAATGGCAACAAAAGCCAAAATTGACAAATGGGATCTAATTAAACTCAAGAGCTTCTGCACAGCAAAAGAAACTACCATCAGAGTGAACAGGCAACCTACAGAATGGGACAAAATTTTTGCAATCTACTCATCTGACAAAGGGCTAATATCCAGAATCTATAATGAACTCCAACAAATTTACAAGAAAAAAACAAACAATCCCATCAAAAAGTGGGCAAAGGATATGAACAGACACTTCTCAAAAGAAGGCATTTATGCAGCCAAAAGACACATGAAAAAATGCTCATCATCACTGGCCATCAGAGAAATGCAAATCAAAACCACAATGAGATACCATCTCACACCAGTTAGAATGGTGATCATTAGAAAGTCAGGAAACAACAGGTGCTGGAGAGGATGTGGAGAAATAGGAACACTTTTATACTGTTGGTGGGACTGTAAACTAGTTCAACCATTGTGGAAGTCAGTGTGGCGATTCCTCAGGGATCTAGAACTAGAAATACCATTTGACCCAGCCATCCCATTACTGGGTATATACCCAAAGGATTATAAATCATGCTGCTATAAAGACACATGCACACGTATGTTTATTGTGGCACTATTCATAATAGCAAGACTTGGAACCAACCCAAATGTCCAACAATGATAGACTGGATTAAGAAAATGTGGCACATATACACCATGGAATACTATGCAGCCATAAAAAATGATGAGTTCATATCCTTTATAGGGACATGGATGAAGCTGAAACCATCATTCTCAGCAAACTTTCTCAAGGACAAAAAAAACAAACACCGCATGTTCTCACTCACAGTTGGGAACTGAACAATGAGAACACATGGACACAGGAAGGGGAACATCACACACCCACACACCGGGGCCTGTTGTGGGGTGGTGGGAGGGGGGAAGGATAGCATTTCGAGATATACCTAATGTTAAATGACGAGTTAATGGGTGTAGCACACCAACATGGCACATGTATACATACGTAACTAACCTGCACGTTGTGCACATGTACCCTAAAACTTAAAGTATAATAAAAAAATAAATAAAAATAAAAAGAATCCTTCTTCTAGACTGCAGCCACATAGTTCCAAAATGTAAATCCTATCATGTCATTTATTCTTAGTTAGAAATGCTTAAAAATGTTTCTTCTACTTTTATGATAAAGAACAATCTTCTTCTTGTAGTACTTGTTCCTTGCCTGGTTCTCTCTCTCTCTCCCTCCCGACTCTCACCTCTTCTTGTCACTCTCCTCCAGATCTCTTAACTTCATTATCTGCTTTCCTAACAACCGCATCCCAAAATTCAGTTCAAGTAGACCAGGTGAAGTATTCTTATCCTCTTGGAAATAGGCATTGTTTTTGTCCTCCCTAACTCTGCACAGTGCAAGAGGTTTCAAAAATCCATCCCTAAAGAGGAATTTATATTTCCTATCACACCTAGAAGCAGGCAAAAGGCTTTTCAATCAACCCTGAAGCAAAGTCTTGGCTAAAGAATAAACAGAAATGCACAGAGGTAGCTGTCTCTCTGAATGGTTTCTCTGGTAGGCTGTTTGGCTTACCAGAACAAGAGCAGGGTTGCCACCATTTGGGTATAGAAAGTAGAGGGTCTACCTTTTCCTATCTGTCTCTGAATCATGGTCATAAAAGAATGCTGATATATTAGCAACATTCACAGCCTTTTCCCATCACCTCTACCACTCACATCATCTGTGTGTTTTGGGGAAAATCCTTTAACCTCTCAGTACCTCAGTTTTCTATACTGTAGAATAGAAGTTGAACTCAGTCATATGTCTATTTCAACATTTCTTTCTGATAGCTGTACTCTAAAACTTGCTGCCCTTGAACATCACACACTGGGGCCTGTTGTGGGGTAGGGGGAGGGGGGAGGGAGAGCATTAGGAGATATACCTAATGTAAATGACGAGTTAATGGATGCAGCACACCAACATGGCACATGTATACATATGTAACTAACCTGCACGTTGTGCACATGTACCATAGAACTTAAAGTATAATCAAAAATAAACAAATAAATAAATAAAACTTGCTGCCCTTTAGTGTTCACCTTGACTTGCTTTCACCTGTGTACAAAATTGGAAATGCTGGACACACCCTGGTTTCTCCTGGTCCTATAAAAGCCCTGGGAATTGATTTGACCAAGAGATGCCAAGAGAAAAAAAAATCTGTGAGAAGTAGACAGCACATGGCATTGACAGATCAAGCAAAGCAGTTAGCCAATTACATACAAATCCACAGGCCAGATCTAGGCAGCTCAAATGTTTCATGAATTTCAGAGCCTGGATGAAACTCTGAACTTGTAAGGGCTGTGTGTATGTATGTGTGTGCATAAACTTCTTGCAAAGGAAACCTCCGAAAATGCAGACAATCCCTCTTGTCCCAAGGCCTAGACTGATCGTGGCTACAGTGAAATAAATTCGACAAGCTGAGGGACAGAGCACCTCAGGAGGGTGATAGACTAATAGGCCCTAATCCTCTCAATACCCCACATTAAATTTCCATTGAATAGACACTCATAAAAGGGAAATAACACGTCCTGCAGGGGAAAACCAAGGTAGACAGTGAACTCTTTCCTCCATAAGTTTTCTTACCAGTCTTTCTGATTTTACAACATGATATGTTCTGAACCTTTTAGCAAAATGGAGGTTTCTTATTTCAGGCTAACTGCTGCTAATCTGTTCCAAATGTTAACGTCACAAGTAAGATCTGGTAACCATCGCTGCACTGAATTGATAATAGGAATAGAGCTGATCACCATCTGGTTTGGTTCACAGTACAACTTGCTGCCTAATATTGTAGAATTTGAATTGGAAGTCCCCTGCATTTCATGAATGCCACAAAACAAGAATTTAAACAAACAGTGCTCCCCAATAGGCATGTGTCCTTATTTATATTGCTCTATAGGTTTGTGAAATATGGAATATCACATTACTAATTTTGGCAAATTCCAGGGTACATAAACAGGCCAAAACCTCTTAACATAAATTATGCCAGAGCTGCCTAATGATAATTTTAAAAATTCATGGCGCTGGTTTTCCAGAGTTATGACAGAAAACCATTCTGGAAATCAGAAACAAAATTTGAAATTGGTTTTAGTTGCATACTTCCCTTACCAAAGCTGCTGTTGCAGGATCTATGAAAATATACTCTATTCTTCCACATTATGAATAAGTTGGAAAACCTGATTTATCTAGAACTACTAGTCATTTTAAAATGTATTCTTGACTCAAAAGGAAACATTCACTGGTCCTTTCCAATTTCCAAATTTTCTACTGTATTACAATAATTCTGAAAACAATTTAGCTTTTTACTGAGGAAATTTCTTCTAATTATGTTAAATTATTACTGGATTGTCTAAAGAGCTTAGGAGTTCAGATAATAAATATTTAGTGACAAGGACAATGTCTTTCATATTCTCATAGTATTCTTTTTTTTTTTTTAAGACAGAGTTTCACTCTTGTTGCGCAGGCACCGCAACCTCCGCCGCCTGGGTTCAAGGGATTCTCCTGCCTCAGACTCCTGAGTAGCTAGGATTGCAGGTGTGAGCCACCGCGCCCGGCCTTCTCATTGTATTCTTAATGCTTTGAATTGTGCCTGGCACATAGCAGGTGTTTACTTAATGAATGGAGCCCAAGAGACCTATATGGAAGTAACAATTTCCAATTTGCTTGAAATTTCAGCACTTTAACTAGAGGCATTTAGAAACCACAACCAGAGAATGTAAAGGCTTCATAAACATTGTAGTAGCATGCAATGACTCTTTAAGTATAACATCTATACTTACGTATAATATCTATACTTGGCAGAAGACCCAAGTTTTGTGAAGATTAGTTGCTCATTTATTTAGGGATGCAAGCCCAAAATACAAATGCAAGGCAGAGGCATAATAAGGAACATAGCCCTCATTGGCAGACTTTGTTTTTATATGTAGGTGTCAAGTGCAAAATATCTCAAGGTACCCCCACTACTGCAAAGAAACAAGATTATTTAGGTATGTTTGTATCAATTAACAAGCCCTTCAGGAATTTCTAAAACTTCCATCCTAGGAATCCAATTTTTAAACATGTTAATAATTGTGAAATTTTATTTTTACAAGGCAGACTTTCAATGTTTTTCTACTAAATATTTGTAAATATCTAAAGGCCAGTTCCTTTGGGCTAAAACAAGCTTGTCCAACCTGTGGTCTATGAGCCACATGTGGATCAGGAAGGTTTTGATTGCAGCCCAACACAAATTTTTAAACTTTCTTAAAACACATTAAATTTTATTGCAATTTTATTTTTAGCTCATCAGTTAGTGTTAGTGTTAGTGTATTTTATGTGTGGACCAAGACAATTCTTCTTCCAGTGTGGCCCAAGGAAGCCAAAAGATTAGACACCCCGAGGCTAAACGATATAAATGTAAGCATAGATTTGCAGGGCTGGAGTAGAAGTTATCTAATCTAGTTCTCTGCATCCATTTGTAGGCAGAAACATGTGAAAAAGTGTCAAAGAATATACAAATTTATCACTCCTATTTTTAAAGACCTCCCAAATAGATTTTAAGGACATTTACTGAATGACCTTCCAAGAATCCTCTTGGAATCAAGCAGTTCTTTAAGCTTCATTTTCTACACCTTCTGGCCTACCTGTCTGCTAAAAGAGCGGCCCTCATATCCTAGCCAAAAAGCTAATGTCTATGAACTATAAAATGCTTTTTTTTAACAATATGATTTCATTATAAGAGCATGATTGAGATAAAAGAGCAAATTTATCTCCCTTCCTTTTCAGGCTCTGTACATCATATCTCAGAAGCCTATTGTGTGTTTGTCCTGTCACCTATCCTACAGAACTCTGCAAAGAGAAAAAAGGTGCTTCTGTGGCACATTATAACTTGTGCCAGCAAATCCCCACAGTATCAAGAACATTCCTTTGTACTGTGATGAAGGCGCCTTCCCACAGCCAAGAAAGGAAACACCAATCCACATGTGTGTACCTTAAAAGAAACTTCACATACTTTGTTTTTCCTTTCCATCTGACAGCCCTGCAATCTGGGAAGCTAAGCAGAATTGGGTCTGCTTCATGCTTGGAAAGGAGACAGTTTGAGAATACCCAGTACTCTAGGCTTTCTCTCTTCCCACCCCCATTACCCTCACCTCACCTGCCCAGAGCAGTGTGGTAGTAGAGAAAGCATATTGGATTCCAGAACTTTCGATCAACTGCATACCCTCACTGTGCCCAAATTTTCAGGACAGATTTTTTTTAAGTCTCCAAAAATCTAAAATAGATTTTCATAATAAAGTCTATTTGCTCATAATGGTTGGAAATGGGTTACTAAATTTGAAGAAGTTAAATATATGCAACATTGAAAATACCCTGAACTTACCATTCTGCTTTTTATCCCTGCATTATTTTGCTCTGCTACTCCATGACCAAGTATTTTCTCTCCACTTTGTCTATGAAATTTCCTCAGGACCTAACTCAAATCTAACACTCTGCTTGAAGTCTAATTATTAGTACCTCCATTAAACTATCCTCTAAATATTGTACCCATAGTCCCTACTATAGCATAGCATTCTGGGTTTAATTATTCTCTATTTTTAAACTGTATTAGTCATCCTTCCATCCAGATTGTCAACTCCTTGAAAAAAGTTAAACTCTGGGTTAAAAAAAAAATTTACTTTTATTTTCCAAACTTTCTAAACTTTCCAAACTTTGGTACAACTACTTCCTTCATCATTTACTAGTTGTGTGATCTTGAGCACATTCTTGAAATGTACTGCACCTGAGTTCTCTCATCTCTAAAACAGAGCTAAACATACCAAGCTTACTTGGTTGTTGGGACATCATAGATGATCAATAAGTACTTGCTAATGGCTCACTATTTTCTTAGTGATTTGGAAAGTATTTTCTAAGTACTTCAAGATTGTCATTACAAAAATAAGTTTCCATTGGAAATATGTGTCGGTCTTTTCTCTCAGACTTGGAGCTCCCTGAACTTCAGTACTGTGTCTCTCGTGACTAGCCCAGGATTTTCTGAATGAATTCTCTGAACCCTCCATTATGTTTGGTTGTTCTTTCTGTGTGTTTCTTAATACATGGATGCACTTACACTCATTGAAGTCTTTACTTCTGTATAGTCTAGTTGCCTGTTTACATGTCTGTTCCTCCCAGTCAACTGTAAGTTTTTTGAGAGCTGGCTTTATCCTTTTGAATATGCCCAGCACTTAAAGTACTCAATAAATAAATTGTAAATAAATATTAATAAATAAACATTGCTTTCTTACAAGAGGAGATAGCAAAAAACTGTAAGGCAAAGTATCTTTTCTTAAAGAATATATAATTTTATTGAAAAGACATTTCCCTCCTCGTCCTTCCACCCTAATATATTCCAATTTCATTAATGGTCTGTTTAAATACTGTAGTTACAATCCTAGCATGGCATATAACTGAAGTGAATCACTTTTAAATCATTAATCTCACTTTGAGAAATGTATATCAGAGAATCAATCCAGCATATATAAAATGCTACTGTCATGCAATTTTTTACTACAGCATTATTTATACTAGCAAAAAGAGGAAAAATGGTAGATGGGAATATACAACAATAAATTTCAAATTGTTCAATACTCACTTGAAGATTTAAGTAGCTTTTTAAAACAATGGTTATAAATGCTCCATAATAGCATATGAAGTATCTAAAACATAATGGTGTTTTAAAAAAGCATAACAAGAAATTAAATATGTACTGGAATTATAGCTATGCAAATATACAGCTAAACTATTAAAAGAAAAACACCAAAAAAAAAAATAGAAATTCTGTGACAACTGCATGATTGTGGGTAAATTTTTACTTTCATTTTCCAAACTTTCTAAAGTACTGCTAAATTAGTAGTGTGTTGTCAATTTACTATTTTTTAAATTATCCTTGAGAAAGACCTTCAGCTGTCAATATTTTCAGGTAACTAGTTCAAGGTGAACAGAGCTTAAAATCAGGATAGAAATGGAAGTATTTGCATTTTCTTTCATTCAACACTTTGTTAGGTACTGAGGATATAAGGATGGACCAGATATGGTCTCAACCTTTGAGCATGTATACAATGTATAAGGGGAAGAGCCTTTTCAAATATACAGCTATGTTACAATGTTATGAACCCAATTGTTAGTATGAATATGCAACAGGAAACTCAGAAGAAAGAGTGATTAATTAAGTCAGTTCAGCCAAGGAAACCTTCACTGAAGAAGTGGCATTTAAGTCGGACTTTGAAAACAAGTAAACAAGTTTATCAGTTAGAGAAGGGGAAACATAGGAAGAAAGACTGACGAAATCTGAAAAACTCATAGCATATAAGGCAATAGGAATGGTGGATGAAATGGTAGAAAAATAAAAATGAAAGCTAACTTATTAAGTGTATGCTACATGCTGGGCACTTTAAGTGGATTATAGCTTATTTAATCCCTACGTAAATTCTAGGAAATGGAAATTATTATTGCTCTCATAATTACCACTTTGTGGATACGGAAACTAGTCTTAGTAAAGTTAGGAAATCTGTCTGAGTAAGTTACACAGGAAGTGGTGAAAATGGAGTTTTCATCCAGGTCTGTGTGCTTTAAAGCCCTACCCTTGACCACCAACAATAACAATACTGAGGCTAGAAAGAACCTTAATTGCTCTATTAATAAAGTTAGAGTTAATGTCATAACAAGTGCAAAATAATCAAAGTTCTTAATGCAAAATACTCAAAGTTATTGAAAGGCACATTGAGAAGCTCGAGAGAGTAGAAGACCAATTAGGAGCATAATGCAATGGGCTAGTAAAGCTCTGAATCAAGAAAATGAAAAGTGAATGGAGAAAGGAAATTCAAGAGGCCTTTCAGAGACAGAACTGCAGAACTAATGACCATGAAGGAGAGAAAGGAGTCCAAGTTTTATACTTTGGTGACTAAAAGACTAGTAAATCAATTAACCAAGAAACAGAACACAGATATGATGGAAAAAATGATGAATTTGATTGGGAAGCTGGAATGGCTAAACTTGTATCAGACAAAATAGACTTCCAGTCAAAAACTTTTACAAGAGAAAAAGAAGGACATTATATTATGGTAAAAGGATCAATTCATCAGGATTATATATAAATTATAAATATATATGCACCAACATTGGGGTACATAAATATATGAAGCCAATATTGACATAACTGAAGGAGAAATAGACAGCAATACAATAATAATAGGAGGCTTCATAACCCTACCGTCAATAACAGGTAGAACAGCCAGACAGCAAATCAATAAGCGAATAATGGACCTGAATAATACTATAGACCAACTGGATCTAATAGGCATGTAGACAGTATATCAGCCAACAGCAGCAGAATACATGTGCTTATCAAATGCACATGGAACATTCTCCAGAACAGATCACATGTTAGATCAGGAAACAAGTCTGAAAAATTATTTTAAAGTGAAATCATATCATGTATCTTTTCCAACCACAAAGGGAGTGAACTAGAAAAAGAAGAACAAACTAAGCCCAAAGTTAGCAGAGCAATAAAATAATAGATTAGAGCAGAAATAAGTTAAATAGAGAATATTTTTAAAAATTAATAAAACTGAGTTTGTTTTTTGAAAACTTAAACAAAATTGATAAACCTTTAGCTAGGTTAACCAAAAAAAGCAGATAAGACTCAAATAAATAAAATTAGAAATGAAGGGGAAAAATTATAACTAAAGCCAAGAAACATAAAGGACATAAGAGACTATTATGAGCCATTATATGCTGACAAATTGTAAAACCTACAAGAAATGAAGAAATTCCTAGAAATATACAACCTACCAAGACTGACTCATAAAGAAATAGAAAATTTGAACAGACAAATAACAACTAAGGAAATTAAACCAGTAATCACAAATCTCCCAACAAAGAAAATTCCAGAACCAAATGGCTTCACTGGTGAATTCTGCCAAATATATAAAGAATGAATGCCAATCCTTCTCAAACTCTTACCAAAAACTGAAGAGAAGGGAATACTTTCAACTCATTTATGAAGTCAGCATTACCCTGATACCAAAGCCAAAGACATTACAATAAAAAAAACCCACAGTCCAATACTCTTGATGCACATAGATTCAAAAATCCTCAGTAAAATACTAGCAAACTGAATTCAATGGGATGTTAAAAGGATCATACACCATGAACAAGTGGGATTTATCTTTGATATGTCAAGGATGATTCAATATATGCAAATCAATAAATGTGATACACCACATTAAAAGAAATTAGGGTAAAAATCACATATTACTCTCAATAGTTTGAAAATGAAATTAACAAAATTCAACAGCCTTTCATGATTAAAAAAGAAATTCTCAACCAACTAGGTATAGAAGGAATTTACTTCAAAATAATACAAGCTGCATATGACAAGTTCACAGCTTCATACTCAAAAGTGAAAAATTGAAAGCTTTTCTTGTAGATCAGGAATAAGACAAGGGTGCTCTTTCTCACCACTTCTATTCAATATAGTACTGGAAGTCCTAGCCAGAGCAATTAGGCAAGAAAAAGAAATAAAAGGCATTCAAATAGGAAAGATGAAGTAAAACTATCTCTGTTTGCCAATGACATGATCTTATGTGTAGAAAACCCTAAAAACTAGACACACACACACACACACACACACACGAGACACACCAACCTTTTAAAACTGATAAGTGAATTCAGTAAAGTTGCAGGACATAAAACCAACGTGTAAAAATTGTCTTTTTTTTTTTTTTTTGAGACAAGGTCTCACGCCATCACCCAGGCTGGAGTGCAGTGGCATGATCATGGCTCACTGCAGCCTTGACCTTCAGGCTCAAGCGATCCTCCCACCTCAGCCTCCGAAGTAGCTGAGACCACAAGCATGTGCCACCATGCCTAGCTAGTTTTTAAATTTTTTTTTGAGACAAGGTCTCCCTATGTTGCACAGGCTGGTCTTGATCTCCTAGGCTCAAATGATCCTCTCACCTCAGCCTCCCAAAGTGTTGGGAATACAAATGTGAAACACTGCACCTAGCCCTAGCTGCATTTTTATACACGAATAACGAACTATGTAAAGGAAATTAAGAAAAAAATCCCATTAATAGCAGTATCAAAAAGAATAATTTGCTCAGGAATTAAACCTAACCAAGGAGGTAAAAGACTTGTACACTGAAAACCACAAAGCATTGATGAAATATATTAAAGAAGATGCAAATAAATGGAAAGACATCCCACATTAATGAATTGGAAGTTTTAGTGTTGTTAAAATATCTACACTACCCCCAAATGATCTATGAATTCAATGCTATCACAATCAAAATTCCAAAGACTTTTTTTCCAGAAATAGGATAAACAATCCTAAAATTAATATGGAACTACAAAAGACCTTGATAGTCTTGAGAAAGCAGAACAAAGTTGAAGGCATCACATGTTTTGATTTCAAAATATATTACAAAGCTACAATAATTAAAACAGTACGGTACTGGCATAAAGACAGATGTATAGACCAGTGGGACATAATGGAGAGTGATGAAATAAACTCACACATATATGGTCAACTAATCTTTGACAATGGTGCCAAGAATACACAATGGGGAAAGAATCTTCTTCAACAAATGGTGGTGAGAAAACTGGATATCTACATGCAAAGGAATGAAATTGGACCCCTACTTTACACCACACACACGAATAAACTCAAAATGGATTTAAAGTCTTAAATCTAAGATCCAAAACTGTACAACCCCTAGAAGAAAACATAAAGGAAAAGCTTCTTGACATTGGTCTTGGAAATGACATCTTGGATATGACACCTAAAGCACAGGCAACAAAAGGAAAAATAGACAAGTGGGACTACATCAAATGAAAAAGCTTTCTGTGCAGCAAAGAAAGCAACAGAATAAAAAGGCTCCCTATGGAATGAAGAAAGTATTTGGAAACAATATATCTGATAGAGAGTAAATATCCAAAACACATAAGGAACTCACAAAAACAAATCGAATTTAAAAACAAGTATCCTGATTAACAATTGGGCAAAGGACTTGAATAATCATTTATTTAAAGAAGACATACAAATTACCAATAGGCATGCTCAACATCACTAATCATCAGGGAAAAATCAAAATCCTTTTACACTGTTGGTGGGAATAGAAAACAGTGTAGCTACTATGGAAAACAATATAGAAGTGCCTCTAAAAATTAAAAATTGAACTGCTATACAATCCAGAAATTTCCACTTCCAGGTATATACACACAAAAAAATGAAGTCAGGATCTCAGACAGATTATCTGCACTCCTATGTTCACTGCGTCATTATTCACAATAGCATAGATGTGGAAACAACCTAAATGTAAATTGATAGATGAATGGATAAAGAAAATATGGCATATAAAATACCACGTGTTCTCACTTGTAAGTGAGAGCTAAATGATGAGAATATATGGACACATAGAGGAGAACAATGCACATTGAGGCCCATCAGAAGGTGGAGGTTGGGAGGAGGGGGGAGGATCAGGAATAATAACTAATGTTTACTAGGCTTAATACCTGGGTGACGAAATAATCTGTAAACAAACCCCCATAACACAAGTTTATCTATGTAACAAACCTGAACATGTACTGCTGAACTTAAAACCTTTTAAAAAATAATTAAAAAAAGAAATTGTGGTATATATTTAATACATACAATGGAATACAATTCAGCCTTTAAAAAGAAGGAAATCTGCCAAATGCAACAAATTTAGATGACTTTGAGGACACTATGATAAGTGAAAGAAGTCAGTCACGGAAGGACAAATACTACATGATTCCACTTATATAAGGTTTCTAAAATAATCTCAAAGAAAGAGAGTAGAATGGTAGTTGACAGGGGATGGGGTTAGGAGGAAATTGGGAGTTGTCAATGAGTATAAAGTTTCAGTTATGCAAGATGAATAAGTTATAGAGATGTGCTCTACAACACAGTGCCTACAACTAACAATACTGTGTTGTGCACGTAAAAATTTTGTTAGGAGGGTAGATCACAGGTTAAGTGTGCTTACTACAAAAACAAACAAAAAAGAGCATAGGGAAACTTTTGGAGGTGATGGATGTGATAACTACTTTGACTGTAGTGATGATTTCAAGGGTATATGCGTTTGTCCAAACTCATTAAATTGTGTATATGAAATATGTGCAGTTTTTTGTGTATCAGTTATATCTCAATAAAGTTGTTTAAAAATAGGCACTTGTAACCACAGCCTATGAACAGAATTTTATTCCAGAGTGTTTTCTGATGTTTTTATCCATCAGTCGAAATTCTACATTTTAGCAGAATCTCTTCCTTTTTTATCTTGAATGTGGGTACAGTTAATACCTTAATTTTTTAAATACTGAAAATTCACTGTGTTGATACCTTATTTTAATTAGCAAAACTTTTAAATAATCCATATTTAAAGTAATTGTTTCAAATTTTAAAATAAACACATATTGCTAATTTTAAAATAAACACATATTTTCCCAACTATATCTGAAGTTGAAACAATAACAACAACAAAAATTAGCTAAACTAGGAAAGGGAGAGATTTAGTTTTCCTCCATGTGCCATGATGGTACTTTTTCACTTGAGATTTCCAAGAAGTCTAAAGTAATAGAAATATCTTTAATCTGACAACTTTAAATGCCTTCTGCATATGTCAAGGAAATGAAAATGCCAAATGATCCACCAGAAATCCCTGCAATGTAAAGCACTATTAGTGGTAAGAACAGCCTCATTAACTGTTGTTGATTTGTGACTATTTGGGAATCCAACTCTGCTGAGGGAGTAAGGGAGACTTTTTTTTTTTTTTGGCTGGCTAAAGGTTTCTTTTCTGCCACCCCTGAGTCAACCTGCTTTATTTTATTTTTTCCAAAACCACCATAAAGCGAAGTTTTGAAAAAGACTTCTTGGAGAAAATGTCTTGAGGAGGGAAGAAAGGATGAGTAGAAAAATAGCATGATCAGCCATGCAGCATTTATATTTCCAAAAACTGTATATATTACTGGAAGATTGAGTTTCTTCCTTCCTTTATGTATTCACCTAAAATTTAGACCAATTAATATGTTATTTAAGTATCTATAATTCATGTTACTGGATTAACCCATGGTGCTGGACATTATAAAAATATTCAGAAAGAAAATTTTGAAAGCAGTTACTTCAGATGGCATTTTATAGGCCTGGGAAGTCGCTGAAGAGATAATAATAATAAATATGAAATAGTTAAATAAAGCCAAGTATGTAATAAATTAAGTCATATAGTTATATGCTTTGATATAAAGTATTATCAAAACTAATTACATAGGACTTAAGTTGTCCCTGAGGCAGAATAGAGAAGACAAGGAAAGGCATCCTAAGCCCTTCAAATAGCAGACCAAGATAAACAGACAAGGAAATTCTCATGAAAAATTTTAAAATGGACTATGAAAATCTTTATCTATCTCTTTCGTTTGATCAGAAGACACTGGAAACCCCCAAGGAAATTCATTATGAGAACCCAAATGGTTATAGCAGTAGTAATAGTAGTGGCCATGACTCTTTAAGCTATATGTATGCATAATTTGATAAAACTGAAAAATGAAGAGTCAAAATTTATAGACCATGGTGAATTTTTGAATAGAAGAATGACAAGCTTGTTCTGTGTTAAAAAAACAAAAAACAACTTTCTGTTGGCACTGCAAAAAGAATGAATAATGAAGGAAGAAGAGGGAAATCAATTAGAATTGTATTTCCCTAGGCTAAAGGGAATATGTATCCGAAGATTTGAACCAAGTTAGTGTCAGTGGAACTAGAAGAAAAGGGGACAATTTAGGAAACAATTCAGATATAGAATCACCAAAAGTTGGAGATTAATTGGCTACAGGCATGCAAAGGAAGATGTTTAAGATAATTTAGAAGGATGTTTAAGATAATTTGGAGGTTTTTTCACCTGAGTTAGTAGGTGGAGCTGCTCTCTGGAAGAAGATAGTAAGTTCAGTTTGAAATAAGTTGAATTTGTCCATTTCTCTATTTTAATTCATAAGAAAAATGTTACATATGATTATATAACATTTTTATGTATAATTATATATTTTTGTGCATATATACATTATATATATAAAATATGTATGTATTCATTGGAGAGAGACACTAATACCTTGGTTATATATATTGCAAGTTATATGTATTACATTTATGCATAATTATATATTTTATGTATATATTATATACATTATACACATTATATACATATATATATTCTAGAGAGACACTAATCACTTGTTTGTTATATATATTGCAAGTATCATCTCCCAGTGGTTTATCTTTTCACTTTATGGTGATTTTTGATGAAGGGAAGTTCTTAATCTTAATCTTAGAATTTATTTGACTTTCGTTTTTCTTTTTTTTTTTTTTTTGGAGACAGGGTCTTGTTCTGTCACCTAGGCTGGAGTGCAGTGGCACAATCATAGCTCACTGAAACCTTGAACTCCCAAGCTCCAGGAATCCTCCTGCCTCAGCTTCCCAAATAGCTAGAACTACAGGTGCATGTCACCACACCCGGCTATTGTTTAGCTTTCTTGATCTGAGGACTAATGTTTTTCAACAACTTAGGGGGTTCTTTTTGAATTCTACTCTCTCTTCCCCATTGGTTCTATAGTTTCCTTTTAGAACTCTAACTAAAAGTATTTTAGACCTTCTCCCTCCGTTCTCCACAACTATTAACTTCTGTATCATAGTCTTCATTTGTTTCTCTGGACTGTGTTTTACATTTTCTTCAGAAATTACTTCACCAGTTCTGTCTTCTGCCACATATAGTCTTCTGGTTAATCTTCCCACAGAGTTTTGAATTTTAATTATTAATAGTTTCTAAAAGTTCTATTTCTAGTAGTTATTTTTAAAATCCACATTACCTGTGTTTTCAAGGTTCTCTTTTATTTCTTTAATCACATTAAATATGGTTGTATATTCTGCCTGAGAATCCCAATGTTTATGGTTTTGGGGTCTATTGCTTTCTTACTTATGACATCCTTGGGTGTTGATTTTTGACTGCAAATATCTTCCTTGGAATTATGTCTGTAGATAGAATGTGGTTGAGGCCTAGATGGAAACTAAATTCCTTGTTTCTGCCAGTCCCCTGGGTGCACAACTAGCCAGGAACATTCTAGGCTAAATTCTCAAGTTTTTTTCAGACCCATTGAGGGCGAACTTGTGCTTATATATTTTCAAGGAAGTTTTTACTTTTTTCCGTCACTTATCGGGCATTACTGTTATATTTTCAAAAAAGTTTTTACTTTCTTCCACCACTTATCTAGCATTGCTGTTATTTTTAAATTTTTATTTATTTAGAGATAGGCTCTCTGTCACCCAGGCTGGAGTGCAGTGGTGCAATCACAGCAGCCTTGACCTTCCTGGCTCAAGCCATCCTCCTGCCTTGGCAGGCCTCCCTCCAAGTAGCTGGGACTACAGATGCACACCACCATGCCCAGCTAATTTTTATATTTTTTGTAGAGGTGAGGTTTCACCATATTGTCCAGGCTGGTCTCACACTCCTGGGTTCAGTTGATCCACTCACCTTGGCCTCCCAAAGTGCTAGAATTACAGACATGAGCCGCTGCACCTGGCCTTATCTAGCATTATTGTTAATGCAGGCAAATGTCTCTAGTGTTTCCTTCTTTCTTTCACCTTTACACATCTTCAGCTTTGTGTAGGGGTATCCTGTTAGGCTTCCTACCATCGATGGACCCTGAGTTTTCATTAGTATTCTCCATGTCCCAAGAAGCTGTCAAAATGGAAAGCCAGTATTCCAGGATTCAGCAGAAGTTCTCAGAACAAAAGTACATACCACATTATCTTTTATGGTTCCTGGTTTCTTTTTAGACATGGCTTTTTTTTTTTTTGCCAACCCATCAATGCCATTTAAAAATATGTAAATGTTTTATTTTATGTAGTATTTTTTAATTCTGCTTTAAAGGGTAATTTGGGTACCTAATCTCCAAAAATATACATCCCGATGTCCAGCTTTCTTTAGTAGTCAACTCAATTTTCTTTCTTCCCATATTGTATAATATCTTCTTGTTTTAACTCTGTTCTACTGCTTATGGATCTCTGATGTAGAGTCTCCAGCTCTCTACTGTGCTTCTTTTCTACAGTGAAAGGAAAAACTTATTTCATTAAATACATACAGCTGAACTAGGCCTACATGGCTAATCTGACTTTTCATGTGTACAGGAGTATTGTTTCAGGTTTCTGGAAAAAAGAATACAGTAAAAATACAGTAGAAAACCTTTAAGAAACCAAGGGTTGCTATATCTAGTGTGGAACAAAAGAACTTTCAGGGATCTCTGAAGTATACAATGCCTTTCTTTATTTCCTGAGACAGTGTTTATTCAGATGCTCAATGTTGTTAGAAGGCTGGTTTGGGATAAAAAAAAACAACACTGCGCATAAACAATTTCAGAAACTGGGGTTCTGTATATAGTTAACATAAAATGGCTTCTTTATTTGAAAGCAGTTGCATCAGTTTGATGATAATAACTGATGTTCATCAGTAAATACACCTATATATGTCCAAAGGGATGTGTCAATTTGTGACGACTTTTATTTCACTAAAAGAACTAAGTTCAGTCAACAGACATAATTTTAATTCTTATAATTAAGGCAAGGTTAAAGATTAGGAGGGATATGCATCTGGAAGGGAATTAAAATTGGAAAGAGAAAAAGGAGACACCTGCCACTTGAGAAATATGATGTGGTTCTTCACAACACCAAAAGCAGCAGTAATTCACCTAGAGTGTGGTAATAACTCTATCAACATGGGTATGGAGAAGCTTTATTTTTCACACAGAGTAAGATGGGATGATTTTCCCAGATACGGAGTAAAGAATTACTTTAAAAATCCAGCTAGCTAATAGATAGGTCTCCTCACTCACACTGTGAGATAAATAAAATAGTAGCGTGGAATTAGGGAATAACTTTTTTTAAAGTTCAATCTACAGAAACATGAGCTAACAGCTCTGATCAACTGCCTAAGAAGTAAAAGAATACACTTTTGTTGAGTAGCTCAGGCTTTACAAAGGAAAACTTATTACTACTTATATACTGCATTCAAAGTAAAGTTAGATTTGATACAAGCTAGTAAATTCATGGGTGTTAAAGAAATGAAGTAGCAATGCAATTGAAGCAAGAACTCAGCCTCTACTGAAAATATTAGAGAGATTGATGGATTTACTATACTCAAATTTTTCTACTTTCTGAACACAATAAGATACTGCTATTTTCCTCATCTTAGAGCTACACAAACACAGACTTGTGCATTCTAGTACCACTAAGCTTTATCTTCTGCAAAAATTTTGGATTAGGCTGTAACTTTCTTCCCCCTCAATAAATTTTTCTCCCTGAGTTAATCATAAGAAAAAGAAAATGTAGAGCTAGCCAGATGCTTCAATAATGAAGAAAATTGTTTTGGTGTTATCCAAAGAGGAAAAACGCCAGGAGATTTGGAAACCTCAGGCCATTTTAGACCACACCCAGTCTGCTGCACATAGGCTGTGTGACTCCTTTCTGGCAACTTTCCAAACAGCTACATGCACCATGCAGGTTCAGCACTTCAGTCTTAAATATGTGTGGCCTGAGTTGGCTTCCACCAGCTGACTATCTTATTTCATGCAATCCAAATCATCCCTAACATTAAACATCCTTCTAACTAAATCATACTCAGTACTAAACTGCCAGGCAAGCAAATGGCAGAACAGGATTTTTAGCTTTACAGATGCAAGAACTAGTTACTGACTCATGTCAAAGAAAAAACTGACTGGATTTGTAACAAGGCTCCACTTGATTAAAGGGAAGCTGAATAATGCTAAGAATTCAGTAAACACCATAGCTAATCAGAGATGTACTTAGTGATTCAGGAAGAGGAAATGATCAGTAACACTTAGAACACTTGGTAAGCTAAGGAGGTCATCTTTCACCATAGGTACAAATCAGATTCTACTTCATATCTCAGGTTCAAAGAATTTTGGAACCTTAAAGAATTTTAGTAGGAAAATAATTTTGGAATTCCTTTCCTACTAATATCTTTGTTCACTGGGAATTAACGTTATTAAAAATATAATGCTTTGTGGTATAGAATATTTTCTATAAGCACTACAATTTCTGTTATAGAACAATATATTTTATTTTGCCATATGGGAAAGTGAGGTTGTGCATAATTTCAGTGTTTTACTTTACTTCATTTACTCTGCAGTTCTAACTTACAAAAGTTTTCTGCCCTGTTGCTTATGGAAAACATGAGGCTCTGGGTTTATGTAAAAGTGGAAGACAAGTATTTTGGAACATGTAATATGTAACTCAGGTACTAAAAGACATTTATCTGTTCCAGATTCCCTTAGATGTAATTTTTTCCTTTAGTCTACCTGAATTTTAATGCAAAAAGAATCAGTCTTAGATTAAAGTATTAAGACAGGGCACATGCATATTTAAAATGGAAAGGGGGCACTAGGTCCTACTCCCACTCTATAAAAATACAGATCTTACATTATCCTTCGTTCTTTAGAAATGAAGGTCTCATAAGTACAATATTTTATATGGTAATATATTGACTCCTTTTATTCATTTTCAAAAGCAAGGCTCTGATTGAACAAAGTGTTTCTAATTTTTTTCCTTATCCTGCATATAATCAGCTTTGTGTTTTCCAAATTATATTTTGTTTCAGAGCTTTGTTGCAATGCTAATAATCTTATTCATTTCCTTGTTACCAGGATTCAATAATTTACTTTGAGCCATATGAAGTATTGCATCTAAAGCTAAAATGAAATGAAACGGTTTATTAAGCCTGTAATATAATGTCATCATTTACAGATGTGCCACTGCTTTGCACATTGGTATTGTTTCCTACCTTTTATTCAGTCTAATCTATTTGATAGTATTCCAAATGAAGTTAAACTTGAATGTTCACAGATAGAATTTATATCAATTGACTCTGAGTAAGCAGCAGTGCCAAAGTAGAAGACATCAATCACTTTTCAGCATATATTTTCATGTTATTAAATGGATTTTTCAAAATGTTTTACATAGCTTTCTGAAAGAGCATTTCCATATGCCACGAAAACTGAATGTTAGAATGTTTTTACATGGGATAACATTTACATACCTGAAATGAACTTCTTTATTAGAATCTCTAAATTTAAAACTGTGTTTGCTAATACAAAATGGAAATGTTAAATGAGATATGTACCCCTTCTAAGTTCTCTAAGTAAGATATAAATAAATATTTTTCTTATTTTAGACACTAACTGGAACTGAATGGCTAGAGCCTTACAATAACTGTATTTAATCACACTTGAGGAAAATATTTTACCATGTCTATTATTACTATAGATAATCAATCAACATTTACTCCCTCAAGCTATTTTTAAAATTGTCTCCAAATTTTATTTTGTGATTTCAGTTTGGAGGATGGATGCCATTCCATATACAACTAATTGACTAATACAAAACTTCCTAACTCCATGTAGCACCAATTTGAAAAACAAATACATTTTGATTTTTTTTTTTTTTTTTAATCAAGCGCAGTGGCTCACACCTGTAATCCCACCACTTTGGGAGGCCAAGGTAGCTGGACCACTTGAGCTCAGGGGTTGAGATGAAGACTAGCCTGGGCAACATGGCAAAACCCCATATCCACACACACACACACCAAAGCCAGGCATGGTGGTGCTGTGCTACTCAGGAGGCCGAGGTGGGAGGACCATTTGAGCTTGGGAGGATGAGGCTGCAGCGAGCTATGACTGCGTCCCTGCACTCCAGCCTGCATGACGGAAAGAGACCCTGTGACATGATCATAGCTCACTGCAGCCTCAACCTCCAAAGTCAAGTGATCCTCCTATCTAAGCTGCCACACCTGGCTCATTTTTTATTTTTATTTTTTGTAAAGACAGAGGTCTCACTGTGTTGCCCAGGCTGGTCTCAAACTCCTAGGCTCAAGTGATTCTCCCACCTTGGCCTCGCAAAGTGCTGGGATTACAGGCATAAGCCACCACACCTGGCCTAGAATTTATTTTTTGAAGTAGCTTTTCAAGCTCAATTTCAAAAACTTGTAATAGATCCATGTGCTATCTCATGTTTATTTCCTATCAAGCTTTGTGTTATTGAGGCAGTCACACGAGTGAGAAAAACAGAACTTTTACTAGACTCCATGCTATCTCTTATCTAACACATCTAGTTCATCATCAAGTCTTAGTACTTTCAAGTTTTAATATTTCTTAAATCTGCTCCTTTTCTCTCTTTATCCTCACCACAGTTTCATCTTTTTCTCACTTGGACAAGTCTGCCTACTTACTCTACCGGCTCAAGTCTGTTTTAGGTACATCAACTACAATGCTAGCAAAATAATGGGTTCAATGTAGACACTTTAGCAGACTTCCCTCATCTATGGAATAAAGTCCTAGCTCTATAGTGTCATATACAAAGCTGTAGGTAACCTGGCTACCTTCTATTTCTTTCTCCATTTCAATTCTTACCACAGGCTAATTTTTATTTAAAAAAATATTTATTGAACTGCATTTGTCAGATATCTTCTTCTATGGATTATGCGTTCATATACTTTGCCCATTTTTATTGATCTTTGAAATTCATAAATGTGCACTGAATTACACTTTTTCTTCATTAAAAAAATGCCAGAATAAGCACACTTTATACAATAAATTCTTTAATAAGATGTCATCAATTTAAGATAGACCAAAATTTCTGCGACCCCACTTAGTCTAAAATTTTGTTTTTCAATGGCATTACTGACCCATGTGGCTACAATAGGAAGAGCCAGAGTAAGGGGGAGGTAGGAAGAATAATATTCTTCTTGGACTCCAGAGGCAGATCCAATGGTTTATTTTCCATCCAACTTTTTTTCATCATTTAACATCCATGTTGTCTTTAGTTATTAACATCTTCAAATAATCTGTCCTTCTGTGGATCACTCCCAGGGTGCCATCATCCTTTGAGTCTTCAATACCCATCAAGACCTTAAACTGATCATTTCAAGTCCTTTTTGATCTGTAATCACCAATAGTCATGTACTACCAAGCCCACAGTCTGGTGCCTGCTATAGGCAAAACTCTGTGCTAAGCAATACAAGGAAAAGTAATACACATTTACCCCATAATGCACCAGTACAGTGCAAAAGAGGTAAACACATCTACTTACCTTCACAGAATGTGGCTTTACATCTTCTGTATGCTAGACTCTGCCCTTCAAGGCCTCTGCCAATTCCAGTGATCTTCTCTGAAATCTCTTTTTGCTTGTTCTCCCTGCCACATCTAATGCAGACCTCTCAATTATTATATTTATTTAGTTCTCATTCTTTACCATGTTTTTTACTTCTGCTTCCAACTTTTTTTTTTTCGAGACTGAGTCTTGCTCTGTCGCCCAGGCTGGAGTGCAGTGGTGCAAACTTGGCTCGCTGCAACCTCCACCTGCTGGCTTCAAGAGATTCTCCTGCCTCAGCCTCCCGAGTAGCTGGGATTACAGGCGCCGGCCACCATGCCCGGCTAATTTTTGTAGTTTTAGTAGAAATAAGGTTTCACCATGTTAGTCAGGCTGGTCTGGAACTCCTGACCTCAGGTGATCCACCAGCCTCGGCCTCCCAAAATGCTGGGATAAGAAGCCTGATACTTTAGCCCCTTAACCTGCTCTTCTCTCTCTACATTCCCTCTTTTCCTTAAGAATTGCATGGAAGCCGATGCCTTCATCAGCTCCTATTTAGGCATTTTCCAAATAGTAATCCTTAAGGGCTCATGAAGTTCTCCTAGGGGATCATGATATTAAAGTTAATAATAGTAACTGTTTCAGTACTTATTTTTTAATGTAAATAAAAATTATTTTTAAAATGTTAATCTCAAATGGAGCATTTGGAGAGCCTGGGAGTGGAAGCACAGTGAAAATAACAGTAATCATCAGAAATCAAAGGAAGGTGCTCCAGGTGCAGTCACTGACAGACTCAACAGAGCACTGCTGGTCACAACTTCATATCATTACTTCGTTTTAAATCATCTATTTCTGGTCCCTTAAGACATAATTTGTGTCCATAATCAGTCAATGAATGAAGAAATATGAGAAAATGTTGAAATATAGGATAATGAGGGTAGAAATAGGATAAATGCAAATTTGCCTCAAAATGACCTTCCTCGGACCCATTAGTTTAATTTGCCTGATTATAATTCTTTAAAAGTGTATCAATATTTCCTGTACTCCCCCCACCCCGGAAAACAATATTAATAAGATAAACTATAGTGACAATAATACCCAATATGATTTAATGTTTAATAAAGTATAATAATTATAAAAACTTTTTTCCTAAATCACTTTATTACATGCCATATAAAAACTGGAAAATAATTTTTATTTTTATTTGGCAGGATCATACATTATTGTGAAAGAGATCATTCATCCAAAAAGGTTGGAAAATAATGATAAATATCAGTGGTCCCCAAAGTATACTCCTCAGAACATCAGTTGCATGAAGTTCTTATTTTAAGAATAATGTCTTTATTGTTTTAGGAAAAAATGATGCACATTCAGTTTAGAAAGTACACTAAAAAGTGCCAAGAAAAAACCCTAACAATCTACAAATATCCCATCACCCAAATATAGCCATTGCCAACTTTTATTAAGCATCTTTACAAATACATAATTTGTAAAAGGAAACCTCAGATGAGCAGATATAATTTAAGGAAAATTGAATAATCATGATTATTGTAAAAATAAAATTTAAAAATAAATGGAAAACAATACTGAAATTCAGATAAAGTTTCACCTCCACAGAAGATATGGTTGCTAAATAAAGCATCTCTCTAAGGCTGAGAAAAAAATGTTAAGAATCTTTGATGTCACTTTTGAAACCATGTGTCTTAACTTTAATCAGCCTCTTTGTAATGAAAGATTAAATTATCACACTCTACCTTGCACCTACCCTCTACCCCACCCTAATTTTTGTTATATTTTTATCTTTAGCTCATCAAAGGTTAAATTTATGTTTTGCTCATTTATATTTTATAACAATAATTCCCAACTGCTTCAGTGCTATATTTATTTTTTACATAGGATTAATAAAAATACTGGATCACAGGTATTTAGATCAAATGGGAATTACATAGAAATCTCTTATAAATTGTAAAGTGCTAGATAAATATTTGTTCTAATATAGTAATACCTCCCACCCTTCCTTCTCTCTACTTGCTTTTTAAAATTCTCCATCCTAGTAAGAAAAATCTACTCACTGTGCCTCTAAAAAATATTGTTTTCTCAGGGGGTGGAGCCAAGATGGCCGAATAAGAACAGCTCCAGTCTACAGCTCCCAGCATGAGTGACACAGAAGATGGGTGATTTCTGCATTTCCAACTGAGGTACCAGGTTCATCTCACTGGGTAGTACTGGACAGTGGGTGCAGGACAGTGGGTGCAGTGCACCGTGCATGAGCCGAAGTAGGGCGAGGCATCACCTCACCGGGGAAGCGCAAGGGGGCAGGGAATTCCCTTTCCTAGTCAAAGAAAGAGGTGACAGATGGCACCTGGAAAATCGGGTCACTCCCACCCTAATACTGCGCTTTTCCAATGGGCTTAACAAATGGCACACCAGGAGATTATATCCTGCACATGGCTCAGAGGGTCCTACGCCCACGGAGCCTTGCTCATTGCTAGCACAGCAGTCTGCGATCAAACTGCAAGACGGCAGCAAGGCTGGGGGAGGGGTGCCCGCCATTGCCCAGGCTTGAGTAGGTAAACAAAGCGGCCAGGAAGCTCAAACTGGGTGGAGCCCACCACAGCTCAAGGAGGCCTGCCTGCCTCTGTAGGCTCCACCTCTGGGGGCAGGGCACAGGCAAACAAAAGGCAGCAGTAACCTCTGCAGACTTAAATGTCCCTGTCTGACAGCTTTGAAGAGAGTAGTGGTTCTCCCAGCACGCAGCCTGAGATCTGAGAACGGGCAGACTGCCTCCTCAAGTGGGTCCCTGACCCCCGAGTAGCCTAACTGCAAGGCACCCCCCGGTAGGGGTGGACTGACACCTCACACGGCCGGGTACTCCTCTGAGACAAAACTTCCAGAGGAATGATCAGGCAGCAGCATTTGTGGTTCACCAATATCCGCTGTTCTGCAGCCACCGCTGCTGATACACAGGCAAACAGGGTCTGGAGTGGACCTCCAGCAAACTCCAACAGACCTGCAGCTGAGGGTCCTGACTGTTAGAAGGAAAACTAACAAACAGAAAGGAAATCCACACCAAAAACCCATCTGTACGTCACCATCATCAAAGACCAAAGGTAGATAAAACCACAAAGATGGGGAAAAAACAGAGCAGAAACACCAGAAACTCTAAAAATCAGAGCGCCTCTCCTCCTCCAAAGGAACACAGCTCCTCACCAGCAATGGAACAAAGCTGGACGGAGAATGACTTCGACGAGTTGAAAGAAGAAGGCTTCAGACGATCAAACTACTCCGAGCTAAAGGAGGAAGTTCGAACCAATGGCAAAGAAGTTAAAAACCTTGAAAAAAAATTAGATGAATGGATACCTAGAATAACCAATGCAGAGAAGTCCTTAAAGGACCTGATGAAGCTGAAAACCACGGCACGAGAACTACGTGACAAATGCACAAGCCTCAGTAGCTGATGCGATCAACTGGAAGAAAGGGTATCAGTGATGGAAGATGAAATGAATGAAATGAAGTGAGAAGAGAAGTTTAGAGAAAAAAGAATAAAAGGAAACGAACAAAGCCTCCAAGAAATATGGGACTATGTGAAAAGACCAAATCTACGTCTGATTGGTGTACCTGAAAGTGACGGGGAGAACAGAACCAAGTTGGAAAACACTCTGCAGGATATTATCCAGGAGAACTTCCCCAATCTAGCAAGGCAGGCCAACATTCAAATTCAGGAAATACAGAGAACGCCACAAAGATACTCCTCAAGAAGAGCAACTCCAAGACACGTAATTGTCAGATTCACCAAAGTTGAAATGAAGGAAAAAATGTTAAGGGCAGCCAGAGAGAAAGGTCGGGTTACCCACAAAGGGAAGCCCATCAGACTAACAGCTGATCTCTTGGCAGAAAGTCTACAAGCCAGAACAGAGTGGGGGCCAATATTCAACATTTTAAAGAAAAGAATTTTCAACCAGAATTTCATATCCAGCCAAACTAAGCTTCATAAGTGAAGGAGAAATAAAATACTTTACAGATAAACAAATGCTGAGAGATTTTGTCACCACCAGGCCTGCCCTAAAAGAGCTCCTGAAGGAAGCACTAAACATGGAAAGGAACAACCAGTACCAGCCACTGGAAAAACATGCCAAATTGTAAAGACCATCAAGGCTAGGAAGGAACTGCATCAACTAATGAGAAAAATAACCAGCTAACATCATAAAGACAGGATCAAATTCACACATAACAATACTAACCTTAAATGTAAATGGGCTAAATGCTCCAATTAAAAGACACAGACTGGCAAACTGGATAAAGAGTCAAGACCCATCAGTGAGCTGTATTCAGGAAACCCATCTCACGTGCAGAGACACACATAGGCTCAAAATAAAGGGATGGAGGAAGATCTACCAAGCAAATGGAAAACAAAAAAAGGAAGGGGTTGCAATCCTTGTCTCTGATAAAACAGACTTTAAACCAACAAAGATCAAAAGAGACAAGGAAGGCCATTACATAATGGTAAAGGGATCAATTCAACAAGAAGAGCTAACTATCCTAAATATATATGCACCCAATACAGGAGCACCCAGATTCATAAAGCAAGTCCTTAGTGACCTACAAAGAGACTTAGACTCCCACACAATAATAATGGGAGACTTTAACACCCCACTGTCAACATTAGACAGATCAACGAGACAGAAAGTTAGCAAGGATATCCAGGAATTGAACTCAGCTCTGCACCAAGCAGACCTAATAGACATCTACAGAACTCTCCACCCCAAATCAACAGAAAATACATTCTTTTCAGCACCACACCACACCTATTCCAAAATTGACCACATAGTTGGAAGTAAAGCACTCCTCAGCAAATGTAAAAGAACAGAAATTATAACAAACTGTCTCTCAGACAACAGTGCAATCAAACTAGAACTCAAGATTAAAAAACTCACTCAAAACCGTTCAACTACATGGAAACTGAACAACCTGTTCCTGAATGACTACTGGGTACATAACGAAATGAAGGCAGAAATAAAGATGTTCTTTGAAACCAATGAGAAAAAAGACACAACATACCAGAATCTCTGGGACACATTCAAATCAGTGTGTAGAGGGAAATTTATAGCACTAAATGCCCACAAGGGAAAGCAGGAAAGATCTAAAATTGACACCCTAACATCACAATTAAAAGAACTAGAGAAGCAAGAGCAAACACATTCAAAAGCTAGCAGAAGGCAAGAAATAACTAAGATCAGAGCAGAACTGAAGGAAATCGAGACACAAAAAACCCTTCAAAAAAATCATTGAATCCACGAGCTGGTTTTTAGAAAAGATCAACAAAATTGATAAACCGCTAGCAAGACTAATAAAGAAGAAAAGAGAGAAGAATCAAATAGACGCAATAAAAAATGATAAAGGGGATATCACCACTGATCTCACAGAAATACAAGCCACCATCAGAGAATACTATAAACACCTCTATGCAAATAAACTAGAAAATCTAGAAGAAATGGATAAATTCCTCGACACATACACCCTCCCAAGACTAAACCAGGAAGAAGTTGAATCTCTGAATAGACCAATAACAGGCTCTGAAATTGAGGCAACAATTAATAGCTTACCAACCAAAAAAAGTCCAGGACCAGATGGATTCACAGCCGAATTCTACCAGAGGTACAAGGAGGAGCTGGTACCATTCCTTCTGAAACTATTCCAATCAATAGAAAAAGAGGGAATCCTCCCTAACTCATTTTATGAGGCCAGCATCATCCTGATACCAAAGCCTGGCAGAGACACAACAAAAAGAGAATTTTAGACCAATATCCTTGATGAACATTGATGCAAAAATCCTCAATAAAATACTGGCAAACCGAATCCAGCAACACATCAAAAAGCTTATCCACCATGATCAAGTGGGCTTCATCCCTGGGATGCAAGGCTGGTTCAACATATGCAAATCAATAAACGTAATCCAGCATATAAACAGAACCAAAGACAAAAACCACATGATTATCTCAATAGACGCAGAAAAGGCCTTTGACAAAATACAACAATGCTTCATGCTAAAAACTTTCAATAAATTAGGTATTGATGGGATGTATCTCAAAATAATAAGAGCTATCTATGACAAACCCACAGCCAATATCATACTGAATGGACAAAAATTGGAAGCACTCCCTTTGAAAACTGGCACAAGACAGGGATGCCCTCTCTCACCACTCCTATTCAACATAGTGTTGGAAGTTCTGGCCAGGGCAATCAGGCAGGAGAAGGAAATAAAAGGCATTCAATTAGGAAAAGAGGAAGTCAAATTGTCCCTGTTTGCAGATGACATCATTGTGTATCTAGAAAACCCCATCGTCCCAGCCCAAAATCTCCTTAAGCTGATAAGCAACTTCAGCAAAGTCTCAGGATACAAAATCAATGTACAAAAATCACAAGCATTCTTATACACCAATAACAGACAAACACAGAGCAAAATCATGAGTGAACTCCCATTCACAATTGCTTCAAAGAAAAATAAAATACCTAGGAATCCAACTTACAAGGGATGTGAAGGATCTCTTCAAGGAGAACTACAAACCACTGCTCAAGGAAATAAAAGAGGACACAAACAAATGGAAGAACATTCCATGCTCATGGGTAGGAAGAATCAATATCATGAAAATGGCCATACTGCCCAAGGTAATTTACAGATTCAATGCCATCCCCATCAAGCTACCAATGACTTTCTTCACAGAATTGGAAAAAACTACTTTAAAGTTCATATGGAACCAAAAAAGAGCCCGCATTGCCAAGTCAATCCTAAGCCAAAAGAACAAAGCTGGAGGCATCATGCTACCTGACTTCAAACTATACTACAAGGCTACAGTAACCAAAACAGCATGGTACTGGTACCAAAACAGAGATATAGACCAATGGAACAGAACAGAGGTCTCAGAAATAATGCCACATATCTACAACTATCTGATCTTTGACAAACCTGAGAAAAACAAGCAATGGGGAAAGGATTCCCTATTTAATAAATGGTGCTGGGAACACTGGCTAGCCATATGTAGAAAGCTGAAACTGGATCCCTTCCTTACACCTTATACAAAAATTAATTCAAGATGGATTAAAGACTTGTATGTTAGACCTAAAACCATAAAAACCCTAGAAGAAAACCTAGGCAATACCATTCAGGACACAGGCATGGGGAAGGACTTCATGTCTAAAACACCAAACCCAATGGCAACAGAAGCCAAAATTGACAAATGGGATCTAATGAAACTCAAGAGCTTCTGCACAGCAAAAGAAACTACCATCAGAGTGAACAGGCAACCTACAGAATGGGAGAAAACTTTTGCAACCTACTCATCTGACAAAGGGCTAATATCCAGAATCTACAATGAACTCAAACAAATTTACAAGAAAAAAGCAAACCCCATAAAACAGAGGGCGAAGGATATGAACAGACACTTCTCAAAAGAAGACATTTATGCAGCCAAAAAACACATGAAAAAATGCTCATCATCACTGGCCATCAGAGAAATGCAAATCAAAACCACAATGAGATACCATCTCACACCAGTTAGAATGGCAATCATTAAAAAGTCAGGAAACAACAGGTGCTGGAGAGGAAGTGGAGAAATAGGAACACTTTTACACTGTTGGTGGGACTGTAAACTAGTTCAACCATTGTGGAAGTCAGTGTGGCAATTCCTCAGGGATCTAGAACTAGAAATACCATTTGACCCAGCCATCCCATTACTGGGTATATACCCAAAGTATTATAAATCATGCTGCTATAAAGACACATGCACACGTATGTTTATTGTGGCACTATTCATAATAGCAAAGACTTGGAACCAACCCAAATGTCCAACAATGATAGACTGGATTAAGAAAATGTGGCACATATACACCATGGAATACTATGCAGCCATAAAAAATGATGAGTTCATGTCCTTTGTAGGGACATGGATGAAGCTGGAAACCATCATTCTTAGCAAACTATCACAAGGACAAAAAACCAAACACCGCATGTTCTCACTCATAGGTGGGAATTGAACAATGAGAACACGTGGACACAGGAAGGGGAACATCACACACTGGGGACTGTTGTGGGGTGGGGGGAGGGGGGAGGGATAGCATTAGGAGATATACCTAATGCTAAATGATGAGTTAATGGGTGCAGCACACCAACATGGCACATGTATACATATGTAACAAACCTGCACGTTGTGCACATGTACCCTAAAACTTAAAGTATAATAATAATAAAATTTAAAAAATATATATATTGTTTTCTCATCTTTAAGACTGATGCATAAGTTGCTCCCTCTACTGAGAATGCCAACACTCTATCTAAAACTATCTGACTTTTGGCCAGGCGTGGTGGCTCATGCCTGTAATCCTGGCACTTTGTGAGGCTGAGATGGGAAGATTGCTTGAGCTCAGGAGTTCGAGACCAGCCAGGGCAACATGGTGAAACCCCATCTCTGCTAAAATCCAAAAAATTAGCCTGGCATGGTGGCACGTGCCTGTAGTCCCAGCTACTCGGGAGGCTGAGACAGGAGAATTGCTTGGACCCAGGAGGCGGAGCTTGCAGTAAAGGGAGATTGGGCCACTGCACTCCAGCCTGGGTGACAGAGTGAGACCCTGTCTCAATAAATAAATAAATACTATCCAACTTTCAATATCAAGACCAAGCCCCTTCTCCCTTGTCTTTACAGAATCCTCCAATCTTTAGTGGCATCTTCATCTGAAGATATACATCACAAACATATTAATTCACTAGGCAATTAAAAGTCACTCTTCCAGTCTGGGTGACATGGCAAAATCCCGTTTCTACAAAAAAATACAAAAATTAGCTGGGCATGGTGGCACGCACCTGTAGTCCCAGTTACTCAGGAGGCTGAGATGGGAGGATCGTGTGAGCCCAGGAGGTAGAGGTTGCAGTAAGCTGAGACTGTGCCACTGCACTCCAGCCTGGCTGGACCCTATCTCAAAAAAAAAAAAAAAAAGGTAAGACCCCATCTCAAAAAAAAAAAAAAAATCACTTTTATACTGACCTACTGGAAAGCCATAGTCTGATTATATGGAAATAATTTTCATTCTTATGCATTATCTACAAACTAAATTACAAGCTCCTTGAAGGCAAGATCTAAGCATCAGATTTTTGTCTCCATGCAGCCTTCTGTTTTGTACATACCAGGACCACTGGTATATTCATTTTATAAGCTTCCAGAAACCAGGGAATATAATTGTGTACCATAGTTAGAGTATATACAATGCTTTACATTAAGTTAGTAGATATTTAACTAAACTTTGCCTCTGAGACTGCCATTATTCAACAGATAAAAAGAAATACACAAATTACAATGAACATAATCTGCAAATCTACAAATTATGGAGAATATAATTTAATATATGAGCATTTGAGAGTTCATTCCTCATATTTAGAACCAATACTAAGAGGGTGCTTCTATGTCCTTAATATTAAAAAGGCACTCTTAGGATGACTGAAGATAATCTTTATGAACATCATCAAGCATTATAGGTCAATGTAGTAGATGCAGATTAATTTAGAAGACAAGCTTGAGCTAAGTGTGTAGTAAAACGAAATCTAAAACGTATACTGAAAAAATTTTTAAGAAGAAATACCAGATACTTATGAGTTCACTTTTTATTCTATTTCTCTCATAAAATTTGAAGGGAAACAATTTTTAAACTAGTTCATTTAGATTTTCACTTGTTCTAATAAAACTTACACAATGGTATAGGTGATGATAGTTTTTCTTTAACTAAAAAGAAAACAAAAAACATCATTCTACATAGTTTAATTTCCCATATTAAAATTCCACTTGAAAAAATGCCATGTAAACTGACAAAGCATAATACTCTTTTTAACTTTTGGGTTTTAATATTATTATAAAATTTTATTATACTACAAATGTAGTCAGTTATATCTAGAGTAAGTATGGCACACAACTGCAGTTGCATTTGGTGTTCTTGGAATATAATGATGCAAGTAACAAGAAGCTACTGCTTCGTTACCAAGAAGTCAAGTTTAATTTGCTTTCTTTTCCCCTCTCTCTTCAACTGGTCAAAATACAAGTTTCACTGCAAATGCAACAACCAGAAAACACAGATGCCATCATAAATACATAATGCTGCCAAGTAGGAAACCCTACATTGACAAATAACAGAACTCCCCATAGCAACTGGAAGACATTCTAGGCAGCATATTCAGTCCTGAGGCTATACTATAAATAAAATTTATGCATCCCTTAAAACTGAAAAATACATTTTTTGTTTTTTGTTTAACACCAACATTTACTGTTACCCAATGGGTAATTTTTCTGTCTGCTTCATATTCTTAATGGACTGAGAAATTTCCCAAGTCTTTCATTCTGAACTGCTGGAATAGATAACTGCTATCACAAAGTTCCTGCTGAGCCTTAAATAAAATTGGCCACATTCAATTAAAAAACAAAACCACAAACAGCTTTCCAACTTTACTAACCAAATTCATAGTCTGATAACCTAATTTGAGTGTTAAAGTTTAGCAATTGAATGACATTTAGCTCCTCACCATTAGCTGGCTTGGAGACAAAATATGAAATCAACAAATATTCATAAGCATTCACTGTGGGCTCAATATATGTCAGATGTTGTATGGGAAAGGAAAAGGAAATTGAAGACAAGTTCCCCTCGTGTACAGGAATTTTTCGTTTAGCTTTTAGAAATTATTAATTCAGGACACCAATAAATCAAAGCAGTACTTCCTTAGATAATCTGATTTCTCGTGGGCCATCTTGCAGAAAACAACCTTTGCCTATAATTGTTCTAAAGTCTAAACATCTAAAAGTAAAAATTTCAAGCATTACATATCAACAGATATAAAAACCAGAAGAGAACAGAATCTTTTAAAGCAGGAATAAGATAAAGGCTGTTTACCTCTGCAAATAGCTTTGGTTTTAAATCCAAACAAAGTTTTACAATTTTTTCAATGATATCTTTCTCCATCATAAGCACTATAACATCTCAATGCTTTTTGACACTGCCTAGTTGAAGAAGCCTATAGGCTTCAACATCTTATTCATTATCTTTTCAATAAAGATATTTAGGTCTATGGATAAATTATAAAACCAATTCTTTCTAGATTTTTTCCCAAGAAATACGCATGTATCATGTCCACCCGAAAACCATAAGAAGCCAAATAAAAAGTTATTTTCATCCACAGTTTATTAGCATTTGAAAAACGTTACTTACTGGTAATGTTCGCATCTCCAGTATTTAAGCTTACTCAATGGCTATGTCATCTGCAATTAAACTTTTTAAAAATCCATTGAACACAACAAGGTTAACATACACTGTGATTGTATATATATATATATATATATATATATACACACACACACACACAATGATCTATTTATATCTTTCAAGTATTTATATATATTTGAATTGGTACAGATAATAACATATTAAAATTAGTCCTAATATCATTGAATCAGACTTTACAATTCCTGAGCATGATTTATTATCCATCTTATGTGGGCATACAGGTGAATTGTTTAATCCGGAAATATTGAACAAAAATATTCTATCCCCTATATAGCAATCTCGAGAAAGTTACATGTAAAAACCAAGAATGATAAAATTCCACGATTTATGATAAAATTTATGATAAAATTCCACGATTATTATAATATTTGGCTTGATTTTGATTAAAATATGCCTACTTTTAGTTTAAAATAACAGACCAAAAAAAAAAAAAAGTAAGAAAAAACCAGCCTGCAGTTTTTATAATTTAAAAAATTTAAAACTCTAGGTGGCGTACTTCTACAAGCTTGTAGGAGGAAAATTATCCAATTGAAAAATCAAACTTTATTATTATTTCTAATCAATGACTGTTAAAACTTTGAATTGAAAATTTGTCCACTGACATTTGAGGTTTGTTAATAGAAAAAATTAAGTACAAACTCATGGCCGGGCATGGTGGCTCACCCCTGTAATCCCAGCACTCTGGGAGGCTGAGGCAAGCAGATTACCTGAGGTCAGGTGTTTGAGACCAGCCTGGCCAACATGGTGAAACCCCCTCTCTACTAAAAATTTAAAAATTAGCCAGGTGTGGTAGTGCATGCCTGTAACCCCAGCTACTACTTGGGAGGCTGAGGTGGGAGAATCACCTGAACCTGGGAGGCGGAGGTTGCAGTGAGCCCAGATCGTGCCACTGTACTCCAGCTTGGGCGACAGAGCAAGACTCAAAAAAAAAGAAAAAAAAAAAGATAAAAAGAAAAAATTAAGTACAAATTCAAAGCCATTAAACAAAATTAGGCCATAATTTAAGCCACAAAATACCTCATTATGAGTCTTTTTAGACTAGTAAATATTTCCTTGTGGGGAAATCTTTATTATTTAGAGAATAATAAAGTAAAACAATGAAATATTTAGCAGTATACACCCCAAATAAAAAGAATATTGTTTTAAACTATTTTTACATCTTTAACATTTGTATTTTCAGAAATTCCTTCTCTTTCTAGTATTTGAAAGACTGTGTTTGTGTAGGCATTGAAGTCCTTTCCAAATATATGTATTTCATTGCCCTTAATATTTGAGAACAATTCTGCATACATAAAAAGATAGCAACGTTAAATCTGCCAGGTGACCATCAGATTACTCTCCCCGGAGCCAGCTGATACCACAGGGCCTGTTTCTAAGTACAGCTCTGACTCCTGGGTACCACTTAAGAGGCAACCATTTGTTTGGTACCATGTCTATGTCCCAACTGCTATTACTCTTCTTAAATCATCGTATCAGTGGTGCTATTTGAAGTTTGTTTTAGTAAGACATTCTTATACAGTCTTTCCCAATGCCTCTATTTGGAACTAACCAATTTTTATTCCTCTCATAAGAACTAGAGACATATTTATCTGTGCAGTTTGGTTTTGGTCAGAGTAGGTGGGCTATTAGAAAACTGCCAGCCAATGGGGCTGTGTTGTCTCCTATGTTCTCTGGCATACTATGTATGACAGATAGATCAGTATAGTGAAACTAAATCCAAAATCAGCTGTCATTTGAGTACAACTCTTGAAATCACTGGCTATTGTTACCACTCTGGAGACCTCCAATTTCATTTCAAACAGATATGATGTTGATAGTACACATTTTTACCTAGGGTTTTCAAAAGATGATATGCATACATTTTCACATAATTCTTACCCATGTTTTCATGTAATATTTAAGTTGCCTAATTATATCTCTCAAATTAGTTATGCACGAGCTCAGATTTCTTCAGTTATGAATCCATTCTGTTTGGAAATACTCACCATTACTTGGTCTATTGCAGGTAGATGTTTCCCCAGTAGTGACTTATTTGCAAGATTAATGTCTCCAAGTTTATTGCTGGTGGCAGCAGTTTGTTGAGCTGAAAACATTCTTCAGGGTTCTAATGATTTGAATACAAATCGTATTACTTGTGATGTTTACATATTATTATATGGAGTAGTAGAGATGTAATGACCCTATTGGAATTCACCTATTTATTTGTGGCTGCAAGTGGTTTATAGAAATATGCTTCTAATTTAACTTTTATTGGCATCCAAATCTAATTATTAATCAGTTTTTTATATTAAAAAACAATTTGTATAAAAGTCTTTACATTAAGACACATGTACACGTATGTTTATTGTGGCACTATTCACAATAGCAAAGACTTGGAACCAACCCAAATGTCCATCAGTGATAGACTGAAGAAAATGTAGCACATATACACCATGGAATACTATGCAGCCATAAAAAAAGATGAGTTCATGTCCTTTGTTGGGACATGGATGAAGCTGGAAACCATTATTCTGAGCAAACTATTGCAAGGACAGAAAACCAAACACCACAAGTTCTCACTCATAGGTGGGAACTGAACAATGAAAACACTTGGACACAGGGCGGGGAACATCACACACTAGGGCCTGTCATGGGGTGTGGGGGAGCAGGGAGGGATAGCATTAAGAGAAATACCTAATGTAAATGATGAGTTAATGGGTGCTGCACACCAACATGGCACATGTATACATATGTAACAAACCTGCACGTTGTGCACATGTACCCTAGTACTTAAAGTATAATTTAAAAAATAAGTAAATAAAAGTATTTACATTATTCTTGTCTTCTACTATGCTCACTATAATACAAAGTTCATACTTTCTGTATCCACTGTGGTTATTACAATTGGGTTCTTAAATAAATACAAATATGCATATATACATAGAGAGATGCATATATGAACATATGTGTATAAAGAAATAATTCTTTTTCTAAAGACCACAGGCCCAGCAGGGTGCAGTGCCTCACACCTGTAATCCCAGCACTTTGGGAGGCCGAGGCAGGTGGATCATGTGAGGTCAGGTGTTCAAAACCAGCCTGACCGACATGGTGAAACCCCATCTCTACTAAAAATACAAAAATTAGCTGGGTGTGGTGACGGGTGCCTGTAATCCCAGCTACTTAGGAGGCTGAGGCAGGAGAATCGCTTGAACCTGGGAGGCGGAGGTTGCAGTGAGGTGAGATCACACCACTTACACTCCAACCTGGGTGACAAAGCTAGACTCAGTCTCAACAACAACAACAAAACAAAACAAGCAAACAAACCACTGGCCCATATTCACTCCCTTAAGAATTATAAGTTTTTTTAAAAAGCTGTTGAAAGCAGTCAATATAAATCAAGTGAATTCACCTTGGCTTCTGAGAAAGAAAATAATAGTATAATTCTCTGTACTAATTTTAAAATTATTAAGAGAAAGATATTCAATATACAAAACAAACATGGGTAATTCAGTTCTTTACTATAGCATCTAGGGAGAATATTGTTGCTCCCCACCAAAAAAATAGAATAGGAGATGGGGGAAAACATATAAATCAGAAGAGGGGATAACTTAAAAAATGCCACACACAATCACAATGTAAGAAACAAAGTAACATGCAGATCTCCATGAAATCATTTGCTTCTTTCAATCATTGTTTTCAAAATACAGTCTATTTGAAACCAATGGTTCTCAAATTTTAGCAGGCCTCAGAAACACCAGACAGGCTTATTAAAACACAAAGTGAACCCCACTCAAGTTTCTCATTCAGTAGATATGGGGTGGCACTCAACAGTTTTCATTTCTAATAAGCTTCCAAGTGACCAGACTTTGAGAACCACTAACTAGACCTTTCTATAGTCCATCAACTTCTCTTGGCATTCACATAATCTTTAGAGTTGGGAAAAATTGGTGGCTAAGAATGGCTCCAGTTTACATTTCTCAAACTAGTCAAATTTCTAAGAATTATTTTTTCCTATTCTTTATGTGTTATATACATGATCCTCTTAGTAGTATTACTGTGTTGTTCATGATATGCAGATTAGGTTTTTTGTTTTTTTGTTTTTTTTTTGAGACAGAGTCTTGCTCTGCCACCCAGGCTGGAGTGCAGTGGCACGATTTTGGCTCACTGCAACCTCCGTCTCCCAGGTTCAAGCAGTTCTCCTGCCTCAGCCTCCCAAGTAGCTGGGATTACAGGCATTGGCCACCAGGCCTGGCTAATTTTTGTATTTTTAGTAGAGACAGGGTTTCACCATGTTGGCCAGGCTGGTCTCAAACTCGTGACCTCAGGCAATCCGCCCACCTTGGCCTCCCAAAGTGCTGAGATTACAGGCTTGAGCCACCATGCCTGGCCTGCAGATTGGATTTTTGAAGTGACTTCCTGATTGCAGTTTCTTTTAGTAGGGAACTAAGTGAAGAAGTGGAATTAAGCTACTTCTGGAAGTAAGGTTTGTTAAATAAACTATACCTAAATGTGCACAGTATTTTTAATTCATTCAAATACATACCATATGCAAGCATCATGCTAGAAACTAAAAAGGTAAACATGGACAAAAACATATAGGGTCTCTGCCCTCATGCAACTTAAGAATCTACTAAGAGAGACAGATAATCACCTGAAAATATAATTAAAGTGATAAACTCTCCCAATAAAAGGTGCATGACAGTTGTAATATAAAAGTGTATGACAAACTGATTTCCAGTGTAGCTAAACCTGTGTAATAAGTAATTCAGTAACTCTTACAGCTGTCTGCCTTAGTTTCACTTTTTTTTTTTTTTTTTTTTTGAGACAGCCTCGTTCTGTCACCCAGGCTGGAGTATAGTGGCGTGATCTCAGCTCACTGCAACCTCCACCTCCCAGGTAGCTAAACCTGTGGTGGAAATGTAAAATTTCCAATTTCAGACAAAATGTCTGAAAGTGGCTCTGCATATCTCAGCATGTGTTATTACCAGCTATTCTAATAGGTGTTCAATGGTATCTTGTTATAATTTGCACTTCCCTATTAATAATGATGCTGAACATCTTTTCATGTGCTTATTATCTGTACAGCTTCTTTGATGAAGTGTCTGTTCAAGTCTTTTGCCCATTTTCTAATTGGATTATTTCTTCCTAATAAATTTTGCAAGTTCTTTATATATTCTGGACATAAGTTTTCTGTTGAACATGTGCTTGCAAATATTTTCCGTTTATGGCTTGCCTTTTCATCCTCTTTAACAGGGTCTTCTACAAAATGTTTTTATTTTTTACAAAATTCAATGTTTTTTTAAGGAATTTTAATGCCAGTTGGCCTAACCCTTGCTCAAGATTTCCTGTTTGCTTCTAAGTTTCAGTTTTATATGTTACAGTAAGAACATGACCCATTTTGAGTTAATTTTTGTTTTAGAGACAAGGTTTTGCTCTCTTGCCTAGGCGGGAGTGCAGTGGTGTGATGACAGCTCACCACAGCCTCAAACTCCTGGTCTCAAGTGATCCTTCTGCCTCAGCCTCCCAAGTAGCTGGGACTGAAAGTACATGCCACCATGCTCAGCTAATTTCTTAAAATTTTAGAGAGAGGTTCTCACTATGTTGCCCACCCTAGTTTCAAACTCTTGGCCTCAAGCTGTTCTCCCACCTCAGCCTGCCAACTAGCTGAAATTATAGGCACGAGCCCCCCATGCCTAGGGAGTAAAAGTTTTTATAAGGTAGAAGGTTGAGGTTGAGGTTTTTCTTTCTTAGCTATGACTATTCAATTGTTCCAACACCCTTTGTTCGAAATTCAATTTTTCTAACACAATTCATCTATTGAATTGCTTATGTACCTTTGTCAGACGTTAGTTTTTCATACTTGTGTAGGTCTATTTCTGTACTCTATTCTGCGTCTATCACTGAGCTATGTGTCTATCACTACCAAAACCACACAATCAGTACCAATATCACAGTCCCGATTACTGTACTTATGTGTCTTAATATCTGGTAGTGTGATTCCTCCAACTACATTGTTTTCAAATTGCTTAGGATATTCTAGTTCCTTTGCTTTTTAATGTATTTTAGAATGAGCTTTATTCCGATTCTTTAGAATCAGAATCATTCAACAAAGAATCCTTCTGGGATTTTTATAGGACTTGTATTAAACCCATAAATCAACTTGGGGGCAACTTAGTTAATATATTGTCTTCCAATCCATATAAATGGTTATGTTTCAGACTCTTTAAGTCTAGACATTTACAATCTATTATCTCTCTGAAGACTGCTACCTGGAAGATTCATCTGCATAAAACCTTGGTTTCCACAACCCCTTATCATATCCCAGACACCAGTATCTATCAATAATAACCGACTCCCAATCAGAAAATCTTTGGATTTGTCTATGACCTGGAAGTCCCCACTTCCAGTTGTCCCACTCTCCTAAGCTAAATCAATGTACATGTTACCTGTATTGATTGATGTCTTACGTCTCTCTAGAATGTATAAAGCCAAGTTGTAACCCAATCACCTTAGGCACATGTTCTCAGGATCTCTTGAGGGCTGTGTCACAGCCCATTAGTCACTCATATTTGGCTCAAAATAAATCTCTTCAATATTTTAGAGTTTGACTCTTCATCAAGGTCCTGTAGGTGTTTTGTTGGATTTATACTTAGTATTACATTTTGAAATTGTAAATGGTATTAGCATATAGAAATACAATTTGATTTTTGTGTGGTTGATCTTGTATTCTGTGATCTTACTAAATTCACTAGTTCTTGTAAGTTCTTGGAGATTTCTTAGAACTTTGTATGTAGAAAATAATGTTAAATGCAAATATAAAGTTAATTTTTTCATTTCCAATCTCTGTGCCTTTTATCCCCTTTTCTTATATTATTGCACTGGATATCAAGTACTACACTGAATAGGAGTGGTGAGTGTGCATATCCTTATCTTGTTCCTAATCTTAAGAGGAACGCATTTAGTCTTTCATCATATATTATTTTGTAGATGCTGAATGTTTGTGGAAGAAGGAAGTATAACAACTTCATGGACTTTAAGTGTACCTGAATTCAAAGTGTGGGAAAGTGGAAGGACATCATTTACAATTAAAGAAATCTAAATTCTCTCCTTGATTCTGATACTATATAGACCCTCAAAGGCCATGTTAAGAGCCAATAAATGGAAAACAGCAAGAGTTTTAACGATGGGGGCAGAGGGGGAGGGAGCAAAATGGCATTATATTATATTCTAAATATTTTGAAATCGTTCTCATATTTACTGTAAATGAAATAACATCTTAAATAATTTAAACACAATTTAAATTAAAATATAATTTACCTTTTTATTTAATTAAAAATTGTTTTACAAATCAGAACATCTGAATTATAATCCCTGATCTGCTAACAAGCTATGATCCTTGCATATAACTGGTTCTCATTTTTGTCACTCTAAAATTAGAACATCACAAGATAGCCAGATGCAGCAGAGGATACCAGAAAAAATGCTGACTTGGAAACCCCTGACATCCTGGGTCTGGTCCATGCTCTGTAACACAAGAGGTTAATTTATCTGAACCTCAGATATCCTCATCTTAAAATGAAGTACAACAAAATCATCTCCAAAGTCCTGTCTAAAATCCTATGGTTCTATGAAATGAATTAAAATGAAGTTACTTTGATGATATGTGGGCTACAGTATATAAGACAAAAAGATTAATTGAAATATTTGTCAATAAAAAGTTGAAGTATATGCTTGCAGCATACTAAAATACTGGTCTTCCCTTTATATTTTTCTCTACATCCTCTTGTGCCCCCAAATCAGTATTATTTTTATGGTTAAGCTGTGTAAATATGTCCCCTTTTCACCTCTGTTGGCTTAGAATGCTAGGAGCTGAGCTGCACTAAGACATTACTTCTTTCGTTATATGGAATTATCTCCTTGCTTTAAATGATTAGATTCTGAAATAGCATCCCTGACATGTCTAAAATAAGAGTTTTACACTTAAAAAATGTTGAAGAGTAGATAAGCAGATATATTAGTCAGAAACATACATGGCTAAAGTAACAGGAAACCAAACAGTGTCTTAAACAATCTGGAGTTTATTTTTTCTCATTTAATAATTGGGGAGTTTGGCAATTGCTCATCTTGATTTGGGTGTTCAACAATGCCATATCAGGGACCCAGGATCCCCTTAATCCTCCTTCAGTTCTATCTCTGAAATGTAACTTTCATTCTCACATTTGCTGTTTCATGGTTGTTTGATGGCAGCTGCACCTTTAGGCATGCTGTTGGCCAGAAAGAGGAGAAAGAGGCAATGACTGTTACCACACAAAGCTCTGATTTTTTAATTTGAAAGGAAAGCCCTTCTCAGTAGGGTTCTGTTCATTTCATTCAATTTCTCAATTGCAGTAGTCACATATCAAGTACTCAATATCACATATGGTTAGTAGCTACCACAATAGAGAGACAGAATGGATGGTTGATTTCCTTCACTGCAAAAAGTTCTGCCTCGTACTAATCAGACTATACAGAATTAAACTACCACTTCTGTTTCAGATCAATGAAGGTGCAACCTCTGGAGTTGGGGTAAGGTCCTAATCTCTTTGAGGAAGAGGGATCCTTGCCACTATCAGATCAAACTAAGGTACTGCTAAAGAAGAAATAAAGGTAATAGCTGTAGGCAACTGCCTGCTGTAATGGGATTATCAGTACATTTAAGTTGAAGTTTATAAATAACTAAGGATTGGCAATGTGCTTAACAAATATAAAATCTTGGAAAGAAGTTATTAAAATTTTGAAAAAATAAAGTGATACTGGCCAGGCTCAGTGGCTCATGCCTGTAATCCCAGCATTTCGGGAGGCTGAGGCGGGTAGATCACTTGAGGCCAGGAGTTTCAGACCAGCCTGGCCAACATGGTGAAACCCCATCTCTACTAAAAATACAAAATTAGCCAGGCATGGTGGCACATGCCTGTAGTCCCAGCTACTCAGAGGCTGAGGCACAAGAATCGCTTGAACCCGGGAGGAGGTTGCAGTGAGCTGCGATCACGTCACTGCACTCCAGCCTGGGTGACAGAACGAGACTGTCTCAAAAAAAAAAAAAAAAAAGTGAAACTAAGGCAGACAGCTATAAGAGGCACTGAATTACTTATTACACAAATATAATTGCTAGAGTAAACACTAATCCAGTGACTGACGGGGAGGAGGTTTGAAGGGGAAAAGGTAGTGAAACAACGTGCAGGCACTATTTTCTTTACAGAAAATGTAAATTTCAAATGGTTCATCATGTTGAAAATGCAGTTACTAATTTCATGTGTACAAAGACGGGATCTTTGTGGTAATAAAGATTAGTAGAGAATTACCTTCAGATGAGAAGAGTTCTTTCACAGAATATATTAATCAGCTGCCTATTACTCGTGGCAGAATAAAACGAAAATGACTGTAATATGAAAGATTAGACTAGATATGGAGAATAATTTATTAGCAGAACTATTCAAAAGGTTAAAAGAAGCTGATATTGACAATACTTTTCTTTCTAAACACTTCTAGATTGTCAATTCCTCCACAATCCCCACTTGTCCAAAGCAGCAATGACAAGTCTGTAGATGCCTCTGTATATTTTTAGTAAAAATAAATTTAAATATATTTATTATAAACAAATACCATAAATATTTGCGGTGAACAGTTGCTATTTTAAAAACTGATTTGTGTCTAAATGAAATTTAACTTTCAAGTCTCTTCTATTTTGTTGAAACATGTCAAATACTGTTGAAGGTAGCATAATGGTTGTTTATTATGAAAAGAGAAAAATAAAAAATTCTAACTAAGGTAATGATAGAATAGGAAAATTTTAACATTTTTGTTTCTAAGGATAGTTTTAATTTTCTTATTTTTTTCAAAATTAAAAATAACTACAACCCCTTTAATCCCTACTCTTTATGATTCTTTAATATTCTTTCATGTAATTTACTATTAAAGGATTCAATAAATATAACTTGCATAAAAGTTAAAGTGTCGTAACACATATTTATCTTAAGGCATTTTATATGTAAAAATCTCAATTATGTCCTATATCAAAACAAAAATTTTACAAAGAAATATTGCTGAACTTTGGAGAATGACATATTTTAAGCAAGATTCATCAGAAGGATATTACAGCAGATAAAACAATTCAAATAGCCCACTGGAATGTACAGCAAAATCCAATTCGACAATATAAACAAAGTCAAAATAATCTGCTTCGGTCAGCTACATATGCTGTGACTTTGCTATCACCAGTAAGGAGTTAACTAGAAACTGAGTTCTTAAACAATATATCCACTGTGAGTATAACAAAATGAAGTTAGAATCTTCATATGCAAGTTTAATAAATCATCATGGTTTATTTAACAAGGTTATACTACATTAGAGTTTTATATATATACATGTATATGTGATATGAAGAGACTGATGTACAATCAATAAGTCTTAAATCTCTCTTCCATGGATTTCCCCCATCTCCCCACTTAGCAGTAAAAGGCATTTTTAGGTTTATATAAACACATTCTTTACAACTGCCTTCTTAACAGAAAATTACTGTAGTATATAAATAGCACTGAGCATTTAGTAAATAAGTTACAGGCCAATAAGTTCAATTGTGCAGTTGTGAAATCTAATGTCAAAGAGTTTTTGAAACCTTAAGACTGGGTGATCTGCAATGTTTCCAACATGTCTTCGACAGCCTTAAGAGAATATTTGGTTTCCTTCTTACTTCGACCTGCAAACTAATTAAAAAAAAAAAAAAAAAGCTCAATTAGGCTCAATTTCAGTGGCAGGTTAAAAATGACAATCTTCACACTGTTAATGAAACTTAACATTGACTATTTTATCACTAGTAGGAAATCAAATATATTCTTTGCTTTTTCAATAAGAATAAAATTTGAGTATTAAGGACATTTTCCTTTAAGGTCTTACCTTCAGCTGAAGTGTACAGAGAGTTCACTGCACACTTGGCCAGTTTAAGTGTTTACATAATATAATAACCCATAAAATCATGTATTTGAAACTATCTTATTCAGACCAAAATAATGAAATAAAAAGTATAATTTTAAAATGCAATTTAGCTTATATTTATGTAGTGTAGCAGTGTGAACCACTTCCACTTGTCTGATGTCTAAACAGATTTTTACAATTTCAAACAAAGGTACAATACAAATACAAGTTATTTCACTAAACATTTTAAAGTTGCAAGTACTCTCTAAAATTATTTAAAGTAGCTCATAATTTTTTTTAAGTTTCCAGATTTATTAGTTAACTAAATGATATGGTTCTGCAAAGAGCTGTCAAGTAAAAACCTATGCTACACATTAAAACAATGTAAACATGTTTTAAAATATGCATTTCTACTTTATTAATTGTAATTTATTTACATTATAAAACTAATTGGGATTGGATTTTACTATGAAAACAAAATAAATACATCAATATATACACAAAATATACCCTATATTTGTGTATTTAAAAGCAAATTCATGGCATATTAAATTCAATATCATACACATAACCGCTGGAGGGAAACACTGTTGAATACCACATGCTGATTTCAAAATGAGTTTGTTAACTGGACTGACAATTCCCATCATTTATCAGTCTGATTTAAAACAAAAGATTTACTAGATAAGTAAGTGTTCCTTGATGGAGATGGGAGAAAGTTTATTGTGTGTGTATGTGTGTGTGTGTGTATATATATATACATATATATATTATATATATGTATATATATTAATTATATATTATGTATATATTTTATATATATATGTTACCTATATATATTATATATATGTATATATATTAATTATATATTATGTATATATTTTATATATATATATGTTACCCATTTTCTCCCTGGTTAAATATGATTAAAATACTTGGTATTAGCAACATCTAGTGTTTTCAAGTTAACATCAAACCACTCAATACATTTTCAAGTGAATGATCATTTCTTCAAGTAACAATGCTGTCTTAAGCACTTAGTACTTGATTTATGATGTGTTTCTTGTCTTCTGTAATTAACTTAATTTGGCAAACTTCTCATGACCTGTTCAGAAAGATTAAGTGATCAAACACAGGTAACATCATAGAAGTAACAAGCTTCAGGAATTGGTAACCTGTCTCTGACCCCTCTGGCTACAGCTTAACATTATGATTCCCTCACTTCCTACACTCTAAACCATTAGATTAGTTTCTGTAGCTGAATCCTGATTTGAAAAAGTAAATAAAGGATGTTTCTAGGGGAAATGCCAGAGGAAAAAGAAAAAAAGCTTCTCATAAAAATCAAGATCACCTTGCCTTTCAAAAGGCATCACGAATTTAAGGAATTCATATGTTAAATATGGTAACAGCAATATCACATTTAAAATTTTGTCTTTTTATAATTTCCCCTGAGGACTAAAGGCTGTGAGGCATGCTTATTACTTCTGTTATCCAGTTAATAAATTCACTTACACAAGGATTTACCAGAAACAGAAAGCTTTTTCATTTACCACCATTTATGAAACATAAATAGGAACGGTCCTAATCAGATACTTAAAGGTCTAATTCTGAGAAAAAGTTTTATGGGTTGGGGGAGGGGTACAGAATAGGACATCACATAGTAACATTACCACGTAACATTTATTCTAATTGCTTTTAAATAGCAAAGTAAAAATAAAAAAAATTATGTAGAGCTAAAACCATAACATGTATTTTTAAATACAGTATTTTTCTTGGTTTATACTTAAACATAAAAATAATACAGTGTGATCTTTTAAAATTAGCTAATTTTAAAGAGTCAACTGAGATGGTGTCAACATTACTCACAACCAGTGCAATTTAGAATAAACCAAATAAATTTACTTGTGTCAGAACAAATAAAAGAAAGTTGGAAATACAAATCTATCACTTCAAATTTAATCTGACATGCAATTATTCTGTCTATTCCAGAATTGTATGGCAATTTAACTGATTAAGTCAGAATCATTTTTTCCCTCAAATCATGATTTAATTTTCTGTTTCCCAAAAGGATAGTAACAGAATCACTGCTGCAATCATAAATATCATATAAATCACTAGCACAGATTTACCAGTGCAACAAAGAAGGATTTATCTGGAAAATCATTGTGAGTAGGTTCACATTAAAGTTTTTCATGTGCATTAATCAAATGTGTCTGCTTCTACTGAACATGCTAAACCAATTACCTAATTGACGAGCAAATAGTAGCCATATTCTGTTTCATCATTAAGTGGAAACAAAGAAAGAAAAGCAGTTCTTGAAACCTAATTTTCCCTAATTTATAAATACGTAGAAAAATCCCATACGAAATATTATATACTCTATACCGGTTTATATTCCTAGATATGATTAAGAAATTCTCACTGAGATCCCAAAGATTTACCTAGTTATCAAGAATGTCATTCTCTGAAAGTTATATACTCTTTTACATTATTCACAAATACTGTATTTTTGTTTTCATACAGTTAGATTTTGCTTAAGTAAATCTTTCATAATTCTCTGTAAGATCTATAAGAAAACTCACCAGAAAAAAACACAAAAACAACCAAACAATAAAAACTTGCTTATCAAATTCAGAGGTCAGTGATTCATGCATTGTAATAACTGAGATACCTTGCTTGGGCTTAAATTTACCTTTACATAATTTGTGGAAAATACATGGGTAGACAAAGTAATAGGAAAAATGAAATGGACTGTAAATGAATGAATCTCAAAAACATGCTGAGTGAAAGAAGCCAGACACAGAAGAGCACATAACCTATGAACTCATTTATACAAAGTTATAGCACAAGCAAAACTAATGTTTGGTGATAAAAATCAGATCAGTGCTTGTCTGTCTCCCAGTGGGGGATGAGGTTGACTGCAAAATGGCAGAAGGAAAGTTTCTTGGGTGATGGAAATGCTATTTTGAGTGGGGGGCTGGTAAGGGGATGTACACATTTGTCAAAACTCAGACTGTATACTTAAAATATATGCACTTGATTACATGTAAATTATATCTCAATATACCTCAAGGGGGTCTTGTCACACTGAAGAGACAGGGAAAAGGAAAAACATAATAACTTATGTTTTAATTTCTTTAATTCTCAGAATATTTCATTATGGCCATCTTGCAGAAGAAAAGATACAGCAAGAGATGTTAGGTAATTTATCCAAGTTTGCATAGCTAATAATTATATCAGAGTCAAAATTTGAACCCAGACAACATGGGTTCAAATCTGTAATCTTCTCTTTACTACATTGAACTAGCTTCCATGGACGGGACTCATGATGGAACACAAAGATGGACAGAAACACTGGATATCCATATGGGGAGCAATGGACCCCCTATTTCACATCATACATAAAAATCAATTCCAGGCCAGATGCGGTGGCTCACACCTATAATCCTAGCACTCCATTGGGAGGCTGAGACAGGAGGATTACTTGAGGCCAGGAGTTTGAGACCAGCCTGTGCAATACAGCTGGACCTCATCTCTACAAAAAATTTAAAAGTTAGCCGAGCACGGTGACATGCGTCTACAGTACCAGCTAGTTGGGAGGCTGAGGCAGGAGGATAACTCAACCTGGGTGGTTGAGGGTGTAGTGAGCCATGATCATGCCACTGCACTCCAGCCTGGGCAACAGAACCAACCAGATTCTGTCTTAAAAAAATAAAAATTAAAAATTAAAAATAAATCAATTCCAAATGGGTTGTGGATTAAATACGAAAAGTAAAAGAATAGAAATTCTGAAGACACACAGAATTCTTTATGACCGTGAGTAGCAAAAGATTTCTTAAACAGAACACAAAAAACACAAACAAATGACTGAGGCATTCGAACACATTTCATTTCAGAACTTCTATTCATCAAGATCATATGAGCAAAAAAGTAAGAAGTTATACATATTTGCTTATACATATAACTAAAAAAGGGCTCATAAGCAAAAAACTAAAGAAATAAGTCATGCAAACCAATGAGAAAAACATTTCACGAAAGAGGACATCCAAATGGCAACTGATCATCAGGGACATGCAAAATAAAACCATGAAGTACCACTCTACACATGTACCAGAATGGCTGTAATTACAAAGACTGACAGAACCATGTGTTGGTGAAGATGTGGGGCTATTAGAACTCTTACCGCTGGTGGGAGTAAACTAATTTGGAAAATTGCCTTTAACTACTAAAGTTAAATATACATACATTCTATGACCCATATTTTCACTCAAAGGTATACAGAACTGCACATATATTCCACCAAAAGACCTGTACAGCAATATTCAGTATAGTTTATTCAAAATAGCCCAAACAGAAAATATTCCAAATGCATAGCAATAACTAAATTATAACATTCATACAATGAACTACAGAAGAAAATGAATGAACTACAGACACAAACAAGGATAAATCCCATAAACTGAATAATGATAGAAATATGCAAGACAAAAATGAATACATACTGGCTGATTCCATAAACTATAGGGTTATAAGTGAGTACTCTTAAGGAATACAAAAGGAGAAATTAAGAGGACTTACCAAGAGAGCTTTGGGATGCTGCAATGTTTATATTTATTAGCCTGGATACATTTACCTTATATTAGTCACTGAAAGGCACATTTATGACTTGCATCCTTTTTTCTGTTATAATTCTTATTTCTATGTTATTAATTTAGTAAAAATTGATTTTAAAATAGTTATGTCAAAAAAGCACTCTGAGTAGCTGTTTCTCATATCTTAAAAACAATTATGTAGTATGCATAACGTTACTTTTATATTACACAAATCTTTTTTTTTAATATTACATAAATCACACACACCCACACACCCCCAAGCCTACTCTGTGTGGAACTCCATTACAGATCTGAGCTATCCCAAACTGCATTTGAAGAAGCACAGTCTCACTAATATTTATAAATACTCTGACTTAGAATATGCCAACAAAACTAACATGCTCTATAACAGACAATAAAAATACACAAAGGTGACTTTCAATGATGTGATTATGGAGGCACTACATTTGTAAAATCTTCTCAATTTTCTCCAACCAGAAGGGCAAAAACGAACAACAAAAAGCCAGCACCAAAACCAACATAACAGAACCCACGCCCACAGGTGACATTTTCAAAAAAACTAGGTAACAGTCAATTTTCCAAACCCTAGAATGTGACTATGTCATCAAGAGCAGCATGACCAACAAAAGATTAACAACTGTGTGGTAGGAGGAATAGAAAGTAATAGAGGACAACCTACTACTCTACAAGAAACCAAAAACCAAACAAATTATGAATTCTTAATCCACTAAACAAGAAAACCTGAGATGATGCAGCTGCCAATGGCCTAGAAGTCTTCATAAGCTCCAAAACAAAGATAAATGTAAAAAACTGCTCATAAATGTGAGATTAGACAAGTCTAACCGTCTAATATCTTAAAATTTCTAAAATATCTAGCAAACATCCTCTTCCAGAAGGACAAAACCTCACACCCTGAAGAAAAACAATTAAAAACTGAAACCAAACTGAACAGGGCAGAAACACCAGGGCAAGAAGGAGAGATGGTTCAGACAAGGAGGGGTGAGGAAAGGAGTGATGCCCAGAGGCAGCAATCCCAGAAGAAAACAAAACAAAAAGGAAGAAACACAAACTGTAACAACAATATGTAACATTTAAAGTGAGAGCAACACCTCAGAATTCAAGACTTTGAGGGCTCTAGAAACAGAACAGAGGGCTGAAGCCAGAAAATCTTTCTGAGTCACACTGAGTTCTAAGACAGACTGGCCATTCATACTCAGTTCTAAGAAAGACCGGCTATACAAAGAGGTCATATTTGAATTCTCTTTAGCAAAAAAGGAGACGGCCATAGAATAGCCAAGCTGGGAAAGCTACCCTAACCTATCTCCAACTCCCTGCCATTCCATAAACATTGTCTCCTAATAGTCCAGGAAAACTACCTCATTTAAACATGGAGGAAAGAAAAATATGAATCAAATTCATATTTTTATAAAATACAGAAAATGACAAAATAATTTGAAAGAAAATGAATAAAGGACATAGAAAAATGAAGTCTAATACACGTATTACTGAAACCCTGAAAAAGAAAACTAAGCAGAGAAAAAAATATTTGTAATTCTAAAAGCAACTTTTCTCAAATAAAAGGGCTAAACTGATGTACTAAATGGGTGTACTGTGTATTTGGGAAAACTGACCCAAGAATAATCAATAAAACAAATCATAGTAAGACTACTGGATTTTAAAGATAAAGAAAAAATTCCTTTGCGTAACCAGACAAGTCACTTATGATAAAAAGTAAGTCAAGACGGCATCATATTTCCTGACGGCAACATTTTATTCTGAAACAGAATGAAATAGCTGGGCATGGTGATGCCTGCACCTGAAGTCCCAGCTACTTAGGAGGCTGAGGTAAGAGGATCACATGAAGCCAGGAGTTCATGGCCAGCCTGGGCAATATAGCAAGATCTCGTCTATATTAAAAACAAAACAAAACTGAACAGTATGCTTAAGATACTTAGGTAAAGTATTAACGGGTATATAAAAAGCCAAATTGTCCTTTAAATATAAAGGCTATAGACAAATAAGGCTAAAGACATAAAAAGATGTGTTTTCCCATGAGCAAATTTCTAACGAAAAATAATTTCCTAAAAAATCTGCTAAGGACGAACTTTAGAAAACTAAGATACAAATGGAGAAGTTTCAGTAAAGGATCTGAAGTGTAAGCAGACTGCACAAACTTTGTTATGCAGTTTGATTAGTTTAAGGCTTTCTTCCTTCTTTTCTATTTCTTGAGATACCTATGATTAATAATACACTCACATACCCAATCTGCTTCTGAAATGTGACGTGATATTTATTTATCCTTTCTGAGTTTTTAGAATTACTTTGCGTTTGCCAAATGCAGAACCACTGAGATTTCCATATGGTAAGGCTAATTATGAAATAATAATACTAACAGATTCCTCTTGAGGGGAAAAAAAGGTAATCTTAAAACTACAAATTAATTCAAAACACAACACATTTGATAAAGCCCCAAAGGCATATATAAGTCCAATGCTAGACATACGACTTTGTAGTTTGTAGTAACAAAACTAAGAAATACATTAACTGACCTACATAGCAAAATGATCAATAAATACTAACCTGATAAGCTCTGTTTATTTGACTAGCTGCCCAACTAGCATATTTCATGTTGTCCTTTTTCGTTTTTGCACTTGCTTTTGGATTAGAAGCAATATGACTTGCCGACTAAAAACAAATAAAAACATCAAAAGCAAAATTCCTTTTTTGCTAGTCAAGATAATCAAAAACATAAGGGACATGGTTGCAATGGGATAATAAAGAATTTTTAAAAACTGTATTAAAATAATTTTTAATATAAACATAAAGTTGAATATTAGTGCTTAAAAATGAAAATATATTTTAAAATATAGTATAAATCCAAAATAGTGGAAAGGGAAAAGATATTTTAAATAATACCTAAAATTATTTAATTATGTACCTGTAACAGCTCTTAAAGGTAAAATTCCATATCATTTAAATAAAGAAGCTCTAGAAGAACACTTTATAAACCAAAAGCACTTTACCACTGTAGGATATTACTGGTGTTATTTCTTATTACTGAATTACATAACTTGCTATGTCAGAATCATAGAATTATTGAATATTTATAGAAAAAGGAAACTCAAAAATAATTTAGCCTGACATCCTACATTAATAGGTTAAAGAAATTTAAGTCCAATAAGAGAGATTTAACTTGACCAAAGCAAAATAATGGGTCTTCGAAATAAAGAAGATCCTTATCTCTAATCCATTTCTCTTTTCACTATACCATGAGTTTTCAAACTGTGTTTCAGAGAACTAATTAGTCCCTGCAATTTGATCCACCCTCTCCTTTTTAAAAATGTATTTAAATGAGCGGTTCTTAATCTGGGATCTGTGAAAGAATCCATAAAACCCCAAAATCATATGCTAATTATTAAATGTATATATTACTGTGAAGAGTAAGATATAACTTGATTCCTATTCTTAAATATATTTTACTCTTAAAAGAATATGACCATGTGATTCAAAAAAAGGTTAAGCCTTTGTTTTATGCCAGCCTGTGCTATAGGCTCTTTCACCTATGTCTCCCTCTCTGCCAGTGAAGAATCTATATCCCCAAATCTGATTTTTATACCTCTATGACTTTAATGTTACCTTCTTCTTATGAATTTTAGCAGATGCAGTGGTTACGAGAAAAACTCTGGAGTTAACTTCCTGGGCTGGAAACCCAACTCGATCATTTAGGAGCTCTGTGCCCATCTTTGGGCAAATTAATTAAATCTGTGTCTCAGTTTCACCACCTGAGGATAGTATTGAGAGCACCTACTCAAACAGTTGATGTGCGGATTTATTGATTTAAAATAAAAAACAGAGCTCAGAACAATGCCCAGCACATGAAGTGCCATGTATAAGCTATTATTAATTTGTTGTATATTAGTTTTTAAAATTAGTATTTATTTGATACAGAGATACTTCTACTATAGCGTATTTTCAAGCCATTGCAATTGGCTTTGCTAAAATCCAGGAAAATTTTCTTGAAATTCATTTGAACCACCTTCTAACCATATTTTGCCATTCCTTTTTAAAAATTGTTTCATTTTTGTTTCTTCCTATTTCCATTTCTTCACTCAGTTCCTTTTCACTGAGCTGCAACAAGAAGACACTCATCAAGAAGTCAAAGGAACAGGATAAATAAAATATTAAAGTTTATTTCTCCCAGCGTTTCTTATTGTAGGGAGGTGCTCACTTTATATATATGTTTTAAAGGTCAGCAGATTATTCCTCTATTTCCCACAGCTCTTATTAATTGACTTTTCTAAGCTCAGCATTTGGCATACCTAAACAATAGGTCATTACATACTTCCCACAATTTCCAAACTGTTTTTCTACACCATAAAAAATGTTTTAATTTGATGTATTAGGGATTTGATTTCTAATGTATTTTATTGGCACTGTTTAAAAATACCTCATACAACTATAATTTAGGGAAGAAATACAATAATGTTGGGCATAAACCCAAGAATATCAAAACAAGAAATCATGTTTTCTTCCTATCTGTCACTATTTAATTTTATAAGGGCAGATTTCAATTCTGATATAAAAGATAGTTTACAAAAAAAGAATGTCAAACAGCTAGGCTGTGTTAACATTCAAAAAGAAAACTGGCTCACAAGCTATTGCTCAGAATTAATTACAGAAAAAAACATGCTTATCAATAAAATACAAAAAACAGGAGAGGAGTGATTGAAGGGGATAGTTAAATGGATTTTAAGTGACAGATTTTTAAAAATAACATTAAACATGCACCTCAACTCACCATATAAAGTCCAAACAAAGCTCTCATATTTCTGTTGTTCAGTTTCAATGCCTGTGCAAAATACTTTCTTGAAAGTTCGAGGTTTTCAAGTCCACCTTGGGTATACTTAACCTGTTAAAAATTGCAAAGTGCTGAAAACTGTTTATTTTACTACTTTGAAATATAGCATGGTTTCATCATACCATAGGCATTCAGTAATCGAAACAGATATTCTCTGTAAACAAATACAAGATGTTAAAAGAATTCACCTAAAGGTTTTTAAAGCTAATCTAAAATTTCAAACATAACCTTCCCCAAAAAAGCTATTCTATTCTATGAACATTGAGATGACTGAGTAGTTTCTAAAACAAAAATGCTGCCGCAATAAAAAGCCAGAATAATTTCTATTTCAGCTGCCTCGCAAATGCTTCACCTCACATTGTATTTTCTATTACTGGCATTATAAATGTGGACTTAAATATTGAATTGTCCTTTTATAATCTGCATGGACATTCTTTAATAATGAAGTCCTTCTAGCCTTATAGCATTCAGTTGTACTGCTATTCTTAATAATATGCAAATTAAATAAATACTTATGTCCCAATTGGCTTTAATACAAATTTCCCAGAATATGGATTTAACAATCATAATCACTATAAATGTCTCACAAGCCATTAAGTGGTGACAAATGTGATATAACTTATAATTAGGAAAGAAAATAGTATACAAATATAAAAATACAAGGAATTTCACTGTTTTAAGTATGTCTTAAGTCAGTATTACCACTGCAATGTTAAAAATTTTAAACTTTTATTCCCACAATTCAATGCTCATCAGATGTTTTAAATATTTATATACTTGCTTAACATCAAGGAAATATTCTTAGTTCCATAATAACACCGAATAGTAACCAAAATAAAATTATATGCCATTGTTCTGAAAACACTTACTTCAGCATACTGCTGACAGTATAAGTGGTTGTGTGGATTAGTCATCATTAGTTCCTCTAAACAAAAGGCTGCTTTTGCATAGCTAAAAACACATCAAGAGGAGAAATTAATTTTTAAAGTCACAAATTTTTATCTTAGTTAAACCTTGAAATAATTTAAAAACAACTTTAGTCATGTTAAACAATTTATTCCCAATATAATTTACATAGCTTTATTAATAAAGTATTTGTCATCTGAAATTCATAAATATCAATGACATTAAATTTTATCATGAAATTAATAAACACAGGCTTAAATCTTAAAGCAGCCTGCAAACAATCAATAGATACTACATTTCAAAAACTGGGTCACTCCTACTACATCCCATCACTACTAATAAGAAGGGCTTCAAGACCTTGGATCAAGCTGTATATAAAACAACTTCTGGAAGTTGACTGATCATTTAAAAAAATATTCAAACAGCTAATGTGTAAGGAGAAAATAAACATTTTATTAAATATTCTCTACTCACTAAAAATTCTTCACAGGCATATATTTACCAACATATTCTATTACAAAGATTTCTCTCATTACTTAAGTTCACTGTCAAATACCAAATTATAATGAAGTTATAAATTTCTAAGCCCATGAAAAACAGATCAAGTTGGTTTTGATATATACTGTACTATTATTTAATCTTGTGGTAGAATAAACAAAAATCTTGCTGAAAACCTAAGGAAAGAGAACTGCCAGAAAGAGCTCTGGAAAAACATTTTAAAGCATGTGACTGTAATTCACTAAATATATTTTAAACGTTTAATGCCATGTGACTATCCTCACTATCTACAGGAAATTCTAATGAACACAGGTGTTACAAGATTTCTTCCCAGTGAGGAAGTGATGACACTACCCAACAAAAAGAGGCTACCTAAAGTTATTTTTGGCATTTACCAGTATACAAAGGGATCTACCTTTACACTACTGCCTGATATACTTTTAAAAATTATTTTCCTGTTTCACACATGTATACTAATAATAGCTTTTACTAAATGCTTATTACGTGTCATGCATTGTTCTAAATGTGTTACATGTATTAACTCATTTAATCCTACCAAAACCCTAGGAAGAAGGAAATTATTATCAACATGCTAGAGCTGAGAATACTGAGGCACAGAGATGTAAACTGAATCCCAGGCTGTGCCACTCCAGACAGCCTGTACTCTTCAACCACTACATATGCTGCTTATATGCATTACACATCACATTGAAAAACTGAAGATGTCAATGGTAACATGAAAATGTGTACAGCAGTCACACCCAAAGGGACTGAGGAAAAAAAATACACCCTGCAGATTACCTAATAATTACAGCATTTTAGATTTATGAAGGACCACATATATATATGTATGTGTGTGTGTGTGTGTGTGTGTACTCTCATCCAAGATCATGCAGCTATTTAGCCCTTTCCATTTTTAAATTCAAAACCTAGCATTGGTTCTTGACACATGATAGGTATTTAATAAGACTGAACAAATGATTGAATAAATGTCTAAAACAAATGTGTTATGACTACCTACCTAATATATATTTATCACTCGAAAAGAAAAGGGAAAATTTGTCTCTACCTTAAACACTTTATCAAAAGACAGTTCTCTTCTAAATGTGTTCCTTTAATTATTAATAGTATGATGCCAAAAATTCATATTGAGACTAAGAATAAAAGTTCTTAGACATTTAAATGGGTTGAGCACAACTGTGACACTGGTGCATAAAGCAAGATAAAATGGGCAGGTAGTAGCAGCTCTTAGGGTAAAATGAATACCAAGATATTTTCTCAAAAATCAATTAGCATCACATATGAGAAAAGGACTCCTTCCCCCAATTTTATAAAGTACAGTATCAAACTAATTTTGTGGATAAAATATAGAATTAAATAAAATTAGAGCTAGAAGGAGCTCAACAGATGGTCTAGTCCAGCTTTTCTAGGCCATTGTTAGGCCACGCAGAAAGTGACTATTTCCTCAGTCTTGTCAGGGATAATACATAGCCAGTACTATTCTAGGTGCATAGAGAAGTTAATTCATTACACACAGTGACTCAACAAGACTAAGAATAGAGAAGTAAAAATAATTTGAATCTACTTAAAACAGAATAACAATTGTTATTACAATATTAGAGTCAGTACTAGAACTAAATAAAGTTTTCTTCTCTTCCTTACAAAAGTATATATAACTAAAGGTTACAGTATTTGGTACTGTGTGTTACTTTACCAACATCACAATTTTTCCTTAAAGAATTGTGGTAATTCCGTTGATATGGAATTTTAAAAGGCTGGACTTATGAAAAGGAACTATAATCACAATCATAATTAATGTATAATACTAACTGTTCCTTGCTGTATAGTATCTAGTTTCAATAACAAATGAAGTAAAAAAATTTGTCTTTCATAATGTGAATGTATTTTTGCTTACAAAGGTTGGGTATCCCTTAACCAAAATGCTTGGGACCAGAAATGTTTCAGATTTCAGAAGTTTTCAGATTTTAAAATATCTGCATTCTTACTGGTTGAACATCCCTAACGCAAAAATCCCAAATCCAAAATGCTCCAATGAGCATTTCCTTTGAGCATCATGTTGGCACTCAAAGTTTCAGATTTTGGAGTATTGTGGATTTCAGATTTTCAGGTTATGGATACTTAACCTATAATACATATTGGTAGTGCTGACACAAAAAAATTAACTGTAGTTTTAAAACTTTAGAACAAGTGTCTCAATATGGTCAATGGATGTAACATATATCCCTGGAATAACTAAAAACAAACTATAAATCAGAAACAAACTTATAAAAGTAACTTAAAAATATAAAAAGGTTACATGGCACAATTCTATATCCCTTTTTCTCTCTATAGAAACATTAAATAGGGCTATATGAAAATTATACTATAGATATTTATTTGGAGTTTAAAAATTCCAGAGCTGGGCACAGTGACACACCTGTAGTGCCAGCTACACAAAAGGCTGAGGTGGGAAGAGTACTTTAGCCCAGGAGCTCAAGTCTAGCCTGGGAAATGTTGTAGACTCTGTCTCTTAAAGAAAAAAAATAGTTCTAGATATAGGCTACCAAAGCTGCCTGCGACCTATTATACTTAAAAAAGCTTACAACTGTTCATATGCAGAAAGGAATATCGAATGTTAAATATATCTGACATTTTCGAAACTGCTACGTTTTTGCCACTGTGTCCCCAAGACTGGTGCTAAAACTGATATCCTACGATAATTTAACATTCCATCAAAAAATTCCTGCCTCCTATAATGACTTGCTCAAACATGTCAAATGAATCAAGTGAACTGATTGTAATTTTCACAGTTTCAAAAAAACCTGTAGATATGCATTTCCAGTCACCTAAACATAAATATTCCTTCTAAGTGTTCAATTAGAAAAAAAAAATGGTCATTTTGTAACTAACTAGCTTTAAGACCAAAAAGAGTTTTGTGATACTAGATAAAAGGGTAGGCTGACCATAATTATCATTTTCTCTAAAAAAATATTTTTAGGTGCTCCTACATCTTTGTAAATCTTCATTTTTTGAGATTTCTCAGTTCATTTCTCTTAAGTGTACATTCACCTCTGTTTCAATAAACTCTTTAGATTCCAAACAAAGCAAAACTGAAGGTGGTACCACATGGTGAAAAAAATAAGTAAATTTAATGGTAGGTTAAAAATAAGGTATAACCTAAATTTGATGATGAAATAAATATTAGAAATACATGCAAAAAAATAAAATTGCAAATGAAGTAGGGGGAAAAGGTGATATATTTTTAAGCTATTAAAGGACAGCAGACATGATAATGTTAAAAATTGATGAATCTGATTTTCTAAAAATGTAAAGTTTCTATAATTTTAAGAAGTCAGTATTTAAAAAGCATATAACAAGGATATACTTTTGACAAATGGTTGCTCTCCTTTATAAAAAGAGCTCGTAAAAATGAACTAAAAAGGTAGAACCAATTTCACCTATCAAACTTGTAAAGATTAAAAAAGAATCATAGTATCCAGTGTTGTTAAAGAGGGACTCTAGTAAATGCTGGTGTGCAAGTAAATTGATGTTACCATTCTAGGGAACAATCAGGAACTATTTATCAAAACCACAGAAAATGTACATCTTATTTAATCAAGCAATTTTACTTCAAAGAATTTAACCCAAGGAAACAAAATAAAAATGATCACTACAGCATTATATATAAAAATATAAAACAACCTTTATATCTCCCTAGGAAACTCGTTAAAAATACTAGGGTAAATTAGTAAGATGAAATAATATAAAGCCATTCAAAACACACTGTAGATTGTTACAGTGACAAGAAATTTTTGAACAAAATATAACTAAGGGAAAGTATAAACTACGGAAGATAATTTTATTTTGGGCTTTTATTTTAAAAGATAAGGAAGGACAAAAACCAAACAAACTATAGTTAACTTAGGATGCTGGAATTACATGTAATTTTTGTCTTGGTCTTTATGCTTTACTGTGTTTCTCAAATTTTCTGCATTAGGTATTCCTTTAACTTGAAAAAAAAAATTTCCTTGTTGATTTGAAATGTTTTAAAATGCTTTTAGTCAGAAAATCTTTAGAAAGTACAAAAAATGTTAAATGACTGTCACCTGTTTTAGAAACAAAATAAAATTAATGCTAATTATTTTTACTATACTCTAAAAATTCAATTTCATGTATTTAAATATAAGTATTATATACTGTTTCACATGTGTAAGAAATCATGAGTATGTTTACATATGTGTACATACAAGCATATCATCTATACTGAATGTGATTCAGGAAATAATTTCCTAATCAAAACCAGAATATCTGTTTCAGAGTATAGCAGAGAACTTGAAAAACAGTTCCTAGAATATAGTATACATTCATTAAATTACAGCTATTACTTTTATTTTAGCTCCCACTTTCCTTAGACTTATGCAAATAGACTACCTCAATCCTCTAGATCACATTATATATATAGACCACAGACAATAGACAAATGTCTTCATTCTGTTTCTCATCAGTTGTTTGTAGTATGAGAACAAGGTTAAATATTCATGCACAAGAAAATGCGCATGAGAATCTGATTCTATTCTGTCAAAAAGAAGGAAAAGAAACAATGTCATATACTTCAGATTTAGAAGAACTAAGAAAAAAAATAAAAAACACGCCTCTAGATGGAGGTTAGCATTAATGCTGTAATATTAGAAAACTTGCACTAAGACTCTGGACTAATCCTCTCACACTGGGATTTCCTCCTGTCACTACAGCAATAAAAAAGCTAACAAAAACATTAAACATCCAATAAGCAAGATCCTAGAGCATTCAACATTCTTGATTATTCTCAGTTTTTTACCCAGGCAACAGAATGCTTCTACTTTGGAAGAGTTGATTCTCTTAGTACTAAGGCTAATACATGCATACAATTGACAGAATTTTTAAACAGCAGGGAGTATAATACTCTTTGTATATAAGAACAATCTGAACTCTAAAAATTCACAATTTTGATTTACCAAAAATAAACTTAGCTTAGCAAATGCAGGCCTTTTTATTTCCAAAGAATGCCATCTATATTTGAAAGAAAAACTTATTTCCTAAACATAAACAATTTGGCAAAACACAAATGACCTAGTTAAAGCTATTCACTTATTATGACCAGTGAATTACTGATTTGTTCTTTTTCATTTAATTGTTGATTTGTTCTGTTTCTCATTTCAAATGACATGATTCACACCCTCTCACCAATCCTTTGGAAACCACAGTGCTTTCTGAACTTACAGTGATGAAAACTGCACTCAACAAAATGTTGTGTGTTTAATAACTTACTCATGTTCATTGATGTAAAGTTCTGCAAGTTCATGCCAGGCTTCTTGGTCTCCAACAAATCTGGTGAGAGGAAAAGAAAAAAAAGTAAGTGTGTAGATATTCTGTAAATGAACAGCATGAAAACAAACAGGAAAATCAAATGCAAATTCCATTTTAATTAAAAAAGATTTATCAGAATAACAAAACACAATCCTCTTGTAAAATACTCACTGTTCCAGATACTCATTCAGCTCCCGAATGGCCTCCACATTTTTCCCCTGGGCTTTTCGAATGGCAATCTTACGCTTTCTTGCAGCCTGTGGGTTGACATTAATAAAGGATTAGGCCCTTATGATTCCTTGGGGTTTTGTAAAGAAGGTAATTTGACTGTGCAAATTATTATCTCAATGCCAGAGAAATTCCATTGTAGAACTACTGCTTAGTGGGAGTTTATAAACATACCCCATGACATCCCACTGGGGAATTCAAACATTCCTCTAACAATCACATATGCTTTACTTTTGATGCACACAATGTATGCATCGTTTCATCCAAATAAATAATCATCCAGATTCTGATAATTATTAACCAGCAGGGAATCTTAATCTTTATCCAACTTAAAGCCCTTTACTCTGTCTCATTCATAAGATCTGTATCCTAAGAGGGGGAGGAACAGTGGAGATTAGGGGAAAAAAAATCTCACCATGGCATGGCCTTTGAATATCATTATATAAATATGTCTTCTGACAACTTTTTCACAATTTTAAGAGAAAATCTACCTATGAGTCTTTCACAAGAATAATACAGTCCTGAAATAAATATTGTATGATAAGCAAAACAATTAGAAGCTGTATTCTAAAGTTTTTAAAATGATAAACATAAAAATCAATGCCATTTATTGTGCATTCATCAAATATGTACCAGACTTCTACTGTTTGCCAATATTGTGCTACACAATGAAAATATAAAGATAAAAAAGAAATGATAATTCCTTGCAGAAGCTCATTCTCATGACAAAAACGTATCAAATAAAAAAGTTAATGCAGTAAGAGCAATGACAGGGATATCTAGGGTGTTATGAAAATAAGGAAGAGATTCTGACACATGCTGTGTCAGAGTGGACGAACTGGAAAGACAGAAAGCAAAGACGGTCCCACATATGATACGTGTACTGAAACAAAGAGTAAGTAGACATTAAAAAACAAAACAGGAAGTTATTTATGGAAACTGCATAGTGGGAAGAACACATGAGCAAAGGCCTAGGAGAAAGCAGTACTGGCTGAAGTAAACAGTCAGGGACTGGAGCATACTGTATAAATTATTAAATTTACGTCCTCTCTATTTATGTTTGCTTCAAATACAGAAGGATAAACAATAAACCATACTATAACTGAGGCCAAGCTAAACTTATTAATTATGAATAAAATTTCTTATTGTTGATATAATATTCCACAAGATGCAGACAGAAGTAAAATGGATGTGGTCTCTTTACAGTATCAAGAGCTACTCATTACGGGGTGGTAAGAGAGTGATTTGGCTCTGAAGAAATGAAAGTGAAAGTTTAGAGAAATCAAGAGACTAATAAATAAGGGTCAGAGCAATGTTTATAATATTTTGGGTAATTAAAAAATGATGTTTTAATAATATATATCCTTAAGCATATCCTGAGAGTAAAAAAAATAAAAAATAAAAAAAGAATCTATATCCTTAATTAATCAGGTCATGGCAAAGGCCTTTAGCACAATGCCTGTCACATAGTAGGCACAAGCAAATATTTTTAAAATAAGTTTACTAAGTAAAACAAAAATGTGCCACAATAAATGCAAAGTTTTAAAAGTCTCAAGAACTCAGAAGAAAAGTAAAAGTAAAGCTCTGAAAGTAACTCAAACCCTAAAGCCATTAAGAATTTTAGACTTAAAATGGGAGCATTGTCCCTAGTCCTCCAAATAGATGAGGGATAAATTAACATATAATCAGGAAACTTTCGGCCATTTAATATCTGATTTCACCAAAATCTGAAACATAATTTAATCTTTCATTTTTCATGACATTACTTCTTCCATAGACAATATACAGAGCATAATGTCTGTTTTGAAATCCAAAAGACAAGAAACTGAATCCCAACTCTTATCACTTACTAGTTTTAACCTCTACAAACCTCAGTAATACCATCTATCTTCAAGCATCAATATAAAGCAACTAACACAGCATATAATAATATTAAATAAATGTTATCTTCCTTTCTTTAACATTTGGTTCTAGACTTAATGTTTACGTGTTAAACCTTGCCACAAAATTCTAACTAAGCAATCTTTAAAGGACTGGCACAGACTTGCTTTATTTGATATTTATATCTTGTCCCAATCCTTACAGGATTTGCAACAGCAGAGATGAGATACTGTAAGCAGTGAAAACTTGTTGAAAACAGTTGGATTCACCTGGGAGCAGTGGTGCATGCCTGTAATCTCAGCACTTTGGGAGGCTGAGGTGGGAAGATCACTTGAGCCCAGGAGTGAGAGACCAGCCTGGGCAACATAGTGAGACCCTGTCTCTACAAAAATAAAAATAAATAGACATTTTTAAAAAAGAAAATATTGCATACAAATGCCACAAATCAAACAAAAAAATTAGCTGAGCGTGGTGGTGTGCACCTGTAATCCCAACTACTTGGGAGGCTGAGGCAGGAGAATCAACTGAACCCGGGAGGTGGAGGTTGCAGTGAGCTGAGACTGCGCCACTGCACTCCAGCCTGGGCGACAGAGCGAGACTCGGTCTCAAAAAAAAAAAGCCACTTAAAGTCTTAAAGTTTTGCCACATAATTCAAAGCATATCTAAAATTTTAAACAATATACAAGGTATCATACATAAAATAACCAATTATAATAACAAAAACACTGGTTCAAAAAACTAAGATAAAAATAGAAACGCACATCTTAGTTTCCACGCATTCATACCAAACAGTACTGGACACTGAAGGAAGTATCTACTGCAGATCGGTAGCTATCTGCAGAATAAATGAATACATCACAAATTTTACAATTGGAAAGAACTGAGGAGCAGGCAGTGATAATTACATCTCTTCATTTTACATAGACAAAAAACAAAGCCCAGACTTACATTGCAAATCCTGGGACTCCTGAATCTGTTCATGTCTCTTTTTTGCCATAGTCTCTTGCTCTCTGGACACTTAATACTCAGCTGTCCAACTCCTTATTCATATAATGTCTAACTGTGAATAAAGAGTCCAGCAGCTTATCTCCCAAAAGCCACACAAAACCCTAGGTTTTGAATGATTATCAAGCAACCAGAATGAGGTTCAACAAGGCTTCTTGTGGCTTCTGGGTCTCATTTAGGGCACACAAAAAAGGCTTGTAAAAAAGACCAATTTTGGCCAGGTGCAGTGGTTCATGCCTGTAATCCCAACACTTTGGAAGGCCAAAGCGGGAGGATCATCTGAACCCAGGAGTTTCAGAACAACCTGGACAACACAGCAAAATGTTATCTCTACGAAAAATTTTAAAAGATTACTTGGGTGTGGTGGTACACGCCTGTAGTACTAGCTAATCAGGAAGCTGAGGTGGGAGATCGCTTGAGCCCAGGAGTCAGAGGTTACAGTGAGCTATAATTGCCTCACTGCAATCCAGCCTGGGCAACAGAGCGAGATCCTGTCTCAAAAAAAAAAAAAAAAAAAAAAAAAAAATTCTATCATAGCTTCCTTAGCATAATATTCTATAAAATAAAAATTATACTTAGATTTTTAAAAATAAAAACAAGTTATTAGTCTTCACATACTCTTCAACAGCAGCAAGTACAGTCTCGTTAACTGACTAAATTTAAATAATAAAATTTCTGTAGGGGTAACAGCTGGTTGTCACGTGTATTAACTACCTACTCTCAATCCCATTTACTACCATTGCTTCTTTCCTCATGATAAAGAGCCTTAATTTCTGAAATCAAAGTACCTATCCAGAATTTCTTACTAACTGTAAGATCTTGGGCAAGTCACTTAACTTCTCTATGACCTTGTATGCCTATAGAATAAAGACAATATCTGAAAGGATTATGATGACAATTAATGGGATAATATATGTAAAGTGTTTAGCTCAGTGATGGTCCATAGTAAATATCTGATAAACATTTCCTTTCTTCATTATCACATCATCATCATTTTCTTCAATTCTATCACTCCCTTTCACCATTTTCCTCATATTTATACTCTGTTCTGTAGAAAGCTGCAGCTTTTTCTCAGTTGTAAAGTAGAAATCTGGATGACCATATAAGTTGTTCTTTTAACTGAACATGCTTCACTTAAATGTTTTTTAAAAATTAACAAAATCACAGCTCAATAAACAAATTATATCATCCCTTAATAAATGCTAATAATTACATTTTTTGACCTCACAAAGTTTAGAAGATTTTTAGCCAATATCAATTCATATAATTTGTCTGCAGCCTTAATCGATGTTCTGAATAAACAATCTGGAGGCATTAAGAAATGCAACAATAGTTCTGAAGAACCCATGTATGATAGTGAAAAACACGCTACTAAAAGAATACCACGAACCACAAACAATTTACTCCATTATTCAAAAGTAAATCAACTGGCCAACAACATAGATCCTATTCTATTTTCTTCAAAGAGCATCGAATACATAAGGTTCAATCCCTGGCTTCAGAGAATTCACATTCTTTTAAGTGACATGTGTTAAATATAAATAAAATTGAGAAAGAACAACTAAAAAGTACAGTATTGTTTAAACTTTGGAGTGAGCATAAAGGTTATTGTGATGTTTACTAAAACAATCAAAGGGAAGGTGGCTACAGGACAGCTAGACCCTGAATGAAGACTAGAATTGGAAGAGTCATGCTCCTGTAAGATTTTCCCAACTAAAGATATATATACACTAGTGCCAAACAATAAACGGAAACCTATATAATCTGTTTCAAACTTTTAAAGACCATGAATAAATCTTCATCCAACTGGCTACATGCCTTCTATAATATTACTCAGAATAGGGCTAGCTAGCAATTTTTTCTGAAAGACATACATTTTTTTATTTTAAATAGGCTACCTGGGGAAGAGATACTACCTAGAAAAGGATTAAAGGATTAAGGCCTACCGGCAAAATACAATCTATAACCTCCCCCCTGCCTCACTCCAGACTCAGGGACCCAGAAGGAACTGGACAGTTGACCAGCAAAAGGAAAGGAGAATCCAGGTTCCCTGCCCCCAAGGTTTATACCTAGAAGCCTGGAAAATGCGGCATTTTAAAAGCATCTTCTGGAGCAAGATACCCTCTCAAGATAATTGGTCTTACACATTTACCGTTTACGGAACACGTCTGACTGTGCACTCGGGTGTATTCAGCAGCATTGTTGCCTGCAGTTCCCTGTGTTCACCAGAGATGCTGAGCTCAAAGTGGAGGTTTTACTCTACTCATCACTGCAATCTGCACATTGCTCCACAGTCACACAGAGGCCTGTGTTCTGTTTCCTGTAAATGGAAACATGTTCTGAGCCTATCTGCCCCCTGTGGCTGCACCTGGTCCTCCGTACCAACCCCTGGGGGTATCCACAACCACTTGGGACAGAAGAAGGTGGAATTTCAAACAGGAGCTTGAATGGATCTTCAATGACAGACTTGGACTAGCTGTGGCCCAGACATCATCCCCACCCAGAATTGCCAGGAGGAGGCTTTGCTGGCACTGGAGGTAGCTCAGGGCCTGCCTGCCTCCCTCCACTGAGTCCAATGGGCACAAGCAGGCTGGCGTATGGCCAGAGTTGGCCAGAGTGTGTCAAAGCCCCTCCGATGCCTTTCCTTTACCTTTTTTAAAGAATCTCAAATAACTCATTGAAATGACTCAAAGGTGAAAAAGTTTTACCAAAAGGAACCCTTTTTCAGTTAACTACTAATCAAATGGATGTATTCTGACCCTCTCAAGTTTCTTTCCCCAGTTACAGTGGGGGAACTGGCTGAGTGTTAACTGTGGGATTCACTGCAGCATCTTACCCTCAAGGCGTGAGAAGATGAAAAAGATGAAAATGCAACCTGCAGAGCTGGGCTTAATTCCCACGTCACAGTCTGGCCCCTGCTACAGGAGGCTACCCTTCTCAGAGAGAGATTTTATAAGGAATTGAAGGAATAGTTAGGGGGCCAGGGAAATGTGAGTGACACTGGTGTTCCAGGTGAATGAGGGGTTAGTGGAGGGTTTGGTGCTACAGCCAGTCAGGATATTTGCAAATCCAAACACATTCCTGTGTGAGGCATGTTACCATTTACCAGTTTTTGTGAATATGTGTATTTTAAGCAATAAGATTTAGCTGGTCAGACTTTTCTAGGCAGTCTCAGTGGTGCATTTCCTGTGTTGTGACTGTTCTGAAGATAGAGTGGCTCTAACCACTGTGAGAAGCCTGAATAAAAATCGACCCCCACCCTCCCCTCACCGAAAAAAACCATCTTTACCCTTGGCACAGAGGAAATTACATCTAATTCATAAATAAAACTTCAAATATTTGATATATCACAATAGGCAGAGTTCACAATTCAGGACAAAATCTGATCTTCTGAAGTATGAAATCAACTAAAAGACAATAATTACTCTGCTTTCTGAAAGGCATTCCTTCAACAAGTATTCGCTGGAAGCCTACCAAATGCTGGGCACTCTCCCACTCAATGGATATAATTTTTTCCCCTTAAGGAAGATTCAAAGTATGAAAAGTCAATCATTTTCAAAACGCAAGCCGAAAAAAAAAGTGCCAAAACTGGTACTTGAGTAACATAAAAAATAAAGGCTGACAGTAGCCCAGTCCCCTCCAATTCCACCTGTCTTAGTTTTAGATTCCCATAATCTCTAGCCTAAGAACAGCCTCCAAATTACTTTTCTCATCTCCTTCAAAATATATCCTATTTCGATGACACATTATCTCTAAAACTAACTGATGATATTTACCTAATCAAAATTTGACTTCATACTCCATTCTCTAAGAATAAAAATTAAAAATTACCAAGCTGTTCACAAATGTAGACCTTCTTTTTGTACTTCTAGCTACTCTGTATAAGGAATCAACTCAGAGGTATAAAATACTGTCTTCCTCAGAAGTAAATAAGAGGAGGAGGAGAAAGTTAACTAGGCAGAGCACCAGAACCTTGCCCTCTCTTTATCAGATGAGAAATGAAATTTGAAAAAAGCGTAAAAGGAGACAGCTCAGAAAGAAAAATACAAATGGCTGTTTAAGAATATTAAAAGATGTTCTCACTCCTGTAATCCCATAGCTGTTTAAGAATATTAAAAGATGTTCTCACTCCTGTAATCCCGGCACAGAGCTTGCAATGAGCCGAGATTGCACCACTGCACTCCAGCCTGGGAGACAGAGCGAGACTCCTTCTCAAAAAAAAAAAACAATATTAAAAGATGTTCAGCAGTACTCATAATGCAAATTATAACAAAATAACATTTTTAACTAATTAGACTGGCAACTATTAAAAGAAAAAAGCTGATAATATACCACGTGGCAGGATATGGGGAAAGTGGCACTCTCATATGCCACAGAAAGTGGGTACAGATGAATAAAAAGCCTTTTCAGAAGGAAATTTGTAACATCAATCAAAATTTAAAATCCATGGACCTCCTGACCCAGACATTTCACCTCTAAAGATTCATCCCACCAATGACATCCACTGAAAAACTGTTTCTGAGAGGAAATATCAGAATCATCCTAAAGGTTCACCAAGTTCACCAAGGGGACTTAAAGAAACTTTTTCATCAAGACAAGGGACTATATATCCACGCAATGCAATCCTACTCAACAGGATAATGTAAAGGATGTGATGACATGGCATGATCTTTAAACTATATTGTTACATAGAGTATACCACATTTGCATTTCTAACCATTCTCCCTGTCAGAGGAATACACACACACGCACACAAAACACACACACATGCACACAAACACACACACACACGCGCAGGCCTATTTGTGCATGAAAAATATCTCTGAAAGATCACACAGAAAAATCATTAACAGTGCTTGCCTGGCCGGGCGCATTGGCTCATGCCTATAATCCCAGCACTTTGAGAGGCTGAGGCAGGCAGATCACAAGGTCAAGAGATCAAGACCATCCTGGCCAACATGGTGAAACCCCATCTCTACTAAAAATACAAAAATTAGCTGGGCATGGTGGCACGTGCCTGTAGTCCCAGCTACCCGGGAGGCTGAGGCAGGAGAATCACTTGAACCCGGGAGGCGGAGGTTGCAGTGAGCCACAGCCTGGCGACAGAGCAAGACTCCATCTCAAAATAAAAAAAAAGTGCTTCCCTAAGAGAAGGAGGACCTGAGCTCAGGGATAGAGGAACAGACTTATTTTTTTTTTACCATATCATTTTATATTGTCCACAATTTTTAACATGTGTATGACTTTCTCAATAGAGTATTTCAGAACTTTAAAAAAGATGGGAAGAAGGTATGCCATTCCACCATTCTTTCAAATAAAAAATTTTGAAACTTCCATTCTAATTACCTTATTCCTTCTTTCCTAAGCAGGCCTTGTACTTTAATAATGCTTGTACTTTAATAAAGGCTTATTCATGCATTCACTTGGGATACAATGTCTTTGTATCATTTAAGTCACACTCATCCTTTAAGGCCTTCCAGACTCAAAACCCATGCAGCAAGTCATCAAAGAAAGAGAATTTAATAAATCAGTTTCAAAGTCTACAGCATGTTCATCACATCATGCTACCTCACTAGAAGCACAGAAAAGGCTAATTCATCCTTGTGTTTGTTCTCACTACCATGCACACTGCAAGCATAACAAATGTTCTCTGAAAGAATAATGAATGCATGTGAATAGGAAGTACAGCTGCTTAAAGCTTCAATGAACAACTTCATTTCTATACTGGATATCCAGAAACACAGAGGCATAAGACAAATAAAAGGTCACGTGATCACTTTTCAACAATGCAGGGAGCAACAGTAAATGAGAATAAAACTAGACTTTCCCGCCTTTGAGATACTAAGTTGCTTTGGAAAAAGAAACGGCGATGTCTTCTGTGGAGTAACTTTAGCTGTTGCATATTAGTGAAGTCTACTTATAGACTTTATTAGTTCTAGGTCTTTTATGGCTATGTTTTCTCCTTCAATGTCTAGCACAGTGCTTCCTAAGGATATAGGAACAGAAACAGTATCTCTACTCTTACTAAGAGCAACTCTTTGATGGTTCATGAGAGGTATTCAATACATGTTTACAGAAGGAAAGAAGGGACTGAAAAAAGATTAGATCATGTTTGATACAAGAATAATACATTTAGCAAAGCTGAATTAAGTCGCTTTGCTCTCGAATGTTTACCTAACCGCTAAGGGATTTAGTTACTACAGGGAGTATCCCTTATACAAAATGCTTGAAACTAGAAGTGCTTCACATCTCAGATATTTTCAAATTTTGGAATATTTCTGTATACCTGAGATATCACAGCAATAAGGATCCAACTCTAAACACAAAATTGGTTTACATTTCCTATACACCTTATACACATATCCTGAAGGTAACAATTTTATACAGTATTTTAAGTAATTTTGTGCAGAAAACAAAGTTTTCATTGTGTTTTGACTGTGACTCATCACATGTGATCGGGGTGAAATTTTCCACCTGTGACATTATTTCATTCTTCAAAAAGTGTTGAATTTTGAGGCACTTTGGATTACAAATTTTCAGGTTAAGGATGTTCAATCTGTACCACTTCACACATATTCTATGAGGGGAACCATTTGGATTTCTCTTTTAGCCAGTTTTAAAAGTCACAAAAAGCCATAAAATATGAAAGATACTACAAAGACAGAGCAATAATTAATCACATATTATCTTATAGTCTGAAGAAGTGAAATAACTTATTAAAAATTCCCAATGTAAACTGAGACAGAATCAAAATATTGTACTCCTAATTCCAAAATTGACTTAAATTCCATCGATTTTTAACCTGGGATGAGAAATATAAAATTCAGAAGTTGTTTTCAGAAATCTGATTTCAGTTTTTTCAATCTATGGCTAAGAGAAAAATGAGTATCTTTGAAACCACAGTGAAGTCTTATAAATTAAGAATAAGAAATAAGTACAGGAGAAAATCTTCAGAAAAAAATGGGTGCTTTTTCTAAGAAATTGTTGAACTAAGACAGTAAGCTATTAGAATTGTTAGATTAGGAAATCATTCAAAAACTTTCCAATTTTAACGTTTTATTCTCAGTATCTACATTAGCTTATAGAAGCTATTTCTTATTTTTATTTTTTATTACAGATAGGTTTGCAACTGTCAAAATTTTTCCTTGAACTTTCTATATTCTGAGAATCTTCACAAAATAATGAAAGTTCTCAGCTATCTAGAACAAAACAATCACACACACACACACACACACACACACACACACTCTCTCTCTCTCTCTCTCACATGGCTTGGCTGTGTCCCCACCCAAATCTCATCTTGAATTGGAAATCCCACAATTCCCTTGCATCATGGGAAGAACCCAGTGAGAGGTGACTGAATTATGGGGCGTGTCTTTCCTGCACTGTTCTCATGATAGTGAATGAGTCTCACAAGATCTGATAGTTTTAAAATGGGAGTTTCCCTGCACAAGCTCTCTTTGCATGCTGTCATCCATGTAAGATGTGACTTGCTCCTCCTTGCCTTCTACCATGACTGTGAGGCCTCCCCAGCCATGTGGAACTGTAAGTCCAATACACCTTATTCTTTTGTAAATTGCCCAGTCTTCTCGGGTATGTCTTTATCAGTAGCATGAAAACCGACTAACACAGTAAATTGATACCAGTAGAGTGGGGTGTTGCTGAAGATACCTGAAAATGTGGAAGCAACTTTGGAACTGGGTACTGGCAGAGACTGAAACAGTTTGGAGGGGTCAGAAGAAGATGGGAAAATGTGGGAAAGTTTGTAACTCCCTACAGACTTGTTGAATGGTTTTGCCCAAAATGCTAATGATACGGACAATGAAATTCAGGCCGAGGTGGTCTCAGATGGAGATGAGGAACTTGTTGGAAACTGGAGCAAAAGTGACTCGTTATGTTTTAGCAAAGAGACTGGTGGCATTTTGCCCCTGCCCTAGAGATGTGTGGAACTCTGAACTTGAGAGAGATGATTTAGGGTATCTGGTAGAAGAAATTTCTAAGCAGCAAAGCATTCAAGAGGTGGCTTGGGTGCTGTTAAAGGCATTCAGTTTTACAAGGGAAACAGGGCAAGTTCAGAAAATTTGCAGCCTGACAATGCAATAGAAAAGTAAACCCCATTTTCTGAGAAGAAATTCAAGCCAGCTGCAGAAATTTGCATAAGTAACAAGGAGCTGAATGTTAATTCCACAGACAAAAGGGAAAATGTCTCCAGGGCATGTCAGAGGTCTTCATGGCAGCCCCTCCCATCACAGGCCTGGAGTCCTAGGAGGAAAAGGTAGTTTCATGAGCCAGGCCCAAGGTCCCGTGCAGTGTGCAACCTAGGGACTTGGTGCCTTGCATCCCAGCCACTCCCCCTGTGGCCGAAAGGGACCAACACAGAGCTCAAGCAGTGGCTTCAGAGGGTACAAGCCTCAGGTCTTGGCAGCTTCCACGTGGTGTTGAGCCTGTGAGTGCAAAGAAGTCAAGAATTGAGGTTTAGGAACCCCTGTCTAGATTTCAGAGGGTATATGGAAATGGCTACATGTCCAGGCAGAAGTTTGTTGCACGGGCGGGGCTACCATGGAGAACCTCTGCTAGGGTAGTATGGAAGTGAAATGTGGGGCCAGAGCCCCCACACAAGAGTCCCTACTAGGGCACTGCCTAATGGAGCTGTGAGAAAAGGGCCACCGTCCTCCAGACCCCAGAATGGTAGAACCACTGACAGCTTGCACCATGCACCTGGAAAATCTAAAGACACTCAACACCAGCCTGTGAAAGCATCCAGAGGATGTACCCTGCAAAGCCATGGGGCGGAGCTGCCCAAGACCATAGGAATCCACCTCCTGCATCAGCATTACCTGGATGTGAGACATGGAGTCAAAGGAGATCATTCTGCAGCTTTAAGATTCCACTGCCCCGCTGGATTTCAGACTTGCATGGGGCCTGTAGCCTCTTTGTTTGGGCCAATTTCCCCCATTTGGAATGGCTGTATTTATCCAATGCCTGTACCCCCACTGTATCTAGGAAGTAACTAACTTGCCTTTGATTTTACAGGATCATAGGTGGAAGGGACTTGCCTTATCTCAGATGAGATGCTGGACTGTGGACTTCTGAATTAATGTTGAAATGAGTTAAGACTTTCGGAGACTGTTGGGAAGGCATGATTGGTTTTGAAATGTGAGGACATGAGATTTGGGAGGGGCCAGGGGCAGAATGATATGGTTTGACTGTGTCCTCACCCAAATCTCATCTTGAATTGTAACTTCCACAATTCACATATGTCATGGGAGGAACCCAGTGGGAGGTGACTGAATTATGGGGGCGGGTATCTCCTGCACTGTTCTTGTGATAGTGAAAGAGTCTCTGATAGTGAGAGCTGATGGTTTTAAAAATGGGAGTTTCCCTGCACAAGCTCTCTTTGCCTGCTGTCATCTACAGTAGATTTAACTTGTTCCTCCTTGCCTTTTGTTATGATTGTGAGGCCTCCCCAGCCATGAGAAACTGTAAGTCCAATAAACCTTTTTCTTTTATAAATTGCCCAGTCTCAGGTATGTCTTTATCAGTAGCATGAAAATGGACTAATACATAGACAGCATGAAAATGGACTAATACATAGACACACACACACACACACACACACACACACACACACACACACGCACACACACGCACATCCCTACACAAACCCCCACACACCCACTCAAAAAGAAAAACAAAAACCCTAGGGAATTTCCACAGAAAATCTCCCTGGGGTGGGAAAAGACTAAAAGTAAGCAACTATCATTTAAGAAACATACCAACTACTATAATACATAAGTATCATTACAGAATATCAAAGGAAATAAGCAGAGATAAGGGATTTATGATCAGTGCCTGAGATAAATGTGCTCTAGAAACTACAGACATCAAGTTACTGTTGTTAAATTATTAAGCATTTTACATCTTAAAATCTACAGTCAGACATTATATAAGATTTTTTAATGTATATTTTTAAAGAAATACTTGCCAAATAAGAGAGAAACTTCATGTATCTTTATTGTGTTAATACAACAATTTCTCCTTCTATAAAAGAAAAAAACTCAACCTGGTTTTTGTTTAAAATTTTTAAAAATACTTATTTTCTTTTAGCAGGCATATGTGTGCGTGGAAATAATGACATAAAACATTAAAATGACTGATGTATTATCTAAAGTCTCTCTGTAACTTTTTAGTTAAAAGGTTAAGTCTGAGGGAATCTATTATGGCAATAAACTATAATGTTCTCAACATCAAAAACAGAATTCACCAGGGTATTTTTCAAACAAATACTACTATATAGGTATCTTCAGAACAAATATTCTATCCAATAAACTAATATACTTGTTCAAAATTACACTAAATTAAAGGGGTATGTTTCTTCTTATTCATGTATAAGGCAGAAAAAAGCAAAAACAAAATAAAATGCCTTCATTAATTCCATATACTAATTATTGAAATGGCTTTTTTTTCATTAAGACAACTAAAAAGTAACTGCACAAATTAAACAATTCAGTATTTCATAAACTTCAAAATATTTTATGCAAACACATAGTCTACTCTTTCCAAATCTCAACTAGCCCCTTCTCTAATACGGTATCTTCTAGAAGTTGTTTTTTTTTTTTTCTTTTTTTTTTTTTTTGACACGAAGTCTTGCTCTGTCGCCCAGGCTGGAGTGTAGTGGCGTAATCTCAGCTCACTGCAACCTCTGCCACCCAGGTTCAAGGGATTCTCCTGCCTCAGCCTCCTGAGTAGGTGGGATTACAGGCACATGCCACCACACCCAGCTAATTTTTGCTTTTTAGTAGAGATGGGGTTTCACCCTGTTGGTGAGGGTGAGAAGTCAAATTTTATTGGAGAGTCTTAAATCTATTTAAAATAAACTGTGGCCCATCATGAACTATTTAAAATTAAAAATAAAAATATTTTTTAATTAAAAATTAAAAATATAAGACCTAGTTCCTTATGTATCTATTATTTCCTCGATTAATTTTATCTTTTAAATTAAACTTTAGATTTTTTTCAAGACAATCTGCCAACTTACAGTGTTAGTTGGATCTTCTTGTAAAATCCTATCATATAGCTGTATAGCATCATCATATCTATTTAAAAAGAAAAAGAAACATCTACAATTATTACCTTAAAAATATAGTGATAAATAGTAAATACAGAAAAAAATTAAACTGGCTTTAATATTTTAATTTAAATGCATTTATAATTGCTTTAAATGCATTTATAATCGTTACCGAAGTCTTCCATCTTCATATAACAGTAAACGTTTACTACATTCTTATTTTGTTAAGTAAAGCAAATCATGTATATAGTACTTATAGAAAATTTCCCTTAAAAAAATACTGATTCAATTTGTCCAAAGTACAAAAGTAAAAACTAGCCACACAAGTTGAAGACAGAACAAGCATCAGGACCAGATGTAGATATGGTAGAAGTACTGGCATAAACAGACTAGGAATTTAAACAATGACATGTATTTTCACAACTCTAATGGAAAAAGTAAACAGGATGCAAAAACAGATGGGTAATGTAAACAGAGATGGAAACTCTAAAAAAGAATCAAAAGAAAATACTGGAAATCAAAAACAATGCAAAAGAAATGATGAATGCCTTTGATGGGCTTGGGCTTATCAGTAGATTGGGCATAACTCAAAAGAGTCAGGAGGTTGAAGAATTATCAATACAAACTTTCAAAATTGAAATAAAAAGAGAAAAATAATAGAACACAATATCCAAGAAGTGTGTACGATTACAAAAGATGTCATATATATGTAATGGAATACTAGAAGGGAAAAAAGAAAGAAATATAGAAAATGTTTAATCGTTGAAAATTTTCCTAAACTTATGATAGACACAAAACTACAGATCCAGTAAGCTCTAAGAACATCAAGCAGAATAAATAGCAAAAAATCTACACCAACGCATATAAAATTCAAATTACAGAAAATCAAAAACAAAGAGAAAATCTTAAAAGATGCCAGAAGAAAAAAACACATTACTTATACAGGTACAAGGATAAGAATTATATCAGACTTCTCTTCAGAAACCATGCAAACAAGAAAAGAGTAGAGGGAAATATTTAAAGTGTTCTGAGAGAAAACCAACTTAGAATTCTGTATCCTGAGAAACTGCCCATTAAATGTGACAGAGAAATATACTCCAGACAAACAAAAATTAAAGCAATTTGCTGTCAGCAGACCTGCCTTTCAAGAAATGTTAAAAGCTGCTCTTCAGAGAAAAGGAAAATAATATTGGTTAGAACCTTTGGAAGGTTCTAATATATAAAGAAAGAAAGAGCATTAGAAAATGAATAAATAAAGGTAAAATAAAATTTTACTTATTCTTAATCGATCAGATAACAGTTTGCTCAAAGTAGTAACAGCAACAATATATTTGGTGATTATGATTTATGAATAAGTAAAATGAATGAAAGCAGTGTTACAAATGACGAAAGAGAAGAATTAAAAATACTCTGTTGTAAGGTATTTGCCCTAACTGTGAATCAGTATAGTGTTACTTGAAAGTTGACTTGGATAGTTCTAAATATATATTGCAAACTCTCAGACAGCTATTTAAAAAATTTAAAAAGAAGTATAACTGATACACTGAGAGAGAGAAAATACGAAATTCTATAAATGCTCAATTAAATCAGAGAAGGCAGAAAACAAATGACAAAAGAAAAAATAACAAGAGCAATCAATAGAAAATAGTTATGAATATGGCAGATAATGAAACAACTTTATTAATCATCACTTTAAATGTAAATGGTCTAAGTATACCAATGAAAAGACAGAGACTATCAAAGTGGATTTAAAAACATGACCCAACTAAATGCTGTCTACACAAAACCCTCTAAATACAAAGATACAACAGAATAAAAACAAAGGGATGGAGAAAGATATGCTGTAACACTAATCAAAAGAAAGCTCAGGAGCTCTATTAGTTTCAGACAAAGCAGACCTCAGAGCAAGAAAAATCAGTAGGGATAAAGACAGGCATTACATAATATAAAGGGCTCATTCTCAAGAAAAACACAACAATCCTTATTATTATGTGACTAACAACAGAACATCAAAATACATGAGGCAAAAACTAATAGAACTGCAAGGAGAAATAGATGAATCCACTATTAAAGTTGGAGACTTCCATACTCCTTTGTTAATAATTAACAGACATAATAGGCAGAATATAAGGACACAGTTAAACTGTACAGCACAATCAATTATCTAGAAGTACTGAAAATAAAATTTTAAAAGACGGCAAAAAGAAAAATAGTCTGAAAGCACTCTTACAAACTAAAAATAATCATAATTTAAATGTTCCTATTGTCTAGAAAACACTACCGAATATTGTTGAAACATTAGAAAAGAATTATTGGACAGGACAAAAGAATGACTAAGCATTAAAAAAAAAATGATAAACTGAACTTCATCAGAACTAAAAACTTCACAAGGCACCATTTAGAAAATAAAATATTCAAGCAAGAGAATAGGGAGAAATATTCACAGCACATATATCTGACAAAGCTTTTATCCAGAATATATAAAGACCTCCTACAAATCAGCAGTAAAAAAGGTAAAATAACGCAATTTTTTAAATGGGTAAAGACTAAAGAAGATACTTCAAAAAGAAGTTATTTGAATATCTAAGCAAACATGACAAGGTTTTCAACCTCATTAGTCATCAAAAAATGTAAATTAAAGCCATATTGAGACAGTATTCCACACACTCTAGAATGTCTGAATTAAAAAAAAAAAAATTAACACCACCATGATTAACAGGCTCCATGCCTGCCAGCTGATAAGATTTGGTTACCTTTCCATGGCTTCAAATCTCATGCCTGTTAATCGCTTGACTCTGTGACTGCCAGGGAACTGTCTTCTCAGCTCTTGAAGACAAAACTGAAAAAATAAGGGTTGAGTAGTAATTACATTATTTATACTAAATGGGCTACAATGGATGGCCTATATAGTCTTCAATGTGTCTTCTTGAATAATTTCATTAGTGTCATCTAATAACATGAAGTGAAATTAATCAGTAACAAATAATGGATTGAAAGAAGCACTATGACATTACAGTGAAGGCAACAATCAGTTCTCAGAAACTGATCATGCTCTTAACCAGGAAAATGAACAGATTATGAGAACCACTAATAACTCTTTAAGTACTAATATCATATTATTCCTCCTTAAAAACTACTTCTATAATGTGTCAGGCCCCTACTTAAATGACAACAGCGCCTGGCGTTTTCTTCCTAATTACAGCATAAGCATTCTCCTGGTAAGAACTAAGTTTTTTAGTAGTCATCTCAAGTTCCTAGCAAATAACATAAACACTGATTAATTTTGCCCTGTTGAAATTTTATATTAATCAGCCAACCTTTCTTATTTTTTTTTGAGATGGAGTCTTGCTCTGTTACCCAGGTTAGAATGCAGTGGCACGATCCTGGCTCACTGCAAACTCCACCTCCTGGGTTCAAGCGATTCTCCTGCCTCGGCCTCCCAAGTAGCTCGGACTACAGGCGCCTGTCACCACACCCAGCTCATTTTTGTATTTTTAGTAGAGACGGGGTTTCAACATGTTGGCCAGCCTGGTCGCGAACTCCTGACCTCAGGTGATCCGCCTGCCTTGGCCTCCCAAACTGCTGGGATTACAGGCATGAGCCACCGCACCCAGCCAATCAATCATCCTTTCAATCAACATATCCTGATTTGGGGTCAGAAAATACAGACATTAAACGGATGGAATACCAATTTCTTTGAACAAGTATCCATAATTGACTCATCAACTTGACTAAATAAATAATCAAATATTTACTGAGTATCTACATTCTCAGCAACATATGAAGGATTCAAAGTTTTGGAAGTCCTAGAAATGTTAAAGATGATACAAATAGTCCACTGAAGCATATTAATGCATGTGTGACCAAAACAATGCCATTAACTACTGATGAAACTATTAACTGGTAATAAAATAAGTTTTAATATGAATTGGAAATACAGCTTCAAAGTTTGTGGCTGAAATTTGCCACACTAAGAAAAATATTCAAGTTAATCAAAAGTGAAGATATGTTCATTTATTTCTTTGATATCAAGCAAAATCATATTACTTGGTCAGTCAAGCAAGCTAACTGTATAAATAATCTTAACCATTATAAAGTTACTGTTTAATTGTGTATACTGCTTTATTAATCAATAGTGTTATCTAATTTGACTTCCTACTTTATCAAGTGATATTTGGCTATTTCAAAAAAAATAAAAATAAAAACCTCTCTCAAGACATAAAACGGTCACCTCTATGAATATTCAAAAGACTATGTCTCATAGGTTCTGAAGGTAATCCAACAAAGGTTTTGTGGAATGTTTTCATCACTAACAGCTCCACTAGAATTACATGTATAGCCAACCCAACCTTGAAAAGGACAATACTAATTCAGATGTGAATTTTTTTCAGGTATTTCAATTTTTTGTTTTTGCATATTTTCTTTCAGTTTAAATACAGAGGCAGCATGAAGCGGTACTTAAGAATTCAAGATGATAGGAACAACATTAACAGATGCCTCTGCTTTCTGATTTATAAAATAAATATAATAATAACATCAAACACAAATCAAATCAAGAAATAATTATGAAGGCTCAATAAAATCATGATGTAAAGCATTTAGCTTCGTTCCTAGCATGAGTCCAAAAACATAGCTACCATTACAGTGTTATTTTAAAAGCAGTATTAGGTTTGTTTGATTTTTTTCTTTTTTTTTTTTGAGACAGAGTCTCGCTCTGTTGCCCAGGCTGGAGTGCAGTGGCACAATCTCAGCTCACTGCAATCTCTGCCTTCCAGGTTCAAGCGATCCTCCTGCCTCAGCCCCCAGAGTAGCTGGGACTAGAGGCACGCTCCACCACGCCTGGCTGATTTTTTGTATCTTTACTAGAGACGGGGTTTCACCACGTTGGCCAGGCTGGTCTCGAACTCCTGACCTCAGGTGGTCTGCCTGCCTCGGCCTCCCAAAGTGCTGGGATTACAGGTGTGAGCCACCTTGCCTGGCCAAACATTATTAGTATTTTATGTTATGTTCTATACGTCGGGATTTTCTTATGTCAGATATGTTTATAATATTGTGTAACAGTATTGAACATTACATTCTGTGAAAGTCATTCAATAACACAAAATACAAAATTGTTTTAAACTTTCTTATTTTAAACTCTATAAAATAGGATAAGTCACTTACTAAGCAGATAAATTTCAGTAACTAAATCTTTACAGTAAAACTGGGATACTAAACAGCTACTTCTCAGGACTAATAAAAAGATATAAGATACTTTGTCCTAAAATATCTAGTTAGTTCCACTTACTGTTCAGAGTAGCACTCAAAACTAGCTATTGAAAGCATTCCATATAAGCCATACATTAAGTCTTAACTACGGTATACAATTGATGAAGCAAATTAAATATATACTTCATTTAAATACCTACCAATGCCAAGTCATCCCGACCATAGTCTAGTGCTGCAATCATCACCTGTTCATATATGATCCAAACTAGATACACATAAAGGGGGAAAAAAACTGAATTTAATATTAAAACAAACCCAAATGGAAATTAATGAATTCTAGTTTCTGATATTTCTAGAGAACATTACTTATAACTGAAAACTGATTTATTGTATTATCTCTGAAACTAAGAATGCATTCTTACATGTTTCAGCAGTGTAAAATATGTTAATGTAAGGTTAAAATCTCCAATTATTTAATAGTTTTACTGTTCTAAAAGAGTCCATACACAATACATTTTGGCCAGACATTTGGCAGCCCTGTGAGCTTTAAAACAAAATGCCTATTTGATAGCTTACTACTACCAAGCAATTATAAATCCTTCTCAAAATAAACTATCATTAAAATTCTTGGGACAAAAAGTCACAAAGAAAATTAATATGACAAGTAGAAAAATCATGAATGAAAGAACAGTTAAAAAAAAAAAAAGGCCCATGAATGAGGCATGTACTGAGCCTGAATGTAATAAAAGAACTTACTATCATCTCCCAGCTTAGAAGCATATTCATTAATTAATTCTTCTCCAACTTCCACAATTTGCTCACTATTTCTTGAGTTTTCTTCTCTCCATTTTCTCATTTTATCTCTCATTTCTGAAAAAAATAACATGACATTTAAGTGTATATGTACCCAGACACACACATACACATCCGATAGATGTCAAAAACCTGACAAGACAAAATCAGCTTTTTAGGTAAGGAAAATAAACTCACAATCATGTAGAAGTCTGTGGTATCTCAAATTTGATAAAGTAGAAAATTAATTGAACAAGGGCAACAGATCCTTTAGAAGACTGAAACAGCATTACAACTGGTATTATGACTATCTTTAGAAGTGATGAATGGGCCAGGCACGGTGGCTTACATCAGTAATGCCAGGACTTTGGGAGCCCAAGGTAGGACAATCACTTGATCCAGGAGTTCAAGACCAGCCTGGCCAACGTGGCGAAACCTTGTCTCTACTAAATATACAAAAATTAGCCAACTATGGTGGCACACACCTGTAATCCCAGCTACTCAGGAGGCTGAGGCAGGAGAATCGCTTGAACCCAGGAGGCAGAGATTGCGTGAGCCGAGATCGTGCCACTGCACTCCAGCTTGAGTGACAAAGCAAGACTTTGTCTCAAAAAAAAAAAAAAAAGGCAGCATGGTGGCACCCGCCTGTGGTCCCAGCTACTCAGGAGACTGACGTGAGAGGATCACTTGAGCCTGGAGGTTGATGCTGCAGTGACCTGTGATTGCACCACTGCACTCCAGTCTGAGCAACAGAGCAAGACCCCTGTCTCTTAAAGGTTGAAAAAGGAGTTCAACAGGCATATAACAAAGTAAGTTATCCTATACAGAAAGAACTACTGGTAGCTGGGAATTAAATAAACACACTAGGATCAGGAAATGAGTGTATAAGAAGTAAGAAGAGTGAGTTTCTTGGAAGACTTTTATTTCATACTAGAGAACTTTAAAGTTTGTTTTTAAAGGTACAGAAGAACAACTTAAAAATGCTGAGCAAAAGAAAAGCAACACAATCATGGCTGTCTGACAGGAAAATCATTCTGGTGCAAAAAAAAAGAAACCACTAGAATTTTAAATTTTATATGTCAATTTTAAAAATAAATAAATTTGAAACCAAAACAAAAAGCCCCAGAAGATAAACTGGAAAGGAGTAAACAGTTCAAAGAAAAGAAACTGGTTGTATTAGTCCGTTTTCCCACTGCTGATAAAGACGTACCCGAGACTGGGCAATTTACAAAAGAAAGAGGTTTAACTGGACTTGCAGTTCCACGTGGCTGGGGAGGCCTCACAATGATGGCAGAAGACAAGAAGGAAAAAGTCATATCCTACGTGGATGGCAGCAGGCAAAGAAAGAGAGCTTGTGTAGAGAAACTCCTGTTTCTAAAACCATGAGATCTTGTGAGACCCATTCACTATAATGAGAACAGCATGGGAAAGACCTGTCCCCATGATTCAATCATCTCACAGTGGGTCTCCTCCTCAACACATGGGAATTATGGGTGCTACAAGATGAGATTTGGGTGGGGACACAGAGCCAAACCATATCACCAGTCATAGAGGACGTATAGTATACTGGAAAGAACATGGACTTGATACACTTGGTTTGAATCTAAACTCCATCTTTTACATGACCTTACATAACTTACCGAATCTGTACTTAGTTTCCAATACCAATGAATAGAGATAATATTACCTTTAGCTCAGGGATGAGCAGTTAAGATTACATAAAATATATATAAAGTTGCTTGGTTCGTACAATAGTTTGGATATTTTTGTTTTTAAGTTGATTTTGATTACCCTTAGATAAGGGTATACACTTACCAGTTCTTCACAGGCACCACTATTGTCTTTCACCCAACTACATGTATTTTCATCTGCTTGGCCCTTGAGTTTAGGACACCAAACACTAGAAAATTCGTGTAAAGCATTTTATAAAATGTGAAGCCCTACAAAAATTCTAGTTACTTTTATTTTTTAAAAAAATCTGGTAACTGTTTCAGCCTCTCACAAGAAATAAAGGCTCTTCCCTCACTCTTTCCTCAAAGGTGGCTTAAAACTTTCATTTTACCCTTTCACCTTCCTGCAAAAAGCTCGCTCCTCAAAGCCAAGGTCATTTTATTACATACTATGTAAGTAAGCTTCTCACTGCTTGCTTGTACATTTTATTAACTACTGTGCAATCCTGTGAGATGAGCTAAAGGTCAAAGGTTAAGAGAGTCGCTATGATTGTTCTGTTTATTCCTTCCATGACAACTTGCATGAGATGTCACTGCAGTGAGGTGGCCTCTGAAAGATGGAAAAATATGCCTGCTACTTAATTATGATTTCTTTAGTCCAAAACTACTTCCTCCAATCCTGTATCTTTTCCACTTCATTTTTTTATATATTCGGAAATACCACTTACAGATTCATTTACATAAACCAGCATATTCTTTTAAAAGGTTGATAATTACAGGATAATAAATTTTAAATTATTCATGGTCCCATAAAAGTATCTAGTCAGATTGGCTGCAGGCTGTTGGGAACAGCTATTCTAAAAGAAAAGGCAACCTGATTTGAAAAAGGAAAGGGTTAATTTATTTTAATGCACACAGAGCTCCAGAAGACGTATTTTTCAAACTGTGTATTACAATCCATTAATAGGGTATAAAATCGGTTCAGTGGATTTCTTCCAGCATCTGTTGGGGGTGGGGGGGCAGTGGGGGAGAATGAAACAAAATGAACAGAATGGAAGCAATACTCATTAGAATCCTTTGTAAATGCAACTTTGGTTTCAGTTTATACATACACTCAAAGATTCATGTATAGGTATACTTAATTGAGTATGAGTTAATTTGTAAAAGGTGTTTCTTATTGTGAAAAAACACTCATAGGAAAGAGAACTTTTTTTAAAGCATAACTTCTAAGAACGGCAGTCTGACACACAGTCACATATTAAAATATAATAGCTGAACACAAAACAAGAAACACTGTGTATGAAAATATAACTTACAAAACAAGCAACATTTTACCTATAAACACCTTAAGCTATACACCTTACATAGCTGACCCTGCCACACTCTTGAGTGCTGCTGTAATAAATACATTTGTAGCACTATTAACCACATACTACTTTTAGAAATGCCTTAAATACATTTATCTAAAAAAATTATTTGTAAAAATAAAACCATCTTGAAGAAAACATGTTTTCACCTTTGATAGCTCATTACCTCAAAATCACAGCATCCGAAAATCAAGTCATCTTCATTTCCTAAAAATATGGCCTCCCTTCCCAATGTTCACATTTCTGTTAATTCCACCTTCTGTTAATACTACCTGACATTCCATTTTTTAGTGCTGTTTCTGACTCCCACTGTGGGAGTTTTGTATATCTAAGTCCTGTGGATTGTTTTGAAGTATTTCGAAGTATTTCGAAGATTTACATCTTCTACTCTATTTCCACTGCTATTATCCATGCCCAGGCTTTCATCACCCCATGCTAAAATTGCTAGGATAGCTTCCAAACTGATCTCTCAACCCAAATTCAATCTGTAAATTACTACCAGATATTTCTAAAGATTTACTTCATTACAATGTAAATTCTTAAGATACCCAATGATTCCTACCTTCTTTGAGGCAGTATAGTGTATGACTGGAACTATACTTCATTATTCCACTAATATTTACTTCTTGGAGTAAATATTGGAGTTCTTCATCACTCAACTAATATTTCCTAAATGCCTATGTGCCAGGCCTGATCTGGGCACTGAGGATAAAGAAAGAAAGAAAAAGATAAAGTTCCTATATACTCATAATGCTTAGAGTATAATAGGGTAAAAAGATGAAAATCCACATAACTTCAGATAGTGAAATTATACAAATAAAACTAAAAGACCATATGATAAAGTCAGGAGATTGGGAGAAAGGAGGAGCTTTTGGAAAGGGTGGTCAGAGAAGGCTTCTCTAAAAAGGTCATTTTCAAGCTAAGAGAAGAATGATACTAAAACCTGTATCTAAGATACTAAAGAAATTATTTCAACGCTAGAAAAATGGCTTATAATCTTTTCTGACAATGTGTTAGTGTTTATTATTAATCTCATTAACAATTCATTTAGTCATCAAATAATTACTGAGCTCCGCCCCCATGTGTCAGGCTCTAGGGAAGTGACAGTGAAGAAACAGGCCTGGTCCCTTTCATCTTAGGAGAGACAAAATTTTAAAACAAAACACAATTGGGTAAGTGCTTCAATAGTATTAGAATAGAATACATAATCGAAGGATTGCAGGTGTGTTTTGTTGCTTCATTTTATTGTTTGGGTTTTTTTTTTCAATTTTGGTGGGGGATGAGGAAAGGGAAGGGGGTAGTAGAGTGGTCAAGTAAGGCTTTTTTGTAGTAGGTGAGCTTTGTGGGGAATTGATAAATGATAAAGTTTAATGGGGGCAAGAGTGAGGCAAGGAGGGAAGAACACTCCCAGTGGAAGGACTAGCATGTGCCAGCTTTAAGAAGCAGCATGGCAATTTAGGGTATTCAACAAAGGCCAGCATAGGCAGCTCACAAAGTGAGAGGGAGAAGGGCTCAAGATAAAGCTGGAGACATGGGCAACCGCCAGATCATACAGAGGAAGGACATAATCATATTAGCACTAGCTAATAGTAACACATCCTTTTATATAGTACTTAACAGTTTACAAAGCACTTTAAAATGTTTTCTTTGTTCCTACAAATTTGTGTAGTAGTTATTATTTATTATTCCAAATTAATTACATCAATCCTCTTTAGAATGACCACAGGGTAAGGTCCAATTACTCAGTTAAATCACCTTGTCTGTTGGTAGTATACAGCTACTCGTCCCTCAGGATTTTATATATGCTACTATCATCTAGGAAACCTATAATGAACATACCTTCATAATAGCATTTTCTAAAAATTATGTAATATTTAAAACATTTTTTAAAAAGCATTAAAAATAACATCCATTTATCTACGACTCAGCTTACGGAAGATACCCTGACACAAGCCTTTTAAAACTGTGTGTTTACAGGTTTGTTTTCTCCATTAGATTGTGACTTCCTTGGAAGTGGGGACTGTGTGTTGACAGAGCCAAGATTTTGCAGTAAGAAATCAACACTGTTGTTTAATATAATGGAATCCCTCAATTCAGGTATAAATACTGAGATTCACAACGTGCTAGAGGCCATAAAGTCAATAAATCATTTAATTCAGTTCAAGTACAAAGAAATTTTGCTTTATTTGTAACGGATTTACAACTTTATAATAACTGATATATTTATTCACGATAAAACAGAAAATACAACTTTCGGTCCACATGTTTTCAGGTCATTATTAAAACATCCCAAGAAGGCATTCGTTAAGCAAATTAGCTACTGAAGTCTCCTGTATTATGTTAAATGCTGGGAATATGAATTCCAATTACACAAATTCCACGCCTTAATGAAACTCAAGTTTCTTAAGCACACAGAATTGATCCAAGGTTTGGCTGTTCCCAGATTTAAAGAACATATCCCACTCTAGATCAACTAAGGATAGGGAAAAGTGACCATCACACGTAAGCACTTACGTAGCCCAGAGTTAATTAGTTATTTTTCCCTTCAGAAAAGAAACTACTAGTAGGGAGTAAGAAAGAAGTTGTGTTGTGTGTGTAAATGTGTTTTGAGAAGGAGTGGGACAGAGACTAGACTAAAAGGAAAAGAAACTGGAAACCCGGGTTTAAGAAGAAAACTAAATGTAGAGTGGCATATGAGAATCACATTTGTTCACGCATCTTTTACACAGCTTTTCTGCACAGAGCTGTAATCCTTACACACCACTTAGTAAAGGGCCTTACAGGCCCTGTGTTTCTTGGCTCCAAAGAAGCTTCAGTAACCACCTATTCCGCCTCTTCCGCACCGCCCAGCAACCAGTTAGCGTGCGACAACCCCAGCCCCAAGTCCCTCCCGCCCGCCTCATAAATAAAAGCGGCCCCGGGACGCTGGACTGGCGCGGAGGAGGGCAGGTCAACCGAGGAGCAGACACCGTGGGAAACGCTGCAGAGTACGCGTCCGGGCCAAGGGAAGGGTCAGCCTCAGCCTCCACCTCAGCTTGGCCCGTACAGTGAGGGCTCTGGTACCAAAAAGACACCAGAGAACCCAGCTCCCCGAAAGCAGCGGGTACTCCCGAACGGCTTCCCAGCGCTTTTAGTCTTTCCGCACCCGCCCCCACCCGAAGTTACCTTCCCAAGTGACATCGTAAAGCTCTGAGACCTTCGCCATCTTCCCAGAACCTAGAGGCAGCGGGGTGAGAGGGCGGGGAGACGCAGTCACGTGACCCGCCACCGGGCGGTGGAGAGTTACGTAGCTTTTTCTCATTGGCCAAGAGAGCAGAGGGGGCGGTATCCGCCACGCACGTGCACGCGGCTCTGCGGAGGGGCTTTCGGGGAAGGGGGCGGAGCGAGCTGGGCGGAGCGAGCTGGACGGTGGACGGAGCTAGGTGGGCGGTGCGTGGCGCTCCCGCAATCTCAGGATACCCTGGCTGCTGGCGGGGCTACGGTGCTGGCTCGGGGTGAGGTGTGTGTGTGTGTTGACGTGGATTTTTAACAAATGCTGGGTTTTTAGTGTCCGTCAATCCTGGCTTTTCAGTTTTTTCTACCTAGGCTTGTTCATTCTCTTCACACTCCCTTAAGTACCCTTATTCTCTTCATGGCCGGCCGCAGTGCAGCCTTCTGCACGAATCCCTTATTTGTCCCCAACTTTCCTCCTTCCGTAATGGGATTTGCTTTCCGTTCACTTTTTAATCGACTAAACGGATAAACTCCAAAGTTTTGAGAGACTAAGTGGGATTCTTCCTTTGCGCTCTGAAGTTCCCTTGAATGCCCTCGCGCTAGCTTATACCCTTCATTAACGCTCGTCGTGCCTGTCATTGCTTCATCCATGTCTGCATGCCACACTAGGTTTCAAACTGTCGCGAGTATGTAAGTACTTATAAGGAATGAATGTACGAATGAGACCTTCACAGTTCCTGAACTTCGCTCCTCATTACTCCTGGGTGGATGGGGGAGCCTCCTTTCCCACCAGACTAATTGCTTTTAGGAAACTTTGGACGTCATCTCCTAGACTTAAGGAGAAATGTCTGGACAGGAAGTAAAAAATTTGAGGATGATAAGCGTATATTTAGTATTTGAAGCAATGGGGACATGAGATTGTAGAGGAAATATGTAAGCTGAGAAAAAACTAAAAATCACTGCAATGCAGCCGAAAGTTATTGGTCAGTAAAGAAGGGGCAGTTGATTTGAGAAGTAGAAATAATACTATCCCACAAGTCAAAAGAGTGGAGGGTTTTTTTTCTCAGCTTTATTGAGGTGTAATGGACAAAAATTGTGTATATTTAAGGTATACAAAGTAATGATTAGATGTAAATATACACTGTGAAATGATTACCACAAGCAAGCTAATTAACACATCTATCACCGTACATATTTCCTGTGTGTGTGTGTGTGTGTGTGTGTTGAGAACACTTAAAAATCTCTCAGCAAACTTCAAAGTATACAATACAGAATTATAACTGTAGTCACCATGCTGTACATTCGATCTCCAGAACATATTCATCTTACAACCAAAAGTTTGTACTATTTGACCAACATCTCTCCATTCCTCACCTGTCGGCTCCAGTCAACCGCAGAGGTTTTTTTGTTTGTTTGTTTAAAAAAAGGAAAAAAACCATCAAACCATAGACCCCAGAGAAGTCACTTAACAACAGAGAAGACTAGTGAATGTATATACTTGGATTCAATTCTGAATGAGCTGGCATTCTTTCTAAACAGACTTTTTAAAAATCTTTCATTCAAAAAGTTAAAAAATACTCAGAAATTCACATATTTTAATGCTCCAGTAAAGCAACCTGGTGCAATAGGAAGAACAAGAACTCCCAGATCTGAATCCAGGCTCTACCTTTCAGTAGCTGGGTGACTTTCAGCTTATTTCTCTCTAAACATCAAAAAGGCTCATATATAAAAATCTAATAATATGTGTGTAAAAAGAAAATAGCTACCTTGTGTTGTTAATCAAGATAAAAACAGATGCTGCAGCTAAAGCCCCTGCGTGGCACTCTCATGGAGGTACCATCCTATGTCTAGAAATACTGTTTATATGCTGATCAGTCCCAAACTGATAAACCTTCCCAAAACCCAGTCTGGTTGCTTGACGTACTCAGATAGCTAGCTGATACGCATCTCAAAGTTAACATATCCCACACAGAACTGCGGATTCCTGCTGTCACCTTCCGCATTCCCACCTTGTTTTTCCCTGTCATAGGTGAGGAAACCATTTACCTAATTGCACAAGTTAAAATTACAGGAAGTACCTTTGATTCCTTTTTTTGGCACCACCTCCCATATCTAGTCTATCAGCAAATTCTATATTGCACTTCCCAAAGTTCATCTACTTTTCATATCTATTGCTATTACCTTAATCTAAGCCACAACTACGTCTCTTCTGAATGATTGTGATAGTTTCCTAGCCACCTTTGTTTCATTCTTGCTGTGTAAAATCTGTTTTTTTATACAACAACCCTACTGGTCTTAAAAAAAAAATCAGACTGCAGAAGTCCCTTGGCAATAGGCCTCAAATGGCTCCCCATGGCAATAAAAATGTACTTCAAACACTTTACCATGGTTTACAAGGCTTTACTCAACCAGGTGACATTTGTCTACCTCTCCTACCTCATCTCCTACTATTCTATTTCTCCTCACTAGCCGCCAGCCATTCTCATCTACTTCCTATTCCTCAAACAGACCAAGATCCTATCTGCCTTGTATCTGGCATTTGCCCAGCTGTTTCCTTTTCCTAGAAACCATCTTCCTTTTGTCATTCATATCTCAGTTTTAAGTGTATCTACTCATAGACCTCTCTTGACCATCCAATAAAAAGTAGCCCTTAGGTAATGCCTATCCATCATAATGACACTTATCACTATTTGATTTTTTGTTTGTTTACTTGCTTACTTTCTGTATTTTACACCACTTTAAGCTGCTTCAGAGTACCAACTTTGTTATTTTAACCTTGGAACATCCAGCCTAGAAAAATACCTGGAGACAGTAAAAATGTTTATTGAATGAATGAGTCAGATTAAAAATGACAGCTTATATTAATGATTATTAAGAATAACATTTCTTAATAGTACACATATGAACTCTAGTTAAGCATAGGATGTTTTCTTTTTATAGCCGATACTTTCCTAAAAATTATAAATTCAGTGAATTCAGGGACCATACCAATTCATTTTTTTCTCTCTCAGCCCTTACTACAATATGTTGCATACAAGAGACACTTAATATTTTCATGAAATTATTGACACTTAACATTTCATTGGTTGGTTTGAGGGGTCTAAAACCTCTGGGAAAGCCCAAGGAGGTATTTTTAAAGCCTTGCAATGGATTTTAAAGGTTACAGCTAATTGAGGGAATACATATTTTCTAATCACTTCAACTAAATATCCCATAGCTAGCTACTATTGTCTGTCAAGCAATAAGCCGTATGACACTGAGTTAAAAGTCATCATTTTCAGAATTTCTAAGCTGGAAAATAGAGTAATTTCATTTTCGAGTTAGAATGGGCTGATGAATCTTGAGAATAATATTTTTCAAACCTCTTTTTCCTGCAACTCATACTAAAGGAATATGTTTTGCATTGTCACATAGTATGTGTACATGTATTTAAAACTGAGACAAAATTTAAAAACTAGCTTTGTCATGTGTCTTGTCCCCTACATTTTCTATTCAAATTCTGTCAGCTACATTTTATTTTCTAAAACTACTGGTATGACACAGAAATGAGGTCATGACTCATAGTTTAAAAAACACCAATGGATATCGTATTTCCTAACCTGAGGCCCTAAAGTGAAATGATTTGCCCAAGTTTCTGCCACTAGCAGGTAACAAAGATAGGTGATTCATATGGAGATCCGTTGTTTAGATCGTAGATGAAAGATAAAATATTAATGAGAAAAATATATTTAGGAGAAATTTTGTCACCAACAGTACTCTGAAGTGGGGAAAATGATTGCTTATAGATTATAACATTTTGCATGTCTAATAAAACTTGCCTTCCTCAGGCACACTTAGGAAAAAACTGGTATGTCAGTGACAAGAATTCTATATTCTTTAACATTGTATAACATGTAATTATAACTAAATAAAAAAACCTTCTATAAATAAAACTGTAACACTGAAAACATAAACATCAATTTTACCTTCTGTAACTCCTCCTTTACAAGACGTCTTCAAAGTTTTGCCTCTCCCTCTCTCACTCATTGGGAAAATTTTCATTCACATGTGTTTAAAATATTTAGTCCAGTTTTTCTGATTGAACATTGCCCAATATTGGTGACAAATACCAAGGAAATGTCCAGGCAGCCAAATATTAGATTATACTAGTACCCACATTATGAATAAGATGTGTCAGACACCACGGGAAGCATTATCTCACTTAATGATATCAACAGCACAATGAAAATGTCTATAATTTTTTTTATGTGAAGCTAAATTGTGATTTGGTTTTTTTCCTGGAAGATTATGTTTGAAGAGTTGGAATGACAATAAATCGGAATGAACTAGATTGATACAGGAAAAACTTCGAATAAGCCCACATTTTCTTTGAGGTAGGATATAAGCCAAATTAGTCCACAGAGCACTTTAGAGTACATCTTTTTTATGGTTTACTTAAATCAATTATTATCTTCAGACATTGTGAAGGACTAAAGCAACCTCTTAAATTTAATAAATTTTATGGCATTTATACAATGTACATTATTTCACAGGATATAAGCCAAATTAGTCCACAGAGAACTTTAGAGTACTTTTTTTTATGGTTCACTTAATTCAATTAATATCTTCAGACATTGTGAAGGACTAAAGCAACCTCTTAAATTTAATAAACTTTATGGCATTTATACAATGTACATTGTTTCACAGGATGGAACATAATACTATTCTAGTTGATTTTGCAATATTCGGCATCTTCATCAAACCATTTACTTAGAATCTTCTGTCTGCTTTGTCCTGGTCTTAGTCATAGTGAATTAGTGTCCCATGTTATGTAACACAGCTTGTAACTCCTATTTACTATGACAGTTGCCCATCAGAGTAAGTTGGTCTCACTACAACTCTCCTATAAAATTTACCAAAGCTTTTAAATTATGTCATTGTTTCTAATTAGTGGATCATAACCATAATCCCTTTTTATTTAAGTGGAAATATTATTCATTCCGTGCCACCAGAAAATAACCTTCATTCCATGTCACCAGACCTTCACTGTGACGCATCTTGTTCAGAATGAAATTTTTCTTAGAATTTTATTTACCAAAAACCAGATTAATATGGAATTGTTTTACGAATCTACTGAACATTGTTTTTATTACATTTTTAAAAGACTGTATAATTAATATGCTTCCCCCAAAATCAGTACCCAGTCCCCCCTTTGCTGGCACAACTGTAGCATTTAGGCATGTCTATTTTTTTTAAAGTTTGTTGTCATTTGTAATATATATGTTTTTAAATGTGCCAGCCATCATTTCATACCCAGTTATATTATTTTAGAAAGGAAAGGGGAGTCTCTGGGAAACATTTCCAGTGAGATTGCTTTGGTCCTTTCACAGTATATTTCGCAAACTGATAATTACCCCTCTGTGCCGTGGCTGTAGCACTGAAAAGGAAAGTACATCCAGAAAGAGTACACCCAGAATTACCCCACATGGGCTATAAATTAGAGCTGTTTCTTTTTGAGATTTATAACCATACTTAAGAGTCTACTTTTTCAAGTGATATGTATTTAATTTCCCCGAAGTGCATATTCTGTTCTGATAGACACATACATCTGTGTAAATGTAACTCCTTGTGCAAAAATGTATTTTCATAAACATCTCTTTTGGTTACCAAATATCCAGGAGTCCCTAAATACTCTTAATGTGACCTGATAGTCCCTGAAGACCATCTAGACTCTACTTTCTACAGTAGGACTATAACTGAATCCTTTACTTGAAAAAAATGTTCAAAAAGGTGTTTATTTACAATAAATAAATTATGGGAAACTCATGCAAAGATATACTGAATGTCACGTTATGCATGTTAGTCTATTATTGATGTAATTTTTATTTTTGAATAGTCCCTCTCTTTGGTAGTTTGGTAGCATTACTCTAGTTACAAGTGGCTAAGTCATTTGTTCAGACATGTAGTTCTCAGCTATCTTACTCCGGTCACCAGACCAGAATGTCATTTTCTTTACTGGTCATCTTTTTCTGTGGTCATGCTGACTACTCGGCTAAAATTGGCTTAAAGGCCAACAGCCACATTGAGCATAATGTGGTCATTTTCTCTTTGAGATCATAAATCACACTCTCTTTTGTACCTAAGAGGGCCTATTTGGTCAGCACCATGGTTTTATTTGGAAAAAAGACTAGTTTCCCAGCAGAATGTCTAACAAAACTGCCCACCCCCAAATCCATTCTATTAGACCTATGCATCACCATCTCACTCCTGAGAAAATAGCATGATCTCTATTTTTCAAAATTTTATGTAACATAATTTTTTTAAATTTTATTAAAGTTGTTTATCTCAAAACTTTGAAGTAAGGAACAATATAGACATGCTTCAAAAGCCGCCACTTAAATTGCTGCCACCTCTCTAGAAATTATTTCAGCAATGGAATATTTTAATTTCCTTCTGTTCATTATGTTTCTATTACACATTTATTTTGGATCTTTAAATAATGAATTTGAACATGTGTCCAGTGGGGATAGAGGTATGATGGGGGGTGATTTCAGTTGATAAAATTTTTCTAGCAATATGCAAGATTATTTTAAGTAGAACCTCAATCGAGTTATTAGAAAACATCAGACAAACCCAATTTGAGAGCCATTCTACAAAAATAACTGACTGGTACTCATCATGGGGTAGCAGTGCCATTCTATATTCCTCTTCTAAGTTTTAGACAAGTGCTTAGTCCTAAGCACCCGTTGATGGATTCTAAGGTCATATATTTGATGAAATTAGAAGAATAGACTTAAATTTATGAAAGAATCTCCAAAATAGTTTGTGTTAATTACATTGTACATACCCTGCCAGAGAGGGTGTGGAGCACCTTTACATTCTAGGTGACAGCAATGGATTCTTTGCCTACATACATGTACATTCCTCTCATCTATGGAGATTAATGGGTTTTAATCTCAGGTTACACATTCTAGCAATGTACATTAAGTAACTTGAGCAAACTGACTTCACTGAATGCTAGTTTCCTGTGTAAAACAAGCATAATACTTGCCAATTATAAAAAGGATTACAAGTAACAAACACAAAATTTCTCGGAGTCTGGCATAATAATATTTTCAATTTACATATCAGTTATTGAGTACTTAATGTATACCAGGAACTGTACAAACTGCTCTTTCTAGATTATTTTGTTTAATTCTTAAACAACCCCACTTTACAGATGAGGGAACAGTTAGGAGAGGTTAAATAATATTCCCAAATACCTTGTGATATATTCTGTTGCATTGTAGGTTCTTAGTAAACAGTAGCTGTGTCGTTTTGGTCCATTGGGAAGCAGACTTTGAGATGGAGTTAGAAATGCAAGAAATTTATTGGGAGCGCTCTATATGAAATAGAAAGAGGAAGCAAAATTGGTTATAGAGAACTTTTACACCATGGCACATATATAATGCCTGTGTAAGACAAGTGGGTAGGAAGAAAGATTGGGCAGGAAGAGCCATAGACCATGATTTAGACCTGACAAAGTATCAGCCAACTCAATGAGAAGTTTCTGAGCAAAGATTGCCCATTAGAAGAGACCCACAATGGGCAGAAATTGCCAGGCCTTGTGTAGTGACATGCTCATTTATTGGCTGGGGAATACCCAGAAGGGCATGGCCTCCGCTCAAAAGCTGAGATTAATCCTGAAGGCTTTAATAGCTGGAGGCTGTCAACTTCCTGCACTACTTCAGCAAGTTCTTTTTTGAAGGGAGATTCAAACAGTATACTTCATGGCTGCCACAGTAGCCATTATTATTATCTTTCCGTTCTAGGGGTGCACTACCTCAACACTATTAGGTAAAAAATTGTTGATGAGAGGTAGGGGTCTGTGTTCTTCAGAAGTCACTGGTGATTTGACATATGGAAATTACCCATTTTGACTGCACAGAATGTCTTTTTCTAGTATATAATAAATAGGCCAGCAATGGTTGCCTTGTGTTGAAGAAAAGACTTGGTAGAATACATATAATCCACAGAGGCTTGTTTTTATGAAATATAAATCAAAAATCATTCATTCTTCTTATGGGTGGAGACTACTACTACTACCATTGGTAAATTACCTAGAACTTCATATTTCTTCCTCCTTTTTTACCCAGATGCCAAATATATCCAAGTAATTTAGAATTTTAGAAATGTCTTTCCAAGAATAACAGTATAACTCTGAAAAATGGCAGCATTTCTAAAATTCTAGAACTCAAGCTCTCCCTGAAATACTAGAAAATTCCAAAGACACTGCAATCAGAATGCCCCTAGATAATTCAGTGGCTAGCTGCCATACTATCATTGATGGTTGCTTGTTAATAAACTTAAGCAAGACTAAATTTTATCAGTATTTTCCAACAGTAGATAATTGATTACAGGTGTGAAATATGAATGCTGCGTAAATATGCAGCCCCTCAATGTCATCTTGCTGTTCTCTTGGATGCCAAGGCAGCCTTAGTTAGCATCTGCTGTGCTGCACAGATGCTCTTCTGGGAAGGTAATTAATAGTAGTCTGTACTCTGGACTGCCAGAAGGAATGATATAATGAAATCAGTACCTAATGGGGGGAGGCAGAGTGCTTCCTAGACTTCACATGACTAGTAAAGTTGAGTTTCAAAGAGAAGGACTGTCTCTTTTTAAAATTTTTAGCAACAGAAGAGGGCTGCTGATTGTCTCTTTTAAAGAATTAAAGCAACAGAAGAAAACTTTGGCAGTTCTTTTCAGGGAGCAGTTACATGGGACACAGTAGTTATGAATCTCAGTACACAAACTCAGGTGTGCAAGAACAAAATTTGCACTTTTATAAAACAGTTTGTTTTCAACTTCTGTTTTAGAATCGGGGGTGCACGTGCAGGTTTGTTACATAGGTTTGAAGTACAAATGAATCCAGCCACGACGTAGTAAGCATAGTACCCAACAGGTAGTTTGAGGTTTTTGGGGGTTTTTTTGTTTTGTTTTGTTTTTTAATTTTTTTTTAAGACAGGTTCTCACTCTGTCACACAGGCTAGAGTGCAGTGGCATGATCAAGACTCACTGCAGCCTCGAACTCCCAGAGTTGGGCTCAAGCGACCTACCTGCCTTATACCCCCCACCCCACCAGTAGCTGCTACTACAGGTGGATGCCACCATGCCAGCTAATTTTTTGTATTTTTTGTAGAGACAGGTTTTCACTGTGTTGCCCAGGCTGGTCTCAAACTCCTGGACTCAAGAAATCCGCCTGCCTCAGCTTCCCAAAGTGCTGGGATTATAGATGTGAACCACTGCACCCGGCCCAATAGGTAGTTTTTGTTTGTTTGTTTGTTTGTTTGTTTGTTTCAACACTTACCTCCCTCCCTCCCTGTACCCTTTTGTATTCCCCAGTGTCTGCTCCCATTTTTATTACCACATATACCCAATGTTTAGTTTCTGCTAATGAGAACGTACAGAATTTGGTTTTCTGTTTCTGCATTAGTTTGTTTAGGATGAGGTTTCCAGCTTCATCCATGTCACTGCAAAGGACATGCTTTTATCCATTTTTATGGCTGTGTACTATTCCATGGTATATATGTACCACATTTTCTTTATCCAGTCCACCGTTGTTGGGTACCTGTGTTGATTCCATGTCTTTGCTATTGCGAATGGTGTTGCAATGAACATAGGGGTGCAGGTATGTTTTTGGTAAAATGGTTTATTTTCCTTTGAGTATATACCCAGTAGTGGGATCTCCAAACTGCTCTCCATAGTGGCTGAATTAATTTACATTCCCAGTAATGGTGTATAAGTGTTCCCTTTTCTCCACAGCCTTGTCAACAACTGTTTTTTTGTTTTTTGTTTTTACTTTTTAACAAAAGCCATTCTGACTGGTGAAAGATGGTATCTCTTTGGTTTTGATTTGCATTTCTCTAATGATTGGTAATGATGAACATTTTTTCATGTTTGTTGGCTGCTTGTATGTCTTCTTTTGAGGAGTGTCTGTTCATCTCCTTTGCCCACTTTTTAATGGGGTTGTTTTTTGCTTGTTCAACTGTTTAAGTTCCTTATAGATTCTGAATATTAGACCTTTGTCAGATGTATGCTTTGTAAATATTTTCTCACATTCTTTTGGTTGTCTGTAAAGCTCAATTTTTATTTGAGGTACCATTCTTTGGGGAAGACAAAAATTTAATCTCAGCTTGAGGTTTGCCTCATCCTGCTGCCTCCACCTCTTTCCAGGCTACTCTGACTCATGTGTGAAAGTGATATTCAAAATATTTAACAAGCTGTAGGCAAGGTCGCCAACTGTCGTAGAAGCCTTCAAGATGGTTCCCAGTAATTTGCACCTTCTGGTTAGTACCCCCTATGTAATCTCTCCTACACTGAATAGGAACGGCCTGTGTTATCAATAGAATATTTTTCAGAAATGATGGAGTATAACTTTCTGAGGCTAGGTCATAAAAGACATGTGGCTTCTGCTTTGCCCTCTCTTGGATCACTCATTCTGGGTTATGAGGACACTCAAGCAGCCCCACAGAGAGGTCCATGTGGCGAGGACTGAGGCTTCCTACAACAGTCAGCATTTATTTGCCAATCATGGGAATGAGACATTTTAGGATTGGTCCTCCAGCCCCAGTCAAGACTACAGACTTAGATGACATCTCAACTGATATACCTTGAGCCAGAACCACCCAGCTAAGCTGCTCCCAAATTCCTGACTCACAGGAACTTTGTAAGATAAAAAAAAAGTGCTTAATATTGCTTTAAGCTGCCAATTTGGGGAGTAAAATGTTATATGACAATAGATGAGCAATATACCGGCCAGTCAGAAAGAAAGCAGACACTGGCTTTAGTGCTTACACGGGGTCCTGGAGGCTCCTCGGCTATTCCAGGCATTAATCTTTTAGTTTGGGGGAGGCGAGTGATTCGGGGTAATTAATATTTATCAGTTTTGGTAATTTATCAACCAGTACAGCCATACCAATTATATCATTCATTCTTATATAGTCTCAAGGCATTGAGAAGTCCCCATGGCCCTCCAGGTCACAATACAGCCCTTGTTTCTCTCCGTAAATGTCTCTGGGTCCTGTGCCTCTCTTAACTTGGTTTGGATCACATGGGAATTTGGGTTTCCCTCCCTAGTCTCACTTTCCAGACTTCTTTTTTTTTTTTTTTTTTTTGGATACTGTCACCTCTCTGAGAGTCTGACTAAACTTAAGGCTTGTCTCACTGGGAGGCACTCTGCTTTCCTCAGCTCCCCTTGGGTCTCTCTTCTTCCTCTCTACTCCAGCCTTTACTACCCAGTCCCTGAGAGAGCACTATTTTAGTCTCAGGGGAAGTTTCCCCTCATCCTCAGTGTTTTATTCTCTAGGTATTGTCTTACCTGTGATTTATCCAGAGACACCTACGTATACCCTCTTTGATGCGTTTTGAAAACCCAAACCAGAGAGATACAGTTCGCCCCTTCCTAGTTTTCCCCCCTGACACTCTCTCCCTCTAAAACAGTGATATGGGTCCTGGAGAAGTGTGAAAAAAGTTTCACTTTCAGAAGAGAAAGAAAGAAAATCACTTATTGATTCAAAAAATCCTACTACCCCGTTAATAGAGAAATGAATCTCCGCTTACTAAAGAACTGTTGTTTGGGCTGCTGCATGATCCTTGCATCACAGTTCAGCAGATTCTCATCGAAGCCATTTGCTCTAATAACATGATGATAAAGCAACCCTTTGATTTGCCTTCCGAAGAACCTAAATACCATGTAGGAGATACTTTGGTCATGAGGACAACATACCCCATTCACATTTTTTTTCTCTTTCCTAGAAATCCTTACCTGACTTCCTCAGATTGGGGTTATGTGCCCTTCTCATATGCTCAGCTTCCCTCACCCCAAAAGCACCCATCTCATCAATTATAATTATTACTTGTGTCGGTCACTAAACTCTGAGCTCTGTTTGACACCCGTATGTCATGCTGACGATCTTTGCCAGAGTATTTCAATAAGTATTTGTATAAAGACAAAGAAGAACCATTAAATCAGTGGTCACTTATTTGGGGGCTTTGTGAACCAGTAAAATTTTAAGGAAAAGGGTGGAGAGAAAAAAATAAAAGTTGCCAGTTTATTATTTTGCTAAGCAAAGACATTAAAAGTAACAGCTACAATTTAGTTCACATCATTTCATCTTAAAATTTCTAATTTAACACCAAAGGAGTTGTAAGGATTCACGAAACAACAGTCCCTGCAATAGAGGAAATTTAACTTTTTTTACCAAAGACCAGTGACAACTTCCACCTAGATTGGCACCACATGGCTTTAAGAATGGCTGACAACTTCCTAAATCCCTTCCACTAGATAAATTAGGGAAATTTGAAATGGCAGCTCACCTATTTTCAAGGTGGCAACTTCTAGATTTTAAATTTCTTTTTAAAGAAACACTTCCAACTAACTAAAACTTGTTTCCTATCCTCATTATGTTTTTAAAGAAAAACAGTCACTGAGCATCTTGGCACATGATTCTCAGCTGGGACTCATTATCCTCTTCAAGAATTTTTTTCTCTCTTTCCTAGTAAATCTCTGAAGAAGTGAACATATTAGAAAGTACAAACTACTGTAATTTTTTTTATTTTTAAAACATGTTTGGGGAAGGCTTGCTACAGTCTGATCTAAGAAGAAAAATAAAATTATACTTGAAGTATCTCATGATGCAAACCATTTCTGGCAAATTTATTTTGGATATAGCTCTTGTCTCATAAATTCAGCAAAATCCATTTGGTTAAGTTTTACACTAAGGCACAGTAAATGTGTTATTTGTTTTTCATTTTACAAATCGCAAAAATTTTTCTTGATCTCAGTGACAAAATAGTGAATATATAAAAAGCATTTTCATTGGAACTGGAGCAGAAGATACTCTTACCTCTACAAATAGGTGTGATTTTAACAAATGGCAAAGACAATAAAGAAAACACAGAAGCAGTGTTTCTATTTTAAATTTTACTTATTTTGAGAACCCATGGGATAAATTACAACAGCTTTAGGAAAGCAAAACAATCAAAATTAGGGGATGGAAAAGATTAAATCAATGATGATGTAATCTAGACCCTTGATGATACAGGAGACTCCCTTAAAAATTCTGCCTGCATGCAGTATCTGTTGCAATGCTCTAGGCTAGGAGAAATTTCTGAATCTGACTTATCCTTTCACAAATCTATGCTTTCTCCTTATTTTTATTTTGCCTTCTATTGTAACTTCCTTTCCTTAGGATAAAAGAGGAAAGAGGCCTTAATAGTCTAGTTTCAGTCAATTTTTTTACAATAGTCATGTTGAAAGCAAAGCATACTATTTTCTGTTACAAAATAATTTTGCTGGCAAGTTTCCCAGCTAAAGTTATCAGTAAAATAGTAAATCAAACAACATCCATATACAGGAAGAAAAGTTACAAATCTCATGAATTATAGAGCTCTGTGCACTGCAGACTTTCAAGAAGAATTATACCTTTTCTCTGAAGAGTATAGCACTTTTGAAATACACAACATGTTCAATCAAACTTGTGAAAATAATCCATTTTAATGTATTGGTTGCCCTGATTAAGACAATACCTAATTTATTAAGGAATAATTTTATAGTCAGAAATGGTATTTATGATTGCTATTAAATCTAGCCTGTTTCAACATGAGCATAGAATATGAAGACTCAGATTATATATTTTTAAAATATAAAGTCTTGCACATTGTCATTTGGTTAATAAACAGACAAGTAACATCTTAAACCATTAATTTTGAGCATGAGTTTTCTCATTCTAAAAATGCTAGGAAATGAAAAACAAAAATGATGTTGGCATCATTTTTTGAGAAGTGTTAATGATAGTAGTTAAATATTTTGGAACTATCAGGAGCTAAATTTGGTTTATCACTTATGAAAATAGTTAAAACTGGCAGCATAATATCAATGAGTAGATATTTGAGTGTCAACACAGACAAGATTATCAACCTGAGCTGCACACTAAGCACAATTAACTGAAAAACAAAAGTTCAACCAGAGTGCACTGGTCTGATGTTGAGAGTTGTTCTGTAAAGCTTCAAATTATGATCATTTAAGATTAGTTACTTGAAACTAACTTAAATAGGCAGTTTTTTTTAAGTGAGAAAAGAGAAAGAAATGATTAATTTGAGGAAGAAAAATTACAGTATTAATCAGTAAAATTTAAAAGTATTTTGCTGAAAGACTCATGTAGCTGAGCTTCTGAAATATATCTTTGAATTACCAGTGGACAAGCCTATAAGGAGACAGTTGTTTTTGAAGAAATTGTCATTAAGGAATAGACACCCAGATGAAATTGTAGGCATGCAAATAATGATGTGAATGAATACATAACAAAAATAAGGACACGCCATTTCTCACAGTTACTGCCAAAGAGAAACTGTGTTGAATTAGTTATTTTTTCAATTGTAGCCAACATACTAAAACACTGATATTCTTAGAATCCTAAAACTTTGGCTTGATTTCTGGCTTCATCAGTTATTGACAATGCGATCTTGCATAAGTCCTTGACTGTCACATTTGATAGAAGGTAATAATACCTATCTCAGAAGGTTCGTAAGAAGATTAAATGTGAAAATATCTGAAAGCACATATTACCTGAGTAAAATAAATTTTAAGTGGTTAAAAATAAACATGAATGTTTTAACCACTTAAAATAAATTTTAAGTGTTTAAAAATAATCACTGCAATGAAGTCATCACTTCATGAATGATTTCTATTTTCTTTTCCATTCATCATTCAGCTGTGGTACATGATGATCTAGCAAATCGTGTAATATTTTATTGGTGACTATTAAATAGAAGTCTCGTGTAGATTTGAAATAATATTTCAGAAGAAGCAAAGGTAGTTTTTATTCTTTATATTTTTATCCACACTTTAATCCACCTACTTTATATTTGTAAAATCTAAAGACAGTTGTCTTGAATTTTCAGCCAGATATCCAGAAAGCCCAGATGGTTTCCTACCCTTATAAAATAAGCATTTACCTACTCTAAACTATCTTTTCTACGAAGACTTGGAATGAAATGAAATTGTAAACACTCCTGTTTCATGTCTTTTGCCACATATAACCTAAAATGAAACCTCTTTAACCAATAAAATCCCTGCTGATAAACCCTGCTAAGACACAGGGTTTTTCCTCCCACTCTTCTTTTTGGAATTTTTCCCTTAATGTCCTTAGGCGGGAAAGCTGAGATATGAGTGTCATTTAACATAATTGTAATTTAAAATTGTTTTCAGCTTTAGAAGGAAATGACAATTTTCAAGAAATGCATATTTATGATATTTTAATGGGGCTAACATGCTAGTTCAAGTATCTTGCATTTTAGAATCTAATATATTTCTTCCAGCCCATCACTGTATAATCTATACTATTTTCTAGACATTTTAGTTCTAGGAAATTTTCTTGTGTAATTCCTTTGATGATTTCACTCCCTCATTTTCTTGTTTGAAAGCTGGTTTTTTTGTTAGATTGTCTGAGTTCTTTACTCTCTGTCTCTTGTTTTCCATCTCTTTTACGTTTTGTTCTACTATCTGGGAAATTTTTTCACATTCTCTTCTAAATCTCCTATTGATTTATTTACTTACTTTTTTGGCTATCCTATTTTTTATTTCCAAAAGCTTTCCTTGTTCTCTGTTCTGTTTTTATAGCATGCTGTTGTTGTTTTATGCTTGCAGTAGTTGTCTGTATTTCATATTGAAGACTTTCCTTAAATGTCTTATGATACTTAGCTATTTCATATTTAAGTGTAAGACTCTGAAATGCTGTATGGAAGCTCTATATGTTTGCGAACACGGTGCCTCAACTGTATAATGATTGGTAATTAAGCTGCTTAAAAAAATAGTATCTCCCAAGCATCAATTTGAATAGATCTTTTCTTTGGGGGTCATTTGGTTCCTCAGAGAAGAATTGTCTTCTTCTCTGTATTAGTCAGGGTTTTCTAGAGGGACAGAACTAATAGGATAGATATATTTATAAAGGAGAGCTTATTACATATTAACTCACAGGATCATAAGGTCCCACAATAGGCTATCTGCAAGCTGAGGAACAAGGAGAGCCAGTTTGAGTCCCAAAACTGAAAAACCTGGAGTCCGATGTTCGAGGACAGGAAGCATCAAGCACAGGAGAAAGATGTAGACTAGGAGACTAGATCAGTCTAGTCTTTTCACGTTTTTCTGCCTGCTTATATTCTAGCCACGCTGGCAGCTGATTAGATGGTGCCCACCCAGGTTAAGAAGGGTGGGTCTGCCTTTCCCAGCCCACTCACTCAAATGTTAATCTCCTTTGGCAACACCCTCACAGGCACAACCAGGATCAATACTTTGCGTCCTTCAATCCAATCAAGTTGACACCTCGGTATTAACCATCACATTCTCTCTTAGTGCTTGTGTTCCAGGAGCAATGTAGAGGAATGGGGCTGGTGTTCCAATAATCACTAGGAAAACTTGGACTTAATCCCTTTGGCTTCAGTCCCTTTTCCCTGCTCATACTTCACTCTGACCAGTGCCCCTGTTCCAGAGCTTCTCATACCTAATAATTCAACTAGAGGTTAAGACATTGGTATCCTGCAGAGTGAAAAGTCAGAAGAAAACAGGGAAGAAATCAGTTAGCTTAGGGTTGTGAGACAGGAAACAAAATCTGGGCACCTAGCCACTTTCAACCATTCTCCTTGTTTTCAGCAAACTTCACTACCAACATCCCAACACCTTGTGCCTCCATGTCTTAAACCTTTCTGGGTGTCTGGAGGGCAAATAAGACTAAAAAGAAAAAGGAAAGGAAGGATATATCTTGTAGATAACTTTCTATATAGGCACTGGGTTATAGCTTCCTTTACTGGGCACTACTCTCCATCAGCTTTCTATCTCCAGAATTTTGTTGAAATTTCTCATCGTCTTTCTTTTTCTTCATTTTTGTTATATATATTTTTTTTATTCCTTGTTTCTAGTATTCAGAGTTGGGAGAAAATGAATTTATTCCATCTAAGCCATCTGGTGTGTGGTGTTTTGTTACATCTGCCCAAACAAACTAATACACTATATAAGACCAAAAAAAACAAAGGGGGTAGAGGAAGAAGAATATAATTAAGTCAGTGGCACATGCTGTCCCAAGATAAAATGCATTTTTTCTTAAAAATTAATTTTACCAATATTGATGGATTATTTTCTGGAAATAGAAAAAGATTGGTAAACTTATTAATTTTTTTGGGGGGTGGCTTCAGGAGGATGAGGAAATAGAGGCAGGTTTAACCAGACGTTTCTTCCTTACTTCATGAAGTATAAATTTAGATTCCCTTCTTAAAGATGCTTCTGTTCCTTATTCTTGCCAGGTCATGAATTTATCCCCAAGGTATAGTACTTTAGTGATTTCAACATGAAAAAATCAGCATGAAGAATTTTCCTAAATTGAAGAGAAACTCAATTACAATATCTTATAGTTTTGCTCACTGAAAAGCATGGGATTAGCCAGCAGGAAAAAACACACCATAATAGTGATAGCCACAGCTGGCACAGTTATGAATTTTTAGGCAGTGAACACACTGGCTCAATGAGTGGAACAATGATTCAGTTAATTTGATCAAGCTGAGTGATGGATCTCTGGGGACATCCCCAGAAGAGGAGAAGGAATATCATGTGTTTGCCACTGATCCTATGAAATGTGGCTCTACCCTTAATTGCAGCATTAAAAGTGAGTACAGAATTTTAGTTTACCATAGTCACTATCCTCCTGGGAGTCATCTGAAGTTTTATACATTGTGTAAAGCTTTAAAATAACTTTATTGGAGTCTGAGGAAAGTCTGATTATAAACTATGTGCTAATGTAAGTAGTCAGAAAGGTAGCTTAGTCCTATTTACAAAATAAGCCTATCCTTTTTCCTTAATTTCACCCTGCTTCTGCCACCTTTTATAGATGCAGGCAGCCATGTTTACAGTACTTGAAAAAGCATTGTGCAATGATGAGCTTAGGCCTAAGTCAGTCTTCTTGAAAATCCCTTACAATTTATGCTGATTTTTTGAGTCTCCCAAATTCTGATGCACATAAATTTCCATCTGCTGTTCTCTTTTTTATGTATAGCATAATTTAAACTGAAAATTTAAACTAAAGCAATCACAATTAGAGATAAAGTAAAATAAAACATTAAATTAGGCTGGGTTTGGTGGCTCATGCCTGTAATCCCAGCACTTTGGGAAGCCAAAGCAGAGGGATCACTTGAGCTCAGGAGTTCAAGACCAGCCTGGACAACACAGGGAGACCTTTTAAGTGGCCATTCGAGTGAAGAATAGGAAGACAAAAGTTTTAGACCTAGCCATATTTTTCTAAATTTTTATTAGTACCAATTTCACAGGGTTGCTAGACTCAAAAAAGAATAAAAATAGGAAAGCTCCTTGTAAATTATAAAGCAATGTGTAATCTATCCCACCATTTTTGGTTTTTCAAAGAACACAGAGTGATGATTCTGTTTAAAATGATAAAGAATGAACATTCTAATTATTGTAATAAAATGAATTTCAAGGGATTAATTTGATGGAGCTACTATTTAATTAAAATACTATGACTACGTAAAGAAAAGTAATTAAGGCCTTTTCCAAGTCATGCATTTTCCCTATTACTAACTATACTGTCCTATTTATGGGCTGAACTGTGTCCCCCCCAAACTCATATGTTAAAGTCCTAACCCTCAGTACCTCACAATATGTCTATATTTAGACATAGGGCCTTTAAAGAGATGGTTAAGTTCAAATGAGTTGGTTCATGTTGGCCCTAATCCAGTATGATTGGTGTCCTTACCAGAAGAGCAGCTTAGAATACAGACAGCACAGACAGAGGTAACACCATATGAAAATACAGAAGAGGGGGAGGCCAAGACAGGCGGATCACAAGGTCAGGAGTTCGAGACCATCCTGCCAAACACGGTGAAACCCCGTCTCTACTAAAAATACAAAAAAATTAGCCAGGCGTGGTGGCAGGCGCCTGTAGTCCCAGCTGCTCGGGAGGCTGAGGCAGGAGAATGGCGTGAACCCAGAAGGCGGAGCTTGCAGTGAACCGAGATCATACCACTGCACTCCAGCCTGGGTGACAGAGCAAGACTCTGTCTCAAAAAAAAAAAAAGAAAAGAAAAGAAAATACAGAAGAGGGCCATCTAACAAGCCAGGGAGAGAGGCCTCAGAATAAACAACCCTGCAGACACCTTGATCTTGGACTTCTAGTATTCAGAATTGGGAGGAAATTTCTTCTGTTTAAGCCATCCAGTGTGTGGTATTTTGTTACAACTGCCTGAACAAACTAATAACACTATTTAAGACCAGGAAAAAAAAAACACACACACACACACAGAGGGGGAAAGAAAAATACACTTAAGTCAGTGGCACATGCTGTCCCAAGATAAAATGCATTTTTTAATTAATTTTACTGATATCCATGGATTATTTTCTAGAAATAGAAAAAGATTGGTAATTTTATTAATTTAATGTGTTTTGTTTTTTTTTAAGAAAAGGTCTCACTCTGTCCTCCAGGCTGAATCAGTGGCATGATCATGGCTCACTGCAGCCTCAGCATCCTGGGCCCAAGCAATCCTCCAGCCTCAGGCCCCCAAGTAGCTGGAACTACAGGCATGTGTCACCACACCTGACTAATTTTTTTAAAATTTTTTTGTAGAGACAGGGACTCACTGTATTGCCCAGGCTGGTCTCGAACTCCTGAGCTCAAGTGATCCTCCTGCTTTGGGCTCCCAGAGTACTGGGTAATTTTAGGCATGAGCCACAGCACCCAGCCTAATTTAATGTTTTATTTTACTTTGTTTTTAATTGTGTTTGTTTAAATTTTAATAAAAGATAAGGTGGTGATGTTTTTTATCTCATCAATAAAACTGATATCTAGTCATACATTCAGTAGTACCATCAATAGCACATGTGGGATTTGCTTTGTTTTTTGTTTTAGTAAATTTACCAGACTAAAAGCTTAAATTCAGCTACTATGCAAAGTAGCTGAATAGTAACTGACTATATATACACGTATATATACGTGTATTTATACACACACACACACAGAGTACATTATAAATAGAATTATATAAACTGTTTTTGAAAAATAATGTTTCCCATTTATATTTAACATATAACTTGAATTTGTGAGACCCGATGCTAGTTCTGGTATTTTAGGTTATTTAGGTTATTAATAATATTTAGGGCCAGGTGTGGTGGCTGACACCTGTTCCTAGCACTTTGGGATGCTGAGGCAGGAGGATCACTTAAAGCCAGGAGTTCCAGACCAGCCTGGGCACCAAAGCGAGACCCCTGTCTTTACAAATTTTTGCTTAAGAAATTAGCCAGGCATGGTGGCATGTACCTGTAGTCCCATGTACTTGGGAGGCTGAGGCAGGAGGATCACTTGAGCCGAGTTCAAGGCTTCAGTGAGCTATGATCATGCCCCTGCACTCCAGCCGGGGCAACAGAGTGAGACCTCATCTAATAATAATGATATTTAGATACTGATGAATCACTGAAAATATTTGAAAAGTATGCATAATTTACTGATATCACTTTACTTGCTCCAAATTATGAATCATAGGAAAGAAGACCAGTGTATTTTATTTAGCCTAAATATAACAAATGCCAAATATTATCTCCCTGTATATTATTTACTCTAGAGTATTATATTACCCTGGGGTATATTATTACATGGGATAAATAATACAGACTAAAAAGAGTATTATCCTTCACATACTCCTGCATATCCCTGTTTATGGAATACCCTTATGAGGTATATTGGTTACTTTTTTCATGGTTAAGGAAAAACAGTAAAGAGTCTTGGAATGTCTTCTGTGAATTCAAGTTATTTCTGCCATTTGAAATAGTGTTACAGCACACTAGAATTGCTTGAGCTCAGAAAGGTTTTTTGGACTGAAAGTAGGAAAGCCACAAAGCCATTTTTTTATTACATGTAAAAATAAAATATGTACAGTAATAAAACAGAAAGAAGTAATTTACTTTTAAAATAATAAATGTATGTCAAAGAAAATATAAATATAAGAAAAATAGTAGTAATAAATGAACATAAGCTGTTTTCTCTAAACATATATTCTGCCTTTATTCTCATTTGTGAGTTGTTTGTGCTCCTACATAAGGTCAACCCCTGCAGTTGTTCACTAGACTTCAAGCCTTTTAATCAGCTCAGGCCATCATTCCAGCAGTTCTTCTCTCTCCTGCTTCATTTCCTTTTCTCTTGGCTAATAAGCATAAAACATGTTGTTGTCACTTGCATCAGAATTTTGTGCCCTCTATCCCCCAGATATGTTGTATCAAGGACAGAAATGACCTTCATCTTTCTAAATCCACTGGTTCATTTCCAGTCTTCATCTTAGTTGATCTACAAGCAGCATTTTAAACAGCGGCTTCCAAGATGTTCTCTTGGTTTTCCTCCTGACCTGCTGGTCACTTTTTCTCAAACTCCTTTATTTGTTCCTTTGGCCTGGCAATATTAGAATGCCCCAAAGGTGAGTCATTGAACATCTTCTGTCTATTTACTCTCAATAAACTCATCCCGTTCCATAGCTTATTTTCTTTTTTTTTTTAAATAGAGACAAGGTCTCCCGAGGTTGCCCCTGCTGGTCTTGAACTCTTGGATTCAAGCATTCTTCCTGTCTTGGCCTCCCAAAGGGCTAGGATTACAGGTATGAGTCACTACACCTAGCCCAGTTCCATAGCTTTATATGCCATCTTTTGGCTAGTAACTTCTAAGTTTGTGTCTCTAGCATAGACCTCTCCTCTGACTTCAGACTCTTGTATCCAACTTCCTACTTAACACCCCCAATTGGGTGTCTAATAAACATTTCATACTTAACATGATTAAAGTTGAACTCCTGATATTCCATTCTTCCAGCCTCCTCTAAGCCAGCTTCTCCCATAGTCCCCACTTCCAGATTCTTGGCAACTCCATCCTTTCAGGTGTTCAGGCCAAAAACCTTCTTGTCTTTCTCTTGTACTCCACATCCAATCTGTCAACAAATCCTATTGGCTCTGCCTTTAAAATAGGTCCAGAATTTAACCTGTTGGGAATAGACCCCCAAAATCTGGCCACAAACTGGCCCCAAAACTGGCCATAAACAAAATCTCTGCAGCACTGTGACATATTCGTGATGGCCATGACAGCCACACTGGAAGGTTGTGGGTTTACCGGAATGAGGGCAAGGAATACCTGGCCCACCCAGGGCAGAAAACCGCTTAAAGGCATTCTTAAACCACAAACAATAGCATGAGCGATCCATGCCTTAAGGACATGCTCCTGCTGCAGATAACTAGCCAGAGCCCATCCCTTTATTATGGCCCATCCCTTTGTTTCTCTCAAGGAATACTTTTAGTTAATCTATAATCTGTAGAAACGATGTTTATCACTGGCTTGCTATCAATAAATATGTGGGTAAATCTCTGTTCGAGGCTCTCAGCTCTGAAGGCTGTGAGACCCCTGATTTCCCTCTCCACACTCTATATTTCTGTGTGTGTGTCTTTCATTCCTCTAGTGCCACTGGGTTAGGGTCTCCCCAACCGAGCTGCTCTCAGCATTAACCACTTCCTACCACATCTATGTCAGGCCTCTGAGCCCAAGTGAAGCCATCATATCCCCTGTGACCTGCACATATACATCCAGATGGCCTGAAGCAACTGAAGATCTGCAAAATAAGTGAAAATAGCCTTAACTGATGACATTCCACCATTGTGATTTGTTCCTGCCCACCTTAACTGATACATATATTCTCCCCTGCCCTTAAAAAGATACTTTGTAATATTCTTCCCCCACCTTAAGAAGGTACTTTGTAATATTCTCCCCAGCCAATTAAGAAGGTACTTTGTAATATTCTCCCCCACCCTTAAGAATGTACTTTGTACACCTATCCCAAACCTATAAGAACTAATGATAATCTCACCACCCTTTGCTGACTCCTTTTTCGGGTTCAGCCCCCCTGCACCCAGGTGAAATAAAAAGCCTTGTTGCTCACACAAAGCCTGCTCATGGTCTCTTTACACAGATGTGCATGACATTCTGTCTCTCACCTAGATTATTGCAACTGCCTTTTTACTGATTCCTGCTTCACCTTGTCCTCTTATAGTCAATATAAAAGCCAGAATGGGCCCTTTAAAAGATAAGTTAGATTAGATTATTTCTTTACTCAAAAATCCTCCAACAGCTTCTATCTCAGGCCTAAATATAAGGCTTTACAGCAAACTGCTAATAACTTACTATTCTTTTTGAGATGGAGTCTCGCTCTGTCGCCCAGGCTGGAGTGCAGTGGCATAGTCTTGGCTCACTGCAATCTCTGCCTCCCAGGATCACCCCATTCTCCTGCCTCAGCCTCCTGAGTAGCTGGGACTACAGGCGCCCGCCACCACGACTGGCTGTAGTCTCGAACTCCTGACCTCAAGCAATCCTCCCAGCTCAGCTTCGTAGCCTCCACCCTACTCCTGGCCAATTACTATGCCCCTTTCTGCTTTGTTATTCCATGACACTTCTCACTCTTTGATATAATGCACAGTTTATTTAGTTGTATGTTTTCATCGCCCCTCACTAGAATATAAACCCAAAAAGGAGGATTATTATTTGTTTTGTTCACTATTGTATCCCCACAGCCCAGAACACTTCCTGGCACACAAAAGGCCCTCAGTAAATATTTTCCGAATAAGTCAACATACACACTAATATATTTCTTTATTATTATTATTATTTTTTTTTTTTTTTTTTGAGACGGAGTCTCGCTCAGTCGCCCAGGCTGGAGTGCAGTGGCCGGATCTCAACTCACTGCAAGCTCTGCCTCCTAGGTTCACGCCATTCTCCTGCCTGCCTCAGTCTCCCGAGTAACTGGGACTACAGGCGCCCACCACCACACCCGGCTAATTTTTTGTATTTTAGTAGAGACTGGGTTTCACAGTGTTAGCCAGGATGGTCTCGATCTCCTGACCTCGTGTTCCACCTGCCTCGGCCTCCCAAAGTGCTGGGATTACAGGCGTGAGCCACCTCACCTGGTCTTCTTTATTTTTAACCTATTCATAGCTAGATTTTAAATAACCCTAGTCTACTTTTAATTTGATAAATCGTGGCCAATTTATTTAGCCTTTGTCTTTCTCTTACCCATAACCTATTCATAGACTTTCTGTTTAATCATAGGACAATATATTTTAGAGCTTGGAGGGACTTTTTTTTAAAAGACTTTATCTTTTTAGAGCAGTTTTAGGTTCAAAGCAAAATTGAGAGGAAGGTATAGAGATTTCCTATATATCCCCTACCCCCAAATATGCATAGCCTCCCTCATCAACATCCCTCACCTAAGTGGTACATTTCTTACAATCGACGAACCTGGAGGTAACTTTTAAAGTGAAGAAAAGCCCTTGGTTACACTGACTGTTTATTTAACTTCTTTGGACTTCAGTTTCCTCACTGTAATTGAATCACTCAAAGTCAGGTTGCATGTCCACCTCATCTTTTATGTTCCACATTCAATTTGTGTACTACAATATCAGGAAGGTATATGTTTAGTTTTTTGTCTGATATACCCCAAAATCAATCACTTTCACTGGAACTATTGAAATAAACTCCTGTTGAGGAAAATCTCCTTCCAGTCGTTTGGGAGGCATAGAGAAGGCAAATGAGGGAGTTCAGGCTAGATGACTTTATTTTGTTAGTAAAGTGAGAAGTGAGGTCTTTGACTGAAAATGAGAGGGGTAAGAATAGGAATGGGCATCTGGGGAAGAACAGAAAATATTTAAAATAATTTAAACAGTAGGTAGAGAATTTACCATGAGTTAGTTTTATTAAATGTATACAAATTATGCAAATGCTTTTTTCAGGATAAGATCTATTAAAATAGGAATGGGAAATTCTAACAGTTCTTTTAAGAGAAATGCAAATAAAAATGTTTTGAAAAGATTTAAAGAAATGGTACATGTAAGTAACTTTGATAGTACTTAAAGAGCTGCTTTTTCTTTTTGAGATGGAGTTTCGCTCTTGTCACCCAGGCTGGAGTGCAATGGCGCGATCTTGGCTCACTGCAACCTATGTCTCCCGGGTTCAAGCAATTCTCCTGCCTCAGCTTCCCGAGTAGCTGGGATTATAGGCACCCACGACCACACCCGGCTAGTTTTTGTATTTTTAGTAGAGACGGGTTTCACCATGTTGGCCAGGCTGTTATCAAACTGCTGACCTCAGATGATCCCTACCTTGGCCTCCCAAAGTGTTGGGATTACAGGCGTGAGCCACCGCACCCAGCCACTTCTTTTTTATTATTACTATCTTCAGCTTTATATCATACTTTAGTTTCAAAACCTACTGAGGGTGTGGGAGGCCAAGGTAGGAGGATCGCTTGAGCCTAGGAGTTCAAGACTAGCCTGTGCAACAAAGCAATACCCCAGTCTCTCCAAAAAAAAAATCAAAAAAATTAGCCAGGCATGATAGTGAATGCCTATAGTCACATCTTCTCTGGAGGCTGAAGCAGGATGATCACTTGAGCCCAGGAGTTGGAGGCTGCAGTGAGTTATGATTGCACTGCTGCACTCCAGCCTGAGCAACAGAGCAAGACACTGTCTCAAAAACAAACAAAAAAAAACCAAAAAGCAAAAACAAAAACAAAAAAAGTACTAAGTCTTTAGTCTTATAAAGTGTTTCATATGATTTGACTCTTAAGGCTTTGAAAGAAATTGAACTTTCAGAGCCTTAGAAACAATTGTAGTTTCTTGAAGTTCTATTTAAAAATTCTCTCGTCTGCCTATTCCTAGAATCTGAAATTATTAACATTTAGTTCTCCACTATTCTAGTTTGTTCATTTGTTCATTCATCCAACAAACAGTTTTTAAGAATCTCCTGCCTGTTGAACATTGTAAGAGAATTGCAGGGAATAAAAATTGTGAGGAATAAAAATTATAAGGAATAAAGATTGTAAGGAATAGAAATGTATAAATATTGTTTTATGGATAGTGCTAGTAATTTGAGAAGGATCCTTATCTGGAATTGCACTTCCGTGTTTTCTTCACGGGACCCAGAAAGAACCCCTTGTTTTACCTCATTCTAAATATTCACTCAGTGTTCAACTAGTATCAAATCTGGCTTCTAAATATTTCTCTCATATGTCTCATGTTTTCCATGTTCGTTAATACCCACCCATAGTACCTTTCCATCTCAAACACCATAACAGGCCTCCTACCTGGCTTCTGTGTTTTAGTCTTACCTTTCCAAACATCTCTACATTGCAATTAGAATTGCCTTTTTAAATCCAAATTTAAGTCATGCCCTCATTAAAATCTCCACAAAAATCATGGTATTCCAACAATGGAGAACCACTTGAGTTTTCTCTCAAGGGTCATATCACCTGTGTTGTACATGTTTTTTCTTCTGCTGCAGTGTTCCTATCTGCCTTCCCCCGCTTTCTGTAGCCACCTAAAGTCAACCTGTGCCAACAGACCTCGTTCAGGCACTACCTCAAGGAACCTTTCTTTGAGCCATTCCTTGCCTGCTCCTCTGAGTTAGAACTGTAGGTACCTCTTGAGTGCTTCCATGTAACTATGTAAACACCTGTAGTACTCATTCATTATACTTAATTTTCAATATCAGGTGACTTGCCTCTCTCTCACATTTATTGCTGAGCAACCTGAAGGCAAGAAATGTGTCTTTTAGCTCTGTGTTCTCAACAGCTCTTGCGGTATCTAATAAATAGTAGACTTTCCTTAAATGTGAATACTTTTCTCTTGGCAACTATTCTATACTTGTTCTCTACAGGTAGTACTCAAACATGTGGAATATTATGCCTCTATTATATCCATAATCCTAAAAATTACTTTAAGAAACTTTCTTATCTATAATCCTAAAATTAATTTAAGAAACTTTCTTTCTTTTTATAATTATTAATTTATTATATTGCCTTTTTGTGTGTACTGTAGCAGTAAATATCTTTTGGATTAACATTCCAGAATTAATATAGTTGAGCATGATAGAGACTTCTACAGGATGGTCAAAGAAGTAGCAAATAAATTTTAAATAACAAATAATCTTAGAAAACTATGAGTTAAAAAAACATTTAGACTAGTTTCTTAATGAAGCATTTCTGAGCCTTTTTTTCTCATTACGTTTTTTGAGATACAATCTACGTGGAGTAAAATTTGCCCATTTAAAATGTATAATTGTTTTGAGTTTTGACAAACGTATACAGTTGTATAACGACTCCCACAGTCAAGAGACAGAACATTTTCATAATTCCAAAAAGTTATCTCCATCTTCTTTGTAGTCATTAACCTATCCTCATCCCCAGCCCATGGCAAATACTGATCTGATTTCTGGCCCTATAATTTGGCCTTTTCCAGACTGTCATACAATCATTTGGTTTGTAGCTTTTGTATTTGATTTCTCCTACTTAACATAATGTTTCTAGATTCATCTTGATGTTGCATGTATCAGTAATTAATTCCTTTTTATTGCTAAGTGGTATTAAGTTGCATGAATGTACTACAACTTGTCTATCCTTTCAGCAGTTGGTGGGCTTTTGGGTTGTTTTCAGTTTATGACTATTATGAATAAAGCTGCTATAATACTCGTTAAACAGAGCTCTGTGTGAACATAATGTTTTTATTGCCTTTGGAAAACACCTAGGAGTGGGATTCCTGGGTTATATGGTAATTATTTGAAAAAACTATATTCCCATTCAATTTTCTTGGCACTTTTGTAAAAGGGTTTATATATATATATGTTTATCTTTAGGCCACTGCCACACACTGATTACCATAGCTTTACAGCATTATGATCTTGAAATCAGGTAGTGTGAGTTCTCCAACTTTATTCTTTTCCAAAAATGGCTTTGGCTTCTCAAGGTCCTTTGCACTTTCATACAAATTTTAAAGTTTGTATAAAACTTGTTAATTTCTGCAGAAAAGTCTTCTGGGATTTTAATTAAGATTTTGTTGACTCCAAAGGTGAATTTGGGGAGAAATTACATCTTATTGATACTGACATTCCAATTCATCAACTTGGTATATGTCTCCACTTATTTAGGTCTTCTTTAATTTCTCTAACTCGTGTCTTGTAGTTTTCAGCCTATAAACCTCCCTCTACTTTCAAAATACATATCCTAAGTATCTCATTTTTTTTATGCTATTGTAAATGGTTTCTTTTAATTTTTTTAAAGAAAGCATGCTTACATTTGCCTTTTATTGCTGTATTTCTCTGGTTGGCTTAATAGGACCCAATGGAGAAAGAAACATGTTATAATAACATATTCTAAGGGTTAGCTTACAAAGGTGTTTCTTTGTCATACACTTCCATTCACTGATAGAAAAACAGCCTATCATTAATCTTTTTTAAAAAAAATAGAGTTAGAAGTTACAAGTGCAGATTTGTTACATGGATATACTGTGTAGTGATGAAGTCTGGGCTTTTAGCATACTCATCACCCAAATAGTGTACATTATACTCGATAGGTAATTTTTTATCCCTCTCTACCCCCCACCCTCCCATCTGTTGAAGTCTCCAATGTTTATTATTTCCCTCTGTACGTCCATGTGTACCCATTGCTTAGTCCCCACTTATAAGTGAGAACATGCGATATTTGACTTTTTGTTTCTGAGTTATATAAATGGTTTCCTTTACATTTTAACTTCCAATTGTTTGTTGCTAGTATTTAGAAATACAGTTGATTTTTGTATAATTGATATTCTATCTTGCAACCTGACTAAACTCACTTCTGAGTTCTGGTAGATTTTTTTTAAGACACTGTAGGATTTTCTATATTGGCAATCGTGGCATTTGCAAATAAAATTATACTTCTTCCTTTCTGATCTTGAGTAACTGTACATCTTTTTCTTGCTTAATTTCACTGGCTAGAATCTCCAGGGCAACGCTGAACTTAAGTAGTAAAGGGAACATCTTTGCCTTGTTTTAAATGTCTAAGAGGAGATAACAGATTTGACCACAGGGCTCTCATTTTCATTGGATGTTTTTTAAAACTAATCATCTAGGGAACATATTAGGGAATGCTAATGTAGAGAATGTATGTGTAACATAGACAATCCTTTTCTCCTTAACTCAGGATTATTAATGAGGGGTAACCAACATAATGTAGATAAAGTACTTAGCTTACTGTAAAGCACATAATAAATGCCCAAAAGAGGTTCAAACATTAAAAGCTAATTCAAGCTGTGCACAGTGGCTCATGCCTGTAATCCCAACACTTCGGGAGGTGGAACTGCAGGATCACTTGCCTCCAAGAGTTTGAGACCAGCCTGGGTAATATGGCAAAACCCTGTCTCTACAAAAAAATACCAAAAATTTAGCTGGGCATGGTAGTGAGCACCTGTATTCCCAGCTACTCGGGAGGCTGAGGTGGGAAGGTCGCTTGAGCCAGGGAAGTCTAGCGTGCAGTGAGCAGAGATCAAGTCACTGCACTACAGCCTGGTCAAGAGAGTGAGACCCTGTCTCAAAAACAGAAAAAAGCTAATTCAAATTTGAACATTAATTCTACATTTGTTGCATGCTTACTCTTTCAATAAGATCACTGTTAGTGGCATTACAAATCTGATTAATATGAAAATTGAAATAACTTATTAAAGATGTGATTAAATTAATTTTGGGTTTATTTACCCTATAAAGGAAATAAATGTATATTCTCTCAGAATTATAAAGAATGGTTGTCTTCTTCACAGCTCAAACTTGCCAGATTTCAACCTTACCTTGCAGAGACAGGCCTGACCAAATCAAATGTTCCTCACCACCAACATGACTGTTAGTATTTTAAAGGCTGGAAATGGCCTTTGTGAAATTTTCTCCACATAGATAGGAAAACGGGTAAACATGCCACATTATGACCTAGCGTCGTCCCTGAGAAATAAGAAGATGGTTGACCCTTTCAAGTTTTCATGTGTGCCATCATACATGTAAGAAGGTTTTAACTATGTGGGAAATCTTGGAAATCAGTATCTGGTCTTTAACCATTACTTGTTCAAGAGGAAATGAAAACATTTCTGTGGATGCCATTGAAAGCAAGGTTGTAATTTGATAACCACAAAGAAAAACACAGAAAGTAAATGCAGCTTTACCTTGCATTTCATTTTTGATCCAGAGAGTCCCAAACTAATTGTCTGTGCTGGTGTTGTAAAAGCACAGGTAAGTTTATTGATCAATTTTATCCTGAATTTTCATTTGCCTGGTATAGTTGGTTTGTTCCTTTTGGTGTAAGAATTCTCAAGAACAGAGGAGAACCAGCAAATTGCAAGTGACATGCCAAATATCTCTTTCCTGTTACACATTTTTGCTTTAAAACTAACTAATTATGTGGCTCTAATGATTCACTGTCTCTGGGACAATAGTTTCCTGACATTTCAGAACAGCAGTTTATAATAATGCTTACATATGGGTTTGATATTTTATGCTGTTAAAAGAATCAGCAGGTCTAGACTGGAGTTTATTTTTAAGTTTATGTTAATGATCTGTTGTATTACAAACAGAGGGGCATGTGATTGAGTGCATACCTTGAAGCAAGAATAATTGGGTACCCGGAAGTAGCCACACTGCCTATGCAGTTGTTGCGGGGGTGGGGAAAAAAAAGAAAAGATTCATCAGGCTTTCATTTCCTAAATCTGGTAATGCATGAAGAAAAGGTACCTGGATCAACAGATAAGTACTTAGTGTGATACTGCCTCAGAATGGTCATAAAAGGCCGAAGACCTTAGTTTCAAGCATTACCAATATTACCTACTTTAGATAAATTTACTAATTTATCTTGGTTTTTTCATTTTAATCAATCTTATCTCATACTTTTATGATAAAAAGGCAAAACTATAAAACTGACATGCAAAATAACCTATTTGTCTGAAGTATTTATCAATATTTTCTGAGTTATATAGTTGATGTTTTGAATCTATAATTTCTAACATTGTTATTTTCCTTCCTTGTGGTTCTAAGCACTTACAACTACTAGCCCATTGGCAACTGGCCAATCCCCCAGGTCTTGAAAATAATTATTAGTGGCTTATGATGACTTCAGCTAATTCCTTAAGAAACCTAAGAGGAAAGAACTGGAATTTATAAGTTGGAAAACTCTGAGTTTAGAAAAGTATCTATTTTCTCATGTATTTTAGTGCAGTCCTTTGGTCTTTCATGCATTTGTAGCCACGTAGAAGAATCAGATCACAAATGAGTTTTTCTAAGGCAGATATTAAAATAATAACACTTGAAAATAATCATTAGGAGAGTTGAGATATTTTTCTTAGTTTCTGTCTCTTCATATATTTATATATATATTTTATTTACTTATTTATTTATTTTTTGAGATGGAGTCTCGCTCTGTCACCCAGGCTGGAGTGCAGTGGCGGGATCTCGGCTCACTGCAAGCTCCGCCTCCTGGGATCACGCCGTTCTCCTGCCTCAGCCTCCCAAGTAGCTGGGACTACAGGCGCCCGCCACCACGCCCAGCTAATTTTTTGTATTTTTAGTAGAGATGGGGTTTCACCATGTTAGCGAGGATGGTCTCGATCTCCTGACCTCGTGATCCACCCACCTTGGCCTCCCAAAGTGCTGGGATTACAGGTGTAAGCCACAGTGCCCGGCCTCATACATTTAATAAATATCTATTTTTCTGCATAATTATAGCTCATTTCTTTTGGCTTCTTATTTGAATACTACAGAAATATTCTAAGACACACTCAGCAGTCTTTTAAAACATTATTCCCTATGGTCATTTTAAAGAAAAAAAAACAGAAAATTGAAGACAGAGCTTTTTGAGTTTCTTTAAATCTCAGCTTCCAACTTCCATTATATTCTATGCATGATTTAATTTTAAGTATAAAATTCATAATTTTGTGTTCATCTGACATGATGGTAAGTCAATACTTTTGAAGTTTTTTTTTTTTCAGTACTGCTATGAGGGCATTTCTGTTGACCTCATGAAGCAATGACCCTTTCATTGAATTAAGAACTCTTTGACTAGGGTTCTTCTAAATTTACAAAATATTATCTTAAGAAGATTCTTTACCAGCCTTTTAAAACAGAGAACTGCCTTTCAACTACTGTGTTATTATATACTGGGCATACAAAATGCCATATTTTTATTACGCAGTCATGTGTATTTTAAAATTTAATTAGTGAAATTTAATTAAATCAGAGTGCATGACTTCTATTAATGTTTTGGATAACTCATGTAATCAGTGAGATATTCTTAAACAAATGTTTTTGTTTTTATTATGTCTTATTAAGATGGTTAATAGTTATCTATAAGACACAAGCCAAAGGTTTCATTCACATTAATAACTCTGCCTCAAGTAATTGCATTTGCTTTTGGTAAATGTGCCCACTCTTATTTCTTTCTATGCAATCTTTTAGTTTTCATTTTCTATTTTATAAACATCATAATTATAAGTTGATTTCAATATCTTACAATTCTTTTTTCTCTGTTCTTTCCTTTTCCACATGGAAATTCTAAGATAATGCTTTTTATTCTTAACTTTCCCTAAACGAAGACATCGGCCACAAACATTAGATAATTTAATAAAAAGCATCATGAAATGATAATATCATGAAGTGTTGCAGGTATTACATAGGCTTAAAAACTTTAAGTGAAAATTAATATAGCAAATAAATGGCTGACCTAGTGCTCAAATCCAGGTCTTCAGACTACTGGACCTATGCTCAAATTTCCCCCCCAAACACCCCAAAAAGGAACCCTTATTCTTATCATATATGTAATACATATTCATTTGTAAACCTTAAAAATTAAATATACAAAAAGAAAAAATAAACAGTAAATCATAACCAGTGTTAACATCATGGCGTACACCCTTCTTAATCTGTGCTGTCCAGTATGGTAGCCACTAGCCCTATGTAATATTTAAATGAAAAGTAATTAAAATTAAATAAAATTAAAAACTCCGTTTCTTAGTTTCACTAACCACACTTCAAGTGCTCCACAGCCATAAGAATGGCTAGAGACCACCATATTGGAGTCCTTCATCATGGAAGATTCTACTGAAGGATGATGTGAATGTAAACTTTACTTCATGCATGAAGAAGTGCATATACACACAGGCACACAGAGTTATATACTGGTTGAACAACACAGGTCTGACTGTGAGGGTCCACTGATACACAGACATTTTTCAATAAAAGTTACACCAAGTGTGGCTGTCTCTTCTGCCTCCCCTTTTCTCCACATCTTCTGCCTCTGCTACCCTGAGACAGCAAGACCAACCCCACCTCTTCCTCCCCCTCCTCAGCCTACTCAACATGAAGATGTTGAAGAGGATAAAGACCTTTGTAGTGATTCATTTCCAGTTAAGGAATAAGTAATATATTTTCTCTTCTTTATGACTTTATTAATTTTCTTTTCTCTAGCTTGCTTTATTATAAGACTACAGTATGTAGTACACATAATATACAAAATATGTGTTAATCAACTCTGTGTTATCAGTAAGGCTTCTGGTCAATAGTAGGCTATTGGTAAAGTTTTGGGGGAGTCAAAAGTTATACATGGATTTCTGACTTCTCAGGAGGGAAGTGTCCCTAACCCCCATATTCATTGTCCAGGGTCTACTTTATGCATGTATAAATGTGTATTTAAAAAATATAAATGGGTCATACTACACATAATATTTGTAATGTGACTTTTTTCACTGAACACATATAAACATTTCCCATGTTAGCATATGTAATCTGGATAATCATTTTAAAGCACAAATTGTTCATTGTACCTATATACTATATTTAATCAGACTTCTCTTTCTGTACTTTTATTTTTATTTATTTGTTTATTTATTTAATTTATTTTTGAGATAGAGTCTTGCTCTGTTGCTTAGGCTGGAGTACAGTGGCGTGATCACAGCTCACTGCACCCTTGACCTCCCAAGCTCAAGCAATCCTCCCATCTTAGCATCTCATGTAGCTGGGACCACAGGCACATGCCACCACACCCCGCTGATTTTTTTTTTATTTTTTATAGAGACAAGGTCTCACTATGTTTCCCAGGCTAGCCTGGTCTCGAACACCTAGGCTTAAGCCATCCTACCCCATCACCCTCCCAAAGTGCTAGGATTATAGGTGTGAGCCACAGCACCTAGCCCTCTTTGTATTTTTAGATGACTGCTAATTATCTTAACGTGATAAGCAATGATACAGTGAACACTTCTGTATATACAACTTTATACTTCTATCTGTTTCTTTAGGATGAAACTCTAGAAGTGGCTTTTTAGATAAAAAGGTACACACAGTTTTAAGACGTTCACTATAAAGACCAAATTGACCTCCAGAAAATAGTTTAACAATACACATCTTCACCAGCAGTGTGAGACCTTGCTGATTAATCCCTACCCTACCATAGCTGTTAGATTATTTCCTTTTAAAATTTATGAAAACTTCATTTAATTTATTTTTCAACCAACAGTCTCCTCAGAAATTTTATATTTAAGAAGTAGTATGCCAACTAAATAAATTGCACAGAGTGTGAACTAAATCTGGAAAAAGTTAAAATGTAATTTAAAATTATATATGTATATATAATTATGATATATAAAATATGACATGTATATATAACTATATAAAATGTTAAAGTGTATTAAATTATATATATTTATATACTTAAGTTTCCACATATGTCAATGCTTATAATTAGAATTAGCTTTCACTTAATATTTTAATAGGCACATTATTATTTTCTGCAAAACATCTTAATTATGACAAAATTGCCACTACACAGCCCATTTTGAAACCACAATAATACATTCCAGGGTGTGTTATGCTGGGAAATTGCCATGATGGGAAGAATGAAGTCACTTGGCCTTTAAATTGGTGTGTCAGAACATGCTCAAGGAAAGTAATATCTAATCAGAAGAAATGTATTACAATGGCTACATACTTAATTGCAACTCATTACATTTTGGTTCCAATAACATGTCTTTACTCCATGTGATTTTTTTAAAGACTGTGTTCTCTAAGAAGGTTTTTATTGCTCATTAAATTTGTCTTCTTTAAGGTACCAAAACTTAAAATATATACCTTAAGCTATCAAACTAACTAGAAACAAAGCCTTTTCCTAATTGTAGAATCTGGCTAGTTGGTTCCAGTTCCCATGCCAGGTGAGTGATGATCTCTGCCCTCTTTGAGCTCATACATTCTCAGATTATGTGTTTTATACCTATAGACCATAGGCAGTGCTACTTCCATACATTACATTAGCTCAAATTAGTTTCTCATATGATCTAATCATCACTAGAAAGCCCTGAAGGAATAGAATGCAAGGCAGGTAAAGTTTGATGAGAAAATAGAAGCTAAGGGGCATTAAAGGGCAGAGCTATATAGTAGGAATGAATCATTGGAGTGGTGGAATGAGAGAGCTTGGAAAAAAAAGACAAATTAGTGTTTTCACATTAAACTTACCCACCTTGTGAGATTTAGATTGAAAGTCATTATGATTTTCTTCACATTTAGGTTTAGAAGTTTTTGGGAGAAGGTGAGTTTGGGGGAGCCTTGATGCAGAAGGAAAAGTATATCCTGTAGGAAGAAAGGTAGGAAGAGGGAGGATGTTCCAAGAATAGAGACTAGAAAGTATGCTCAATACACTTGGAGTTGCAACATAATCACTTGGAAAGGAAATGAATATTTATGAACACTCTGCATTTACAACTATAACACCAGTGTGAGTAAAAGAAAGAAATTTTCATAAGGAAAGGCAAAAGATCCTAATCTCATTTATGAAATTATTTGGATCACTGGTATGTTAACACCTAGGACCAAGATGAAATTGAACACATTGCTAAAATCGCACTGTTGTTTAAAGACTTAAATTACGGCTGAATCATTCTCATTGATGATTAGAAACTTAGTCTCTGGAGTCTTCTTCATATATAGCACAATATGTATATAGCTTCAATAGCACTTTGTTAAAGACAAATTATAAAGAATTTCTGTAGTTTTTGATTCAACCTGTATTTTAAAAAGCCTTCTACAGTAAGTGATTAGTAGCAATTGTATAATGTAAAAGGCACACATTACCTTCTAGCGCACAGTTTTAAAAAAGTGATTCCCACAGTGGTGTATGCCTGTAGTCTCACTTCAGGAGGCTTAAGAGGGAAGATTGCTTGTGCCTAGGAGCTTGAGGCCAGCCTGGGCAAAATAGAAAGACCTCCATCTCAAAAAAAATAATAAAGTTGATCATTCCTTCGACTTATGGTTTATTTAATTGTTCTTGCTTCATTTGTGCTAATGTATTCTCTAAGTATAGACCATGAAGAAACCCTGGAAAGCTAAGTAATTTTCCCATGTGCACTCAATTAATGTGATTTCTAGATATTCCACAAGTGCATGTGATGTACTTTTAAGTAGAGTAATCTCAGAAGGAAAAAGGTATGACAATATGCAATTGAGAATAATTGGAGTATGAATTCATGGTGTTATAGTAATGATGCCATAAGTGTAAGATGGAGACATTAACATTAGATTCAGAACATAAGGGTGTATAATGCCTCTCCCACTAATAAATCACTCAGAGGAATTTTTAGTTTATAAAAGTGTAACATTTGAGAATGGCCTATAAATTATCCTCTCAAATTCTTTTTAAAAAATTAACAGTGTGCCTGATAAAGTTCCTTTGAGGAAATAAACTTCATCTGGGATTTAAAATTCTGCAGTTCCATAATTTATTTAAATATATTGCTATAGAAACTATCATCACAGAAACCTTTGTTCCTTTAACAGGAATTGCAAGTAATTGAGCAAAATTACACCCATTCTTATGTTTGGATTGGCAGTAAATTTCTTCATGAAACTGAGTAATTCAAGTAAATACAAAAAAAGAGGTGCAAATATTTTGTCAGGGGGTGGGGATTATTAAAAGGATAACTTTAAAGGAAGTCTTCAAAGAGGCAATGAGGCTAACCACAATTTTAAACAATGAATGAGAGATTATCAAGTGGATAGTAATATTAGATCCTGTTCTAAGTGCTGTATACACATTAACTGTCATAATCCTCAAGATTCTATAAAGTAAGAAATATAATTCAGTTTTACTTACGGATAAGGCAACTAGGGCACCTGGCTAAAGTCTCTCAGCTGGTAGACAGAGAAGCTAAAATTCAATCCCAGAAAGTCTGATTCTGAGTCTTACAGGCAGAGAGGGTGGCCTGCAGTCTCTCCCTCCCTTTAACTCACCCTGTGGAAAATGGTCAAGTCTCCTCACATCCACCTCAGTTCACCCTTCATTTACACTGTCCACACTTCTTCATTCATTACTTCATTTACAACCATCAGTACTTTTCAGTCTATTTTCTTTTAATGTCATCATGGATGGATACAGTGTAACTCCTTCAGAACTTTAGGGAAAAGCATTTTCCTCAAAAATCCTTTCTTTTTAGGAAGCTCTCATAAATGAAAAACTTCATTTTTCATAGCTGCTGTGGCTGTAATAGGCCGAACCCTCTTTTCTTTGCTTTCATGATATAGTAACCCTAATCCTTCCTGAGACAATGGAGGCACAATTGTCTCAGTTGAAGAGGGAGTGTGGCACAATGAGGAAGTTTGGGAAAACAATCTCGTGTTTATAGAATTTTAAATATTTTTTAAAATAACATACAGTTGACCCTTTAGCAATATGAGTTTGAACTGCGTGGGTCCCCTTTTATGTGGGGTTTTCTTCATCCGTAGTATGGAATATATGTGGGATGTGAGACCTGCGTATATATGGAGGGTAGACTGGGACTTGAGTTTGCGTTGGTCAATTTTGGTATATGCAGGGGTCCTGGAACCAACCACCCTTATATACTGAGGGATGACTGCAGTCACAGATTGTCACTAGTATGAGATGACAAAAATCTGGGTGATGAGAAAGAGCAAATGGGACAAGATTTAAGAAGGTGCTCAGAGAAAACCTCTAAGAAGATTGTCTTTGCACCTTGGCCCAAGAGCTAAGAATAAACAATTCAGGGGAACAAATGCAGAGAAAACAGCAGTCCAGGAACAAGTGTAAAGGTATAGAAAGACCAAAGACTTTAGTTCCTGCAAGGAACTATGAGGAGCTATAGCTGTGAGCAATGAGAGAGGATGTGAAGAATTAGGAAGAAATCATCAGGCAAACCTTTTAGACCAGGGTAAGGCATTTGAATTTTATTCTAAGACACATGGAAGCCAATGAAGAAGTTTAACCAGAAAAGAGACATGATCTCATTCCTATTTTAAAAATATAACCCTGTGAAGAATGGATTCTAAAATGGATATGTGACATCCGAGTGGATATATAAAAGGCAATTGGAGTATAGGCGAATGGTCTGAGCTGGAGATGTAATTTAGATCCCTCTAAGTGGTTAAGATGACCTGGGATTAGAGTCTAGATAGAGAAAAGAAGAGGATCTAGGACTAATTTCTGAAGCTTTCCAAACTCAAGAGCTGGAGTAGAAAAGAGGTGAAAGAGGTCAAAGCAGAACTTGGCTAGCCCAAGACAGCTGTCATGATTCATGGAGCACTGATGCCCATGACTTTTGCTCATCTGATCTAATCTACTATCATTAAATGTGACTTTGCCAATATGAGATTTCAATTTGAGCTTGTGTTTTTGTCTTGTAAACTGTGCAAATATGGATTGGATTGGATTAATGATATTAGTGAACATCTTTTGGCCAGTCCAAATCAGTACATATTAAGGAATGCATTAAAGAGGTAGGGCTTACAGTAGATACACAGTTTCTTTTTAAATGTCCAAGTCTTGAAAATGATGATTGTGACATTAAACAATGATTCCAACATCTATTATATTAGCCTGAAATTAATAAGAATTGCAATTATTCTTGATATTAAATAATAACATTTTATATCTTAGGAAAAGATATAAACTATCCACAATAAAACCACAGTCTTTCTAGAAAGAGTCTGTGTCTGGTTGTCCAATTATCCCAGTCCATCCAAACTTTGTCAATTTTTCCCTCAAGCTAAGTTTTATTACTTTTTCAAAAAAGTTTATTGTTTTAAAGTTAGATTTAATGTGGGATAAACTGTATCAAAGAAAATGCAAGGACACAAACAGCAAAAGTAGTTTGATTTGGTGGATAAATATTAGCGTAGAAAAAGCAATATATTATCCTGTCTCATTTTTTGAATTTCTATAACAAATTAAGCTGGATAAAAAGTTCCAAGTTTTCTTCAGGCAAAATTTTTTGTTCTTCTAGCAGCAGTTTTCACTTAATACAAAATAACTCTGTGGCAAATGCCCAGATTTTGTGTTAACACATGTAATTTTCCAGAAGAAATGTCAAGTTATATTGCTGGCCCCTTAATATGGATTGATCAGATGCAGTGTCTGAGTTCTATTAAGAACATCTGAAATGAAGAATGGGCTAGAAAAGTGGGTATGTCAGTGGTAACTTTCATATTTTGTTTCAGGGGATGGACTGGTTTTTGCTAAAGCTGCACATTTCTCTGGACTTGAATGAATTGGATAGAATTTCAGGCTGAGTGATGAAGTACAAACACTTGCATTCAGATTCTTTGTTATTTTACACATGTATACATGGCTGTCAAGGGAGTTTCTGGTTCCTTGTAATATTCATTAGCTTTGGGGGGGGGGTCTCTTAAATCACCCAGCTGTAACATATAGCAATAGATCTGTACATCCAATTCCAACACCTCCTGGTCATCCTGCATTGCCCATGGGTCACGTTTGTCAAAGTTAGTCTGTGAGATTTTTGGACCTGGAGTTTTGTCATCTTTGGTGCTAAATTAATAACCATATTGTTTTTACTGTGCTTGATTACATTTGAGTTTTATAGTGTAAGAATCTATCTCCTTTTCCTGTAAATTTTGCCAAGACCGGATCCAATATGTAAAAGAACCAATGATATTTAACTTTTTAAGTCATAAACCAGAATAAAATGACAACGGTTTTTACCATAAATTGAGCTTGCATCTGATTTGAGCTTGCATCTGATTTTGAGCTGCTATGGCCACAGTTTAAAGTTTACTATATACCCACAACTCGGAATTAATCTTTTTTTACTCACTTCTCTTTTTTCATCATGAGCACAGATGGAGAAGTTGATTCCCCATTTGTTAATATATCTGCCTATGTGCTACATTGCATCTCCTTTTTTCTCCCTTTGAAAATCCTTAAATTTACCTTATTTTCTACATGTATTTTCTTTGATACTAGCTTGATTACTCATTTAATATCAAGTGTTTTTTGAGCATCTACTATGTGTCAAACACTGTGCAAGATCCTGGGGATAGAACTGTAAAGTTAGATTGACTTCATCTTGTTACAGAGCTTGGATCTAGTAAGGGAAACAGACAGGTGGTCTATTACATTCTAGAATGGTAAGTGCTACAGTGGTGGAAATGCAGCATTCTAGGTGAACACAGAAGGACTTGTGTAAACAATCATTTCTCTCTTCTATAGGATCAAATTCAGTAACTCTACTATATCACTTGGTCAATACCCACCATTTTTTCCTGTAATAACTTTACTTTTAGCATGATTTTACCCTTATTCTACTTAAAAGTATCATGTCAGTCTTTTACATTTTACAGTCCCTTCTCTTGTGGGAATAGCTGGGTTTTCTGTGCTTTAGTGTGAAACACTTTCTGTACCAACTGCCAAGTGACCTGAATGCTCTGTCATTCTTGAAATGTCTTCATACTGGGGCTAATGCTTTCAGCAGTTTCTCTTTGGACTCTGAGCAACCTTTTCTAAAATGTCATGAGATACCGGCTTTCCAGAGAGGAACATAAAGACCAGGGTCACCAAGGACTCACTCGACTTTCTGAGCCATTATGTCTGATGTTCCTCATTATTTGCCATCAGTATATGCTCATTTGTAGTCCAATGAGACACAACATTCTTTTATCTCTGTGACCTCTGTCTTAGAGCACTGGGGAAATGAATAAGTATCTCAGATTGTGTAATAACCCTTCAGAATAACACTTGATCTAGGCCCTAGACCATTTTTGCTAATTACCTCATTTATTTAAAAGAAAACAAACTCCCTGCCATTTATTGAATCATTTTCTGTATCAAGCTCTTTTACAAGCATTATCATAGCAACCATGCCATTTAGGTATGAGTATCCATATATTTTAGAAATAGAAAATGAGCCTCAGAGAGATAACTTGTCACCAGTTAGTAAGTGACAGAACTCAGGATGTAAGCCCAGGTATTTGGACTCTTTTACATTATACTCCCTCCCTGCATTAGGACATTTCAGATTTGTTCAGGTTCTGAGAACACTGGAACTAAGGCTTGCAATGTCATAGGTGCCTCTTTTCCCCAGTGGTTGGGATATTTCATTAGTATTTCACCTATTTGGATTTAGAACCTAGATTGCAAAATGCAACTGGGATACTTGTATATTGACTAAACTGTGGTAAATTGCTTAACTTCCATCATGGGTTTAACAGATAACCTAGCCTCTGGTATCTTCCTGGAACCTCTACTTTATCCCCAGTAGGATACTTGCCTGACTCTACCGTCTGTCTAATGATTATTTCAACACATATACAGGACAGCAGCCACCACCTGCCACCTTCCAAATTAAGCTCACTGAATATCAACTCCAATTATACCCAAGCCGAAATCGCCAAGTTAAGTGTAATTTTAATTCATGCCACCTTCCTTTGGGAACCATCCTTCAGCTAGTGTTAGCCCCAGCAGCATTTATCCTGATCTTGCTTCTCTGTTTCCCCCTGTCAGCCTCTGAAAGAATAACACAGCTTTTGCCAAACTTCTTTAGGTTTTAACTGGAAATAAGAAAGGAAATGTATATTTTACTTCAGGCTTTATTTTATTGCTCTGATTTTTCTTATTTCTTTTAATTTTTAACTTCCTTCTCCACTTTCTAAAGAAGTCTTTTTCCACATTTCCATTAAATTCATGTCTCTGAAGCTTTACTTCCATTATATTACGCATGTGAAATTTCTTGTCTACTGTTACCTAAATGTTCCTAGTCTGATAAACAGATTCTAACTACAATTTGATCATAACTTAATATCCCTCAGTCAGGCAGGTATATTTCTTCCAACCCAGCCCATCTCAAAGCCTTTTCTCGTTTCATTGCCCTTACCATGAATACCCTCTCTTAATCTCTCTCCTGTCATCCACCTATCATTTAAGGGCCCAGTTTTATCTCTACTCTTCTCTATAATCAGCACACACTAACCTCCCTATATAGAACTTATTGCCTGTGCTGCTTCTTAAAATGTACAGCTTTTTAAAACATAAATCGAACAAAATAATTTTCCAAGCTAAGACTTTTCAGTGGCTTTCCATTACATTTAAATCAAAATCTACTCTCCAGGCCATTGGCTTTAAAACCAGGTATTTTCAGGCCCCTGCCTACCTCTTTATTATTGAGCTGGAATTAACTGATTCTTTCATTAAGAAGCAAAATGGAGACAGAGAATTCCAAGAGAAAGAAGCCAGCCAAAAGGTTTTCAGTAAAATTCCTTTTATTATTTTTATCCAAGTTAATATTGAGTAATAATGAAATTTTACCCACACAGTTCCTCAGGCCTCAGCTGATAGTGTTTCTTTTTTTAATTTCAGAATTCTGGACAATTGTACTTGCTGTTCCTACCCCTCTTCTCCCCTAACTGAAGAGAGGAAGATTAAATAATATCCATCAGGCCGGGCACAGTGGCTCATGCCTGTAGTCCCAGCACTTTGGGAGGCCAAGGCGGGCGGATCACTTGAGGTCAGGAGTTCAAGACCAGCATGGCCAACATGGTGAAACCCCGTCTCTACTAAAAATACAAAAAATAGCTGAGTGTGGTGGCACACACCTGTAATCCCAACTACTCAGGGAGGCTGAGACAAGAAAATCACATGAACCCAAGAGGCAGAGGTTGCAGTGAGCTGAGATTGCACCACTGCACGCCATCCTGGGTGACAGAGCAAGACTCTGTCTCAAAAAAAAAAAAAAAAAAACAGGGTCCATTCGATTGGGCACATTCAGGGTGGTATGTTTGTAGACAATAATTTATTACATAGTTTCAGATAGCTATAAGGAGGATATTGAATGTTCCCAACACAAAGAAATAAATGTTTGAGGTGATGGATATGCTAATTATCCTCATCTAATTACTATACATTATATGTGCAAAAAATTACTGTGTACTCCATGAATATGTACAATTCTTATTGTTTAATTTAAAAAATAATTTTTTAAATAAAAAAAATTCATGTATAATTAAGTCTAAGAACATGGTTGTTCATTTCTTCCAATGGTGGGAGTGGAGTACAGCCTTCCCCATTCTTTTATGACCCACATGAATGATAGTGTTGACATCCAATGACAATGTTTCTTATTTGAGACTTTGAGAGGTAGGCTTTCATCATCTTCTAACTTGATAAAAACACAAATCAACAGGCATATATATATACACACACACACATACTTACATATATATATATGTGACAGAAAAGGGGATATAAGAATTTTATAGAACAACACATACTTAATTTTTCTTCCTTTACTGTAACTTTTATAAACTATCTCTTGGGATGCAGTGGTTGGATCTTGTATTACTTGTATTATTATGTTCTAAGAATAAAAATTAGCTTTTCAATCCCATCACTTCCCAGGTTAAGGAGGAAATGTAATGAAGCAAATACTCAAAAATCTCCATTTGCAAGCAGAACATACCAAGGGTCATTTGCTTGCTTCATCTCGTGTCTCTGGCCACTTACTGTATTTACCCACATTGGCTTCCTCTGTTGCTCAAGAATGTTGAGCTGTTTCTCACCTCAGGTCTTTACACATCTGCCCAGAACATATTTCCTTTCATCTCTTTTCATGGCTGTTTCTTCCTTCAAGTGTGTTACCTTCTCAAATCTTGACTACTGCCCAAGGTAAAAGAGGTGTCTTCTTTAATCTCTGTCTTAGCAACCTGATAGGGGTTTTTTTTTAACAGAACTTTTTATAACTTTTAATTATTTCATTTATTCATTTATTTACTTTTTCAATTTCTTTCCCATTCGACTGTAGGCTCCTCAAAGGCTGATTATTTTGTTTTGTTAACTATTGGATCTCTGAGGCCTAGTTCAGTGCCTGGAACAAAGGCACAATTAATAAGTATTTGCTAAATGAATACCTCCCATTTTTCAATATTAAGACAATAGTTATTTTTATGTACCTATGTCTTGATTCCTAAATTACACCATAATATCTTTAAGGAAAGAGACAGTATCTCAAACCTCTTGATTAGGGGTTATAAAAATTTGCCTCTAAGTAAATATCAAGTGATATAGTTTATGTATGTACGTATTTATTTATTCATTCATTCATATTTGTTTTTCAGAACTGCAGTTCTTTTTTTTTTTTTTTTTTTTTTTGAGACAGGGTCTCCATCTGTGGCCAGGCTGGAGTGCAGTCCAGTCATGGCCCACTGCAGCCTTGACCTCCTGGGCTCAAGTGATCCTTCCACCTCAGTCTCCTGGCTAACTGGAACTACAGATGTGCCACAACCACACCTGGCTAGTTTTTTGTATTTATTGGAGAGACAGGATTTCACCACGTTGCCCAGGCTAATCTCGAACTCCTGGACTCAAGCAATCCCAAAGTGCTGAGATTACAGGCGTGAGCCACTGCACCCAGCCTGCAGTTCTTTACATACTTTTTAAAACCTGTATGTCTTTATAATGTTCATCAACATCTTTTGGAAACTCCTTAAAAATTAATTTGTCTGGCAGGGGGAGATGTAGGTGTTTTAGAGTTTGAAGCTTATACAATTTGGTGGCCGGGGTCAGGGACAGCATTTGGAAAGAAAAACAATAATGGATACAAATTAGATACTGGTCCTTGGAAGGGACCTGTGTAAAAGAAGGGAACCTAAAACTGAAGCTTCGTTTTGCTCTGCTTTGAGTCAGCCTCTGTCCCCGGGACTGAAATCTTGAGTGCAGCATGTTTCTTCTTGCACTTAAGTCCAGCATTTGTAAGACATAACATTTGAGCCACATTCATCTCACAGATTATTCTGTCTGACACTTAATGCAGTCCCACCCATGCTCCACACTCCTGCCATTCCTGTTTACCCCATTCGAAATAAATGCCAACTGGATATCAGTGTGAGAAGCCACCCTCACCATGACAGCTGTTAGTACACTGATACTAATCCCATGTTATGTTGGCGTTGCTCTAGCTTCATATTGGTCTGAAAATCTCATTCTTCCTCTCTTTCAAAAATTTTTCTGAAAGTCCCAAGTTTGCTTTTATCTTTTCTCCCTGAACTGTCACTCTGCATCAGAAATTGGCATCTATTTTATTGACAAGAGTAACTATTTTTTTCTGTTTATTTTTTTCTCATAAGACTTAGATTTTTGAGAGTAAGACAAATGCATAGCAGCCCCTACATTGTCCATTTGACTTTTTTTTTTAAATTTCTGACTTGCTCTATTTGAATACTTAAAATAGGTTTTAGTTTTACTGTTGAGGCAATAAAGTTAAGAAAAAAATGGGAATATAGTAAATATATCACTAAGAATTAGAGTTTCTCAAATAAAATTTCCTTGCAGCAGCAGAGGGGCAGCCCTCTGCCCTGCTGCCCATATTTTAGGCCAGTGAATTATTGGCTTTCTCATTGAGCTGGAGTTCAGTGGGTCTGGAGACGATCTGCCAGCTGTGAGGCAATGTTTAGGTTAAAAGATCTGTCTCAGTGATTGGGAATGCTGAAACACGGGTAAAGAAAATAAATGTCTTGAGGGACATTAACTTATAGAGAGCATATTTATCCCATATGAATACCTTGCCTGCCTGGAGTAATCCAGATATTTAACCTCTGAGACGGCAGTTGAAGCAGAGAGTAATGGAAGTGATGACAATGAAAGCGAGAAGGGTGAGGGACAACTGCAGTGGGGGCTCAAGGGATTGTGATTTTTTTTTTTAAGAGGAGTCCCTAGGTAAGGAACCACATACTGGGTTCTGTTAATCAACATTTAATCAACACCTACCATGTGGCAGGTACTGTGCTCAACAACAGGAATATAACAATGAATAGAACAGGGTCCCTGACTTTAAGGAACATACAGTATGGTAGGAAAGAAACACACTTAAAATGTGCTATACTAATGCTTTGTACCATATAGTGGTCACACAAAGGAATAAGTAACTTTTTTTTTTTTAAGATACAGGGTCTCACTCTGTTGTGCGGGCTGGAGTGCAGTGGTCTGATCTAGCTCACTGCAGCCTCGAACTCCTGGTCTCAAGTGATCCTCCTGCCTCAGCCTCCCGAATAGCAGGGACTACAGGCACATGCCACCATGCATGGCTATTTTATTAAATTTTTTAGAGACAGGGACTTGCGCTGTTGCCCAAGCTGATCTCAAACTCCTGGCTTCAAGCCATCCTCTCACCTCAGCCTCCCAACATGTTGGGATTACAGGTGTGAGCCCCTACACCTGGCCCAATAAGTAACTTTTGATTGAAGATCAGGGAAGACATCACAGAAGAGAAGGGCCAGAGCTACAGGAGGCAGACACCGTTGATTGGTGACTTAGTTGAGCTCTCCTGAAAGCAGACCCCAAAACAAAGATTTGGGTGTAATCTTAGGAAGGACTGTGAAGAATTGAGACGCTGAAGGGAGGAAAGTCAATGAACGGTTCATGAATGGAAAGACAACCATTGTGGGCAACTGGGGCTCCATCCTGCTGGTGACCCTCTGGGAGATGCCTCAAAAATGTTCCATTAATAGGAAAACTGAGGTATTTACCCACTATTTCCTGTTTTCTTTGGTTGAAGATTCCTCCAGGTAGAGCAAGTTCCCGTTGGCAGAAAACACTCTCAAACATAGTGACATAGGAAGCCATGAGTGCGTACAGGACCTATCCATAGGAATCTTTCCGAGTAGGCCTAGCAGGTATGGTTGGGGTACCTGTGGCATCTGCAAGAGCTGTCTATATTTAACAGCTATTCTTATTTTGATTCAATTCATTGTCAATACAAGTTTGATTTTGTTTAGGTGTTTGGAAGCCTAATAACCAATGGGCCCCTCAGTAGCCCTGAAGAGTGAATGTTGATTAGTGTAAACCAGTCATGATTTCTCCATTTCTCTTGTCAGTGATATTTTAAAGTAGAAGTAGAAGTACTGGCCAGTGAGATGTAATGGTATGTTTGCTAGGAGCCTTTTGGAAAATTTTTTCTCAATTTTAAAATGGGACAGAGGCAGAGAGTCACTTCTTTTCTACTGCTTAATAGGGGTTTATGAAGATGTGATGCTTAGCACAATGGCAGCCATTTTGCAACCATGACAGAAAAGCCTGAAGATGAAGACCAACATGTTGAGGATGCTGGGGGAAAAGAAGAAAAAAAACAGGTCTCTGATCATTTTTTTGAGCTCCTGAAATTATAACCTTGGACTCACCTAGCTGTAGACTTCTTGAAAGCTGAAATAAGGCTGAGCTTCAAACAATGGGAGACATATGGCAGGAGAAGGGATCCTGGCTGACTGGCTGAACTGGTTGGATGTGAATGGTAGATGATGGCTCATCAACTCTTTACCTATTCTCTCAAAAAATTTATGTGATACCACTTACAAGACCAGATATGACATAAACATTTGCTTAACTTTAAATATCAATTTTTTTCCTAAAACCACACCCCTGCCCCATTTTCTAGAGTTGTAGCATAGGAATGAATGGCTTCCTGGACCATAGTGGACTTAATCATATCCTTTGGGCAGTGCCTTTTATTCCTAGTTGTAGAGTTAGTTTTCCCACTTCCATCCCTCACCCCCCAATCCTGGGTGCTTCTCCATTCATTCTGGCTGGCATAGTAGAAATATAATTTGCTTTGACCTCTTGTACTCTAGAAAAAAGTATGCATTTGGAGCAGAATGTGAAAAGTCTCCAGAGTATGAGTGAATGTCACCATGTTCTTAAGGACTAGACTTTCTGAGGTCTGAAGGTAGAGTGTGGAAGTTTTAGGTTGCAAAGGGCTAGGATGCTAAACCTATTATCTTTTTGAGGACCGTTACTTCCAGGACGGAAATAAACTTGAATATTTGTGGGAGAAAGCCTATAGAGGGTGAAGGAGGTTCTTGGGAAAGGCCACTAAAACAGAAGGGGATGACAAGACAGTCCTGAGAGTCAGCTACCATGCTTAATCCTCCATAATTATCCATGGCCAAGAGGGGGCCTGGATCTGTGGAATGGGGATGGCACCACCATAAGGAGCATAGTTCTACAGCCAAGACGGTATATTAACCCTAGAGAACTTGGTTAGTAATATGGTTCGGCTTTGTGTCCCCACCCAAATTTTATCTTATATTGTAATCCCCACGTGTAGGAGGGATCTGGGGGAAGGTGATTGGATGATGGGGTTGGTTTCCCCTATGCTGTTCTCATGATATTGAGTGAGTTATCACAAGATCTGATGGTTTAAAAGAGGCAGTTTGCCCTTTGCTTATTCTCTCTCTCCTGCCACCATGTAAGACGTGTCTTGCTTCCCCTTCACCTTCTGCCATGTAAGTTTCCTGATGCCTCCCCAGCCATGCAAAACTGTGAGTCAATTAAATATCCTTTATTTATAAATTACCCAGTCTCAGGTATTTCTTTATAGCAGTGTAGAAATGGACTAATATAGTTAGACGAGAACCTGTGGGCTAGCTCACCTAGAAAGCTGCTCATTCAGTGGGAAGGCATTAGCTTATATTCCTAAAATTTTGGAGGAATTATACATATTTTAAATAGCTGTCTAGAAAAATTTGAACTTTATTCTTGACTGATTTTCCAATATCTAATAATTTTCTTCCTTGGAGTCAAGGTAGAATCAGAGAGTGCAGAGCCTACACATAGGATAATTACAGGGAAGAAGAAGGAAAAACTATTTTTATCTATTCACTCAAAAAGTATTTATTAACACCATCCATATGGTAGGCACTAGTTTAAGTTGGAGGTACTAGCATGATCAAGACAGAGAAGCACCCTGCCTTCGTCGAGTTTATGTTCAAGTTGAAGAAACAGACAATAAATAAGCAAACAATATGATTGCACAGTGTGATGTGTGAATCACACCCAAGTGAAAAATGAACAGGGTGATGTTTTACAGTGTAATTGGAAATAGGAAGGCAAGACAGAATGGAAGGACTATTTTAGATAAAGCGGTCAGGGAGGATTCTTAATAGAGGTGAAACCTCCAGTTTTGATAAGCCACATTGGAAGCTGAGAGTGGTAAGATCTGAGACTGGAAATTATGCATTAGAGGGAGCTCTGATTTTGTTATAAAGCACAGCAGAATGTCATTGAAGAATGTTAAACAAGGAGTCGTGATCTTATTTACATTTTAAAAAAGTCATTTATGTGGAGACAAAAGTAGAAGTAAGAAAAAAAGCATGCATGGGAATGATAAAGACCAAAATCAGAATGTAGTCATCTGTATGGTTGGAGAAAGATGATTGAGGTTTGGGGAGGATAAACAGGAAGAGTTAATGTATATGTAATGTTTCACTTCTTTTAAAAAAAAGTATGTTACCACTTAAGCAAGCTAAGAGGTGGTTATGTTGTATACAATATTATTCTTTATTGCTTCTTATGTTTGAAATCTATTTTAAGGCATATTCTATTTATATTTTAAAGGCATGTTTATTGCTGATTCAAGTGTCTAGTACAGCCAGACAGGGAATGTAAAGGCAAGAGGCCCTCCAGTGGGGCTCTGGCACTTGAGACCCACATCCCCTCAAACTAGAGCAGCTGCTACCCAGCCCTAGTTACCTGTTGCCAAGCAGGAACTCAGACCTTGTGTTGCTAGAGAAATCAGTAATCTGGAATTTTTTTTAAAATGTGAAATGTCCTAATTTTAAAAGCTGGCAGTTAACTCAAATTAATGAAACAAAGCAAAGCAAAATGCTATGAAGATCCAAACAAACAAACAAAGGCAAATGCCTGTGCGCTAGATTCAGCCCTCAGGTTACCAGCCTGCCGCCTCTGCATAATCTCTGTGTGGCAAATTTAGGCAAAATGCTGTAAAATCTTTTCTTGTGGAGACTAATATTCAAGTGGAGAAGGTGAAAATATTCCAGGGCCCTGCAGAAAGAGTGTACTAGCCAGACTCCCTGGAGTCTCTGTGGGGAAGAGCTTTGGCTATGCTAAGGGAGATTCTTAGCTTCTTGTATACTTTACAGTCTGCAGATCCATCACTGTGAGAACCTCAAAAAAGAAGCCAGACTTTTCCATTGACTTCAAGGCTGTGTCAGCAAATGCCAGACTCAGCAGGCCCTTTCTATTGTATGTTAAGTTTCCAAACAGCTGAAAATAGTTTGTGCCAAGATCTCTATAAGTGTGACAAACACACAACATTCTATGTGCCCCAGGAGGCCAATTAAATCTAGGAGACCACAGACGACAATCTCAGAATATAGTCACCACACCTCTCAGGGCTGATGGCCATGATGTATTTTTCTATTCTCTCCTCATCAGAAATGAAGCCTTGGATTGAAGATTATTTATTCATGCCTTTTGGTTTAATTTTTAGCAGAGGTATTTTGGACCTGAAAACCTCCTAAAAAGAAAATATTGCCTGGATGTCAAATGTATACATTTTCTTATCAATATCATTTCATGTGAATGACTTACATAGCCCCTTCATATAGGACACTCAGTTCATCAAAGTTTCTTTGAACACAAACTGCAGGCAGTTATTAAAACCTCCTTAAAAGTGCTGAAAAAAATATTTACAGTATGTTAGAAATCATTTGTGAAACCTTTTATAGGAATAAAGCATTCTTAGTTTACCAGCTTTCAGACCAAAAATTTAGTCTTTTTTAAAGGAACTTGATTCTATTTCTATGTTGATTGACACATCTCAAATATTTTTCAGTTCTTTATCAGAATATTCTTGTGTCTTTAGACATAATATATTGTTATGTACAATTTATAAAATATCATAATATATTATTACCGAAATGGGGCTTGAACAGCCAAAAGGGGATAAAATGAGCGAATGATCAGGTGTTCTCATGAATACTTGTATAACTCCCAGCTACTATGATACCTTAGAAATGATTGGTATGGGGGAGCCTTCTGGTGTGCATTTTACCAAAAGCAGCAGTGGGTAAAGGAGAAAGAATGGTACTGATGTCAAAATCTTGCCTCGTAGAAGACAAAATAAAAATGAAATAAATACAAAACCTGAAGACAAATCTAAGAAATGATATTTACACTGTGAATGGCATTTTCATATTTAGCTATTATTCACAATGTAAAGTAATCAAATTCCTTGAATGTTTAAACTAAATAACCAAGTTCTCAAATCAAATAATTGCATTGTTTCCAAATGCATATGGTTTTCTGTTCAGTTGTTTTACATATAATTTCCACTTACATTTTTATCCATTTAATATTGACTGCCAAGTAATTCTCTTGGCGATCAGCTGTATGCAGAACTTCAAATATAAGAGACTTGGAAGATATCTTGCATAATATTACATATGTAATTCATTCTAGACAGGAATTATTGTTCAATCTATTTAAAAAAAAAACAAATCTGTATTTATGTTAGAGGCCATGGATAAATATATAGAATATAGTTAGGAATGAAAACATTTATCTGGATAAATCAGGAAAAATGAACAAACCACCCCCACCCTGCAAAGAGGGCCTACTTACACACATTAAATTTGCTTATATAACTTCATAGACTTGTTATTTATTTTGTTGTTTAGAAGCCAAAAACAAATAATGAATCCTGACTTCCTTTTTACTACATATTGAAATAACAAAAACTAATAGGCCAGTAATAATTCAGCTCTACGGTGTTAATCAAGCTTGATCACAAGGAGCCTTAGAAGGAAAACAGTCAGCCACCCTGTTGTTTGCCTTGCCAATGCCATTCTACTCTTCTGCCTTGCAAACACCACCACAATTTTGTTTGGGTAGTAATCTCCCAACCCCAGGCCCAGGGAATAAATTCTTACTAATCTCCACTAGTCATAGGAATCTTATTCTTTATTGGCCTACAGGTTAGCATGCAACCCAGTCCAGGAAAAATGAGACCTAAGGAGATACTCTACTCCTTGGGGAAAGAAAATCTTTTTTCTGCCTGCCCTCTTCCTTTCCACTCTGAATACTCTCAAGTAATGCTGTAGCCATCTTGTGATCATGGATAGGACTGGGGAGCACAGGAACCAAAAGAATTCCAGAAACATTTACTAACAAGCACTTTGACATCATTGAGCCTCTGAGGGAGCTGCCTATCTCCAGATTTCTTGTTAAGTGAGAAAACAAACTTCTGTGTGTTTGGATCACTCCAACTTGGCCTGTCACTTGCAGCTAAAAACATCTTAGTAAATACATTCAGCATGAAAAAATTATGCTAAAAAGAAACCAGAAATAATAAATAGCAAATGTTGACTGAGTCATCATGAGGTATACACTATCATTATCTTCATTTATCAACAATGATGCCAAGGTATATAGAAAGGTTAGCATTATTGCTAACATGCTGCTGTGATCGCCCAGATTTGGGGGCTCCATTGTTACATAACTTTTTGGCATGATATATTTGGTAGAAGAGTGCCTTGTATTCAGTAGCACTGAATCTTAGCAAAGCACAAGTACAGAGAACCTTTACACATTCAACTCGTAAGCAAAATAGCTATCGATTTAACATAAACTCATATCATATTATTTTAAATACAATTTCAAGGGAAAGCTGACAAACAGGCTGACAAACTGCCTCCACCAGTGTTTAATCAATAGGTTTTCATTTTGTTTATGAATAGAAACCAGAAAGCCAGGAAAAGTTGGCTTTTTCAACACCAACCATGTAAACAGCAATCACTGCCAATTGTGGGGGCAGTGGGGGAGGAACTGTATACTTGGGAGATAGAAATATGGTACCCAAACTGATTTCCTATGTGCTTCCAATGGGTCATTATAAGAAAACCAAATATTAAACACATGATACAGAGCCACATAATAGGCAGTTATTCATGCATAGACTTTTGAATGCACAAGCCAATATATCTCTGTCATGAACATATAACATAAACTGTAATTGTCTCTTATCTCTGTAATGGTTCTCTAATGGTTCAGTTCCTAAGTCCAATTTCTTTTGGCCTTCCCCGGAGTATTTGCTTTTAAATGGCATTAAATTTCTGCCTTATTTGTGTTTAGACCCCATATTTCCATCAGTACTTTGATAATAAGATGATATATTTGCAGACTAGCTTTTATTTCACTTTGGCTTAAAGATTTCCTCTTTATAGAACTGGGCTTATTATTAAAATAATTAGCTTTCTTATTAAACTATAATGGAAAAAGAAGGAATGGAGATGGAAGGGAATGTAAAATGTCTCCTCATAAAAATATTGATAAAACAATCCTGCTGGAGGGTAACCTCTTTTAGGATGCACATTAATTTTTGGCAAATTTTAAAAATATTCTGGGTTTGGATTACCCAAATCACACTCATTAATGTCTTGAAATGACAGGTGCAATAATACTAGGAATGTAGAAAGTTTTTAAGTTGATTTGTCTATTCAGAAAGAGTATGGGCAAAATTTAAATTAGGTCAGATTTGTCCTGTCTCCACCCCACTAAAGTTTGTGTTTGTTTGTAGTACAGCAGAAAGCCTATTCTCACTATGATCCTTTGGGCAAATTTCTTAGTATATCCAAGTCTGCTTCTCTTATTAAAAATAAAAAGGCATTCCATAGCCTCAGAGATTTTGTGACAATTACATGAGCTAATGCTTGTGAAAAGTTTTATAAAACATTAAACATTCTAAACGTTTAAATTTCTTACCTCTATGCCACGAAAACTTACTCATTATGTGTCATTGTTTAGAGAAGCACTTATGGCTAGCTGTCATCTGTTCTAACTATTCGTGCTTTTAATTATTTTAGCTAAAGGAAAGAAACACTAATGATGTTAATCTTGAGAAGCCCAAATTTGCCAGCCTTGTATGGTAAGCAAACAGATATGTTTAGCTCCTTGTTCTGTATACACTGGGAAATTTAGAGCCCTCCACAATTTCCCAGGTATTCCTTAGGATGGTGGGGGCCTGGGAGAGGCTTCAGGATCCAGTCATCTTTCATTCCCAGTCCCAATCCCTATTTACTGCCTTGCCTCTGTGACCTTTCTTTGTCTGTATCCTTAACCCCCTGTTAATTTCCCAAAGCTCCACTAACAAAAGACTGTTGGGTGAGTAGCCAACTTTTTATTAAACAAAACATTTGGGGAGGGAAATATGCCCAGCATAGATGCAAAAAAAGTAAAATTAATCACTAGAAGATTGTTTTAAACTGAGCTGTCTTTCCATCTTTGGGTATTTCTCACTGTGTTTTCTCTTCTATTACATTCCTCTCCTCCCTGTCCAAGACCTCTAAACCCCCAGTCTGTGCCCCCATGCCCAACCAATTGAAAGTTCCCATAATATATTATACAAAGCAACTTTTCAATTTTCCCCAGCTCAATTTTCTCTTTCCAGACTATGCACCGGGACCCTGCATAACTTAAAAATCTTGATATGTCCATTAAGATATTTTCCTAAATGGGAGAACAGGACAGAGACCTAAGCAAATGCATTGGTATTAGAGTTTGTCTTTAAAATCTCTTGAAGCACTATGCCAGGTGCTTCCGTGCATTGTTTTATTTAACCTTCACAACTCCGTTACATGGGTTCTGTTATCCTAGTTCTATAGATGAGAAATCTGAGGCCAACTTAATATGTGCTCACTTGTTTCCGTTCTTTTAATATTTTGTTAAAGAGAAAGAATTTCATATAAACTAGATTTAAATAATATTCTGATCTAAAAGAAGTAAACCGAGAGCCAATCAAAACCAGAAATAATGAGCTCCACTGATAGAAAATAATTGGAATAAAGTTGTATGTGTGTGTTTGGTGTGTGTGTGTGTGTGTGTGTGTGTGTGTGTGTGTTTAGCTCTCTCCCCTTCATTGATTTCACAGGAATACTGTAATTAGCCTTCACCATATTTATCCACTGATTATATACTTGATCTTATTGCTCATTCTGCTTTTTAAATTTATTTATAATAGTCTTTAGTCAATTATGATTGTCATAGCTTTGGAAGAAATTTACTTCTCTACTTTTATATCTAACAGGAATTCATGAGTCCTTGTCAAATATGAACAATTAGTTTACAATAGTCCCAACGTTGTTGCTTCTTTTTTTTCTTTTTGGCATTCTCAAATTATTTGGGGTTTTATTATTTTTTAAATATTTGGGAAAATTCAACATGATTTTGTGGCATAAAGACAAAGAATTTGGAATGTTCTGATCTTGTTACTCTCTCAAAATTTCTAAGAGATCTTGGGCAATTTTAAACATTTTTCTAATTCTCTGAAACTTTGTTTTAAATGGAAAATAATGCCTAGCTCATAAGAATACAGAATACATTAAGGATGAGATGGTTATAAGGGGATTTTTAAGAGATTTTATGAGATATAAAATTAAAAGACATTTATATATTATAATAGTATGGGTTCTAATTACGAATTACTATATGTAAATGGTTTTAACTGAGCTCAGCATAAGAGGACTTTACACTCCAAATAATCTTAGTGATAAGAAAATGTTAATAAAAGAAAATCTTTTTGTTCTTATTTTTATCAGGTGTTCATATACGTAATGAGCTAAATTGTTCTACAAAAATCACAGAAACTATTATGAAAAATAATACTGTTAGAAAATTTTTTTTACTTTCAGATTTCTAAAAACACATGGTTGTGATGCTACTTTACTTTTTTCAGTAGTAGGCATCATCTACCAGCTTCCTACTGGAACTTAGCATGTGGGTCTCTTTCCTCTCCCTATGCTATCATACATAAATTTGTTTCCCATCCCTTATCCTTCCACTACTGTTAAGGCATGATTTTATTTAGATCATTGTTCGGTGTTCATATCAGGACTTTTTAAAGGCTCTTCTAACTTGTACCATTGAAATAACTCTGCTTTCTTTACTTTTATTTTTTTACCCTATCCCTGGAGTTAATAATTGCCTTATTTTTTCTTTATTTTAATTTTTTTGGTATACTTACCATGAATTCCAATTCAGTCCTTCACCTCTCTGCCACTTGCTTGAATCTCCCCTTAAAAGTTTAGATACATTGGGCCAGGCACAGTTGCTGACACTTGTAATCCCAGCACTTTGGGAGGCTGAGGTAGAAGGATCACTTGAGGCCAGGAGTTTGAGACTGGCCTAGGCAAAATAGGGAGACCTTATCTGTATAAAAAAATTTAAAAAAAATTTTATTATACTTTAAGTTTTAGGTTACATGTGCACAATGTGCAGATTAGTTACATATGTATGCATGGGCCATGTTGGTGTGCTGCACCCAGTAACTCGTCATTTAACATTAGGTATATCTCCAAATGCTATCCCTCCCCCCTCCCCCCACCTCACAACAGGCCCCAGTGTGTGATGTTCCCCTTCCTGTGTCCATGTGTTCTCATTGTTCGGTTCCCACCTATGAGTGAGAACATGCGGTGTTTGGTTTTTTGTCCTTGTGATAGTTTTCTGAGAATCATGGTTTCCAGCTTCATCCATGTCCCTACAAAGGACATGAACTCATCATTTTTTATGGCTGCATAGTATTCCATGGTGTATATGTGCCACATTTTCTTAATCCAGTCTATCATTGTTGGACATTTGGGTTGGTTCCAAGTCTTTGCTATAGTGAATAGTGCCACAATAAACATATGTGTGCATGTGTCTTTATAGCAGCATGATTTATAATCCTTTGGGTATATACCCAGTAATGGGATTGCTGGGTCAATTGATATTTCTAGTTCTAGATCCCTGAGGAATCGCCACACTGACTTCCACAATGGTTGAACTAGTTTACAGTCCCACCAACAGTATAAAAGTGTTCCTATTTCTCCACATCCTCTCCAGCACCTGTTGTTTCCTGACTTTCTAATGATCACCATTCTAACTGGTGTGAGATGGTATCTCATTGTGGTTTTGATTTGCATTTCTCTGATGGCCAGTGATGATGAGCATTTTTTCATTTGTCTTTTGGCTGCATAAATGTCTTCTTTTGAGAAGTGTCTGTTCATATCCTTCGCCACTTTTTGATGGGTTGTTTGTTTTTTTCTTGTAAATCTGTTTGAGTTCATTGTAGATTCTGGATATTAGCCCTTTGTCAGATGAGTAGATTGCAAAAATTTTCTCCCATTCTGTAAAATTAAGTGGGAGTGGCAGCACGTGCCTGTGGTCCTAGCTACTTGAGAGGCTGAAACAGGAGGATTGCTTGAGCCCAAGAGTTTAGAAGCTGCAGGGAGCCATGATTGTGCCACAACACTCCAGCCTGGGCAACAGAGCAAGACCCTTTCTCTGAAAAAAAGAAAAATAAAGAAAAAAGTTTAGACATATCAGGTAGTCTTTTAATTCCATCTCTTGGAAAAACCATTCTTAGAGCATTCTGACCTACTCTCATCTGAACTGCTTATACCCTGGGGACTGATTTTCTTTGCCTTTCTTCTCTTCCCAAGTCTTCTTCCTTCGATTTTGTGGAGCTTTCCTCTAACCACTTTCTAACAGAGATACATAGGAGACAATTTTTTTGAGACCTAGTGTGTCTGAAAATGTCTTTTTTATCCAGGAAACCAAGTTTTCTTCCTCTCTCTTTCTCTCTCTCTCTCTGTCTCTCTCTCTCACTATTTCCATCTCTATCTCTCTCTTCTTGAACTGCAGAAAAGTTAAGTGGTGAAATCCCTGCGCTTTGGGGTCAGATTGCCTGGGCCTGAAACCTAGATTTTCTCCTTAGAAACGGTGAGACTTTTAATATTTTTGTGATTCAGTTTTTCTACTTGGTTAAAAGAAATAATAAAAGTACCTACATCATAGGCTTTCTTGAGAATTAAATGATTTGGTGTATGTAAAGCCTGACTGGCACATCATAATTGTTTTTGATCTCCTGGACTCTCGATCTAATGTTCACACTTTTTCTCTTCCTGCCAACTCTTTTATCTTTTTGCTCTACTCTCTAGGATTTTTGCTCCACTTTCTGGAAGATTTCCTCAACTCTATCTTCCAATCTGTCTATTACTTTTTAAAGTCTATTTTCATATTTTTAATTCCTAAGAGCTCTTGCTTGTCTCAGGTTTGTACTATCACCACATTCCCTGAGGATATTAATGATTGTCAAGTGTTCTTCTCATTGCATAGCCTCTGTTTTCTCCAGTGTGTTGCTTTTTCCTTTTTCCTTTATATTCCATGTTAAAGTCTTTCCTCAACTGTCCAGTAACCCTAATTATCTGCCCATTTTTAAGGTTAGAGAACCAAAGCACTTATTGGAAGAACTGAGCATGAGCAGTGCTTATCAACCACAACCTTCACAGTAGATAATTTGCCTAGGATATTTTGTTGATGAGCTCCCAATTTCATAATCTTTATATATATTCTTTGAGGATAACTATTTTCCCCTGAGGAGACTCCTCCAGTGTCCCTCCTGGATGATAAAGGCCTGGCTTCCAGGATTCTCAGAACCAAGTGGACAAAAAGAACTAGACAGCTCAACATCTTGTTTTCAGTAAGGTGCTAGCTGTATAGACAGGATGGGTCGATCTGAAGATCTAATTGCTTTTTAAATAGTTTTTTACTAGTCCTCTTTAATTTAGCTATTCTCTTTATCCCTCCTTCCAAGAGCACTGTGTGTCACCCATTCCCAACATTTTAAGGGATTCTGTGAAATAAACTAAATTTATTCCTTACTGTTTCCACTGTAAGCTTGAGATGTAGCTCTCTCAGATATGCCAAATCAGTACCACTTTTCATTTGCTTACCAGGTCCCAAAATATTCTGCTATTTTTTTCCTCTTCTAATTTCCCATCTTTTTTGGTTCATTTCTTGAAAAAAAAATCCGCTTTTATGGTAGGTTTTTTTTAGGGGGGATTTGTGGGGGGACTAAAATTGGATGTGTATAAGTTTAATCATCCATTTTTACCTAAAAGTTGCAAAGCAAAACTTTCAATGGGTCTTTGAGATTGCCAATCTGTGTAGGTCCGCTAGAGATGGAGACTTTTTTCTCAACTCTTCAGAATAACCTCATGAAAATTGGGAAATGTGATGGAGGTTTCGTCCTGCCATGCTGGTCCCCTTCACCTAAGTCATCTGGTTAGATAACTGCTGTAACTCTTCAGACTTAGAAGATTAATCCTTGACACCTAGACTGTTTGTACTGAAGAAGTTATGCACCTTGGTGAATGGGAGGAGAGAAGGGGAAACTTAACCTCTGGCCCCTTTTCTCCACTCCTAATGCACCATTTGCTTTGCTATAGAACAAACCAGAATGGAGGCTTTATTTGTGAAAAGAAAAATTAAAAAGTAATCAATCAATTAAGCAAAGACAAGTAGAGAGATGAACAGAGTCCTGGTGGCATTGAGTCTTAACTCCAGTTCAGTTCTTCCTGGATTTTATGACTTACCTTTGTATCCTTCCTAGCCACGTGTATCGATAAGTTATGATTCATTCTCCCAAAATGAATTGAATTGGTTTTCTGTCTCTTACTACTAAAAGAGTCCTGATTAATTTGCTAAAGCATCAATAGGGTTTCCCAGTACTAAGAACATGGGAGTGATTTTTATCGACATACCTAGAATAAAGTTTGTTTATTGCAGCACTATTTACAATAGCAAAGTCATAGAACCAAGCCAAATGCCCATCAGCAATAAACTGGATAAGTAAAATGTGATACATATACACCACGGAATACTATGCAGCCATAAAAAGGAATGAGATCATGTCCTTTGCAGGGACATGGATGAAGCTGGAAGCCATCATCCTCAGCAAACTAACACAGGAACAGAAAACCAAACACCATATGTTCTCACTCATAAGAGAGAGTTGAACAATGAGAACAGATGGACACATGGAGGGGAACAACACACACCAGGGCCTGCTGAGGGGTGGAGGGTGAGAGGAGGGAACTTAGAGGATGAGTCAGTAGGTGCAGCAAACCACCATGGCACAGGTATACCTATATAACAAACCTGCACATTCTGCACATGTATCCTGGAACTTAAAGTAAAATTAAAAAAAAAATTGCTGGAAAGCCACTATGAATGTCTGATTTTTCCAAGCATCAAGCTGCAAACACCTCTAAAAAGACTAATTGCTTCCTCTTCATTTCCATCTTCCGACTCTCCGGCAAATTTTTCACATTGGCAAACTGACTCAGAACCTCACAGAGAAGTGGATTCTCAAAAATGTAATTCCTCGCCTTACAAAAAAGTGGCAATGGTGTCCTGGGCCCAAAAGTGAGGAAACACCAGGCATGCCAAAAAGGTCTGCATCTAATTGCTTTTACTGTATTCTGGAGATCAAAGCTTCGCTTTTTACTGATACAAATGCCATATTTAGTTTTGTCTGTTTTCCCTCTCCAGTCTTTGTACTCCTGTGATCTATGCCATTCCTGGGCAGAGGAGAAGAAATAATGAAAATTTTTGGGTTTAAAATATTTACTTGATCATTGTGTTTATGTGTAAATAAACACCTCAAAATATGAAAAAAAAAGAAGAAATCATAGAGGCAGTTTATTTCTACTTCAATATTTTACTCCTAGAAAAAGGTAGATCCTAAATACACAGAAGAGTTACTGGGCATATCTAAAGAATGCATAAAAATTTAAAAGACTTTTAAAATTTAATTTAATTTTGAGACAGGGTCTCACTCTGTCACCCAGGCTGACTGCAGTGGTGTGATCTTGGCGTACAGCAGCCTCAACCAGGACTCAAGTGATCCTCCCACCTCAGCCTCCTGAGCATCCAGAACTACAGGCATGCACCACCACGCCAGACTAATTTTTAATTTTCTTGTAGAGACAAGCTTTTGCCATGTTGCCCAGGCTGGTCTTAAAATTCCTGGAGGAAAGCAGTCCTCCTGCCTCAGCCTCCCAAAGTGTTGGGATTACAGGCATGAGCCTCTACGCCCAGGCAAAAAGCCCCTTTTCTATCTCAGCTTTTCTTTCCTTATTCAAAACCAATGAATTTAATTTAATGAATGGAGTTTCTCGAAGTTAAATTTTTCTAGAACTGTTAAGATTTGGGTGCCTGCTTTTTCTTTTCTTCTAGCAAATGTAAAAATAATGTGACATGAAATTATTAATTTTTTTTTTTGAAGACAGAGTTTTGCTCTTGTCACCCAGGCTGGAGTGCAGCAGTGGCACGATCCTGGCTCACTGCAACCTCCAGCCCCTGGATTCAAGCGATTCTCCTGCCTCAGCCTCCTAAGTAGCTGGGATTACAGGTGCCTGCCATCACACCCAGCTAATTTTTGTATTTTTGGTAGAGACAGTTTTCACCATGTTGGCTAGGTTGTTCTCGAACTCCTGACCTCAAGTGATCCGCCCGCCTCAGCCTCCCAATGTGCTGGGATTACAGGCGTGAGCCACCGCGCCCAGCCGAAATTATTAAATTTTAAATTATTACTCAACCAGCAAGGCTCCTCCCTTAAATTAAATTAGGTAAGTAAGTAACTAGGATAGATGTCTATCCTCCTAATATATATATTTTATTGTAAATTTTATCCACTATTCTTTCTGAAATTCAGAAACCCTCATACATCAAATACAGTTCCAGTTACTGATGGTAAAATTATTCCTTGCCATATAATGTCATAAATCTGTAACTATTTTGGAGTAGAATGTCAGAGTACCAAGAGTTATGGCTGCTTTGTCAACTTAAAAAATTGAAAATCACTATCTTGTAGGTTCTTTCTGTTTTCAATTTTTTAGAACTTGGCACTCAACTATAACCCAGTATCTATAGCAAACATAATGGCCTATGAAACCATCTCAGCCTACATCATTGCTTATCTTACCTTATCTTTACTTTTCAACACTCAAAGCATAGACTGTAATGTTATCCTTTCTCACCTGTCTCCTTTCTCTTCTTATGCTCCTGGTCCTTATGAAAAGCTTCTACTAATAATTGACTACGAGATCCCTTAAACCTGGATCTAGATCATTCAATAGTTTCACCAAATTTGGTCACTTTTAGGTTTTCTTAAGGTACCTAGAATAGCAGCCTCATGAAAAAAAATAAATAAATCTTCAATAGAGATCCAAATAAAATAGTAAATATATACAGATCATCACCCAGACACAGTGGCTTATGCCTGTAATCCCAGCACTTTGGGAGGCCAAGGCAGAAGGATCACTTGAGCCCAGGAGTTGGAGATCAGCCTGGGCAACATGGCAAAATCCTGTCTCTACAAAAATACGTAAAAAGTAGCCAAATACATTAATGTTTCTAATTTTTGTAGCTCTGTCTCTACAAAAAATACAAAAAAAATGGGAATATGCAATTTCACAATGAGTGTAGATAAGAACTACTTGTGTTCACTGTGAAACATAGTAGAATTAACTCGCTATAGAACTCCCTATTCTTCAAGCAGTCATAACCTTGGCTTCATTTAGCCTCTAACAGGCATCACTTTCATCTTCTCATCTCTTTCGGCTCATGCTCCAAGTCCAAGTGTTCAATGTATAGGAAAAGGGCCATGACACACATAAGCACATCAGAGGGGTTACTTTTTATCTCATGCAAATAAATATTCACAGCTCAAATCTAGGTGTCATTAGGTACTTTTACCTTCACCTCCCATCCCTGTTAGAAAAGGGGGTCAATGGTGTAAATAATCAGTTTCTGGGCATTACTCCTATTCATGTTCTGTCCCTATACCTGCCCCACAGCATGTCAGCTAAGGAAACTAAGTTAATGTTTTAGATGTGGTGAAACTCAGTCATCAGTTTCACACTTTGATATTTAAAAGATTTAGAATATCTGGAAGTCCATTGATGTCTTTAGCTTAAAGCTCCTAAAAGTTACCAATCTCATCACTGACCCTTCAGCTTCTGGAACAGTAGCAAAGAAAATAGAAGCGAATACACAGCAACCTGTCTGGCAAAGCTGCTGTTCTATAAACATGATTTAATACAAGATAAAAAAATAAAACACCTTGGATTGGGAAGGTGCATGTTTTTTCACTTTAAACTGATTATAGCAACTTGGTTTCCTGTCTCTGAGAATCAGTAAATTGGTAAAAACTTGTCAAATGCTATCATTTACTGCATGCTATTTTTAGAATGCATTTGTGAAGGAGAATTTGCCCTTTCCATATGGTTTAAGTTATTGGCAAAATAAAGCTAAACAAGCGCATTTTGAAAGCATGGTGTTAATGCCTGTTATTTATAGCTGTCCACAGCTATCAATTTTTACTTTAAAATTATTAGACCAATTATGGGGCAGGGAGAATGTGCTGAGCTTGAAAATATAACCAAGAGTGATTTATACAATGAAAATGATATACAAAAGGAGCTTCCCTGAGCAAGAGTTATTCTTAGCATTTTAGTTTATCCAAGACTCATAATGTAATTTTGTCCTTGGAGAAATTCCCCGTCTCTTTTTTAATACTCTGATATTTTTCCTATTTTGGAAAATGCAATTAGACAAGATAATGAAATAAAAGATATGAATATCCTAAACAAGAGCCAGCATTTGCAAGTGGTGTGGTTGTTTACTTGGAAGACCCAAGAAAGCAAATTAAAACAATGGTAAACAATTAGAATTCAGTAAGCCTACTAGTTTAAAAAATAAACAAAGCAATAACTTTTCTATACACACTAAAAAATTGGCTTGAAATTATACAAGAAAAAAGATCCAATTCACAATAGAAATGAACAATCAAAAATCTAGGAATAAACATTTTTTTGAGACGCGGTTTTGCTCTTGTTGCCCAGGCTGGAGTGCAATGGCGCGATCTTGGCACACTGCAACCTCTGCCTCCTGGGTTCAAGCCATTCTCCTGCCTCAGCCTCCTGAGTAGCTAAGATTACAGGCATGCACCACCACACCCAGCTAATTTTGTATTTTTAGTAGAGATGGGGTCTTGCCATGTTGGTCACACTAGTCTCAAACTCCTGACCTCAGGTGATCTGCCTGCCTTGGCCTCCCAAAGTGCTGGGATTACAGGCGTCAGCCACTGTGTCTAGCCAGGAATAAAGTTTTTTAAAAAGTAAAGACAACATAAAATTCTACTGAAGATGCCATTGTAGTGGAAGACAACATTATTTTTCTAGAGAGACTGAACTTTGTAATGATATTATTTTTAATCTATGAGTTCACTCTGATCCCAAATAGAAAACTAATTTTGTGCGTTTACTAAGGACCCACCAACATGGGCCACATTCGCACCAAAACCATGAGAAAGGTGGCCTGGGTCATTATAGAAAAGTACTACACGTGCCTGGGCAATGACTTCCACACCAACAAGCATGTGTGCGAGGAAATTGCCATTATGCCCTGCAAGAATCTCTGGAACAAGATAGCAGCCTGTGTAACCCATCTGATGGAGCAGACTCAGAGGGTCCCAGTGTGAGGTACCTCCATTAAGTTGTAGGAGGAGGAGAGAGAAAGAAGAGACAATTATGTTCCTGAGGTCTGAGCCCCCTTGATCAGGAGATCATTGAAGTAGATCCAGGCAGTACAGAAATACCGAAACTTTTGGACCTTGGCAGTCTGTCCAACCTGCAGGTCACTCCAGCCTACAGTTAGGATGAATTTTTTTTTTTTTTTTGAGACGTAGTCTCCCTCTGTTGCCCAGGCTGGTGTGCAGTGGCGCAATCTCAGCTCACTGCAACCTCCACCTCCTGGGTCCAAGCAATTCTCCTGCCTCAGCCTCCCAAGTAGCTGGGACTACAGGCATGCGCCACCATGCCTGGCTAATTTTTGTATTTTTAGTAGAGATGGGGTTTCATCATATTGGCCAGGCTGGTCTTGAACTCCTGACCTAGTGATCCGCCCACCTCAGCCTCCCAAAGTGCTGGGATTACAGGCATGAGCCACCGCGCCTGGCACCAGTTAGGATGAATTTAAAAACCCCTCGTGGAGCTGTTCGAATCGTTCTGCAATGCTGTAATATTTTTAATAAACCTGGGACAACAACAACAACAAAAAAACTAATTTTATGAAATGTGAAAAAAATTAAAAGTTTATATGACAGATGATTGAATGCATTCGATTATTTAGGAAAATTTAAAAGGAAAGAGTAATAAAGTGGAAAATCCTGTAAATATTAAAATGTATCATAAACTTATAGTAATTAAAATAGTATGATATCAGAATAAGAATAAAAGATCAATAGAAAATATCAAAAAATCTAACAATGGATGTAAGTACATTTAAGAATTTAGTATGGTCTGTGGAGAAAAACCTGATTAGTCAATAAATAGTATTGGGACAACTGGCTAGCCATTTGGAAAATAATTAAGTGAGATTTCTACCTCACTCATTATACTAAAATAAATTCCAGATGGATAAATAAATTTAAACTAAAACCATAGAAGTAGTTTTTTAAAAAAAGAACTAAGAAGACTGTTTTTAATAGACTTTTTAAAAAGTGATATAAGATCTAGAATTCAAAAGAGACAGGCTGATAATTTTGACTACATAGAAAAGAAAGTTTTCTGCATATTTAAAACACCAATAAACCTGAAAAAAAATGAACCTGACAAATGTGGTAAAGGGCTAATTTCCTTAATACATCTTTTTAAAACTCTTAAAGATTCATTTTTAAAAAACTAATGAAAACTCAGTAGCAGAATGGACAAAATACTGAACTCAAAGTGGCTGGGCTCAAAAAAAAAGGCCAACTAACATATAAACCTATAAAAAGTCACTCAACCCCACTCATAACTTTACAAATGCAAAATAAAAGAGAGCAGTATACAATTCCATTAACACATAATATGCAAAGATTGACATTTGATAAAATTAAGCATTAGAATATACACTTATAGACAAAGATGAAAAATGATATTGTTTTTGAAGGTTTTAAGTGGAAGAATAAATTTGTGCACTTTTTTTGAAAGGCAATTTGACATTATCTAGGTATAAAATATAAATTTCTATTGAACTAGTAATTGTACTTTAGCAGTTTAAGCAGTAGATAGACTCACAAATGCTCAAAGATATATGGACAAGCGGACTGTAAAGTCAGCCAGTAGGCAAAGTTATAGCCATGCTGGTTATTAAAACACAGAAATACTTCTAAGCCAACTGATAAGTGGTTGCTGCACAGAGCTTGCTGATTGCCTCACTGAATACCTCAGCGACTGGGCCCTCTGCAGTGGGCTTGTCTGTGGTCCAGCAATGAAAGGGTTAATACGTAGCCCAGCAGGGCACCCCTAGGACCTCCCTCCAGCATGAAAGTTGGGATCCATTTTATTGGCCAGTACCCATGACAAGGATTGTTAAATATTTTCAATATCACTTCAAATAAAGATGTTCACTGCACATTGTTTGAAAATATCTAAATACCCACTAATAGAAGACCAATTATGTAATTCGTGATCTAACAATACCATGAAATATTATGCCACAATTGAAAAAATAATGAGATAAATCTATATGTAATAATATTTATGAATCCAGGAGCTGGTTTTTTGAAAAGATAAACAAAATAGACCACTAGCCAGACTAATAAACAAGAAAAGAGAGAAGAAGAAAATATATGCAATAAAAAATGATAAAGAGGCTATCACCACCGATCCCAAAGAAATATAAACTACCATCAGAGAATAATATAAACACCTCTATGCAAATAAATTAGAAAATCTAGAAGAAATGTATAAATTCCTAGACACATACACCCTCTCAAGACTAAACCAAGAAGAAGCCGAATCCCTGAGTAGACCAATAACAAGTTCTGAAATTGAGGCAGCAATTAATAGACTACCAACCAAAAAAAGTCCAGGATCAGATGGATTCACAGCCAAATTCTACTAGAGGTACAAAGAGGAGCTGGTACCATTCCTTCTGAAACTATTCCAAACAATAGAAAAAGAGGGAATCCCCCCTAACTCATTTTATGAGGTCAGCATCATCCTGATACCAAAACCTGGAAGAAACAACAAAAAAAGAAAATTTCGGACCAATATCCCTGATGAACATCGACGCGAAAATCCTCAATAACCTACTGGCAAACCGAATCCAGCAGCACATCAAAAAGCTTATCCACCCTGAACAAGTCGGCTTCATCCCTGGGATGCAAGGCTGGTTCAACACATGCGAATCAATAAACATAATCCATCACATAAACAGAACCAATGACAAAAACCACATGATTATCTCAATAGATGCAGAAAAGGCCTTCGACAAAATTCAACAGCCCTTCCTGCTAAAACCTCTCAATAAACTAGGCATTGATGGAACATATCTCAAAATAATAAGAGCTATTCATGACAAACCCACAGCCAATATCATACTGAGTAGGCAAAAGCTGGAAGCATTCCCTTTGAAAACCGGCAAAAGACAAGGATGCCCTCTCTCACCACTCCTATTCAACATAGTATTGGAAGTTCTGGCCAGGGCAATCAGACAAGAGAAAGAAATAAAGGGTATTCAGTTAGGAAGAGAGGAAGTCAAATTGTCTCTGTTCGCAGATGACATGATTGTATATTTAGAAAACCCCATCGCCTCAGCCCACAATCTCCTTAAGCTGATAAGCAACTTTAGCAGTCTCAGGATACAAAATCAATGTGCAAAAATCACAAGCATTCCTATACACCAATAACAGACAGAGAGCCAAATCATGAGTGAACTCCCATTCACAATTGCTACAAAGAGGATAAAATACCTAGAGATACAACTTACAAGGCATATGAAGGACCTCTTCAAGGAGAACTCCAAACCACTGCTCAAAGAAATAAGAGAGGACACAAACAAATGGAAAAATATGCCATGCTCATGGATAGAAAAAATCAGTATGGTGAAAATGGCCATACTGCTCAAAGTAATTTATAGATTCAATGCTATCCCCATCAAGCTACCAATGACTTTTTTCACAGAATTAGGAAAGACTACTTTAAATTTCATATGGAACCAAAAAGCCCATATAGCCAAGACAATCCTAAGCAAAAAGAACAAAGCTGGAGGCATCACTCCACCTGACTTCAAACTATACTACAAGGCTGCAGTAACCAAAACGGCATGGTACTGGTACCAAAACAGATATATAGACCAATAGAACAGAACAGAAGCCTCAGAAATAATGCCATGCATCTACAATCATGTGATCTTTAACAAACCTGACAGAAACAAGCAATAGGGAAAGGATTCCCTATTTAATAAATGGTGTTGGGAAAACTGGCTAGTCATATGCAGAAAGCTGAAACTGGATCCCTTCCTTATGCCTTATACAAAAATTAACTCAAGATAGGTTAAAGACTTAAACATAAGACCTAAAACCATAAAAACCCTAGAAGAAAACCTAGGCAATACCATTCAGGACATAAGCATGGGAGAAGACTTCATGACTCAAATACTAAAAACTATGGCAACAAAAGCCAAAATTGACAAATGGGATCTGATTAAACTAAAGAGCTTCTGCACAGCAAAAGAAACTATCATCAGAGTGAACAGGCAACCTACAGAATGGGAAAAAATTTTTGCAGTCTATCCATCTGACAAAGGGCTGATAGCCAGAATCTACAAAGAACTTAAACAAATTTACAGGAAAAAAACAACCCCATCAAAAAGTGGGCAAAGGATATGAACAGACACTTCTCAAAAGAAGACACTTATGCAACCAACAAACACATGAAGAAAAGCTCATCATCACTGGTCATTAGAGAAATGCAAATCAAAACCACAGTGAGATGCCATCTCATGCCATTTAGAATGGTGATCATTAAAAAGTCAGGAAACAACAGATGCTGCAGCAGATGTGGAGAAATAGGAATGCTTTTACACTGTTGGTGGGAGCGTAAATTAGTTCAACCATTGTGGAAGACAGTGTGGCAATTTCTCAAGGATCTAGAACCAGAAATACCATTTGACCCAGCAATCCCATTACTGGGTGTACTGGTATATACCGAAAGGATTATAAATCATTCTACTATAAAGACACATGCACATGTATGTTTATTGTGGCACTGTTTACAATAGCAATGACTTGGAACCAACCCAAATGCCCATCAGTGATAGACTAGATAAAGAAAATGTGGCACATATACACCATGGAATACTATGCAGCCATAAAAGAGTATGAGTTCCTGTCCTTTGCAGGGACATGTATGATGCTGGAACTAACACAAGAACAGAAAACCAAACACCGCATCTTCTCACCCATAAGTGGGAATTGATCAATGAGAACACACGGACACAGGGAGGGGAAGATTACACACAGAAGCCTGTTGCGGGGTGGGGGCTAGGGGAGGGATGGCATTAGGAGAAACACCTAATGTAGATGATGGGTTGATGGGTGCAGCAAACCACCATGGCATGTGTATACCTTTGTAACAAACCTGCACATTCTGCAGGTGCACCCCAGAACTTAAAATATAACTTTTAAAAAAGAAAAAACAATTATATGTAATGATATTTTTAAATATCTACAATATATTGTTAAATTTAAAAGCCATGTTGTAGAACGGTATGTATGTTATGATTCTGTTTATATATTTATATATTTTTAAGAGATTCATTTAATGAAATCTTTTAAATATGCATAGAAAATGTCAGGAAGGACACCACAGAATGAACTGGGTAACAGGAGTATATGGAGGTAAGAAGGAACTCTTTTTTGTTGTTGTTTAATTTTTTTATTTTAGAGAGAGGGTCTCACTATGTTGCCCAGGCTGGTCTTGAACTCTTAGGCTCAAGCGCTTCTCCCACCTTGGCCTCCCAAAGTGCAGAGATTACAGATGTGAGCCACCACACTTGTCCACTTGTCCAGGACTCTTTCATATACTATTTTATTTATATTCTATACTATTTGATATTTTTAAAAATACTCCTATTAAAAATGATACTGTGTTACTTATTTTAAAAATCTATTTTTAATTAACATGAAAATGCTTACTGAATCACTGATTGTGTTAGTCTATTTTTACATTACTATAAAGGAATACCTGTGACTGGATAGTTTATAAATAAAAGAGGTTTAATTGGCTCGCTGTTCTTCAGGCTGTACAGGAAGCCAGGTGCCAGCATCTGCTTCTAGTGAGGGCCTGAGGAAGCCTATAATCATGGCGGGGGAAGTGGGAGTAGGCATTTCACATGGTGAGACAGATGCAAGAGAGAAAAGAGCGAGGTCCCAGACTCTTTTAAACAACCAGGTTTCATGTGAACTGTTAATAACTGAGCAAGAACTCACTCATCACCCATGGGATGGTGCTAAGCCATTTATGAGGAATGAGCCCCCATGATCCAATACTTTCCACTAGGCCCCACTTCCAACGTTGGGGATTACATTTCAACATGAGATTTGAAGGACTCAAACATCCAAATCATATCACTGATATTTTGAGTCCCCTTAATTAGGGGTCTTAAAACTTTGTTCCATGAACATTCCTGCAATCTATGAAACATTTCTCACAATCATGTTTTAAAATGCCTAAAATAAAATAAATAAGAATACAAGTGAAACCAATTATAATAGGCCAGGAGTGATGGCTCACGCCTGTAATCCTAGCACTTTGGGAGGCTGAGGTGGACAGATTCCTTGAGCCTAGTAGTTCGAAACCAGCCTGGAAAACCTGGTGAAACTCCCATCTCTACAAAGAATACAGATATTATCTGGGCATAATGGCATGCACCTGTAGTACCAGCTACTCAGGAGGCAGAGATAGGAGGATCAACTGAGTTTGGGGAGGTCGCACCACTACACTCGGGCCTGGGCAACAGAGTGAGACCCTGTGTCACACATACACACACACGCAAATAAATGAAACCAATTATATTGAAATATAGTTATCAAAATATTAAAAAGAATAAATTGTGATATAGTAATAGAAGTATTTCTTTATTGACACATTTGATAATAGAAGCAAATCTAATAACTATTGTAAATTCAAAGGAATAATAAGCATAAATGATAATTTGAGGTATCTGTAACAATTGTAATGTGACATGAAAATATATATTACTTCTATCCATGACACAGTTCCAGGTATTATTAATAGTATTGTGGTTTGCTGTTTATAATCACAATTGGAGGAAATGCTAAATTCAAGTTGGCTGTTAATAAAAATAAAGATATAATCTTTCTCAACTGAGTTTATAGATCCTCAAATTCTATCTATGGTCATCTGGGAGACCATGAATTCAAGATCAAGAAACTGCCTATCATAGATAAGTTTGAAAGTATTAGTCTCTCATTTGAAACAAGTCTCGTCATTCAATATAGCTATAAGATCGCCTTGTTTAAAGATACCTATATGCAATGGTAAGGTAAAGAGAATGGAGTCCTCGAATGATTACCAGAACACTGCCTTTTAAACGGGGCCTTAATGTAATGGCTCACAAGAAGTTAGCTCAACTTTTTAAAGTCCATCTGTAATATTTCATTTTTCTTTTATTTCTCTGTTCCTATTCCCTTCAATCTCTATCAGACATTGACTTTTAATCTTTCTTATTTCCCCAACAGTAGCATTTCCCTTCCAGCTGCTCTGCTCTCTAATCTTTCTATATTTTTAGATTGTCTTTTAGCTTGTTTTAATATGAGCTCCCTATCATTATTTTAATGGTGGTTGTAATTAATCACTTACATATCAAGATGTTAACCCTTACCCGCTATAGGGCATGCAATTTGAGATAGTATTCCAGTGATAAGGGTGGATTTGCACTGATCCATTCACACTACATCAGAATCCCCTGCTGTGACTAATGATTCAAAGTGCGAAGGTGACTGGGATTAGTGGAAATATCAGTAATTATAGAATAGATCAAATTTAACAAACCTGTGTAGGAACCTTGGGTCAACCCTATACTTTGATATAATGTTTCTGACACTTTAAAAAATATGTCAAAAATTGTTCTTCATTCTTAAATTATACCAAATGTTCTTATTTCTGCTTTTCTTTGCTAGATTTGAAACCAGATTCGAATGGCTGATATGTGTACATTAGTGTGTGCATATGTGTATGTGTGTGTATATGCATGTGTGAGGTTATTACAATAGTGGTTTTGACTGATCAAGGTAGAGAATATTTATATATGTATTTTGGTCTCAGAAAATACATATTCTAAAATCAAAGAGACTGGGAAACAGAAAATAGTCATACATAGTGTAGCTGAGTTATATTAATAATGAAACACTAGAAAGTTGTGTAGCTAAGCTAAATAGTAGTGGAAGCCTAGAGTAATGATACAGCATCTCTCGCTGTTGAAATCCCCAAAGGCCTCATTTGTTCATGATTGTATAGCATTTCCTTGGATACACTAAGATCTGTCATTATAATTCTCCATCCTTTGCTTGAGCTAATTTATGTTCCTTGCAACCAAAATGCTCAGAATAAGGTAAATGTTTTGAGCATATTCTTAATTACAAGTTTGTTTTGTGATTATTCTATTTGGGAATTCTTGTTAATTTTATTCAGTTTGTTGGGGGTACATATGTGGTCAGTACATGAGTAGCTATGGTGAGATGCCCCCAGAAGTTGGAAATAAAGTTATTTTCTTTGAATAAAAGAAGTAAGAATCATACATAATCATTGAAGTATAACATTAATTCAGTCTAGAAAGATGGTTTGTAAATAGGTGACTGAGGAAATTTTGGGACTCCTCAAATAAAGGTTAATTCATCAATTTAATCTAGTTAATAGAAAGAACAAGTTAACACAGAAGGTGACAATTAAATGTAGATAGATAATATATCAAATAAGAACACTAACATATTTTCCCCGCTACCCCAGGAGGGATGAGATCCCTGAGAATGGACATGGATTTCTTGGCCTCATAGATTATCTCCCTTCACTTTAATTCATATTAACAAAGCAACAGCTTTATGATTATAACCATGTCTGTTACCTAGGTTTTCCTCTAGGGAAAAGATGTAACAGCCAGATGATAAACAGTGTTGCAGGCACTTGACCATTATATTTCTCATTAAAAATTAATGAAATGGATTTCTGGATTGCACATCCTTCTCCTGTGCTCCTGGTTAGGAGAAGATTTGCCGATTCTAATCTTTCTTTCTGGATTTACTCTCTTGTTTTGTGAAAATTACCCTTGAGTAGCTTCCTGGAAAGAGTATATTGAAATTTTTAAATTTTGCCTATCCAAAATTATCTTTATTATACAAGCATACTTGATTGAAAGATTGGTCAGATACAGAATTATTGATTGAAAATAATTTTCACTTAGTATTTTGAAGGCTTATGACATTGTCTTTAGCTTCCAGTGTTGCTATTGAGAAGTCTGATACCATTCTGATTTCTGATCCTTCACATGAGATACTTTAGTTTGATACTTTTCTACTGGAAGTTTTTTTTTTAGGTTTACCAGTTTATTATAAAAGACATTACAAATGATACAGATGAACACCAGATAAAGAGATGCGCAGAGCGAGGCATGTGAGAAGGGGCGTGGAACTTCCATGACCCTCTGGGACACCACCCTCCAGGAACCTTCATGTGTTCAGCTATCTGGGAGCCCTCCCAAACGCTTTTGTATCATTTCTGGTGACTGTATTCAGTAGCTTTTCAAGAGAAGTATTTTATTTTTAATCCAATCATTTTTATTAGGAAACTGAGACTCAGAGAAATTGAATACATTGCAGTCATGTAACTAAAAACTGCCAGATGCAAGATTCAAATACAGTCTAATTCAGAACTCATGTGCTTTACATTACACTGCATGACAGTTTATACTTTACAGTTTTAAGGGACATGAGAGTAGATTTAGTCCAATCACTTGGCCCATACCAGTGATTCACATTCATGTTTATTTGCTTTTTTTGAAGTTCTTTCTCTGAAGAATTACACTGATTCACAGTATGGGCACCAAAATACCACTTTTAATTCTTATGGAAAGTAATTCCAACTTTTATTAGTTATTTGAGAAATCTATGACACATTCAAGCCATCAAGGACTATGTAAACCAAAATAAAGAATTCAATTTCAAGTGTCTTACTATTTCAAATATGAGTCAATACAGGTTTAAAGTATCAGCCATTCTACTTGGCCAGTTGAATTCTCTTTAATACAGTTAGTCTCGTAGAGGACAGCCTTGTGATTTTAATGCACTCCACACTGATTAACATCTTAAATTCAGTTGTCTATCTTCTAAAACACTGCGAAATGTGACTCCTCTTTTAGGAAGTATGCTAAATGTGTCTTCCATTTCTTTGGGCTTTTGTGTTAAATCTGAGATTGCTTCTCTAAAGGCATCATTCTGAAAAACAACTGGTTCAGAATGACTGCTACATTAACATGGAAAGAGTTTTTCATTTTAATTAGATTTAATACAATTCTTTTACAGATAACAACATATTAAGGTTGAATCTTATTTGCTACAATTGTGCTTAAATAATATGCTGACTATACTTTACAGAGGGCTGATGTTATCACCAAATTATATACATTAAATTCTCATGGACTATTGAAAACAAATATGAAATGAAATCTTTTCCTCTATGATTCTTAAAAAGAAACAAAAGTATATAGACATATAATGTATAAAATATATGCTATTCAAGGTGAATGTGAATCAATTTGCGAATCCAAACCTTCCAAGGGGTATCTATTCACCTTTACATTTACCACCATAGTTTTAAAACATTCACTTAATCTTCTTATACTTGAGTCATTGTAGATACCAGATGTAATTAAAACTCCATCAGCAAAAGGAGAATTTGGACTTCTATATTACCCATTTTAGATTGCTTATGTCTCTATTATACCTCCCTCCCGCAGAATCTATCATACCAGGACAAAAGTGAAGCAAGCATTAAATTATTCATTAGCTCAGCTCTACCTTTCCTGGATTTCCAAAACATTTATTCCAAAATTGATTATTCAAAAAAAAATTTTAATAGGATATGTCCCAAAGTGTATTTTATGAGACAGTAATAGATGTCAGAGGAAAATAATAAGTAAAGGATGGGTTCTATCACCAAATTAATTAAAATCTGGGTAGTTTTCTACTGCAGAATTTTTTAAAACTTCAATATGTTATAATACATTCATTTTAATCTCTCTAACAAGAGCAAGCTATTGCATAAAAAATTCCAAGATGAATTTGACTGGGGAATCTGTTTTAAAAGAAGTCATTTTTTTGTTCTAAAAATCAAGGGGCAATTGAAAAACACTGTTTTAGGCTCTTGTAGCACATCAATTATAGCCTTTTCAAAATGTATCAACAGATTTTAGTGGGGAACAGCCTCTCTCCCTGTCATTAATTACACATTTATCTTATAAGTAAATTGTTATAACTGGTTTCAAACTTACACATGTGATTTGAATAGCTAATCCCCAGAAAGCCCTGGATTTATGGAGAATGATTCTATAAAGAAAAGAAGTATGAAACCAAACTGGGTTTTATACAAAGATTCCAGAAAAAAACTTCTCTCGAGACCTGCTTTATAATGATAAATTAAATTGTTCCCAATTCTTTAGTTTTCCTTGTGAAACAGTTCTTAAAGTCACATTTGTCTATTTCCCCTAATGAGTCACTACCAGACATCCCAATAGGAGGCATAGGTTTCCTGTGGAGACAATTTAAAGCTAATTCAGTGTTCTAACATTTATTTTTTCCAGTTGTTCAAAAAGTTTAGTGCATTTTAAGCAATGGATTTTTTAAAAGTAACCATTAATCTGTGGTTAGGTTTTCATATGCTTGGAGGTTTTGACTAGCCTAAAGGAAAATGGACCCTAATTACTTTATTTGTTCATTCAATTAATATTTATTGATTCTATTTTGTGCCCATTAACGTGCTCTGTACTGGCATTAGTGTAAAAAAAAAAAACCCTTGGTTCTTCCCTTAACTTGCATGAAAATATTAAAATATAGGGTGAAAATAGCTACAGTATAGGTCTAACGGCTGTTGATTATAACAAGCTTACTTTAAGAATAGCTGCACCAGTAACACACTACAATAGATTTTCATTAGAGATTTTTTCTGTCAGCGATTCCCAGTGATGATTATGCATAAGCATCATCAGAGTTTGAGGATCACTTCTGATTTCTGGTCTGATATGTAAAGAGCTTAGAGGTCATTACTCCCATCCTCACAGCATATACGAAGCTGAACAAACTGAAAATCAACAACTCTTCGTAGAGCCATCAGAGAATTCAGATCACAGGGCTAACTGTGGCCCCCAGAACTGGAAGGAGGGACAAATACCAAGAATCACAACTGACCAGGAGCAGAAGCCCAAAGCAAAATCCTGCCATTGGGAGCAGTAGTGATAGGAAAAGTTAACACGGTGACTTTCTGAAGGCTCAATGTGGACTAGAATGAGAGTTAAGACATCTGTTAAGATTCGGTTTTAGGATAACCCCATACTTTCATAATTTTTATCTCCAGGATCCCTATTAGGTTCTAAGGGTGAAGCAGGGAAAAATCCCTTCATGTTCCTGGCAAGGGGAAGGAATAGTAACCACCTGAAATGCACCCAGGGCCTTCTGTTTTTCTTAACAAAGACTTCCCTCAAACTATTTTTGGCTGAGTGCAGTAGTTCACACCTGTAACCCCAGCACTTTGGAAGGCCAAGGTGGGTAGGCCACTTGAGCCCAGGAGTTCAAGACTAACCTGGGCAACCTGGTAAAACCCTGTCTCTACAAAAAAAAAAAAAAAAATTAGCTGGACATGGTGTCCAACCTCAGGAGGCTGAGGTGAGAGGATCACTTGAGGCCAGGAGGTCGAGGCTACAGTGAGCTGTGATTGTGCCACTATACTCCAGCCTGGGTGACAGAGGGAGACCCTTTGTCAAAAGGAAAAGAAAAAAAAAACAAAGAAAAAGGCAAGAAAAGAAAAGAAACTACTTTACCAGAACCTAACTGACCTTTGGGGGAAGGGAAATAACCCCAGCCCCATTTAATTGTCTTGTCTCCCCCCCCCCCCCGCATCTAAGGGGGATAGGGAGGGAAGCTGAGAAGCAATTGTGAAGGTCACAGTCCAGAGGCACAGGCTCACTAAAAGACTAGAACCTAACCATAGGACTACACAATGCATCCTCTGTACCCACACCTTACCAACCCATCAGTCAGGCTCTTAATAATAATAGTTGATTATAGCTAAAAGAACTACAGGTTCGGATCCTGTTTAAGGAGTCTCTACAAAAACTCAAAGACAAAAGATGGGATAGAAACAAGAACACTGGAGGAAACTTTAGCCCCTGACACCTGCAGCTACAGCATACAGTAAACAGAACCTAACTCTTAGCTAGACAAACATAAAACCTCACATTAAGACCCATTTTCTTTGATTCCTTTTACCTGATACATCATTCTTGACTTTCAGCAAAATATTACAAAGCATGAACAAATGCAAAAAAACAAAAAAAAAGAAACAAAAAATAAAAATAAAAATAAAAACAGTTTGAAGAGAGAAAGCATGCATCAGAACCAGGCTCAGATACTCAGATATGGCAGAGATTTTGCAATTATCAAACCAGGAATTTACAATAATTATGAATAATATTCTAAAAGGTATAGTTAAAAAGGGGACAACATGCAAGAACAGATGGGTAATACAAGCAGAGAGATAGGAAATAAGAAAGAAGCAAAAGAAAATGCTAAAAATAAAAAATGTTGTAATAGAAATGAAGAGTTTAATGGGCTTACTGAAAGAATGTACATAACTGAGGAAGAAATCAGTGAGCAAGAAAATACATCAAAAGAAACTTCCCAAACTGAAAAGCAAAGAAAAAAAAAAGGAATGACAAAAAAAAAAACAAAAACCCAGAACAGAATATCTAAGAATGGTGAGACAGTTACAAAAGGTACAATATATGCATAATAAGTATATCAATACTCAAAGAGAGAAAGAAAGGAGCAGAGGAAATATTAGAAGTAATAAAGGCTAAAAATCTTTCAAAAGCCATGAGAGATACCAAATCACAGAGCCAGGAAGTTCAGAGAATATCAAGCAGGATAGATACCAAAAAGTCTCCACCTAGGCATATCATATTGAAACTTCAGAAATTCAAAGACAAAAAGAAAATCTTCAAAGAAGCTGGGGATTGGTGGTGGAGAAAACCTATTTACACAGGAACAATTATAAGAATTACATCTGACTGCTCTTCGGAAACTATGCACTCAAGAGTGAAGTGAAATATGTAAGTTAGAAAAAAGCCACCAGTATGGAATTCTGTATCCAGTGAAATTATCATTCAAAAGTGAAGGAGAATGACTCTTGGACAAACAACAATGAGGAAATTTGTTGCCAATAGAACTACCTTGCAAGAAATGTTAAAAAGTTCTTCAGAGAGAAGGAAAATTACATAGGTCAGAAACTTGGATCTACATAAGGAAAGGAAGAGTGAGGCCGGGCGCGGTGGCTCACGCCTGTAATCCCAGCACTTTGGGAGGCCGAGGCGGGTGGATCACGAGGTCAAGAGATTGAAACCATCCTGGCCAACATGGTGAAACCCCGTCTCTACTAAAAATACAAAACTTAGTGGAGCGTGGCGGCGCATGCCTGTAGTCTTCTCGGGAGGCTGAGGTAGGAGAATCGCTTGAACCCGGGAGGTTTCAGTGAGCCGAGATCACATCAGCCTGGCGACAGAGTGAGACTCCGTCTTAAAAAAAAAAAAAAAAAGGAAGAGTGTTATAGGAGTAAACAAAAGTAAAATAACATATATTCATGTGTTATTTTTCTTTTTAAATATTAGTCTAAGAGCGGTTTGTCTGAAATTATAACAAAAATTAATTTTGTGATTATAGCTTATGAATAAATGAAATTAATGACAGCAATGTTATAAAGAATGAATGGCAGTCAGGGGCAGTGGCTCAGGCCTATAAATCCGAGCACTTTGGGAGGCCAAGGTGGGCAGATCACCTGAGGCCAGGAGTTCAAGACCAGCCTGGCCAACATGGTGAAACCCTGTCTCTACTAAAACACAAAAATTAGTTGGGCATGGTTGGCATACTTGTAATCCCAATTACTCAGGAAGCTGAGACAGGAGAATTTCTTGAACCTGGGAGGTAGATATTGTAATGAGCCGAGATCATGCCACTGCACTCCAATCTGGGTAACAGATTGAGACTCTGTCTCAAAAAAAAAAAAAAAAAAAAAGAATGAATGGCAGCAATTGGGAATACTTTGTTATAAGGTACCTGCACTAAGAATGAAGCATTATTGATATGGTTTGAATGTGTGTCCCCTCCAAATCTCATGTTGAAATGTGATCCCCAGTGCTGGAGGTGGGCCTAGTGGAAGAAGTTTGAGCCATGGAGTTGGATCCTTCATGAATGGCTTGATACTGCCCGCATGGTAATGAGAGTTTAGGAAAGATCTTTGTTTAAAAGAGTTTGCCACCTCTTCCCTCTCTCTGTTACTCTTTCTTTTGCCATGTGACACACTGCCTCCCCTTTGCCATCCACCATGATTGTAAACTTCCTGAGGCTGTCACCAGAAGCAGATGATGGGACCTGGCTTCCTGTACAGCCTGGAGAACTGAGAGCCAAATAAACTTTTTTTTATAAATTACCCAGTCTCAGGTGTTTCTTCATAGCAATGGAAACAGACTAACAGAAGTATACTGTTATTGCAAAGTGAACTTTGATTAGTTGTAAATGTATATTGCAAACTCTAGGGCAACCACTAAAAAAAAATTTTAAGTATAATTTTTATGCTAAGAAAATAGATTCATATAAAATACTCAATTAAAATCAGAGAAGGCAATAGAAGGGTGAAAGTCAAAAGAAAAAATAAAGAACAAGAGTAATAAATACAAAATAGTTACAAATATGATAGATATTAAGCCAACTATATCAGGCTGGGTGTGGTAGCTCACACCTGTAATTCCAGCATTTTGGGAGGCGAGTGGCTCACTTGAGCTCAGGAGTTCTAGACCAGCCTTGGCAAATGACAAAACCCCACTTCTACAAAAAATACAAAAAGTCACAAGCCATTGTTGCTTATTCCTGTAGTCCCACCTACTTGGGAGGCTGAGATGGGAGGATCGCCTGAGTTCAGGAGGCAAAGGTTGCAGTGAGCTGTGAGTGTCCCGTTGCATTCCAGCCTGGGCAACAGAGCAATGTCCTGTCTCAAAAAAATAAAATTAAATTTAAAAACCCAACTACATCAATAATCACTTTAAATGTAATTGATCTGAATACATCAATTAGAAATACATCAATTAGAAATGGAAGGAAATTTGCTCAACTTGCTAACATCTAAAAAAAACCTACAACTAACATCACAGTTAATAGTGAGAAACTTGATGCTTTCCCCCTAAGATCAGGAACAAGATAAGGATGTCCTACCGTCCTACCCCTCCTATTCAAAATTGTACTGGAAGTCCTAGCTAATATAATAAGACAAGAAAAGAAATAGTTTACAGATTGGGATGGAAAAAATAAAACTCTTTGTTCACATATGACATAACTATATATGTAGAAAATCTCAAAGAATTGACAAAAATACTCTTGAAACTAATAAACAACTGTAGCAAAGTTGCAGGGTACAAGCTTAATACCAAAAGTCAGTGTTGTTCCACTATACCAGCAATTAATAGTTGAAATATGAATATGAGTAAACAACACAATTTAATTTAGCACCAAAGGAAAAAATAAATACTAATCTTTAAAAGTATGTACAAGACCTGTATGAGGAAAACCACAAAGGTCAGATGAAAGAAATCAATGATCCAAATAAATTCCTTGCTCATGGATGAGAAGACTCAATATTATTAAGTTGTCAGTTCTTACCAACTTGATCTATATATTTAATTTAACCCAATCAAAATCCCAGCAAGTTATTTTGTGGATATTGACAAACAGATTCTAAAGTTCATACGGAAAGGCAAAAAGACTCAGAATAGGCAACAAAGTATTAAGAACACAGTACAGACACTACCAACTTTAAAACTTCCTATAAAGCTACAGTATCAAGACAGTGTGGTATTGGCAAAAGAATAAATACTTTAATGGAACAGAGTAGAGAACTCACAGACACACATAATGAACTGTTCTTTGACAAAGGAGCAATGGCAATACAATGGAGACAAGAGAGTCTTTTCAACAAATGGTGCTGAAACAACTGGACATCAAAATTTAATCTAGACAAGGGTCTTATACCTTTGCCTAAAATTAACTCAGAATTGATCCTAGCCTTTTGAAAAATGTAAAAGTATAAAACTCCTAAAAGATAACATAGGAGAAAACCTAGATGAGCTGGATATAGCAATGAGTTTTTTAGCTATGACACCAAAACCATGGTCCATGAAAAAACATTGATAAATTTTACTTTATTAAAATTGAAAACTTCTGCTACTGTAAAAGATAGCATTAAGGGAATGTATTAAGAGAAACACATATATGATAAAGAACTGGTATACAAAATATACAAAAAGTCCTTAAAAACCTAACAATAGGAAACCAAACAGCCTAGAAAGTGGGCAAAAGATATGAAAAGATACCTCACCAAAGATATACAGATGGCAGATAAACCTATGAGAAGATGCTCAGCATCATATGTCATTAAGGAATTGCAAATTAAAACAACAATGAGATATTACTCACAACTATTAGAATAGCTAAAATTCAAAACACTGACAACCCCAAGTGCTTGTTGAGGATGTGAAGCAACAAGACCTCTCATTCTTGGCTGATGGGAATGCAAAATGGTATAGCCACTTTGGAAGACAGTTTGGGCAGTTTTGGCAGTTTCTTACAAAACTAAACAAACTCTTATCACACAAACTAGCAATCACACTCCTTCGTGTTTACCCAAATGAGTTGAAAACTTAAGTCTGCACAAAAACCAGCACAAAAATGTTTATAACAGCTTTATTTATAATTGCCAAAACTTGGAAGCAACCAAGAAGTTCCTCAGAAGGTGAATGGATAAACAAATTTGGTGCACCTATTTAATGGAGTACCATTTAGCAACAAATGAAAATCAGCCATTAAGCCACAAAGACATAAAGGTACCTTAAGTGCATGTTACTAAGTGAAAGAAGCCAATCTGAGTGGGTTACTTACTATATGATTCCAACTATAAGACATTCTGGAAAAGTCGACACTGTAGAGACAATAAAAAGATCAGTTGTTTCCAGAGGTTTAGAGTAAGAAAGGAAGAATACATAGGTGAAACATGTAGGATTTTTAGGGCAGTGAAATTATTATATATGATACTCCAATGTTACATACATGACATTATCATTGTGCATTATTTTGGAACCTACAGCACTATACAACATAGAGAATTAACCCTAATATAAACTATGGATTTTAGTTAATAATTGAGTATTAATATTGGCTCATCATTTCTAACAAATGTACCACCCTAATGCAAGATGTTAGTAAGAAGAGAAACTGTATACAGGATAGAGGTGGGGAGAAGTGACATATGGAAACTCTGTAATTTCTGCTCATGTTTTCTGTAAACCAAAAACAGCTCTAAACAAGAAAGTCAAGTAATAAAGTTTCAAGACCACAAACTTTTGTAATTATATTTAGAGAAGATCCAGTATTTCTGGGCTTTTTGTTCAAAAGGAATGAGCACAACATGAGTTAAGGGCATATGCCTCTGAGAGACAATGATAGTTCATGTCACAGGACTGTCATAGTATATCATTTATTTTTTATACCATCCTTTTTCTCTACAGGAGACTCATCTTGAATGGACCATGAATAAAACTTTAATATGGACCTTTCTGTTTCAATGGACTATATATACCACTTCTTTTAAATTACCTTTTCCTCCTGCAGTTGCTATTACATGACTACCAATCTAAAAATTATGGGAAATGCTTTTGGGGTTTTATTAAGATTAATGGACCTTTTACCCCCCTTTATGAGGTTTTCAACTGGTACTTTAATTCTAAGGAAATATACCCACCAGTTCTGGGATGTCTGCCCTAGGAGATTAACTAGTGGTTGACTTCTTACTGTACATATTCCATTAGTTTATGATTGGCCAGAAAATTTCACATTATTTTCTAACACTTGAAAGCAAAAGGGGAAAGAAAAATCCCCAGAAGGCACCAAATTGCTATTTCTAAGTGTCCAAGTGCAATTTTAAATAATAGTTGAGTTTGACCAGTTTATTGCAACCCTGAATCTCAAGTTGACTCTAAACTTGCCTTTTAATCACGGTAACCACAACACAGAATCAGGAAAGAAGTAGGCATTTGCTGTTATATCCCTCCTTATTAATACAAAATGCTACTCAATCTCATAACTCCCTACTGCACTCTTAGCAACCCCAACTTCCTCTTATCACATCTCAACCCATTGCCAATCTAAATTATTATGTACCAATTTTTTTAGGAAGATAAATTCTGAGAACAGAATTTTTTACTGGGAACTTTTTTTCCAGAATAACATGGAGTTTATTTTAAGGTGTGTTTCAGCCAACAGTATAAAGAACAAACCAGAAACCCAGCTAGTTGGGTGCAGTTAATACATTCTGAGAATTCAAGTCCTGAAAATAGTTATTTTAATATCAAATGTTGACAGCATCTTTTAGTGACACAGCCTTCACTCAGATCTCCTTTTTGCTATGGGTTTGAAGTTGAGCCTCTAGGGACATTGAAATTTGTAGTATCAAATGTCTTTTAAGCTAGAACTAAGCAGATATTATCATTGCCTGAACACCAGATGGTGAAGAGTTCCTTATCAGCTCACTTATAAAAGAGCCATAGGGAGAAGGAAGGAAAGGAAGAATAACTGAGGGGATGGATCTCTGATATGGTTTGGCTGTGTCCCCACACAAATCTCATCTTGAATTCCCATGAGTCTTGGGAAGAACCCAGTAGGAGATGACTGAATTATGGGGGTGTGTCTTTCCTGTGCTTTTCTCATGATAGTGAATGAGTCTCACAAGATCTGATAGTTTTAAAATGGGAGTTTCCCTGAACAAGCTCTCTTTGCCTGCTGCCATCCACGTAAGATGTGACTTGCTCTCCTTGCCTTCCACCATGATTGTGAGGCCTCCCCAGCCATGTGGAACTGTAAGTCCAATAAACCTTTTTCTTTTGTAAATTGCCCAGTCTTCTTGGGTATGTTTTTATCAGCAGGATGAAAACAGACTAATACAGTAAATTGGTACCGGTAGAGTGTGTGCTGCTGAAAAGATACATGAAAATGTGGAAGCAACTTTGGAACTGGGTAACAGGCAGAGGTTGAAACAGTTTGGAGGGCTCAGAAGAAGATGGGAAGATGTGGGAAAGTTTGGAACTCCCTAGAGACTTATTGAATGGCTTTGACCAAAATGCTGATAATGATATGGACAATGAAATCCAAGCTGAGGTGGTCTCAGATGGAGATAAGGAACTTGTTGGAACCTGAAGCAAAGGTGACTCTTATGATGTTTTAGCAAAGAGATTGGCAGCATTTTGCTCCTGCCCTAGAGATTTGTGGAACTTTGAACTTGAGAGATGATTTAGGGTATCTGGTGGAAGAAACTTCTAAGCAGCAAAGCATTCAAGAGGTGACTTGGGTGCTGTTAAAGGCATTCAGTTTTAAAAGGGAAACAGAGTATAAAAGTTCAGAAAATTTGCAGCCTGACAATGCCATAGAAAAAAAAATCCCATTTTCAGAGAAGAAATCCAAGCCAGCTGCAGAAAATTGCATAAGTAACAAGGAGCCAAATGTTAATCACTAGGACAATAGGGAAAATGTCTCCAGGTCCTGTCAGAGACCATTGAGACCACTCCCATCACAGGCCTCGAGGCCTAGGAGGAAAAAATGGTTTTGGGGGACAGGCCCAGGGTCCCCATGCTGTGTGCAGTCTAGGGACTTACTGCCCTGTGTCCCAGCCACTCCAGCCATGACTAAAAGGGGCCAATGTACAGCTCGGGCCATGGCTTCAGAGGGTGCAAGCCCCAAACCTTGGCAGCTTCCATGTGGTGTTGAGCCTGCCAGGTGCACAGCAGTCAAGAACTGAGGTTTGGAAACCTCCACCTAGATTTCAGAAGACGTATGGAAATGACTAGATGTCCAGGCAAAAGTTTGCTGCAGGGGTGGGGCTCTCATGGAGAACTCTGCTAGAGCAGTGCAGAAGGGAAATATGGGGTCAGAGCCCCCACACAGAGTCCTACTGGGGCACTGCCTAGTGGAGCTGTGAGAAGAGGGCCACCATCCTCCAGACCCCAGAAAGGTAAATCCACTGACATCTTGCACCGTGTGCCTGGAAAAGCTGCAGACACTCAATGCCAGACTGTGAAAGCAGCTGGGAAGGAGGCTATACCCTACAAAGACACAGGGGCTAAGCTGCCCAAGACCATGGGAACCTCTTGCATCAGCATGACCTGCATATGAAACATGGGGTTGAAGGAGATCATTTTGGAGCTTTAAGATTTGACTGCCATGATGGATTTCAGACCTGCATGGGCCCTGTAGCCCCTTGGTTTTGGCCAATTTCTCCCATTTGGAATGACTGTATTTACCCAATGCCTGTACCCCCATGGTATCTGGGAAGTAACTAACTTGCTTTTGGTTTTACAGTCTCATAGGCAGAAGGGACTTGCCTTGTCTCAGATGAGACATTGGACTGCACTTTTGAGTTAATGCTGAAATGGGTTGAGACTTTGGGGAACTGTTGGGAAGGCATGATTGGTTTTGAAATGTGAGGACATGAGATTTGGGAGGGGCCAAGAGTGGAATAATATAGTTTGGCTGTGTCCCCACCCAAATCTCATCTTGAATTCCCATGTGTTGTGGAAAGGACCCAGTGGGAGGTAATTGAATCATGGGGACAGGTGTTTCCCATGCTGTTCTTATGATAGTGAATAAGTATCATGAGATTTGATGGTTTTGAGAAAGGGAGTCTCCCTGAACAAGCTCTCTTTTTGTCTGCTGTTATCCATGTAAGATGTGATTTGTTCCTCCTTGCCTTCCACAATGATTGTGAGGCTTCCTCAACCATGTGAAACTGTTAAGTCCAATTAAACCTCTTTGTAAATTGCCCAGTCTTGGGTATGTCTTTATCAGTAGCATGAAAATAGACTAATACAATCCTTTTTTAAAAAGTAATAAATGGTCAAGTCAGAACACTAAAATGTAAAATAAGGGCTTTGAGTTTCTTTTTTTTTTTTTTTAGATGGAGTCTCACTCTTTTGCCAGGCTGGAGTGCAGTGGCGCGATCTCGGCTCACTGCAACCTACACTTCCCTGGTTCAAGCACTTCTGCTGCCTCAGCCTCCCAAGTAGCTGGGACTACAGGTGCATACCACCATGCCCAGCTAATTATTGTATTTTCAGTAGACACGGGGTTTCACCATGTTGGCCAGGATGGTCTTGATCTCTTGACCTCATCATCCACCTGCCTTGGCCTCCCAAAGTGCTGGGATTACAGGCGTGAGCCACTGCACCTTGCCTCTGTCTCTTTTTTTTTTTAACAGCTTTATTAAGAAATAACTCACATACCATACAATTCACCCATTTAAAATGCACTATTAAATGTTTTTAAAAACATATTCAGAGCATTGTTCAACCATCAGCACAATCTAACTTTAGAACATTTTCATCATCCCTAAAAGAAACCCAAAGCCCATTAGCAATCAATCACCATTCTCCTCTTTCCCCACCCCAGTTCTAAGCAACCACTAGTTTATTTTCTGTCTCTATAAATTTGCCTATTCTGAATATTTCATATAAATGAAATCATACAATATGTAGTCTTTTGTGACTTATTTATTTCATTTAGCCTCATATATTCAAAGGTATTCATATTGTAGTGTGTATCATGGAATATCATTTTTATCATGTAATGAGTTGATGGACATTGTGTTATTTAAACATCTTGGCTGCCATGAATAATGCTGCTTTAGACATTTATGTACAAGATTTTGTGGGGTTTATGTTTTGTTTTGTTTTTTTTTTTTTGGATAGATGCTTAGGAGTGGAATTGCCATGTAATTTGGTCATTCTATGTTTAACTTTTTGAGGAACTGACAATTTGTTTTCTAAAGGAGCTGCACAATTTTACATTTTCAACAGCAATGTATAAGGTGAGAGCTCCAATTTTGCCCTATTTAATCTCTTTTATAAATTCACCTATGCAAAAACAGAAAGAAAGGCAGGAAGGCAAGAAGGCAAGAAAGAAGGAATAAGTCAGATAATGCTTTCCTGCTTATAGGGTCATTCTAATGATGGATTAGACTTTTTCAGTGAGGTATTATATAAATAAAGACTGAATTACATTGACCCTCTTTCCTACATTATTGGCTATTTTCTCAATGGAATTATAAGCCTAAATTTTTTTTTATAATCTTTGAAGTGAAAAAAATGCAAGAAACAAAACTGCTTATGCTTGCATGCATGTTTTCACACAAACATGCAAAGTAAAGGATCTGGAAGAAAATACACCCAGATTTTAATACTTCTTTTCTCTAGAAATGGAGACTACACATGGATTTTGTTTGTCTTATTTTTGGTTATCTATAGCTATCTTTTAAAAAACAATAAAGCATGTATAGCTTTTTCATTTTAAGGAGCAAATATGATACTCCTGCCAGTAGGCTCATAGCACTGTTTCTAAACCTGGAACATTAGAATTACCAAAGAAGTTTAAAAAAATAATAGCAAATGTCCCAATCCCCCCTTCCTTAGATATTCAAATTTAATTGATCTGGGAAGATTCTAATGTGAAAGTAGAGAATCACACCCTGTACCTTCAATTTCATGCCACCTTCTTTGTTGAGTTTTACAGGAAGAAAAGAATGCCTTCCTACAGGCTGTCCGTCTCCTGATGTGAAGTTAGTTGAGGCCATTTTATTTATGGTTTGTAAGGTATTATCTTTACTGGGTTACATCTGGAGAGGTTTCCTTAGTATCAAGAGACTACTTCAAGAAACATGTGAAGAGGTGTCCCAGACTTTCTTCTGGCAAGTGTCATGGGAAGATCAGCAACTTACTGTTGAAATGAAACCATCTGGCACTTAAAGAGTTCAACACAAAGAGTAAGGTGCAGTTTTTAATCCACTCTTTAAAAGAAAGCAGTCTTTGGCTTAATGGATAACTAATGGATACTATTTAGACAATGATTTGTCACCCAGTCTTCTGCTGCATAGTAATGAGAGAGGCACAGAAGCGATCAGGGTATGGGAGAGAGAAGATAGAAGTAAACGTGGAAAACCTCAGTAAGAATATGCCTCAGTGAATATTCTACACCATTGCCTCTTTTTTTATAAGTACAATAGGTGGTTGGAGAGAAACAGGATCCACTAAAATTCTTGATTATGTCATGTGCTGCAAAGTAACACGCTTCTTAAATGAAGAACAAAGGAGCCATTATGTGTCTGATACTTTCAAAACTAGGAATATTTGAGTTTCTGTCAGAAGGATCTATTTCTGAAACATTTGAAGACTTTCACCTTAAAAGCTTGGATGCATACATTCCTTGATAAGTCTTAGTCTTGGCTCCTGTTTGGTCTCTCTTTGGTGGGGTGAGAAGAGGGTTGAAGAGAATGTTTGTCTTTCTCTGTGACAGGAAGGGTAAGTACTACCGAATTTAAGCAGCTCTTATCACAAATGCAGTTATTTTTAGAAGATTTATTTTTATCTCTTCATCTACAAAGCAATTTTAATGAGTTTCAACTATGTACAAGGCGTGGTAGATAAATGGGGAAAGCCAAAAATGAATAACATTATTCAAGGCCTTCAAATTCTTATGATCCAGAAGAAAAAAAATACAAGTACTCAAAATACAACAAAAAATACAAGTACTCAAAAAATTATTAAACAGTAGAATGTGGAAAATTGCATGAAAATGCAATAGGTTCTGTAAGGTCTCTAAGAATAGAGAGACCACTTTTCAATGTAGAAGATATTAAATGTTTTCTAGCATTATCTCAAAGCTGAATTTCCTCTCGCCATTTTTAAAGCTGTACCAATTTTCAAATGAATCTATGCAATCCCTTTAAATTCAATTGTGAGGCTTTTGTTTATCCTTTTCTCTCACTGAACTGTTTGTTATTATTGTTTCTGTATAATAAATGTCAGAAGTGTTTGGTTGTTTTGGCCTTCTGCTTCCTGCTTCAGATTGCCAAATTGCCTTTTAGTTTAGAATGCTCATTTGTAATCACATTAGACATTAATATCAAGGAAGGTGCAGGATTCTTCTGGTTAACTCTGAAAGTTTAAATTTAACATTTAAATATAATGATAATGACAATAAATAATAGCTACCATTTATTGAGCTATTTCACTTTGTTCCTTCTGTGTGATCATCTTGTTCTAAATGTATTATCTCATTTAAATTTTAAAAAATTATAATCCTTAATTTTTGTGGATACATAGTAGGTGTATATATTTAGGGGGAATGTAAGATATTGTGAATCAGGCATGAAGTGCATAATAATCACATCATGGATAATGAAGTATCCATCGTCTCACGTGTTTATCATTTGTGTTCAAATAATCCAATTATACTATTTTAGTTATTTTTAAATGCATAATTAAATTATTTTGTCTATAGTCACCCTATTGTGCGATCAAATACTAGGTCTTATTCTTTCTCTTTGTACCCATTAACCATCCCCACCTGCCCCCTCCCTCACTCACTACCCTTCCCAGTCTCTGGTAACCAGCCTTCTACTCTATCTCCATGAGTTCAATTGTTCTGATTTTTAGATCCCACAAATAAGTGAGAACATGCAATGTTTGTCTTTCTGTGCCTGGCTTATTTCACTTAACAAAATGACTTCCAATTCCATCCAGGTTGTTGAAAATGACAAGATCTCATTCTTTTTATGGCTGAATAGTACTCCATTGTGTATATGTACCACATTTTCTTTATCCATTTATCTATTGATGGACACTTAGGTTGATTCCAAATCTTGGCTATTGTGAATAGTGCTGCAACCAATATAGGAGTGCCAATATCTGTTGGATATACTGATTTCCTTTCTTTTCTTTTCTTTTTATTTATTATTTTTTTTGAGATGGAGTCTTACTCTGTCACCCAGGCTGGAGTGCAGTGGTGTGATCTCGGCTCACTGCAACCTCCACCTCCTGGGTTCAAGCAGTTCTCTGCCTCAGCCTCCTGAATACCTGGGATTACAGGTGCCCGCCACCACACTCAGCTAATTTTTGTATTTTTAGTACAGACGGGGTTTCATCATCTTGGCCAGGCTGGTCTTGAAATCCTGACCTCGTGATCCACCCACCTCGGCCTCCCAAAGTGCTGGTATTACAGGCATGAGCCACTGCGCCTGGCGATTTCCTTTCTTTTGAGTATATACCCAGCAGTGGGATTGCTGGATCACATGGTAGCTCAATTTTTAGTTTTTTGAGGAACCTCCAAACTATTCTCCATAGCGGTTGTACTAATTTACATTCCCACCAACAGTGTACAAGGGTTCCCTTTTCTCCACATTCTCGCCAGCATTTGTTATTGCCTGTCTTTTGGATATAAGCCATTTTAACTCTGGTGAGATGACATCTCATTGCAGCTTTGATTTAAATTTTGCTGATGATCAGTGATGTTGAGCACCTTTTCATATGCCTCTTTGCCATTTGTATGTTTTCTTTTGAGATCCATCTATCTATATCTTTTGCCCATTTTAAAGTTAGATTACTAGATTTTTTTCCTATAGAGTTGCTTGACCTCCTTGTATGTTCTAATTATTAATCCCTTGTCAGATGGGTAGTTTGCAAATATCACGTATCTCTGTTTTCCAAGGATTGGTCCCTTGTGCCTTATTTTATTTTATTTACTATGTTATGTTATGTTATGTTATGTTATGTTATGTTATGTTATGTTATGTTATGTTATGTTATGTTATGTTATTTGTCACCCAGTCTTCTGCTGCACAGTAATGAGAGAGGCACAGAAGCGATCAGGATATGGGAGAGAGAAGATGGAGTCTCACTCTGTCACCCAGGCTGGAATGCAGTGGCACTATCTCTGCTCACTGCAACTTCCGCCTCCTGGGTTCAGGCTATTCTCCTGCCTCAGCCTCTGGAGTAGCTGGGATTACAGGCGTGCACCACCACGCCAGCTAATTTTTATATTTTTAGTAGAGAGGGGGGTTTCACCATGTTGGCCAGGCTGGTCTCAAACTCCTGACCTCAAATGATCCGCCCGCCTTGGCCTCCCAAAGTGCTGGGATTACAGGCATGAGCCACCATGACCGGCCCCTTGTGCCTTATTTAATTCGTTTAGTGAGGTCACGTTTTCCTGGATGATCTTGATGCTTATGGATGTTTGTCAGTGTCTGGGCATTGAAGAGTTTGGCATTTATTGTAGTCTTCGCAGTCTGGACCTGTTTGTGCCCATCTTTCTTGAGAAGGTTTTCCAGGTATTTGAAGGGACTTCAAGCCCAATAATGCTGTGGTTTTTGCAGACTCATAGAGGTACCACCTTGGTGGCCTTGGATAAGATCCAGAAGAATTCTCTGGATTATCAGGCAGAAACTCTTGTTCTTTTCCCTTACTTTCTCCCAAACAAATGGAATCTCTCTGTCTTTGCTGAGCCACCTGGAACTGGGGATGTGGTGATGCAAGCACCCCTGTGGCCACCACCACTGGGACTGTACTGGGTCAGACCCTAAGCCAGCACAGCCCTGGGTCTCACCCAAGGCATGCTGTAACCACTACCTGACTACTGCCTATGTTTACTTAAGGCCCTGGAACACTATGATCAGCATGTGGCAAAGCCAGCCAGGTTTGTGTCCTTGCCTTCAGGTTGATGAGCTCCCCAGGACCTCAGCAAGTCCAGAGATGCTTCCTGGGAGCCAGAATTGGAGTCAAAAACCTTAGAAATTTGCTTGATGTTCTGTTTTGCTGCAGCTAAACTGGCACTCAAACCACATAACAAAGTTCTTCCTGCTCTTCCCTCCCCTTTCCATAGGCAAAGGAGCCTCTCCCTCTGGCCACCACCACCAACAGCCCACAAGGGGTTTTTGCAAGGCCACTGCCAATGTTCACTCAAAACCCAAAGGCTCTTCAGTCAGCTTATGGCGAATGCTGCCAGGCCTGAGACTCAGGCTTCAGGGCAGTGGACTCCTTTCAGCCCAGGGCAGATCCAGAAATGCTCTCCAAGATCCAGAAATGCTCTCGGGACCCCAAGAGCCTGCTTGTTGCTCTACCCTACTGTGGCCGAGCTGGTACCTAAGCTGCAAGACAAAGTCCCCCTTACTTTTCTCTGCTTTTCTCAGAGGAGTCTTTCACCATAGCCACCACAACTGGAAGTTTGCTGAGTCATGCCTGAAGTCAGCACATCTCAGAGCCCAAGGACCACAGTGTACTACCTTGGTATCACTGCTGGTTATTCAGGGTCCAGGGGCTCTTTAGTCGGCAGGTGATGAATCCTGCCAGGACTGGGTCCATCCTTTCAAGGCAGCAGGTAACCTCTGGCCCAGGATGTGTCTAGAAATGTCATCTGGGAGTAAGGGCCTGGAATGTGGGCCTCATGATTCTGCCTGGCGCCCTATGCTACTGTGGCTGAGCTGGTATCCAAGGTGCAAGACAAAGCCCTCTTTATTTTTGCTCTCCTCTCTTTAAGCAGAAGGAAGGAGTCACCTTTTTTTTCGAGCTGCACTGCCTGAGGTTGGGGGAGGGATGGCACAAGCGCTCTCTTAGCCACCCTAGCTGGTAACTCCCTAGGACACATGCTGCCCTGGTCCTCTGGCCCTGAGCCTAGCCTAGCACTAAGACTTGCGTAGGAATTGCAGTCCTTGTGTCCTAGACTGTCTTTCAAGTTTACCTAGGACCCCAGAGCACTTCGGCCCATGGGGCGAGGCTTGCAGACAAAGTTCCAACTTGCTGGGATGGCTGATTCCCCTCTGGCTGAGTCTTCCAAATTCTCCCTCCATACACAGGCACTGGCTGAGCCCAGCATGGTTTTGGTCTCCACTATGACAGGGTAGCACTGAGTTCAATGTAAAGCCTTCCATTTGCTGCACTCTCCCTTACCAAGGTGCACAGTCCCCCAGTCTCCACACCCTACAACTGCGGGGGAATGGGGTTGGGGGGCAGCATCAGCAATTCAAGACTGTCTCTCTGGATCCCTTCAATGCCTCTTTTAGAGACATGAAGCTAAAACTAGGTACTGTGATTGCTCACTTGATTTTTGGTTCTTGTGATAGCACTTTTCTGTGTGCAGACAGTTGTTAAAATTTGGTGTTCCTGTTGGGGAGAATTAATGGGTATAGACTTCTATTCTGCCATCTTGCTCTGTCTTCCTCATTCAATATTCGAAATACCCTATGTACAATTCTTCTAGCTTCATCTTCATCATAATTCCTGAAAATGCATGTAATATCTTACTTTTACTAGTATGTTTGGTAAGCTATAAAAATCAATGAAAAAAACCCAGACAGGTTAGAGATTATATCTCTTGTAATGGTTGAGTTTATTTCCATCTTTACGTCACTTTTAGAAAGTATCTTTTTGTACGTTTGTGAGTTAGACATTCTATTTCCATTCTTTTAGGAGTTACTCTTAATAAAAATATATACATAGCCTAATAAGTTTTGAGGTAAATCAATAATTCTATTCTTCTCTTGAAATAAAACAAGGATCTTAAAATGTTTTCTCCCATCCCATCATCTGTGTTATTTTTTAGTTTATTTTAGTCCACACACATACATTTAAACCTAAATCTATCATTGTACTTTTTGGTCTTTTGTTTGTTCATTATTGGTTCTTTTACTGCACTCTTTCCTGCTATGTAACTGAATTATATTTTTAAACTTTGTTTGTTTTTCCTCTAATCCCATGACAGATTATAAATTATATTTTTGTAATGTTTCAGTAAGGATCTGTAAATATAACTTTTCTCAGTCTTTGTACATCTGAATTAAAAAAAAAATTACCCTTACTCTTGAATGTTCATTTAGTTTAGTTGAGCAGACAGTTATTTTTCCTCAGCAATATAAAAATACCATTCCTTCCGGCATCTTTTGCTGATGTCAAGTCTACCATCATTCCCTAGTAGATGGACTATACTTTCTCTGGTTTCTTCTACAAATTTTTAAAATTCATCTTTGATAATCTAAAGCTTAACCATGCTAAGTCTAGGTGTAGATTTTTCAGAAAATTACTCTACTAAAGACTATCTGCTCCTTGAGTATGAAGATTCGTGTTTTATTTTTCATTTTTGGAATATTGTTTCTCTCCTAATTTCTCATTCTAGAGAGAATATGTATTAGAGTTATTAAACATATGTTGGAGATTTTCATTCCATCCTCAATGTTTCTTCTTTTTTAATGTAATTTATTTATTTACCAATGAGCTTATAATTAATAAATTCAGGAATAACATGCATACAGTGTGCTAGGTACCATCTTACTGCACCATATACATATCTATATATCTACATATCTATCCTCTATCCATCTATATATCTATTTTGCATATAAGGTTAATTTCTCAGATCTGTTTTCACATTTACTAATTTCTTCCTCTTTATTTGTATTTAATACACTGGATAAAGTTTATATATTGAGTTTTTTGATCAATTATTATAGCTTTCATTTCTAGGATTTTCATTTTATTCTTTTTCAAAACTGCTGCTTCTCTTTTAGATGTTATCCTTATGATTTTTATTTTGTCCTTATTTACATATTTTAACATTTAAAGCAAATTTGTTTTCACATTGTCCCGTGATCTATTGGTTTTAGCATATAAATTCTCATTTGTTGAGACTCCTGGCTCTGGACAGGTACAGTGGCTCATGTCTGTAATCCCAGCACTTTGGGAGACTGTGGTGAGAGGATCACTTGAGCCCAGGAGTTTGAGATCAGCCTGGGCAACATAGTGAGACCCCCACCTCCATTTATTAATATATATATAAATAATATTAATAATATATATAAATAATATTAATAATATATATAATTTTAAAAGAGACTCCTGGCTCTAACAAGGTCTGTTTTCTTGAGTGTTTCAAATTTCAGACTTTGAAAGTATCTTCAGAGGAAATTGCTTTCCAAGGATGTGTCATGGCTCAGGATTGTGAAGTTATCACTCTGGTGGTTTATGTTTACCTCTGCCAGGTCCAGTGGTCTCTCAGCTAGTTTTTACAATAATTTCTTGACTTCAGATTTTTAAAAATCAAGCTTGATATGTTAATTCAACCCAATATTCACATAGTATTGGTTTAGATTTTTCCAAGATTATTAGTTTTCGACCATGACTTAGGACAGGCAGCCCATTTTTCTCCCTAAATCTCCATTCCAATGGAAAGAACTTTTATAGTCCCTTCTAGGCTCTCAGTTTTAAGTTGAGATTGAAATTGTAGCTTCCCATGCCACCAGGCCTGCAAACTCAACTTCTGTGTTACTTCTCAACTCTCTACTCTTAGGTTAAAACCTCAGTAATTTAGGAGAGTATCCAGGCTCAGTAACTTTATGGGCCATTTGGCATTAGCTCCAATTCACTGCTCAAGTTTTGGATTGACTTTCTTCATTTCTGGTACCATGTAGTTTTCTTTTTTTGTTTCAAACTGAGATATGTGTATATGCCTGTTTTCAGGGTTGTTATATCTATTCAGCAGCGCAGTGTTTGAAGCAAGTGGTTGGGGAAGTTAACCAACCATGTTGACCAAAAATTTCAGTTTTATCTATATGATACCACCTAGCTAATTTGACTTTCTTTGTATTCTCAGTTTGCTTAATTTTGTTTCCATTAAATAAACGAATGGATCACATAAACTGTCCAAAAAAATGCAGGCTTGAATCTTGTTGCTCTGTCTTTACAAGTCACAGTTGTCACAGATAGCAAATTCCTGGAGAACAGGCACTGCACTATATGTAGACATGCATTAGCATCACTGGAAAATGAAAATAAACAGAGTAGTGTGCACGGAGTATCAGAGGATCCCATTTGCCAGGAAAAATATCTTTTTCTAAGTTAGCAGCTTTCTTTTTGGCAATTCTATTTTGTGGATTCAGACTCAAAATGCAGCTTTCTTTTCGTCTGGCAGTGGTGGTCATTGGTGTCTTCACGTTATTACACTGTTACTTTAGAATAAACGGGAAGTTTCACTACCACTTTTGCTTGCTGTGACCAAATCTCAAGAAATTGGAGGGTCCTTTGGCACCAGCCCTTACCTGCAGTTGGTTGACTTCATACTTGGTCAAATGTCACTCTCAAGCCTGAAATACAATAATGAGAAACTTTTCTCCTCTTTTCTTTTTGTGAGGATGAGGGGTAGAATTATGAACTATAAAACTGAAGTGACAGGAAGGTGCTAGGAGAAATGTTCAAAACATTGATGTGATTTATGAACATGTGGCAAACAGATGTGGTGGAGTAACAGGGACCCCCGTCTCCTTTTATAAATTTGGATCACATTTGTGTCTTTCTCATACCACCACCACCCCCAGGTTCATAATATGCTTTATTAAAATTCTCTGTGGGGTATATGGATGATTAATAATTGTTGATGACAGAAATTTGGTTTTGGTAAGCTGCACAGTGAAAGATAAATACAACAGGGCTATTTTAACCTCTGTATATTATGCTTATTAGAATGAGGCTTCTCTGTAAGATGGTCTCTGTTGAGTTTGTGTGTGATTTATGGAAATGTCACCAATGACCCTGGTTCTGGAAGAACTCTTAAAATCTCTTTTGTTGTAATCATCACTTGAGTTTCAGTTGTCACTAGGGAAAATCATTTTTGGAAAAAACATAATCAAGAGTGGTTAACATATGCTTCAAATAAAATAAACATTGGTTAGCAATTTAGGAATAAAATACAAAGAAAACCCTGAAATAGGTATTGGAAATAAAAATTTATTTGTAACCAAATCTAAATGCATTGTGGTAGAGAAGTTCATGGATAGGAAAACACTGGAATATTGATTTTTTATTCTCTTCCCAACTCTGACATATCTAACATATCTGGAACCTTTAGACAAGCCATTTAATTCTTTCTACCTTTGTTGGTAGAGCAAGTGCTCTGCAATTAGTATCTCTAATGTAGTTTGAAATAAAATTTTTAATAAAACAACAAATGTTAATGAGCATTGCCTCTGTATGGCAAGGAACTCCAATAGCACAAATGTGTTTATAGGAAATAATTGGTATTTCTCTTGTCCTTCCCAATTCCTCAGTATCATCTGTCTAAAAGCAACCACTATTAGTTTGAAATCATTAAATAAAAGTCCTAATATTATAAGTTAACCTTTCAAATGGGAATGTTAAAATTTATCACAAATTACAATACAAATTTAGTATTCTGTACTTTACACAGTGAGTTAAAATTGGTTATTTGAAAAGCTGGTAATTATAGCAATATCACATAACTCCCACTTCATTCAGATGATATATTTGAAAAAGATAAAGGAAAATATTTTTGAAATAATCAAAATAATGCTAGATGCTTCATGATTACTGACCTGGTGAATTTTTGCTTTGGGCTGGGACTTTGTCAGTTTTCTAAACTCCATTTCTCCTAAGCAAGAATATGGCTGGCAGTTGTCTGGAAGTCACAGAGAATGATTGCTGGATAGGGGCCTCCTACAAAATGCTACAAAAATCAGCATGAGGCAAGTCTTTATTTAACGTGTGGGGTTAAAGGAGAAAAAGGATCAAGAACTCCCATGCTTTACTTTATGCCCTCATTTTTCATTCAATTAGGGTAAATTGTAAAACCAGTAACAAAAAATGAAAACACACACGGTAACAATATCATAACGCATTTGAGAAATAATGCAGAAGATGGACTTAACCACCTCAAAAAAACTTGGGAAATGATTCAGGGGTCTAAATGGAAGTCTGGAATTTTGATTACTTAGACAACTTTCCTTCAGCTCTGTTCAGATCATCAGTTTCCCTCTCACCTCTATCAGTAATGACTAGTAACTCAGTTTTATAATACCTGACTTTTAAAGAATGTATAAAAAGCTTTCCAAAGGAAAAAAAGAGTGAGTGTTGTTACATTTTTCATTTCTTTAGGGTGTTTTATCCTCAGTCTGAAAGTGAGTTAAGACATTTAGACTTGAATAACGGGAAAGTCTCTTGATTCTTTTCTAAATTGAAGTGTCTTGGTGGTTGACAATTGAAGACTGATTTACAATTCCTGGAGTACTTTGTGGGTTTGGCTTTTTAAAACCAGTTCTTAATATTCAAGCTATTTGGCAGTTGGAACTTGAATAATAGCTAGTGATTTTTAAAATGTGAAGTTTGTTCAGTTTGAAGTATATGTCCAAACTGACATATTTTCAGAAATGCAAATTACCACATTCAATTGTCCTGAGAACCAATGGAGAAGCAGTAACTTGTTTTCTCCAAATTGTGAAATAAGTTGACGTGCAAAAATTTAAAAACTAAGAAAAGCAGACTTTCCTGCACAGGTGTTATCGTCCCAGTATACTCCCCATTCATTGTGGTGTGGCCCTGTAATGATATCATATGTTTCAAGGTCTCACCAGTTCAAATCCAGAGCGTAAGGGAGACAGCCGCAAATTCTTATATATCTTCTCAGAAAAAAAGCTAATGTTCTATTAATTCAGACTTTCAAAAATAAATTTAAATATTCTGGTATCTCATGAGTGTAGCAATTTTGAATTACCCTAGCAAGGGAACCAGTTCAACTCTTGAGTACTCTTAGCTAACACAAACAAAATAATGAATCTTTCTATCTTTCTTGAAACTAGTCAGTAAGTGTTGAAAGTACATGTAAGCCTAAATAGCATTTTTAATTAATGGGAAAAGGCAACTGGATGACTAAGAACTTGAAACTGGGTTTATAACTCACCTGACATTCTATTCTTATCACCTACAACTTTGCTAAATAAGACCTTCATTTCTTTCTCCACTCATTGATTCATGGGCAGTTGGGCTGCTTCCACATTTTTGCCATTGTGAATTGTGCTGCTATAAACATGTATGTGCAAGTAGCTTTTTTCATATAATTACTTCTTTTCCTCTGGCTAGATACCCAGTAGTGGGATTGCTGGATCAAATGGAGGTTCTACTTTTACTTCTTTAAGGAACCTCCACACTGTTTTCCATAGTGGTTGTACTGGTTTACCTTCCCACCAGCAGTGTAGAAGTGTTCCCTGTTCACTGCATCCATGCCAACATCTATTATTTTTTTATTTTTTTATGATGGCCATTCTTGCAGGAGTAAGATGGTGTCACATTGTGGTTTTGCATCTCCCTGATCATTAGTGATGTTGAGCATTTTTTCATGTTTGTTGGCCATTTGTTTATCTTCTTTTGAGAATTGTTTATTCATGTCATTGGCCCACTTTTTGATGGGTTTGTTTGTTTTTTCCTTGATCATGTGTTTGAGTTTGTTGTAGATTCTGGATATTAGTCCTTTTTCAGATGTATATATTGTGAAAGTTTTCTCCCACTCTGTGGGTTGTCTGTTTACTCTGCTGACTATTCCTTTTGCTGTGCAAAAGCTCTTTAGTTTAATTAAGTCCCAACTATTTATCTTTGTTTTTATTGCATTTGCTTTTGGGTTCTAGGTTTGTGTGTGTGTAAGTAGGGAAGGAAAGTAGGGGAAAGCTGGCAGTCACACACACAAACCTATATATAAACAAATATATATATATATATATGTATATATGAATATTCTTTGTTGGATTGGGTTATTTAAAAACCTTGGCTTTGAGCTCTGAAGTTCTTTCTTCTGATTGTTTGATTCTGTTGGTGAGATTTGCAGAGCATTTTGCATTTCTATAAGTGCGTCCTTTGATTCCTGAAGTTTTGATTGTTTTTTATTTATACTATGTATTTCATTGTAGATTTCTCCCCTCATTTCTTGTATCATTTTTTTACTTTCTTAAATTGGACTTTGCCTTTCTTTGGTGCCTCCTTGATTAGCTTAATAACCACCCTTCCAAATTCTTTTTCAGGTAAATCAGGGATTTCTTCTTGGTTTGTATCCATTGCTGGTGAGCTAATGTGATTTTTTTTAGGGTGTTAATGAACCTTGTTTTGTCATATTACCAGAGTTGGTTTTCTGCTTCCTTCTCATTTGGGTAGGCTCTGTCTGAAGGAGGGTCTAGGGTCAAGGCTGTTGTTTAGATTCTTTTGTCTCATAGGGTGTTCCGTTGATGTAGTACTCTTCTCCTTTTCCTAGGGATGTGGCTTCCTGAGAGCTGAGCTGCAGTGATTGGTTATCTCTCTTCTGGATTTAGCCGCCTAGCAAGTTTTCCAGGCTCCAGGCTCTACTGGGGGTTGTCTGCACAGTCCTGTGATGTGAACTGTGTGTGGGTGTCTCAGCCATGGATACCAGCTCCTGCTCCAGGGAGGTGGCAGGGGGATGAAATGGGTTCTGTAAGGGTCCTTAGTTTTGGCTGTTTAACTTACCATTTTTGTGATCACTGGCCTCCTGCCAGGAGGTGGTACTTTAAAAAGAGCATCAGCTGTGGTAATATGGAGAGGATCAGGTGGTGGGCAGGGCCCTAGAACTCCCAAGAGTATATGCCCTTTGTCTTCACCTACCAGGATGGGTAGGGAGTGACCACCAGGTTGGGCAGGGCTAGCTGTGTCTGAGGTCAGACTCTCCTTGCGCGGGTCTTGCTGCAGCTGCTGTGGGGGATGAAGGTTTGGTTCCCAGGTCAATGGAGTTATATTCCCAGAAAGCTTATGACTGCCTCTGCTGTGTCATGCAGGTTGTCAGGAAAGTAGGGGAAAGCTGGCAGTCACAGACCTCGCCCAGCTCCCACACAACCCAAAAGGCCAATCTTACTTCCACCCTGCCCCCCACAACAGCACTGAGTGTGTTTCCAGGGAGTGGGTGAGCAGGGCTGAGAACTCGCCACAGGCTACCCGCCTCCCAGCTGCGAAAGCAAGAAGGACTTTCCTGCTTCCCTGCCTGTGGAGTCTGCACACCAGATTCATGCCTTCCCCTGAGTTCTGGCCAGGAGTCTTCTCATTCAGTTGGAATTGTTACAAAGTTCAGCTGGAGGTTTCCTTCTCCCTGTGGCCTTTTCCCAGTACATCGGGCAGCCTGCCCCAAGGACCCCTGTAAAGCAAGGCAGAAATGGTTTCCTAGGGACCTAGAAAGCTCACAGTTCGGGGATGAGAGTTTTCAAGGACGACTTGGTGGGTGGCAGGAAGCCAGTGAGACAGGAGTGCTGATTGGTCAAGTCAGAGAAGAAATCCTAGGGAGTCGAAGCTGTCTTGTCCTGGGTCAATTCCTGGGTGGGGTGGGGTACAAGATCAGATGAGCCAATTTATTGATCTGGGTGGTGCCAGCTGATCCATCAAGTGCAGGGTCTGCAATATATCTCAAGCTCTGATTTTAGGAGCAGTTTAGGGAGGGTCAGAATCTTGTAGCCTCCAGCTGCATGACCCCTAAACCATAATTTCTAATCTTGTGGCTTCCTACAAAGGCAGTCTAGTCCCCAGGCAAGAAGGAAATTTGCCTTGGGAAAGACCTGTTATTATCTTTGTTTTAAATTATAAACTAAGTTCCTCCCAAAGTTAGTTCAGCCTATGCCCAGGGATAAACAAGGACAGCTTGGAGGTTAGAAGAAAAATGGAGTTGGTTGGGTCAGATCTCTTTCACTGCCTCAGTTACAATTTTGCAATGATGGTTTCAAAGGTACTCAATTAACATTAGTCAACTAAGTAAAAATTATAAAATGAAAGCTACCCTCATTGAAATCAGTTTAAATATGCATTCCTCAAAATTTGTCGATAGTTGCTTGCTTTTTTTCATAATGCTTTGACTTAAAAACTGCTCTTAATATGTAATGCTCATAAACAAAATCTTTTAATGGCTTTCTACTTACTACTCAGTGACTTTGTTTGGATTCTGAGGGCTTCAACAATCTAACTTCAACCTGTCTACCCAGTCTTCATGCCCACTACCTTGCTTCTTCCTTTATAATATGACAGATTCCTTACTGACCCCAGGGCACACAACATACCTATTCTCATTGCTTGACTCAAGTTCTCCACACCAAGTGCTCTCTATCTTCCTCTTAAGTTCATCTAAATCTCCCCCATTCTTTAAGGCCCAGCTCAAATTCCACCCTTTCCCTAGCAAGTTTTCCTCTATAGCTCTAGTCTTCATCTGTCTCCCTCTTCTCTGAAATCATTAAACGAGTCATTCAACAAATATTTGGATGTTAAGTGCCCAGCTTTCTGCTAGTATGGGATAAAAATATACTTTCCCTGCTTTTTAGTAACACTACCTAGATTTGATTTCTTTCTCTCCAATGTACCAAGCTCTTTCACCTTGGATAGTTGCTTCACCTCCTTATACCTCTATTTCCTCATTTTCAAAATGGTATAATAATACCTACTTTACTAGGTGGTTGTTATTATTAAAGAAGATAATCACTTAAAGCTTTAAGCAGAGTGCTTTATGCAGTGATATGGTTTGTGTCTGTGTCCCACCCAGATCTCATCTTGATTTGTATTCCCAAAATTCCCAAGTGTGTGGGAGGGACCCAGTGGGAGATAATTTGAATCATAGGGGCGATTTCTCCCATACTGTTCTCATGGTAGTGAATAAGTTTCATGAGATCTGACGGTTTTATCAGGGGTTTCCACTTTTGCATCTTCCTCATTTTTCTCTTGCTGCCGCCATGTAAGAAGTGCCTTTCACCTCCCATTATGATTCTGAGGCCTCCCCAGCCATATGAAACTGTAAGTCCAATTAAACCTCTTTTTCTTCCCAGTTTCGGGTATGTCTTTATCAGCAGTGTGAAAACAGACTAATACATTCAGTAAAATGTTTAGTGAATGCTTGTTGTTGTTTTGTTATATGAGGCAGAACTGTGAGCAGGCAATTGGATGTAAGAGTGCGATGATAGAGTTGAACAGAGTGCTGTGAAACTGCATAGGAGGGGCATCTAATCTAACCTTAGTGATCAGGACAGGCTTCCTGGAGGAAGGGATTTCTAAGCTGAGGCGTGAAGGGTGAGTGAAACACATACATATGTCACTCAACTGTCTGTGCCACTCCACTGCATGCTTAATTTTGTATGTAACAACATTCTTTCATAAGTTTCTCAAGAAATCCTTTTTCTGGCTTTGCATCCTTTTTAACCCATTCTTACCCATAACATCATACACACAATTCTTCCCCAAAGACCCACCCTCCAACCCTCACCCACCATTCTTCAGAATGTTTAAGTACAAGATGGATGATTTCACCGTGAAATTATGAATTAGAAATATGATTAAAATACAGAAATAAAATGTAACCTATCAAGTCTAATTTCACTTTGAAACACATTTCCATAATAGCTAAAACCTAATTTCATCAAATGGCAGAAAGTCATATTTCTACTTCATAATTTCATGGTGAAATCACCTATCTAGTACTTGAACATTCCCAAGAATGCTGGGTGGGGTTCGGAGGGTGGGTTTTTGGGGAAGGAATAGTGTGTGTGATTTTATGGATAAGAAATTGGGCCCACAAAGATGCACTGCCATGAAAATTCTCTTCTTGAATCATTTATTCTTTTTTGGTTTTTTTTTTGTTTGTTTTTTTTTTTTGAGACAGAGTCTCACTCTGTCACCCAGGTTGCACTGCCTTGGCACAATCACTGCTCAACCTCAACCTGCAGCCTCGACCTCCTGGACTCAAGTGATCCTCTGGCCTGAACTTCCCTAGTAGCTGGGACCATAGGCATGCACTACCACACCTAGCCAATTTTTAAATTTCTGTAGAGATGGAATCTCACTACTGAACTCCTGGACTGAAGTGATCTGGAAATGTGAGTCAATTAAACCTCTTTCCTTTATAAATTACCCAATCTCATGTATTTATAGCAGTGCAAAAATGGACTAATACAGATACCAGGAGTGGGGCACTGCTGTAAAGATACTTGAAAGTATGGAAGCGACTTTGGAGCAGGACAACAAGACGAGGTTGGAACAGTTTGGAGGGTTCAGAAGAAAAGAAGACAGAAAGATGTGGGAAAGTTTGGAACTTCCTAGAGACTTGTGGAATGATTTTGACCAAAATGCTGATAGTGATATGGACAATGAAGTCCAGGCTGAGGTGGTCTCAGATGGAGATAAGGAACTTGTTAGAAACTGGAGTAAAGGTCACTCTTGCTATGCTTTAGTAAAGAGACTGGTTGCATTTTCTCCATACCCTAGAGATCTGTGGAACTTTGAACTTGAGAGAGATGATTTAGGGTATCTGGCAGAAGAAATTTTTAACCACCAAAGCATTCAAGAAGACACCTGGTTGATTCTGAAAGCAATCAGTTATATATGCTCACTAAGAGGTGGTTTGAAATTAGAAAACCCCATTTTCTGGGGAGAAATTCAAGTCAGCTGCAGAAATTTGCATAACTAATGAGGAGTCAAATGTTAATAGTCAAGACAAGGGGGAGAATGTCTCCAGGGAACATCAGAGACCTCCGTGGTAGCCCCTCCCATCACAGGCCCAGAGGCCTAGGAGGGAAAGATGGTTTTGTGGGCCAGCTGCTCCACTGCTCCACGCAAGAGCAGCCCTGAAACTTGGTGCCCTGCGTCCCAACCACTCCAGCTCCAGTCATGGCTAAAATGGGACAAGGCACAACTCAGGTCATTGCTTCATAGGGTGCAAGCCCCAAGCCTTGGTGGCTTCTCATGGTGTTGGGCCTGTGAGTACACAGAAGACAAAAAAGCTTTGAGAATCTCTGCCTAGATTTCAGAGGATGTATGGAAACACCTGGATGTCCAGGCAGAAGTCTGCAGCAGGCTGCAGCAGGGGCATAACCCTCACAGAGAACCTCTGCTAATACAGTGTGGAAGGGAAATGTGGGGCTGGAGCCCCGATACAGAGTCCCCACTGGGGCACTGACTAGCAGAGTTGTGAGAAGAGGTCCACCATCCTTCAGACCTCAGAAATGTAGATCCACTGACAGCTTGCACCATGAACCTGGAAAAGCTGCAGGCACTCAATGCCAGCCTGTGAAGGATCTGCCCAAGGCTGTGGGAGCCCACTCCTTGCATCAGCCAGCCCTGGATGTGAGACATGAAGTCAAAGGAGATCATTTTGGAGCTATAAGATTTAATGACTGCCCCACTGGGTTTTGGACTTGCATGGGGCCCATAGACCCTTTATTTTGGCCAATTTCTCCCCTTTGGAATGGGAATATTTACCCAATGTCTATACCCTCATTTTAACTTGCAAGTAACTAACTTGCTTCTGATTTTACAGGCTCATAGGCAGAAGGGACTTATCTCAGATGAAACTTAGAACTTGGACTTTTGGGTTAATGCTGGAATGAGTTAAGACTCTGGGGGACTATTGGGAAGGCATGATTGGTTTTGAAATGTGAAAAGGACATGAGATTTGGGTGGAGCCAGGGGCAGAATGATATGGGTTGGCTCTGTGTCCCCACTTAAATCCTATCTCGAATTGTAATCCCCACATGTCAAGGGAGGGACCTGTAATCCCCACGTGCCAAAGGAGGGGAGTGATTGGATCATGGGGACAGTTTCCCCCATGTTGTTCTCGTGATAGGGAGTGACTTCTCACAATAGTTGATGGTTTTAATAGTGTTTGGCAGTTCCCACTTCATTCACTCACTCCCTCCTGCTGCCTTGTGAAGAAGGTGCCTGCTTCCCCTTCGCTTTCCACCATGATTGTAAGTATCCTGAGGCCACCCCAGCCATGTGGAACTGAGTCAAATAAACCTTTTTTTTTTATAAATTACCCAATCTTGGGTATTTCTTTATAGCAGTGTGAAAATGGATTAATACAGTGACTAAAAGGCAAAACTTTTTTTGAATATATATCTCATTTTACTGTATATAATTTAACCAGTAAATCTTGGAGTATCACCAAAATAGAAAATTCTGGAAATAACAGCTACCTGATAAAACAGCTACCTGCTGCTTGGGAGTTTCTTTCTTTTGATTGACATCAAGATTCACTGTACTTTCTCCAAGACCCATTAAAGGGAGATATTTCTCTGAGTTTCAAATAGAAAGCAGAATGCAGCAATTACATACAAATCAACTTACACATTTTAAATAAGTGGCCTCAGTTAGATCTCACAGATCCACATTACAAAGGATGCTCGCTATAAATTATTTTTAAAAAGTAAACGCTATAATAATCCTACATTTGGAATCAATTGAAATGCACAAATGCCATTAGGTTGACTTTTGAACTCCTTTGATTTGTGGCAAAGATAAGAATAAATGATGGACTAATTAATTTGTGCACAGTTTTAAAGTCTGTATATCTTGACAAGTTAACAAATATGATAAATGGTAATTTCAAGCTACCTTAAGTGCATTTAGCACTTTAAACTCTGGTCAAATCTGAGGGACTGTCATTGATACTGAGGAATGTTTTCAGCTTCTTAGTCTTCGTTGGGACTGGGGTCCCAAGTCAAGCCCTCTCTGATTGTCCATCTTGCTATAAACACTGGCTTGTGGTTATGTCTCCTAACCTTGACTGTTTGCCAGGCTGTGGCCTCGTTTCCCATTCTGATCAGAAACCAATTCCCTATTTCTAGAGCTACATGTATATACACATGTAATTTAGTTTGTGGGTTTGTGTTTGCTGTCGTGAATTATAGAGAAATAAAACTAAGATGTATCATCTGCTTCCTGCTTATACTTTCTGTTAGGTACTTCTTTATTTTCTTTAAACTTCACTCTTTGTGAACAGAAAGTTTACTTGCACCATGAATGCATATGTAAGGAAATATACATATAGAAACAAATGAGGCACAGAGGCCACATTAACTTATTCAAAGTTATGCATGTAAAAAGAGTAGAGCCAGAGCCACAGTGAATACACAGAACACCATACCTATTTCCAAAGAGAGTTTCTCAAAGACTACTTGCAACAGAATCTCCTCAGGCACTTGTTTAAAGTGTACATTTGTGGTTTCCACCCCTGTCTCATGGAAATCTAGAGATGGGTCCCAGAAACACTGCCCTAGTGTATCCAGAAAGTTCATAGAAATGATAGACTTTTAAATGATCAAGAAACATTGCAATAAAGGATGTGAAATCCAAATCACTTTTCCACTTGAAGCATAGTTTTATGGAAAGTGTCAGGCACCTGACAATAAGGGTTTATAGTGACAGATGTATTTTCAGGATGATTATGGCATTATGCTAAGTTGATACCAATAAATCTTTTCTACAAAGCTCAAGTCTCAGTCCAGGCTGGCAGTAAATCATTTTTCCTGGCACCACAGTTTCAAAAGGAAAGCCACTGAGGACAATATTATGAATGCTGCTTTTTTGGCACTAGCTATCTAAAGATTAGTTGCATTGGAACAAATTTTTGTCTCGTGACCTGTTTTTAAGTTAAGAATAGAAAAATATCGTCATTTATCCATGTAGAAATAATAAAGACTGGAAATGGTGAAGTAAACCAGAGACTAAGACATCCAAAAGGAAGACAGCTTTCTATGCATTAAATACACAGGATTCTTTTTTTTTTTTAATGAATAACATGAAGGTATACCACATTAACATTCAATGAGGCACCAAAAAAATGTTAATTAGCAAACAGGACTTTATTAGCCTGCTAGTTAGCACTAATTTAGGTTATTAAGAATTTCTAGATGGGGCAGAGTGGCTAAGACCTGTAATTCTAGTACTTTGGGAGGTGGAGGGAGGCAAATTGCTTAAGCCTAGGAATTCAAGACCAGCCTGGGCAATATGGTGAAACCCCATCTCTACAAAAAAATACAAAAACTAGCCCAGCATGGTGGCATGCACCAGTGGTCTCAACTACTCAGAAGGCTGAGGTGGAGGGATTGCTTGAGCCCAGGAGGTCAAGGCTGCAGTGAGCCAAGATCATGCCACTGCACTCCAGGCTAGGCGATAGACCAAGACTGCCTATCTCAAAAGAAAAAGAAAAAAAAAAAAAGAATTTCCAAAGGTATTTGTTTCAAAGAGAGATGATCAGATTCTTTCTTTCCTTCAGTATTTCACTTTGAATCTGGTTTTAAATAAGGCTAGGAAAAAAAGCCTACTATTTCCAAAATCTCAATGTATGTAAGTTTGTGGACTACATTCACCATTAAGGAAAGAGTGCTTCTGCAAAGACACTCAGTTTTCAAAAAAAAAAAAGAAAGAAAGAAAGAAAAGAAAAAGTAAAGTTTGAAGACAGCTGGTAGCAACGAAAGCAAAGTGCCAAGTAATAAGTGATAGCTGGCATGAAGAACAGTCAATATCAACAAGAAATGGAGGGAGGAGGGAAGATGATCCATGGATTATAGTAAAGAAAGAACATGGTTGAGTTCAGATATTACTAATTTCAGGAAAAGAGAGAGTCTGATTTCAGGATTGATTCAGCCCCTCTGAAAAAAGCATGAGATGTGCATAATCATATAGATCTTTCATAAGATTAGGCATAAGAGCCTCAGAGGTAAAGGAGGTTTCTTGATTAATGCTAATTGGCGATTGAAAATGAATGATCTAATTTAGAGACATCTGTAATTCTCTTTTTAGGGATGCATAGGATTAAACTATTAACTATTAGTTAATTTTAAAATTAGCTAGTTGGAGCCTGGAAGGTCGAGGCTGCAGTGAGCTGTGATTGTGTCACTGCACTCCAGCCTGGGTGACACAGTGATACCCTGTCTTCAAAAAATAATAATAATAATAAAACAGGCTGGGCACTGTGGCTCATGCTTGTAATGCCAGCACTTTGAGAGGCCGAGGTGGGCAGATCGCTTGAGCTCACAAGTTCGAGTCCAGCCTCGGCAACATGGTGAAAACCCCTCTCTACAAAAAATACAAAAATTAGTAGGCTTGATGGCGCATACCTATAGTCCCAGCTACTCAGGAGGCTGAAGGAGAATGACTTGAGCTTGGGAGGTAGAAGCTGCAGTGAGCCAAAACCATGCCACTGCACTCCAGCCTAGGCAATAGAGCCAGACCTTGTCACAATATATAAATAAATAATAAAATTAGTTGATCCTTGAACAACGTGGAGGTTAGGGACACTGACCCCCTACACAATAAAAAAAATCCATGTATAACTTTTGACTTCCCAAAAACTTAACTACTAACAGCCTACTGTTGACCCAAAGCCCATAACATACACAGTTGATTAACACATATTTTGTATGTTAATGTATTATGTACTGTATTCATTCTCACAATAAAGCAGGCTAGAGAACAGACAATGTTGTTAAGAAAACCATAAGAAAGAGAAAAATATATTTACTATTTATTAAGTGGAAGTGGATCATTGTATAGGTCTTCATCCTCACTGGGTAGGCTGAAGAGGAGGAGGAGGGGTTGGTCTTGCTGTCTCAGGGGTGGCAGAGGCAGAAGAGATCAAGGAGGTGGAAAGGGAGGCAGGCGAGGCAGGAGAGGCAGGCACACTTGGTGCAACTTTTATTGAAAAAAAAATCTGCGTATACGTGAAGCTGCACAGTTCAAACTCATGATTCAAGGGTCCACTGTGTAATCATTTTTTTTACTTTTTAACAAATAGCCTTTCCAAATGGGTAACAGAATTGTACCCCATCCTGACAAGTTGGGGGTGCATGAGAGGGAGAGGAGGATGCAGCCCTTCCTGGCTCACCTGGGAAGTCTCTAGCTAGGCTTATCCAGTCAGCATGGAAAGGGCAGGTGACAGGCCACCCAGGGTAGAATACAATAGTTGATTTCGATTAAAGGCTTTATCTGTGAAAGAGGTGACAGCAAGGATGGAAACAGTCAAATAACCTGTCTGTTCATGCTAATTCTGCCACCAGAAGCACCAAGAGGGGGCAGGAATTGAAAATGAAAATATAATGTAGTCTGTCAAGCCCTCACAGCTCCACTAACTCACATGGGTGCCTAAAATAGTGGTACCTGTCCCAGCACTTGTGTATTCTCTCTTTGGGGTAGCTTTCTATATTTCTTTTAATTGGATACTGCCTGTCATAGACACTCCAGGGAAATATGAAAAAAAGACAACTGCTGTAACCTGTATATAACATATGAAGGCTTTCTATAGCAAAGATTCTATTGGAGAATCAGTTTATAACCCTCATTACCCAACCAGAGCAGGGCAATCAGACTTTCCTTCCCCCACAAGCACCAATCTGTCCTTTTCCATTTCAGTGCCACTATTGATGCTCCTTTTAATGTGATTTTCTCTAAAGAAAATGCTAGAAGAGTGGCATATTATGGGATCTTCCACAGGGCCTGATGGTGTAGGAAAAGATGGTGTCTGGTCTTGATGGTAGTAGTCAAAACTCAAAACAGGAGTGTGACATCCCAAACAGGAAACCACTCTTGTCTAAGGACCAGCCACTAATGATTAATCCAGATTTGCTCTTGGCACCACAAGATTGCTCTTCTGGTCTTGTTTTGTTCAGGACATCCCTCACAGACTTGGTGTTTCCTGTGGAAAATCCTGAGATAGCATTTCTTCAGGGCAAGTGGTAATTAATTAACCTGTTTTCTTTCATTCAGATTGTTCTTCATTCCTAAGGACTAAGGTGCCCACCTTAATATTTTAATATTTAGACTGAGTATCTGTATTTGGAATACCTACACTTTCAGCTTTTTAAAATAATTTGCTAATATATCTGATTTTCAAAAAAGAAGTTATCTAGTGTATATAATTGACATATTTTTCAGTTTACTCAGCAATATTTTAAGCATGTATTTTTGACTGTACATCCTGATGACAATTCCATATGGCTGCCCTGATGTCAAATCAATTCTTACATTGAAACCAGTCATATTAAATTATGTTAGATATTGTTTTGTGATTGATATTTAAATATTTGTTTCCATTTTGCATTTAAACTAAATGAGAATATGCTCGCAAAAAGTAAGAGATAAATAAAAATTATAAATGTTTAGGAATATATGTATGAAAAATCAATGTTACTATTTTTCATAAAGAATAAATGAGTACAGGAAATATATTTTAATGGCTTTTAGCATGAACTTTACAGTCAAACGGATCCCCCCAGCTGTGCTGAGTACTGTGTGTCCCCTGACCCATTTAAATCCCCAATTTTTTAAAATCTGGGAAATAATAGTACCATCTCTGAGTGTATGGTGGGGATTAGATAAAATAACATTTGTAAAGTTGTAAGTATAGTGCTTAACATATAGTGATAATACCTGGGAGTTATTAGACACTATGTTGATACTTATATCTTTGTGTGTTTTTTTGGTTTTTTGTTTGTTTGTTTTGTTTTTTCTGAGATGAGTCTTGCTCTGTCACCCAGGCTGGAGTGCAATGGTGCAATCTCAGCTCACTGAAACCTCCACTTCCCAAGTTCAAGCAATTTTCCTGCCTCAGCCTCCAAAGTAGCTGGGACTACAGGTGTGTGCCACTACGCCTGGCTAATTTTTGTTTTTTTTTTTAATAGAGATGGGGTTTCACCATGTTGACCAGGCTGGTCTCGAACTCCTGACCTCAAATGATCTGCCCTCTTCAGCCTCCCAGAGTGCTGGGATTACAGGCGTGAGCCACTACACCCAGCCTATGTCTTTGTTTTTTAGTGTTGGAGCTCTTGAAAAGCCAGGTTATTAATTAAGTTTAAAATCTCTTCCTTAGGTTAGTTAGAGTTGAAAAATATTATATTCTGGAAACCAATAGATCTAATTAAAATAAATTGGGGGAAAGTACTTAAACCATTTATGATAGTAGAATCAAACTTAAAATCCATTATGCCCCAAATCAAACCCCTCTTCTTCACATTCCTACCCCAAATCTGCTCTGCTCACCATATTCCTCTTTTCAGTCAATAGTAAATTCATCGTTCCAGGTGCTCATACTCAAAGCATCAGAGTTATCCTTGACTCCTCTTTCTCCCTTCACATGTCTCATCCAATCCATCTACAAATCCTGATAGTTCTTCCTTCAAGATATTGGACAACTTATTTCCACATCCTCCACTATTTCACCCTGGTCTAATCTTAAACATTTTTTTAAAAATCAAACTTCACTTTGATTTACATTCCTTTAAATATAAATAAGTATAAAAATATTCATTACTGTTTTTTCCAGTTTGCATTTTATATTTTGGGCATGACCTTCCAAAACTTCTCTATAGGTACTTTTTAAATAAAATAAACCTCAAAATAAAGATGCAAATTATTTTACTGGTCTTCATTCAGTAATGCAGTTAAAACATATCACAAAACCTTTACTCAAATAAATCATGGTGTAAAAATGCAGTAACTGCAAACCTTTAAATTGTCATTTAATTATCAGTGTTTAATTATCAGTACAAGTTGTATTGCATTAAACTAGCAAGTATTGTGTCATTAACTGTGGGAGGACTCTGTACCTTGTCAGCATCATTTCTATATGTTTTTTGTTTCACTGTTTGCTTTTATTCTATTGAGGAATTACTAGGGCCATGAAAATGAAGCGTCAAAGAGTAGAAAAAAGACGTGTTACTTGGCCTTTTGCACTGATCCTCACTAACCCATGTTTTCACGAGCACCAGATTCACCAAGTTCTCAAAGAGGAACAGCAAGTGTTTGATGATGAGGGAAGTTTGGATTTAATTTTCACTTTGAGACACATGGATATTATTCCCTGAAAAAAAGTTGGCATTTTGAAGATGTTCAAGTGCTCTTTCTCCAGAAGCTACCAACGACTTTAACTGTATCTGAGGATCCAGTGGCTCTGAGCGCTGTCAAAGCAGAGATGTTAGAAACCAGCTGCCTCCTTCATTCATCCTGTAAGATCAGACAAAGGTGTTGCTGGACTTTCCTGCCACCCAATCCTTGAAGCAGCAACTAGCACACAGAATTTGACCTTACAGAAAAGTGATTCAAATTATATGGATCAAAATAACAGGCAGCAATAAGAAAGATAACTGGTCATGCACTTTCCAACCACCCAGGACTATTTCAACCATATCTCATGTATTATTTCATTTCATCCCTAAAATATAAACAAGCAGACAGTTGTGAGCTTTCTCCAGGTGAATAGCTGCAAGTAGAGTTACGAAGAACACCCTAAATCTCCAGGGTAGCTCAAAACTACCTTGCAGGGAAATATAGAAAAAAACTTAAGGTAGGAGCTTTATAACTACAGTCAATTGTGGATAGAAAATCCTTCATTGATAAGTCATAGCAGTGCATTGAATAAACATTGAGTCCAAGATACTCCATGGGTATGACCCAGAAGTGGGGATAATCTTGTCCTCACCATTGCTAAAATTATTTCCTAACTTTATCCTTATTTGTCACATCAGAAATTTGAGATGTACTGGATTTTTAAAAAGAATTCCTGCATTATTTAACATTTGTCCTTTTCCATTTTTTATGTATATATTTTATTTTCTTGGCCAAGAAAAAATTTTTCTGGGTAACTTTTTCTCTACTATTATAACCAACATTTTAATATGTTCCCCCTAGAGTTGGAAAAATGACTGAGGTACCACAGATGTTTCTTACATTCATTCCAGGGGAGGAAAAAGTTTAAATTCAAGTAGCTGCTCTTTATCACTAGCTCAGGTGGTGGAAGGAAAATATCACCCCTTACTAAGTGTCTCTTCATCACCTTTCCATCTTTCCTTTGCACGTTTTCTCAGTTCAGTCTTTGAAGTGGTATCTACTAACATAGAGTTCAGATGACGGCCATTGCATGGTTCTTCTTCCTAAGACCCAAGTTAGCTAAACCACAAACTTGAAGTGAAATAAGCAATCTGAAATGTAAGCATGATATTCTGTGCTTATTTGCTGATTCTAGTAGCCTTTTATCACCTTCTTTTGGCTCTCACACCCTGTTGTCTTTCAAATGATCACTCGTTAGCCCTCCAAGCAGTTTATGCACTTCAGAAAATAGGACACTACCTCATATCTATGAATGGCAAATGTGGCTCAGGCCTAAACTAATTAGCATTAGTCTGGTTTGTAATTGTTTCAGAGAACAGCATGACCTAATTTAGTGCAATAAGAATGAAGCCTGAGATTGTAAATCAATGGTTGAGGGAGTGAGCCAAATGTAGTATGTTAATGAGAAGCAAGTAGCCTTGAGATCTGTTGGCAACAATTTTGGAACAATCAGGGAGAATCTTCTGAGAATTGGTCTGAGCTTTGGGGGGTTGCTTCTTACACAGCATAATCACAGTGCAAACCTAATTAATACACCAAAGTTAGTAACAGATCAGGTTACAGGTATCTGAGGTCAAGCCTCCTGACCTACCCTCATGTTAGAATATTATCAGCAAAAAGTAAGATAGATGTACCAAAGCCGGGTAATGACATTCTCAGTGCTAAAAGAAACAAATTTCTCTTCCTGCTAGGTTGCTAAGCTTGGAAAAACTGAACCTGGGACCAGTGACCATCTTCCCAGCCATAGTAAAAAGCCTGTTTGCAGAATGAAGCTGAACAGAGACAAACCATGATGAGAGACAGGTAGAGTTAGTGAGAGAGACAGAGAGAGAGAGAGAGAGAGAGCAAAAAGCAATAAGGCATTGGGTGCAGTGGCTTGTGTCTGTAATCCCAGTGACTGGGGAGCCTGAGGCAGGAGGATCACTTGAGCCCAGGAGTTTGAGGCTGCAGTGAGCAATAATGATGCCACTGCACTCCAGCCTGGGTGACAGAGTGAGACTCAGTGTGTAAAATAATTAAATTAAAATAATAATTTGTTTAAAAAAAGTGAAAAAGCAAAACTGAAAGAGCGTGAGTATAAGAGAAAGCAGGACGGAATGAACAAGTAAAGGAGAGAAAAAGAAATTGGCCAGGTGCCGTGGCTCATGCCTTTAATCCTCACACTTTGGGAGGCTGAGGCGGGTGGATCACCTGAGGTCAGGTGTTCGAGACCAGCCTGGCCAACACGGCAAAACCCTGTCTCTACCAAATACAAAAATTAGCTGGGTTTGGTGGTGGGTGCCTATAATCCCAGCTATTCTGAAGGATGAGTCAGGAGAATCACTCGAACCTCGGGGTCAGAGGTTGCCCTGAGCAGAGATCACGCCACTTCACTCTAGCGTGGGTGAAAGAGCAAAACTCCATCTCAAAAAAATAAAAATGAATTAGAAAAATTAGTTTTACATAGATAAAAATTTAACTTTTGCAGATGCACATTTTAGGTAACACTGACTCTTTGGCAACCATTTTTCAAATATGAAATAATGACAGAAATTATATATTTATTTTTTCAGCAATTAATCAGTGTCAGATACTGTTAGATGCTCTCATTAAAAATCTGTAAGTCAATGTAGACCTTAGGATTGTTAAGATGAAAATAATTAACATGTAAAAAATACAATGTACTGTGTAAGAGCTGTTATGTATAGAGAGATAATAAGTGCTTTGGGAATACAAAAGAGAGAGAAATTAACTCTGCAAGTAAATGGGAATAAGGAAGCATATGGAAAAGAGTTTTCTTTAGAAGTAGTAAGAAAACAAAGGAAAATTGAAGTTGCCTGGTAAATAAATTATGAATGAGGACAAGTGAAAGGTTTACATTGGTATCAGAAGCTTTAAATTTATATAAATTGGATTAATGTAGTAGCCCTGATTACCAACATCCTGTGTGCTTAAACAGGAAAATTAAAACCTGCATTCAAATGTCTGCTACTAATATAACTCATGATTTTCTTCAGTCTTTTCATTTTAGTTAAAGATTTAAATTACGCAAAACATAATTTTGTAATGTGGAATGGTCAGACTATGGATTTTCTTAAATTCAAAAAGTTCTCTTTTAAATCTTGCTTCTACCATTTTACTAGCTTTATGGCCTTGAAAAAAATATCGTTTGAGTTGTCTCAGTTTCCTTATTTTTTATTTTATTTTATTTTCATAGAGATGGGGTCTCAGTGTATTGTCCAGGCTGGTCTGCAACTCCTGAGCTTAAGTGATCCTCTCACTTCAGCCTCCCAAAATGCTGGGATTACAGGCATGAGCCACCATGGCTAGCCTGTTTTCTCATTTGTAAGATAAAAGAAATATGCTTACTTCCTACAGTTATGATGTATACATTGATTAGCACAGTGTCCATGGCCTGGTTAAACAACCAATAAATGGTAGTTGTTAATATGAGGGTAGAGAAGAAGAGGTTTTTATTTGTTTATTGGTTTATTTTTGCAGCAAGAGCAATGGGATTCTGAATGGATAGAAGGCACCAAAGGCACACTTTGCCTTTTCTATGCTTTTGCTTAGGACAAGATGCAGATTTCAACAACACTGTGGCATGTAATGGTGGAGATGAGGTGCAAATGTATCCCCATGTGTCCAGTGTTTCTGGTGAAATAAAGATCACATGTAGTATATTAACGTTGCATCAACATTTGATCTCTTCAGATGATTTTTTCTGGATTTTTGTTTTTACCAACTATAACTTCTCTTCTTATGACTAGTCCTTAAAGAGATAGGCAAGGGAACTGCACAGGCACTTCGGGCAAATGAGAAGTGTATCTTAAAGGTGAATATTTACAAATTCTGTATCCTGGACTATTTAGCAAAGCCATATTTACCAGATCCTGTTTTGAGAGCAGTTTATGGCTGATACTTAAAAGGATTTTTTAAAATCCTTTAAAAATACATATACAATGAGTACAAACTGAACCAGAGTGCTATTTTTTATGTGTTTTATCAGCATATTAACATTCCTCAGCTGTTCATTTCAAGGGGACAATAGGGCCTTAATCATGTCGATATGTGCTGGACTCTTCCACAGGGCAGTACACTGTGCTGCCTACACTGTGGACAAAATAGGGATGTTCTTAAAGTTTCTTCACTTTGCTAAGACCAAACATAAGGCCACACCCTTGAAATGGGTTAGAGTAAAATTGCATTTCAATTTCTATTTTTTCCAAAATCTAGTTTATGTAGTTAATTGATGAAAAGTACTGTATTTTCTGATCAGATATATTAGCTATAAACCTTAAGGACATTTTTCTGCTGCTAATGTAATTACATTACATTAACTGCATTCAACTCTATTTTCAACACTGAAGATTTCACCCACAAAGCATGCTGAAGAAAAGTGCCAGGCCATGAGGCAGTTTAATGAAACTACTTCTGTTTTTCACCCTGACTGTAAAAGTGTAAATGCCCATGCTCTCTGGGGCATTCCAACTCTGAAAGGCAGTTTTTCTTTTTCGTTTTCTTCAGTTTTCAGTGTATAGTAGTATACTACCATGAGACTATTTATGAAACTTCTGACTTAGCAGTTTTAAAACCAACGTTTATCTTTCAAATATGAAATACTCAAATATTGCTTTGTGTACTTGACAGGGTTGGTCTATGCAGTGCAAATGCATACCAAATGTTTTTGGTTCCTTCGTGCTTCCTGTTGGCCTCACGCTTCACTCATGCTGACCTGTTGGGAACCCTCTTCCTGCCCATGGCTTCTCAACTCCTATTCACTATCCAGGGCTCAGTTCAGTTACTTCTTTCTCCAGGAAGCCTTCCCTGATGCCTCAATTCTGAATTAGATGGCATAGATTCCTGTACGTGCCTTACATTGCATTGTAGTTGCCTCTCTATTTAGCTGAATTCTCCACTAGACTGAGTTTTCTGAGATCAGAGACACTGTTTCATTTACAGAGTGTATTTACAGCTGGAAGGGACACAGTTGCTTTTCAATAAGTATTTGTTAGGGTGTATTTTATTTTTGTTAGTAGTTATTCTTCTTTTTGCCCAAAGGTCCGTATATGCTCCCCTCACCCATTAACTTTGGGTGTGGCCCTATGGTTTGGTTTAATCAATGGGAAGTGAGCAGATCTGACCTGCGGCATGCCTGGGCAGAAGATTGAGATGCACTTGCATGGTCTGACATTCCTCCTGTTCTTCCTGCTTCCCACAGTCAGAAAAACATGTTTCCATTAGTGGCTACTCCTCAGACTCAGTGCAGACAGTGAAGACACATAATGCAAGCTGAGCCAAAAAGAGCCCAACAGAGTCCAGTAACATGAACAACAAACTATTTGGTACTGTAAGTTGCTGACATTTGGAGATTGTTTGTTGCCACAACATAAGTTGACTAATAAATAAATTAGTACATAGAAATAAGGTACTACTGTAACAACAACAACTCAAAAAAATCAACAAAACTAAAATATACGATATCCGCACCATGGCTGTTATAGAAGCCCAGATGTTTCATGAGGCTGGAAAAATGACAACCTATACCTGTACTATGCAATGGTGAAAATTTTAGTAAAACTGTCACCTGAGATAACTTGAAAGGCAAAGAAATTTCAAGACAGAATGTTGGTAGCCCAAAATTGCTTTTTACGCTCTATAAGAAAGAGGAACTCAGAAAAGAACTGACCTTTTTGCAAATGAGAATGGAAGGGAAGAGGAGAGTCTAAAGTCCAGAGACAGAATTGAAAGATACAAGTGTTTCTCATCTCTAGTCAGAGAACTATTTTCAAATTATGACACAATTTCAGTGCAAAGACCAAGACAGGGCATGGCTGGTTGTTTTCTAGTTATGTGTACATTTCCTTACATGAAAAAAAATTTAATGATTTTTACTGAATTTGAAGTACATCAGAAATTTAGCAACTTGAACAAATTCTGAATATGAAAGTACCAGAGTAATATGTGAGCAATTTTAAGGATAATTTCAAATAGCGTTTAAAGGAAATATTGGAAGAAGTGGAAACTTTTATTATCTATTAGTTTTTAGATGCCCATTATAAGAATCAGAAAACAAGAGCATAGAATTCAAAGAAGTGAGGGAAAAAGTAAATAAATGAAATTTTTAAAAGAAAAAAGAAAATGAGCAATTATGCAAAGTTCATTGTAAAGTGCCTATGAAAACATTTTTAGCATCCCTCACAATATAAAGTTAATCTTTTCAACTTATTAAGGAAAGTATACCCAATTAATAATAATAACATCAATAATAATAAAGACCCAATCTTGGGGACAAAGAACAAATAAAGACTGTGATCACCACACCATTTGTTAAGACCTCTGATTTCTTTAAAGTGGTCCCCATTAAATCATTTCACTTGTACAACATGGCTCAGGGTAAAGAGAATGTAGATTTGGCCCAATGGAAACCAATAGAGTCTAAATTACTTGTAATTCAACCTAGAGGAAAGTCTTCTAATCATGGATCTGGCTATTGGCAGGAGGAGCTAACAAGAAACAAAGATATTAAAGAAACCAACAATGTTTTTCAAAGATTTGCAGTACCCGAAGTGCTACCAGTTTGAACGAAACAACTTATGACTGAGCCGTAAACTACCCTCGAGCCCTCGACTTTGTGTGAGCAGACTGAATAGCTACTCATCTTCTAAGAAGTGCATTTTCTCCTGAAAAGGATATTGGAAAGAAAGGCCCACCCAGAAGGTGATACCAAGAGCCACGGAAAATCATGGACTCAAAAGCTACCTCCAGAAAACAAAACTGAGTATTGATGAAGCAGCTTTCCTACTCCCAGGTTAGTGGACCTGCTAAAAATTGCTCAATGGGACTCCAGAATTGCTGAGGACCCAGTGATTGCTGGATTCTGCCATCCTTCCTGTTTCTAAATGGGACATTATTGTGAGTTCCCTCATTTTATGTTGCGTATATGTAGTGCAAATAACAAGTCTTTTAGTTTATAGGACTTTGGAATAGGAATTTTCACCCTTGCATAGCTACATTTGGGCATGAGGTATTATCAAGATCCTGGATTTCAAGTTAGATCTTGTGATTGGATGTGACTTTGGATCTTTAGGATAAAGTGATTACATTTTGCCTACAGGAAGGAAGTGAACATTTGTTAAGAAAAAAAAAAAGGCTGTGGTATATTTCACTACTTCACAAATACTCGTTCCCTCCGTACCTTTGCCATCCTTCATTGTGAGTAAAATGTGTTTTCCTGCCCCACTGACTTTGGCCTAGATCATATTACTTTCTTTGGCCACTAGAATATCTGAGTAGAAGTTTTAAATGTGCTTGCATATTTCACTCAGCATAGTACTCACTCTCTTGATTTTGCCCTGCAGAATGAGAACAGCTTGTCCAAGACAGTGGCTTACTCCTATGCCTGGGCTATGGAGTAAAAAGATACTTCTCATGAAGCCAAGGTCTAACTCAACCAAGCTCAGCTAGACTGGGCAGAGCTACCACCCTCTCAAACTTGAGCAAGTAATATGTTTGTTGTTGTAAGTCACAGAGATATTAGGGTTGTTTATTACTACAGAAAAAGCTGGCTAACCCAAGTTCTGAATGAATTTGTTATGGAAAATAAAAAAGGAAGAATTATCATGTTTTTAAAAATGTGTGGTTTAGGTAAGAAACCAATTAAGGGTCTGAATGTACATAACTAAATAAATTCTTAATCAGAATTACTTGTAGGTGGAATTTATGGAGCAACTAGTTCAGCTGCTTGGTTATTTGGCTACTTAGGCAGCAGTTTCAACCTAAAACCAAAAGGAGTGACCCTAGACTTAGTGGGATACAGAAGATTTTGATAGGCTGTTCAGGTACTTTTCCTTTCTTTAAGGAAAATAAAACAAAAAAAATAAAAAGCCCAACTAATTAAGAAGTATCTATGGACCCAAAATCTAAAAGAAATACCAGTGTACATTAGAAGATGGATAATTGATTCCAAAGATGCTGATACTTAAAGAGCCCTGCAGATTTTTTAAAAAAAAAGAATTGCCAAAGTTGAATGGTTGAGATTGACTGCTTAATGTATACAACTTAAGTCTTAAGAAGTTGTACTTGGCACGGAACTCAATTATATATTGTTTGTTCTTTGACTTTTCTTCATCCTGTAGTAGAGATTACTTTTTAGGTGGAAAAATGGCAAAGGAGTTATACTTAGAAATATATTTTGAATGGTATCCATGCATTACTGAGAGAAGAACTGAATTGATGGATGTTGTGGCAAAACCCCAGGGGATTATGAGTTCAGGAGTTAATTAGAAACTCTACATGCAGAAGGAAGTGTCTAAATAGCCTTACGTAGGAAGGTCTATCATCTGACTACAGGGCTGACTAACCTCATCATTCATCTTTCTAAATGTTTTTGCTATTGTGAGTGCTAGCATCATCAGTTATTTTAAAATTCTAGAAAGACATGGTTATAAGTACTGGTCCCATCTCATGAATTGCTAGTTTTGTGAACTTGTAAATAATTCATCATATTCATAAAAATAATAGAAATGAAAAGAGATTAACATATATATGTCCACAACTGTCCTTGTTAAAGAATTAATGTATTGAAATGTCAGTGAATCCACTTACTGAAGAAGTATGTATTGAGTACCAACTGTATGCCAATCTGTTTACTACTGAAGAGTATTTTAAAAAGGACCATCTACTCCAGGAGCTCGTAATGTGACAAGTCTGTCAAGATTCATGCTTGTGAAATAATTAACTACTATACTCATGGTAGTAAATAATTCTTGGGTTAAAAAGAATGTTTCTGGAAATAAAGTCTTGGGACACTTGGAGACAGATAAATAAAAGGAGGCCTAGATAGAAATCTTTACAATCTTATAGGGGAGTTTGACTTAAGAGGAATTTGTTCTTACAGATAAGTGAGATCTAAGAGCCAGAACAAAGATATAGACATAGGTAAGCAGTACAAGAGAGTAACAACATTAGTATCTTAAGGAGACTAAATTGCTGAGAGACTTAGTGCTAAAGGATATATAAATTATGTGACATATTTATACTTGAAAACTTCTGCATGCTTCAGAGACAGTGGTTTTACAGAGACTATGGCTAGCACAAGGAGGATGAGGATAAGCCTGTCTGTTGGGGTCACAGGGGCTCTAGCATCTTTGATATCTTTTACTAGCTCCGTGGATATCACAGTCAGCTAAAAAGAAGCATTGCTGGGACATTAAGGACTTGCCTTGATTTGAGGAGTTTGAGTATGTTCTGGTTGAGAAGTACCAGACTATGAGATCCCATTGTATGCATGAAAATAATAAGTTTCATGAACATACATTGTCCATGACTTCACTGACATGGAATACATTCTTTATTTGCTTGAATGGGTAATACATTTGTAGGTACTAGTAGCCTTTCGTTCTAGAGAGAGCACAGCCAAGAGATTCTGTAGGCCAATAGCTTTCCACATTTTTTACTGTGATCCACAGTAAGAAATACACTTTAAATCACAATCCAATATACACATTCATAACTATGTCTATATTAATATATACTAAGCATTTAAAATTGTTATAAAACCATACTCACTTTATATTTATCTGACTAGGAGTTAGGCTGTACTTACAGTTTACTATAGTTGTGGGGTAAGAGGCTGACATTTCCTTTACTGTCTTTGCTTTTGCTTCCACTGTTGTCTTTGAGTTTTCATAGAGACTCCTTCTGTAGGGCCTGAGGCTTACAGTTCTTTGAGCTGTAATCCCCAAGGAGGGAAAGCATTTGAGTCCTATGATTAAGTCTGTCTTATAGTGAGCTTGAGTTGGGTGTTTCTTTCCCCCATGTAGGTTATGATTTAGAAAAACCCCAGCCAGTTAGGATCTGGTAAATAGTTTCCCTTGAGGGTAGGCCTTGTTAAGAGGAACAGACAACTCTGGATGTATTTTAAAACAATTACTCTTCCCTCTTCCTGCCTGAGGGGATTTTTCTTCCATTTTTACAATGAGAACATAGTAGGGCTCCTAGAGGTAAAACTCACAAATGTGTGGAAGTCTCCTTAACATTGGATGCTTGAAATTTTTAACTCAAACTAGTCTGTACTGAACAGCCAGCAATTCATCAATTACAATTTAAAATATACCTATCAATAATGGCTGCAGCTTCCAGCTTCTCCTGTTGAGTTTCTGCTCCTGGTAAACTGTGATTCTCTGTATTCACCTGTCTGTCCCTTTAGTTTTTGGGGGAAGCAATTTACCTTTTCACATCAATTCTCTGATGAATCTAAGAGGAGCTGATTTTCAGTTTGTTCAGTTCCTTTTTCTTATTGTTAGTATGGGAGTGAAAACTTTCAAGCTCTTTTAATACTTACTTTATTATGTGCAATGCATGCTATTATTTTCTATTCTATATTATTGTATTGTATTTTATTTTAAAAGTTTTGGCTTATGACCCATTAAACTATTATGGTTATATAAGTGCTAAAAGGAAACACAATTGAATTTTTCTATAGCCTGAAAGTGGTGAAAACTTTGACTCTAGAAGCAATTAAAATAATAAATTTGATTAGATAATAATATAAATGTGACTATTAAAACAAGTAAAAATAAAGGCAAATGACAAACTGGGATAAAAATTTGCAACATATGTCACAGATAAAGGGTTAATATCTCAAACATATATATAAACTTTTAAAAATAAAGAAAAAAATGACATAAAAATGAGCTAGATATATGAACAGAGCTCATAGGGAAAATAAATATATATGGCTCTTAAATGTAAGAGAATATTTTACCCCAAGTCATACCAATAGAAGTGCAATTTAAAACTTCACTGAGTTATTATTTCTTTCTTATCAGATTGGAGAAAATCCAAAAGTCTGATAACATACTCTGTTGACAAAGCTGTGATGAAACAGGCACCCTAATACACTGTTTATGGAAACACAAAATGTTACCACTCCTATAGAGGGTAATTTGCAAATACATAGCAAAATTATGCATAATTAACAATCCCATTTCAAGGAATCTACCACAAAGATACACTGGCAAAAATTCACAAAGTTAGGTTCCCAAGGAATTCACTGAAGTACTATTTGTAATAGCAAAGACTGGAAACAACCCAAATGTTTATCCATAGGGATGGGTTAAATAAAACCATCCTGCATCAACACAATGGAGTACTTTGCAGCTATAAAAAGGAATGAGTAATATCTCTAGATATTATGATCTATAGGATATAATCAAATTTTAAAAGGAATGTTTATGATATGCTGACATTTATGAAAGTGAGGAAGAAACAACAAATTTCGGTGAGAACGTAGAGCAACAGGAATTCTCATTCATTGCTGCTGAGAATATGAAATGGTGGAGCCACTTTGGAAAACAGTTTAGCAGTTTCTTACAAAACTGAACAAAATCTTACCATACTCTTCAGCAATCATTCCTTAGAGTTTATCCAAATGAATTGAAAAGTCCTGTCCATACAAAAACCTTCACACAGATGTTTGTAACAGCTTTGTTAATAATTGCCAAAACTTGGAAGCAACCAAGATGTTCTTCAGTGGTGAATGGTTAAACAAACATTGGTACATTCAGACAACAGAATAATATTCAGCATTAAAAAGCAATGCACTATCAAGCCATGGAAAGACATGGAGGAAACTTAAGTGCAATTTACTAAGTGAAAGAAGCCAACCTGAAAAGGCTACATACTGTATGATTTCAACTATATAAAACTCTGGAAAAAGCAACACTGTAAAGATAATAAACGAGTCAGTGGTTACCAGGAGTTGGCAGATGGAGAGGGATAAATAGGTAGAGCACAGATAACTTTTAGGGCAGTGAAACTATTCTGTATGGCATTCCTGTCCTGAGTAAAATGATGAGTGCATGTCATTCTTCGTCAAAAACCCATAGAATGTACCAAGAGTGCACCATAATGTAAACTTTAGACTTTGGGTGAAAATGTGTCAAAGTAGTTTTATTGATTAAAACAAATTTGCCATTCTGGTGCAGGATTTTGATAGTGGGGGAGGCTATGCAAATGTGGGACAGGGAGGATATGGGAAATCACTGTGCCTACTGCTCATTTTTACTATAAACATAAAACTTCTCTAAAAAAGAACAGTCTTTCTAAAAAATAAAGTCTATTTTTTAAAAAACAGAAAAAGAAAGAAAGGAATCATAAACCATGCAAATGGTTACCAACAACAGCAAAAGAGAATAGAGTGGAGAGGACAGAAATAGAAAATGAATTTCTTTGAAAATTCCTTACTATATACAGTTGATTTTGGAAGTATGTAAATATTTTATGTAATTATAAGACAAAAATAAAGTTGAGAGGGAAAATCAAGTTTTAAAAATAAAAAATAAAGTTGAAGAAACAAGTGGTCTAGGTGCTGTGGCTCAAGCCTATAGTCCCAGCACTTTGGGAGGACAAGGTGGGAGGATCACTTGAGCCCAGCAGTTCAAGACCAGCCTGAGCAACATGATAAGACCCCATCTCTACAAAAAATTAGAAAAATTAGCCAGGCATGGTGATGTATGCCTGTGGTCCTAGCTACTTGGGAGGCTGAGGCAGGAGGATCCCTTGAGCCCAGGAGGTCAAGGTTGCAGTGAGCCATGGTTGTGCCACTGTACCCCAGCCTGGGTTACACAGTGAGATCCTATCTCAAAAAAAAAAAAAACAAAACCTCAAGAAACAAATGAGTGTAACATATCTAGTTTACTAACATAAACATACATTGAGGAACTATGTCAAGTGATTTAAAATACAGTAATTTGACTTCATATCTTTCAAATGACATAACCTAAGTACAAAGGACAAAGGATCTGCAACAAAAGGTCTGACATATTTTACTAATCATATTATGGGTAGCTAAATTTATATTATTATCTTGTAGTGTACAAAATCAAATGAGTAATTATGTTGGCATAAGAGATTTTTTGCATAGAAAAGGATACACATTAAGTTATAGGAGGTTAAGGAAAATCTCTCTAGTCCAAAATTTGAATTAAAAACATCAATATGAACTCAACTACTTTAAAAAAATATATGTAATTTTTTTCTAGTTTTCTAATTGTGTCTACTACAAAATTTCAGAAACAACAAACCTAATATCAATAAGCACTCTTAAAACACAGAACATGGTGTCTTAGCACCATTTTCCAATAAAAGGAACTAGCACTCTTTGGATAGATGGGTGATTCCAGTTCTGAAACAGGAAATGTATTGATGAGCCTGCAACATCTTGTCAAGCAGAAAGCAATGAAGTTATCAAAGACTACTAGGGACTTGATAAAAAACTCAGGGATCAGCTTGTCTTATTGACTTGGGACCTTGAGCATCAATAAGGCTAATAACTTCAATGAATTGAAGCAAATCCAATATATTTAAATATATTAAGTTCAAAATAATATTTTAAAAACTTCATTCATCATTATTATTTTGAAAATGGACTATACATCAGGAAAAGCAAATAACTGATGTCAAAAAGATTTACTTTACAGAGGTATTTCAGCTGATAAAGAAATAATAGAATTATGATATCACTATTTTGTAACCCCTAATAAATTAATAGATCTAGGGAATAATAATCAATGGCTGCTAACATCACTGAAAGTGAGACAAACTCTTGCTAAAATACCAAACACAAATCTGATAAAACTCTAGATCTAACTAACAATTTGCAGAAAATAAAGGGGTGGAGGAACATGTTGAATGGCATCATGGAAATATAATCAGAATGAGGGGAGTCAGAACTCTACAAGAGACCATCTGGTTTCTTTAATAATAATATAAGAGAGAGAGAGAGAAGAAATCTGCAATAAAAAGAATTTAGAAAGAAACCTATATTTTAAAAAGAGAATAAAAAGACACATCAACTAGTTGCAATATGCGGATTTCATTTGAATCCTTATTATTTATTTATTTATTTACAGAGACAGGGTCTTGCTCCATCGCCCAAGCTGGTGTGCGGTAGTATAATCATAGCTCACTGTAGCTCTAACCACCCAATGGGTTCACCTTGCCCACTGCCCAGGCAGAGCCAATTTCTCAAGACAGGGGAATTGCAACAGAGAAAGAGTAATTCATGCACAGCTGGCTGTGTGGGAGATCAGAGTTTTATTATTACTCAAATCAGTCTCCCCAAGCATTTGGGGAGCAGAGTTTTTAAGGACAACTTGGTAGGTGGGGGAGAAGCCAGTGGGCCTGGAGTGCTGATTGGTCAGAGATGAAATTATAGTGAGTTGAAGCTGTCTTCTTGTGCTCAGTCAGTTCCTGGGTAGGGGGCCACAAGATCAGATGAGCAAGTTTATTGATCAGGGTGGTGCCAGCTGATCCATCAAGTACAGGATCTGCGAAACATGTCAAGCACTGACCTTAGGAGCAGTTTAAGGAGGGTCAGGATCTTGTAGCTTCCAGCTGCTTGACTCCTAAACCATAATTTCTAATCTTGTGGCTAATGTTAGTCCTACAAAGGCAATCTAATCCCCAGGCAAGTATGAGGTCCGCTTTGGGAAAGGACTGTCTTTGTTTTAAACTACAAAGTAAATTTCTCCCAAAGTTAGTTCAGCCTATACCCAGGAATGAACAAGGACAGCTTGGAGGTTAGAAGCAAGATGGAGTCAGTTAAGTTAGATCTCTTTCACTGTCTCAGTCATAATTTTGTAAAGGTGGTTTTGTAGCCTTTAATTTCTGGGTTCACGCAATCCTCCTGCCTCACCTTGGCCTTTCAAAGTGCTGGGATTATAGGCAGGAACCATCATGCCCAGCCTGGACCTAATTTAAAAAAAAAAATTTTTAATTACATTTATGAGACAATTGAAAATATTTGTATGAATATTTCTGATATTTAAAAATTATTTGCTGAGATAAGGATATTGAGATAATATTTGAAGAAAAAATATGCGTAGCTACATACATTCATATATAAACAGACACACGCACCGGAATATTTACAGACAAAATTATATGAGACTCAGAATTAGCTTCTAAATATTGCAGGGGAGGGGTAGAAAAGAATGTGGGTATTTAAATGAAACAATATTGGCCATGAGTTGCTAACTGCTGGATTGGTGAAACTGGGTAATGCATACTGTCTCATTTGTACCCAAGGGATTTTAATTTAAGGAGGTGACTAAGTCCTGGCACAAAAAGGCTAAAGCCATTGGAAGATTTTTATTACTAATTTTCTGAAAGGAGGGGGCACGTCATGCCACACAGGGCCATAGGGGAAGCACCAGTGTGGTCAGGAGGCAGAAGACAGGAGCAAGAGAAAAATCTAGCCCAAAGCCTTTATTTGGGGTTTCCATGGAAAAGGCAACGTATGGCAGAGTAAATAGCTTAAGACTGGCCAGTTTGAATAATTCTGGTGGGCTCTGGGCTATAGAGATGGTCTCTAGTTGACTGGTACCTGGCCTTGGGATGATTTTGAGCAGGGGAAATATTGGCTCAATGCATGAGAGATAAAGAGATGGTTGGTTTGCATATGAGAGTCATGCTCCCAAATAAGTTGTTTATGACCTTTAAGAATTAACAGGTCTTGGCTGGGAGCGGTGGCTCATGCCTGTAATCCCATCACTTTGGGAGGCCGAGGCAGGCGGATCACCTGAGGTCAGGAGTTCGAGACCAGCCTGACCAACATGGAGAAACCCTGTCTCTACTAAAAATACAAAATTAGCAGGGTGTGGTGGCGCATGCCTGTAATCCCAGCTGCTTGGGAGGCTGAGGCAGGAGAATTGCTTGAACTCGGGTGGCAGAGGTTGCGGTGAGCCGAGATCATGCCATTGCACTCCAGCCTGGGCAACAAGAGCGAAACTCCATCTCAAAAAAAAGAAAAAAAAAAAAAGAATTAACAAATCTTGGGAGGGGCAGTCTCTCCTCAGGTGTGTAAGGCCCCCAAATTCCAGAGCATCAAGAACACAGAAAAGAAAATACAGTTAAGAAAGTTGGTCTGGGCTGGGCGCGGTGGCTCATGCCTGTGATCCCAGCAGTTTAGGAGGCTGAAGTGGGTGGATTACTTGAGGTCAGGAGTTTGAGACAAGCCTGGCCAACACGATGAAACCCAGTCTCTAATAAAAATACAAAAATTAGCTGGATATGGTGGTGCATGCCTGTAATCTCAGCTATTTGGGAGGCTGAGGCAGGAGAATCTCTTGAACCTGGGAGGCAGAGGTTGCAGTGAGCCAAGATCACACCACTGCACTCCAGCCTGGGCAACAAAGACTCCATCTCAAAAAAAAAAAAAAAAAAAAAAAAAAAAAAAAGTTTGTCCTGTGATGAATGTATGCCAAATAGAGAAAGAACCTAAGAAAACACAGAACACATACATGGTGTACATTATACTGTTTTCTCTATTATTATATATTTTGAGATTTTTCAAAATAAAAAGTTTTTAGTAAACTAGGAAGAACATTAGATAGCATGAGTGGACTGTGTTTCCAAAGAGCATTACAATAGCACCCATTATATTGGGAAAAACTCTCAAACCGCATCTTTCCTCTACTCTCACACCAGCCACAACAATCAACACAGATGACTGCCATGATCAAATACGTGTGTGTGTTTCTCCTCCCAACACCAAGCAGCAGACACCAGCTAGGTGTCCTCCAATTCAATTCTGACACTGTTTACCTGGAGACAGTGTCAGGTCCCACAGGCTGGGGTCTCAGTTTACAAGACTGCACCTGCTCCCTTCAGACACCAATCTCAAGTCTGAGCTTCTGGAACTTCTGACCCACTGGCTTCAAGTTGGGGTTCCCATGACCCCCTCTTTGGGTTCGATTAATTTGCTGGGATGGCTCACAGAACTCAGGGAAACACATACGTACATTTGCTGGTTTATTGTAAAGGAGACTACAAGGGATACAGATGAAGAGATGTGTAGGGTGAGGAATGGGGAAGGAACGTAGAGCTTCATGCCCTCCCTGGGCCCACTACTCTCCAGGAACCCCCACATGGTCAGCTATCCTGAAGCTCTCTGAACCAAGTTTTCTTGTGTTTTTATGGAACTTCATGACATCAGCGTTCCTTCCTCCAGGGTGTAGGGCAGGACCCTCTGAGGAGGGCCTTAAGATTCACAATCAGAAAGGCAGGGCAAGAGTAGAGTCCTGCCTTGGGGCAGGTGAATGTTGGGCAGGAGAAGGTCATAGGCCTGTCCCTGAGGTCTAACACACCCAACATTATTTAAAAATGACTGTAACAAGGGCTATGGGGGTTAGGAGCCAGGAGCTATAGATGAAAACCTATATATACATATAGGTGTATATATATATATGTATGTATGTATCTTGTGTAATACCCTATAAGCACAGGCAAGCAAAGCAAAAATGGACAAATGGGATCCATAAAGTTAGAAGGCTTCTGCACAGCCTTCTAATTTATATATATAAATGGGTATATATATCATAACACATACCCATTTGACATGCTCTTTTGGAATATGACTGTTATGGTTTGAATGTCCTCACCAAAACTGATGTTAAAATTTAATTGCCACAGTAATGGTATTGGGAGTGGGACTTTTAAGAGGTGATTAGTCATGAGGGCTTTGCCTAGTTTCTCTACCACTGAATTTGCACTAGTCTTAGTACCTATTTTGATCAATGGCAAATGTTATGCTTTGTGACTTCTGAACCTGGGCCTTAAAAGTTATACATCTTCTATTTTTACTGCTTATAATGCACCTTCAGTAAATTCAGCCACTATGCTTTGGGGAAGCCCAGACAGCCACATGGAGAGAACTCTGTGGGGAAAAATCAAGGTCTCTGATGACAGCTCCAGCTGAGTGCTGAGTCCTCAGTCAGGAATCAGCAAATCTCCCACCATATGTGTGAGACTATGTTAGACCTCCAGCCATCCCAGCACCCTCAAGACACCAAGACACCTCATGAAGAAGAAAAACTACGTAGCCAATCCCTGACTTCCTGATCCACAGAACCATGGACAAATGAACTATTTTTTGTTTTAAGCAATTAAGTTTGAGGTAATTTGTTACCTAGCAATAAATACTTGAATGAAAAATCTAAGACTACCTTGCAAAGATAATTATTTCCCTATGAAAAGAAAATAAAGAACTCTAATACATGTGTAATCTTTAAATAAATTAATGAAAATAAAGAATTTCATTTAAACACACATAAAAATTTACTTCATGATCCATGAAAGGGTTCAATTTCATTCTTCTGCATATGAAGATCCAGTTTTCCCAATATTACTTATTAAAGATACTGTCCTTTTCCCATTCTGTGTTCTTGACATCTTTATCAAAAATAAATTGACTGTAAATGAATGGATTTATTTCTGGACTTTCTATGCTGTTTTATTGGTCTACGTGTGTGTTTTTATGCCATTACCATGCTGTTTTGATGACAATAGCTTTGTAATATACTTTGAAATCAGGTAGTGTGATGCCTCGAGCTTTGTTCTTTTTGCTCAGTTGCTTTGGGTATTTAGGGTCTTTTTTGGGTCCATATGAATTTTAGGATTGTTTTTTTCTATTTCTGTAAAAAATGATGTTCGAATTTTGATAGGGTGGCATTGAATCTGTAGCTCACATTAGTTAGTATGGACATCTTAATTCTTCCAGTTCATGAACGCCAGATATCTTTTATTTGTGTCATCTTCTATTTCTATAGTTTTTAGTATACAGATATTTTACCTCCTTGGTTAAATTTACTCCTAAGATTTTGATTTTTTTAAAAATGTTTATGGATACATAGTAGGTGTATATATTTATGGGCTACTTAAGATATTTTGATATGGCATACAATGTGTAATAATCACCTCGGGGTAAATGGAGTATACACCACTTGAAGGATTTGTCATTTCTTTGTGTTACAAACATTCCAACTATACTATTTTAGTTATTTTTAGATTTATAATAAATTATTGTTGACTAAAATCACCCTGTTATGCTGTCAAAGACTAGATCTTATGCATTCTAACTATATTTCATACCCACTAACCAGCCTCACTTACCCACTCCCACAACCCTTCTCAGCATGTGGCAACATCATTCTACTCTCTATCTCCATGAGTTCAATTGTTTTGATTTTTAGCTCCAGCAAATGAGTGAGAACATGCAAAGTGTGTCTTTCTGTGCCTGGCTTATTTCACTTAACATAATGTCCTCAAGTTCCATCCATGTTATTCCAAATGATAGGATCTCACTCTTTTTTTATGGCTGAATAATACTCCACTGTATATATGTACCACATTTTCTTTATCCATTCTTGTGTTGGTGGACACTTACCTAGATTCCACATCTTGGCTATTGTGAGTAGTGCTGCAATAAACATGGGTGTGCAGATATCTCTTTGCTATATTGATTTCCTTTCTTTTGGGTATATACCTAGCAGTGTGATTGTTGGATCATATGATAGATCTATTTTTAGGTTTTTGAGGACCCTCCAAGCTATTCTCCATAGTGGTGGTACATTCCCATCAATAGTGTATGAGGGTTCCCTTTCTCCACATCCTCACCAGCATTTGTTATTGCCTTTCTTTTGGATATAAGCCATTTTAATGGGCATGAGATAATATCTCACTGTAGTTTTGATTTGCATTTCTCTGATTATCAACAATGTTGAGCACCTTTTCATATACCTCCTTGCTATTTGTCTTATTTTGAAAAATGTCTCTTCATATCTTTTGCCCATTTTTTAATCTGATTATTAGATTTTTTCCTATAGAGTTGTTTGAGCTCCTTATACATCTGGTTATTAATCCTTTGTCAGATGGATAATATGCCAATATTTTTCCCATTGTCTGGGTTCTCTCTTTACTTTGTTGATTGCTTCTTTTGCTGTGCAGAAGCTTTCTAACTTTATGCATCCTATTTTCCATTTTTGCTTTGCTTGCCTGTGCTTGTAGGGTATTACACAAGAAATATTTGCCCAAACCAATGTCCTAGAGAGTTTCCCCCAATGTTTTCTTTTAGTAGTTTCATAGTTTTGAGGTCATAAATTTGTCTTTAATCCATTTTGATTTGATTTTTGTACATGGTGAGAGATAGGAGTCTAGTTTTATTCTTCTGCATGTTGATGTCCAGTCTTCCCAGCACCATTTATTGAAGAGATTATTCTTTTGCCAATGTATGTTTTTGGCACCTTTGTTGAAAATGAGTTCATGGTAGATGTATGGATTTGTTTTTTGTTTGTCTCTTCTGTTCCATTGTTCTACATATCTATTTTTATGCCAGTACCATGCTGTTTTGGTTACTGTAATTCTGTAGTATAATTTGAGCTCAGTCATGTGAGTTTTGCTCTTTTTGCTCAGAATGGCTTTGGTTATTCTGGGTCTTTATGGGTCCGTATAAATTTTAGGATTGTTTTCTATTTCTGTGAAGAATGTCCTTGGTATTTTGATAGGGTATGCAGTGAATCTGTAGATTGGTTTAGGTAGTATGAACATTTTAACAATATAATATTGATTATTCAAATCCATGAACATGGAATATCTTTCTATGTTTTCAGCATCTTCTCTAATTTCTTGCATCAAAGTTTTATAGTTGCCATTGTAGAAATCTTTCATTTCTGTGGTTAAGTTTATTCTTAGGTATTTTATTTTATTGTAGTTATTTTAAATGGGATCACTTTCTTGATTTCTTTTTCAGATTGTTCACTGTTGACATACATAATAGAAATGCTGTTGGTTTTTCTATGTTGATTTTGTATCCTGCAACTTTATGAATTTATTTATCAGTTCTAATAGTTTTTTGGTGGAGCCTTTAGGTTTTTCCAAATATAAAATCATATCCTCTGCAAAAGAATAATTTGACGTTTTCCTTTCCAATTTGATGCCCTTTATTTCCTTCTCTTGTCTGATTTATCTAGCTAGGACTTCCAGTACTATGTCGAATAACAGTGGCAATACTGGGCACCCTTGTCATATTCTAGAACTTAGAGGAAAGGCTTTCAGTTTTTTCCCATTCTGTATGATACTAGCTGTGGGTCTGTTATGTCCGTTATGTCATATATGGCTTTTATTATATTGAGGTATGTTCCTTTTATACCCAGTTTTTTGAGGCTTTTTTTGGTAAAGGAATGTTGAATTTTTTCAAATGCTTTTTCAGCTTCAATTGAAATGCTCATATGGTTTTTGTCCTTCATTCTGTTGATGTGATGTATCTCATTGGTTTGCATATATTGAACCATTCTTGCATCCCTGGGATAAATCCCACTTGATCATGTTGAATGATCTTTTTAATACCTTGTTTAATTAAATGTGCTAGTTGTCAGGCCTCTGAGCCCAAGCCAAGCCATCACATCCCCTGTGACTTGCACGTATACGCCCAGATGGCCTGAAGTAACTGAAGAATCACAAAAGAAGTGAAAATGCCCTGCCCCGCCTTAACTGATGACATTCCACCACAAAAGAAGTGAAAATGGCCGGTCCTTGCCTTAACGGATGACATTACCTTGTGAAAGTCCTTTTCCTGGCTCATCCCGGCTCAAAAAGCTCCCCCACTGAGCACCTTTCGACCCCCACTCCTGCCCGCCAGAGAACAAATCCCCTTTGACTGTAATTTTCCTTTATCTACCCAAATCCTATAATACGGCCCCACCCTTATCTCCCTTCGCTGACTCTCTTTTTGGACTCAGCCTGCCTGCACCCAGGTGATTAAAAGCTTTATTGCTCACACAAAGCCTGTTTGGTGGTCTCTTCACAGGGACTCGAGTGAAACTAGTATTTTGTTGAGTATTTTTGCATCAATGTTTATCAGGGACATTGGGTATAGTTTTCTTTTTTTGACATGTCTTTGGTTTTGGTATCAGGGTAATACTGGCCTCATAGAATGAGCTTGGAAGGATTTCTTTCTTGGGTTTTTTGAATAATTTGAGTAGGATTGGTATTAATTCTTATTTAAATGTTTGGCAAAATTCAGCAGTGAAGCCATTGGGCTCAGGGCTTTTCTTTGCTGGGAGACTTTTTATTACAGCTTTTGTTGTTGTTGTTGTTATTTTGATTCTACAGTAAAAACAAAATCAACGGCCAAATGACTCAACTGCGATTGTGCCAGTGAGAACCTCAGGAGCCTAGCAGAAGATAACGCTGGGAAGGGTTCAAGGAGCTAAGCCGAGAGTTTTGGCTGCCCACCACAGGTAAGAGAAATTTTGGAGTTTAAGTCTAGCCAAGTTAGAAGGGCTTGGTAAACACTTCAGGCTTTCCATTGAATTAGGAATAGAGACTACATGCATCAAAAGAGCATCAAGACTGAAACATAGACTTGTCTTGACAGGAGAAAACCAGACCTCCCCCAGTTAAAAGCAATCTATCTGTAATTTAACTGCCTGCTAGAACAAGACTTCACCACTTTTCAGAGGAAGATCGAGAGTCTCTGCAATCTATTACTCAAAGCATAACAAAAAAAATTACTAGACATGTGATGAAATGGGAAAATGTGACTTATACTAAATAGAAGGTGACCAACCAAGGACCTAGGTGTTAGAATTAGCAGAAAGAGACTTTAAAATAACTATGACAAATATGTTAAAACATCTACAGGAAAAGATGGATATAACATATAAAGAAATGGGTAAATGAAGACTAAACATATAAAGAAATGGGTAAATGAAGACTAAAGATTGGAAAAGCAGAAATGAAACTGATTTTATTCACAGACAACATGGTTCTATATGTCTCCAAAAATCTATTAGTCCAGTAAGTGTATTCAGCAAGGCTGTAAGATACAAAGTCAGTATTTCTATATTGTTTCAATGAATAATTGGAAAATAACATTTAAAAATATATACCCTTTATAATAGTGTCAAAAATATAAAAATGTATAAGTTTAAGAAAAGGTATAAAGGATCTCCACTTTGAAAACCACGAAACAGAAAAAAAGAAATTAAGAAGCTTAATAAATGTATGTATATGTCATGCACTTGGTTGGTTGCAAGACTCAATATTGTAAAGCTGTTCTTCTCCCCTAAGTGATCGGTAAGATTGACGTACTTCTAACTCAGAATGGGTTCTTGGTGGAAATTAATAATCTAACATGAAATGTTATGTTATATGCAAATGCAAGGACCTAAGATAGTCAAAATCTTGAAAAAAGTAAAAGAAAAATGTTGGAGGACTTAGGATAACTGATTTTAAGACTTATTATAGCACTACAGTAATTAAGACAGTGTGTTATTTGCTTAAGAAAAGGCCAATAGATGAATTAAACAGAATAAAAAATCCAGAAGTAGACCTTCCCATATATTCAGCCAATTGACAAATATATTGGCAATTCAATAGGGGAAAGAAAATCTTTTCAGTAAATGATGCTGGAACAACTGCATATCTGTATATTCTGACCTGTATATCACAATGTATTAAAATTTTACCAGAGCCAGGCTCAGTGGCTCATGCTTGTAATCTCAGAGCTTTAGGGGGTCCAGTTGGCAGGATTGCTTGAATCCAGGAATGCAAGACTAGTTGGGCAATGTAGTGAGACCCTATCTTTAAAAAAATTAGCCTTAAGTGGACTGTTAATCTAAAAATAAAAGAGAAAATTGTAAAGTTCCTAGAAGGAAGCATAAAGAATATCTTTGCAGTCATGGAATAGGCAATGATCTTTGATATATAAAAAGCACCAACTATAAAAGAAAAAAAATTATAAAATGGACTTTATCAAAATTAGAAACTTCTGCTAATCCAAAGATACTTTTAAGAAAATGAAAATGTAACTCACTACCAAGGCTTAGCGGAATTATATTACACAGGTTGGATGTAATGAAGAGAAGGGTTTAATGAAGGTCTCTTCATTTTAGATTCTTGCAGAAGAAAAATAAATAAATATGATAAATCTAAAAAGTGAGACTTGAAAAATGGGCAAGAGAGGTGGAAGTTTAAATACTAATGTTAATATCATCTTACTCACATGAAAAGTGTAGAGATAAATTTGACAGTTGATGGAATAATCAGTAGCAATTTCAGTATAATATTTAAAGCTAGAAAGTAACAAATAGAAATCAAAGTAGTGATATAATTATTAAAACTGATAGTAAGGAAAAAGAAATAGGAAGTAAATGAGTGAACTAAATCTTTACTCTCTGTAGCTGGGAGCCAACAAATGATATCCAAAGTTGATAAACCAAGAAAATGTCAGTAAAATCATGTTATTTGGAGTCATCTGTGTAAATAATTGTGAGAAAACAAACATTTAACCTCTGGAAAACTGGTTTAGGAATGGAAAAGAACAGAGAAGGGAACTTTGCTTTTTGTTTTATGTCATTATCTAACATTAGGTTTTTTCCCCATGCATGTGTATATATTGACTTTTTTTAGACAAATATGGTAGATAAATAGATAGATAATAGGAAGGGGGGAGGATAGGATGGAGAGAGGAACACCTACATACCTAGAGGTTCTCACTGCATAGTGAGATATCAGGTGATTTTTTCTTCATTATATCTTTTTGTATGGCTTGGATATTTTACAAAGAGTAGGTAATATTTTTATAAACATAAGACGAAAATAAACTGTTTCCCCTTTGTAAAAAAAGAAAATCTTAAATTAAAACAAAAATCAACCTTGCTGAGTATTTTATTGCCTCCTGGAAAATAACATCTGGTAGTTTTGGAGCTATCTTGTGGGAAAACACTTTTCATAATGTCAAAGTATTATTAACTTCTTGATTTGCATCAGTGTGTTACATTGAAAACAAACCACTGTTCTTTCAGTGGATGAAGTCTGGAGAGTCCTCAGCCTCAAAATGCCAGGTAGGACTGAAGAATAGTTGCCTACTACTTAAGCAGAAAGTTCTCACAATAATAGAATTGCTGTCAAATAACATTGAGTTCTTTGCAATTGCTATGGAAGTAAAGAAATCCAAAAAATACCCTTATGGTAATGTCTTTACAATTTGTACTGACATAAGCTCTTTTGGGATTCTTCTCTAAGATTAGGTTTACACCCATAATTATGTCATCATGTATGCAGAAGTGTCATTTTTTGCTCAGTTCATGTAACTTGTTTATAAGCCTGGGAGAGCAATAGCCAATGGTGATGTTCAGAGCCATCTGCCACTTAGATACCAAAGCCTGTCATAGTGTTCCCACTAGAACTGTGATGTTGGTTCATCTATATCTTAAATTAGGTGTGTAGGGAGTAAATTACATGCCCATAGGAATGCATTTTATAGCAAACAGAGTAGTATTCCAAAAACTAGTCATCAGGTTATCTTGGCTATTGTACATGCAGCACATCTGGGAATTATTCTCAGGAAAACACTGGGTAGAAGCTCTGACTAGTGGCTTGGACTTTGTTTGACTACTGCAAGGACTGGAAAAAAAATATAAAGCGCATATAAAGCTACATTGTGTAATCTACCAGAGTTTACTCCAGGATACTAATACTGAAACCCTGATCATGAATTTTCATTGATTTTGTTAGATTATATTAATGGGTTATGATAGACTCCTTCACAAATGGCATCAAAATGTTTCCAATTCTCTCATTTCTTTAGTCACAAATCTGGGCCAAATATTTACAATATAATTTTGGCTATAGATTGCATTTTCTAAAAATTGAATTTCTAAGAACCTTGCTTAAAGAAATACAGCATAATAGTTAAAAGCAGGGATTTTGAGGTCAGACAACCTGAGTTTGAATCTTTTAAGCTCTATTTGCTGTATGACTTTACTCAACACACTCAGTGTGAACCTCAGTTTTCTCATCTATAAAATGGAAGTAAAGTATAAATTATAGAGTGTTATAAAATTAAGGTAATTTATATAAATCACCTAGGGTAATGATTCCCAAGTTGTGTGCACATTGGATTTTCCTGAGGAGTTTCAAAATATGTTGATCTCTGTGTCTCATCCCAAGTGATTGTGCTTTAAAATTTTTTTTAAGGTCCCAAGTAATGCTACTGTGCAGGCAAGTTTGGGAATCCTTGACCTAGTGCATAACAGTACCTGCATACAGGTGCATATGGTCCAAGTGTTTTATAAACATTATCTAATGTAAATGTTTGTAACAATCCTAACAAGCACTCACCGTAGTATCTTCAATTTCCAAGTGATAAACTGAAATTTAGAGATATTTGGTAACAGAAGCAAAGCCAGATAGCTACTACAAGGCAGAGTCAATATTTAAAGCCAGTTCATCTGAATCCAAAGTTTAGGCTCTCAGTTATAATGCTGTCTAGCTTCGAGAGAATTTCCTATTCGTAAATTTTTCACACTCAACTGAGGTAGAGTATATTGACAATATCACTTTCGCAAAAAGGAAAAGACCTAGAGTTAATAGTACCTACTCAGTATGTCATAGAAACAACCCACTTTTTAATCACTTCTCACAGGCATGGTCTCAAGCTAATGGTTGGGCTGAAAGGATGGGAAAGACTACTGAGGATTGTTGCAGATAATTGGATAAGAAGATTAGCTATGTTTCTCATTTATAAACATGTCATTTCATGTTACTAAATAGTCCTCAATCCTATTGAATTTTTAATGGAGTTTTGCATTAAAACTCCCTCAAGTTTCTTTCTAGATGCATCAGGGACTCAAAAGACAAAGGTAACTTCTGAAAGTTATACTCAGCACTTACTTGTCATGTATCTATACTACAGTAATTAGTATTTATCAAGAACTGGACTAATGTGGGTTCCAGCCACAATAATTGAAACATGGTCTATGTTCAACAAAGTCCAAGATACAAGTAATAAAACATCACCATATATTACCTGTGACCACATCCCTCACAGAGCCATCTTGAACTGAATTTTTGATTCCATCTTCTCAGGACCAACTAGAATAACTGAGAGATGTTTTCTATTCTCTGCCATAATACCTGGGTAACCAACTAAAGAAGAACAAAGTTGGAAGACAAATACTATCTGATTTCAGGGCATGATGGTACTCAAGATAGTACAGAATTGGCATAAAGACAGACAAACAGATCAATGGAACAGAATAGAGAGTCCAGAAATAAATCCATAAGTGCATAGGCAACATTTTTGACAAAGGTCCAAAGGCAATGCAATGGAAAAAGGATAATTGTTTTCAACAAATGTTTCTGAAACACTTGACTATGCATATATAAAAAGCCTACTCTGATTCATACTCTTTACCATATACAAAAATTAAGTCAAAATGGATCAAATATTTAATGTAAAACCTCAAAACTAAAAAACTTCTAAATAACAATATAGTATAAGAACTTTGAGATCTTGGGCTTTTGGTTAGACAAATATTTCTCTTTTTTGAGACAGGGTCTCATTCTGTTGCCTAGGCTGGAGTGCAGTGGTGCAATCACAGCTCATTGCAGCCTCAAATTCCTGGGCTCAAGTGATCCTCCTGCCTCAGCCTCCAAAGTACAGGCATGCACCACCACACCCACCTAATATATTATTACTATATTATTATTTGTAGAGACAGGGTCTCACTATGTTGCCCAGACTGATCTTGAACTCCTCCTGGCCTCAAGCTGTCCTCCCACCTTGGCCTCCCAAAGGCACAATCCATAAGAGAAAACAATAAAATGAAATGTAATATGCGCAAATCACATATCTGATATGGGACTTAGAATATAAAAAGAACTCTCAAAACTCAATAATAAGAAAACAACCCATTAAAAAAAAAAAGAACAGATACTTCATCAAAGAAATATATGAATAGGAAATGAGCATATTAAAAGATGCTTAATATCATTAGTCATTAAGTAAGTGCAAATTAACACCACAATGAGATACTACTGACCACCCAACAGTGAGTCTACAATGAAAATAACTGACCATACCAGGTATTGGTGAGGATGTGGAACAACTGGAATTGTCATTCACCACTAGTGGAAATTGAAGTGGCTCAGCCACTCTGGAAAAAATTTGGACAGCTTCTTAAAAAGTTAAACACACATCTACTGTATGATCCAGCCATTTCACTCCTAGGTATTTACACAAGAAAAGTGAAAACATATGTTTGAATGGAACCATAGAAAAATTTGTATACAACTATTTACAGCACTTTTATTTGTAATAGCCAAAAACTGGAAATTATGCAAATGCGCCATCAGCAGGAGAGTGGATCAGCAAATGTAGTACATCCATTCTTCAGGAATGAAAAGTAATGGATACATACAGCAACATGAATGAATCCCAGAATAAAAAAGTAAAAAAAAAAAAAAAAAGCCAAACAATAAAAGAGTAAATACTCTGTGCATAATTTCATTTATATAAAATTTTAGAAAATGCAAACTAATATATAGTGACAGAAAGCAGATCAGTGGTTACCTGCGCTGGGGAAGGGGAGGTAGGAAGAATTAAAAAGAGGCATGAGCATTATCCAAAGCGAAATTAATACAGAAATAGAAAACCAGATACCACATATTCTGACTTGTAAGTAAGAGCTAAACGGTGAGTACACATGGACACAAAAATGAGAACAATAAACTTTGGAGATTCCAAAAGTGGGGAGGGTAGGAGTGGGGGAAGGGTTGAAAAATTACCTATTGAGTACTATGCTCATTACTTGGGTGACTAGCTCATTAGAAGCCCAAACCTCAGCATCACACAATATACCCATGTAACAAACCTGCACATGTACCCCCTGAATCTGAAATTTAAATAAACGAATAAAAAGAAGCATGAGGAAACTTTTGGAGGTAATGGACATGTTTATCATCTAGCTTGTGGTGATGGTTTTACAGGGGTATGCATACATCAAAACCTATACACTTTTTTTTACTTTATTGTGGTAAGAGCACAACATGAGACCTACCCTCTTAGCAAACTTTTAAATGTACAATATATTACTATGGACTATTATATATTTTTATGCACTTAAATATATGCTGTTTGTTTTATGTCAATTATACTTCAATAAAGCTGATAAAAATTAAAATTAAAAAACCTCTTTTTGCTTAAAGATTTCATTAGCTAAATAGAGGAAGCATTGCCAAGTATGGCGAGGATATTTTTGTTTTATATTGTTTCTTTTGATTATAAGCTGCAGTGATTTCTGATAGGGTTAGATTTCTCATTTTTCAGCAATAAAAGATCACTGTGTTAAAAGCCTGTTTCATTATTTAAAGACACTACAAATATTTTAATCAATTGTCTGGGAGAAAATAAAAAGTCCTCGTACCTCAAAAAGAAATTAGCTGTACCACATATCAAAGAAGGTTGCATAAAATTTTACGATGCCAATTGTTTTAAAATTCAGTAATTGGCAAGTGTATTCAACAGTTTGCAGATTTATCTCAGGTATTCTGACCCATTTATTAAATCAGGCAATTACAAAAGAGCACCACCAGTGAAAACATGCATTCTCATGAATAAAGATATATCCGCCACACTCAAGTACCTTTAATATCAGAGCTTCCATTTCTGAAGCTTTGTTTGTCCTTTTTGGCCTTTATTTTCAAAAGGTAAATGGCACAGCAGATTCTTTAAAGACAAAGTTACATTTCAATAAGCTGGTCTTGGGATTTGTTGTTCATGTTCTGTGCTTGCAGTTATTTATTGCTTTATAAAGGTTATAGGTAGGTAAATATGGCTAAAGGTCGATAAAACAGAACATTTTATGGAACACCCTATTGGTTTAACATATTACAACTTTTAGCATTTAAAATTATTTTAAAGGATGAATATCTTAGAGTTATGAGACCTGAGATATTCATGGCATATCTAAATGGGAATAGATGTTTTTCAAATACTGACAGAGAAGATCCCATTACTTGCTTTTGTAATCTAGCTTATGGTAATACTACCATAAAAGAAAGGTCTAAAAGTAAAATCCTGTTTATTCAGAATTCTGAGTAATGAGATTATAATAATTAAATATTGTGGCTTATAGGAATTGCCATATATTATATACCTGGATTTCAAATTTTTCAAATAAGTCAAATATAAAAGGCACTAAAATGAGACTCTACAATACCTAAAAAATTTTTGAAAAAAAACATAAAGTGAGAGGAATCACTCTATCTCAATGTTAAGACCTATTATACAGCTATAGTAATCGAATGGTGTGCTATTGATGGAGGAAAATGTGGGTAGTTTGACGGAATAGAATAAAGAACCCAGAAATAGCCTACCCTATGTCAATAGCCATATCCTGGTTGTTATATTATACTTTTGCAAGCTACTGCCATTAGGGGAGACTGGGCAAAGGGTACAAAGGATTTCTCTGTATTATTTCTTACAACTGAATATGAATCTCTAATTATCTCAACATAAAAAGTTTAATTTTAAAAAGACAACAAAAATAATTTAAAAAATAAAATATGTTTCTGGTTTGTTTTAAAATAAAATACAAGATTTTACAGTTTTGACAAGTGCTTTCATTATGAGGATGAGTTATACATAGGACTATAAAAAAGGTCTTCTTTTTTTTCTTTCTTTCTTTTTTTGAGACAGAGTCTCGCTCTGTAGCCCAGGCTGAAATACAGTGGCACAGTCTCGGCTAACTGCAACCTCTGCCTCCTGGATTCAAGCAATTCTCCTGCCTCAGCCTCCCAAATAGCTGGGATTACAGGTGTGCACCATGCCTGGCTAATATTTGTAGTAGAGATGGAGTTTCACCATGTTGGCCAGGCTGGTCTCAAACTCCTGGCCTCTAGTGATTCACCCACCTCGGCCTCCCAAAGTGCTGGAATTGCAGGTATGAGCCACTGCACTCAGTCAAAAAGGTCTTATTATATGAAATTTCTAGTTAATTGGGTTTTTAATGAATGGGCATTACCATACACATAATTACATTAATAAGACCTCTGGTAGTTCTGGCAATTACCCCGTAATCTTTTCCAGGGGCCAGGAAGGTAAGCCTTAGTTAGTTGTCAACCTGGAAAGCTGCTGGTGTCTCCATGTGCAACCTGTGTCTAGGTCATCTGTGCAGTTATCATGTAATCCAGTAAGAAAAAGATATTCTTCATCAGAGCACCAGAATACTTAGATTTTGCTGCATCTATTCCATAATCTTGAAATATATAAGTAACATTGTCAAGAATACACAAAATGGAAACAACTCATTAAAATGTTTACATGAAATTACTTTTGCACACTATGTAGGCAAGTAATCTAACCCAAAATGTTATAATGGATGTTATATTTGTGAAGGTTTGTTTTGGTTTGGTTTTTCCCTAAAGTAAGATCTTTCCTGTGTTTTAGAAGAGATTGATATTATAATAGTGAGCTGGTAAAAATGCAATACATTTTGAATTAGATAAAAAATTTTAAAACATGATCTCATAAACTTTTAGAGCTTTATCATTTTTTTCTGCCACTCCATTCCTACTGCAACCATCTTGATTCATGAAGAACCTTACCTCACTTGACTTGTCCGAACAATTTAAGCAGCTTAATGATTGTTTTGCCTCTGACCTATTTCTCACCTCTCACCCCTAATCCATCCTCCAGACTACCCTGGGTGATTTTCCTAATAAGCAATCTGCTCATACCCTCTCTGCTGGAAAACTAGTCATTGCTTCTGATTGCCTAAAATACAAAGTCTAAACTTTGCTTCACATTCGAGGTCCTCTGAAATCTAGGCCCAACTTACCTTGCTAGTCTTATACGTGCCTCTCCTAAATGCCCCTCCCATACTCTATACAGGCCATACTTTGTGTTGTCAGAACACACCATGCTTTTCCTCATGCAAGTTCTTCCATCTAGAATGTCCATATTTGTCTCTGCCTGGTTAATTATCTCACTTCCTCACTGAAGCTGTCCTCAATATCCTAAGACAGTTCATCACTTCTTTTTGCTCTCACAGGATTTTGTATGGAATAATAACTACTATTTACTGAGCGCTTACTAGGTACCAGGCACTGTGCCTAACTAAGCATTTTACAGACGTGATCTCATTTAATCTTCCCAGCAGCCCTATGAGGTAATCTGGCTTTTTTATGGTGTCTTCTCATTCATTGTTTTCCTGTCTGTATCCTCATTAGAAGAGACTAATCTTACTCATCTTATCTGAACCACCTCCTACTATAAAAGTCTGATCAAATTAGGCACTCAATAAATGTTTGTTGAGTGAATGACTGTTGGAATGAATCTAGTAAAATACACAAATTCAATAGGGCACTTTAAAAAGTAACTTGTTATAGAAGATTGACTTTACCATACTCGAATGCAGCCAGAACCCTGAGAATATGCTTCCTAATCCAAGTAGCTCTCTCCTTGCCTCTGGCATGCTGCTTGAAATCCCCATAGTCCTCAAAAATGCCTTCAATTTCTTTATTATTATTCTTACTGCCACCAACCTAGATTAGACCCTGTCTTGTCTCTTGCTTGATCTACTCATCCACTTTCAGAATCTGTCACTTTTATTACTTTATACGTTAGAAAAGATCCATCTTCCTAAAATACAAGTCAGATTATATATTTCTACACATGCGGTGGCTTGCACCTGTATCCTCATACTTTGGGAGGCCAAGGTGGGCAGATAGCTTGAGCCCAGGAGTTCAAGACCAGCCAGGCAACATGGCGAAACCCCGTCTCTACAAAAAAAATATGGAAATTAGCCAGGCGTGGTGGCGGGCGCCTGTAGTCCTAGCTACTCAGGAGGCTGAGGTGGAGGTGGTAAGGTAGAGGATCACCTGAGCCTGGGAGGTCAAGGCTGTGGTGAGCTGTGATTGTGCCACTGTACTCCAGCCTGGGTGACAGAGTGAGAGAGACTCTGCCAAAAAAGAGAAAGAAAGGAAGAAAAGAAAAGAAAGAAAAGAAAAGAAAAGAAAGAAGGAAGGAAGGAAGAGAGAAAGAAACAAAGAAAGGAAGAAAGAAAGGGAAATAAAGGAAAGAAAGGAAGAAAAGAAAAAAGAGAGAGAGAGATTATATATTTCTCTTGCTCAAAAAACATACCTTTTCTAGGAGTCTTTTCTCCCAGCCTGAATTTCAGAAATCTCCATAGTCTGGCCCCAGATTTATCTACCACTGCATTCTAAATTGTGTAGTCCAATCAACCTGAAAGAGTCCCCATTCTTACCTCTATGTCTTCATTTATTGTAATCTTTCTGCCCATCTGGGCTGCCTCTTTCTCCACAATGTCTATAAAAATTGTATCTCTTCTGTGACGCTTTTCTAGAACACACCAGTCAGATATAACCACTTTTTCCCCCATGTGCTTATTCCACTGACAGCATGTAAGAGACATTTTGAATTTTAAACTATCTCGCATAGTCTAAATTTAGCTCTTTGAGCAATCAAGTATACCTTTTCAGTTAACTGCCTGCCTCATAAGTGATCTCCTTTTTTGAACGTGTCTTCTTCCCCATACCAGGTGAGTCCTCTGCAGCTGTGCTTCTACCAGATTAGCCTTTCTTGGAACATAAGCCAGTCAATCGGGAATGGAAACCTGATCATGCTGGGCTGGCTAGATTCTCTCTCCAGAGACTATGTACTTGGGACGACAAAAAAAAAAAGCTTTTTAACCTACGTCTGTCTCCTAAATGGAGGAGCTGGGAACTAGAGAGTTGTTGCCCACAACCAGTAGTAATATACCTGTGAGAGTGGGTCCCACCAGCATGACGTCTTTGCTTACATTAGTAAAGGCAGCCCTGGCCGGGTATGGTGGCTCACGTGCTGGGAGGCTGAGGCAGGCAGATTGCTTGAGCTCTGGAGTTTGAGACCAGCCTAGGCAACATGGGGAAACCATATCTCTATGAAAAATGCAAAAATTAGCCAGGCTGGCATGGTGTCATGCGCCTGTAGTCCCAGCTACTTGGGAGGCTGAGATAGGAGGATCGCTTGAGCCCAAGAAGTTGAGGCTGCAGTGAGCTGTGTTCACAAGACTGCACTTCAGCCTGGTGACAAAGTGAGACCCTTGTCTCAAAACAAAACAAAACAAAACAAAACAAAACAAACAAACAATAGAAAAAGGTAGCCCTCTAGGTAGGTGCAGCTTCAGATTCTGGGCCCAAATGTATAATGTGTGCAGTGACCTTGGGTAGCCATAGTACTGTCCTTTATAGCTACAGAGGCAGAAAGCTGGGCTGCTGAAAGAGCAGGATGGACCAGATATGTGAGGGCAAAAACAAAGAATAAACAGAGAGAGAGAGAGTACTTGAGAGTGTGCTGCTGTCGGTTCCTGTCAGCTTTCCTGATACTGGGTATAGACCCTATAGAAACACTGTTGCTTGTGTTTTTCTTGGGAAAATCCAGTATTCTTTCAATAAACTCCCTTTTTAGTTCAAGGGCAAAATAATTCCTGTTTTAGGCATCTAGTCCCTCAAGGCCCAGGGTAGCTTTTTAGAGTAACTAGCAATGTCAGGCATCTGGTGGACACATGTTGAATGTAGATTGGACCACTGGTTTTTAACCTTGACTGTAGATTAGCAATACCTGGAATGCTTTTAAACCTACCCATGCCTATGCCCTGGTTTCTCTTCAAAACGAATAAACCTACCCACGCCTGCATCACACGGGAGACCAGTTGAATTCAAACCGGGTTAGATGAGCGGGCACACACATTGATATTTTTTAAAGCTTCCTTTAACCCATTTGAGATCAGGGTTTATCTTCATTTGGTTAGATGTTATAAAACTATATATACTGAGGGAGAGCTGGTACCATACTAAGCCATTTTCATTTACTAACTCATCTATGTTGAATCAGTTATCAGATTATACCATCTGAGGAAAGACTCGAATAGTTAGGGTAAGGGTTGCATTGGGAGCGGTGGAGGCAAGTGTATAAAACAAAGGAAGGACGGGCACAGAGTTTAGTACATATTTGTACCAAACAGCAAATTACCAGGGCACAAGGAGTAGCTGCATAAGCCAGCAGCTGATCAAGCAGAAGGAAATGGGGTTACCATCATCTATTTCATTTCAAAAATATGAAATTCTAATTTTAAAAATATATATATTTTTTAAATTTGCTACAATTTTAGTTTGAAGGTCAAGCCAAGACAATGTGACATCCTGATGAGATCAGCATAATCTCTAGGTCAGCATTAAAGCCCTTTATCTAATTATTAGTTCTATATCAATAATTTAATGAGAAATGATGTCATTATTAGGAAGCAGCATAAACTTCTAAGAATACTAAAATGTATATTTTTAAGGCTCTTTTCTTGATTTTTCCACACCTCTCCCTGAAAGCAAATATGACTACATCCTGCTTAAAATGTTAGTACTGTGCCTCTTCTTAATGTATTGTCTTGTATTGTGGCTGTTTCAGTGCTTGTCTTTTGCCTTCTATTAATTACAAGCTCCTGGAGAAAGCAGTCATGGTTTTAACCTTTGTAGCCCCCATAAGAACCATTCTTCAATTTACAGCATGTTACTTTTATGTGTTGTGTTAGACATATCAGTTAGGCCTACGTTCTGCTGCAAATAATGGTAAACCCTACCACAGTGGCTGAAACTATGGCTTTATTTTTCTCATATAACAAGAAATCCAGATATAGGCAGGCCAATGTTGGTGCAGCTTCTCAAGGAAGCATTAGGGACACACATTCTTCTCACCTTCCTGCCTCTGCTGTCCTAAGTATTTAGCCTGTCATTTTATGGTTACTAGTTACCTGCTGTACCTCTAGGCACTGCATTTGTTGAAGGCAAGAAGGAGACAGGTTCAAAAGACCAAAAGGGGCTGGGCACAGTGGCCGTCTGTGTAATCCCAGCATTTTTGGAGGCCAAGGCTGGAGGATTGCTTGGGCTTGGGAGTTCGAGACCAGCCTGGTCAACATGGTGGGATCTCGTCTCTACAAAAAATACAAAAAAATTAGCCAGTTATGGTGGCACATGCTTGTAGTCCCAGCTACTCGAGAGGCTGTGGTGGGAGGATCACATGGGCCTGGGAGGTAGAGGCTGCAGGGAGCTGTGCGATTGCACCACTGCACTCCAGCCTAGATGACAGAGCAAGACCCTGTCTCAGAGAAACAAACAAACAAAATAAAACAAAAAGACCAAAAGGAACATTCCAGTCCAGTCTATCCTAAAAGTTTTCCTGGAGTCCCAGCCAGTAACAGCTCGTTGATCAGAACTAGACACATGGTTACTCCTGGGCCAATACTGGAAGATGTCTAGGAAGAAAGAAATTGTGGATAGGGTTGGGTCAGCCAGAAACATTGTACCACAAGGTTTGAGTCTAATTGGAGCTGAAAGGAATACAAAGATTATTTGGCACCCCCTACTGAGATCTGACAGTGGAGAAGACAGTGGCACAGAAATGTCTGAGATCCATAGCCAGGTAATGGTAGAAGAGAGACTAACCAAAGATTCAGTTATTATAATTCCTAGGCCATTTCACATTCCATGTAGCTATACATGGACCATTAGAACTACCTGTTTTAGAAGCTACAATTCATTTCCAAAGATGGAATTTAGAACATTGGAACTTTATTTCAGCTGTCTGCAAAATAACCTCCCCCTTCCTATAAATCTTCAAAGCAACAAGTGGGAAGAAAGATCCTGCAGTCCTCTGACTTGAAAGAAGACAAAATAAACTGTTCAGAATTTGTGTAGGACATGTCCTTCATCAGCTGTCCTCTTGCTCTTTATAATATGGGAGGTTGTTTTTAAAATCTCGAATGCATAACAAATTCAATAAACAATGAACATTCAAAAGTGTTCAAGTATAATCCCAGTTTGCTCTTCTTCCTTAGTATACACTGCCATTTAAATTTTTTCCTAGAAAAAAATTTTAAAAACGTATTGTTGCTATCAAATGACCTTAATCCTGGTCCTTGGCCAAAAGCTAAACAAAACAAAAAAGGCTTTACTAAGTGCATACCATTGAGAGAATTATCAATCATAATTTTTTAGTTTCCCTGAATGACCAGTTCTAGCTCCCTAGACATGATATGCACATTGCAGCAAGAAAAATAAAAATGTGTCTCCACTTTAAACAACTAATTTTCTACAAAAGTGTTGATTATTACTTGTCTATAGCTGTGTGACTTTTAATCATTATGAGTGTTAATCAAGCACCACTCATACATCTTTGTGAAGTATGATAGTTTCAGTTCCTATCCTCTAAGAACGTACAATATGATATGTCAAAAATAGAAGCACGCAAGCTAAATTTAAGCTGGGTATAGTAGAGACTCTTTATATAAACATGTCATTGGAAGCTCTTCTAATACCACCATTATAGGCTGCCAGTGTTATAATAAGCTTTTTTCATCACAGTAAAAATGAGAGTCAATAAAGTCAGGTTTATACAACTAAAGTTTAAAGCTACTCAGACCAAGGTTCACAACCCATACTATTATAGACCAGGATATTTTACTTCTTTGAGATCAGTTCTCATCTATAGTGGGGGTAAAAATAAAAGGCTCCAGTTATTGAATTATAGCAAGAATTAAATAAAATAAGCTTAACATAGTTTCCCACAAATAGTAAGTGCTGAATAAGTAATAGCTATTGTTATGTTTAGGTTGATATAATTAAACAAGACAGTAGATACATGTCTTTGAAACAGTAAATCATGTTAAAACAAATCAGTTGTATTTTTATCATGTTCAAACATGTTTGAGCCTAGATTATGTGGACTTATAATTTTTCATAAATATGTCAGTAGCCTTATACATATATGTTTAGCATATATGTTTTTATATCATTCATCCATCTGCTGTAATGTGCAGCTATTTTATACCACTTTAAGGATTTATTCAGCAATAATCTGGCTACTACCACCAAACTCTGTTAGGGAGAATGATTTCTATGAGAATTTTACTTCATAGGCTATCATTTTAAATAGAGGGAGGTGCAGCAAAAAGATGTTTTATCATAAATTTTGTAATAACCCTACATAGTTTTCCCAAGTCAATTTTAATCTGTTTGGGGTGTGTAGTTTATCGGTTATATTTCAGTTTCCATGTCAACAGATGCAATCATTGCATACACATTCTGCAGCTGGGTAGACAGGCAGTCTCCTCTGAGACTTCAGCTTGCAAATAAAGCAGTGTGTGAGTAAGAGGCAAGCATTCTTCTCCAGGAGACTTAGCACTGCACTTCTAGGATACCAGTCTCAGGTGATAGCCAAAGCAAGGCTTCCAAATACAGCTCTTTCTCCAGGTTTCTCATGGAACAATTGAGACATCTTTAACCAGGGCATAAAGACACTTCCACTTCTGCTTTTAGAATTTGGTAGTTAGGTTAAATAAAACACAATGAAAAACTGTACACTAAGTACCTGGTTCTCATCCATCTCTTAGGATTTCCTGTGTTTCTGAAGTGGAAATTTATAAAAACACAGTTGAGTTGTTCTGAAAATAAAACTTAAATGATGAAAAATAAAGTCGTAGAAATCACCGCAAAAAAAGTAGGAACCAAAGAAACTTCTGTAACAAAAATTACCTAAGATTCTTTCATGATACTGTGAAACTGAGATTCTGCATTCATTTGAGCTACTTCTAAACACAGTGAAATATTTTATATGTAATTGATGCAGTTAAAGGAAAAATAATTTTACTTTTTGTTACGGAAAATTTTCAAACGTACACAATATTAAAAAGAATAATGAAATGAGCCTTTATATACCCACCTCCCAATTTATCAGTTATCAATATTTTGGCACTTGTTTTATCTATATACCCCGCACAAATTTTTTGCCAGATTTTATCAAAGTAAATCATGTAATTTCACTCATAAATATCTACATCTCCAACTGATAAAGATATTTTTTAAAAAGTAACGGTTATGCTGTCATCTATAACAGCTAAAAAATGAACAATACCTAAATATTTAAAAATTCTATTTTAAGTTAATAATATAAAAGAGATTGATGTTGACAGTTGTATATTATGTTAAAGTCATAAATAAATTACTTCCATAAAAAATTTTAAATTATTTATTTTTTCCACGGAGAACAAAATACTTTGTAAACATTGTTTGTTGTCCTGGGTTTTTCTCACTCTTTTTCTAGAGGAGGGATATATAAACTTCTAGTTAGTTCTTGTCATTTTACAATAACAAGGATACCCGTTAAAGAAGCTAATCTTTGCTAACTGACATAACATCGGGGATTCTCTGATTCTGTCTTCAGTTCCTCTTCAGTTGGCCCAGAAGTAAGTACCAAGAAGTTATCATTTCCATATGACTGTCATTGCTTAAAACTAGCTAGTATGAGCAGGACGGTGGCCATGGAAGTCGAAATTCGCTAAGGAGTGTCAAACAACTCACCTGCCGAATCAACTAGAAGAGAAAAAGAAGAAAAAACAAACAAACAGAACTAGCTAGTATGTTCATGAAACCTATCTGTTTCATTTAAGGCCATTGACCAAGCTGTTTCTCCATGAAAACCTTTCTCTTAGAACGACTCGTGTTCCATTTGTGGAGTACCAGTCTGCCTTTGCCTTTCCACTTATCAACTTCTGTAGAGGGTCTTTCTGATGTTTCCCTTGTCAATGTGTTTGTGGCTTCTCTGCCTCTTTCTTTAGCTTTGGGGATGTCTTTATCTGCCTCATTTTTCTTTTTCCCCATTTTCATCTTTTGTTTCCTCTCTAATCTCTGCTTCTCCTTCCTAGTTGTTAAATTTATTGAATATTAGGCGATATTTCCTATTCTTAATCTTCAAAATAGATGACAGAGGATAACAGACAGACATGTAAAATGTAAAACTACAAAACTCCTAGAAAACAAAATCGGAGAAAACTTAGATGACCTGGGGTATGGCAATGAGTTTTTAAATACAACACCTAAGGCACAATCCATGAAATAAATAATTGATAAGACAGACTTCAGTAAAATTCAAAACTTCTGCTCTGTGGAAGACAATGTCAAGAACATAAGAAGACAAGCCACTGAATGGAAGAAAATATTTGTAAAAGACATATCTGATAAAGGACTGTTACCCAAAATACACAAAGAAATCTTGAAATTCAACATTAAGAAAAGAAACAACCTGATTTTAAAATGGACCAAAGACCTTAACAGACACATCATCAGAGAAGCCATATAGATAGCAAATAAGCATATGAAAAGATGCTCCACATTACATGTCATTAGGGAAATGGAAACTTAAAAATGAGGTAACGCTACACATCCCTTATATGGCCAAAATCCAGAATACCAATGACACCAAATACTGGCGAGTGGAGGAACAGGAATTCTCATTCATTGCTGGTAGGAATGCAAAATGGTGGAGCCACTTTGGAAGAAAATTTGATGGTTTCTTACTAAACAAACTTTACCATATGATCTAATAATCACAATCCTTCATATTTATCCAAAGGAGTTGAAAAGTTATGCCCACACAAGAATCCTTATGCAGATATTTATAACAGATTTATTCATAATTGCCAAAACATGGAAGCAACCAAGATGTCCTTCAGTAGGTGATTAGATAAGTAATCAGTAATCTATGGTACATCCAGACAACAGAATAGTATTCAGCACTAAAAAGAAATGAAGTATCAAACCATGAAAAGACTGAAGGAAACCTAAACGCATGTTACTAAGTGAAAGAAGCCAAGCTGAAAAGGTTGCATACTGTATGATTCCAACTACATGACCTTTTGGAAAAGGCAAAACTATGAAGACAGTAAAAAGATCAGTGGTGCCAGAGTTTGGAAGAGGAGAGAGGGATGACTAGGTGGAGCACAGGGTATTTTTAGAGCAGTGAAGATACTCTGTGGAATACTGTAACGATGGATACATATCATTATACATTTTTCCATAGAATGTACAACAACGAGAATGAATCCTGGGACTTTGGGTGATTGTGGTGTGTCAATGTATGTTCATCAATTGTGACAAATGTGCCAGTCTGGTGTGGGATGATGATAATGTGGGATGTGGTGCTCAAGTGGAGGCAGGGAAGTGGGGGAATTTGTATAGGAGATATCTGTATCTTCCTCTGCATTTTGTTGTGAACCTACAACTGCTGTGTAAAAGACTCTTTAAAAATAAGAAATAGATAAAACAAAGTCCTTTAAAAAATTAATTTAAAAATAGATGAGATAAACATTTGGGGCTTCTCTAAAAGAAAATAAAATTGTTTTTCACTTATTTTTTTTTCTTCTTTCAGACTGGTAGCTCTCTTAGCATGTTTTGTTAGAATACATATTTAAGCATTCTAGTAGTTAGCTAGCTATACATTGTATGTTTACTGAAGATGATTTCCAAAGAGCTCTAAGCAGTTTTGTAACTGGGAATTTTATTCATTCTCATGGCATGCGTGCTCATAGGACAAAATACATTGTATGATGCTCTGATATTTGGAAAGGGTCATATGGTTTAGAGAGCTTCAAAACATCACTCAGCAGATGAGTGCAGTCCCCTTGCTAGTGCTCAGTGTTTTACCTAGAAAATTTGTAGTTATTCCAATTGGATTATGTCATTAAATACAGATCTTGTCAGCCTTGTTAAACCCTTACATCTAGAAGGTGTCTTAGAGACTAGCCTAAAATTCTTTCATTTTATTCATTGGGAAATTAAGACTAAGGGAGGCCAAGGATTGCCTAATAAGTTGGAAATGGAGTTAGAACTAGAATCTCAGTTTCCTGACTACCAGTCCAGTACTTTCTAGAACTTTCCCTATAATTTTGGGAAATACGGAATATGTTGCATGGTGTGAGAGGGCAGTGCTTGCTCTCATCAGTATAACACGCTTTGTGAGTTGTTTTCCCAGGGTCCCTGATCCTCCCACACTCTTTAAGCCAATGGGGTCTAGAACAAAGGATTACATTAGGACAGTGGCTGGAGCAAGAGTATGATGGAAGAAGGTTTAATTGGCTTTTGTTAGCATCATGCTGGAATGCAGCTAACGGTAATGTATTAATACGTCAGGATACCCTTGCAAGGGAATTTCAAAATAGAAAAATCTCTCAGTGGAGCAGAAAATATTGAAATAACTTGTAAAACAGCATTCAAGTTTACATCTGTGAAAGGGAAAAGATGTCCATTCTTTCCTCCACCTTTAATGATTCACTGCATTTGTTGGCCTAAAGCAGTTGTTGTCATTTTTATTCTGTTTCATTAGTAAGTCCCCAAAGAGCATGTCACTAGATTTGATTATATGATGACATGTAAATGAGAAAACATGCCACAATGTTTTTTGTGTGGATAAAGTGTCTTACTAATAACAATGGGGAAAATAATAATATGCAGGCCCTAAATACTTGTGGAAGTGCTTTAATGCCAATGCCTTTTGCTCTCCAAAAGCAACCTCAGGACATATGTTTTGGTTTTCAACTCTCAAAATAGATAAGCTGTATTTTAAGGCACTGTTTTCAAAATTATTAGCTTTATTTATATTTATGTTTAAAAGAACTCCCTTTAATAATATCATTTCAGAAACAAATAAATAATAATAAATGACATCATTTCATTGAGAGAGTAAACAGTCAACAATTCATTGTAGTTTTTAAATAGGTTAGAATTACAGTTACTGCTGAAAAATCACTGTTCTTCATTCCGTGTTTCCAATGAGAAAAATAAATCAATATTAGAAAATGTCATTTTGGTGAGGTTATTAACAACCTTAAATTACAGGGAGGTTCCTCTAAAGAGGAAAAAAGGATGATAAAACACGTCTACTTGAAATGGCTTCATAGTTTAAGCAAACAGCATAGCCAAAAAATGTCCCACCCAGCAGGAAATGGTAACAGCCTTAAAATAGTCCAGAGCAATAGACTGTTTCAATAAAAAGTTAGGGAAAAAAATCAACCCACGACATCAATTGAATTTTGACTGAGACTGTCAAAGATTTGGGCTGGAAAAACATAATGCTAGGGAATCTAAAACCCTTAAACAGTAGTGGAAAATGCAGACCCTTGGGGAAAAAAATGTAGGATAATGCATAAAAATAAGGTATGGATACTGATCATATGTTGTAATTCCGTGTTTTTCTCTCACATTAAGCTTTGAGTATAAAACTGAACAATGTCACAATATAGCTACTTTATTCAGTCTTACTAAAATATACTCACTAGAAGACATACTTCCAGATCTTTATACTTCACATCTAACTCATGCTGTGAACTACAAAAATATCCCGACACCCTGAAAAATGTTCGTAAATTGTAGTAGCTCCCCCCTCCCATTATAATATCAAACAATCAAGAAATATAAATAGTATGTAGTCACAGAAGTTTATATAATTGAAAGAACTGAGAACTTCAAAGTTGGTTTAAATGTTTATATCCTAGTTGCCAGTCCATGGGCTTGGATAGGTTATTTACTTTCTCTGAGCCTCAGTTTTCCTTATCTATCAGATGGGACTAAGAATATTTACCCTATTGGGTCTCCTTTACCACTTAAGCAAGATTACATATATCTTAGTGCATGATAGATGCTCAGTTAATATTTGTTTCTTACATTTTTCTGATTAGGATGCAGCTGGAATTAAAACCTAGAATTTTTTTTTTTTTTGAAACGGGGTCTCGCTCTGTTGCCCAGGCTGGAGGGAAGTGGCATGATCTTGGCTCACGGTGACCTCTGCCTCCCGGGTTTAAGTGATTCTCCCACCTCAGACTCCCCAGTTGCTGGGACCACAGGCAGCGCCACCAATCCCAGCTAATTTTTGTATTTTTTAGTAGAGATGGGGTTTCACCATGTTGCCTAGGCTGTTCTGTAACTCCTTAGTTCGAGCCATCCGCTGGCCTCAGCCTCACAAAGTGTTGGGACTACAGGCATGAGCCACCGCACCCAGCCTAAAACCTGGACATCTTAAAAAGGAGGCTGGGCTGGGCACGGTGGCTCAGGCCTGTAATCCCAGCACTTTGGGAGGCCAAGGCAGGCGATCACAAGGTCAGGAGTTCAAGACCAGCCTGGCAACTCCATCTCAAGAAAAAAAAAAAAGAAACAGGGCAGTGCTTTTTCCCCACAGATTACACAGACTGTTGTGATAAACTGGAAGGCCACCCTGGGAAGAAGGCTGGGGAATAAAGATTTGTCTAAAGAAAAAGAAGCCCTAATAAATTTTAGACTGTTCAGATGGATAGTGTGATAAGCAAGAAGATGGCTGTGTATGTATTAAGCATGGAAATGATGTGGCACCCCCTGTGTCTCTGACATCTAGTGTATCATAGGAATCTTGGTGGGTACACAAGTACTCTAACACACTGGGCTGGGTGGTGTTCTGCATTGCATTTTAATCTTTTCTTGCAAATCTCAATTTTTCTCAATGAAGCCTGGTAACTCTTTTTTTTTTGTGGGGACAGGGGAGTGGTTCTTTAGCAATTTAATTCTCAATGTATGCTGTTGTGACATTTGTTTTACAAAACACAGGTAACAGTTAAGGGACTAGTTAGCATTTGTATAGAATACCGCCACCTTTTGGTTAGATTTCAATGAGAAAGGCAGATGCTTTAAGTGAGCTATCTGAAAATACGTTTTTACAAAACTGATTGGGCCAGGCAAGAGCTATCTCAAATACATTTACTTTTATATAACAATCCTATTCATGGTTGGATATAGCATTGTCTGGTCAAGATAAGAGTGTTTCCTCTTATTTTCTACATACTCAGTTTCTGAAAGTGCTCTGGGAATGCCACTCATTCGGCAACAACTGGATAAGCCTAAATTGGTAGTTGTTGTCCTATGATATGGAAGGTTAAAGTCACTGTGGATGGCCATTCCTACTTAAGAGATGATGTTTTGAGAAAACTAATATATCCTCATCAGCTAACTGAAGCTTCACCATACTTACTGCGTGTCATCACTCAGACATTGCCATGCGAGGTTTGTATTTTTTAATTTTATTTCTGGGCCTATCTTTAAGAGCTTGCTTTACATTTATCACCAGCTTTTTACAGATGAGAAAATTTCAACTTAGGTTAAACACAGGAAAAGTCACAGCTTGAGTGGGACAGAGGTGTCTTGGAAACCCTGTCTGATGACTCCAGAAACCATTCTCAGAAGATGTACGTTGTATTCCTGAAATAGTCATAATTTATTTCCCCTGATGTCAACTCATCTTCTAAAGTAGAAAACAAGAACTGCCATGGCAAATCAGTGGGAGGCTGACCCTGTCTTCCATTCTTTCTTCACCTGCCCACTCTTGAAAATTCCACGTGCTCCAATGACTTCAATCTACCCACTTATTCATCCTGCAACCCCTACCTTAGCCTCTCTCTCTCTCTCTTTTTTTGAGACAGAGTCTCACTGTCACCCAGGCTGGAGTGCAATGGCATGATCTCGGCTCACTGCAACCTCTGCCTCCTGAGTTCAAGCGATTCTCATGCCTCAGCTTCTCGAGTAGCACGCCACCATTCCGGCTAATTTTTGTATTTTTAGTAGAGACAGGGTTTCACCATGTTGGCCAGACTGGTCTCAAACTCCCAACTTCAAGTGATCTGCTCGCCTCAGCCTCCCAAAGTGCTGGGATCACAGGCATGAGCCACTGCGCCTGACCCCTTAACCTCTCTCTTAAATTCAAATTCCAAACCCACATCAGTAACTTCTGGCTAGAATATTTCACCATTACAGAGATTAAACTTGACTAAAGTGGATGCTCCTTTTTCTGAAATAATTTTCCCTTCCTAACTCTCCCTAAATCACTCCTGATTTTTCCTTCTTCCTCTTCCCCCACATCATCTCAGTTACATAATCCAATTAGTTGGTTAATTGATTTAGCTCTTAAATATTTATTGGATGCTCATTTTGTCCCCAAGCACAGGGCTGGGAGCTAAGAATTTATCAACGCAAATCCCTGCCCTTGAATGGATTTCAGATTCTTACTTAATGTCTTTCACATTCAATACTTTCTTTCCATGCCCACTGGCAATGTTTTAATCTAACTCCTTGTCTTGTCAGGGCTGGTCCCTTGCAGGAGTTTCCTAGCTGGTGGTTTATCTGCTTCTATTCTCCCTCCTTGTCCCCAGGCTCGCCCCCATTCTTAGACAGTACCTAACCTTTCTATTTGTTACTAGCAGGAAACTCTTTCTGAACCCTACTTGGGAAGGTTCTTCTTTGCTCATATGCCATTAATTGTTGTTATTGCTGGCAGAATTATGTTCAAACCTATTAGTCTGTGTTTTAAGGATCTTTACAATCTGCTCCTCCATTTTCAGCCCTACTTCTTACCATAGGAATAGTTATTAAAGCATGGTCTTAGATTCCTTCAATCAGAATCACATAGGTATCTTATTAGAGATACAGATTTCTTGTCTGCCAGTGAATCACTATCTTGCGCTACATCTGAGAAATTGGAAAGCAGTCTCTGACATCCAGGAGCTGGCTGGGCTTCGCAGTGAGGCCATGATGTACTTCTGTTGAACACAAGTAATTTCACAGAATGCCAACATTAGACAAGGCTCTTTGGTGATCATGATGACCAATCTGTAATCAAGAAGAAACACAGACAAAAACAAGAACATTGTGCAAACCAGAAGAACAGACAAATATCCCCCATCCTGGTGAGTATGACTGCCTGTTGCTTCTTTACCAACTACAGTTTCAGCATTCTTTGGTTTGTCCCACCTTCTAGATAAAAATTATTAAGATAATCATAGAAGCGCCTCTGTTTCGTGACAGCACCTAATCCAGAGGAAAAGCCTGTTTCCTTGGACCCTCCTCAAGTTCACCTAGTACAATTCCAAATCCTTTTTAACACCTTTTTATGGAGACACTCCATGGGTTACCCATGGTGTGTAATTTTTCTCTTTGTAATTAATCCTTCAACTACAGATATGTCCCTGGTGGGCTTTGGCTGGAGGGCATTTGACAGATCACATGAATTTTCATTTTACTGAGCTCCTAAAGTAATTCTGAAGTTGAGATTGAGAACCACTGCTACAACCAAGCTGTTGTCTATGTTTTTCTGTAAACAAGTCATATGCATTCTTACTTATCTAATCCTTCTAGCCTTCAAAGGTAACTTATTTTTTGTTTTGAGACAGGGTCTCACTCTGTTACCCAGGCTGGAGTGCAGTGGCACAATCATGGCTCACTGCAGCCTTCACCTTCCAGGCTCAAGCCATCCTCTACCGCAGCCTCCCATGTAGCTGGGACCACAGGTCTGTGCCACCAAACCTGGCTAAATTTTTAATTTTTTCTTTTTTTGTAGAGACAGGGTTTTCCCATGTTCCCAGGCTGGTCTCCAACTCCTGGGCTCAAGCATTCCTCCCACCTCGGCCTCCCAAAATGCTGTGATTAAAGATGTGAGCCACTGCGCTGTGCCCAAGATAACTTATGTCTTCCTTCATCACTGAGGGTCCCTGAGCTGCCATCTCACATCATCTCCCCTTCACTGAACTCATACCAGTGACACCCACTTGGAACCAAGTACAGACATTGTATTGCTCCTCACCCTTTAACATTCAGTTCATGGCCTTCCTCTAAAAAACTATGGCTGTTCAACACCAGACCTTCAGAGAAAAAGCAATTCCAATCGCATCTTCCTGAACCCTGCTTCGCAAAGTCACTTTTTGGCTCATACATCTTTTGTGACTGCTATTGCTGGCAGAATAAAGTTCAAACATTTCAGCCTGTTATGAATGAACAAGCTGGGCTGTTTAATATCAGACACTTCAGAGCAAAAGATAAGAAAGAGAGTGAGTTCTAGAAATACTGTCTCTCTGCCAGGGCCAAACCTAGGAAGAGTCCCCAAGGAAGGTTCCAGAGGACAAACAGGAGATGAAAAATCTGGCTTTGATGAATATGAAGGAGGACGGTAATAAATGAAGAAATGAATGAAAAAGAATGAATGAATGCTTGTGCTCCTAGTGAATTATTTATCATCAGACAAGCTTGAATAGCCCTACATGCTGATTTCATTTCTTTCAGGTGTTTTATCTTTTTAAAGAAATTGTGTATGTAATAACTGGGCTCGTGGTGGTTATTATTGTTTGATAACCCCTTTTTACCTCCATTTACTTACCCCTTCATTCATTCCACAAATATTTTTAGGAGACTTTTCATGTGTGAGGCACTGTGGTGGGAACTGGCAGTACACATTTAATCGAGAAAGGTCACTGCTCATTGAAAGCCCAGAATTTATTGGTGGAAATAGATAATTAATTATGGAATTACTCTAAATTATGTTTAAAAAACAACTATTCAACTGCAAGGGAGGGACTCCTGGAATAAATTACTTTAAATGGACACCTAATGAATTAGAAAGAGTTAGTAATTTTACAAAATTGTAGTGAATCATATTTAAGATATGTATTAAGGTCTTTTTAAAATATGCTCTATATATCCACTTGTTCAAATGAAAATTTTTAAAACCCAAAGTTTTAGAAGTTATTTTCTAAGGTCTTACCTCCCTTCAATATACTGTAACAATTGCTAGCTGCCTGTTTTTAAGATATTGCATTTCTGCCGGGCGCGGTGGCTCATGCCTGTAATCCCAGCACTTTGGGAAGCCAAGGCGGGCGGATCACAAGTTCAGGAGATCGAGACCATCCTGGCTAACACGGTGAAACCCCGTCTCTACTAAAAATACAAAAAATTAGCCGGGCGTGGTGGTGGGCGCCTGTAGTCCCAGCTACTCGGGAGGTTGAAGCAGGAGAATGGCGTGAACCTGGGAGGCGGAGCTTGCAGTGAGCCGAGATCACGCCACTGCACTCCAGCCTGGGAGACAGAGAGAGACTCCGTCTCAAAAAAAAAAAAAAAATATATATATATATATATATATATATATATATATATATATATATATATATATTGCATTTCTGTCTCTCCAGCATTTTTGTGCTTTGAATCCTTTTATGTGAGTGCATTTTTCTATTTTGAAAAGCATACTGTATAAGAAAGTCCTATGGAGTCTTCTTTAGTAAGGAATATTACCTACTGCATAGTGTCAGATCAAAAAATAGGTCCTCCATTGGGCAATATCATGACACGTCACTGGTAGTGCCTTCAAACAATCCCAGAAGATGCCACAGCTTAAGTGTACTATTGTTCAATTACCTTTTTTCCTAGTACTGTACAGACTGTGTGAGTAGAAAATAACCAGAATGCAGAATCCATGTCTATCTGTTCCACGGCAGCACGTCTTTCCAACACCTAGCACCATTACTTGCGCCACATGGTAATATTCACAGCTTCAGGAAAATGACAATACATCTCCATAAGAACTGGAGAGAACATAACTAATAGTCTAGAGAGGCAGAAGAGGGTAGAAGCAAATAATCCAGAGGACCCTAAATCTCACTAGAGAGAAGACGGTGGCAACTTGAAATGATTCGTGCATGTTGATCCAAAATTCTTGTGGCTTCAGAGGAGGTATACAGAAATAAGTCCGTATAGACTCACATTTCGAATAAGAATAACTTGTGGTTGGAGGGGATTATTGAAGGAGACATGATCATTTCCTTAAGTAGCCTACAGTCTAGCTAGGAGACAGGACTAAAGAATGAGAAACAACCTGGTAGCAATTAAGGGCTAGACGTGAGGTGCTAAGAGCTCAAGCTAAGATGGTGGCAGAGAGAATGATGAGGAGGAAGAAGAACGTGCTTCTAGAATCTGGAGTTACATCCTTTTATATGCTGGCCCATGTCAATTTAGCCATTTAAAAATATTTCTAAAGGGTAACAATGATGCATATTTAACTGATTGAATGCTGATAACTATAACAACTTCCACATCCACTGTCTTATGGAGTCTTCCAATTTGTAAGGTAATTTTAGCTTCTCTCTAGCTGTGTCCATGCAGCCTTTAAGATTAAATACTGAGGTGTCTTCTAAAATGTGCCAATTTTGCTGTCTCTCTGATCCTGCAGGCTTGACATGCTGGCTATTAAGACCGACTTTAAGTGGCCTACTTAAACATAATATGTTTCTGTCTAGTCCTGTCAGTGAAGTGGATCCCTGGCTCTCCTTTCCAGGATGGGCTGGCATGTTATGACTCCTGCCCTTTCGTATTAGTTACCTATTGCTGTACAACAAATTGACCCCCAAATTTACTGGCTTAAAACAGCAAACATTTTTCTTACACAATTTCCCAGGATCAGAAATCTGGGAACAGCTTAGTTGGGTGGTTCTGGTTCAGTCTGTCATGAGTCTGCAGTCAAACTGTCAGTTGGGGCTGCAGTCATCCAAAGGCTTGAATGGGCTGGGAGGATCCACTTCTGAGATCACTCACATGACTGTTGGGCAAGAGGCCTCAGTTTCTCAATTCATGGGCCTCTCCATAGGATTGCTTATGACCAGGCAGCTGGCTTCCTCCAGAGTGAATGATCTTAGAGACAAAAAGAGAGGGAGAGAAAGAGAGAGAGACAGGGAAGGAGAGAGAGAGAGAAAGAACATACTTCCTTTTATGACATGCACCATTAGTTCTACCTTATTTTATTCATTCAAAGAAAGTAAGTCTAGCCCACGCTCCATTGAAGGGGATTACACAAGAATGAGAATACCAAGAGTCAGTGACCACTAGCGGCTGTTCTGAAGGCTGCATACAAAACACCCCTTTATAAAGTGACTGTTCAATTATTTATTTGAAGTTGTTATCTTCATTTTCACATGTATTTATTAACTCCCTCATGAAGTTAGAGTGAATGCTAATCTGTCTGCATGTGAAGCTATTTGAAGTTAATATTTTATACTTTAACCTCAAAATGAGAGTTCCTCTTCCTCCTACTGACAGATTTTACCCTTTTGAGAATGAAAATATACTTGTCTTTTCCCCCACTTATTATCTTCCACTGAAAGCTGTAGGTTACCATTTCTTTCTTATTTTGATTTGTAAGGTTGTCAGGATAACAGCACAAAGCATTTCTTATACTCACAATGTCAAAAAGAAAATAGAAAATTCTTTCTCCTCCTTACTGCCAACTGAAAATATTCATATCCAAATCCTTCGCCACTCAGTCAACAAGCCAAACCCTATTCACTGTCGAAGTGAGCAACTGCCAACAGTTTCTTCATTTATTCGTATCAAATAAATAAAGAACTGTACTAACCTGAGCATTGGTTTATTTTTTAAATAATTGAAACAATTTGGTGCTTGAGTCTTCAGTGTTTAAAGGAAGCAAAAATTAACCAACTGAAACATAACGTTATTACATATTACCATGGCTTGACTCTGGGCACGATTTTTTTGCAGCCAGAAATAAATTGAATATGGGAAGTCAAGGTCATGGCCTCTGGCACTCAGGAGTTTATAGTCAGGGAACATATCAGAGCTTGGGTCCTGAAACGTAACTGTTGTCAGTAAGAAAGCAAAGACTGTTGCTTGATACTTTATTATGAAGAAAAAAAGCAAGCAAGAAAGCAAAGACTGGCCTGATAACACTCTTCTTGCCTTTAACGAGGTTGTGTAGATTTTGTCCTTTCTTAAATTCATGTCTACTTTGACAGCACTGAAATTGTCTGATGAGGAAATAATGCTTTTAAAATACCCATTATGGGATTCTCAGACAGATCTCTCCTGCCTTTGTAGATTTTAGATAGATTCAAGTATATGAACAGATTGAAGACAGAACTGTATTCCATTCTCACTTCCATCACAGATGTGCTAACTTTGGCAACATCTCTGAGCTTAATTTCCTTAAAAGTGAAATAAGAATAATAAATATCTACACTTGGAGATATATTTTGATGATTGAAGTGTATTAAAATACTAGTAATAGGGCTCTCACATAGTAGATAGTCAAAAAATGTTGCTTCTTCTTCCTTTTGTGTCTAATCAAAATATGCTGGAAATAATTCTGCAAGAGAGATTTTCACAGAGTTGTTGCTTCATTTTCTGGCTCTACTGGAGAATATGGGTATGGAGGGGAGCTTTTCTACCTTCTGCATGCAGGACATTACGTTGTTAACTGTATTCCGAAAGCTTAAAAGAGAATTGGGCTGAATATTTAAGTACTCCCCAAAGTCAATGCAAGATATAGGAAATTATGCATATTAGAATGTTATGCTGCAACATGATACATTAAGTCCCGGTGAAGCTGTGGTTCCTAATTCAGACTGTATTAAGTTTCTCTGCTTAAATTTTATTATAGTGTAGATCATCGATATCAAGTGAATCAAGCCAACTATGAAAGCATCAGTAATAAGAGAAAAACATTTTAATGTATTAAGAAACCACTCTATGAAATTTTACACAAAACACACCACTTACTTCAGATACATTTGCTGGAAAGTTGCTAATGTTGAGTTTTATATTAATTTATGTTTACCAAATGCTTTGCAATCACCTTTATTACTCATCTTCAAAGACTTTTGGTAATGGATCAAACCAAACCACCAACCTGGAGAAGCGACTTTGCTAAAGTAGAAGGCACCATTACCCCGCATTACAATTGAAAATTTAGGATAACTTGGTCTGCAGTCTTTCGTAGAGCCCCTTTCACTGTCAAAATAACCAAGCATAGTCTTGAACCTTTTCACAAACATTCTATCTCCCATTAATTGAAAGCCATACTATCTCCTAAACTCCTTCTCTTTGCCCACAGAGCCAGGAAGAAGAATCAGCACACTCTACACTTTCTGCTCCTTCCAAGCTATTTATCATTCCACTAGAAACTTTCACTCAGATCCTTTTCCTACCAGAACTTAATGTAACCCTCTTCTTGTCATACCATCTTGGTTTCCTTGTTATAGCCATGCTTGATATATTTTTAAGCAATAACCCCAACTCTGCTTAGTCGTCTTCATCTCACACTACTCAAATTCACAAAGGACCAGTATATAAACCATGGTTCAACTTTAAAAATTAACAACGATACATATGACTATAAAGAAAACAATTACACATTGTAAAAATTAGGGCATTTAGTCCATGCACACCAATTTATAAGGAAGCCTCAGTAGAATCACAAAGCTGTTTGGTGAAAAGGAAGCAGAGTAGGTAAAGTTAGTTAGATGGTATTTCTAGTTTATGTCTTTCAGCTATAATTGCCTGGCACCCCTCTTCACTAAGGGCCATGCTGCTAAATAGACTGGATATTTGACCAGTTTATCAGGAAGCAATGTTTTGTAACTACACTGAAGGTACACAAGCTTCTATAGTCTTTTGCCTCCCTCTTACCAGAGCCCATATGCATGATTGAAAACGTGGGATATATTCTTTATCTATATCTTATCTTTTTTCCTTTCCTTCCTTCTTTCTTTCTTTTCTTTTTTTTTTTTTTTTTTTGTGACATGTTCTGGCTCTGTCACCCACACTAGAGTGCAGTGGTGCAATCCGGGTTCGCTCCAACCTCCATTCTGTGAATTTTTAAAGTTGAACCATGGTTTACATACTGGTCCTTGGTGAATTTGAGTAGCATGAGATGAAGAACACTGAGCAGAGTTGGGGTTATTGCTTAAACCTTGGCTCACTGCAACCTCTGCCTCCTGGGTTCAAGCGATTCTCCTGCCTTAGCCTCCCGAGTAGCTGAGATTACAGGCACCTGCCACCAGTCCTGGCTAATTTTTTTACTTTTAGTAGAGACGGGGTTTTACCATGTTGGCCAGGCTGGTCTCAAACCCCTGACCTCAGGTGATCTGCGCCTTGGCCTCCCAAAGTGCTGGGATTACAGGGGTGAGCCACTGCGCCTGACCAATGTCTATATTATATAATGATTTATTTTCCTAGGCTGGATACCCAGTAGTAGGATGGCTGGGTTGAATGGTAATTCTATTTTTAGTTCTTTGAGAAATCTCCACACTGTTTTCCATAGAGGTTGAACTAATTTATATTCCCACCAGCAGTGTATAGTATATTTTGTCTTTTCTTTAATCAATCAGCATTTGATTGGAATTAGGCATTCTTACTTATAGTCACCTTGATAAATCTTGCATGGTCCTGTGTCACCTTAACTATTCATTTACAGGTAACCACATCTATTGATGGTTATGCCATGTTATTTTTTAAAAATTCGCCATGAGAGGGTGTTGAGACACCTCTTGTGCCCTACCTCACATCCTGTTAATGTACTTCTAGCCCAGCTGTTGCTATGACAACCAGTTGTGCAAAAGTATGATGTGACAGCACCTTGTCTCCACTGCAGTGAAAATTTCTTGTTTTCTACATCAGGGAATTTTTGTTGTAGTACCTGTGGGTACCTTTTCAGCTATTTTGACTCACTCACAAACCTGGAAGTGTGAGTGAGTTAACACAATGAGGGGCAAGAGTCCCCCCTCATCCATCCCTTGAGTGGATAATGCTGAGGCGAGCTGCACAGAGCTCCTCAAACTGACCCCGTATGATACAACCATATTGGTTGATTGCCACATTTCTTAAGATGACTGTATTTTTTTTCCTTGGTTGAAAAATGTAGGATTTACAGATTTTGTTTTGTTTTGTTTTGTTTTTTGAGACAGAGTCTTGCTCTGTCACCCAGGCTGGAGTGCAGTGGCTTATTGCAAGCTCATTGCGAGCTCCGCCTCCCTGGTTCACGCCATTCTCCTGCCTCACCCTCCCAAGTAGCTCGGACTACAGGCGCATGCCACCAGGCCCGGCTAATTTTTTTTGTATTTTTACTAGAGACAATGTTTCACTGTGTTAGCCAGGATGGTCTTGATCTCCTAACCTTGTGATCCGCCAGCCTCGGCCTCCCAAAGTGCTGGGATTACAGGTGTGAGCCACCGCACCTGGCCAGAGATATTTTTATGTCCATTTTCACATTGGCAAGATGTGCCATCATGACTTTTAGAAGTGTTGTATCAGCTTTCAAATCAATATGAATATTTTTCAAAATGTTTAGGCCAATATAAAATATTTGGGCAATTTAAAACATAAATACGGCATGAGAAAAATTTTACTGAGAAAAATTAGTAAGTTCAATGTTAAGTTATCTGCATAATTCTGTTCAGTGTTTTCACATAAAAAGTGAAAAACTTGGAGATTTGCCCTTAGAAATTAGATATTTTTCTCCTTTTAATTTATAGAAACATGTTATGGAAACTAGTCACAAAATAAAATTACTACATTATAAATATAAAACATATAAAAGCCCTAGTACATGACATGTTCTTTGAATTTGCTTCAAGATGATTTTCTATTTAATACTTTCCCTTAAATATTGATAGAAAATCAGAGGTCAGCCAAACATCTTGGCAATGCTGAGAAATTATATTTTAAACGCAGTATGTAAACCCTCATTTTCATTTTCTAATCTTAATTCAGAGAAGATGGAAAATACAAGTATTTTAGTCCCCAAAGAAATATTAACTCCTCAAACTGGGCTGCTTTGGAATAAAAGTCCTGATGTGCACCCTGTGAACTCAGTTAATATCACTATGAGTACTGTAATTTTTGCATTTCCTGATTTGTACTAAAATTGCAAGTATATTAGTTTAATATTTTATAGGGGTTTTGGAAGACTGCTCTTGAAATTTTCAAGGTACAGGGTTGTCATTTATCTGGAAGGAAAATTCCAGCATCTGACAATAATTCTCTGTAATCTTTCACTTGGCCGAAGGCTCTGATTGGTTATAGCCATGGCTTTTCCTCACACACAAATTGAACAATTTCATGAGAGGTTCATTTTTTTCTCTTTTGCTCAAAATAACAAAACTCTATGCCATACTATCCCTTTGTCTTTGTCCTACGTTCACTAAACTAATAGGTCTAATCCCAGACATCTTGATTAGTTACCCAGTCACCACAGTTACTTTTAAACAGGGAGAGTTTTTATCTGAACACTCAACTTGGGCTTCATGCTCTGCAACAGTTCCACTGAACATATTCTTTATTCTGTGTGTTGTGGTTGTTTGTATTTTTTATTTCTTTGGCTTGGTGGCCCTACACATCCACAGGGCATTCTAGTATTGACTACTGACAAAAGTCTCGTCAAATAATAAACGTTATCATACTTCTAAACTATTTGCGGGGGAGGGGTGGAGGATAACAGGTTTTTATTCAATTACGAACCGGCTTACATAACCCCTTCCCTCCAAAACAATGTATGTAACTTTATTTTCACATGGTCATAAGAAACAGTAAACTTTCCTATTTCTTATTTTTCATAGCAACATTCATAGACATTTGAAATTTGAAGTATATTGAAGACATACTTGGAAACTTGCTAGAAATAAAAAAAATCAATAAGATAAGGGGGCAGGTGATTTTATAATGATAAAGGTCTGATTTTAAAAGTGGCATAAAATAATCAGAGTAAATAGCATTTACTGAGAACTTCTTGTTAGACACCTATGACAAAAAAAGAATCAAACGGCTTTAGTCATTTCCTCTCTACTGGGTTATTTCCATCAACATTCCGTAATATCTCCCACCTTAAAAAGGAATCCTTTGTGCCTTTTGCTTTAAGGTACCTTCTTTACCTCTCCTTCCCATCTATAGAAAAACATCTTAAAAGCATCCATACTCGCCATCTTCACTTTCTTTCCTTCTATTTTAGTCTTTCTTCACCTCCACGCCACTGAAAATACATTCTTCAAGGCCATCAATTCTTTTTTTTTTTTTTTTTTTCAATAGAGACAGGGCTTAGCTATGTTGCCCAGGCTAGTCTTGAACTCCTGGGCTCAAACAACCCTCCTGCCTCCTCCCAGAGTGTTGGGATTACAGGCATGAGCCCTGTGTCTGGACATCATTTCTTCAGCTGGAGTGCAGTGGCACAATCATAGCTCACTGCAACCTCCAACTCCTGGGCTCAAGAAATCTACCTACCTCAGCCTCCCAAGTAGCTGGGACTATGGGTGCACACCACCATACCTGGATAATTAAATTTATTTATTTTTTGTAGAGATGGGGGTCTCACTGTGTTGGCCAGGCTGGTCTTGAATTCCAGGCCTCAAGTCTTCTTCTTGCCTCCGCTTCCCAAAGTGCTAGGATTATAGATGTGAGCAACTGTGCCCAGCCAAGTTAATTAATTCTTATTGAATCTAGTAGTCTATTCTCACTCCTTAACTTATTGTACCTTTCTTGGAGCAGCATTTGATAATAATTGATCAAACTCTATTTCTTGAAATGCTTTTTTCTTTTGGCTTCAGCAACATTACACACTTTTTTTTCCCTCCTCATAACTGACCACTTCCTTTTTGGTCTCCTTTTCTACCTTTTTCTTCTCTTCTTGGCTGCTAATTGTTTAAATGACCTAAAGATTGATCTTCACTGAAATTTAAGGTTTCTTTATTATTGTAGCATAGATCTTTGAGTTCTGTGGATCTAGAGATTCTGCTTTCCAAAGGAGAACATTTCCACTAGGGGCGCATCAAGAGTCCAGTTGAACCATGAGCCAAAATAAACCACTTTTCTTTATAAATCACCTAGTCTCAGGTATTCTTTTCTAGCAACACAAAAACATACTAACACACATGGCATTTTATGAGGTCAACAATCAATCTATATATATAAATGTTTGTTTGTTTTTTAAGAGACAGGGTCTCCCTCTGTTGCCCAGGCTGGAGTGCAGTGGTACAATTATAGCTCACTGCAGCCTCCAACTCCTGGGCTCAAGGGTTTATCCTGCTTCAGCCTCCCAAGTAGCTGGGATTACAGGTGTGAGCCACTGCATCTGAATTCATATTTGTGTTAAAAATGAATGAATGACACAGAAACAGGCTTCTGTATGTCACAGGAAAATATGTATGTGGCATGGATTTGAAAATAGGGATTTTGGAGTTAGACTGTTCTGGAATAGAGACTTATCTCTATTTTTAACAAGAGCTTTGTGAAATGATGTTGGGCAAATTTATTAACCACTCCAAGCTTCATTTTCCTTATAAAATTTATACGGAAAGTTATAAAATGGAAAAGATAATAACACCAATTTCATAAGATTGCTATAATAATTAAAATAATACTCATAATGGACATGTTATCATTAAATATTGGTCTCATTTGCTGCAACCTACCAGGCAGCAGACAGAATGCTGAAGACTTTTACTTGTAATTCTCATTCAGTCCTCCAAATAAATCTGACAAGTTGATGGCAATTCCATGAAGATTAAACAACAACAACAACAAAGTTAGACTCACAGAATTTATTTAATTCATGTGATGATACAGTGTGTTAGTCCGGATAGTTTATGCCAAGCTGCAGGAACGAACCAACCCTAAAATTTCAGTGGATTAACTAATAAAGGATTGTTCCCAACACACACAAAGTATGCTGTAGGTCCCGTGGTTCTTCTGAGTACCTTCGATCCAACTTTTCTTCAGGGATCCAAGGCTGCTGGGTCTTGAATCTAGAACATCTTGAACACATGGTTCTAGTTCACTGCAACAGGCAATGAGTGACCTGGAGAATTGTGTTTGGCTTTTAAGTATATTAGTCAACTGACATAACAGCATTTGTAAAACCATAGCACTGGCCAGAACTAGTCATATGGCTCTGCCTAATTTTAAGGAAGCTGCAAAATGTGGGAGAACCTAAACCTGTTTAGTGAATAGTAAATATTTCTGCCACATCTGGCTGGTAGACTGGATTCAAAATGGCAGTATATATGCTTCATATCCTCCAAAGCTATGTTTGCCAAATAAAATATATGATGCCCAGTTAAATTTTAATTTCAAATGAACGATGAATAGCTTGAGTATGAGTATATCCCATGCAATGTTTGGAGCATATTCAGAGTAAAAAATTAAGTGTTATCAGAAATTCAAACTTTTATTTGCTAAATCTAACAACTTTACCCAAGGGCCATATGTTTCAGACATGACTAAAACCTGTTGCTAATATGAAGTGAAGAATTATTCCCCCTACCTAAAGGTATTTACAATCATATTTTAAAATTTCCAGCTAATAGGAGCACATCTGCAGATTAAACTTTGCTAGCCACTTGCCAATTCAGCTCACTATATTATAGGGGTTTTTTAAAAGCCCTAAAATTAAAAAAAAAAAAAAAAGACTTGGATCTCCGTAACCTCCATCACCAACTGAGAATATGGCTAGCCTTCTGTAACTTACTTAGGTTGCCTAAGTTGCCTCTTTCTTTATTTGTAAAATTTGACTTGAAAAACACCAAGGGTAGCTTGTCCCTCATTAAATCTATTTTCTTATGATTCTATTGTGTTACGTCATAGTATTGTGTCAGGATATTAGTAAAAACATACCACAAATAACACTTCTGAGTATTCTGTCTCTCAAAGTAACCTCCCCAGGTGAGGTTATTCTGATGATAATATTGTAGCTTAAATTGTTTTTAGAAAATATAGCAGCATATTCTTTTGAGTATCCTCCTCTGGTGGCAAATTATTTTTCCACAAAGGTAGACTTGATTTTTGGAACCAAATAGAAGTTATTCAAAGTCAAGTCAATGAATGGTCAAACTGAAAAATAAATGTACATTATGGAATAAAAACTAGGTGAGTTTATCAGATAAATGAAATTGATTTATTTTTGAGACTCTTTAATGCTCCATTTAAAAGCAGTTAGTTTTAAGGCAAGTTTAAAAATGAGTTTTGAGCAATGATCACATTGCTGGAATAAGTGCATTGCTTCCACTTTTGAAGGAACTCACACTCAATGGGTAATGAGCTCTGTAAGTTGATTACAAAAAGTAACCCTCTATCAAGAAACCAGTGATTGATTGCTATTCATGATAAAGTATTGAAAATACAATTCCACATGATTTATTACCTAAATGCTCTTGAAAATGACTTTTATCCTGGAACAAAGCTCCTTTTTGGTGAACTTTTCAACTATGTTTAATAAAAGAAATACTCCATACTGGTGGTTTTCTACCTCCCAACAAAATACATACATACGTACGTATGTATAAAGCTTTTCTGATCTTATTCATGAAATCATTTTTTAAAAGTTCACAAATCCATACATCAAAGATTATGTGACAAATGAAGAAAGTGGAATAAAAAGTTTTTTTTTTTTCATGGAAATGTTCATTGGTCAAAATTGAAGATTAACTTTTTACACCAAAATGCAAAGATTTGAAAAATGAAACATATTTCTAGAGAGAAACAAGACAGACATAAGCAAATAGATCAAAACACAAGTTTGGCCATTTTTCTGGACATAGACCAATAAAGTATGTTTTATTGAAACAGCTACTGATAGTACTTAAGATTATCAAGGGCACCTCTGAGTGGTCCCTACCATTGTTTTTCTCATTTCTCCCTAACTCCAACTTTCTCTTTGCTTTCCTTTTTTTATTTTATGGGGTGCACCTATGTTACTGCACGGTGTCTATGCATGCACACACAACACACACATATGTATTGTGTGGTGTCTATGCATGCACACACAACACACATATACGTTATTGCATGGTGTCTATGCATGAAGACACAATACACACATGTGTTTAAGAACATTAAAAATTCAAAGTCATTTTGGAGCACAATTCTGAAATACTTATCTTAAAATGTTTAAATTTTACATACCATGAACTAACCATTCTAATTTTAGGAATTTATCTTCATAAAACTGTAGTGGACTGAATTGTGTTCCCCTAAAAGACATGTCCATGTTCCAACCCCAGGAATTTGTGAATGTTACTTTATAAGGAACAAGGGTCTTTGAAGAAGATATAATTAAGGATCTTGGGATGATGAGATCATCCTTGATTATCTGCGTGGGTCCTAAACCCAATGACAACTGTCCTTATAAGACAGAGGCAGTGGGAGAACACACAGACAAATGAGCAGGAAGCAATGAACAGGGAGGAAATGCATCCACAAGTCAAGGAATGCCAACAGCCATCAGAAGCTTGAAAATCCAAGGAACATTATCTTTACTTGAGTCCCTGGATTAGTGTGGCCCTCCTAGATTTCAGATTTATAGCCTCCAGAGCTGTGAGAAAATAAATTTCTATTGTTTCTACCCACCAAATTTGTGGTACTTTGTTACAACAGCCTCAGGAAGCTAATACAGAAATTATCCATAAAATTAATAAATATGATCAGTATAATTTTATTTATAATAGCAAAAGTAAAAGTGTCTACAATAGAGAAAGCATTAAAAAGTATACTATAGATATGACAGAATATAAATCCTGTAGCAAAATAATATAAAATAATATATTCAACATATATAAAATGAAAAAATAGTTTGCTAAACAGCCTGCAAAGTGTAATTCCATTTGTTTAAAAAGATATATTGGAAGGGTTAATATCCAGGATACATAAAGAACTTCTACAACTCAACAACAACAACAAAATAGCCTGATTAAAAAATGGGCAAAGGACTTGGACAGACATTTCTCCAAAGATGATATACAGTGCTCACTTTGGCAGCACATATACCAAAGATGATATAAAAATGACCAACAAGCATATGAAAAGATGTTCAATATCACTAATCATCAGAGAAACACCAATTAAAACCACAATAAGACATCACCTCACACCCATTTGGATGTCTACCATCCAAAAAAAAAAAAATACCCAGAAAATAATAAATATTGACAAGGATGTGAAGAAATCGGAACCTCTGTGCACTGTCTGTAATAATGTAAGATGATATGGTCACCATGGAAACAATACGGCAGTTCCTCAAAAAATTAAAAATAAAATTATAGTATAATGCAGTGATTTCATTTTTTGATGTATTTCCAAAAGAATTCAAAGCTGGATCTGAAAGAGATAGGTGCACACCCATGTTAATTGCAGCATTATTCACAATAGCCAAGAGATGGAAGAAACCCATTGTTCATTGATAGATGAATGGATAAGCAAATTGTGGTATACACGCAATGGAATATTATTCAGCCTTAAAAAAAGGAAAGAGGTTCTGACACATACTACAACATGGATGAACCTTGGGGACATTCTGCTAAATGAAATAAGCTAGTAACAACATCACAAATACTGTATGATTCCACTATCTAAAATAGTCAATTCATAGAAACAAAAAGTAGAATGGTGGTTGCCAGAAGCTGAGGGGAGGGAGAAATGGATTGTTACTGTCTAATGGGTAGAGTTTCAGTTCTGCAAGATGAAAAGTTCTGAATATGTGTTACACAACAATATGAATATATTGAACACTATTGGAATGTACACTGAAAAATAGTTTTTGAAATTTACTAAATTGTACATTTTAAATATGTGCAGTTTATTATATCAATTATACCTCAATAAAGCTGTTTAAAAATATGCTGATGGCTGGGCACAGTAGCTCATGGCTATAATCCCAGCATTTTAGAGGGCCATGGCAGGAGGATTACTTGAGCTCCGGAGTTCAAGATCAGCATGGGCAACATAGCAGGACCCCATCTCTACAAAAATATATTTTTTAAAATTAGCCAGGCATGGTGGTGCACACCTGTAGTCCCAGCTTTTTGTGGGGCTGAGGTAGAATGACTCCAGCCCAGGAGGTTGAGGCTGCAGTGAGCCAAAACTGTGTCACTGTACTCTAGCCTGGGCAACAGAGCGAGACCCTGTCTCAAAAAAATTATATACACATATATATGTAATTGTAACCCTAGCAATTGATTAAGAATAAAAACTTCAAAGTCAGACTGCTTGGCCTCAAATTCTAGCTCTACCATCTACTAGTGTTATGACCTTGGATACATTATTTAACTTTGTTTCTTGGCTTTCTCCTCTGTAAAAATAGTGTTTATAACAGTAATACCTAGATGAGCTAGTATTCATAACACAAGGTCTGGTCATAGTTTGTGCTAAATAAATGCAATGATCTATCTCACTCTTGATGTATCTCTACAAATACAGATGGCCACTGACTTACAATGATTCAACTTATGATTTTTTGACTTTACAATGGGTTTATTGGGATATTAGTTGCATTTTTGATTTATGATATTTTTGACTTATGATGGCTTTATCAGAACATACCTCTATTGTAAGTTGGTATTAGTGATTATCTCTAAGTGGCTGTTCCACCAGAGACTTTAATTATGATCTTTTCAGCTTATCTTTTTATTACATACGTGTGTGATTTTTATAATAAAAGCTATGCAAATTTTTTATACATACAAAATACATCAGATGATCTATCTAGCATAGAATTTTGTCTCTCGGTGATACTAACGAAAGACTATTTGAGCAAACATGGGCCATTTGTTATATTTCAGAAGTCCTTCTAATATTATTAGTACTATTATTGAAAAAGAGAAAGATATTACATTTGTATGAGGAAAACAGAGTTTACAAAAACAGACTGCAACTGTTGTTATGGTTATTAATCTCCTGAAAATTATGGTTGATAATCTCCTGAAATTTTATAGTAATGTCATTAACTATTAGACTCACTTTCTAACTATGTGTAAACAATAGATTGGGTGATGGAATAAGTATTTCACAGAGATGCCTTATTGATCCATTATTTTTGTAACAACGGAAAGAGCCATGGTAGATTTGGTGTTGATCCTGTTTTTCCCTCCAGACAGAGCCAGCTCTGGCCTGCTCTATCTCTCATTACTGTGATGACGGCTGTATCCAGATGCTAAACACTCCAGAGACACTCCAATGCAGTGCTAAAGACTCAAAACACTTCATCCCCAAAGAATGTAGCATTCCAGGAGAAAACAGGCCTCCTTCTGACACTGGTAAAACTGTGAAGGTGTGTGATAAATCAGGGATCAAAATGAGAGGCCACAGATTCTCTGCCCCTTACAGTGAATCCTGCTCTTCTCTTTTCAATGGAGTAACAGTCATATTTAAAAAAAAAAAAAAAAGTTTGTACAGACACACTAATGGAAACAATGACAAAATATATTCAAACATAAAGTGTTACAATAGCTAGAGGCTGTTCTAGATGGGAATCAAAGAATAAATAGCTGGAGATGTAACTAAGGATAAAAACATATGAAACGTCTTGGGCTATTTGAGGGGATTAGTTTTGAGAGGGTGGGCAGGAATAGTTTGTCCTTGGGGCAATGGTTGCTTCCATTTTCTTTCCTTCTGTTTTTCCTTGTTTTTCTTCCTTCTTTTCTCCCTCCCTTTCTCCTTCCAGCTCCCACCCTTCCTTCCTTCTTTCCTCTCTTTCTTTTTACAGAAATTTTCATTTCTTCACTGCCACAAAACAAAGACAACAGGGTGTTCAAAGTACCATTTACTTGACTCATCAACCTCCTAAAGTAATATAAATTTTTTAAAATGTAAAATAATAAATGTTATCTATATCCAAGAAAAAAAATAGTGGCCAAAAATTCTTGGCTATAAATTAGAATTCTTTTTTCACTAACAAAATCAAGTGTTTTAATCAAAAGTATGTACAAGATTGTTTCTAAAATGACCACTGCCGAAGTTTGCTAACAAAAATGCAAAACAATCTGCTTCAGTACAACAGAAATATATAAATTATGGCCACAAATGTTAATTAAAAATTTCAAAACAATAAGTTTACTTGTTTTGTTAAAGCATTATGTAATTCCTAGCATTTTTTGTTTCTTTTTGCTTTTTAATGAGGTGTCATTTATGTAAAGTACACAAGTGTACATCTTGATAAATCTTTCCATAGTCTACAGCCATGTAACCGCCAACCAGATCAAGATAGAGAACCCCTCAAAGACAATGTTTCCAAGTTTAAGTGTGTAAGACTCTCCTGAGGATGTTGTTAAAAATCTAGATTCCTAGGTCACAATCCCAGAGGTTCAATATCGGTGGGTCTAGGGTAGGGTCCCTGAGACCGATTATTTAATAAGCACTTCCACTTAGAGAAACTCTGCCCTAGAAAGAAACCTAACTTAACTCAATGGCTCTAGAAGTTCTATTACTCTCTACTTTAAAGATAATTTATTGGGAAACCTAGGTGCTTTCCTACCAAGGAAGAATATATATGACATTTGCTATCCCTGTGTAATTTTAACTTTTAGCATTGTTTTTTCTTTCTTTGAGCCAGAGTTTCCCAAATGAAGTTTCCACCAGTCCATAGAAAAATGAAAATTAATAAGACCATATTTTTCATAAAGTTATTTATTCATAAAGTTAGATGTATCTAAAGGATTGTCATTTATTTTCAGATTATGTTCTTCCTACCTTCAGGACTTTCAAATGCTCTTTGCTTTACAAAATAATTCTAACAGTAAAATAGTATGGCCTTTTTTTCTTATTAATTCTGATAAATTAAGAGATAGAAACGCTATATTGTTCAACTTTGAAAAATCTGAGCTATCAAGCCTTCAGGTCTGCTCCTGAAATTTGAACCGATTGCCACCAGGGGAAGTAGAGTACTACAGCCTGTGTGATTTCAACTGTAGAGGCATTTTTTTCTGCCAGAGCATGTCAAATTTAACTGCAGATTTTCTACTACAGTCTTCTGTCACTTAACAATGAGGAGATGAGATATGTTCTGAGAAATGTGTCCTTAGGCTAGTTCATCACTGTGCTAACATCAGTGTGTACTCACACAAACCTAGATGGTATAGCCTACCACACACTTATGCTAGATGGTATAGCCTATTGCTCCTAGGCTACAAACCCACACAGCATGTTACTGTACTGAATACTGCAGGCAGTTGTAACACAATGGTAAGTATCTGTGTATCTAAACATAGAAAAAGTACAGTAAAAATATGTACTATAATCTTAGGAGACCATGATATAGTATATGTGGGTTTGTCACTGACCAAACCATCATTATGTGGTATATGACTGTACTCCAAAAAACAACCTTAGCTTCTTTTCTGTATATATAAGCAACATATGGTCTCTGTAAAAAACTTTCAAAGAATGGGAAAAATTAAATCAAACCATCAAACCATTGTTAATGTGTTTATTTTTTTCCATTTAATTTTAGTCTTTTTCTATGTACAATTTTTTAAACAAGTCAGGAATGAAATGAAGGTAGAAAGATAGATAGATTCATTACCACCTGATATTTTTCTTCAGCAGTTTCCAATGTCATTAAAATCCTTTCAATGTAGTTTTGTCTGTATAGTGTTCTATCTCATGAATGCATCATAATTTATTTATTTATTTATTTTTATTTTTTTGAGACAGTCTCATTCTGGCACCTAGGCTGGAGTACAATGGTGCAATCTTGGTTCACTGCAACCTCTGCCTTCCAGGTTCAAGTGATTCTCATGCCTCACCCTCCTGAGTAGCTGAAATTACAGATGTGCACCACCATGGCCGGCTAATTTTTTTTTTTTTTTTGTATTTTTAGTAGAGACAGGGTTTCGTCATGTTGGCCAGGCTGATCTCAAACTCCTGGCCTCAAGTGATCCATCCACCACCTTGGCCTCCCAAGGTGCTGGTATTACAGGTGTGAGCCACCATGCTCAGCCTCATAATTTATTTTATTAACAACCTTTTACAATTTTTAAATTTAGAGGTTATTTCCACTTTGAAAAGAGGTCAGGAGTTCCAGACCAACCTGGCCAACATGGTGAAACCCTGTCTCTACTAAAAATACAAAAATTAGCTGGGCATGGTGGTGGGTGACTGTAATCCCAGCTACTCAGGAGGCTGAGGCAGGAGAATCGCTTGAACTCAAGAGGCAGAGGTTGCAGTGAGCTGAGATTGCACCACTGCACTCCAGCCTGGGTGGCAAGAGCAAAACTCCGTGTCAAAAAAAAAAAAAGATGTAGGCTGGGTGTGGTGGCTCATGGTTGTAGTCCCAGAACTTTGGGAGACTAAGGTGGGAGGATCACTTGAGCCCAAGAGTTTGAGACCAGCCTGGGCAGTAAAGTGAGACCCCATCTCTCTCTATATATATATTTTAAAAGTAAATAACACTACAGGGAATATTTTTGTACTCACTTAAAGATAATATTTTGAATATATCTTTAAGATAGATTCTTTTTTAAAGGAAACTGATACAAGGGATATAAGGATTTTTAAGGCTTTTTATATATTGTGATTCAACGACCTATTGCTGTATAATAAAATTTCTACAACTCTGTGGCTTTAGAATCACAGCCTTCATGCTGTTCTAAGGGAGTGGTAATAAAGAAAAAAAATAACAGCCATATATTATGTCACTGCATGATGTTGACTGGGGTCACTCATGCAGCTGCATTCGGCTGAAGGCTCAACCGAGGCTGGTTGTCTAAGATGACTTCACTCATATATCTGGCATCTTAGCTGGTATATTAGTCAGTTGTTGCACTGCTGTAAATAAATACCTGAGACTGGGTAATTTTACAAAGAAAAGAGTTGGCCCACAGTTCTGCAGGCTGTACAGGAAGCATAGCAGCTTTGGCTTCTAAGGAGACCTCAGGAAACTTACAATCATGGCAGAAAGTGAAGAGAAAGCTGGTACTTCACATGGCTGAGAGCAGGAGGAAGGTGGCAGGGGAGGTGCTACCCACTTTTAACAACCAGATCTCATGAGAACTCACTTACTATTCAGTATCAAGGGGGTAATGGTGCAAAACTGTTCATGAGAACTCTGCCCCCATAATCCAATCACCTCCCACCAGGCCCCACCTCCTACACTGGGGATTACAATTCAACATGAGACTTAGGAAGGGACACAGATCCAACCCACATCAGCTGGGATGGTTGGAAGAGCTGGGAGATGACTTGGCCTCACTCTGCATAGACTGTCATAATTCAGTAGTCTAGCCTGAACTTATCTATAGGGCAGCTGGATTCCATGAAAATAAACTTAGAAGCTGCTAGGCTTCTGAAGACCCAGACCTAGAAGTCAAAGCAAGTCATGGGGCCAGCCCATATTTAGGGGGAAGAGAAGTAGACTCTACTTTTTAATGAAGAAGCTACAGATTCACATTGCAGAAGGAGACTGAGGTAAGAAGAATTGTTGTGGTCATCTTTTGGAACTAATCAACCATATATCACCATATTAGTATTTTATATAACACTAATTTACAATAAAAAAGTGTATGCAACATATACTTCCATCAGATTGCCATGAATTAAAAAGTGTCAGCAAGGATATACAGCAACAATAACTCTTATATACTCCTGAGAAGAGTGTAATCTTGAATGCCCACTTTAGAGAGCAGTTTGGTATTAACTGCCAAAGTTCATAGGTATATACCTGAAAAAATGGGTGCATGGGTAGACTAGAATATTTGTAGAAGGTTCATAGCAGCATCATTCATAGCTCAGTATAGCCCAAAACTAGAAACCCTAAACTTCATCGAGTCTAAAATAGATTTTGTGGAAATGTGAAATATTATAAAGCAGTGAAAATGAACAAACAATACACTCAGCAACATGAATGAATCCTTTACACATAATGTTGAACATAAAATCCAAGTCACAAAAGGACGGATACAGTGTGTTTTCATTTATGTAAAGTTCACAAACAAGCAAAACGGAACTGTGCTTAGGGATGCAACAAATAATATAAAAAGAAAAATTGTTACCATTTCAAAGCTAGAATAGGAGTTTGCCCCAGTGAGGATGAAGGAGGATGGAGAGGAGAATCTAGGCAGAGGAAACAGCATAACTGGATGATTGGAAGGAGCTGTTTAAATTTAAGGAAATTAAAGAAAGCCCGTGCACAAAAGGAAGAACAGGAACTTACAGGCCAATTTAAGGATTTTCAGGTTTCATGCTAAGAACAACAAAAAGCCATTGATTGGTTTTAAGCAGAGGATAATATAATCAGGTTTTCATTTTCAAAGGGTAATTTTGTCTATCGTGTGTAAATTGATTAGAGAAAGTCAAGAGTGGAAACAGGGATATAGTTAGGAATCTATTTGCAGTGGCTTCAGGTGAGAGATGATATGGCTTCAACTGGTGCAGTGACTGGAAAAGGTGAGAAAACAATAAATCTGAGATAAACTTGGAAGGTGGAATTAACGAAAGCTGATGCTTGGCAATTAAAAAAAACACAATGAGTTAGCATGACTTTTGTCTTCTGGCATGATCAACAGGGTGCCATTGATCAAGAAAGGGAACACTAGTGGAGGGCTGGACCTTGATTTTGGATTCCTGGGAGACATGCAATTGCAGATGTTAACGAATAAGTTGAATAAATGATCTGGAGCTCAGATGAGGTGCTTGAGTCAGAAAGAGGAATTTGGGAGTCATCAGCACTGATATTTTTCTCTTTTAATATACCATGGCAGTAGATGAAATGGGGCATAGCTGAAATACCAAGAGAGGTAAAATGACTCAGAAAGGACAGGTAGAAGCAAGAAGCAGTGAAGATATTAAAACTATCTATGTGCAAGACACTGTGTTTGATGCTGGGGCACATGGATGAGTAACATATGGACCCTAGTTTACTGCCAAGTAGAGGAAATAGACACTTTAGCATATAACATATATCTTACTTGGTAAATGACAGAATAAAGATAAGTACAAGATGCTGTGGGAACTCAGAGAAGGGCAGTGAAGCCTGGGAAGTCCAGTAAGAATTAGCCAGAAGAAGAAAAGTGGGAAATACAATCCAGGCAGACACAATAAGACACACAGAAGCACTGAGGCTTGAAAGAACATCATGTATGTACATGATTGCAAGCAGACCAGTATTATTAATGTACAGAGTTTGAAGGCTAAGTGACGGGACATCAGAGCAAAGAGGGAGAAAGACCCCAGTCATGGGGACCTTGGATGCCCTGCCAAAGAACTTAGGATTGAATCAGTAGGAATACAAGTGACATAGTCGTATTTGCATACTAGAAAGGTTACTTAAACTGTGAGTGAGGGGTGGGAGTAAACGGAACACAGCTGAACTGGTTAGGAAAACAATAAGTGGCTGAATAGTGGGTGCTGATAGGGACATGGGAAAATACATTTGATAAATATTTAGGACTGTTCTTTAATTCAAAGAGCCTTTCTGGAAGGTCATAAATGCTCATTTCTAGTTTGTCCTAGTTTTAAAAGCAGTTGACTGGTATTTGGGGGAGATGGCGGTGGCCCAAATTGTCAATCTCTGAATTCCTACACACACACCACACACACACACACACACACACACACACACACACACACACACACACACAGCAACTAGATGGCAAAGCCAAAACACCTAAGCAACATTTACAATAAAGCTAGGGGACCTCAAAATACAAGCAGGTGGTGGTAACCCCTCAACAGTCACAGACTGTCAGGTTCTGTGCGGGAGGAAGAAGGTAGCCATGAAGCTGAGGACTGAGATCACTGCCAGCAGGTGAGAGCAGGTGCAGGCAGGAGCCTCAGCAGCTGTGGGCTTGCAGGCCACTGCTCAGAGCAGCCAGATAGGAGACAGCACATTGTCCTCTTAGCCAGGGTGGCGCTCCTGCTGGCAGTCTGTGGGCACCGGAGCAGTCCAGCCTGCCTGTAACTCCAAAACCTGTGACTCGCCACTGCTCACTCCCATCTGGGACATGGCCCCACACTGACAAGAATCTGCTGCAAACAATCCAAAGCAGCATTGGGATAAATGGGATAAAGAAAAGTAAAGGTCCAGTGGAGAGGGCTCGGGGCCAGGAAATCCCAGAAAGCAAGCCACTGACGCTTTGACCACTATGCAAAAACAACAGAAGTGGGAGCTTCTTAAAGTCAGAAAAGATTTCCTCCATTCCATCCCATTGTAAAAATGTGGGAAAAACTAGAACTGAACACCAGGAGAGTACGGAGGGAAAATCCCATACACAATTATTATTTAAAAAAAAAAAAGGAGCAAATAAACATCTACAGACAAGGAAAGCAGGCCAGGAAGATGTGCCCACAAAACAGCTCAAAATAGTAACTTCACACGTTAAAACAAGTCTAAGAACATTAGGAAAATTATTCAAGGTTTTGAATAATGGTGTTTTGTGGAAGAATGTGTTCACTGGGTAACTTATAAGTTACAATCAGAAAAGCTCAGTACTGAGGGGACAAAACGACAAAAGAATTAGAGATAAAAGGAAAAACATTTCCAACACAAAGATGAAATGAAAAGGAATACCAGAGAAAATAAACACAAGAGATAATGCCTTAAAAGAAATAGGAATTGGCCAGGCACGGTGGCTCACGCCTGTAATCCCAGCACTTTGGGAGGCTGAGACGGGCAGATCACTTGAGGTCAGGAGTTCAAAACCAGCCTGGCCAACATAGAGAAACCTTGTCTCTTCTGGAAAAACATAAATTAGCTGGGCTACGTGGCACACACCTGTAGACCAAGCTACTTGGGAGGCTAAGGCAGGAGAACTGCTTGAGCCCAGGAGGTGGAGGTTGCAGTGAGCTGAGAGTCCCCCACTGCACTGGGTGACAGAGCAAGACTCCATCTTAAAAAAAAAAAAAAAAAAAAGAAGGGAAGTGAAAAAGGAAATTTAAAAAAATTAGAAAAGCAATATTTTTAAAATAAAAAAGACATGAAGAGATAAAGACTATTAGTGAAGCTAGTAGTCTAGATAAACCTTTTCCAGCAGCTACAGACAGAGCTCTGCTTTGTATCTGCCGCTGCCTTAAAACCATCGTCTTAGGCATCTTTGTATCTCTGTGGCTTCACTTAGTTCTTGTCACATGACAAGAAGGTGATGAGAAACTGGGGGAGCCATTCTACATAGGAAAGTCAGGGAAGACTTCTCTAACCATATTCATAGCCTCACATTATCAGGTTAGTTTGATATAATGTTAAAATATTCAAGCACCCATGAATCCCAGTTGTTCTTCTGTGAACTAACTACAGGCCTCCTTTCCTTTTTCTTTATTCCTTCCAAAAGGTACATGGGGTATAGTTATAAATACACCTAATTCCAGACCTTGTAGAACTCATAGTTTAGTGGAAGGGACAGATGGGTAAACAGGTAAGTAAATACAACATGACAAAGGGCATACCTTAACTTTGAACAGTATTACTGTTCTCGTTGGTTAACTCTTCTGCCTTGGGCCTCTGAAGTCCCTGGAAAACCCTGTTTTCCTGTTTGAATTCCAGGCTGAATATCTGCCTGGCTCCCTACATCATCTCAATATTTACTTTTTATTTTTTGGCTAGATCAGTAACTTGACTTGCATGCAATACTAGCTTAATTCCCTCATAGTCAGTTAATTATAGCATTGGCTTGAGATACATGACTTAATGTAACATGACAATTTTATTTTAAAATTACTTTCTTAAAGAGCCTGTATTTTTCACACCAAATATTTTAAATAAATGCTAAATAAGATTTTTGGCCAGATAATTCAAACTGTCTATTAGCCAAGAGAATGCATTCAGTGGGTAACTGTCATTATTAGAAATCTATGCTGCATTCCAGTATCACTGTATTTCTATCAGTAAGCACAATCACCAACCACTTGGTCTGGTAATCAGGCAGGGAGTGTTTATCTATACTGCAGGAATTTTTAAAGACGGATAACACAGACAGAATATTCTACAAGAGACACACAAAATTAGAAGTATTTAAACAAATACATAGGTATTTTAATTATGTTCTGAACTGGCTAGTGGTTTATATTAGCTTGTCAACTCTTCTAGCTTTACCACAATTCTTTTAGATTCCTCTGAGATACTCCCAATTACTGGAAATTGCTACCTTCCCCCAAAGAATGGGGTAGCCACATTCCAGGGCCTAGTGTTGGGGACAGATGAGAAAGAACAGTGACAGTTCCCCTTTCCCAATATCCTTCACTTCACATATTACGAGGCCTCAGAAATAGAGTAAAATTGACTGTCAATCCTAGCTTTATATGAGGTGGTAAGTGAAGAAAGAAGGGGATTAAAGTTCTCCAAAGGCATCTTCTCTCCAGGTGATTCTTTAATGAGGATGACAGCAGGATTGAGGCTTCTGGAAATTCTCACACAGGCATTAGGTGTAATCATAGGAAGTTCCAATAAGGTCCCTCAAGAGCAAGAGAATAAGGTCAGGAAAAAGTCATCTTCTGAAGATACATACTCCAAGAAACAATAATTATTTTACAAAAAGACATAGAAAACACTTAGATGTAAGATACGTATATATTTTAATCTAATTAAACTACTCCATTAATAGTTCATAACCCATCTCTATGGTTGTACTTATCACACTGCAGCAGAATTCTAAGTTTTGACCTATCTGTCCCTTCTACCAACCAGTGAGTTCCTTTACATAGGAACAGTATTTTAGTCATTTTTGTTTTGTTTTGTTTTACCCTCAGAATCTAGCACTGTGTCTGGCTCAGAAGAGGGATGAAGAAAATGTGTGTTGACTAAATGAGCTGGAAATATAACGAAAGAAGGCAGACATTGAATTGTAATAGGCATCTGCATGTAGTATACAGGAAAGGTTATTTGATTAAAATGTTAAGACTATTTAGAAATATCTGAGATATATGGAATCAGCAGATATGAACATTCTGATTGCTAAAATATGTGCACCACAGTAGTGGCAGGTATTCATTAGACTATCCCAAAACATAAGCCAATTTCTTTCAAGAACACATAGTTCTAGATATCCAGGTTTTGTGCACATTCATTTATTTCTAGAGCATTTACATTTATTAAATACTTTTTTTTTTTTTTTTTTTGGAGACAGAGTCTTGTTCTGTCACCCAGGCTGGAGTGCAGTGGCACGATCTCGGGTCCTGCAACCTCCACCTCCTGGGTTCAAGCGATTCTCCTGCCTCAGCCTCCTGAGTAGCTGGGACTACAGGCACATGCCACCATGCCCAGCTAATTTTTGTATTTTTAGTAGAGACAGGGTTTCACCATGTTGGCCAGGCTGGTCTCAAACTCCTGACCTCGTGATTTGCCCGCTTCGGCCTCCCAAAGTGCTGGGATTACAGGCATAAGCCACCGTGTCTGGCCTACTGAATAACTTTTATGTGCCAGGTACTGAGATGGGAACTGGAACTATAATAACAGATATTCATAGTCTTTTGTTATGAAGATGTTTAGTAGGAGGAAACAACAACAACAAAAAAAGCAAACTAAAATGTTATAGGCTTTGAGGCCAGGTGCCATGGCTCACGCCTGTAATCCTAGCACTTTCAGACACCGAGTCAGGCAGATCGCTTGAGCCCAGGAGTTTGAGACCAGCCTGGGCAATATGGCAAAACTCCTTCTCTGCAAAGAATATAAAAATTAGCTGGGTATGGTGGTACGTGCCTATAGTCCCAGCTACTCGGGAGGCTGGAGTGGGAGGATCACCTGAGCCCAAGGAGGCCCAGGCTGCAATGATCTGTGATTGTGCCACTGCACTCCAGCCTGGGCAACAGAGTGAAACTCCATCTCAAAAAAAAAAAAAAGTAATAATAATGTTATAGGCTCTGAGATAAAAGTTTGTTGCCAGTAGAGAGTGGTAGAAGAAGAGACTGACGACTTTAGATAAGTTTTGCTAATGGGAAATAGAGAATAAAAAGATGCTTCATCCAAATCTTAAAATATGACAAGGTGATCAACAGGGTGAGGACAGAAGAGCATTTTAGACTGAAGGAGCTTTATTGAAGAAACAATAAACTTGGTGGCTTACTTGAGCAGAGCTTACTGTGGAAGGGGTGTAGGGTTCTGGAGAGATGAGGTCCCGAAGAACTTTATTTCATGGGCTAAGAAGTTTTGACTTTATATTACACAAAATTGGAAGTGACAGAGTATATTAAATTGCTAGGGCCACCATAACCAACTACCACAGACTGGTTGGGTTTAAGAACAGAAATTTATTTTATCACAATTCCGGAGGCTGGAAGTCCAAGATAAAGGTGTTGATAGGGTTGTTTCTTCCGAGGCCTCTCTTTGGCTTATAGATGTCCATCTCTCCCTGTGTTGTTACATGGTCTTTACTCTGTACATATCTGTGTCCTAATCTCCTCTTCTTATTAGGACATCAGTTATATTGGATTAGAGCCCACCCCAATAATCTCATTTTAACTTAGTCACCTCTTTAAAGACTCTACTTCCAAATACAGCTACATTCTGAGGTACTGGAAGTTGTGACTTTGACATATGAACGTGGAGAGAATATAATTCAGCCCATAAAAGGGTTAGATCTAATTTAGATAATCAAGACAGCAGTGTGGACAGAGGCAAGACCAGGACAGGGAGACCCTTTGGAAGACTATTGCAGTATTTAGTTTGTATGGGTGATGATCCCAAGGTTGGTTTGGTTGTTGTTTTATCCCTGTCATGGCTGATAATCTGAATTTGAACAAGAGACACAGAGGGAAGCATGGCAAAGGAAGATGTCAAAAGGGTCAACAGGAATATCATGTTAAGGATCACTGGCCTGCAGGATAGAATTCAGACTCTTTGGCACAGTCCACAGGCTTCTGACAATTTCCCTCTGATCCCTCAGTGCAGCAGACTCTTGTCCTGCCACTCAACACAGTGCACGCTGTGCCCTCTAGCCATAAAACCTCACAGTCTCCAATCACACTAGGCTTTTCCTCAAGGCCAAGCCTGTGTGCCTGCTCTGCCCTCTGCCTGAAGTATTCTTTCTCCTCTTCTTAGCCAGCCAAACATCTATCTATTCAAGTAGAGGTAGTCAAATGTTGCCTTCTTCATGAAACTCGAACGTTCTCTGACAGCGAGGAACTTCCTCCCCTAGACTCCCAGGAGTATTCTGCCTAGACACTCTCATTTGGTGCTATGACTAGTTTACATTTTACACACTTGCTACTCTGACTAAATTGTAAACTCCTTGTGGGCTGGGACTGGCTTCCCTTGTTTCCCCATAGCTCGATATTGTGATCACCAAATGGGAAAGTCTTCAATAAATATTTGATAAATGTGTGAGAATCAAAGTCTACACCTGTTACCACCTAGACACTACCAGGTAAAGCCTTGCCTGTGCTTTCTCTGTGATAACTCTCTTTAACTAAAACACTAAGAAGAGATTAAAGAAAGTCAGATTTTCCATATTTGGGGCTAAATCTCTCTTATAAAAAGAAACAAGATATTTTACAAACCAGCAAGGAAAATTCCAGGGGAAAAGCCAGGGGAATCAGCAGAGTTTCCAATCTGTCACCACTTTAATCCATCTTGTAAATCACTTCCAGTTTAATTTTAAAGGACAAAACACCACTGTCTTCATGTCTTTTTCTATTTAAGAATTTAACAAGTGGCTCCCTTTGCCTATCTGATCAAATCCAAGTTTCCCCATATGGTTTTGAAGACCTTCCATGGCCTGGCTCTATTTTACTCATCAAATCCAGTGTCTACACAACTGTCAGAATCACCTCCCTGAAACACAGACAGGATTATTCACTATCATACTCAAAAATACTTCAAGGCTCCTTATGACCTAAGATAAATCTCAAATTCCTCACATTAGTTTTCTACTCTAGTAAGCCCTCATTTAATGTTGTCAATAGGTTCTTGGAAACCGTGACTTTAGGCAAAACTAAGTATAATGACACCAAGTTGTTGGGTTTATTTTCCTCATCAATGTTATAAGGAAGTGACCTTGAATGAAATGACATTACTAGAAGACCTGCTGTACTTTGTTTCGCTTAAGGCTGCAGTTTCCAAGAACTACCGACAACATTAAGTGGGGACTTACTGTACTTGGCCCTGGTTTTTCTTGTCCAGGAATTCTCCCCTATAGACTCCAATCATCAGCTCACTTCCCGAGTTGTCCTTCACAGATATTTCTTACATTTTCCTGTTTCTGTGCCTCTACAGTGTTCAAGTTGTTCCTGAACCACCTGTACTGTTGTCTTCCATATATGTAGTACAAGTTAGCAGTCTTAATACAAAAGACTTCCAATCCACTAACCTTTCCATCTGCTCTACCTCCACTGATAATCAATTCCTGTTTGGGGTTAGTCTTGAACTAACAGCACCATCTGATATAGTTAATTGCTCTTTGCTGCTTGGGCCACTCTCCTTTGACTTCTAGGACACCACTTTCTCTTCTTCCTCCTCTTCTTTCTTCCATGAACTGGCCGATCCTTCTTTAGCTTTTTTATTTGATCTGAGTTGTCCCAACCTCTACAGGTTGAAGTATCTAAGATTTAACCCTGCTAATCTCTTTTCTAAACACATGCATACTCAGATTTCATCCAGTTCCATGGTTTTCAATTTCATCAATAGGTTAAAAAGATTTAATTTTCTATCTCCAGCTCTATCTCCTTTCCCCTGATTCCAGATTCATATGTTCTACTGCCTAATTAATATCTCTATTTGGATGTCAAAAAGGCATCTCAAACATAGTATGTCCAAAACTAAACACTTTATTTCCCTCTTCCCTAAAACTTGCATCTGTCATACCCTTCCTCATCTTAGTAAATGGCCCTCAGTTCTTATAGATCTTACAATCGTCTCTGACGCCTCTCTTTCTCATCTAATCCATTAGCAAATTTTGCATTGAAAATACGTTCAGAATTGCACTGTGTCTACAACTCTTTCACTGCTACCACTTTGGTCCAAGCCATAATCATCTCTTTTTTGAAGTATTTCAATAGTATCTTTACTGATCTCTCTGTCCCTGCACCCCTAACCCTCAAGGTGGTCTTTCTAGAGCTGATTATGTAAACTCCTCTGCTCAAAATCCTTTTAGTAGCTTCCCATCTCATTTAGAATATAACCAAAGTCATTAACATGGCCTATAAAGCATTATGACATCTGGCCCACCATTGCTTCTGAGTCCATCTGCTACCACAGCTACTCTTAGTCAGCTCTAGCATTTCTAGCCTCCTTGCTAATTCTTGGAGGACTCCAAGCACACTTCTGCTTCAGTATCTTTATACTTAATATTCCTTCACCAGGAATGTTCTTCCTCTAGACAGTCACAGGCTCTCTCACTTCCATCAGGTTACCTTTCAAATTCTACCTTATATGTCCGGGTATAGTGGCTCATGCCTGTAACCCCAGCACTCCGGAAGGCCAAGGCAGGAGGATCATTTGAGGCCAGGAATTTGAGATCAGCCTGGGCAACACAATGAGACCCTGTCTCTACAAAATTGTTTTTTAAAAAATTAGCCAGGCATGGTGGCACATGCCTGTAGTCCCAGCTACTCAGGAGGCTGAGGTGGGAGGATTACTTGAGTCCTGGCGGTTGAGGCTGCAGGTCAAGCTGATACCATGCTGCTGCATTCCAGCCTGAGTGACAAAGAGAGACCCTGTCTCCCAAAACAAAACAAAACAAAACAAAAAACAAAACCAAACAAAAAATTCTACCTTATAATTGAGGCCTTCTCTAACTACTTTATACAAATTAGCAACCTTTCCCCATCATTCTCTAGCCTTTACCTTGAGTTATTTTTCTTCATATCACTTATTACCACTTAACAAAGTATATATTTGTTAATATGTTTTTATCTATATCCTTCCACTTGAATGTAAGTTTTCTTTAGAGAATGTTGTTTTCTTTCCTTCTGTATTCCCTGGACCTAGAATAGTGCCTAGCATGTTGTAAGCATTTAGTTTAAATTGAATAAATTAATAATTATCATCTATAAGACTGAAAGCTCCTGTGGCCACGGACTAACACTTATTGATTATATATTCCCAGTAACACCTAGCTTAGTACCTTGCATGTGGTAAAAGTTCAGAATGTTTGTCAAATAGAATTGCATCTTATTTCTCTCTGCTTCTCAAAGATGCTCTCTGTTCCTTTTTGGAAAGTTTTCATACTGCTACCTGCTTCCTTACTTCCTATGCTCTACCTCACTTCTGCCTCTTTTCCTGTTTATATTTTATTACAACTTCCTGGGATTTCAGGAAACTTCAAATTACAACTGTTATTTCTCAACTCTTAGAGGCCACACAGACTATGCCCCACAATTTAGCAGCTTATACTAACATGTATTCTCTGCTTCATGGGCATTCATCCTTGCTTTCCCAACAATACTGTAAATGGCATAATGGTAGAGATCATATAATACTTCCACATCATTGAAAACATACAAGGTGACATGCATTGTAAGCAATCGATAACTATATCAACTCATCCAGAATAGTATCTCCATTTGCTTACTAGACATGACCACTCAGATATTTAATAGAGATCTCATTTTGCCTGAAACAGAACTCCTTGTTTAAGTACCCATGCATATTCCTTTGCCATTCTACCCCATATACTGGTCACCAGAAGGGACTCAGTTTCTTAAGCCCAAAGTGCAGGAATAAACTTCTTAATTTTGAAATAGAAGATTCACATGCAGTTGTAAGATCAACTTGTAAGCACAGGGGAGATCCTATTTGCTCTCTACCCAATTCACCCTAATGGTAACATCTTGCAAAACTATAATACAGTCTAGCACATCCTCAAACTATTAAACAGAGATGTAACCCAGCAATTCCACTCCTATACATATACCTGAGCAAATTGAAAACACATGTCCACAAAAATACTTGTGCACGAATGTTTATAGTAGCATTACTATTATTATTATTATTATTATTATTATTATTTTGAGACAGAGTCTCGCTCTGTCACCCAGGCTGGAGTGCAGTGGTGCGATCTCAGCTCACTGCAACCTCCACCTCCCGGGTTCAAGTGATTCTCCTGCCTCAGCCTCCCAAGTAGCTGGGATTATAGGCGCATGCCACTACGCCTGGCTAATTTTTGTATTTTTAGTAGAGATGGGGTTTTGCCATGTTGGCCAGGCTGGTCTTGAACTCCTGAATTCAAGTGATACCCCCACCTCAGCCTCCCAAAGTGCTGGGATTACTATAGTAACATTATCCTTAATAGCCAAAAGATGGAAACTATATAAATTTCCATTTACAGATGAATGCGTAAACAATAAGTGGTCTATAACTACAATGGAGTATTATATAAATACAATGGCCATAAAAAGGAATGAAGTACTAATACCTGCTACAACTTGGATGAATCTTGAAATCATCATGTAAAGTGAAAAAAGTGGGACACCAAAGGCCACATATTATACGATTCCATTCATATAAGCATCTTGAATAGGGAAACCTGTACCGATAGGAAGTGGTTGTTTAGGGCTGGAGTGAGGGGAATGGAAGGATAGGGGAGTTACCCTTAACTAAAGGGTACAAGGCTTCTTTTTGAAGTGATGAAAATGTTCTACAATTGACTGTGGTGATGACTGCACTTATCTGTGTATGTCTGTGGAACTGTATACTTTAAATGGGTGGACTGTTTGGTATATAAATTTTATCTCAATAAAGCTGTTGAAAACAAAACATAAATTACAGTACAATAGCACAACTAGGATAATGACATAGTTAAGATCCTGAGCATTCCATTACCACAAAAATCCCTGCTATTGCCTTTTATAGCCACCCTTACTTCCCTCCCACCCCCACATCCTCCTTAACCCTTGGCAGTTACTAATCTAGTTTCCATTTCCATAATTTTGTCATGTAAAAATATTATGTAAATAAAATAATTTAATATGTAACATTTGGGAACTAACTTTTTTTTTTTGAAATGGAGTCTTACTTTGTTGCCCAGGCTGGAGTACAGTGGTGAGATCTCAGCTCACTGCAACCTCCACCTCCCTGGCTCAAGCAATTCCCCTGCCTCAGCCTCCTGAGTACCTGGGATTACAGGTGCACGCCAGCATGCCCTGTTAATTTTTTTGTATTTTTAGTACAGACGGGGTTTCACCATGTTGGCCAGACTGGACTCGATCTCCTGACCTCAGGCAATCCACCTGCCTTAGCCTCCCAAAGTGCTGGGATTTCAGGCATGAGCCACCGCGCCCGGCTGGGAAGTAACTTTTATTCACTCAGCGTAATTCCCTGGAAATTCATTAAGGTTGTTGTGTGTATAGCTAGTCCCCTCCTTTTTAGCTGAGTAGTATTTCTAGAAATCATTTTGATTTTTACTCTTCCTTATCCATCATATCCAATCCAGGAGCAAGTCTTGTTGGTTCTACCACCAAAGTCCATCTTAGATCTTATCTCTTCTCGCTACTTGTATGAATATACTTGTCTATACCACCATTAGCCCTCGCCCAGTCTGAGAACATCAAACTGATCCTGCTGCCTTCATTCCTGCCCCTTCACAATTCATTTACCACACAATAGTTAGAATACATTTCAACTAAAAATCTTTACATCAGGCCAGGTGCAGTGGCTCACACCTGTAATCCTAGCACTTTGGGAGGTTGAAGCGAGCGGATCATGAGGTCAGGAGATCAAGACTATCCTGGCCAACATGGTGAAACCCCGTCTGTACTAAAAATACAAAAATTAGCTGGGCACGTGCCTGTAGTCCCAGCTACTCAGGAGTCTAAGGCAGAAGAATCGCGTGAACCCGGCAGGCAGAGGTTGCAGTGACGCGAGATCGCACCACTGCACTCCAGCCTGGCAACGGAGAGAGATTCCGTCTCAAAATAAATAAATAAATAAACTTTACATCACTCTCCAAAGGCCTACCTCCTTCTTTTACTCATATACACATTCAAAAATATTTATTGAGTGCCAACTATATACTGGGCATTGTTTAGACTTTCGAGAAGCAGTTATTATATTTAAAATAATGACAAAATCCCTGATCTTGTGGAATTAATACAATAGTCAGGGAAGACCAAAAGTAAATAAAATAAGTAAAATACTGTAAAACAAAAAAAATAAAGCAGGAAAGCAAGATGAGAAGTTCTTGTAGGCAGGTTAGTTACATTTTTAAATAGACTGGTCAGGGAAGGTCTCATTGAGCAGATGACATTTGAGCAAAATATGAAGGAGACAGGGAAAGAGCTATGCAGATAACTGGGAGAAGAACATTCCGGGTAGAGGTAATAGCAAATATAACAGGACAAGATGAAAGCAGGATGGGAGTAGCTGAGGAACTGAAGGGAAATCTGTGTGGTTGGAGTCAAGTGAGCAAGAGGGGAACATTTAGGAGATGAGGTCAGAGAGGTAATGGGTCCAGATGATCTACTGGCTTGTTAGGTCACTTATAATACCTACTACATCTTTTACTCTAAATGAGATAGCAAGCCTTGGAGACCTTTAAGCATAATTTGACTTTTAAAACTTCACTCTGGCTGCTTTATGAAGAATAAAGCACAGGAGGAAGAGGGGAAGCAAGGTGATTAGTGACGAGGTGATTCCCAAAATCAAAGCAGGAGATAGTGGTGGTGTGCACTAGAGTTGAAACTTCGGAGGTGGTGTGAACTGATTGGGTCTGAATATGCCGTAAAGATTAGAGTTAAAAGGTTTTTTGGTAGATTTCATGCACAGTGTAAGAGAAAAAGTCAATGATGACTCTAAGGTTTTGAGTCTGGGGAACTGTACAGATGGAGTGGCCATTCACCGAGGTGAAGAGTGCAGCTGGAGCAGGTTTGGTAAGCTACATGGGGAAACTTGGTTTGGGACAAGCTCACGTTGAAATGCTGGGTACATTTGAGTCTGGGACTAATAGTCAGTTTTGCGGCTATAATTTGGGAGTTGTCAATGTGCAGACTGCATGCAAAGGACGTTACCATTTAGGGCATTGGTCTAGATGGAGAAGAGGTCCAAGATCCCTGGGGCTCTTCAAAATGAAAAGGCCTAAAAGATGAGAAGTAACTAGCAAAGGACACTGCAGAGTACTTAGAAAAAAACCCCATATTCCTTACCATAATCATGACCTGACCCTTGTCAAACTCTTTAACCTTACTCCCCAGTACACACAGGCCATTCAATTTTTGAAACGCACACACTAAGTCCCTTCCTGTCTCATGGTCATTGTTTTTGCTGTACGTTCCAACAATCATGTTTTTACCCTGGCTCTAGTTTTAATCACCTCCTTCTCTTACCACAGCTCTCAGCTAACTTGTTACTCTATCAGACTTTTCTCTAATTTCCTTAATTCCTATCTGAGTTTTCTCTAACCATCCTAATTAAATAGGTCCAACCCAACCATCTCCACCAAATTATGGCTCTTACTATATCTGAAATTTGTTTCACTTATTTTCTGTCTAAAAACCCACCCTCACTTTAACAATCGCTTACAAAATGATTAGCGTATGCCAAATGAAAAAGCCTAGATATTCTTCCCTGTATGTAACTTCCTGGAAAGCAGGGGCCTCCTCATGTTGTCCTTTGCCGCATCCCAATGCAGTCACATTGCCTCAGCAATCAATTCTGAGCTTTCAATAGTTATTAACGGAATAGACTGCAAGCCACTGACTGGTAATCGAAGGCCAGCATTAGAAAGAGGATACCGACAAACCTACAAATAGAGGGATCTGTTTCCGTCACTCGCGCCCTAACGCAAAGGGTGGGACAACCCGCGCGCATGCGTCGTTGTCCTCTGCTCTCCAGGGTAAACCCCGCCCCTTTCTTTAGGCCAGTTTTACCACAGCACATGCGCAGTACAGGATCTGTCTGTTCGTTTGTCGGCGCTACCAATAAAGTTTTAGTGAGCACAGACTCCCTTTTCTTTGGCAAGATGGCGGAGTACGACTTGACTACTCGCATCGCGCACTTTTTGGATCGGCATCTAGTCTTTCCGCTTCTTGAATTTCTCTCTGTAAAGGAGGTGAGGGGGTCTTTGGGCGCAAGGAAGGCGTGGGGGCGGATGAGGTGCTGAGCAAGGCCGAAAGGTGGTGTCTGTAGTCCTAGGCCTGACACGTGCGAGGCGGTCGCGAGTTTGGTTCCTGGACGGACACTAAGGATCTTCTGGTAGTTTAGCGTCGTCTCAGTTAAGAAGCACCGCACTATTCGGCAGTGAGGAGGAGGGAGGTTACGGAGAGAGAAAAGAAGTCTCTTTCACTTACTGAGGTGTCAGTGCGGGAGGGATTTTCGCATCATTTCTTCTCGGAAGTTGGCGATTCGCTGGTTTCGCTAGAGAACGTTAGAGCTTCACAGGCTGGCTTGTAAAAGCAACCTGGAGTGCTGTTAGAGCTTTTGATTTTTCTTTTGGGAACTGTGGGAAGCCTGGGCTTGGCTGTGGGTTTTTGCATGTCGAGTCTTTTGGAGTGATTCTCTTACACTTAAAATAAGTATCTAGCGCTTTAATTTCCATGAAGTTGTGAGTTCTTTGCGTTTTCTTGTCTTGGTTAAGTAGGACTTTCTAGAACAGCATATTTCGTCAGATGGGGACGGCGCTCCCCCGCCCCCCCCCCCAGAAAAAATCCCTCCAATCTTTAAATGTGTTTTCCAGTGGATATATTGTACTGACTTCATGTGGTTTGAATTGGTCGTTAATATTCAATTATCTACTCAAGATATCATGAATAAATGTGTAATTCTGGAACTTCATTTTAAAGCATATGTCAGTCCTAAAAGTTTTATTGGACTTGAAAGTTTTGGCTAAAAGAAAATTGACATTAGTTATACCGTGAGTTTATTGGGAAATTGATGCATTTTAATAATGCAAAGTAATTTGCAGTGATGAAGGAATTCGAATTTTTTCAGAAAAATAAGTGAGTTCTGTTTCTGGAAGCAGACTACAATATAAGTCTACTTAGGGAACTCTAGATTTGGGGAGTGGATTTTGTGTAGCAAAAGACAAAAAGCAATAAAACAAAAACGTCCCAAAAACCAGCGTCCAGGTGTTGTGGCTCGTTAGACAGGTATAATCCTCATATTCATATGCACCTTTTCTAAACATAGACAACTCTAAAGTTGTTGACGTTAGGTAACGGCTAAGATCATTTTCAGTAAATGTCCAAGAATGTCTTGTCATGTAAAACTTTCTCTTGATATATTTTTGCTTTGATTCTTCTTTTTACACCTGTATTTTAGACCTTGAGTAAAACATTCGCATCTGCATTGTTTTCTTTTCTGGAAAAGTGAGGACAAAAGATCTAGTAAAAATGCTATATTTTGAAAGCCTTTACCAGCTGCTTGTAGAAGTACTTCTGAACTAGCTGAACTTTATATATTTTTGTGTTCTTTATAATTTCATTTTTTTTATGGCACACAGAAGGAAAGGAGGAATATGTAAATGTGAATTAGATTTTCATAGGGCTAGACGAAAACTATGAACTGCAGGCAGTTGAGAATCAGTGGGAAAAACTGCCCAATACCCACCTCTTTGGAGAAAATGTTGGTAAGATAGCTGTAATACACCAAGAGGAAGACAGATGCTGGAGTATTTAATTAGCAATTTCTAAGTACATTTGACTCTTGGACAGTACAGGGGTTAGGAACGCTGAGCTCTCGCAGTCAAAAATCCGTTATAAGTTTTGACTCCCCCAAAACTTAATATATCCTAATGCTGACAGGAAGGCTTACTGAGAACATGGACAGTCCTGTGTTGTATGTGTTCTATACTGTATTATTACAATAAAGTAAGCTAGAGAAAATAAAATGGTCTTAAATTATAAGGAAGAGAAAATACATTTACTTTTTAGTAAGTGGAAGTACATCATCATGAAGGTCTTCATTGTCTTCATATTGAGTAGGCTGAGGAGGAGGAGTAAAAGGAGGGGTTGGTCTTGCTGTTTCAGGGGTAGCAGAGGTGGAAGAAGTAGAGGAAGTGGATGGGAAGTCAGGAAAGGCAGGCACACTTGGTGTAACTTTTATTGAAAAAAAGTTGTGTATACGTGGACCTGTGTGGTTCAAACCCTTGTCGTCCAAGGGTTAATTGTATAGGGCCATATAACTGAGAAATCCAAGATAAAACCCAGACATCTCACCACTAAACAACTTACCTATCCTTTAGAGTTGAATGTTTTTGATATAAGGTAAAAATAAATGTCGAAGAGGTAGGTACTGGTAGAGTGCTATCAAAATTGAGATTTTGTTATCTTCAGTGAGCAAAGAGGACTTTGAGGAGGTGAGGCTTTGAGTCTTGAAGGCAAAATGGTTAGAATAGAGTCAGTGATCCTGCTATGTGAGGATACAGCAGCCCCCCCCCCCCACACCCCCTTAGCAGTTTCAATTTCTGCAGTTCCAGTTACTCATGGTCCAAAAATATTAAATGGAAAATTCCAGAAATTAGCAATTCGTAAGTTTTAAATTGTTCGCCCTTCTGGGTAGTAGGATGAAATCTGTCTCGCTCTCTTGCTTAAAACTGGGACATGAATCATCCTTTTGTCCAATGTATCCACACTGTATATGCTAACTTAATTGTTCTATTTTGTTATTGTTCATCTCTTGTTCCCAGTTTATAAATTAAACTTTATCATAGGTATGCATGTATAGGAAAAAAACAGTAAATATAGGATTGGGGCTATCTGCAGTTTCAGGCAGCAGCCGCTGGGGGGTCTTGGAACATTTAGCTCATGGATAAGGGGAGACTATTACATTGCACCAAGAGAAAAACAGTTTCATATATTTGTAGTACATTGGAGAATATAAGCTTCATGAGAGCAGAAGCTTCCTTGTGCTCTCAGCACATAATATGAGTCTGGCATAAAGGCTTTTTATGATTGTTTAATAAATGATTGAATGAATACATACTTGTTTCTCACTCTTCTTTATTTTCATGTGAAGCAGAAGGCCAGATAGTGAAATATTTAGGACCCTGGGCTCTGAATTGGACCTTTCATGACTCGGTCATTTAATACCTCTGTGCAGTCAGAGCAGATTCTTTTACCCTCTTAACCTTTTCTCATGAATAAAATGTTAATACTACCACCAATCTCATCGGGTTAGAAAAATTACATGAGATAATGCATATAAAACACTACGCTCTTCTGGGACAGAGTGAGTACTCCTTAATGTTTTGTGTTTTGAGACAGGGTCTCGCTTTGTCACCTAAGCTGGAGTGCAGTGGCACAATCTTAGCTCATTACAGCCCTGACTTTCTGGGCTCAAGCAATTCTCCCACCTCAGCCCCAGAAGTAGCTGGGACTACAGGTGTGCGCCACCATGTCCGGCTGATTTTTTTTGTATTTTTTGTAGAGATGGGGTTTCACCATGTTACCCAGGCTGGTCTCAAACTCCTGAACTCAAGTGATCTGCCACCTTGGCCTCGCAAAGTGCTGGGATTACAGACATGAGCCACCACCCTTGGCTCTAAATGTTTTTTATTTTGGAAGACTAGCCCATTCTGTATTGGTATGGGATGGGAGGGGGGGGCAGTGAGGGTTTTGAGGAGTAAGGTAAGGACTGGAAATGGTTACTAAGAAACTGATCAAAGGAAAGTACAAGGATTGGTTAAGTGTGGAGGGCCCAACTGAGATTGGAAATCATACCTTAGAGCTAATAATGGGGTCATTCTCAGGGCGAGGAGCGGTAGAAGGCTATGGGAGTAGTATAGACATATTTAGGGGTAGGCTTGTATGTAAATGCCATTTAGAGAAGCACAGATGTGATCGAATAACATTATTCCCTAATTTTGAAACATTTTGTAGTCATCCTTAGCCAGAACCTAGAGAATAGGTGACTTTTTTTCCAGAGTTAGTGATTGACACTGAATTGTATATAGTTGGAGAAATTAGTTTGAAAGAATCAATGATAGAACTGAAGAGAAAATCTTTGAAATAGCTAAAAATGATATCCAAACTAAGGCAGAAAGTGACATCAAAAAGGGTATTACAAAAATTAGAAAGGGCAGAAAGTCTGAGATGATGAAGATTTTAATGGTAATGGTGGAAGGGGTTATCAGTTTTAAGTTGGAATTCTTGGAGATGAGGGGTTATCAGTTTTAAGTTGGAATTCTTGGAGATGAGATACATGATGAAAATTGTCATAATTTGAGGAATAAAGGAATTTTAGGGCTCAAGCTTTTAAAGAGTCATCAGTATGGCATTATATTTGTGTTGAATGACAGCAGAGGAAGAGACAGCAAAAAAAGATTCTTAATCTGTTAAAAAGTAATATGTTTTCAAGAGGTTGATAGACGACGGATCAGCAGACTATAGCCTGGGAATCAGATAGCAGCCTGTTTTTGTGTGGTTTTGGGGCTAAGAATAGTTTGTAACAGAGGAACATTTGCAAACATTAGCAATTATAGAATATTAACTTTATACCCCAATTAAGTGAAATAATTTCTCTTGAAAAAGCATTCTATTCTTATTAATAGACCTGTATTACAAAAACTTTTACTGTTATTATTTCTGTTTCAAAATTTTTAAAAAATTGTGGAAATTTGATTCTCGTTTTTCATGTGAGTACTTATATAGTATTTTCAATTGTTGCTTCTTGATACAAAGTCTGAAGTATTTGCTTTCTGCTTATGAGGCAGAATTGAGAGGCATATGTAGATTTGAGAACAGGACAGTAACACCTGATGGTAGAGGAGCAAGGCTATTGAATCTATTGTGGAGAGAGACGTGGCAAATTAAAAGTTACTAGTGGAGTGGGGAGAGGTAGCGTGCTTGGAAAAGAATGTTTTTATTTAAGATTAGTGTTTCTATAGGGCAAAGTGATGAGAAGTTAAGGTTTTTTAGGTAAATTTTTTATCAGATATGACGTTCATTCATACAAGTACACAAATATAAATGTACTGGTCAATGATACATATTTTTTTCAAAATGAATAGCGAATACATTTATGTGACCACCACTCAGATTAATAAATAAAACATTACAGACATCCTTTTTTTTTTTTTTTTTTTTTTCTTTTTTTTTGAGACAGAGTCTTGCTCTGTGGCCCAGGCTGGAGTGCAGTGGCGCAATCTCGGCTCACTGCAAGTTCCACCTCCTGGGTTCACGTCATTCTCCTGCCTCAGCCTCCCGAGTAGCTGGGACTACAGGCGCCCACCACCACGCCCGGCTAATTTTTTGTATTTTTAGTAGAGACAGGGTTTCACCGTGTTAGCCAGGATGGTCTCGATCTCCTGACCTCGTGATCCGCCTGCCTCGGCCTCCCAAAGTGCTGGGATTACAGGCGTGAGCCACTGCGCCTGGCGACATCCTTAAACCTTCATCTTGACCCCTGTTAGTCACTACTCACACCCCCTAAAGGTAAGCTGTAGTCTGATGATTCATTTTGCCTGTTTTTGATTTTTATATAGGTGGAGTTAAGCATTTACCACCATGTACTGCTTTGTATGACATCTTTCACTCAGCATTGTTTGTGAGTCATCATGTTTTTAGGATAGCAGTAGTAGTTCATTGATTTTTCAGTGCCGAATGTTAATCTATTATGAGTATGCTGTGGTTTGTTTTCTCATTTTAACATTGATAGACTTGGCTATTACAAATAGTGCTCCTGTGTACATTTTTGGAAGTGCACTTTGACTATATGCACCCATTTGTTTTGGATGCCTCGAAACAATTGCTGGATCAAAAAGTATGTTTGGCTTTGGGAGATAAAAATCTTACAAAGTAGTTGTATTCCTGCCAGAAGAGAATAGGTTCCAGTTAGTCTACATCCACACCAACACTGGTATTGTCAGGATTTTTTAGGTTTTTATTGTAATTTTTAGTATGCATTTCCTTATGATTAATGACGTTGAGAACCTTTTCATGTGTCTGTTGGCCATTTGGTTGTCTTCTTTTGCGAAGTGCCTATCTTTTAGCCATTTCAATTGCAAGGTCTGTCTTGTCTTACTCATTTATAGGAGTTCTGCATGTAATTTGGAAGGTTCGATTTTGCTCTCATGGCTAAATACCCTTTGACCACCTTCATCTTTATTTTTTGTGGGCAGTGAAATATTGTGGCATTTTCTTGGATTTTTCTTTCCTTGCAAAATTAAGTTCAGTACAGAAATCTTTTCTTTTGCTGAAGCATTTCTGTCCGTGAATATTTTGTAGAATCTTTACATATTACTCAGTACACTTCATGTTGTTGTGAGTTTGTGTATATGTATCTATTTGCTCCCTGTACTATAGGTTAAATTATGCTTTTTTGGATCCTTTGCAAAGCAAAAGCCTGATCTGACATGGTTGACTTAAAAACTTGGTGCAGGTTGTTTCAGCAATGTGGATGGAGAAGCATATAGGAGTTTATTACTGATTACCTGGATGTGGAGAAGTGACAGCTATATGTGCTTTACAGGAAAGATGGCGTGGGTTTTATTTATACACAGCCTTGCCTAGAAAGGGTAAGAGATGGTTTGTAGGGACACATAAAAAATAAGGTCATGTAAATCAGAAGTAGGTGGGAATGTCTACAGTAATTCTCTTCATTTTAAAATTTTTAGGTAAGTAAAATACTTTTACGTCTATAGGTTGGTTGCTTGCCATATTGCTTGCCATTATTACAAGAGGGGAATGTTAATGGTTTATCGTATTTTATAAAGTATTTCTTGAAATATATTTCCAGGTAAATTAGTTTTAGTATTAATCAGTTTATTTGGGGAACTTAAATATATTCATTAGAAAGTTATCTTCTTTTGCAGATATATAATGAAAAGGAATTATTACAAGGTAAATTGGACCTTCTTAGTGATACCAACATGGTAGACTTTGCTATGGATGTATACAAAAACCTTTATTCTGATGATATTCCTCATGGTAAGTTTTGTCATTAGAACTGAAACTTGTCTTGTGACTTGAGGATGTGTGTATTAAAGTTTTATGATTTATAAGACAGCTTTAGCCAAAAGGCTTAAATATGATTTGAATGTTAATGTTCTTTGGGTGAGAGGTTATATAAAGGTTTCATATCTTCCGAAATATATTGTTTTCTCCCTGTGAAAGATGTGGAACTACTTTAAAATATGGTCATCAGATGCCTTCATTTCATAGTATGTATCATCAAAGTTGTGCTTATGATTCACATTCCTTAGAATTATCTGAGAATGTTGCAGTTCTTGGGTTGCTAACTTTTTCAGTTAGTGCATTGTGTGCCTTAGAGTTTTGTGTTTTTTTTTTTAATTTTGAGGCATCTAGTGTAGACATTGTTCTCCAAATATGGTCCCCAGGACCAGCATCATCAGTTCACCTGGGAGAGCTTGTTAGAAATGCAGGTTTTTGGCCACACACCAGACCTACTTAATCAAAACTGTTAAGTGGTCCTCTTAAGTTTGGGAAATAATTCTGTGTCATTTCTTCAATGCACATTACATTTTTAAAGGTTCCAAGAATTTTGGCAGTAGAGAAATACAGTATACTGTGATTAAATTGGCATTTCTCAAAATTTGATCATAGATCTTCTGTGTTTCAGAAAGACTGCTCTAGAATATACTTTCTAATATATAATACAGACATTATTACATTAAACATAATCCACATGTTTGACTTGTAGTTCCCTGCAATAACAGTATCTCTTTTTTAGTTTGTCATGGATAAACAAAAAGGAAACTATTTCTTAGTTTCTTTCTTTTTTTTTTTGAGATGGAGTCTCGCTGTGTTGCCCGGGCTGGAGTGCAGTGGTGCGATCTCGGCTCACTGTAAGCTCCGCCTCCCGGGTTCACGCCATTCTCCTGCCTCAGCCTCCCGAGTAGCTGGGACTACAGGTGCCCACCACCATGCCCAGCTAATTTTTGTATTTTTAGTAGAGACGGGGTTTCACCATATTGGCCAGGCTGGTCTTGAACTCCTGACCTCGTGATCAGCCCGCCTTGGCCTCCCAAGTTGCTGGGGTTACAGGCGTGCGCCCTTGCCCCTGGCCTATTTCTTAGTTTCTTAATGAAACATTAAGGTGTTACCAGAGTTGGTTATGTGCAAGTTTTCTCCACCTTTTCATAGTATAGTAAAAGGAACGATAGAATTTGGTTTGAGAGATTATAGAGCTGGATTTGTGGTTAAAAGAGATTATTTAATGGATTTAAATTCCATTCAACCTAGTTGATAACCTGTAATAGTAATATGTAAATCCCTCTGAGTTTTTCTTCAAAAACTCTGGGATAATATTCACCTAAGAAAATTAAATGAGAACAAATATAAAAACACTTGGAAAGAAGTTTCTGCAATGGAGAATTAAATGATAGATAATTGGGTCCTACCCTTTTTTTCTTTCACATCCCTCTGTCACCCCAAGGCTGTATATTCTCTAGTTTCCCTCAAGAGTAGGAAGAGGATTCCCTTTTCCTTTTTGTGCCTTTGTATTAGTAGAAAAAAGAAATTAGGGATCGGGGACATTTCTGACTGAGTAGCCCATGGCATATGAATATATTGGGGGTAAATAAATATATGTATAGTTTAAATACACTGAAAAATTTCCAGACATTCTCATGATGAGTAGCACAATTTAACATTCCTTAACATTGTAGTGCTCTTCTGCATTTTTAATTAGCTTTGAGAGAGAAAAGAACCACAGTGGTTGCACAACTGAAACAGCTTCAGGCAGAAACAGAACCAATTGTGAAGATGTTTGAAGATCCAGAAACTACAAGGCAAATGCAGTCAACCAGGTAAACTCGTCTTAATTTTGAATTCTAAAAATTCTCCTTTCTGGATTAATACAAATGTTAATTCAAACTTTATCCAGTATCCCATAGTAAAAGTTCATGGTTTAAATGAGTGCTTTATTCATTTTTAATTTTTGTTTATCCTTATTTTGTAGGGGCCAGTATAATTAATAAATGTTAATATTAACACTAAGTTTTTTTCCTAAAAAAAACTTCTTTAGTACTTATCTATACTGATTATACTACAGAAATTCCATCTCCTGTTTCCCCCTTCCTGGGGACATTTGGCAATGTCTGGAAATACTTTTTGGTTGTCATAACTGGAGGGGTGCTATAGGGACCTAGTGAGTAGAGGCCAGTTATGCTGTTAAACATCCTACAGTGCATAGGACAAGCACTGCTGCCGCTACTCCCCAACAAAGAATTATCCGACTGAAAATGTCCATTAAGAAACCCTGTTCCACTGTGTGGTGGCTCACACCTGTAATCTCAGCACTTGGGGAGGTGGAGGCAAGTGAATCCGTTGAGCCTAGGAGTTTGAGACCAGCCTGGGCAACATGGCGAAACCCTCTATCTTACCAAAAAATTAAAACCAATAAAAAGTTAGCCAGGTGTGGTGGTGTGCGCTTGTAGTCTCAGCTTACTTGCTACTTGGGAGGCTGAGGTCAGAGGATGGCTTGAGCCCGGGAGGCGGAGGTTGCAATGAGTCAGTGTCATAATACCACTGCATTCCAAAGTAGGTGACATAATGAGACACCATCTCAGGAAAAAATAAAAAAGAAACCCTGTGCTTGGGCAATACCTAGAACCTTAGAACACATGGGTATCTCGTTATAAGAGAAACCTGAGCTCACTTTATCCCTGGCTACATTCTTTCATACCCTTCCAAGCTCCATGCCCAAGGAGGGTAGTTTTGAGCTGATAAGATTATTTTATTCCTAACTTCCCTTTACCTACAAATAGACGTTACTGTTTCGTTTCCAAAGAAAACATATTGCCTTAGTCTGACGTAGTACATGTCACGGGTGGAAGTCTTTTGGGTTACTAGAAACATTTAAAAATAAAATCTCTTACTAAAATTGAATATTGTCATTTGAGATAAATCCTAGCTACCAGTAAATTCACTTGAGGAATTGCTGGATATTTTGCCGTGCTATACCTTTGATTTCTATGTATTTAAACCAAATTTTTAGAGATTGGCTCTTAAGTTTTCCTTTGTGATTTGTGAAGGTGTTACCAGATATTTTTAGAAAAGCAACAAATATACAATTACTGTGCCATACTATAGCGTACTATACTATACTATACCATACCATACTGTGACATATACTACATACAAATGCAGTTAGCTCTCTGTTCTGCATCTGTGGATTCAGCCAACTGCAGATTGAAAATATTCAGGGAAAGAAACTAAAAAATAACAATACTACAATAAAAAATACAAATAAAACTACAGTGTAACAACTAACAACTATATGATATTTACATTGCATTAAGTGTAAGTAATCTAGAGATGATTTAAAGTGGATGGGAGGATGTGTATAATTTACATGCAAATACTGTGCTATTTTACATAAGGGACTTTAGCACCTGCAGATTTTGGTATTTGAGGGGGCTCGTGAGTAGGGGGTAGGCAAGGTCTTGGAACTAATGCTCTGGGGATACCAAGGGATGACTATATGCGGGAAAACACACAGAGATATATACACACATCATGCGCATAGACAGAGCTATATATTATACTAAACTACTTTTATGCTTTTAGAAGAAGTAATTTTAGATCTTCAGGTCACATGTAGGTGATTACAAAGGGACAGCGGAAATAATCCAGATGTTAGACTACAACAGAAAATTTAGGATGCTGTAGTTTAGTCACTCAAAGACTGGGAAGTAATGGGATCAGAGCATGAATAAGATGAATGTACATGTGTTCACCAGTTAGAAAAAGAGGATCCTTGTAGCTTAATAGGTACTGAGTTTGAGATAAATGAAAGGATCATGTGTTAAAAACTTGTAATCTTATACTTACAGACTACCTATTTTCAATGTAAAAACCTTTTTCTGACAATTCACCCTTTTTAAATTTCATTGAATATATAGTATCGTACTTACACTTTCCCGGAAATAATCAGCCAGAGGACAGTGATTATATACGTGAGTGGTATGAGTAGTGCAATACAAAGTTATTCAGTGTGATCCACTGCAAATGTTCAGTTTTTGTTGAAGTTCTTCTATGTTGGAATTTCATGTACATTTCATAATCAGTATTGTAATACACCTATATTAATTTTTATGGGGACATATCTCTGCTCCATTAAATCTTCAAGCAAAATTGTGTTCCCAAAGACACATTATAGCATATTTCTTCTCATGAGAAGGATAAGAAAATGTTTTTGTTTTGGAAAATGCAGTCAGGTGCAGTAGCTCATGCCTGTAATCCCAGCACTTTGGGAGGCCAAGGTGGGTGGATCACTTGAGGTCAGGAGTATGAGACCAGCCCGGCCAGCGTGGTGAAACCTCATCTCTACTAAAAATACAAAAATTAGCTGGGCATGGTGGTGCACGCTTGTAATCCCAGCTACTTGGGAGGCTGAGGCAGGAGGATTGCATGAACCCGGGAGGCGGAGGTGGCAGTGAGCCGAGATTACACCAGTGAACTCCATCCGGAGTGACAGAGTGAGACTCCGTCTCAAAAAACAGTAACAACAAAAATGCTCATAAGGTGGGCAACTATACACATATATCCCCTGTCCCTTGATGTCTTTCTTTATTATTAGTTTGTCTTTTACTAGTCTGTCAACATCTCAAGATAATGCAAAGCTAATTTAAGAAAAATTAAATATGGCACTTGGTTATACCTAAGGATTGTGTAGGGTATGTAGCATAGCTGTCATGTATATCGGACATGATTTTTAAATTTTTATTTATTATTTTTTTTTGAGACAGAGTCTCACTCTGTCGCCCAGGCTGGAGTGCAGTGGTGCCATCTCTGTTCACTGCAACCTCCACCTCCCAGGTTCAAGCGATTCTCCTGCCTCAGCCTCCCAAGTAGCTGGGATTACAGGCACCCGCCACCATGCCTGGCTAATTTTTGTATTTTTAGTAGAGACTGGGTCTCACCATGTTTGCCAGGCTGGTCTTGAACTCCTGACCTCAGGAGATCCACCTGCCTCGGCCTCCCAAAGTGCTGGGATTACAGGTATCAGTCACTGCGGCCGGCCAGGCATGATTTATTAATCTTGTAAATTTGTCAAATCGTCCTTTTGAAAAATATTAACAGATTGGAGGAGGGGACATTTATATATAGGATTAGTTTCTTCTAGTTTGTACATGGTACATTTATTTCAGTCTCTATAATTAGACTATATTATCTATTAGAAATTTGACCACATAGAGCAAAAACCATTCTCAGTAGATTACCACTAAGTAGACTACTGACCTTACTAGAAATAGTCAGAATCTTCTGGTTTTATTGTCTGACAAACTGTTAAAGGCCTTACCTTAGTTGTGGTGAAACACACTAATTTTCAGTTAGGGCTAAAGAAATCTGAAAGTCAATTTTAAAGTTTGTAGCTCTCCTTGTATACTTCTTATATTCAAAACATGTAATGTCCTGCTTATTTTATTCTGGAAGTCTTTTAACATTTAAGTATTTATTTAAGGTGACTTTGCGTAGGTAATAACTTAGAAGTTGGATATGCTTATTTTGTTTTCTGTGGCCTTTAAAATAATGTAATTTTTGTTTTTTATTATTTAGGGATGGTAGGATGCTCTTTGACTACCTGGCGGACAAGCATGGTGTAAGTGTTTTAAAAATATTTTAAAGTTGTCATGTTTTAATAATGCTGACTAAAGACTGGTTTGTACAGATGAGCTTATGGCTTGGCCTAAGAATATAATTTCCAGATTAATTTATTAATTATAAAATCTGGTTATATTTTTAAAACTTCAGTGTTTATAAATTGTTGCTGACAGGAAAATATGTGCTTATAGCTCACCTTTAGATGACAGAAATTCTCAAAGCTTGTATTTATTCCAGAGTTGTAATAGTTGGCAGTAATTGTTGGCATTTTATATTAGTGCCAATAGCAAGCTAAGTATTATATATTATAGGGCATAGGATGCCTTTTCTTATGGATTAACGAGTAAGGCAAACAGAATTAAATTTGAATTAGAAATGCTTTGAGCAGTAGAATTAGGTAGTACTTTGGCTGCCTTGTGGAACACAATAGCCTTTGAAATTATCAAGGTCTTTATAAGTCCCCAGATTCACAAATAAAGAAACATCGTAAGCTTTCCTAACCGTCACTCAATCTTATTTCCCTTGTGTTAACTCAAAGCATGAGGCTTTGCATATAATTAATTATTTAAGGAGTCCCCAACTCCCAGGTCATGGACCAGTACCGGAGGGCCACAGAGCAGATGATCAGAAGGTGAGCAAGCATTACCATGTGAGCTTTGCCTCCTGTCAGATCAGTGGAGGCATTAGATTTTCATAGGAGCACGAACCCTATTGTGAACTGCTCATGCAAGGGATCTAGGTTGCACGCTCCTTATGCGAATCCAGCTAGTGCCTTGATGATCTGAGGTGGAACAGTTCATCCTGAAACCACCTCCCCGACCCCAGCCCCCATTAGTTTACTTCTTTAAATAACTCCAGAGGTCAGTTCTATAAAAGTCTCCCAAAAGCTGCCACCAAAAATAAATACCATAATCAGAGATACATTTGACTCATAAAATATACATTAGAAGTTGGTGACTTAAACATTCATAGTTTTGACCTCAAAGACTTATGAATTACAATGGGGTTTTAAAACTCTAAATTAAAGAGAACTTAATCTTTTTTTTTTCTTTTTAGTTTAGGCAGGAATATTTAGATACACTCTACAGATATGCAAAATTCCAGTACGAATGTGGGAATTACTCAGGAGCAGCAGAATATCTTTATTTTTTTAGAGTGCTGGTAAGTATAAGTACATGTTTTTTTTTTTTTTTTTTTTGTCTTTTGTAGGATTCCCTTGGTTCTTCAAAACATGTATATAGATAGATTTGGGTCTGTTCATTAAGTTTTCAACAGTCATTGGCAAAAGAGAAAAAAGTAAAGAAAACCCTCCCACTCAAAAACAGAAACTAGAAACCTTGTTTCAGGGCCTCAAAATTTGGAGGGTGATTTAACTTGTCCTTGAAATCCAAAAGTAGGAACAATTTTATGATTTTTAGCATTAACAGAATCGTATCATGTAATGGATTTATTATTATAATATTATACAGCACAGTGAGTGGCACATTGTAGGTGCTTAATTAATATTGTTGAGTAAATCCATTATTCCTGATTTAATACTTTATCATATATATATATACTCCTTGAACTTGGCTCTAAACAACTGTGGAATCCTAACGGTATGTGAAATATTTTATGCCTTAGTAGTAACTTTTTTCCAGTTACCTCTGCCTTCAGCTATTGGAATATAAATATCAATGGTTTCTTCATTACGTGGGGTATAGATGAGTTTAAATGGTACTATTAACCATGAAGTATCCTATTACCGTATATTTGACAGGCTTCTAGATTTAGTGCTTTTGTTAGAGAAGGAGAGTTGTGTGAAGCCAAATTAAAAATCAGGCCTTGGCCAAGTGCGGTGGCTCACACCTGTAATCACAGCACTTTGGGAGGCTGAGGCGGGCTGATCACCTGAGGTCTGGAGTTTGAAACCAGCCTGGTCAACATGTTGAAACCCTGTCTCTACTAAAAATACAAAAATTAGCTGGGCATGGTGGCACGCACCTGTAATCCCAGCTACTTGGGAGGCTGAGGCAGGAGAATCCCTTGAATCTGGGAGGTGGAGGTTGCAGTGAGCCGAGATGGTGCCACTGCACTGCAGCCTGGGTGACAGAACAAGACTCCATCAATAAATAAATAAATATATATCAGGCCTTCAAATTGATGTACTTCGTTCTCACTCTGTCTTCTGTTTAGGAAAGTGTATTAAGTGCCTTCTACAGTTATCAAAACATCCTTGTATTAACTAGCCTCTCATTTGAGAAATTATAATTTGTTACCTTGGACTAGTAAGTAGGTACTTAAAGTCTAAGATTTCTTTTTTTTTTTTTTTTTTTTTTTTTTGAGACAGGGTCTTGCTCTCACCCAGGTAAGAGTGCAGTGGTGCCATCATAGCTCACTGCAGCCTTGAACTCTTGCGCTCAAGAGATTCTCTTGCCTCCTGAATAGCTAGGACTACAAGTGTGCATCACCACTCATGGCTAATTTTTAATTTTTTTTTTTCCAAGATGGAGTCTTGCTATGTTGCCCAGGCTGATCTCAAACTCCTGGCCTGAAGTGATCCTCCCTCCTCAGCCTTTCAATGCTTTGGGATTTACAGCCATGAGCCTCTGCACCCTGCCTGTCTAAGATTTCTCTAGTTAATCCTAGAAGTTGGAAAAAGACCTTAAAACAGAGACTTTTTGTCTTCCAACCTTGGAAGAGTTTGTTTCTTTTTGCCTTTACTTTCTGGTGCTTTTTTCTTCACTTGTAGCTCCACATGTTGCAAAATAAAGTCTCATGGCTGCTGTCTGTGGTTATTTTCTAGGAAATTAAAATTTTCATTTTGTGGGGAGGGAGAGATTAGTATTACTGATTCAGGTAATTTCTACACTTAAATTGCATAGACAACTTCACTTTTTGAAACTCCACCGTCCTTTAAAGAAAAAGATTTTCTGTTTATTTCCAACTTTGCTTAAGAAAAACAACTTTTTTTCTTTCTTGCTTCCATTTGTAGATGAATTCTTAATTTACAGATTAGCTGTGGTTCACTTGCAAGTGCATTGAAGGTAATCAGTGATGCTAAACTTGTAGTAACTTATCAAAAAATTCCATCAGTTTTACTTTGAATATTACGAGGGATTTAGGAGAGCAAAAGTTGATTACTTTGGAAATGTAAACAGCTTAAACCCGGATTGTAAAATCAGAAGCCTGGTATGATTACAGGTACATGAAAAGAGTTGGTTATTTATATCATTTGTTAATGCTGGGAGTGAATTTTGAGAATGAAGATTTAGTGTCATGTTAGAGTTCCAGCACAGTAAATTTATTGTTGCTGGTCAGTGAGTGAATGTGCCATTTTGCTAAGACATGGAAACTTAAGGTAACTGCTGGAAATCCAGATATTGAAACTCTTCTAGCATATCCACCCTTGAAAGCAGGTTAGTATGAAGAGCCAACTGTAATGACATGGAGTTTAGCCAGAGTAGTACACATGAACCTTTTGAGGATTAAAAAACTTGCTACACTGCTACAAAAAGCTTTTATTCTAACACATATAACACATTCTAGTGTTAATAGTATTATATTTATGTAGTATGGTTTTATATTAGTCTGAAAATTTCTACAAGTGACAGGTTTGTACTTGTAGGTTTGGTGAATTTTTATGTTTATTTTTTTAAAATATGACGATACAAGTTAATTCCCGGTCTTAAAAAAATTTGAGGGTTAGTTTTAAACTTTTGCATTGCCCCTAACAAATCTTGTGCTGGAACTCAAATGATATTTTGATTAAGTGATTGAATACTGTGATACAAACACTAAGTTAATATGTTTTACATCAAGAACAGTCAACATAGAGTTACTGGAAATTCTAAAAAGTTACATTCAATTCGTTTTAAAATTTTTGTCCTGTCTGAGCCACAAAACATTTGTGTTAGGCGAGAGTTTGTTGCTTCCTGTTGGCATATTGGCAGGCTAACAGTGCCAAGCTTAAAAGAATAGATATCTTTTTCTTTTGATTTAGATAGCCACTACCACAAGATCTGTGTATTTGTTTGAAGTTTTGTTAATAGCAAATCTAAAAATCTTGTTTGGATTTGGGATGAGAAATGTCAGTGTTTTACTTTTTAGTTAATTAATTTTATTTTTTGCAGTGGCCTTTTTTTATTTCTAAATACTTTTCTGGTGGTTGATTATTCTTTTAAATCTGTGGTTAGGGAAACATAAGCTATGAAAGAGCTATTGTAACTATGATCTGAGATTAGAATTTGACTCTCCAAATGACCTATTGTAGGTCAGTGTTGTATAAATTAAAGCTGTGTGACCCTAGAATCTGCCCTTAAAAAAAAAAAGAAAAGACTCGTGGATTTTAGAATACATTGAGAATTGTTCAGGTACACTCTGTTTGGTGTGAAACTTCTTTGATTTATACTCCAAGAAATGTGTTAATTGAAATAAAATGACGAAGCTGGTTTGGTGGGAATTTTTGAACACTTTTGCTTTAACAGTTATTAGCACTATTGATTATTTTGTTAAAATTTTCCCTCATTGTGGCCTTTGATCTGGCTCCATAATATACCCCATTCCCTTATTCAGCAGCTCTTTGAAATAAAAGTGATTTTAGTTCCTAGGACTATTTGTTATACTTTTGGAGCTGTCTCTTTCCCTCCCTCAGGATGTAAAATGTATTTCCTGTTTGTATATACCACTTCATTTAAAAATATTTTTCCTTGAGGCTCAAGACAGTATGAGTAATGATAATTTTTAGAGGCATTAGGATCTTGATTGAAATTCTGGCTCTGTTGTATCCTGTTGTGATGTCACTGTAAGAATTGTGCATTTAATATTGATCTTCAAGCATAGTTTTGCATATTTTAACATCTGAAATCAGAAAGTGTCTTTACTGGGTTTTTGGTTTTAGAAACATAAAATAATAATGTATGTTAAAATTGATGGCATTTTTGACTCGATGATATATTTTTATATTCAGATATCCTTTATAAGAATTAAACATTTTATCCTTTGTAATTAGAACAATTATTTTATGGATTTTGATAAACCAGTTTTTAAATTTTCAATGAATTTTGAAACATTTGTGTACTTGTGTGGCTACATTAAGTCAAGATAAAGAACATTTCTGTCACCTCAGAAAGACCCTTTTTGTTCTTTTGTGGCCATACTCCACCCATGGTCCTGGGCATCCATTGACCTGCTTTCTGTCCCTGTAGATTAGTTTTGCCTGTTCTAGAATTTTATGTATGTAAGTGGAATGATGTACTATGTATGTTTGTGTTTGGCTTATTTTTACCAGCAAGTTTTTGAGGTTCATGTTATTGTGTGTATCAGAAGTTAGTTTCTATTTATTGCTCAGTAGTATTTCATTCTGTGAATTTACCATGGTCTGTTTAATATATTCATCTATTGATGATGAACATTTAGATTACTTTTCGTTTTTGCCTATTAAAAATAAAGTTAGTATGAATATGCATGTACAAGTTGTATTGTGGATATACTTTGTGATAATAACTAGAACCAGGAGTGGTTCAAAATTTAATTTACACATCTACTCCCTGTGTTATTTGCCTGCTCTTAGTGTGCCAAATGTTATTTAGTACATTTGAAAGGAAGAATCTCAGTATAGACTGAGTTTGTATTGTGGTCCCCAATGTTTAGATCATATATCTGTAAATATGTATACACATTTACATATAGATAAATATAAATTTACGTATGTAAATGTATATGTAAATATATGTAAATCTGTATACCTATCTCTGCGATGATTTTCATCATCATTTCAGTAACTCAGATTTACCAAGTTCTTATTCTGTATCAGGTGATAATTGTAATCCCTGTATGTCTTATGTCACTTAAACTATACAACTGAGGTGGGTTCTATCCCCATGTTGCAGTGAGGAAGCTAAAGTACAAACTAGCTGTTAAGTGGTAGAGACAGAATTCTTGATTGGATTTCTGATCCTGCACATATAATTTAACTTGTAATTATGATATCTCTTGATATTTATACTATTATGTAAAAGTGCTTCTGTAAAAAATTAAATTTGAAATTTCATCTTGAGGTGTAGACATGTATTCTTCCCCCTCTACTGCCCTTACTTGCTTCTATTGCTTTAGCACATCTGATCGGTTCAGAGTCAGTTTACCTACTTCTGCTGCTTTGTTTTGAGGGAGTCCAGCTTTGCTCATTGTTATTAGCCTGGTCATTATGGATGTTTTGAGTTTGTGACTCTTTTACCAGCGGATAGAAGAGGTAGGGATGGCCCTTAGTCCCCTCTTTTTTTAGGTTAAGACTGTGGTGTAAAATTTATAGGTTTCATGATTAGAAGTGTAATTTGGGGCAAGTTACACTCTATATGTATTAGTTCCCATTTTGAAATGGGGATAAAAAAATATAGGGTTTTTGTTAGGATTACAGGAGAACACTAACTTGTATTGCTCAGTACATAATCCTTTGATAACTATTAATTGTTAATCAGTGGGCCTGCTTTTTTCCTGTCTCCCTCTCTCCGTACTGACTTCCATTTGTGTCATAATTTGGAAATATTTTTTGGTTCTGTACATAATTTCTCATTACATTGTAAATGAGACTCACGTGTCTTGATTTTCCACATCTTCATCCTAGTGATTTTAGTGACAAATTACATGTAAATCTAACTTGGTTTCTGAAGTTTTAGGTGCCTGAAATTTGATTAGTTATGTATAAATTATCTGAAGTGGGTTATAGTAAGATGATGCTGCTGTTTCCTAGTTATAAAAGTTATTTTTTATTTTCTTATCTAGACTGATTATTGAAGACCTGAGTATTTTTAGCAAAGGTTTTTTGAAACAAACCAGTGTGATCCAATAAGGACTTAGATAATTACAGTTTTTTGTAGAAAGCTATAGGTCTTTTAGTAGGCTAGAGGGATACATGGGTATAAAACATACATTATGTTCATTTTTCAAGAGTATTCACAATATAATTAATTATGATTTCTTAAACAGGTTCCAGCAACAGATAGAAATGCTTTAAGTTCACTCTGGGGAAAGCTGGCCTCTGAAATCTTAATGCAGAATTGGGATGCAGCCATGGAAGACCTTACACGGTTAAAAGAGACCATAGATAATAATGTGAGTTCGACTTTTTCACAGTTATTCTCTGAAATATCTGTGTATCCTTCACACTTTCTGATGAGGAAAATCACTATGCATTTTGGGAATTAAAAAAAAAAATTCATATTAGCTTTTGTTGACCTTACAAAAATCATAGTGGATTAGTGGCTTGACTAGTTTGAATCTCCTTGAATGAAATTGTCAGACTTCTTTTGGCTCTTAGAGAAAAAACGTAGCCTTCATTTCTGTTTTACAGCTACTGTGCCCTTTTTTTCTATGCCAGTCAAAATGACACTATGCTGTTAGTGCCACCTATTATTGAAAGTCCTATGCAGAAGACAGTTTTCATCTACAATTATCTAATTAAACCACTTACTATGAAATGTTCAGTTTAATTCTTGCTTTTAAAATGTTTTCTGAAATGATTATAATTTATAACTTCTGTAAGAGTTTATAAATTAGAGCGTCTTCAGTAGACATTATTGAATCTGTCTCTAAGAACAGGGTAATAATTTGGAATGTCGAGGGATCATGTAGAGAGAAGGCATAGGGGGTCGGACATTGATCATAATGACCTCCGTGCATGCCTTAGAAGGGGCTCATTTTTAATTACAGTTTTGAAGTTAGTGATGTTTGTCCTCCTGCCTCTTTCTTATATATTAATATTTTTTATGTATATATTTTTAAATCCTTTAGTCTGTGAGTTCTCCACTTCAGTCTCTTCAGCAGAGAACATGGCTCATTCACTGGTCTCTGTTTGTTTTCTTCAATCACCCCAAAGGTCGCGATAATATTATTGACCTCTTCCTTTATCAGCCACAGTAAGTTATTTCACTGTGTAATTTTGGCTTTGTTTAGATAAAATTACATGGAGTTGTTTAAACTTAAAATATACTTTTTTCTATCATTTGAATTTGTTGTCACCTGTTTTTTTTTTTCTTCATGTAGTAGATTTGCTTGTTACTGAAAAGTATGCATGTGACTCTTAAGTAAACTATTTGACAGAGTGTACCCTAAGCCTTTTAAAGTGCTATTTAAAGTGTGGTCCCTGGGCCAGCAGCATAGAAATCATATAGAATCTCAGGACTCACCCTAGAACTAAATTAGAATCTGCATTTTAATAAGATCCCAGGTAACTCATGTAAACATCAAAGCTTTAGAAATGAGGCTCTAGGGCATACTACTTGAAAGGAATACGTGCATCTTTTTATATCATCTTTGCTCTGTCAACTAGCTTTTGTTTAATATTTTGGTGATGAGAAATTCACTGCTTATGAACTAGACCATTCTTTTGTAAGCTAGAAATTATTTGTAAAATTTACTCTTCCAGTGGAACTCAAATACCTCTGAAACTTCTGCCCATTATTTCTTGTTTGTTTGGAATGACAGAAAACAAGACTGCTTCATGGAAACTCTTTAGATGTTTTAAGATAATTTTTTACTCCTCTCTGCTTCCTTCAGGCTAAATATCTCTAGTTTTATTAAGTAACACAGTTTTTCAGACCCTTTAGTATTTTGATTGCCTTTTTAGATAATTTCTATTCATATTCTTACAATCTAGATGTTCATAATTGAAATTTTATTCTAGGATTGTCATCTAAACTTTATAGATTACAGTGGCAATATTAGCTCATGTTACTTGTATGTATGCTTTTACTAATATAGCCTAAGATTGCAGTAGCAATTTTAGCAGTTGCTTCATGGTATGAGTTATATTGTATTGACTATATTATTGGGCAAATTTTACAATAACACTTTTTTTTTTAGATAATGTCTGGCTGTGTTGCCCAGACTGGAGTGCAGCGGCATTATCTTGCCTGACTGCAGCCTCTACCTCCCAGGCTCAAGCCATCCTCCCCCGTCAGCCTCCCAAGTAGCTGGGACTACAGGCACATGCCACCATGCCTGGCTAATTTTTCTATTTTTTGTAAGACAGGGTTTCACCGTGTTGTGCAGGCTGGTCTCAAACTCCTGAGCTCAAGCAGTTCTCCTACCTCAGCCTCCCAAAGTGCTGAGATTACAGGCATGAGCCACTGGGCCCAGCCCTACATTAACAGTCTTAGTTCATACTTTTACTATTTGTTCATCTAAATGAAGATTTTATAGTTTCATTACATTTTATCTTGTAGAAATGAAAATGGTTTCATATGACAAATGAAATAATAAGAATTCTAAATCATTAGGAAATACTATATACTTGGCTGATATCCTCCAAAATCTGAAATACCCTGTGTGGCATTATCAGATCAGTTAACTGAGGGAGGAATCATGGGGGGTTTTGCTTTGTTTTTAAATGATTCCATTAACAGGATTATGGGTCCTGATGAATGTATTGGTCAGTATTTAAAAAGTGTGTGCATATGGGAATATATCCTAACTTTGTGGGGCAAAAAATCCCTTATTTGAACATCCAGTAAAGCCTTCCTCCTCAAACATTAAAGTTAGATAGATATACACTGAAAAGCCATTGGATATTTGGAAGGAAGAGAAAAATGATATTAAAATTATATTTGGGAGTATTTTTACCAGCCAGTGCTTCTTAAACATTTTGGTCTTGGAACCCGTTTACACTGTTAAGAATTATTGAATGTAGGCCGGGCGCAGTGGCTTACGCCTGTAATTTCAGCACTTTGGAAGGCCGAGGTGGGTGGATCACCTGAGGTCAGGAGTTCGAGACCAGCCATGGTCAACGTGGTGAAACTCCATCTCTACTAAAAATACAAAAAATTAGCCCCACGTGGTGGTAGGCACCTGTAATCCCAGCTACTCAGAAGGCTGAGGAAGGTGAATTGCTTGAGTTTGGGAGGTGGAGGTTGCAGTGAGCCTAGATCACACCATTGCACTCCAGCCTAGGCAACAAGAGTGAAGCTCCGTCTCAAAAAAAAAAAAAAAAAAAGAATTATTGAATGTAATTTTCTTTGCATTGGTTTTATCTCTTGGTGTATACAGTAAGTCCTCAATATTGTCTCTAGGTTCTTGGAAACTGCATCTCTAAGCAAAACAATGAATAATGAAACAATTTTCTTTCTCAACAGCTTCATAATGAAAGAATGTTACTTGGTTTTAAAGTCGTAGTTTCCAAGAAGGTACCGATTATGTTAAGGACTTAACTGTATTAAAAATCAAAACAAATTAAAAATTTTCTCATTAATAAATGGTAAATTGATTCAATTTAACACATAATAGAATTTTAACGAAAGTAACTTTGAAAACAAAATTAGTGAGAAGAGTGACATTGCTTTACATTTTTGCAGACCTTCAGTTGCTGGGTTAATTGACAACTGGGTTTTCATGCCTGCTTTCTTGCAGTCTGTTGTGATGTGCTTTAACTGTAGGATGAAAAACCTAGCTTCACACATGTAGTTGGAAAAGAAAGGTGTGTTTTATTAATAATATCCTTTTCCGATAATTGTGAATATTCTTTTTTGAAGATACAGTAAAATTCAGTAAGAAGTACAGATAAAATAAAACTCAACAAGAAATAGTTTTTAAAAGGTTGTTTGTAATGTAGAATCTGAAACCATGTGGTTAAACTTTTTGGGATCCTAAGCTGTACTGGTATTCTAGACTGTATTGAGCTATCTTGCACTTGGAATGGATCTTTTTTACCCATGCATGATTTTATAGTATCATTCATTGGTTGTTTGGGAAATACTTACTGGTCCAGTGAGTTATGCAGGTATTCCAGTGTGTTGACATTATACAACACCAGAAAAACCACATTCATGAACATCACTACCAGACCCATAGAAACGGGTTTAAGCATTGGAAAGCTTTCAAGCTCCCAGTGGCTGATACAAATTTTCCAAAATTCTAGTTTTTCTTGAAAGCTCTAATTTTATCATTTGTTTTTCTTGAAGGACAGGCTCACTTCATTTTCTAGAAAATGTCTGGCAAATTCCCAAGTCTGAATGTCTGAATAGCTTTAGTTTGTCTGCCATTCTTTCAAGTAAAAACAGTGTTCTGTGAGAAAAGCAGCTGGTTCATCTTGTTTCTCAGTTGCACAAGTGCTTTTCCTTAAGGACAGCCGTGACAGTGAAGTGTGTATACAGCAGAAGCACTTTATGAATACTTACCATTTAGTCATACAGAAGACTAGAAAGATTAGTACTTAAGGGTTGAAGTTTTTAAAAATTAATTTGGGCTACGTGATTCAAGGACATAGTTGAAACTTTTTGTGTGTTTTTTAAAACTGCAAAAGTGTGGTGGTGAAAAATATAGGGACTGCTAGTATAGTTTGATGCCACTGCTTTGATTTACTCTAAAGTACAAGAAGAATTTGTTTGTTTATAGTTTAGTAATTTTTAGTAACTTAACTGAGTGATATAACCATCACAAGTCAGTTTTAGAACATTTTTATTGCCCCAGTAAGAACCATCATGCCTGTGGAACTATTTTCTTTGAACAGAAACAGCCTGTGGAAAAGAAAACTACTCAGTAGTATGATGACTTTTAGTTGTTTACAAAAGTACTGTGTTTACTGTTTTCACTTGCTATAGGGTCAGATTGCTGTCTTATTTTCTGTCTTGTTAAGTCTTCTTGCCTGATTTTGATTTTTGCTTGATTCTGACTTTTTTCCTAATGGAAATATACCCAGTTGACTTGACAGATCATTGTTTCACCCATTTCCTGGACTTCATATTCTTGAAGTGGGAGAGCTATTTACTGTTGAGATTGTGTGTGATTTGCATTTGTATATCTATAATCAGTATGTGTTTTTCAGTTGTCTCTGTTTAAGATTTATGAAAAAAGTAGTTCTAATTTCTTATAGCACAGTAGGTAGTTGGTTGATTGCATGTTCAATGGATATTATATGTAGATTGTAAATTGCATATTTTTAAAAATTATTTTATTTTTATTTTTTTTGAGACGGAGTCTCACTCTGTCGCCCAGGCTGAAGTGCAGTGGCGCAATCTCGGCTCACTTCAAGCTCTGCCTCCCGAGTTCACGCCATTCTCCTGCCTCAGCCTCCCGAGTAGCTGGGACTACAGGCGCCCACCACCACGCCTGGCTACTTTTTTTTTTTGTATTTTTAGTAGAGATTGGGTTTCACCGTGTTAGCCAGGATGGTCTCTATCTCCTGACCTCGTGACCCGCCCACCTTGGAATCCCAAAGTGCTGGGATTACTGGTGTGAGCCACCGTGCCTGGCCATACTTTTTATTTTTAATATAAAAGTACGTTAGAGATCATGTATACGTTTGTCCTTAAAATGAAAGTTTAGATACCAGTGCAGGTTAAAGTCTCTTACATCACATATATTACCATTTCTGCCATAATTTATTCTGAATCTAAAATGGAGATGATTTACACATTTGAAAAGTGTTGAACTTTTAAATGTAACATAATATATAAGATAAGGTGGCAGGTGTAAGATAGAGCAGTGTTCGTAGGCTATCGGAGATGAGGCTTTGCCACTAAATGTAGATGCTGTTAGGAAAAAGAATCCATTTGTAATACAATGCCCTATTACTCTCCACTTGTAGAAAGAAAGATGCAAAGTTCAGTTAGTAAAAGAGTATTTTGTTTTCTCAATAAAAATAATCTGAATTTTCTAAGAAATTTCAAGTTTTACTATTAACCAATCCACTATGTGATGTCCAGAATTTGTACAGACAGACCTTTCCTGCTGTTATTTTCCTTATATTTTCTAATTAGTTCCTGGTAAAAAAAACTCTTTGTCGTGCAGATAGTTTACCTGCTTTAGCTCACTCAGGATGACCTCCAAGGTCCTCATCTGGAGGTCTACTTAGTGTCCTACCTGTGTTTTTGTTTTTCTCTTTTTAAAGCCTGTCCTTCATGAAATGCACTTCCCTTTTTGTTCTTTCTTGTCCAAAACCTATCTGTTTTTAAGGTCCAGCTCAGATTTACTTCCTTCGTGAAGTCATTTCAGTGTATTTTGTTTAGCTTGTATTTGGTGTTTAGTTACTTAAAGCTGTTAAAATAAACAAAACTTATAATAGCTTCATCTCCCCAACTTGTAAGCATAGTTACAGACAGAGTTGTCATTTTTCATGTTCTTGTAGCACATAGTAGATACTTAAGTATTTTTAATTTGGTGGCATATTTTATGTTTTGATTATTAAATTTTCTGTGTTTAATTATGAAACACTGTAGGAAAACTCCCATAAAGCTGTACAGTTGGGGAAGATTGTGCTAGAATGAAAAAATAAACTAAAACATTTTACTTACCTAGCTTGAAATTTCACTTCATAGCACAAATACTGAGTCTGTTATTTAAAAAAAAAAAAAAAAAAAAACTAAGAAAATTTGATTTCAAAACTATGAGAAGTATAGCCTGCTATTACACAGCTTAGAATTCAAACGAGTAACATAATAAGTAATACAAGAGCATGTCTAATAAGTACATACAGTGGTATTGTACATGCTAAATACTGGAGAAGTTAGAAGCATCCAGTCCTTGAAGATAAAAATTGATCTGTCTTAAATTTGGTTGGACAGAGAAGAGAGATAAGCCAGGGAAGTAAAACAAAAGAGCACATTGGTCATTGGTAGGCTAACTGTTAAAATATATACCTGTGGTTTTGGTCATGTTTGAAGTAAGTTTTTAATTGCTGATCCTTCAAGAATGTGAATTGAGATAACAAAATAATCACCTCTAATCTCCACTCCTATTCCTTCCTCTCCTTATCTATATATAGATGCATACACACCTAAATGTTTATATACAGGATGGATCACTTTTGCCCTGTAAGGTAGGGAGTCTGCCATGTTTCAAAGTCTGGCTGGGCATGGTAGCTCCTCCCTGTAATCCCAGCTACTTGGAAGGCTGGGACAGGAAGATCGCTTGAAGCCAGGGGTTTTGAAGCCTGCCTGGGTAACATAGTGAGACCTATCTCTAAAACATTTTTTTAGAAATTAGCTGGGCATTGTGATTCACTCCTGTGGCCCCAACTACTTGGGAGGTTGGGGCAGGAGGATGGTTTGAGTCCAGGAGTTAAAGGCTGTAGTGAACTATGACTGTAACACTGCACTCCAGCCTAGGGGACAGAGTCAGATTCCATCTCTAAAAAGTAAAAACGCCTGGAGCCATGGTGATACTGTATACCAAGGATCTGCAAACTATGGACCATGGGCTAAAATCTGGCCCACAGCCTGTTTTTATATGTCTGGCAGTCTAGAATGGCTTTCATATTTTAATTGGCTAAAAAAATGTGAAAAGAATAATAATATTTTGTGATGTGAAAATGACATGAAATTTCAGTTTTAGTGTTCATAACTTTTTATTGGAAAACAGCCACTTTGTGTGTGTGTGTGTGTGCGTGTGTGTGTAGTCTGGCAGCTTTTGAGCTCTAATGGTAGATCTAAGTAGTTGAGACAGAGATGATATGTTGCACTTTTGCCACCTCATACTCTTCTCAGTTTACTACAAATCCAAGTGATGCCAGTTATACCTGGACAGTGTTTCTCAAGCCCCATATTGTCACACTGCAACATTTTATTTATATGTTATTTTATTACCAGTGCTTATTTACCGTGTCAAAACAGAGAAGTGAACTTCGACTATGATTATAAAGCACAGTGGAGTGGAGATTTTTATTGTAGGAATTACAAAGCAAAGTACTAAACTGACACTGTAGGTAAGCTAATAATATACATCCACATTACCGGACTATAATCACTTATCACAACTGTCACATGTTCTCAAACTGACAGGAAAGCAACTGTCAGAAAAATTATAACCTTTAGAAATGGAATATTAGATCCCAGCAGAATTTTTTCACAAAAATTAATGAAAGTGAGGCATCAAAATTTCTAGCCCAGAGCATTGCCTCATGCCCATAGCCCTATCACTTAGGCTAAGGCAGGAGGATCAGTTGAGCCTGGGAGACTGAGTAGTGATCATTTCACTGCACTTCAGCCTGGGTGACAGAATGAGACCCTGCTCTAAAATTTTTTTTTCAGTTAAGTGTCTGAGGGGTTCTTTTCTTTTCTTTCTTTCCTTTTCTTTCTTTTCCTTTCCCTTTTCTTTTCATTCCCAGTTCTTTTTCTTTTTCTTTTCATCCTGTCCTGTCCTGTCCTGTCCTTTCCTGTCTGTCCATGTCTCGCTCTGTCGCCCAGTCTGGAGTGCAGTGGTGGAATCTTGGCTTACTGCAGCCTCGGTTCACTCACTCCCTGGGCTCAGATGATCCTTCCTCCCAATTCAGCCTCCTGAGTAGCTGGGACTATAGGCTCACACCACTACGCCCAGGCATGTGTAGTACTTTTATCAGCCAAGTAAGGAAAGTCATTTACCAGTGGTGATCCAGTTAAAACATGTTTGATTTTAGCAGCCAGAGAAATCTGTCCAGTGAAGTAAACTTGTTTAAAACTATTAACCTTTCAGCGAGAACAGTTGCTCTGAGTTGAGGATATTGACAGCATGTTGATCTGGGGAGAGATTGAAAGTGCCCCCAACCCGTTATCAAACACTGAATGGCTCTGGAAGTTAACTTTTGCAGCAGACTTGATAATGTTTCTTAGTTTGTGCCATCTAAAATTGCAAAACAAAAGTGTTTATATGTAGAATTTATATTGCAGTAAAGTCATTTCAGTGACAACATGGTATGAATCATAAGTAATAAAAAGCCAGCTGCTTTACACATTTTGTGTTCTGTCAGAAGTTAAAACACAAAGGGAGACCTTCATTGCTAAATAGGATTGTAGCAGATGCATTTCCAAGTTCAAATTATAGTTGCAGAAAGTTTTAGACCTCATTGCAAGTATGAAGGAAATTTCTATATTTCAAAATTTAACTACAGTTGAATTGAAAGTGATTAATCTGCAATGTGATGACACGCTAAAAGATAATACCAAAATAATAGAATTGTACATGTCTTTCTAAATGTGCTCAATTAAAATAATATGCTTGTCAGTTGGTGTTTGATGTCAGCATTTACTAGTGCCTGTGCATGTTTTTACATTTTCCTTTTTTTTTTTTTTGGGAGATGGAGTCTTGCTCCGTCGCCCAGGCCTGGAGTGCAGTGGCACCATCTCAGCTCACTGCAACCTCCACCTCCCGGGTTCAAGTGATTCTCTTGCCTCAGCCTCCTGAGTAGCAGGGATTACAGGTGCCTGCCTCCACACCTGGGTAATTTTTGTATTTTTAGTAGAGACAGGGTTTCACCGTGTTGGCCAGGCTGATGTCAAACTCCTGACCTCAAGTGATCCACCCACCTCGGCCTCCCAAAGCACTAGGATTACAGGCATGAGCCACCATGCCCCGCCTACATTTTCTTTTTTCTTTCTTTTTTTGAGGCAGGGTCTTGCTCTGTCACCCAGGTTGGAAGTGCAGTGGTGCAGTAACGGCTTATTGCAGCCTCGACCTCCTAAGCTCAGGTGATCCTCCACCTCAATTTTATTATTATTATTTTTTGTAGAGACAAGGTTTCACTATGTTGCCCAGGCTAGTCTTGAACTCCTGGGCTCAAGCAGTCCTCTCACCTCGGCCTCCCAAAGGGTTGGGATTACAGGCATGAGTCATGGCACCTGGCCGTTTTTACATTTTCAAGGACTAAATATGTAAAATCTCATTACAGATTACATTATCAGAAAAACATTTGCAATACTTTTTAATGATATGGACCTCTAAATTTGAAATTAATTAAGCAAAATTATTCCCAGTGAAAGAATTCCATTGGTCTCATTAGCAGACCTATATTTTGGAAATTTGTTTCCTCTCTTTTTATAGAAGTATCTGGCATAATATTCTGAATTTGCCTCTTGCCCACAAAGCCAAAAATGTTTACTATCTGGTTCTTTACAAAAATTTTGCTGGCTTCTGAAATACACTCACAGAAACAAAGAGTAGATTTCCCAAATAAGTAATCCTCCAGTAAAAATAATTAAGATGTATATGGAGCAATGGTATAAACTCAGGATAAGTAAAAATAACTATGAGTTGAACACACTATACAACAAACTTATAGAACTATTTATGTATAAATTGATTTTAGATAAATTAATGATGAGTCTCATAAACGTGCACTAAAATGACCTACTTTGTCTGAGTGGAGTGGCTCATGCCTGTAATCCCAGCACTTTGGGAGGCCAAGGCAGGCAGGTCACTTGACTCAGCAGTTCGAGACCAGCCTGGCCAACACGGTGAAACCCCATCTCTACTAAAAATACAAAAAAGTTAGCCAGGTGTGGTGGTGTGCACCTGTAGTTCCAACTACTCGGGAGGCTGAGGCAGGAGAATCTCTTGAATCTGGGAAGCGGAGGTTTCAGTGAACTGAGATGGTGCCACTGCACTCCAGCCTAGGAGACAGAGTGAGACTTCGTCTCAAAAAAAAAAAAAAAAAAAGAAATAAAATAAAAAAATAAAATCACCTACTTTAAAACTGATAGTAAGAGAAACAATCATGCTTTCCTGTGTTTGTACCTGAGCTCTCTGGCAAGAGAAGTAATTGTTCTAAATGAGTATTGCAATACAAAATTTTCATTTCTAACTCAAGCTTAATTTTTCAGATGATGTAATTTAGCCAGTGTGTTTTTGGTGTCTTTTCCTAGAAATTATTTATTCTTGAGTGGATATTCTTTTTATACTTCACCTCGTTTAGAGGGCATTCAGGGTGGCTAAGTGGGACTAGATATTATTAAGTGTTCAATTCTAGGGTCCTCTAAAGAGTTTAAACAACATTTTGTGGGAATCTATAATATAATAAAATACAGATTTACTCATCATTGCCTGGGGGAACTTAGAAGATAAGGTATTGAAGCTGGACCTTGAAGGATGGCTAGGATTTAGGCTTTCAGGGGTATGTATTTGGGAGACCAATCTGTGTGGAGTGAACTTGAAGAAAAGAGAGAGGAAGCTGTCAATGGTAGTGTGATGGGAGATGTAGCTGGATGGATAATTTGGGGCTTGAATATTCACCTAAAAGAAATGGACTTTATTGACAGATAATTCTGAGATATGTATAGTGTCTGGCCCTCAGAGGTGCTAAATTAGTATTTATTGGGTAAATAAATAGGGAGCTATTTGAGGAAATTAAGCAGGAGAAATAAGGGTAAACACCTAATTACAGGGCATTGTCCCATGTTGATCATCACAACAGCAAGATTTGCTAAATATTAGCCAAGACCCTGTTAATGTTTACCTGACATCTATTCCTTCCTAATTCCTACTGCTACCACTTTAACCAATGTCTTGTAATATTGTAATATTCCTTCCCCGTTGCTTCCAGTCTTTCATCCCCTGAATTATTTAATTTAAGTGGCTGATTTTCTCATTAGTATGAGTGCTTTGCACATAGGTTTTCACACATTTTTTTCTAATGGGTGAATGAAAGTCATCGCTTAGTAGCCTTTTGGAACAGACTGACAGCATGTCAATGAACCTTGCAAAATCCTGTTACTCAAAAATAATAATAGGATAATTAGCCTCTTGATTGAGTCTTCCATCTCACCCCATATTAAAGAAATAGTGGCTAGCATTCTCCTCATTTGGATTCCTGAAACTGGATTCTGTTTTTAAATTTCCTTGGAGGAGATTTTCTTATAATACTCATTCTTAAGTGTTTGCAGTCTTAGGCTAGTGAAATAGTACAATCTAATGACCTGCTCGAGAGTTTTCTTTATCTCACCCTGGGTAAGTTATTAAATAACTTTTATATTTTTTCTTAGATATCTTAATGCAATTCAGACAATGTGTCCACACATTCTTCGCTATTTGACTACAGCAGTCATAACAAACAAGGATGTTCGAAAACGTCGGCAGGTTCTAAAAGATCTAGTTAAAGTTATTCAACAGGTAAAACTAAAATATATATTGATTTTTTTTTTTAAATACCTAAGCTTTAGGTCTAACCTCTTTTTCTAAGGTAAGACTTAGTTCTTAAGGTACAAACGTTTTTAAAAATAGGTGGAAGGAATACTTGAAGTTTAGAAAAGAGAAGACCCTCAAATGGGCTTTTGTTTTCCTTAAGTCCAAGATACACAAGTTGGATGTGGTAGGAATGATTATTACTGTCTGCTAGATGAACACTTAATATATACATTATGTGTATGTGTTTCTCTTATTGCAAAGAGTGAAGAAAATCTGGAACCTGGAGGTGGGGGTCATTACCTGTGTAATTCTACATGGGTGAACTTTATATACAATACCGTTTCAATAGACCCCAAGTTGGGCAAAAGGTTTCAGGCAGCCATGCTGATTGATATTTAGTGAGCTTGTCAGCAAAACCCGTAGATTAGAAATATAACTTAAATATTTATTTAAGAGTGTATTAAATACAAAGAAGTTATTGTCATTCAGTAGGGAATGAATACCCTTATGATTGGGGAAGTTTATTACTGTTTATTGACCAAGGGAGACTTTTGGTAGTAGAGGAATTTGAAAGCTTTCAGAATGCTTCTAGGATGAGACTTTAGAGAACTTGGTTTGAAAGACATAATAAGCTTAAGGTGTGGTCTGGAATCAGGATAGGAACAATTGTTTTGGGAAGATGCTAGGTAATTTGGCTAGAAATTAATGGTAAAGAAGGAGAAAACAAGAAGATTGGGATATTCTGGGGCAATCTGCTAAACAATGTTGAATCAGACTTACCTTGACCGTTGACTTATTTTTACAGGAGTCTTACACATATAAAGACCCAATTACAGAATTTGTTGAATGTTTATATGTTAACTTTGACTTTGATGGGGCTCAGAAAAAGCTGAGGGAATGTGAATCAGTAAGTGTGAATTTTTATTTATAAACTAATACTATTCTTAAATTTTTGGATATTGTAACGTTAATCTTGCAGTGTCTTCCTTAAAGTAATGAAGTAATTATAACGGAAATATGCTTATTAATCTTAAAAAGGCCTAAATGGCTCATGTTTATTAACCTTAAAATGGCTTAAATGGCTTGTGTTTATTAATCTTAAAATGGGAATGTGCTAGAGTGATGACTTTTTTAATGTTGTTGCCATGTGTTTATCCCTTTTGTGAGGGAGTTTGTTAAAACATTGGGGGTAATTTAAATTTACAGACATATCCATAATTTCATGTCTTAAATCTCGAATGAATATTTTTAATATTTCATATGTACAGGCAAGGTCACTTTGAATTGCAAATAACAACTGTGTTTTTAATTTTGGTTCATAGATGGGCTTATCTTTAGAATATTTCCCATGGTTGTATTTAACATTTGTGATAAACCAGGCAATTCATTGTAATTACGAATTTTATAACGGCGGTGTCTCTTATTGTTTAGTAGAAATTAAAGTACCTTTAGAGCAAATGGAAGACTTATAGTTGTTTTGAATAATTAGTTTACAAGTTTTAAGAAACTAAACTAAGAATTCTAACTGCTAAATGTAGTTGCATTTACCAGATTCACAAGTTACTGGTTATCAGTTTCACCCTTGGAACCAAAATTTTGGCACAAAATGGGCAATTTGTTGACAAATATCTTACTTCTCTAAGGAAAAAAATGATCATGCAAATATCCATTCCCTGATGATTTTCTTATTTTATTTTTTTTCAGACAGAGTCTCACTCTGTTGCCGAGGCTGGAGTGCAGTGGCATGATCCCGGCTCACTGCAAACTCCACCTCCCGGGTTCACACCATTCTCCTGCCTCAGCCTCCCAAGTAGCTGGGACCATAGGCGCCCACCACCACGCCCGGTTAATTTTTTGTATTTTTAGTAGAGACAGGGTTTCACCATGTTAGCCAGGATGGTCTCGATCTCCTGATCTTGTGATCTGCCCACCTCGGCCTCCCAAAGTGCTGGGATTACAGGCGTCAGCCACCGCACCTGGCCTCCCTGATGATTTTCAAACATTAGATGGAATAGAAAATTAGAATCCAATATGGTAATTGGTGTTTTTTTTTGTAGTCATATATTGCATTATTAAGGTAAATATTGGCGTATATTCATTATGCTAAGTGTCTAGGTTTTGATGTTAAAAGACCTAGAGGGTACTTGGTTGCTGTTCTTGAAATTAAAATATTCTCTCTTAATTACACCATCTGTGGAATAGTAGCCACCTTTTGCATTCTTTTCCTTCTAATTTCTAAGTCTACTTAATATTGTAGAAATACTCCGAGCTTGTAGTCCATTTATAATTATTTTAAATAGTTGGAAGAGATAACATTATCTGCAGAGCATTTATGTAGAATAATGGATAGTACCAAACTTTGTTGTCAGAAGGCTACTTTATTAAAGTTATCAGAAACATTGCAGTTTTTAGGTCTTTATCTTGTGGTATTCGTTTACTACTTATTTAAATCATTAAAGATTTGAACACAGTGTTCTAGAAAGTGCTGTGGTATAAAACTCATGATTGTAGAATGGAAAAATAAAGCAGATAAAGTATTTGATTCACGTTTCAGGCAATTGCTTGTCAGCATCATTAATTTTTGTTGTATTTGTACATATAGGTGCTTGTGAATGACTTCTTCTTGGTGGCTTGTCTTGAGGATTTCATTGAAAATGCCCGTCTCTTCATATTTGAGACTTTCTGTCGCATCCACCAGTGTATCAGCATTAAGTAAGAACACCGTGATTTGATTTGGATTTTCTACTTTAAAATTCCTGGAAATTTCCATTTATTGTGAATTTACACTTAATAGAATTCCAGTTAATTGGATTTTTATTTATTTTTGCTTTCAGAAGAACAATGAAACAATTTGATAAAATTATTTAAAAACCTAACTTTTGCTACAGGCTCAGATAGTTTTAGCTTGAGTGGCATAATTTTTCAAAATACTAAGTTGAAGGCAATATATGATTATCAGTTACCTTATTGAAGAGTAAATACTCTTGTACCTTTACGTAAGGAGAAAAGTGTAGTAAACATTTCTAAAATGGTTTTCAACAACAGTACAAAGGAGATACCCATTAAATTGGAAATTCTGTTGAAAGACCACTACAT